>NC_000010.11:109120368-110370368 GCF_000001405.40 Homo sapiens | reverse complement strand
ACTATCTGCGCAAGATTCAAATTCTAGGACAAGTGTCTAATGGGTCTTACTCAAGTCACAGGACCACCTTTGTCCAGGAAAGTGTTGGACCGCTTGCTGGACAGTCCTACAAGATAATCCAATGGAGGCAGGGTGTTCCTTAAAGCAAAACTGCGGTGTCATTACCAGCAGAAGTGCTGTGCTGGTGGCTGAGGGCAGTCTAAAACCACAGTTGTTACTGCATCTGTGAAACTGGGAATAGCTAACCTCTCCATGCCGTGAGCTGTGCAGTTCCCACAAAATCATGTATATGGTGGGATTTTGAAAAAAATAAGATCCCCTCAGATAGAAGGTCCTCATGAGACCACAGAATGTTAGCTGGAAAGAAAGGAGCTGGCTGTGGTGCCAGGATGCAGCTGGAAGAAGCGCAGCATTTTACACAGAGGCAAAGTGAGGTGCCCCGACCAGCAACCAGGAATACCACCCTCACCCCTAACTATGAGCCACTTCTCAGATGTCATAACCAATCCTCATGACCACCTTCTCCCTCGGCCATCGTTGTTCAGTCTATTAGTTTCTTCTTTGGACACTACATATAAGCCAGGCCTCTGAGTCTTCAGAATGTGATCTCTTTGCCTTTGAGAGGCAAACAGCCGGCTGGGCACGGTGGCTCGCACCTGTAATCCCAGCACTCTGGGAGGCCAAGACAGGTGGATCATGAGGTCAGGAGATCGAGACCATCCTGGCTAACATGGTGAAACCCCATCTCTACTAAAAAAAATACAAAAAAAATTACCCGGGTGTGGTGGCCGACGCCTGTAGTCCCAGCCATTCGGGAGGCTGAAGCAGGAGAATGGCGTGAACCCGGGAGGCGGAGCTTGCAGTGAGCCGAGATGGCGCCACTGCACTCCAGCCTGGGTGACTGAGCAAGACTCCGTCTCCAAAAAAAAAAAAAAAAAAAAAAAAAAAAAAAAGAGGCAAACAGCCTAGGGGCAGAGATAAATGAGTAATTCTTTCAGTAACAGCCAAGTGTGATGGCTTATGGAACACAGGCAAGGTGAAAGCATTCTGATGCTATAGAGGTGGGAAAAGGAGTCTTTGTTTATTCATTTATTCAACAAGTATGCCGTGAGAGACCATTATGTGCTTGGTACTGTGTTTGGTGCAAAAGATTTACAATGAACAATGCAGACAGCCTCTTATTTCATAGAATCCACAGTCTAACCTGTGCCTCCACTACCCTAACTAGGAATCTGCACCCTACTAGGAAAGTCCATGGAATGCCTTCTCCTTTATTAAACCTGCTCTGACTCCCCTAGGCCACAGTGGTCATTTTAAACTTCTGAAGGTGTGATAGTCCAAGTCCTCTGAGAAGCAGTCACAAAGACAGGAATAAATATGCAAGGATTTTACTAGGGGAAATGTCTATGTGAGGGGGAAAAAAAAAAAAGGAGAGGGAACCAAAAAGAATGGGAGCCATCAGGCCTCCACAAAAGTCTGACTCCAAGTGAAGAACAGAGGAAGAAAAGGTTGGGTGAAAGCATCCTAGACCGTCATGCAGTTTAAAGAAGCTTTGGCAAAGCTGTTGAGGAGTCCTCAGGCAAGGCCAGCTGTCAGAGGAGTTGGTTGTCTCCCAGGAAGGGGCCTGCCCGAGTAACCCTGCTATGCTCAGTCACTGGCTGGGAGCAGCCTATGGGAAATGTGGCCTCAGCATCGATGGATTTCAGAACACAGCAGGTGAGGCCCATAGTTAATTACACTTCCTATAGCTGAAGGCCTGTGAGGCTTATTCTCACTGGCTTCCCAAATGATTTGGACTCCACAGATTACACCTTCAATTTGATGCCTAAATAAAGATTGTTTTCTGCACCTGCAAACTATGTTGGGTGTATCTTGACCTTTCAACTGGCCTGAGGGCCAGTCAAGGGCAAGGGTGCCATCATAATCCTTCATCCAGCCACCTGTCTATTGATCCATCCATTTTTGTTTTCTGGATATATTTACATGAGCACCAACTGTCCTAGGCACTAAGGGTACAGAAGTGAACCAGATGACCCTTGAAGAGCTTGCAGCCTAGAGAGGAAAGAGGGATTTAATAATGAATCACACACTAAACAGGGAGTTTCTAGGTAAAAGTCAAGTGAGTTTCTATTTCCCCTTCACACCACTTATGCTTCTCCCCACACCAGCAGGGGCTTTTTTCTGAAAGGGCAGCTATCTCCAGGGGACAGCGCCTGCCCTGTGGACGTGAGTCAGCCCAGGGTCGGGAAGAACGCTCAGCCCTGTGGACTGATAGCAATAACACAGCCCCTGGATTCTCCCAGGGAACTGCTTCACACCATTTCCCTGAGACACAGAGGGAACAAGAAAGAAAAACACCAACTGCAACTTTTCTTCAAGGAGAAACACCTTCATCGCTTCCTCCATGACAACTGTCAGCCCAAGGAGCATCCCTGAGCTGTTTCCTCCCTCGGGGGCTTATCAGTATGCTCCACGAAATGCAGAAAAACCCAGTTGCTTTTCTTGAATGTCTTTCAAGAGTGGTCTCCTCTTTCTCCCCATAGAGAAGTATAATTTAAAATATGCTGAATGAATGTTGAACTGGAGACCAAGAGAAGGGAGGCAAATCAGGCAGCAATGAGGATTATAATTTTTCCTCCTCACTAAGTCAGCTCTGAGCTAAGTACATTCCATGCAGACTCTCAGTTGATTCCCGTCACAGAACAGCCCAGTTAGCCTATTCTACAGAAGAAGAAACTGACGCTAGAGATAAAAAGAACTTGCTAAAAGCCACACCACTAGTAAGTAGTGGAGGTGAGACCTGACCCCCAAAACTTTTTGCCCCCAGAGCCTGTGCTCTGAACCACCAACCAAACTGCCCAGGCTTCTGTTGGTGGTTTCTCTTGCAACTTGGCAGGTGAAGTGTGACCTCAGCCATTGGTGAGGAGTTGTAATCAGGGTGCAGAATCTGGACAGGGCCTCCTTGCCCACTGCCATGTGTAGCTGCTGGTCAGTTGGTCTTCACAGACAGCATATCCTCTGTGTTCACAGCTATGGCACCAATGGCAGAATTGGTGTGTTGATACTAACAGAAGTTGTTGTAAGTCACACTCCTCTGCAGTTATGTACAGGGCAAATATGATTCCAAAACCCACAGAAAGCTATTACCTCATTTTATCTTAAAGTCTTAGGAGCTAGAGAATCACCGTCACCACTGTACCAAAAGGGATGCTGAGGTACAGATGGTTTGGCTGACTTGCCCAAGGCTACATAATTTATAGGGCTCTGTAGCTGGTTTTAGTGAGTTCCTTCCTTCTCTCCTGCAGAAACTCAATGCTCTCTTCTTTTGCCTTTTTTCAAAAAAATTTATTTGCAAAAAACTGGAAGTTCAGTAATTCTAAAGTGTTCACGATGATTATGATAACTACTAATTACTTACTGCTTCTGTTATAAGCTACAAAATATTAAGTGCTTCTCATTTGCTGGCATGGTGTCAACATGCACTGCGTTAAGAGTTTAATGTTACCTCGTCCAAGGATGTGTGGAGTTAAATGGGGTTCAAAGTCTGTGAGGGCCAAAGTGCTCCAATGGTAGAATTCCAGGCGTCAGATGGGGCAGGTGCTTTTAAGCCATGGGGTCATCATCTTCTGTAACTATATCCAGGTCTTATAGCTTAGACTCTACTGGATAGACCCTCAGGAGAAATGTGAAGGAGGCTTTTGAGAAAACTTGGCAGGGTCTGGCTGTCAAACAGTAATTGTTAGTGGCCTCTGTAAGGTAACCCACCTTCCTGGGTTGCTTTAGCTTCTGCCCTGTCCTGTGGCCTTTCCTGATGCCCTAATCCTTGGATGAATAGTCCCTTCTAGAGCCACCAGCCTTGGCAGCCCTGGGTCATCTGCCACGCTCCACCTCCCAGCCGGGTCCTGGGAAGCTGAGGAGGAGACGGAGGTGTGAGAACAGCAAGAAAAAAGTCTAGCCAGGCTAGACCCAGGCTAGGCCCTAGTGGTTCCCTTTGTCTCAGGGCAGCCCAGGCCTAAGATGCCAGGGCTTGGGGAGGCCTTGGATGCCAACAGCCCCATGCCAAGAGCTTCATCTTCCTCACGGAAGGTTCCTGGCTTTAGTCCAGGCTCTGCCCAGCCCACTCCTATTCCTTCAGGCTCTGAGTTCAACGGTGATACTATTCACAAGCAGACTTCTGTTTTCTTGTGAAAGTTAAAAAAGATACCAAGCTGTCAAAAAGACTTTTTCAACACCCAGTTCCTGCTGGGTGAAGGGTGCAAGAAGAGGGTCTTTCATGTCTTACTGCATGATGAAATGCCAAACACAGGATTCTAATTCATCCTTGGGGTGAAAAAAGAAGATTCTCCCTTGGGGTGGCTAAGAGGCCCAGCTCTCCAAAGAGAAAGCAGCTCACCTCTAAAGCCCCTGCATCATTTCCCATAAAGAACAGGACAGTTTTGAGTCAGCCACAAACATGTCATCACACATTGAGCATCTATGTGTGTGTCGGGAACACGCAACAGCAGGAATTCCACTAGCAATAATAACATTATTAAGTGCTCATTGCCTCTCAGGCAGTCTGTTGGGTCTTTACATATATCATCTCATTTAATCCTCATAGCATGAGGAAAGTAATTCACCATTCCCATTTTACAGATGAGGAAACCGAAGCTTAGAGGTTCTATAGCTGGTAAGCAGCAGAACTGGGATCTGAATTCTGGTCTGACTTCAGAGTCTAAGCTCTTAGCCATGAAACCAGCATTCTCATAGCAGAGTCCAGGAACCACATGCTGAGGATCTCCCCATAATGCTTGATAAAAACGCAGCATCCTGGCTGGGCTTACGGAATCAGAACATCAGGGAATGGGGCCAGGAGGCTGCCATTGGCAATCTTTCCAGATGGTTCTGATGCACGGAATGTTTGAAATCCCTCACACTGTGCTGTACTGTCCACTAAGTTGGGAGAAGGGGACATTGCGTGGGGGGTAGGCGGGGAGGGAGCATCAGGTGAGAAGGCCCCAAACAGCATACGGTACTGCATGATGCACTAAGGATTTGGAATTACTTCCGTTAAAAGAGCATCCCTTGGAAAGCTGCCCCAGTGCCTGGCGGCTGTCCTCACACTCTGCCTGCATTAGCTGAGGCCTAACCAGTGAGCTACCCAGCCCCAGGCCTGAGCTGTCCAGGCCCACACAAGAGTCCTCACAGGGACAATGTTCCTATTGCCAGGACTGTCGCTAACTCATCCTGAGGATAACTCTGCTTCCAACCCTCCCTAATTCCTCCATTGAGCAGCTGCCCTCAGAAGTCTCCTCTCTTTCCCCTTGCTGCAGACCTCATCTCTACCTGCCGGAATTCTCAGCACTGCTCTTCTTACTAGGTAACTAGCCCTGAGATGAGGCTTCACTAGAGCTAGTGGCAGCGATTTTCTGGGTGGGGTGTTGGGTGGTACTGCCATCTTCTGAGGCACAGAAATAGAAAAGGGAGGCATGTGGCCAGGTTCCAAGTGATCCACGACAAGCCACACAGGCCCTTCTGACTCACTGAGGCAGCAGCAGGTGGCCTTTGAGAAACAGTGAGACAGAACAGTCCCTTCTGGCCTGGAAATGCCAGCAGGTGGGGGTGGGGGCAGGCTGCTGCTAAGATCTGGGGTTCATTTTACCCCTCTGCAGACTCCACAACCTGTTTCTGCCCCATCATCTCCCTGGGAAACGTGTGGGACCCACTTACTTGCAACCCACACACCCTCAGGGCTGTGACTCAACTGGCACTCACGGCAGCCTTCAATATTATTTTTAACCTGACTTCACCTGATTTGTGGGGGGTGGGGTGGGGACCAGATTTGCCTAGAAAACTCCACTAATAGGGCTGGTCCAAGCCGAAAAGGAAGGAGACAAAGTCTTCTTTCCAGCACCTCGAAGAGCCTTTCCCCTGCGTGAACCTGAGAGAAAGAGGCCGGGTCGGCCTACGAAATGGGCGCCAGGAAAATCATCCACAAACTGATGTGCATTCACTGCCTCTTTTTTCTGGCTCACCTGTCTGGCCATGTTTTGTCTTGGGATGACTCCTCGCATCCTATGTTGACAACACCTGGCCAGAAGGGAAGGCAGCCCTAAGCCCGGGGAGCTTCAGAGATGGCAGCCTACACGCAGGCCGGAAGCACCCCAGATGCCTCTCGCATCTGCCAGCGGAAGTCTCCACCTCTTCCGCCCACCATGCCCTTCCTGCATATGTTCCCGAGGATCAGGGGAAGGCCTGCAGATGAGCGGTTGGTCTGTTTGGCATTGGCTGAGCCACACGGCAAGTCTTGTTCATTCTCCATCTGGCTGTCTCTGTGAACTTTGCACTGAACTCTTTCCAGCTGCGTCGGCGGCAGCTCTCCTGCCAGGAGGACCCAGTGCCAGGGAGAACAGAATAATTGCCTCTCGTGTTGTGCATGCAGAGCCTTCATTAACGTGTCCCCGGAGTGGCATTTGCAGCCCTCTGTCACAGCAGCCTGCCATTGAATACCACAAAACTCATCACCCTCAGATTCTCCACTGTCTTGAAAGAGCCAGTTAGCCCTTTGTTTCTTCGAGCTGCTTTGGCTCATTCGGAAAGTCATGTCGGTGTCCCTGTTATTATTTACATAGAGGAGGTTTCTCTGTTGTCTTGCTCACCAAATAGCGCATGTAAGTGGCCTGGCCCAGTCACTCTTGTTTTCTTCCTTTTTGACACAAGGAAGCCATGCTTCTAAGGAGACAGGTGACAAAGAGTGTGGGGTGGAGGGGCACAAGTAGAAATCAAAAGTCATGGCATTTAGTCTTGGTGCTGGGTTTTAGTCGTGGTGCTGCCATTGGTGAGGTGTGTAACCTTGGGCAAAACTACACATTTCCAAATGTCATTTTCTTCCTGTACAAAATAAGGGGTTGGCATTGACACACGGATTCACAGAATCTTTGAGCACTTCTCATCTACCTGTCATTTTTATAGATAAGTAAGCAGGCCCAGAGTGGCCATTCAACTAACCCAAGATCATGTAGCTAACTAGTGTTAAGACTTGGGACCCAGCATTCAGACCTTCTACCTCCTGGATTTGGGTGGGATTGGATGAAAGAGGGAAACTTTTTAAGAGAGCCAAGGCACAGTGACGGGATTACACTCTCTGTGCATGCAGAGAAGTATGTAGGGGTGACTTTTCCTTCACATCAAATATTCCAGGGTTTAGAATAGTAGTTCTATCCACCCCAGGGCAATTTCATCCCTTAGGGGACATATTTGGTTGTCATAGTTGGGGTGGCCGAGGAGAGAAGGGGAAAAATTCCACTGGCATCTAGCAGAGACTAGAATACTACAATACACAGGGCAGCTCCCACAACAGAGAATGATCCAGTCCAAAATCTCAACAGTGCTGCGGTAGAGAGCCCAGTTAGACACAAGCCCCCTTCTCTACTGCCAGTATTCTCTAGAATTTTAAACATTCTTGCTTTCTTACCTTCAGTCACAAAAGCACTATTTTTTTTTTTGCTGATTTTGTTACTGATGTTGGTTTTAAAAATATGATTTTTTTTCTTGAGTATACAAATTACCCAACTCATTTTTTTTTTTTTTTGAGATGGAGTCTCGCTCTGTCGCCCAGGCTGGAGTGCAGTGGCGCGATATCTGCTCACTGCAAGCTCTGCCTCCCGGGTTCACGCCATTCTTCTGCCTCAGCCTCCCGAGTAGCTGCGACTACAGGCGCCCGCCACCACGGCTGGCTAATTTTTTTGCGTTTTTCATAGGGACGGGGTTTCACCGTGTTAGCGAGGATGGTCTTAATCTCCTGACCTCGTGATCCGCCCACCACGGCCTCCCAAAGTGCTGGGATTACAGGCCCAAACTCATTTTAAAGAATAGAAAATTCAGAAAGACACACACACTAAAATCAATCAGGTATCATCCCACCATCCAAGGGTAAGAATATTTTGGTATTTGGTATTTTTTTCATATTACCTCAGATTCACAGGGCACACCCTGCTTTCTCTGTTTCGTGGCTTTTCTCAACAATTCTCTTTTCCACCCTATCCCCATTAGTACCTGTTGAAATCTCACCCTCGCTTCAGTTACCTCAAATAGCATTCCTCCAGGAAGTGTCACATACCACTCAGAACCCCAGCTGCGCTGGAAGCGAACTCTCCTGCCTTTATATTCCTGTAGCACTTTGTAGCTCACAGATGTCAATTTTGACACTTTTAAAAATATTCCAGTTATGTGTAAATTCCTGAGGGTAGGGATTAGATTTTAGTCTGTTGAAAGTGTGTCCCCCCACCCTTCTCTCTCTGTCTCTTACTCACATACACATACACACAAACACACATACACATGCACTCTCTCTCTCACACACACACTACAGTGCAAGCACAGCACTTAAGATGAGCTCCACCCCCTTTCCTCTCCTGATATCATCGTACTCTTACTTTCAGAATAAATAACCATCCTTTAGTCACAGAGAACATTTCAATCATTGGTGGCTTTGGTTGCTCCATCATTTGCAATTATTCTAGTGCTCTTCTTTCTATGTGAATTTTGAAGATGTTTAATATTTTAATAAAAATGAAAAGTTTTAACTTAAATATCCCTTATTATGTGTCAGCTGTTTTGGGGATAGATGGTTATTTAAGTTTTCTGATTCAATCCAAACTGTGGAAAAGCATGATTGGCACTTTTTTTACAAATGTGAACACTGAGGCTTAGCAAGGTAACCTAACTTGTGCAGGGTTGTCTGACTAATTAGAGGAGGCACTGGGATTTAACCCAGGGTTACCTGGCTCCAAGACTATGTGCACCACCTTGAAGCTTCCCAAGCGCCAAGGAATCCACTTGCCTCTACTCATCTCTTTTTCTACAGTAAGAGGCAGCAGGCAGGTGCATTAGTGCCTATGGTCTAATGATCTGGGTGGCCCCAGGCAAGGCAAAGAGAGGTCACAGAGTCCAGCCCAACTCCTTGGCGTGGGAACCTCTGGCTGGGTAAGCTTCTTGGGAGCCTCTTGAATGCGTGTGCAATCCAAGGTCACAGGAAGCCAAGCATTCCCAGGCCTGTGGGCACGTGGCATCTTGAAGTCTATTCTCTTGGTCTGATACTTCCCAATGCCTTGTACTAAGTGTGTCACACGGGAGGGGGATAATGGGTGACTCACCCCACAGACACTTGTCTACTGGAGGGCCAGCATCCTATTTCTCCTTAGCAGGGGGCTGACCATGGCAGGGGCATGACCTTACCAGGGCAGGTTGGGGCTGAGCTCTGACAGAAGAGGACACATCTCTTCTTCCAAACTATCCCTTCTTTCCCAGTCAAGCTCAGCCTTGCTCTCCAAGGTTCTGAAGTCGTTTCCAATACTGAGGAGGGTTTCTCCCATTTTTTTGCAGTGTGGCAGACCAAGTACAGGCTCTGCTTCAGGTTTAGCTTTGTATCAAGCCCAGTTCTGCCAATGAGGTGATCTTGAACAAGTTGCTTGCCTTCTCAGAGCCTCAGCTTCTCCATCTGTAAAATGGTAAAAATGACACCCAACCTCCAAGGGCTGGAATGAGAATTCAGTGAATGATGGATAGAAACTGATATCATGCTAAAAAATCTCTCTCCTTTTTTCTTGTAGACATCAGAGGATGGTGGGAGGGTGGTTTGAAAATGTGGGAGAGGGGGCTGGGCGAGGTTGCTCATGCCTGTGATGCCAACACTTTGGGAGGCCGAGGTGGGCAGATCACCTGAGGTCAGGAGTTGGAGAACAGCCTGGCCAACATGGTGAAACTCCATCTCCACTAAAAATACAAAATTAGCCAGGCATTGTGGTGCACACCTGTAGTCCCAGCTACTTGGGAGGCTGAGGCAGGAGAATAGCTTGAACCTGGGAGGTGGAGGTTACAACGAGTCAAGTTCGCACCACTCAACTCCAGCCTGGGCAGCAAAGCGAGACTGTCTCCAAAAAAAGAAAAGAAAAGAAAAGAAAAGAAAAGAAAAGAAAGAAAGAAAGAAAGAAAGAAAGAAAGAAAGAAAGAAAGAAAGAAAGAAAGAAAGAAAATGTGGGAGAGGAAAGTGGGTTGGAATGGAGAGGCTGGGAGGGGCAGGCAAGGAGTGGCCCATTCCTTCCCATAAGGTTTTCTTTTCTTTTCTTTTCTTTTCTTTTCTTTTTTGAGATGGAGTCTCACTTTGTCGCCCAGGCTGGAGTGCAGTGGCTTGGCTCACTGCAAGCTCTGCTTCCCGTGTTCCCTCCATTCTCCTGCCTCAGCCTCCCGAGTAGCTGGGACTGCAGGAGCCTGCCACCACGCCCGGCTAATTTTTTGTATTTTTAGTAGAGACGGGGTTTCACCGTGTTAGCGAGGACGGTCTCGATCTCCTGACCTCGTGATCCGCCCGCCTTGGCCTCCCAAAGTGCTGGGATTACAGGCGTGAACCACCGCGCCCGGCCCCCATTTGGTTTTCTACCTGGAACCCGGGTGGAGGAGAATCCTTCTGCTGGTTACTGGCAACCACACTCAAATACAATCAGTCATTTGTACAGATTAAACCTGCTGCTCTAAATCACTGTGTGGGCTTAGGATCAGCTTCACTCCATTTCCATGAGGCAGTGGAACCCAGTGGTTAGAAGAACAGGTTCCACCTCTGTGTAGCCTTGGTCAAGTCCCTCAATCTTCGAGCCCCCGGTTTCTCATCTGTAAAGTGGGGATGTTAATATCTTATTAGGTTGCCTGGATGATTGAATTAGATCCTGCATAGGTTGTGCTTTGCTCAGAGCCTGACTTATAGGATGTGCTTCATCAAGGCAAACCTGCTGTTCATTCTTGCTATTGTTGTTATCATTGTTCCTAGCTGCAGATGGTGTTCTTAACCTGGGCCGCCTGTCTTGGAGACATGCCCATTGGGAGAGTGTGGCCAATTCACCAGGGGCCCTCAGCCCCACGCCTGGCAGCCACATCATTCACCAGATGAGCCAGCCGGGCCAGCCTCATGACTGAGGGACAGCTGCCCAGGTGTTAGTAGAGGCTGCATTCCAGTGACATTCCTCCTTGGCAGAAACTTCAAAACTAGAGGGAGACATTACTCAGGCAGGCTGGTAAGGCATTCCAGGCTTTCAGACCTCAGGCTTGCAAGACAAACTTAACCTGATGGTAACATAGAGTGTAATAAGAAGCATCAACTGCACTCCTGCCCATCTTTGGCAGATGGAGTGCTGGAGAGGGCAGTAGAGCATGGAGGCTGATGGGAACCCTCATCCACTCAGGCCTTGCACGAAGCCCTTGAAGACAGAACTCTGGTTCTTTCACGAGAACGACCTAGGGACAGGCTTCCCCTCTTCCATATGCAAAGCTGCTCCCCTCCTGCTCCTTCTCTGCCTTTTGAGGAAGTCACCTGGGGTGGGGGTGGGGACTCAGTTGACCTTTCTGCCTGGTGTCTCTCCTGGTAGAATGCAGACTCTTGGAGCCTCCCTGTTATGATGGGCAGCCACGTAGAGGCTGGATCCTTCAGTTGGGGGACTTTTAGTGGCCCCTGTTGTGGACCTGACCTCACTCTTGGTCTGCAGGTACCCAAATGGGAAGGGCCCTAGGCGAGCTCATGGTGTAAGGGAGAGGGGCAGGCATATAGACAAAGCAGACAAAGTCCATGAATCGGTGGAATAGCATCATGCCTAGGAGCACAAAACCACCCTAAGGTCTAAGGGTCTTGCCACCTAGTAGCTGTGTGGTCACTGGCAAGTCACTGAACCTCTCTGTGCCCCAGCTTCCTGTAAAAATTTTGATAACTGCACCCACCTCATAGGGCAATTTTGTGAGGATTAAATGAGTTAACATGAAAAGAGCCATTTGGAACAGGGCTGGTCTGCAGCCTGTTCTGTCTCTGTGTTAGCTCTCAGCACCAAGTGCTCCAGGTGCCACAGACACGGAGTCAGGTGACCAGGAGGGACTGAAACTAGGAGTGGCAGGGCTGAGGGGTCACTATGGTGGTAAAAAAAAAGACTCCAAAAGGAAGTGGTGCTTAAACCAAGCCTTGAAATCTGAGTTGTTGACAGTGAGTGGGGGAACAGAGGGACAGAGGCTGACCCATGAGGGCAACAGGACATGGTTTGGATTCACCAGAGCCCAAGAGTGAGGTTGGGAGAGAGGGGGCTGGAGAGGGGCACAGGGGCTGATCCCAGAGGTCCATGAAGGCCAGCACGTGCTTAGAAAGGTGGCAGTGGCCCGGGGAGCGTGGCTGGGAGAGGGCAAGAGTGGAGGCAGGAGAACCAATTTGGACAGGAGGTGGCTGTGAGTCCAGAGCAGAGATGAGCGATGGTGAGGGTTGACCTGGGCAGCAAGGCACTCGGGCATTAGAAGGCTCAGGATGAGCGATGGTGAGGGTTGACCTGGGCAGCAAGGCACTCGGGCAATAGGAGGCTCAGGCCTCTGTGGCGCCAAGTGTGGCAGTGAGGCAGAGGGAGGCCTCAGGACGTGGCTCAGTCTGGCTGGTGGGACCCAGGGGATGGGCTACTTTGTTCTCAGAGAGAAGGGGCTGAGAAAAAAGAAAAAGGGGAGGCAATGGACATGCAGTGAGCACCTGTGACGTGCTAGGTGCTAGGACGGATGGTGTTCGCTTAACCCTCAAGCCATCTCTCCAAGGTGAGAATAAAAGTCCTCCCCAAACAGGAAACTGAGGCCCAGAGGGCGTCCGTGACTTGCTGAAATTCACACAGCCTGGAAGCGTGGGCTCCGGCTCTCTGACTTCTAGTTCTTCAGGCTGCCTGTTTATCTTCAGCTGTCTTCAGGCAAACCAGCCTGTGGGAGGACAGCCCCACGCCTTCGCCCGTGTGAGTGTGCCCCAGCAGAAACACTGCTGTTGAGTCAGACGATACAAACCGACATCGCCTCACGTGACTTACAGATATTTTCATTTTTGCTTACTTTTACTCGGCCAAGAACTTCAAAGGAGCATAATTCCTGGAGGATTTGTTCATCGACGTGTCACAGGAGAGCCTATGAGCAGGAAGGAAATGGGCTCAGAGACCAAAACATCTGTCCCCCGTATTTCTTGCCAGATTCCGGAGCTGAGACTCCTGGGGCTCACCTGGAGCCTGGGTTTCCCTCCACTTTGAAGGCTTGACCACCCCCGCATGGGCTGGAGCTTAAGACCATTGACCCAATCCTTCCTTTGGGGTGGGGGAAGGTGTCCACAGGAAGCATTTCCAGCACTGGGAAGGTGCCTCAGTAGCTCGACCCTATAGCAGGGCTCCTGGGAGGAGGAGAACAATTCATCAGTGCCTGCCAGGTGCTACACCGCTTATGTCTCACAGAAACACGAACGTCATTGTCTCTGTGAGGATGAAAAACCAGGGGCTCAGAGATGTTAAATAAACTGGCCCAGGTCACACAGCTAGGACGGCATTGATCCGACATTCCTACAGGTCTCGGGAGCCCCCCTCGGCCCCTCTCCAGTCCAGAGGGAGGCACTTGCTGCGCTTATAAAAGTCTTTACTTGTTTGAAGCCCAGTTCCTCTCAGGTGTTGCTTTTTTCTGTTTCTTTTCTTTTTTTAGGCCTTGGGGGTTGGGATGGGAGACCAAAGGTGGAGTTGTGCTATTTTACACAACTGACTTGGCTTGCACGTCATCTAAACACCAAGTTCCATTCTCAGAGGAAGTGAGAGGTGTCCAATTCGGTCATGCAGAACGCAGCTGGGCTGCTCGAAACGAAACAAAGCGGCTACTCCGAAGGAGGTGTTGTCCCTGGGCCGGTCCAGGTTGAGTCAGAGCAGACGCCACTCCCACGTCAAAAATACCAGGCCACTGTCCCAGGGAGCTGGGCTATTCACTGAGGTCATTTTCACCCCACTTCTGAAATCCACATTAAAGGAAAAAAGAAAAGGGAAGGGAAGGGGAAAAGGAAAGGAAAGGAAGCAGAAACCAGGATGGCGACAAGGAGAGCCACCCAGTCGGAGCAGCACCTGTGCACCTATGTGGGGTGTGCCGGGCACCTGACGGCCGCAGGTCCGGACAGTGCTTGTGCCTATCAGGCCATCTCAGCCTTGGTTATATTCAGGACCCAGGAGTGTATCTATGTTGTGTGGGGCCCAAAGACTTACAATTTGGGACACTCCTTAATAAAAAGAATACAAAAGTATGAAAACAAAATTAAGTACAAAAGTGGGTATTTACCTAGGAGGAGGGGGTGGGGAATCACAGCAAATTGCTGACACCCTACAGATTGGCCCCTTCCTTCAGCAATCTATGTAGGCAGTTTACCAGAAATGCGCACACAGCAATGCTTCCTGTTTGTCACCTGCCTTCCTTTCCCTGCCTAGAACACTCCCAGAGTCTCCCTGCTCTCTTGGGCAACGGAAGCTTGTGTCTCTTCATCTTTATGGTAAGAGCACCTCGGATGAGGCTTCTGAAAGCTGTGGGCTGGTGGACATCACCCAGGGCAGGTGTTCCTAACATTTTTGGGGTCTTGGTTGCCTTTGAGAATTGAATGAGAGTTATGGAACCTCCCCCAGAACAATGTCTACTCAAGTCTACCAAATTTTACCTACAGTTTTAGGGATTCTTAGATTCCCTAAAGCCTATCTGCAGATCCCAGATAGGGAACCGGTTACCTAGTGCGGTCCACTCATTTCACAGATGAGGCAACAAATCCCAAAGGGGTGAGCAACTTGTGCAAGGTCACCCAACTGGACTCGGATCCAGCTCTTGACTGCCTCCTTTTCTCTATTGTAACAGTTATGCCTTCAGCACTGGACAGGGAGTGGGGTCTTCAGGGGAAGGAGACCCCAAGTTAGGTCCCCTCAGAGGGTCTTTCTTATGTCTTTTCGTCTATCCTGGACACATATTTTTGCCTAGTGCAGCTCAGGGAGGGCAGGATGATGGCTTTGAAATACAAACACAGACAGGAAAAAAAGACTCCCACAACATGTGAGTATAAATGCAATAAGAAACATAAAGGAGAGAGAGAGAAAGCAAGAGAAGTTGTAAGCAAATAATATGCAAAGCTCCTGAGAAAGAACTTGGGCTGCTCTGTTTGGTAGCTGGAGACCTGGGGCCTGGGGAAATCCCAGAAAAAGTCAAATCTGATTGGGCCCTAGCTGAGGCCCTGTCCTCTCGCTTCGCTCTCTCCCTTCCTACCCACCTTGGTTTGGGGTCCGCTTGGTGCCCCAAGCTGTGTGCTTTGCAGGTGTGACTGCTTCTTCCTGCACAGCTTCTCCCTCCCCCAGCCTCAGCATCCCCCCCGCCCCGCGACCCCAAAGCTGCACAGCTGTCTGGATGCTTCCTCTGAGCCCCAACAAACTTAGATCTCCTGGTACCACCCCCCCCCCCTTGGCACCTGGCTCTTCTTTTTCATGGCATATAGAATCACTTACAGTTTTGTATTTATTTGTTTCAGGTCCATGTGCTTCTGTGAGACCTTAAGCTCTGTGTGAGCAGGGCCTAGGTCCTTGGTGCCTTTGGCCTGGCATGTGGAGGCTGTCTCCCATCCCTTGCTGATTTAAACAAATGGTGGCATCTGGAGGTTTGGATCAGGGCATAGGAATAAATGCCCGCTGGGCCACTCATTCCTGAAATCCTGTCCAGGCCTGAGTGCAACTGGGAGCTTGCTTAAGCCTTTAGCCTGTAGGCACAAACGGTAGATGAGCAGGTGGTCAGTGCAGTGAATGGGCCCAGATCCTCAGAGCGGAGCCACCAGCCAAGCAGGCGCAGACCTCCAGGGCTCCTCTGTGTATCTTTAAAGTGGGTTCTGGATGCTCCCTCCTTTTCTCAAGAGCCTGTCTCTGAGTTGTGAGGCTCCCTCAAATTCCCAGTTGGCTGGCTCACCAGCGGTCATGCCAGGGGCTGTCAGCCAAGGTCGTGAGTAGATGGCTGAGATGGGCATCCTCTGAGGGCTGCACACATCAGTAATGAGGAAGAAGCTCTGAAACAGCGCCCTCTCCTGTCCGCTGGACTCGCCTCCAGATAATGGAGCTGTCTTGAGGGAACAGCCTGTCGTTCATACTCCGTATTTTCCCTTTCATTCCATTTAGTGTAGGGTAGAGTGTATTCTTTTTCTTTTTTTCAACTTGACACCCATGACTCCGTGACAGATCGCCATCTGTCATGTGTGTGTGACTACCTCCCTACTAAGGGCCAGGGAGCCCTGATCAAGTATTCTTTCTTCTTCCTCTGTTTCTTCTCAGTGTTGGGTTGCTGGGGTGGGGAGGGGAAGGATTTATGTGATAAAGAAGCCTGAGGTACAACCTCAGTTGTACCTCAGTTTCTCTCCTCCCAGGCTTGCTGCCCGGGGAGCAGGGGCTGTAGAAGGAGAGCACTGTTACCAACTGTAGCCAAATTCACCTTAACAGTTTCTCACCCCGCCCTTGTCTCATCCACCCCCCCAGCAACTAGGAGCCAGATCTGACCACAGATACCCAGGGATGGGCGGGGGGGCCAGGGCCAGGTGAGTTCATCCCAGCAGGTGGGTGCCTGCTCCAGCCTGCCCCTTGCTTCCTCTGAAACACACTGCAGCAGAGCAGCCTCCTTCCCTCTCCCAACCTTAGATGAAATAATCAGTATGAAATTTTCTGTCTCCTGACAAGATGCCACATACTTAATTTTCTTGCACCAATCACCTCTGCAGGAAGATAGGAAATAAACTATGATAGGATAATTACACAGCTGAATACAACTGACTGGTGCTCTTGGGGGTGAGGTTGGGGGAGGGGGAGGGTACACCCAGCATTCTCATCCTCTCTAGTTAATCACGATGTGGCTTTCAGCAGAGCCACAGCCTCAGTAGAAGCGAGACGTCCTCATGGCTAAGTGACGAGTCTCTCAGCGTCATGACAGTGCCCAGCAGCCTCCCTCCCTGCCTTACTCAACGCTGACTATGCCTTAGATCACTGCATCGTGGCTTCAGCACTTTGTCTATGTTCCGGAAAAGCCTTTGCTCTGTCATAGCTTCCCTGACCTCCCAAGGCCAGTGCATCAAAACAGTCACCATCCTGAGAATAACGTTTCTGCTCCCAGGTGAGCGGCAGGCATCACACATCAGGGTGTCTGGGGCTGTCAGGAAAATGGTAAGGAAATATGCACGTGGAAAGAAACAGCTGGCACTTTTTACAGAATCTAGCACTGGGTGTTTATTGCGGCAGAGCTCCATACATTCTTGTTGAATGAATTGATGAATACCCAGGGTTCCTAAGGATATGAGCTGCTAAACTGGGGGGACTCTGCACACAGTCTCTGGCATGGATTGCCCAGCATCGAACCTTGGCTCTGCCCCTTGCTAGCTGTGTGAGCTCCAGCATACTTCTTGATCTCTCTGTGTGCCTACTTCCTCACCTCTAAAATGGGGATGATAATAATAATAATTAATAATTAAGCATTGTTATGTGTAAAGCACTTAAAATACTTCCTGGCACACAATGAGCACCGTGTTAAGTGTTTGCTATTGTTAAGACTACAAAAATAGTCACTCCAAGGAATTGAATGTTACTTTTAACCAGGAGCTGTGAATTTCCTTATCTGGTAGGCATTCACCCCTCCCACCCCCACAAGCTCCTGCCCCACGCATGACACCATCTACTGCAGGGATTTGCAGGTTTTACTGTAAAGGGTCAAATAATAAATATTTTAGACTTTGCAGATCACAGTTTCTATCCCAGCCACTCAACTCTGCAGCCATAGTGTGACAACATGTAAATGAGTGAGCAAGGCTATGTTCTAAGAAACCTTTTTTAATACAAAAGCAGGAGGTGGGTCAGATTTAATCCACTTTGTTAATTTCTGACCTATTGCAACTCATTTTACAAAACAACTGCTCAATTCCTACCTCTTCTAAGAGCCTACCTACTTGTACTTTCCCTCCCTGGACTTCAAAATCACTGGGCTTAGAGGGAGCTTAGTACCATGGAAAGAATATGCAAGAAATGTGGATTAAGCTCTGGCCCTGCTGCATGACTTTGAACAAAGCACTTACGATCTCTGGAGCCTCAGTTTACCCATCTGCAAAATAGATTTAAGATTCTTTTGTCTTACTTACCTAATAAGGCAGTTTGAACGTCCAATAGAGAAATGCATACGGATGTGACTTGCAAACTTGAAAGCACTACCCAGTGGAAGTACATCTGCACGGTGTCCCCAGTGCCCAGCCCAGTGCTTGGTACGCAGTCAGTGTTGACTGAACCAAATCCCAATGGTGGTATTAAGTACAGGTTTTTGTATCAGATAAATAGGTAAGTGCCTATGTATCTCCTTGGCTGGATGGAGAACTCGAGGGACACAGGCCTGAGGAGAAAGGACAGCATTTCTGAGGCAGGTTCCCCAGAAAGCTTATCTACTTGAGCTGTAGGTCAGAGTCATATTGCAATGGGTCTGGACTACAATGACAAGACTAAGGCATCTACAAATCTGGGCTTGTTAACTGAGACTATGTGACAGATAACCACAAACTGGGTAACTTAAAGCAATAGAAATTTATTCTTTCAGAGTTCTGGAGACGAGAAGTCTGAAAGCAAGGTGTTGGCATGGACATGCTCCCTCCAAAGGATCTAGGGGAGAATCTATTTCTTGCCTCTTCTGGCTTCTTGTGGTTGCTAGCATTCCTTGACTTATAGCCACATCGCTCCAATCTTTGTTCCATCTCCACGTCGCCTTCTACACTTCTGTCTTTCCCTCTTTCGGTCTCTTAGAGGGACATTTGTTTTTGTTTTAGGACCTGCCTGTGTAATCTAGGATGTCTTATCTCAAGATCCTTGATTTAATTACATACATCTGCAAAGACCCTTTTTCCAAATAAGGTCACATTCACAGGTTTCCAGGATTTGTCGACAGATCTTTTAGGTGCCACTATTAAACCTACCACAGTATCTTATTACTTCTACCTAACTTTTTACCTAAATATTTCCTATGTCATTGAGCAGTCTTCCAAAAGCATTATTATTATTATTTTGAGACAGGTTCTCAGTCTGTCACCGAGGCTGGAGTGTGGTGACATGATCACCACTCACTGCAGCCTCAACCTCCTGGGCTCAGGTGATCCTCCTGCCTCAAACTCCTGAGTATCTGAGACAATAGATACATGCCACCACCTCCAGCTAATTTTTAAAATTATTTGTAAAGACAGGGTCTTGCTATGTTGCCCAGGCTGGTCTTGAACTCCTGGGCTCAAGTGATCCTCCTGACTCAGCCTCCCAAAATACTGGGATTACAGGCATGAGGCTCCACATCCAACCAAAACCACTATTTTCATGGCCAATAACATTCCATGTTGTGGATATATTATAATTAATTCATTTTCCTCTTGTTTGGCAGTTAGGTTGTTCATAGTTTTCACCATTATAAGAAGAATGCATTGCGTGGGCTTTGAAGTCTTATATTCCCAGATCAAATTCTGACTCTGTCATTTACCAAGAATGTGACCTTAGTCAAGTTTCTTTTCTGAGCCTCAGTTTTCTCATTTGTAGAATGGAGATTATAATGCTTGCCTGGTGAGGTAACTTGGAGGATCAGGTGAAAGAAGATATGTAAAGTGGCCAGCGGCAGAATGTTTGGCACAAGTAAGAGCTTAGTAAATTGCAGCCACTCTTGTTTTATTAATATTGATGGCATCTCAGTTCATTTCCTTAGGATGGATTCATAGAAGTGCTGTTCCCAGATCAAGGGGTGTGGACAATTTTAAGGCTCTTGGTTTGTACTGTCAAATTGCTTTCCAGAAAAGCATTAGCAGAGATGCTCAATATTACCTAATCCTACATAATGACTACTATCATGGGCTATGATGATGACCTTAATCCATGGACAAGAACTTCACAAGTTATAGAAACAGGGTCAGGCTTTGAAAAGCTTGTAGTCTAATTGAGCAACTAAATTGCATACATGAAACAAGACAAACAAAAAAAATGGGATTCGTTAACTCAGCAAATGTTTATTGAGCACCTCCTATGTGCCAGCTACTATCCTAGATGATGGATATTATACATTGGCGAACAAAACAAAAATGGTCCTGGCCTTCATGCCCTTTTAATCCATGGGTCAAAACTAGGCTGCAACACTTCCTTCCTACAACAGAGCTCAGGGAAAGTAAAGATTCACAGAGACCAGGTGGATGGTGAGGCTTCAAGAAGGAAGAGGACCCAGACATGGACTTGAAGAAGGAGCAAGGACTAGAGGAAAATGAGTTGGGGGGTTTGGAGGCTTGTGACTCACTGTCCCAGATGGCTTACCGAGGGCAGGAGTGGGAAAAGGGCTGGGGAGGCTCCATACTGGAAAGCCAGGACAGCTTTCAGCATTGGCCTAGCTGGGGAGGTCGCATTTGTTTTGCTTTCAAAAATCAGAGACTCATAAAATTTTCTGAGCAGGGAAAGGCCCATGAAAGACATTTGGAAAGAATCGAAGGGTCTGGATGAGTCAAGCCTGGCATCAGAATGTCAGCCAGGCTTGGACTCTGCAATACTTGAAGCTGCAAACCTCCTCCCACTTCACAAGCAGGGGTTGGTAGTATGACTTGGTGATAGGGCTTACACTACTTGGCACATGAAGTCCTGAGCCCCATCCCATATCTTCCTCCACCCAGAATTTCTTTCCAGTGCTGATATGGTTTGTCTGTGTCCCCACCCAAATCTCATCTTGAATTGTAATCTCCATAATCCCCTGTATTGAGGGAGGTACCTGGTGGGAGATGATTGGATCATGGGGGCAGTTCCTTCATGCTGTTCTCATGACAGTGAGTGAGTTCTCATGAGATCTGAAGGTTTTATAAATGTTTCACAGTTCCTCCTTCACACGTTTTTCTCTCTCCTGCAGCCACGTGAAGAAGGTCCTTGCTTCCCCTTCACCTTCCACCCTGATTGTAAGTTTCCTGATGCCTCCCAGCCATGCGGAAATGTGAGTCAATTAAGCCTCTTTCCTTTATAAATTAACCAGTGTCGGGTAGTGTCTTTATAGCAGTGTGAGAATGGACTAACACGAGTGCCCAACACTGAGCCCTCAGCAAGCTCCAAGCTTCTTTGAGTGTCTGCCATTGCTTCCTGGAACCCTGGGGGTGAATGGATCTTAGTTGTTCCAGTCGTGGGATACATTAACCTGATATTTTGTTATTAACTGTCCAGGCTGTAAGTGTACCCGAGCCATTGACTCTTCCAGGAGTTTCTTCTTTTCCACTGCGATGTGGTCCTCAGGGGATGGTGAATATCTAATGATTGACCACTTCTGTGTTCCTGATCTAGTTTGGATATCTGTCCTCAAAATCACATGATGAAATTTAACCCCCAGTGTTGAAGGTGGGGCCTGGTGGGAGGTATTTAGGTCCTGGGGGTAGATCCCTCATGGCTTAGTGTTGTCTTCATGATAGTAAGTAAGTTCTAGTGGGATCCAATTGTTTAAAAGTATGCGGCACCTCCCTGCCCTTCTCTCTTTTGCTCCTGCTTTTGCCATGTGATGTGCCGACTCCCCCTTTGCCTTCCTCCATAAGTAAAAGCTATCTGAGACCTACCAAGAAGCTGAGCAGATGCGGGCACCATACTTGTGTAGCCTGCAGAACCGTGAGCCAATTAAACCTCTTTTCTTTATAAATTACCCAGTGTCAGGTATTTCTTTACAGCAACACGAGAGTGGACTAACACAGTCCCCTTTGGTGATTAATATACTATTCTATTAGGGATGGGGCACAGAGAAGGAGGAAGTCTTCTCTCCATTTCCACCTGACCACCCAAGCATATTCCAGTCAGTGGTGACCAGAGGTGGCAGAGGGAAGAAAATGTAGGGGACCCTGAAGGGGCTATGAGGAGACCCTGTGTATGCAGTGAACCCTTCTTCCAACCCAACCATGAGGCCACTCCTGAGTCACAGGTCTGGTAGGTGGAAGTGAGAGGTTGGCTCATTTAGAGTCTTTACAAAACTGAGGAAGAGCCACTTCTCTAATTTCCTCCCATTCCTGTAAATTGGACCTCACAATGCATGCCCTACCCAGACAGGCAGGATGATTGTCTTGTGTAGGGACACAGGCAGGCCCACTGAGGCCACCCCATGTGACTCATGCTCTGGGGCTTCCCTGGGCTTTGCTCTTGCAGGGATAGGGTGACATCCAATGACCCTAAGCTCAGGAGACCCAGGTGAGTTGTCAAAGTTAGAAATTGGCTTGAAATCCCCTGACCAACCCCCTCATGGTACAGAGAAGGGCAATGATGTGCAGGGTCACCCATCAGGGGCTGGGCTCCAAACAGCCGAGCCCCCAGACCTCCTGCACTCAGACTGGAGCCCCCACTCCACCACTTTGCCGGGCCTCTGAAAGTCAGTCTGTCCTTCTTGAAGGTGATTTTCACCAATGGAAGTGGTTTTGGCTTGCTATTCCTTGGCACATCTCTCTTTTATTTAAAAATAGCAAAGTTCCTGAATAGGTCAGAAAAATCAATGGATCCATTTAAGCCTCAAACAAAAACAATTCAGATGAAACCACAGAAGTTAAAAAAAAATACTTGCCCTGAGAAGACTGCTCTACCTACATAAGTGTCGCTGAGGGCCACAGCATTGAGATGAAAAGAAAGAAAAACTGAGGAAGTTATCACTAAATGGCCTTTATTTTGAGAAGGAATGGAGTGAAGAGTTTAAACAGTGAGTGGGGAAGAGGAGGGAAGCATCCTAGAGGGAGGGCAAAAGGGGAAAGTAAAAGGAGCCATGGAAGCTGGGAAACCCTCTTCTGCCCGTGCGTGGTAGGCACTTGGGACAGAGTGAAGAGGGAAAGGATGATGGGATGAGAGCCTCCAGTTCACCCAGGCACCTTCAGGAAGTCCGGCTCGTTCAGGGAGGTTGGATTTATGAATGAACGTGGCTCTACGTGGTCCCTACATATGCTCCATGCTTTACCATCTTGGACCTGTTGATTTTAGGCAAATTAAATTTAACACAATTGAAAAAAGAACGATTCATAGATTGGGAAGCCCCCTGAACCAGAGTAGGTTTGGGAGGAATTGGCACTGCCTCATGGTTGTAGAAGATTTATGGATAGAAAAAGGAAACTGACATACAGAAACTAGAAGTGAGGTATAGAAATAGCTGGATTGGTTACAGTTTGGCACCTGCCTAATTTGAAGATGGTTTGGACAGCTGGCCACCTTTGATAAGCTGAAACTTGGTGATTGGTACAAGAGTAGGTTACAGTGCATTTACACATCCAGTTAGGTTACAGTTCACTATGTACAGAGAAACCTTTAGGCCTAACTTAATATATGTAAAGAGGCAGCTTTAGGCTAAACTTAATTGAACAGAGACTTTGTTCTCGGTCTTTCTCCTGAAACGCTCCTCCCTGCCATCTCAGTCTGATGACATCATACCCATGCTTTCTTCTTCTTTTTTTTTAATTAGAGATGGGGTCTCACCATGTTACCCAGGCTGGTCTCGAACTCCTGGGTTCAAGTGATCCTCCCACCTCAGCCTCCTAAAGTGCTGGGATTACAAGCTTCCGCCATCATGCCTGGCCTACCCATCCTTTCATTTACTCCTTCATTCATTCCCTTATTCATCAAAATGTAATGAGTGCTCAAATTGTACCAGAAGCTGGAGACGCAGCTGAATAAGGTGATCAGGGTAACTATCCTCTTCAAGCTCATGTTTGGGAGGTGATGGAGGTGGGGAGCAGAGGAAGAGGGAAGGCAGATATCAAACAGTTAATAGTTAATTTCATAACTAATTATTACAAGACAATCTAGGTAAGGCTGTGAAGGAAAAGCGCAGGTGTTCTGAGCATTTGACGGGATCTACCCTTGTCTAGAGCAGTCAGGGAAGGGATTCCTTGTGAAAGTAACATTTGGGAGGGGCTCTGGAGGCTGAGTCTAAATTAATTAATGGGAGGTTGAAAGGCACAGCAGAAAAGGGGGCCAGAATGTGTCTGGACCCTGAGCAGGAGGGCTGTTTGAGGACAGGAAAAGCAGACATGAAGAGTGTGGCCCAGTGAGGTGGTGGAGGCATGGAAGAGGGCATACAGTCAAGTTTGGGAGTCATCATTTGAGGTTGTTTGCTTCAGAAAGAATGGAGGGGAGAGAATTAAAATTATGAAAATGAAAGAATGAATATGTCATCTATCAGCTGCAGGTCAGAGTCACAAACTCATGGGCTAGGCAGATAAGACAGAGTGGAGCAGGCCTGTAAAAGGCAATAGGGAGTGGTGGAGACTGTGGAAAACTGAAGGATACACATACATACACACACACACACACACACACACACACACACACACACACACACACACTATGCCCAAAGGCATTTAAATTTAAAATATGTTCAAACCTGTTGCTGGCCAAATAAAGCAAAGTCTGCCAGCCAACAGTTTTGGGTCCCTGACTGCAGGGGAACAAGTTGCCTGGAAACAAAGAGTTTTGGGGGAACGGGGAGAGCTGGGAGCTCCTTGGCCACAGAGCCAGAAAAAGAGTCAAAAGAGCCCCTCTGTGGAGAGCACACTTTCACTTATACTAAAGGCTTTGTCTCCCCAGTCTGCAGACTGTTCTTCATAGAGAATAAAGCTCTCCCTTTCCCCTCCTGCAATAGAGAGAGTGAGAGAGTGAAAGAGAGAGAATGCGAGAGAGAGCAGGCCCCTTTGGCTGTCAGATGGACAGCTCTCTACCCATGTTCCTTGTGGTTCCTCCAGCTTGCCTCCTGTAACTCACCTGTCCCCAGGAGTCACTCCACTCTCCCCAAAAGCAGAGTTGAGGACAAGATAGTAACTGCTGATTAACATGAATGGTGAAATGGAAACAGGGCCCCCCACAGCCATTCCCCACTCAGGAAGGCCTGTCTGCCGGCTACAAGCACTGCTGGTTCCCTGTGCTCAGTGAGACTGGCAAGCTCCCATGACGTGAGACTTGAGGGTAGGATGGAGTTGGGGAAATAAACAGAAGGAAGATGCAGAAAGGAATGGAAGCAGATACCGAAACCAAGAAAATAAGATTAGAGGGCTGACACCCTCATAGGTTATTTCAACATGAATTTCCTAGCGTAATTTTGGGTCATTTGCATTCCATTGTTGTCTCTTTCAAAGCTTGAGGTAGGGAGATTTTTAGGGACCTCCTCCACCTTCCCTGTGTAACTGAAAAAAACATGGCTGAGCTTATCTTAATAACCATCATGTATTTGGCCAAAACAATTATTTTCTTCCCTCTTTGTAGATTTAAATGTCCTTAAATGTGTTGGGGGTTTCCAGCACCTAATGTCTTCCCAGTTGTGCAGAAGGAACATGCCAGCCTTCGTGGTTTTGTTTTTCCTGCAATGCAGATGAAGAACTAAATTTGTTTTGCCAGACCTTTGTAGGGCAAACGTCTTTACTTGACAGGAGGAAGTCTTCTTCTATCTTATAAAGGAAGAAATATTTTTAAAGGCTATTTCAACATGTAAACACTTCTTTTGCCACATGCATGCCTTTAATTGCTTATTTCCACTACCTCCTAAAACCTAATGCAGAGCTATTCCTTGAAAGGAATTCAGCTGTCTGAGCCAGAATTTTGAAATGACAGGCTTGTGAACAGCAAATCCCCAAAAGGTAGTGAATATTTGTGGCTTCCTGATGGCCGATATAGTTTGAATATCTCTCCCCTCAAATCTCATGTTGAAATTTGATCCTCGAAGTTGGCAGTAGGGCTGGTGGCAGGTGTTTGGGTCATGGGGGAGGATCTCTCATGAAAGGCTTGATGCCTTCCCTGTGGTAATTGGGTTCTCATTCTGTTAGTTCACTCAAGAGCTGGCACCCCTCTCCTCTCTCTTTCCTTCTCTCTCACCATGTGATGCCTGTTCTCTTTCACCTTCTGCCATGAGTGGAAGCTTCCTGAAGCTCACCAGAAGCAGATATCAATGCCATGCTCCTTGCAGCCTGCACAACCATGATCCAATTAAACCTCTTTTCTTTATAAATTACCCAGCTTCGGGTATTCCTTTATAGCAACACAAACAGATAAAGAAAAGAGCCCAGCGTCCATCCCTGTAAAGCCCGAGAGCACTGGGTGTTTGTTCAGATACCACTCTTTCCCCCTTAGTTCATTGGATTCCAGTGGAGTTGACTCTGCGCTGAGTCTTAGAAAAGGCATTATGCCGAGGCTGGCACAACCAGATGACCACATTCTCTGATTGATTGAGGGACAGCCACTTGACCTAATTCTGGTCAATAAGAGTCGAGGAGACTCAACTGCAGCCAGTAACACCAGGGAGGACATGACACTTGGGCTGCTATGACCATCCTCTCCACACAAGGGGGTACATATGAAAATGGAGTCAATACATGTAAAGGCAGAGCCAAAGACAGAGAAATTGAATCCTAGTGACGTCATCTGAGCATTGGAATCCAGCCATACCTAAAGACAGCCCTACTCCATGGGCTTCTATGCTACACAAGAGAATAAATTTCCGGTTTTTTCCTAAGTCAGTCTGAACTGTCTTCCGAGTATCATCTATCCAATGTAAAGCAACGTGGCTGGTTCTAGTATATGATTCTGGTAAAATCTGTCCCATTAGTCTATAGTCATACCTTATTATATCTGTAAAATGCATTCAACTTCTTAAAGCATTTTAACCAATGTGTTATTGCTTTTCATCCAGACCCCTCTTAGGAGAGTTTACCCACTTTACCTCCATGTGATAAGCAACTCTCCCAAGGTGACGCAGTACTAGACAGAGGAGTCCTAATTTCCCAGCAGGCACCAAAGAAGACCATTCCCTTGTCTACATTCTCTTAAACATTTAAAAGATTACCCCTAGGAGACTGAGTCTGGAGAAGAACGATTGAAACAGAGAGGTTCTTACTTACTGCAGTCTTATTTATAATAGCCAAACCTTATTAAAATATCTTAAATGTCCATCCATTGGCACCTCTATGGAGTAGAGTAGTATGAAGCCTTTAATGAGGCAGAGCAAAATGTCCTTGTATGATACAATTGCCAAGAAATAGTTCTAAGTGAAAAAGCAAACACTGTGTGGTATGCTATTGCTTGTAATTTTAGGAAAGAGAAAGTCTATGTACATATAATCTTACACACACATCGACTGTCTCTGGCACAAACTGGTGACAGTGGTACCTCTGGAGAGGGCGCTTGGGAGTCTGCAGACAGGGGTGAGAGCAAAGAGACTTCATTTTTCACCGTGTACCTCTTTCTACCTTTTCAATTTTGTAAATGTACATGTTTTACCTATTTTATAATTAGATGAACTAATTTTTTTCAAAAAGAAATACAACTAACCACTTAAAAAATACACATTTTTAGTGTGAAGACATCACAAAGCTTTTAAGGAGTGTCTGGGCTTTTAACCCTGTGACTTCACTCCTTCCAGAAGCTGGGGCTGGGGCTTGTTCTACCTGGATGCTGATTTTTAGGGGGCAGGGTTGCCGACTGGGAGTCCATTTTGAGTGCTCCTAGAAGGAAAATGCCACAAAAGCTATTGGAGCAATTAGGCAAAATGTAAATGAAATCTATTTGGGGAGGGTCGGGGAAAGCTGAAAGATGTGGTTAAGCAGTGGGGCTGCAGGGACCTGCAAATGGGAAGGAAAAGAGGCAGCCGGTTATTTTCAGGAGGAAAGGGGAGGTCCTTGGTATTCTCTGTGTGCATTTATTCAATGTCTTAACATTTTCATCAAGTGTCTTCTATTCAGTCATCAATCCAGGCTATCTTCACAGGGGCCAAGGCCATGACTGCCTCATGGTCTAATGCTTCTGGGAGGCCTTATTTTTGGACAAGTATATGGCTTGAAAATTTTAGATGACACACACCAAAAAATGTATTAAGCTCTTGGGGAGGGAACAAAGGAATGAAGGAGGCAAAAACTTAAGAATCTCAAGGGCCTCACACCATCCTTAGTCCTTGAGGAGGTGGCACCAGGAACACAGAGTCCTAGCAGGGAATCACAGCAGGAGATAGAGAAATACTTGGAGAAAAGTGGGTACCCAGCCTACAAGGAGCAGAAGGGCTGCCGGACTCAACCTGAACAAGCACCTGTGGTTCATGAACCAGCAGGCCAAATACTCTGGACAGCATCCCAGCAATTACCAGGGGCCAAAGCTTGTGGTAGGGAGCCTGGGGGATCTTCCCACCCAAAACTTCTTCAGGGGTCCTTTCTTACCCCTTATGATGTCTGGGCACCAAGCAGGGGCAAGCTCTGCAGACAGGAATAACCCCAGCACTAAGACGTGACTGCATTCATGGAGAATCTGTCCCTGGGATGCCCTGCAGATCCAGTGGGGAAGTCAGACAAGACCAACGGTATCTGAAGCTGCGGCTTGATGATCTTTACTGCTGTTTACTATTCCAAAGTGTGAATACAACAGCTTTCATTTATCCAGTGAGCTTGGGTGGACATTTTGCTTGTTTCCATTTTGCAGCCATCACAAACCCTGCTTGGTGCCCAAGCATGAATGCGCCCATCCCCACTACGGGGTTTGTGCACACACTGCTGTTGGTTCCTAGGATGAGGATTAGCAGTGGAACTGCTGCTCACAAGTTCGGCTTCTCACGTTCAGCTTTGGTGGATACTACCAAAGAGTGCCCTGAAGGGCTTTGATGGTTTTACTTCCCAACAGAGTGTTCGGGTGTTCCTGCTGCTCAGCATCCTCACTGACACCTGGGATTGTGAGATGTTTTAGTTTTTGTTGCTCTGGTTGCTCTGTGGCTTTCGTTGTGGTTTTAATATTCATTTAACTGGTGAAAGTCAGGTAGGACACTACTCACCTGTTCCTTGAGCCTTGGGATTTCCTGATGTAAAGTGTCTCTCCACGGGTTTTTTGTTTTTTTTTTTTTGGCCCATTTTTGTTTGAATTAATTCTTATAACTCCTTTGACAATGAATGTGTTGGAAAATTTTCTCCCATTTTATGACTTGCTTTTTCATCCTTGTATGTCTTTTCATTGCTAGCATTTCTTAATTTTAATGTTATCTATTTCACCTATGGGTGATGGACCAGTTTTTTGTTTTATTTCCATTAGTGGCAGACCAATATGTTCTAAGATAAAATAAGATTATAAAATACATTGAAAATTTTTTTAAGTGCTAAGACAATTGTCAAGGAAAATTTGCTGCATCCTTTTCGGCGACTTTGGCTTTTAATACTCTACTAGGTTTTCTTTACACAAAGCACCTGTATAACGCCAGATACATTTAGACACTCAATGGATGCTTTAGAATCTAAAATGGAGAGAATAAAGGTATCAAACTGGCCTGAAATGCTGGAAAAGAGGCATGAAAGAAAAGACAATTGAGCTACCAGACATTAAAAAGAGGAACACTAGAAAACTAGGATAATGACAAAATGTCCTCAAACAGAAAATCTGAAAACAACCAGATTAAGATTGGAATAAGCTCTACCCTAGCATATTTCTTGCCATATGAAGTGGTCTGCCAGAATCCAAGCAGGGAACACAGCGATCTTACTCATTTGCATGCTATTGCCCAGAATGCTCTACAGGTTCGTCATTTTGAGGAAGAACTCTGCTAGCGTCAGAGTTTGGAAATGAAAGCAAATTAATTTTAGATAGGGCGAGATCATCTATTCTACTTATTCATGGAATTCTTCATTAAAGTTTTGGTTTCGCATCATCCAGCGTTGTTAATTTGCCCAGATGGTATCTGGAGTATTATTCTCTAACCTTTCAAGCTTTGGGAGTTAACTCAGGATGGCCTATTTCAAACAGGTCTCCTTTAAAAGTCACAGTACGTTTTAACTTTTTGTCTAGCTCATTTCTAAATGGGACCCTCTTCTGGGCCAGCTTTTCCATAATCAAAGATAGAGACAGACATAGAGAGATAGTGTCAGAGAGACACATGTATAGAAAAAGTGAGCATGCTATGCCAGTAGTGTCTTTCTTTGTAAAAATTACCTGCTCATTTTTCTTGATCTCACCAGACTGTGATCTGGCAGATAAGTGGCAGAAAATTATAATTGAAGATGGTGAATCTTTCCTGACTCACTTCAGTGTTCCATGCTGTTCAACTTTCAGCTTGCTGGGCAATACAGGCAAAGAAATGGAAAATAACTCACAGTCCATCAGTATCATGAATGCTCGGACTGTGCATGAATGTCTGTGAGTGCTGAATGTGTGGGTGCTGACCGTGTGGGTTGAGTGTGTGTGTACATGTGTACTGAGTTGTGTTGTGTTTCTGGTGGGTGTGTGTATGTTTAGCATGTGTGCTGAGTGTGTGTGTGTGTGTGTATTAATTGTTCCGGTGTTGAGTGTTTATATTATTGAGTGTGTATTAAGTGTGCATATGTATTGAATGTGTGCGTTGAGTGTGTGGGTCTGCTGAGTGTGTGCCTGCAAATGGGCCTGTAGTAGGGATGTGTGGCAAAGACAGCAGGAGGATTAAAACACACCTGCCTGGCTGGGCGCAGTGGCTCACACCTGTAATCCCAGCTTTTTGGGAGACTGAGGCGGGTGGATCACCTGAGGTCAGGAGTTCGAGACCGGCCTGGCCAACATGGTGAAATCCCTTTGCTACTAAAAATACAAAAATTAGGCCTGGTGCAGTGGCTCACGCCTGTAATCCCAGCACTTTGGGATGTTGAGGTGGGCGGATCACCTGAGGTCGGGAGTTCGAGACCAGCCTGAGCAACATGGAGAAACCTCATCTCTACTAAAAATACAAAATTAGCCAGGCGTGGTGACAAATGCCTGTAATCCCAGCTACTCGGGAGGCTGAGGCAGGAGAATCGCTTGAACCTGGGAGGCGGAGGTTGTGGTGAGCAGAGATCGTGCCATTGCACTCCAGCCTGGGCAACAAGAGTGAAACTCCATCTCAAAAAAAAAAAATTAGCTGGGTGTGGTGGTGATGTAATCCCAGCTACTCGGGAGGCTGAGGCAGGACAATCTCTTGAACCCGGGAGGCGGAGGTTGCAGTGAGCTGAGATTGCGCCATTGCACTCCAGCCTGGGTGGGAGAGTAAGACTCTGTCTTAAACACACACACACACACACACACACACACACGTATACACCTGCCTTAGGTCTCCTGTGTTGCATCAGGAATCCAAAGGGCTACTTCTGCAGTCTGACTTCTTTTGTGTGGTTTGCAGCTTTAGTACAAATGAGACAGCAGTGACCAGCTATTATTATTTATTTGGAGGGGATTATCTTGAGTAATCTGGAAAAAGAGAGAGGACACCAGGTTTAGTTTCTGTCCTCAACCCACACTCTGATCTCATGGTTGCTACTTCTTAATTGCCTCTTTCTTTACTGGGGCTCACAGCCCACTTTTGCCTCCTTTCAGGTTGAAAAAAAAATCTTAATTATCCAGAGACAATCACTGGATGCAATGCAATTCACCAAGAAAGTGAATGGGGCAGGGGAGGGCAATGACAACAAATTGGCCACCAAGAAATTGGCTCACAGGCTCTCTTGCCCAGTAACCTATGTCACGGGTACAATCTAAACCCTCAACTAGATGGAAAGCTCTTCAAGGGCTGAGATTTTCTCTTCCTTTCCCTGACAGCCTCCTTCCCACCTCTCTCACACTTGGCACTGTTAAGCTCTTAGTAACAATGGTGATAGCTAACACTGAGCACCTGCTTGTGCCAGAGCTGGTCTGAAGCTTCACTCCAGTTGACAAGGTGCCGTCATGTGATTTGGCCCTCACCGACCACTGCCTTCTCAGCTCTGTGCTCCAACCAAACCAGCATTTTTTTTTTCTGTTTCTTCAATCCACCAAACCTGTCCCCCATCAGGGCCTTTGTATTTGCAGTTCCCTCTGTCAAATGTTGCTGAAAGGCCAACTGAGTCCAGAATAGAGCAGTAGTCACTGGACTTGGGCAACACAGATATGACTGCGATCTGACAAGTGTCATCTCAGTGGGTGAACAGAGACAGAAGCCCCAGCTGCAGAGGATAGAGGAGAGAACATAGACAGTAACTACAAAATTTTAGCTGTGAAAGGAAGCAGAATGATAAGGCGATGGCAGGAGAAAGATGTGGGGTCAAGGAAGATTTTTTTTTTGTTTGCTTGCTTCCTTTTAAAGTAAGAGGTAAGGCAGCAATGAATTGTCTTAGTACATGTTGTGCTCCTGTAACAGAATTCCTGAGACTGGATAATTTATAAAGAACAGAGATTTATTTCTTCTAGTTCTGGAGGCTGGGAAGTCCAAGGTCAAGGGGCTGGCATCTGGTGAGGTCCTTGTTGCTATATCATCTCATGCAGAAGGTGGAAAAGTAATAGAGCAAGAAGGGGCCAAACTTGCTTTTATAACAAGCCTATAATGATGACATTAATTCAATCACCTCTTATTAGGCTCCACTTCTCAACACTGTGGCATTGAGGATTAAGTTTCCAACACATGAACTTTGGGAACACATTCAAACCATAGCAGTACAGAAATGACACAGGTTCTGGCACAGGGCCCAGATGCAAGGGAGACAGGGAATAATTGCTGGGAAGAGTCATTTTGGAGAATAGCAAAATGAAAATGGGATCTGATAGAAAAGTGTTCTACGGTTGTAAGGCATTATTTTGTTCAAAAAATTTAATGGTCACAAACTCCTATCGGGTGCATATTGTTATTCTCATTATTTAATAGACGAGGAACCTAAGAACCAGAAATGTTAAGTAACTTGCCCACAATCACACTGCATGCAAGTGGAGGAGTTAAGATTTGAAGAGAGATTTTCTGACTCCTGGTTAATTATGAGTTCCAAGTGCAAGATTATAAAGGATAAAAAACTCAGCTCCTTAAGTCAAAGCAAAGTCTGAGAGTATCAGAGATACACACAAAACCCAAGGCTTGAAATCCAGGTACTAGAGAAGTCAAATCGCTCCAACGGTTTATAAATGAGGACAATTTCAAGATTTCGTTTAGTTGCCAGGAAATACATCTGTTGGCAATGTTCTACTTCTCAAGGGGGAGGTGGACAGTTCGGCATTTTCTTTGAACTAAATCACTGAGCTGAGCCACATTTCTATTTTATAAGCTTTTCTGTATCTGTGCATTATTTCACAATAAAAAGTTTAAAAGCTGACTTGTTGATGGTAGATGATATGGGACCATGTCCTTTCAAAATGTGGCCCACCTTAGTAGTTCCCAAACCTGACTGGTCATCTGAACAACCTGGGGAACTTCTAAAATGAATATTTCCACCCAAGACCCAGGGAATCAGAATTCCCTTACACAGAACCGAGAACTTGTATCATCAGAGGCTCCCTGTGACTCTCAGGCTCAGCCAAGTTTGGGAACCACCAGCCTCAAGTACGAACATTCAGTTAAAATTAATGTTTTCTGCAATGTTGTTTCCTATGGCCTATGGAGATGCTCAAAATATGCCTCATGCAAGACAGAGTCTAGTTAATTCAATAATGTTGTGTGTTCTCTTTTCCTGCCCTACACTCTGAACGTAACCTCATCCTTTCCCTTCTGATACATCCATTGCTTTGTACCACAGATACAATGTGTTATAAGATAAGCCCTATAGCTTAAACACCTAATGATCATAAAACTGATTGCATCTCTTCCTTTAGCATTTCTCTCTCTTGACACCTTCTGAGGAAAGACCTCATGCCATCCTGAATGAAAGCTTTATAAGAAGGTCAGGGTCATGGGTGAAGGCACCTGCTCCCATGTGGGAGTGGACTGATCTCTTGGCTGAAATGAATGTTGTAGCAGTTAGGCTGTTCCCCTGCTACAAGGGCCACAGCAGTATACCACTGGTCAGGGAAAGAGAAGTTCTCCATACTCTCCTGAATCTCGAGTCAATTGAGAAACCATAGACCGTGGCCATTCCCGGAAAGGAGGCAGAAGAGCTTAGATGCAGGTTGATGCCTCAGGAGAAGCTGAGCGCAAAGGCAGAGCCAGCTGTGTTGACCATGCAGACTCACAGAGGCCTTAGACACACCAGCTCCCGGAGTATCACTTTCCCTGCTTCTCCAACCTAGAAAGAGTGCAGTCAAAATGCAGCTCCATTTGTTGCCCTTCCCTGGGGAAAAAAAGAAGAAAGGGGCAGGAGTTCAGGATTTATTTTGCAATGTGAATCTCAGGAATGCATAAGAAATGGCAGTTGGCAGTTGCTGCCTCTGAGCAAAGACGCTCTATTGAAATTTGACTCATCCTTGGCAGCTTATTGTGCTTTTCTCCTTCGCCTTCCTTGTAACACAGAGGAGTGAGGTGAGTAATGCTCTGCACAGTAAGAGAAAAATAGATCCCCAAATGCCTTCCATTATCCTAAAGGCCTGTGTTACCAGCTGTGGCGGCAGGGGGTGTGGTCCCATCCATTAGCAGGGGGAGATTCAAAACATCTGACGCCCTCTCTCCGAGGCTATTTGTAGTTCCAAAAGCGCGACAAGCAGGGACTGAAAACTGATAAACCCAGAGAAGTCTAAAAGCCCTGCTGGGGGTCCTGTGAGAGCCAGGATGGACAAGAGCCCTTATATGCAGGAGTTCTCAAGGCCACACAAAAGGAAAACAGCCAGACCTACTTTCTGCTGCCTAACGTTGCCCAGTCCCTTCCCCACAGGTGTAAGAACCACTTCTACCCAAGGGTAAAAATAGTTCATATTTTTTGAGAGCCTGTTACATGCCAGGCATTGTGCAAAGCATTTTCTATGGGCTATGTCACCTAATTCACATGCATGTCTGTGCACACACACATGCGTGCACACACACAAACGTTGAGGTGGGTACTGTCACTATCTCCTTTTACAGATGAAGAAATAAGGCTCAGGAAGGGTAAGTAACTTGCCCAGGGTTACCGGGTTAAAACAGATCCAGGCAGTCTTCAGAAGACAGTCGTAAATAAACACAGCCATATTAGAATATCTGCTTGGTTAAATGTAGATATTTGAACAGTGAACAACAGAAGTACAAGGAAAAAATTTTGTTGCTTCATTTATTTTGCTTTATAGACTATCTAGGTCTTAGAGATAGGACTATGGCTCAATAACCCCAGACTTCCTAGAAGTGTTTTTGGTTACCTTCTAAAAGGAGGAAATGAGGATGTGGTCATTGCCAGAGTCAGAGGTTAGTTAGTAAGTCAGCAGTAGGTACAAATCACAGGTCATTATTATGAAGCTTCTCCCTCACTTACAGAAACCTTTTGTAAAAAATTAAAAGCCTCCATCTTCCCCTATGAAGTTTTTGTTTGTTCGTTTGTTTTTTGAGACGGAGTCTCAGTCTGCTGCCCAGGCTGGAGTGCAATGGCAAGATCTCGGCTCACTGCAGCTTCTGCCTCCCTGGTTCCAGCGATTCTCCTGCCTCAGCCTCCCGAGTAGCTAAGATTACAGGCGCATGCCACCATGCCCAGCTAATTTTTGTATTTTTAGTAGAGAAGGGGTTTCACCATGTTGGTCAGGCTGGTCTCGAACTCCTAACCTTGTGATCCACCTGCCTCGGCCTTCCAAAATGCTGGAATTACAGGCATGAGCCACCACGCCCGGCCCCCTATGCAGTTTTAAAAGTATATGTTAAGTTCTAATATATAAGAAACATATTTTTCCCTTCTGGAATTGACCACATTAACCTCCTATCCAACCAGAATCATGCTAAGGAGAAAAATAAATGTTCATCTCAATGGCATTTTCTTATTCAGCTAATTGATTTTTTTCTTTTTCTTTTTTTTTTTTTTCAGATGGAGTTTCACTCTTGTTGCCCAGGCTGGGGTGCAATGGTGCAATCTTAGCTCACTGCAACCTCCGCCTCCAGGGTTCTAGCGATTCTCCTGCCTCAGCCTCCCAAGTAGCTGGGATTATAGGCATGTGCCACCATGCCCAGCTAATTTTTTTAAATATATATTTAGTAGAGACGGTGTTTCACCATGTTGTTCAGGCTGGTCTCAAACTCCTGACCTCAGGTGATCCACCCACCTCAGCCTCCCAAAGTGCTGGGATTACAGGAGTGAGCCACCGTGCCCAGCCGATTTTTTTAAAAATAACAATAATGCCTGAACATCCAGCCACCTAATTACCAGCAGCTTTTTATTTGCACTATCATTAACTTCACAGCTGCCTTGTTAGTAACAAGTGGTACCACAGAGACATCAGCCACAACTGTTAGTTTCTGAAAGGAAGAACATGAAAAAGGACCAGCTCCTCCTTGGTGAAGGTCAGAGAGGGCTTCAGGCTGACTCCAGCAGCACAAGTGCCCGATCTCAAATGGAGGAAGCTGCCTGTGGAACCATGTTGGGTGGACGGGATCTTGGTGAGCATCTGGTTCAATCCTCTCCACTGACAGGTGAGAAAACTTGAGGTCCAGAGAGGTTAAGTAACTTGCCTGTGATCACACAGCTAGTTACCTTTAGTACTGGAACTGAAGCACAGGCCTCCTGATTCCTTTGTTATTTTTTAAAAAAAAATTTTAATTGAGGAATACATACAGAAAAGTATACATATCGTGAGTGTACAGCTTAATTATCTTTAAGTGGGCCATGTAACCACTACCCAGGTGAAAGGAACAGAACATCTCTAGCACCCCAGAAGCTCCTGATATTTCCCTTCCCATCACTACACACTCTCTCCTCCTCCTGATCCTGACTTCTAACGCAGTAGATTAGTTTGGTTTGGCCAATGTTTTTTGAATTAAGAGCTATTTTATGTAAAGCTCATGTATTTAAAGCTGAAAAATGAAACTTGTTCTTTCATAGAGTGTGTTAAATGGTATATTAAGAAAACATGTCCCATTTGTTAAGGGATACAAAATTACAGCTAAACAAGAGGAATTAGTTCTAGTGGTCCATACTACTGGAGTATGACTAAAGTTAATAATACATAGTTTCAAATAGCTAGGAGGATATTGAATGTTCCTAACATGGAGAAATGATACATGTTTGACATGATGAATATGCTAATCATCCTGAGCTGAGCACTATACATCATATGTATCAAAACATCACTATGTACTCCATAAATATGTATAATTACATGTTAATTTAAAAAGTAAATTTGGGCCTGGCTCGGTGGCTCACGCCTGTAATCCCAGCACTTTGGGAGGGCAAGGCAGGCAGATCACTTGAGGTCAGGAGTTTGAGACCAGCCTGGCTAACATGGTGAAACTCCGTCTCTACTAAAAATACAAAAAATTAGCCAGGTGTGGTGGCACACACCTGTAATCCCAGCTACTTGGGAGGCTGAGGCAGGAGAATTGCTGGAACCCAGGAGGCAGAGGTTGCACTGCACTCCAGCCTGGGAGACAGAGTGAGACTCCATCTCAAAAAAAAAAAGGTAAATTAGGCCTGGTACAGTGGCTCATGCCTGTAATCCCAGCACTTTGGGAGGCTGAGGCAGGAGGATTGCTTGAGGCCGGGAGTTCCAGACTAGCCTGGGCAACATAGTGCAACCCTATCTCTACAAAATATTTTAAAAACAGGTGAGTGTGGTAGGGCACTTGCCTTTAACCCTAGCTACTTGGGAGGCTGGGGTGGGAGGACTGAGTGAACGCAGGAGGTCAAAGTTACAGTGAGCTCTGATCGCACCACTGCACTCCAGCATGAATGATAGAGTGAGATCCTGTCTCAAAAAAAATAAATAAATTGATGATTTCTTAGAAACAAGTAATTAGGGTTAAATGAAATCATATGGGGGGGCCCTAATCAAATAGGATTGGCTTCCTTATGTGTCCAGAATTGGCGGGTTCTTGGTCTCACTGACTTCAAGAATGAAGCCGTGGACCCTCGCGGTGAGTGTTACGGTTCTTAAAGGTGGCATGTCCGGAGTTTGTTCCTTCTGATGTTCGGATGTGTTCGGAGTTTTTCCCTTCTGGTGGGTTCGTGGTCTCGCTCGCTTCAGGAGTGAAGCTGCAGACCTTCACGGTGAGTGTTACAGCTCTTAAGGCGGCACATCTGGAGTTGTTCATTCCTCCCGGTGGGTTCGTGGTCTTGCTGGCTTCAGGAGTGAAGCTTCAGACCTTCATCGTGAGTGTTACAGCTCATAAAGGCAGTGTGAATCCAAAGAGTGAGCAACAGAAAGATTTATTGCAAAGAGCAAAAGAACAAAGCTTCCACAGCATGAAAACAGATCTGAACGGGTTGCCACTGCCGGCTCCGGCAGCCTGCTTTTATTCCCTTATCTGGCCCCACCCACATTCCGCTGATTGGTCCATTTTACAGAGAGCTGATTGGTCTGTTTTACAGAGAGCTGATTGGTCCGTTTTGACAGGGAACTGATTGGTGCATTTACAGTCCCTGAACTAGACACAAAAGTTCTCCAAGTCCCCACTAGATTAGCTAGACACAGAGCACTGATTGGTGCATTCACAAACCCTGAGCTAGACACAGGGTGCTGATTGGTGCATTTACAAACCCTGAGCTAGACACAGAGTGCTGATTGGTGCATTCACAATCCATTAGCTAGACATAAAGGTTCTCCAAGTCCCCACCAGATCAGCTAGACACAAAGCACTGATTGGTGCATTTACAAACCTTGAGCTAGACACAGGGTGCTGATTGGTGTGTTTACAAACCTTGAGCTAGACACAGAGTGCTGATTGGTGCATTTACAAACCCTGACTAGACACAGGGTGCTGATTGGTGCATATACAATCCCCCAGCTAGACTTAAAAGTTCTCCAAGTCCCCACAAGACTCAGGAGCCCAGCTGGCTTCACCCAGTGGATCCCGCACTGGGGCCGCAGGTGGAGCTGCCTGCCAGTCCCACGCCTTGCGTCCGCACTCCTCAGCCCTTGGGCAGTCGATGGGACTGGGCACCGTGGAGCAGGGGGCGGCGCTCGTCGGGGAGGCTCAGGCGGCACAGGAACCCACAGCAGGGGGCAGGGCAGGGGAGGCTCAGGCATGGCGGGCTGCAGGTCCTGAGCCCTGCCCTGTGGGGAGGCAGCTAAGGCCCAGCGAGAAAGCCAGTGTAGCGCTGCTGGGCTGGCACTGCTGGGGGACCCGGCACACCCTCCACAGCTGCTCATCCGGGTGCTAAGCCCCTCACTGCCTGGGGCCGGTGGGGCCAGCTGGCCACTCCGGGTGCGGGGCCGCCGAGCCCACGCCCACCCGGAACTCGTGCTGGCCCACAAGCGCCATGAGCAGCCCCGGTTCCACGGTTCCGCCCACGCCTCTCCCTCCACACCTCCCCGCAAGCTGAGGGAGCCAGCTCCGGCCTCGGCCAGCCCAGAAAGGGGCTCCCACAGTGCAGCAGAGGGCTGAAGGACTCCTCAAGTGTGGACAGAGTGGGCGCCGAGGCCGAGGAGGTGCCAAGAGCGAGCGAGGGCTGCAAGGGCTGCCAGCACGCTGTCACCTCTTGCTTATACAAAGAAGAGATTAGGATGCAGACACAAACAGACAGAAGACCATGCAAATACACAGAGAGAAGATGGGCATCTCTAAGCCCAGGAGAGAGCCCTCAGAAGAAAGCAGCCCTGCTGACACTGTGATCTCGGACTTAGGTTTCTAGTCTCCAGAACTGTGAGAAAATAAATTTGTTGTTTAAGCAAGAAAAAGAAAAAAGGAACTCCAGGAATGTTCTATCCCTTTGCCCATTTGACATCTACACTTGGATGTCTTGCATAGCTGAGGCAGCAATATGTGTTGGGGTGATCAGACTCAACACCAGGTCATGGGGGCGACGAAATCCAGCAGAGTCAAAAGAATGAGAAAAAGACAGTTTGAGAGAGAAAGTGGGACCAGGGGGCCATCGCGAGTGTGGAGGCTGGGAAGGCCCTGAGCTTTGGGAGCCCTCGCTATTTGTTGGTGATCAAAGAAACAGGTGGTGAGGATGTGGGGGTTGAAACGAAATGGTGTATCAAGTGAATGAGAAACATATGGCTACTTGAGACAATGGGAGTGCTAGAAGCAAGGAGCCAGCAAGTCTAGCAGACATGTAAGCTCCACCTCAGCTTCTCTCCCAACGACTCAGCTTTTCTCCCAACAATATGGATTCCATCACACCCCGCCTTGACTTTCTCATTTTTGTAAATGGCGCCATCATTCACCTGGCTGCTCAGGCTAAAACTTAGTCATCAGGCTTAAATCATCTTTTCCTCACACCTCCCTTTAACCCACAGTACATTCTATTGACTAAGCCTCCAAAATGTATCCTGAATGCAACCCCCTTTCTCTATTTCCATCTCCACTGCTCCAACCCTGGCCTGGGGCCCCTCCATCATCTCTTGCCTGGACTACTGCATTATCTCCTAATAGGTCCTCCTTATGTCCCTCTTGCCTTCCTTAAGTCCAACCTTCAACCCACATCTAGAATAATTTTTTTTTTTTGAGACGGAATTTCACTCTTGTCACCCAGGCTGGAGTGCAATGGCGCAATCTCGGCTCACTGCAACCTCTGCCTCCCAGGTTCAAGCAATTCTCCTGCCTCAGCCTCCCGAGTAGCTGGGATTACAGACGCCTGCCACCATGCCTGGCTACTTTTTTTGTATTTTTAGTAGAGAGAGGGTTTCACCATATTGGGCAGGCTGGTCTTGAACTCCTGACCTCAAGTGATCCGCCCACCTTGGCCTCCCAAAGTGCTGGGATTACAGGCATGAGCCACCACGCCCGGCCTAGAATAATGTTTTTAAAAGGTAAATCAGGTCTCAGTAACTCCAGTGAAGGTCTGTTGCATTCAGAATAAAATTCAAATTCTCACAAAATTGAGGGGACTGCCTCAGCTTACCTCTCTGCCCCATCTTCCTCTCTCTACTGGTCTCCTTACTCGAGACATTCCAGCCACATGTGCCTTTTTTTAGTCTCTTGAACAGGCCAGTCTTGTTCCTGTCTTAGAGCCTTGGCACCGGCTATTCATTCTCCTCAGGGCATTCTTGCCCCAGTCTTTGAATGGCCGCTTCTTTGTATCTTGTCATTATGACCGCAATTCAAATGTTGCCCCCTCTGAGAGATGGGCCCTGTCTGAGAGCAGGTGGCTCGCTCCTATTTAATCTTCTTAATAGCTCTTATTTATACCTAAACTTTTCGTATGTATTTATTGTTGACTACTTTAACAATTGTCTCCTCCTGCTGGAATGTAAGCTCTTTGAGGGCAAGGACTTCTGTTTATAGCTGTATCCCCAGTACTTAGAACAATATCTGGCAACAGAAATCACTACATAAGTATTAGTTGATTGGCTGGATTTCCTCAACTCTTTTTTTTTTTTTTTTTTAAGATGGAGTCTCTCTCTGTCACCCAGGCTGGAGTGCAGTGGCGCAATCTCAGCTCACTGCAAGCTCCGCCTCCTGGGTTCAAGCAATTTTCGTGCCTCAGCCTCCCAAGTAGCTGGGATTACAGGCATGCACCACCACACCTGGCTAATTTTTGTATTTCTAGTAGAGACGGGGTTTCACCATGTTGGCCAGGCTGGTCTCAAACTCCTCCTGGTCTCAAGTAATCTACCCACCTTGGCCTCCCAAAGTGCTGGGATTACAGGTGTGAGCCACTGCGCCTGGCCTGGAGTTCATCAGCTCTGACAAGATGGGAAAGCAGTTACTTATCATACAGTCTCCATTGTTTATCATTTCAGGACACCAAGTTGTTAGTAATGGAAACCCAATTCAGGCTGGCTTAAGCAATAGTCATAGAGAAGACCAGTGGTAGGCCTCTCTTCAGGCACAGCTGGTACCAGAAACTCAAATTATGTCACCAGAATTATTGTCTTTCAATCTATCCCCTACTTCCCGAGCTATGCTTTTTTCTGAGTTGGTTCCATCTGCTGCCAGGCCAGCTCCATGCAGTGACTCCTGCCAACCCTGGGTTTACATTCTACATTGTATAGCTCGGCAACCTCAGCAGAGAAAAACTGGCCCCTTCTCAGTAGTTCTAGCAAAAGTCTCAGAATTAACTTCCATTGGAACAACGTAGATCATGTGCCCATCCCCGAACTAATCACAGTGTATAGAGGAATGGAATATGCTAATTAGCCAAGCCACTTGCCCACTCCTAGATAGGAGAGCATGGTTGGCAGTGATCCTTTGGCACAAGGGTTCCCATTTGAACCACTTTTGTTGGTTGAACCGATCTATTTGTACAACTAGAAACATAAAGCTTATTTCTCTAGAGAAGCTGCTAACCTGACCCACAAGTGCAGTTTTATTCCCACCAGAATATAAAATCCATAAGGACAAGGACTTGGTTTAGTTACTACTTTATCTCCAGTACTCGGTAAGTCTAGGCATTCAATGACAATGAATTTTTTTTTTTGGAGGGGGGATGGAGTCTCGCTCTGTAGCCCAGGCTGGAGTGCAGTGGCGTGATCTCGGCTCACTGCAAGCTCCACCTCCCGGGTTCATGCCATTCTGCCTCAGCCTCCCGAGTAGCTGGAACTACAGGCGCCCGCCACCATGCCCGACTAATTTTTTGTATTTTTAGTAGAGACGGGATTTCACCGTGTTAGCCAGGATGGTCTCCATCTCCTGACCTCGTGATCTGCCCACCTCGGCCTCCCAAAGTGCTGGGATTACAGGCGTGAGCCACCATGCCTGGCCGAATTTTTTCATTCATTCAATAAATGCTTACTGAAGCATTTAGTAAACAGGGCATTACCTGAGCTGCATGGTTTGAAGGCAGAGGAGGCGCAGTCCCCCAAAGAAAACTGCAATGCTATCTCCAGGGGAATAGAAGCAGGTTGGGCAAAAACAAAACAAAAACTATCTCAATTATCTGTTTTGGGGAACTAAAGCATCTTACTGAAAATTTTGCCAGTTCCAGAAGAACCAGTAGTTTTAGAGCTTAAGGATGAAAAACAGTCTGATTGCTGCCATCGTACAGCCCAGCCTAGTGACTTCATTCACCCTTTTAACATTTACACAGCACTGACTGTGTGCCATATCTCACAAAGCCTGTAGGACTCCTCCTACCCTTGAAGGGTACACCCTTTGTCATTGTCCTTTCTGTCAGCTGGTGCTGAGTTTTATTACTGGGACCTAACCTCAGGATCTTAGGGTCAAAGTCCTTACCTCTTGCTCCCCAAGTGTCCAGGCTTAAAGTTCCTGAGCCCTGCTCTATGAAGCCCTCATCTTCCAGGTCTAGCGTGTTTACCTTTGCCTTGCGTTATCACTAATCTTCCTGAATTTGGCCCTTACCTCAGGTTGCTGGACTGCTTCCCCTCCTATCCTACCCCTTGGAATTTGCTCTCTGGCCAGCCCAGCTGAATCACCAGGCCTGTTGCTGCCCCAAACATTTCTTCATTTCGGTCATTTTACTTGCCAGGTGACTCTTTCCTTAATCTGAGTGGTGAATGTAGCCACCCTAGCTAGCATTGACTTCCCCGGAGAAGTTATGGGATCATCCCAACATTTGTGCAAAGAATACATCTAAGGCAATCTTGAAAAAGAGGCTATCCTATACAAAAATAAAGAAGAAAGGCTGTCCCTCAGTTTAAGCTGCACTAGACAATCTGTAAGTTGGAAGCATCCTCCCTTTGCCTGCTTTCTTGCAGACAGAAGACCTAGAGATGAGCTGATCCCTACCTCTCGTGATACCTTGCACTGACTCAAATATTAACATTCAGCAGGTCGTCAGTTTCCCCTTCTTCCAGTTTCATTCATTTGTTAAAATCGAGTTATCCTGAATCTTTCAGATTGTTACTCCTCACTTTGTCTTCTGCAATCGAGGACCTGTCTCATGCTCTGGTGTTGAGATCTGGGAACAAGAGCCCTGTAGTTTTTCCTCTGAGTCATAAACTTAGGGACAAAGTATTCTTCATGATTCTTCTTGTCATTTCCTTTTTCTTTAGCTGCAGAAAGTCACTCTGGTGGTCAGGTGAATTCCTAAGCAGTGATTCTTTAGCACAAATGTTACCATTCTAACCCCTAATGTGGGTTGAACCATCTGTTTGTACAACTAGAAACATAAAGTTTATTTCTCTAGAGAAGCTGCTAACCTGACCCACAAGTGCAGTTTTATTCCCACCAGAATATAAAATCCATAAGGAAAGGGACTTCTTTTAGTTGCTACTGTATCTCCAGTACCCAGCAAGTCTAGGCACTCAATGACGATGAAGTCATTCATACATTCAACAAATACTTATTGAAGCATTTACTAAAGAGGGCATTGTGTCAGATGATACTTGAGAAGGAATTAAAAGCAAATGTAGCCAGGAGGATATTTCAGCCACAAGTAACAGAGCTGCCTTAAACCATGAGGCATTTCCTGGTGCACAGAAATGGAAATCCAAATTGAGATCAGCTCAGGGTAGCTCCATCCACCGTCAAAGACCAAGGTGTTTTCATAGCATTATCCTAAGCCCTGTTACCTCTGGGGAAAGGAGAGAGGAAAGAGAGAGAGAAAGGTCCCAGAATGGCTGTCAGTAACAACTAGAATCATGACAGGAGAGCAAAGCTTCCCAAAGTGAGGGAAACTCTTCCCAGAAGCCTCCAGCAGTCCTTCTGGGTCTCAATGGCCAGTCACATCCCCACTCCTGAATCATGGATTTAGGCTCAGACAAATCAGCCCCTCACCTGACACTGAAGGCGGGGTCAGCTTCCCTGAAGCCACGGGGCTGCGTGGAGGAGGAGTGACCCTCTGAACAGAAACTTTGAGAAAGGGAGGAGGAGTTAGAAGGGTTGGATGGGGTGGAGGGCAACTGTAGCATTCACTACGAATCATACCTAGCATTTGTCATGAAAGTCTATAGTTTAAAAAATATCCGTCTGTATGTTAACTCGTTTAATCCTTCCAATGATGGTAAGCTAGTGGTTCTCATTTCAGCCGCAAGTCAGAGTCACCTATGGAGTGATCTTGATTCAGAAGGCCCGGAGTGGGGTCTGGACATTTGTAGTTTATTTGTTGTTGTTGCTGTTTGAGTTGGGGTCTTACTGTGTCACCCAGGCTGGAGTGCAGTGATGTGAACATGGCTCACTGTAGCCTCAAACTCCTGGGCTCAAGCAATCCTCCCACCTCAGCCTCCCGAGTAGCTGGGACCACAGGTGCATGCCACCATGCCTGGCTAATTTTTAAATTTTTTATTTTGTAGAGATGGGGTCTCACTATGTTGTCTAGGCTGGTTTTGAATTCCTGGGCTCAAGCAATCCTCCCACCTTGGCCTCCACTGGGATTACAGAGTGAGCCACTGCACCCAACCTAGACATTTGTAGTTCTTAAAAGCTATATGGGTAGTTCTGATGCCCAGCCTGCATTGCACACCAGGGCTGTGAGCTAAGCAGCTTATCCCACAGGTGTGCAAATAAGAATTCAGCAGAGTCCCTGCCTTGGAAAGTCTATACTGTGTGTGTATGTTAGGAGATTTTTACATGCAAGCCAGAGTTGTTCAGGGGAGGAAGAGCTCCCCACAGGACAGAATGTTGGTGAAGGTTACTGGGCAAGAGTGAGAATGAAGAAGACTTTTGTGTAGAGAAGCAAGGGCAATGATGTAGCCAGAAGGGCACAGCATGAGCTGGGGTAAAAAAAGATGGAACACTCGTCAAATTCATGTGTCATCTTTATCTGATCTCTCTTTTTTGTCATATTAGTTTGTGGGAAGGGAAGTTTTCTTATCATGAGCCAATGACTGGAGAAGCTGAGGTTTGTTTCCAGAACTCGGTGAATCAATGCTATCTGATATTCCTGATACTTTGCTGAAACTGTTCACCAAACTTCCTCTTTGAGCACAAAGGGGATTTTAAGAGGCAACATTGGGGCTTTCACATATTTATGTTTTTAAAATCAAATACACCGAGTGGAAAAACCCTATGAGATCACCTCTGTGCCCTAAGCAAACTGCAAGGGATATACAATCATCTTCTTAAGAGAAGGAGGCATTTCAATTCCTTCTCAAACCAAACAAAGATAAACCTGATCAAATCCAGCCAGGCTGCAAAAGTGATTAGGAGGAAGGCTAGAAACAACCTGGAGAATACAGAGGAAGTTTGTAAATTGGCTGGCAATTGGATTACATTTAAAAATTCAATTAGTGACAGATTCAGAATAGCGTTTCCTTCGGTGAGTTTGTTAACTACCGGGCAGAGCCTTGGTTGTTTGCTGATAGCACAGAAAGTGAGTCATTCAGTGTTGGGCTGGGACAAGTGTCACCCACTCACTTTGATGGATACACCCCAAGCATAGAAATATGTGGTCAATGGGAGTTCAAGACCAGCCTGACCAACATGGAGAAACCCTGTCTCTACTAAAAATACAAAATTAGCTGGGCATGGTGGCACATGCCTGTAATCCCAGCTACCAGAAGTTTGAGGCAGGAGAATCACCTTAACCCAGGAGGCGAAAGTTGCAGTGAGCCAAGATCACGCCATTGCACTCCAGCCTGGGCAACCAGAGTGAAACTCCATCTCAAAAAAAAAAAAGAAATATGTGGTCTGATTTTTTTGAGCTCTATCACTGCTCACTGTTCTTGACAACTTATTTTCCTTCTTTGACTTACCTTTGTTGATGCTACTTCTGCTACTTCTAAATTGCTTTTTAGTAAACCATGAAGGGGTCTCCCTCATATGAAAGGAGTTTCTTGGGGGTACAAAGAGAGTTGGCAACAGATGTTCAGTATATGGCTTGGGCTGGACATTGGAGGAATATTGCCTCTCCCAGGTCTCAGGACTCCCACCTATGTTATCTATTAAGTGGACTCAGGATAAGAATTCTGGGATAGACAAGAGATATCTACAGAAAGCACTAGTGTGGTAATTAGCTCCGGCAATGAAAATAAACAAAACATGTACAAATCTTTCAAGTATGGTCATAATATAATCTTTATAAGAGAAATGTTATCATCTGGGAGGACGATAGAAAGGAAAGAAAGGATGGAAAGAAAAGCACCAGGTCACAGAGGAGGGAACTGGCATAGTGAGCTGACTCACTAGGTCCCTGGGCCTATGCTCAACCAGCTCCAGAAGACAAGGAGCAAGAGCAGGAATGTGCGGGAGGGCAGCTGATGTGGCAGTGATGCAGCAGCAGAGAGGCCTCCTGACAGAGCTAAACCTGACTCATGCCCATTTGTCTGGGACAGCCAGATCTTTCTGCAGGTCCCATTTTTCCTGGTTTAAGCTGGTCTGTAAGTTGAGTGAGAATCATTTTCCTGGGTGTCAACTCTGTGGCCTTCCCTTCAGAGTGGACATAAAATCAATAATGCTGATGAGCTGAAAATGACTGCAAACAAAAGACAATATTTTGGAGAAATTTGGGCTTTGTTTTGGCAAATGAGTGGCTTAAGAGTTAGAAGGAAGAATCCTAGGGATATGAGTGATGGACATGAGTACTAGTCCACAAAAAGTGGTATAAAAAGCAAAGAAGGGTAGTCTCTCACCTACAGCAGAAAAGAGTCCAAAACGGTTTCATTGAAAAAGATCACTCTCCTAGTTTAAGCTTATTGTTGGTCTACTCATGTGCTAGTGACCAAAGTTACACATGAATTGCTTAGCCCAACGCATCTCCTTGGTGGAAAAATAAGCTCAGTTGCCTCACTGTCCATTATGTAAGCACGTGTACAAAGTTCCCCTCCTTGGGCCTTTGCCTCAGGTTCTTTGCTGGTTTTCTCACCTGGATAATCTTATTTGGGGAGGTTTATCATGGCAAAAGAAGAACTTACTGCCTGAGAAACAGATAGGCTCCATATAGGGAATCAATTCAAACTCTTGTTTCACTCAGCCATTTGCTCATTCAACAAACACTCAGCCCCAGCTATTTGCCATGTTCTGGAGATCTACAGATGAATAAGACCTGATGCTAAAGGAAAATCAATGGCAAGAGTACAATGGAACACCAGATATAATAGAGGTAAAGGAGCACAGATACCACAGCACTACGCAGGATGAGCAGGGGGCATCCAGTTCCACCTAGGGAAAGGGGTCAGGGACGTTTTCCAAGAGAAGATGACCCTTGAGTTGGTGATTGAAGGATGAGTACAGATTAGCCTGAGAAACAAGAGAATAAACTTCCACTAAAAAAGATCAACATTGGCAAACCACAGAGGTGTGACACTGTGGCTCATTTGGAGACCTCCAAGTGGCATAACTAAGGCTAGAGATGACATCAGGACCCAGATCTTGAAGCAATATGCTACGGTATAGAAATTCTGTTTCCAAAGGGATGGAAAATCACTGGAAGATTTTAAACTGGAAAGTGACAAGGTCAGAATTCGGGCTTAAAATAACCATTCCGGCAGCAGAAAGAGAAGAGATCAGGATGACAATTTAGGAGACTCCCAGGCTATAAATATGGAATTGTACTAAGACAGCAGCTGTGAGAAAGGAAAGAGGCTTGAGCTATGTAATGACATAGTAGATGGAGTTGGTGTCCCACTGAAGTAGAAAAGAAAGGAGAAGAATGAGTTCAGAGGGACTCCAGGGTTCTCTCTTGTAGAAGGCAGCAGGTAGCATCATTTCCTGAAAAAGTAAATATAAGAAGAGGAGCAAATTCGGAGGGAAGAGGATAAATTCCATTTTGGACATGTGTGCAAAATGTCTGTGGCTTCTTTCACTTTTAGCAGTTTGAGTAAAGTGTTCCAAAGTATGCTTTTCTTTGTATTTATCCTGCTTGGGGTTTACCAAGATTCTTGGATATGTAACTTTATGTCTTTCACCAAATTTGGAAAAACTTCAGCCACTATTTTCTTATTTTTTCTTTTTTGATACAGAGTCTTGCTCTGTCATTCAGGCTGGAGTGCGATGGTGCAATCTCAGCTCACTGCAACTTCTGCCTCCCAGGGTCAAGCAACTTTCTTGCCTCAGCCTCCTAAATAGCTGGGACTACCGGTGCATGCCATCACACCCAGCTAAATGTTGAGTTTTTAATAGAGATGGAGTTTCACCATGTTGGCCAGACTGGTCCCAAACTCCTGGCCCCAAGTGATCCACACATCTCAGCCTTCCAAAGTGCTGGGATTACAGGCATTAGCCACTGTGCCTGGCCTAATTTCTTTTTTTGCTTGTTTGTTTGTTTTTTGAGAAAGGGTCTTACTCTGTTGCCCAGGCTGGAGTGCAGTGGTGTGATCATAACTCACTGTAGCCTCAACCTCCTGCTCAAGCGATCCTCTTGTCTCAGCCTCCTGAGTAGCTTAGACTACGGGCGTGCACCACCACACTTGGCTAATTTTTAAATTTGTATTTAATAGAGATGGGGTCTCTCTATGTTTACCAGGCTGGTCTTGAACTCCTGGGTTCAAGCAATCCTCCTGCCTTAGCCTCCCAAAGTGTTGGGATTACAGGCATGAGCCACTGCACCCAATCTCAGCCACTATTTTCTAATACATTTTCTGTATTATTTTCTCTTCATTAGGGATTACAAGTGTGCTTATGTTAGAATTTTCTGTGTTGACCCAGAGGTCACTGAAGCTCTTAATTTTTCTTCAATCTTTTTTTTCTCTTTTATCTTCTGTTCTGATAATGTCTGTTGGTCTATCTTCAAGCTCACTGATTTTGATCGGCCATTTCTAATCTTCTGTCAAGTGCATTGAGTGAATTTTTAATTTTAGATGTTATTTTTTACTTCTAGAATCTTCTATTAGTTCATTTTTGTAGTTTCTGTCCCTCTGCTGAGGTTTCCTCTCTGTTCATTCATTATGAGCATATATTTGTTTATGTCCTTGAGCAGAGTTAAAATAGTTTACAATAGTTAAAATAATTGTATCCTCATTCAAACTTTTACATCATCTTAGATTCAATCTCTATTGATTGCCTTTTCTTTTGAATATAGGCCACGTTTTTCTGTTTTCTTCGATTGTCCAGTAATTTTGGATTGTGACCTGCACATGGTAAATTATACATTATAGAGACCATGGTTTCTGTTATGTTCCTCTGGAAAGCTTTTAATTTTTTGTTTTACAAAACAGTTAACTTGGCTACACTAAAACTTCAAACTCTTTCTCTCGTATAATGTGCAAGAGTTAAAATGTCCGTTCAGTTCTTTTGTCATTAGCTAGGCTATTTGAGGTCTGCCCTTTATGTGTATAATCTGGAGGACAGTCAGAGATTTGGGGAAAGTTTATACACAGAATTTTTGGCTTCTCTTCTGTGGCTCTCTCCTTTTTAGGATACCCACCACCACAACAATTTCCCAGTTGTTGCAATAGCTGTGATAACCTCAAGGTCTGACTTCCAATTCCTCAAAATTGTATATTTCTATCCAAATTCTAACTATCCCATCACAGAGCTGACTGAGGCCTTTCCTCAGGCAAAAATTCATTAGGGAAAAAAAAAAAAAAAGCAAACTCATCCAGCACCATTTCCTTCTTCCAATTGTAAATTATCCTCTGGTTTCTAGTTTGGTCACTCTGTAATGCCTTTAGGTCAATTTTTTTCCTCCAGAGTTTATAATTGTTATTTGCAGAAGGGCTGATCCAATATGAACTACCTGCTATTAACAGAGATGGAATTCCAGGGGTTTAATAAATACTTATTGAATAGATTCAAGTACCCACTTTATAGCTATGTGTTGATCACTGATAGACAACATATGCTTCATCTAGCACAAATTAACTAAACTCCTGGTTCTCTCTCTCATTCCTACCTCCCGCCAACCTGCTCCTCCCCAAGTCTGAATATATTTCCAACTGCCTTGATATTTCCACTTGAATAAATAATAGGCCTTTCAAATTCAACATATTCAAAACGGGAATATGCCCACCTCAGGGTCTTTCCACTTGCTGTTCCCCCTGTATGGAATGATCTTCCACCAGGTATCCACATGGTTCACAATTCTCACTCCCTTCAGGTCTCAGCCCCAAAGTCAACTTTTCAATGAGGCCTTCCTGACCGTTGCTATAAAACAAATACAACTCCTTCCCTCCTTTGCACTACCTATCTCCTTGCTCTCCTTTGCTTTTCCCCATAGCACTTATCTTCACGTAACTAGTATCTGCTTTTTAAATTGTTGCTGTCTGTCTCCCCTCACTACCATATAAGGTCCGCAAGAGCAGGGCCTTTTCACTGCTTTCTCCCAAACACTGAGCAAAGAGCATGATATAGAGTAGGCGTTCAATAAATAGTTGTTAAATGAAGGTTGAAACTACTTGAATCAAAGTGAGATGAAAACTTGCGTAAGGAAGGAACACTAATATTTACAAGCCATGTGGTAGAACAAGAGCCTATAAAAACAAAGAGTTCCATCAGCCAAAGGGAGAAAATCCAGGAGAGAATAATGTCACAGAAGCCACAAGAGGAGTTTTCTTTCCGACCCCCGGCTTTTTTCTTTTTTTTTTTTTTTGTTGAGACGGAGTCTCGCTCTGTCTCCCAGGCTGAAGTGCAGTGGCGTGATCTCGGCTCACTGCAAGCTCCGCCTCCCAGGTTCACGCCATTCTCTTGCCTCAGCCTCGGGAGTAGCTAGGACTACAGGCGCCGACCACCACGCCCGGCTAATTTTTTGTATTTTTTTTTTTAGTAGAGACAGGGTCTCACCGTGTTAGCCAGGATGGTCTCGATCTCCTGACCTCGCGATCCGCCCGCCTCAGCTTCCCAAAGTACTGGGATTGATTACAGGCGTGAGCCACCGCGCCTGGCCTCACAAGAGGAGTTTTCATAAGGAAGGTGTCAAATATTGCAAAGATCAAGTGAATGGCAGAGTGGCTCTCTGAGAGTTAGGAGGGCTTTGATGACTTTGTGTATGACAGTCATTTCAGTGATACAGTGGAAGACTACAATGGGCTGAGAAGTGGCAGCAAATAGAAACATAAGGTCAAAGGCTAGGAAAAGGGGCTAGAAGGGAAGCAAGGCTGAAGCTGCAGGAATGAGGGAATAATGAGAGAGGAAAGTTGGGGAGAGATAAGCTTAGCCCAGCTGGAGCTGTTTGCCTTGGACAAGAGCAAGGAGACTTCTCCCTTTGACTCTGAGATGCAAGAAAGGAGGGGAAGAAGGGTTTCTTTGATATAGAGTCAGGGCTGCTACATATGGTTATATTGGTCATGTCCTGTATGTGGATCCCTGGCTGAGAGGAGCATTCTGCTCTCCAAGCTATAAGCCCTGATGTGGGGCTGTGTCTACCTAGAGGAAGAGGCATCCTTAGTCACGTACTATCTAAACATGTCTCTGTGGCATCACATTTGTTGAAGGGAGGGGGTACTTTTGAAATGAGAGGAGTTTTCCCTTATCCCCTTCGCAAAGCATGTGACAGGGCTGTGGCTTGCTTTTTTGGTATCCTGCTGCTCAAACTCCTAGCAGAAACATGCAAACAGGCAGGTCATGGGGAGTGCTTTTGGGCTTTGACCCCATGGCAGCATCTAAGGTTAAGTGTGTACAGCTCCCAAAGCCCCAGTGGGCGTGTGTTACAGTGCGCTCTTTCACTTTTGCTATCTGCAGGTGGCTTGTGTTAATCTGCTCAATTAGACCCTCTGCCTTATTGCAAGGACAGAGGATTTCTGTATCCCAGGTTCTTGCCTTAGTGTATCGGAAAAATTGGGTCACACGTGGGCTTGGAGGATGGGTGCAAAGTTTTTTATTAAGTGGTGGAAGTAGCCCTCAGCGAGATGGATGGGGAGGCCAGGAGGGAGATGGTGTGGGAAGGCTGTCTTCCCCTGTCCCCTGTCTTCCAGTTGGCTGGACTCTTCCAACCGCCCCCCCACCGAATTCCAAAATGTCCTGTCATCAATGGCCTGCCAGCGTCTGCTGGTGTCTGTCGGTGTGCTCCTCTTCTCCTCTGATCCTCTTGGCATCCAGCCGCTTGTGTGTAGGCCCGCTAGGATCTTCAGGTTTTTGTGGGCACACGATGCGGGGTGTGGCAGGCCAGGGTGGTCTTGGAAAATGCAACATTTGGGCAGGAAACCAGGAATGCTTGTCCTCCCTTAGGTCCTTGGGCGCAGGCCCGAAGGTGGAGCCCTCACCAGGGACCTCACCCTTCTCTACCCAGCACTTCCCTGCCCCCCTCTCATATCGCCTTTTTCTAAAATTTACAAAAGTGTCCTTGTATTGAACTTACATATTTTTAAATAAATATGCCATAAGGACTCTTATGAGATCTTGATTTCTCTGCTTTTTAAACATACGACACATCATATATCGAAGAAATAAAATATTACAGACATAATGAAAAGCTTTCTGTAGTACCCCAATGCCCCTCCTTCTTCCCCGGAGACAACCACTATCCTGAAGTTGGTATTTTTCATTTTCATGCATGGTCTTATACTCTGCTACCAATGTGTTCCCATAAACAATATGAAATATTTTTCCATGACTTTAAAATTTGTATAAATGGTCTCCAGCTATATATATTATACTGAAATTTTCTTTTTGTTGTTGTTGCTTAACATTTTTTTGAGATTTATCCATGTTGATATTTGTACCTCTAGTTCATTTTTTTTCATTTCATAAAATATTTATTCAATACTCCATTGAATAAATATACCACACTTTTCCCAGCAGTTTCCTGTTGATGGGGATTCAGGTTTTGTTTTAAAGTTTTCCTTTTTAAAATTAAAGCTGAAATCAGTTTTATGTGTCTCCTTATTACATATCCAAGAGCTTCTCTAAGAATAGAATTGCTGGCTACAGGAGCACCCACCTTACCCTTACTAGATAATGCCAAATTGGCCTCCACAGTGGGTATGACCATATGTAGTTCCACTAGTCGTGTATGAGTGTTACCATTTGCTGAGTGTTTTCTTTTCAGACTTTAACATTTTCTCCTACCTGAGGGGCTATAGTTTTTGTGGATATATCCCTGATTATTCATAAGTTTGAGTATTTTTCATATGTTATCAGCCATTTGGGGTTCTTTCTTTTGTAAATTGTTTGTTTAGATAACCTCCTACTTTCCTTCTTTCTTCTACTTTTCATTTTTCCATTGGGTTATTTATTTTCTAAATGATACATAGGATTTTTAAAATTATTATTATTATGGCTACTAATTCTTTATCACAAGTAACTTCTCATGGTCTGCGGATTGTCTTTAACTTTTTAAGAATGTCTTTGTATACATGATTTACATTTTAATCTAGTCATATTTTTTCAGTATTTTCAAGGATGAATAAAACCTGAAGGTGTATGTGCTGGGGGGGGAAGGTATCTTAGGAAATTCTTGCCAAATGATCTTTCTTTTCTCTGTAAAATGAAAGGGGAGGACAACTCTTAGATATAGCTGTAGAGTTCCTGAGATTCCACCTTCCATCACCTTGTATTAACTGAGTCCACACCAAATGCCTAGACCTGGGAGTTGGCTGGGGTTGAGGGGAGGGGGACGAGGTAGGATTTCATACATGGAACCCTGCCTTACTAGAACTTACCATCAGAGGACTAATAAGCATTAGACTGTGTAGCTCTGAAATACTGCAGTAGAAACTTGAGGAAGGAGAGATTGGGATAGGATTGAGTAATTGTCTATGGACTGGATTCATCAGGGCAGACAGACTGTATGTCAAATGTTATGACTCCTGTACACTCAGGAATCACAGAGTCTTAGGCTGCAATGAAATATAAGTAAGAGTATTCATGGATAATATCTTAGTTAATGAAAGGAGAAGAAGTATATTAAAGTATAATATATAAAATTATATTGAAATTATGCCTACAAAAGGTATCTTTACATTTATATTTTAAACCATGGTATTATATATAGTATATATTATATTTATAATTATATATTTATATTTTATATTTAAAACCATTAAAATTTTTTAAATTGTGGGAAGTTTCATTAAAGAAAATTAATAGATAACTGGTGGTCAATTGACCATGGAAGGAAAATCTTCATCTATAGATTTCATATAAATATTTTATAAGGAGATTTAGATATAGTAGTTATAAAAGATGTAACAATTTTGTATTTTGATTAAATATGTCTTAGGTTGAATTCATTAAATATTAACAGTATCAGAAGTGACTAATTCCATAAAACTAGGTATTTCACTTTATGAATGTGATGTGCACACAAACTAATTTGTCTAAATGACCTTATTATGTAAAAGAATATGACATATGTCCAGAAAAAACTTGCTAACAACTTTTTTTAATTCCTACTGTTGGTTAAATATCTTCATTTTTAAAAGTGTTTAAAACTACATTTAATAAATTCTGAAATTATTTTTTAAAGATAATAAATAAATGTATACAGTTAAAACATCTATCTCTTTATCTGTATTACATTTAAGTGTTACACCAATAAAAAATGTTCATGAGGTGATATCCTACATAAGGCAATGAGGTAAAGTAGGTTGGGAATAACTATTCTGGTAATTTTAGGTAAAATAAAAACAAATTTTAAATGTGGGGGGAAAAATAAACATAAGGAAGGAAATGGAGGCCCACTGAAATTAAGGTCTCTCTGCAGAAGGTCTCACAGCTAGTGAGAGGCAGAATCCATACTAGAACTACAGATTCCCATCCAGGGTGCTGTCTCACCTGCTCATTAAGAATGCTGACATGGGGCCGGGCGTGGTGGCTCATGGCTGTAATCTCAGCACTTCGGGAGGCTGAATTGGGTGAATTGTTTGAGCTCAGGAGTCCAAGTCCAGCATGGGCAACATGGCAAAACCCCATCTCCACCAAAAATACAAAAAATTAGCCAGGCACGATGGCACATACCTGTGGTCCCAGCTACTCGGGAGGCTGAGGTGGGAGGATTGCTTGAGCCCTGGAGATGGAGGTCGCACTGAGCCAAGATTGTGCCAATGCATTCCAGCCTGGGCAATAGAGTGAGACCTCATCTCAAAAAAAAAAAAAAAAAAAAAAGAGGTCTGGGCACGGTGGTTGATGCCTGTAATCCCAGCACTCTGGGGGGCCGAGGTGGGCGAATCACCTGCTGTCAGGGGTTCGAGACCAGCCTGACCAACATGGAGAAACCCCGTCTCTACTAAAAATACAAATTTAGCCGGGCATGGTGGTGCATGCCTGTAATCCCAGCACTCAGGAGGCTGAGGCAAGAGAATTGCTTGAACCCAGGAGGCAGAGGTTGCGGTAAACTGAGATTACACCATTGCACTCTAGCCTGGGCAACAAGAGCGAAACTCTGTCTCAGAAAAAAAAAAGAATGTTGACATATCTTCCTTTGATGGTAAAATAGTTTTGAGAGTGATGTGAAGAAAAAACTAATTAGTCAAAACAGAACATCAACACCCCAAAAAAGCCCATGACCATTAAATGTGGCACAGAAACTGTTAGAAACAGCTATTATATTCACATCCATTTGTTTGTCTTATGAGGATATAGGGAAATATGTTATCTTCATTTTTTTTCCAGATAAGATGCAAAGAACATGTTCAATACTTTCATAAGCCACAGGATCAATGGCCACATGTATCTATACATCATAGCTACTTTCTTGTCTCAGTTACATGAACATTGTTCTTCTACTGAAAGCCAGGTTAATTGGTTCTACTTAATGTTGCCTGTAGAGACATCATCAGACTTGGGCAGCCAGTAGCGCTGAAAATATAGACCAGAGCTATGTTGATTAAATTGCTCATAACCAAGCTGCTATTACAGCTCTCATTTTTCATATCTATATACTTACCAGCACAAATGAATGTAAAAATCACTTTCAATTGGCTGTAAAAAAACATGCTATCACTAGGATTAATCAGAAGTTCTTTCCATAATGAAAATGCCTAAAACATTCACTCCTTACTTTTTACTATAGTAATAAACTTATGAAGAAATTGATGTCATGTGTCCAAGTGTCAGAGAAGTATTATAACACCAATTACAAGAAATCTTTAGAATATTTGCCAAAGTCAAATATAGTGTTCACTGATACCAAAAATATACTTTCTCTGTGTTCTCAAGGAGATCAAATGTAGTCCAACTAAACAGTCACGTTATCAAGGAGGCTCATCTCGCCAGGTGTTGAAGATGCAAAGAACAGGATGTGACTACCCCCTACCCCTTGGATATAATGTCTCAAGGCTCCCAGTTCTAAACCCAGTAGTCCAGGGTTCTCTTAACAAATATAAAAAGACTAAGGGAGCAGAAAAGAGAAGCAAGGAGCTCTACTCCTGAAAGCTGGTAAGTTGTCACCAATGCCCATTAGAATTGGGTCTTTTGGTGGGGCGTGGTGGCTCACGCCCGTAATCCCAGCACTTTGAGAGGCTGAGGTCAGGAGTTTGAGACCAGCTTGGCCAACATGGCGAAACCCCATCTCTACTAAAAACACACAAAAAAATATTAGCCCGGCGTGGTGGCGGGTGCCTGTAGCCCCAGCTACTCGGGAAGCTGAGGCAGGAGAATCACTTGAACCCAGGAGGTGGAGGTTTGGAGATTGTAGTGAGTTGAGATCGGGCCACTGCACTCCAGCCTGGGTGACAGAGTGAGACTCTGTACCAAAAACAAACAAAACAAAACACAAACAAAAACAAACAAAAAACTGGGTCTTTAAAGGCATTCTTCCAGGCAGGGAAGTGGGGAAAGGCATGTGAGGTAAAGCAGACACTTGGAGCAAAGGCAAAAATGCATGAAAAGACAGGGCAGGTTTACATAAGGAGTGTGTGCCAGTGCTAAGGCTGTGACAGCATCCCCAATGGCCTTATATGCTGGGCTAACCAAGGATTTCAATGAGTAGGTGTGGGCTTGCTAAGATTGGTGTTTCCAGAAGATCAATCTGATAACCAAGAGTGGAGGATGCGTCTCAGGAAGGAATTCATTCTTAGGCTATTGCATTAGACAAAGTGAGAAATGATGGCAGTCTGGTTTGCAACACAGGGGATAGAGGAAAGAGAATACATCCAAAAGACTTTCAGAGGGTCTTTAAAACTAGTTAAATGACCATAAGGGAGGAAAGTGATTTCTTCAGCTAAAACTAGAAAAAAAAATTAGGAAGAGCATCAGTGTCACAAAATACAATAAAAGCCAAGGTCAGGCAAAAATATCAATTTAAAATCTTCTTCCTAGCCAATCATACATTTACTACCTGCAAATAGGCTATTTTCAGAAAATATCATTTATTCTCCGTTTTCTTTCTCTTTTTATAAAACTCACTCTAATGGCTTTTTGATGAGATGGAGTAAATCATCACCAATTGTGCCAAAATATTTTGGAGTATTCTGCAACAGAGGAAATGCTTAATCTTTGTACCTGAGATGCTTCTGCATAAGCAAACTCTCCTACAGCATAAAATATATATATATCAGAAATCAATTTGAAACAAACATATCATCTGCAGGAAGTGCTGAGGCATTTCTCCATTAGTTTTAATCCAAGGAAAACAAGATGAGAAGGTGATGTTTCATGATCTCTAATATGGGTAGCTTTTGCAAGAGAGACAATGTCAGAGATACCAAAAATAGGGGTGATACTCAGAAAGTACGTCGTTTTCATCTGTGTAGCAGATGTTATGGTATGCTTCCCAGATTCCCTCTTTAGGACTGAGGTACTCATCTTCCTAGCAGTTGGGAGTGCTAGTAGCTGACAGCTCTTAGCTGAATTGCTCTTAGCCCCTTTCACAGGGATAGCCCCCATCTATTGGCTGGTCAATTGATGATGGGTGAACATAAAGCCCTGGCCCCTTGACTTAAGGGACAGGGGCATCTCAGTTACAGAAGGGCCATCCCAGTTCCAGAGCTTCTATGGGACTGATTAAGGTCCCTATTGCAAGCGCATAACAGTTCACCTTCTTCCTCTGTCCAGTCCTGCCCATCAGCCGTCACAGGTGATGTTCCCAAGGGCACTCTCCAAAACTTTACCTTTCGCACAGAACTTAGAGTCCTTTCCCCATGAAACCCAATGTACAAAGCCAACCAGGACCACCAGGAGCCTTTCATGAGCAATAATTACAGAGGATGAGAGTGTCACTACAAAAGTCCCTTGAACTCTTACAGGTCTTTAACAAAATGAGCCACACTTCCTACTTATGCTCTAAGACTAATAACACAGAGATGTAAACAGCATTACAAGTGGTCTATAAAGGGCTTTAGATATAGAAGAATTTATAAAGGAAGGAATCACAGGAAGGCCAAAGAAAAACATATATATTAGAACCAAAATGGAAGTTGAGCACAGAAAACTTGCTGTTCTTCATCATTTGGATACTGCGAGCCATAGTTTTTTGGGGGTGTTTGTTTTTCCCTAACTCCTCTCTCCCCACCACGCTACCTGGCAATATTCCTTCACTAAGGCTGGAGGAGGTGGGGGAGGGGGCGGAGAAATCAGACATTGAAAGATTCCTGTATCCTGACTGCCACCTAATGGAATCTTTGAGCATTAAGGTCTCCATTGTGTAGTTTTTTGGGGTTTTTCAACTGCTGACATATCAACAAAATGGCAAATGTGACCATGTCAAATTATGCCCACTAGTCTTCATGGGGCAAAACTCTGGGATTCATTTTGGTTTTTGGAAAAAGTCAAGTTAACTGCCTTATTTTTTCCTGTCTACATTTGGGAATGTACATCCCCTGCCACTCATGGTTGTTCAGTTTAAGCAAACTTCATTAAAAGATTGCTCTATTATCCACTGTGCAATACAAATAATGTGGACTATTTCACACCATTCCTCTTTTTTCTAAGATAAATGATCTGTAAGTGACATGAATATGGGGTGGGGAATATCCAGATAAGAAAGGTACTTTCAGGGGCTGTGATGCAAACGAATCCAATGAATTCCGAGTTTAAAAGACTGTCTTAAGACTGCTGCTGGAGCTGCTATACGAGAAAGTTAAACAGGGCCAAAAAATGAAAAAAAAATTCCTATCACAACATCAGAAGGCAAGACCCACTTGACTCTCCTGCATGTGGGGAAGTCAAAGTAATTCTTTCACATTAATCATGCTTTCCTTCCTGCCCTTCAAAGAGCTCCTGGTGACTGCTACAGCCTCCTGCCCACATCTTTCCTGCTAAACATTGACCCATCTGGCTTTCTATTGTCTTTTGTTTCTGACAATGCTTTTGTAATCTCCTGTATTACTTCTGAGCTTGTTAAGCTATTGCTAATGCCCAGAGTTCCCTGCAACTATCTTCTGCTCTTCCCCATCATCCCCAAACACACACGTACACACCTCCCAAAACTATTCTAAAAGGCGTTTTAGCCAGTCTATCTATACTTTTCATTTTGAAAAATTTGAAACAATCACTTCTATAGGACACTTCTATAGTCAGCATAGGACATTCTCCTAAGAAGCCATAAAATAGTTTTTACATCTAATAAAATTAGCAATAATTTAATATAATCTAATATTGAGTCCATATTTAAATTTTCCAGTGATCCCTAAATTTTTTTTACAGCTTTGTTTTTCAAAACCAAGATCAATCAAGATTTATCCATTGCACTTGTTACATCTGATTACCTCTTAATCTAGAACAGTTCCCACGCTTTTCAATGTCACTGACCTTTGGAAGAATTTAGGTGTTTTCTTATACAATGTCCCATATTCTGGATGTAATTCTTCCCTCATGCTCAATTTACTCATTCCTTTATGCCCCTATTTCTTGTATACTGGAAGTTGGGTCAATAAACTTGATTGTATTCAGGTTAAGCATTTTTGGCAACCCTCCTTCACAGGTAATGCTATTAGTGCTTCATGTTGCATCAAAACAACAGGCATATAAAATCAGGTTGTTCCACAATTAGCGGTGCTAAACTTGATCTCTGGGTTAAGTTGGTGACAGCTGAATTTCATCATAGTAAGGTATATTTCCCCTTTGTAATTATTGGATAGTCTGTGGGGATACTTTGTATGTAGGTGTGATACTTTGACATTATGCCAACATCCTCCTTTTCCCTACCTCCTTTCACCAGATGGTTTTTAGCTTCTCTTGATACTTGCCTGAATTATTGGGAATTGCAAACGGTGATTTTTCTGATTCCGTCATTTTATTTATATGAATTGGCTGGCATTCTTCTTTAAAGAGAAACTCCCTTCCCAAACTCTTTGAGTATCACTCTGGACTTAATAGATTTTTAAAATGTATTGAAGGCTTTGATGATCTATGAATTATTATTATTTTTAGTGGCCAAATTGACTCATATTTGGCTAGTGGAGCCCACTTGAGCTGGGCTCTGTGGGCTTTTAAGTTGACCTTATTCATTTTGGGGCACTTCCCTGATTTCTGGTAAGGTATTTCAGGCTTAACTTTCTTTTTTTGTACTTTATGCGCCTGAAACCGGAAATTAGCCATTTCTCTAAGAAACATTATTTCCTCTTAGTGGGGATTGGTATTTAGATATCAAGCTGTGGGCATTCTCTAGGGGGGTGACATTGCTTCTAAGAAATATACATATGAAAAATTCTAATTCAATTTAACATCAGAGGTTTTAACATCAGTTTTTCCCACTATAAGAGGAAAGAAGTACAAATATAAAAGAAGGTGGATCTTCTTTTAAAAATACAAAAAGGATATTTGTATTTCTTTCCTCTTAGAGTTTCTACTAATAAATTTCTTGTTTGTTTTATAGTAGGCCTGAGTTTCAAAATTACATTACCAATACCACTACTGGCAATAAATATGTGGTGTTTGAGGGCTTTTGCTTGTTTTTGTTCTTTTTGCTCTCAGAATATAAACCACTAAGAATGTATGGTTGGAGTACTATTAAGCACCACTTCTAAATAAGTAGTAAAGAACTGCCATTTCAAGGCCAGGCGCGGTGGCTCACACCTGTAATTCCAGCACTTTGGGAGGCCGAGGCCGGCGGATCAGAGGTCAAGAGTTTGAGACCAGCCTGGCCAGCATGGTGAAACCCTGTCTCTACTAAAAATACAAAACAAAATTAGCCGGGCATGGTGGCATACGCCTATAGTCCCAGCTACTTGGGAGGCTGAGGCAGGAGAATTGTTTGAACCTGGCAGGCAGAGGTTGCAGTGAGCCAAGATTGCGCCACTGCACTCCAGCCTAGGCGACAGAGCGAGACTCGTCTCAAAAAAAAAAAAAGAACTGCCATTTCTGGCCAGGCCCGGTGGCTCATGCCTGTAATCCTAGCACTTTGGGAGGCTGAGGGGGGGTGGATTACCTGAGGTCAGGAGTTCAAGACCAGCCTGGCCAACATGGTGAAACTCCGTCTCTACTAAAAGTATAAAAATTAGCCAGGCGTGGTGGCAAATGCCTGTAATCTGAGCTACTCAGGAGGCTGAGACAGGAGAATGGCTTGAACCCAGGAGGTGGAGGTTGTAGTAAGCCAAGATTGTGCCACTGCACTCCAGCCTGGGCGACAGAGAGAGACTCCATCTCAAAAAACAAACAAACAAACAAACAAACAAACAAACAAACAAAGCCTGACATTTCTTATCCTGTAAAGCCTTAGACTATAATCTTTTTCAACCTGAAGAAATTCTCGTTTTCCGTTTTTAGTGGCATATTTTTGTTTTTTAGTGGTACAGTCTTCTGTTCCTCAATGGTACGTGTAAAATACAGAATAATTGAAATGCACATCCTAAGGCTAGCAGTGCAATACAAATTTAAGCAAACAATTCAGGATTGCTATGACTGATGAACATCTGAAGACCTGCGCTGACCAACACCATTTTCAGGTTGTTTTCCATCAACTTTAAATGGATGATGCCACCTAAGCTTCATCCCAGGATATATGTGTTCCATGTACTGTATCCAAAAACACTCAATAAGCACAAAAAGGCAAGTAGCTTGTCCTGCAGCAAATTATGCAAAGATTCAAATCACTTATTAGGACTAAAGAAAGGAGCATAAAACAATTACTATGATTATGTACACAACTCTAATTCATCACCTTTGGCATTTGGTCAAGATAGAAAAAACGCGGCCAAATCTGGGGCTACTTTTAGTCAGGAAATGATACAATAAAAGCTGAGATAAAGAATGCAGTCTCTGCCCCAGGGAGGTGGCTCACCCTGTAATTCCAGCACTTTGGGAAGACAAGGTGGGCAGATCACTTGAGCCCAGGAGTTTGAGACCAACCTGGGCAACATAGCGAAACTCTGTCTCTAGCAAAAAACAAATAATACAAAAATTAGCCGGGCATGGTGGTGTATGCCTGTAGTCCCAGCTACTAGGGAGGCTGAGGCAGGAGGTTTGCTTGAGTCTGGGAGGCAGAGGTTGCAGCGAGCTGAGATTAAACCACTACACTCCAGCCTGGGCAACAGAGTAAGACCCAGTCTCAAAAAAAAAAAAAAAAAAAAAAAACCTATTTGACCAACATGTATTACTTTATTGCATATTCTTCTGCTTTACAGTGGGCTGGCACATTTCCAAAGAGCTATACTTAATTTTTTTTTTTTTAATTTAGGCCAGGCGCTGTGGCTCAAGCCTGTAATCTCAGCACTTTGGGAGGCTGAGGCGGGCGGACTGCCTGAGGTCAGGAGTTCGAGACCAGTCTGGCGAACATGGTGAAACCCCATTTCTACTAAAAATACAAAAAAATTAGCCAGGCGTGGTGGCGCACATCTGTAATCCCAGCTACTTGGGAGGCTGAGGCAAGGGAATTGCTTGAACCAGGGAGGTGGAGGTTGCAGTGAGCTGAGACTGCACCACTACACTTCAACCTGGGTGACAGAGGGAGAATCCATCTAAAAAAAAATTAATTTTTTAAAATTTGTGACAGGATCTCACTATGTTGCCCGAGCTGGAATGCAGCGGCTATTCACAGGCACAGTCAGTGTGTGCTGCAGCCTCAAACTTCTGGATGCCCTTCTCAGCCTTCCAAGTAGCTGGGTGCCATCATGCCATACTTTAATTTTCTTTAGTAGAAAGGAAATAGCTGTATATTCTGATGACAATTTGGAGCCTTTACATTTTATTTATTTACTGTCTTTCAATAAAATAAATATCACGTTTCAAAACTAAAGGTTTAAGATACTTTTTTTTAAATAAACATGATTAAGTTTGAATGCAAATGTTTTAAGAAAAATCAGACACTGAAAGTAAATTTTGACACTTCAAAGGAAATAGTAATTCAGAAAGCCTATTTGAAGTATTGCTCTTAGTTTTGTCTGCTCCAGTTTTGTCTGGAGCAACACCGCATACAATTGTGAAAATTAAATGAACCTGTGTAAAGTGCTTAGAATGGTATCTGGCACATACAAACTGTTATTTCTTTGTGAAAATTAAAATTCAATATAGCTTTTCTTTATAAATGAATGTTGCATAGATAAAAACAATCCTAAAAACAATCCTGAAAAAATTATTAAGATGGTATAGAAATCTATGATGGAACTTATAATGAATATTTGCCTATTTTCTGATCTATGGGGTTCAGGAAAAGTTCTCATTTAAGAGATTTTTACACAATAAGGTTGACTTTATATTCAAGGAAGTTCCTCCTCGCATCGGTTCTTAAAACACACAATTACAATAACAGAAGTTCTCTAAAACTACATTTTATTTTAAACGAATATTTATTTAAAAGCACATGCTTTCTGTTTTGTCTGCCTTCTTAATTCTAGCTACACACTGCTGCCCTCTGCTGCAATTTCAATCTTTCACACTCACAAACCCGACCTAGTTTCCATCTATACAGGTTATCTGACTCACTGCAAGGGTTATGTGTGTGTGTGTAGAGAACAAAAGGGAAGGCTCCTTGAAAAGAAAACTAGGAACTAAAGATGTTGGCACAGTTCAAAAGAGCCCATCTGAGAAGTGGGCCTTTTTTTTTTTTTTTGAGACGGAGTTTCACTCTTGCTGCCCAGGCTGGAGTGCAATGGCACGATCTCGGCTCACCGCAACCGCCGCCTCCAGGTTCAAGCGATTCTCCTGCCTCAGCCACCCGAGCAGCTGGGATTACAGGAATGCACCAACATGCTCGGCTTTTTGTTGTTGTTGTTGTTGTTGGTTTTTTTTTTTTGTATTTTTAGTAGAGACGGGGTTTCTCCACGTGGTCGAGCTGGTCTCGAACTCCTGACCTCAGGTGATCCGCGAGAAGTGGGCCTTTTTATGGATCCAGCAACAAACTCCCAACCTCCCAGGAAAGGTTGCTTCCTGTCATCTATATAAAACTTTGTGTCTCAGGCCTTTATTGCTTTTTTAATTGAAATAAATTATATATATATGGTTTAAAAAAAAAAGAAAAGGAAAAAGGGTAAACAGCAAAGAGGGTAATCAATAAAACATTTGGCTTCCACTCCAAACCTCTGAACAGTTTTGTGTATCCGTCCAGAAAGCGTATATATTATTACAAACATACACAAGGGGCATTTCTTTTTGAACACAAATGTGAGTATTCCTACCACTCTTTACCATTCTAGACTAACTTGGACGTTGTTCCCTATCAGGCGAGATTAACCCAACTAAATTAAAACCAAGTAGGTTTTAACAAAACAGATTTTAAAGAAATCAATCTTCTCTCCAATAGGTTATTTCTGTCACGATTTAATTAGCTTTCTGTTACTACTAAGGCTTGTATCATATAAAGTAGTGGTTCTCAGGCTGGGCGCGGTGGCTCACGCCTGTAATCCTAGCATTTTGGGATGCCGATGCAGGAGGATAGCTTGAGCCCAGGAGCTGGAGACCAGCCAGGGCAACGTAAAGAGAGCCCCCACCAACACCCCCCGCCACCCACCACCACCGCCCCGGAAAAGCAGTGGTTCTCAAACGTCAGCGGACATTGGTATCATCTGGTGAGCTTATTAAAACAAGAGTCTCTGGATTCAGGAGGTCTGGGGTGGGGCTTGAGAATTTGCATTTCCAATAAATTCCAAGCCGGAACTCCAGGAAGATAACCTGCATTCCGCGCCTGGCGAAGCCCAGCTACGCCATTTCCTTCCTAGGCCCCGCCTACTTCGTGTCCCTGACAGCCAGGGACTGGCTAGAGGGCGCGCGGAGTCACGTGAGTCGAGCGACCTCGCGCGAGAGTTTGTATTTCTCGCGAGACTTCACCGTCTCTGTCTTTTCCTCCTTCCAGTGCCCGGCGTTCCTCCCTTCCCCCTCGCCGCCGACCGAGTTCTTCCTTTTCAGACCGGGTCGCCTTGCTGTCGTCGCGGTGATTTTCCTGCTACTGCTACTGCTGCTGCTGCCACCGCCACTACCACTGGGCTCATTTGCCCCGACCCCTTCCCGCCGCCCCGCCCCCAGCCCCACACAAGGTAACAACCCCCCTGAGGGAGAGAGTAAGGCCTGGCCGGGCCCGGGTCCCTCCCGAGGTGAAGCGGAGGCCCAAGGCTGAGGAGCCCGCCTCGCCGGAGACGCCCAGGCGCTGGCCCTGGATCCCGGAGCCACGGCCGTCTCTCAGCCAGAGCTGAGCCTCGGCGGCCCGGCCGGCGCTGGCCTCCGTGCGGCGGCGGCAAACACGGCCCGCAGGGGACCGGGTCGGGTGGGGCTGGGCGCCGCGCGGCTCCCTGTGGAGCCTGCCTGTTGGAGCGCGGCGGGGCTCCGGCGGTGGTCTTGGAGCTGGCGTGTGGATTTCCACGTCCGAATGATCGAGTTGTGGCGGGCTTTGAGGTGCTGCGTGGCGGGGAGGAGAGCAGCCTGGGTCGCTGTAACTCTTAGGGGGCCTTTGCAGGCTCCCAGCCTTTGGTTGGACGGGAATTTTACGAAGGAGAAGGGTCCTCGGAAACGTGGTACATTTGCTTATAAACCATCAAAAAAGGTTAATTGGTATCTTATTTTCAGGAAAATGACTGAGCTGGATTTGGCGAAAGGCACATTCGTTAGAATGCCTAAATGGGAGAGTACCTGTGCTGTTCTTTTTGCTGAAGATAATGCACCGATAAATATTTAAGCGACTGGGCGAAAGATTTTTGTTTTGGAGAGGCACTTTTAAATACACTCTTAATTGAATAGTTCAAGTAAAGATCGTAGTTTGTGTAGTTAATTTAAAAACGCACTTGTTTGGCTTTGGAAGCATACTGTAGTGCTTAAAAATAAGTATTTGGATTGTTTTTGAAAGTTTCGACTTTTCCAACAGAGTAGTGCTTTTTAAAAAGATAACACTGATTATTGAGCCGAATTCAGCACCTACCCTGTGGATAGGAGTTAAAAGAAAATTAGAAATTTCTTTGTATCTGTATGCTTTTTTAAAGTATGGAATGTATCTCAAGTTTATAATCCTCAGAATCTGTTGCCTTTAAGTTTGTGGTTTAGCTGAAGTCTAAACTGAGAGTAAAGGTAATGGTGGTAAATTAAGCTGCAGTGTTAGAAGGAGTTAGAGGCAAAAACTGGTAATTCAGGCAGACAGGGGAGTTAGTTTTTTATGCCTTGATTTTTGGTTTAGTTTTCATGGTCTAACCCTTTTTATTTTCCCTAGATGTCAGAGGATTTAGCAAAGCAGCTGGCAAGCTACAAAGCTCAGCTCCAGCAAGTTGAAGCTGCATTATCTGGAAATGGAGAAAATGAAGATTTGCTAAAATTGAAGAAAGATTTACAAGTAAGTATGGGTAGACAATTGTACTTTTTCTCTGTTTTTCAAATTATTGCTTGAATCCCTAAGTACCCAAAGCGCCTTTTGAGGGGTTACACCCCACCCTATGTATATATGTAAATTCTGTAGGTACCATTGCTTGTAGAAGTAGGGTTGCTTCCCCAGTTCTCAGGTTTCTGTACATCAGAGTGAAATATTGTTCTTTGTTATATAAATCTTGTGTGCTTACATAATTTTTAAAAACTAAAGTTGATAGAAATTTCCAAGTCTGTCAGATTTTCAAGACGAGAGGTACATGTAACTTCACAATGAAAAACGCTTTTAGTTTTTAAGACCTGGCAAATGAAATTTAGTTCAAAAAGTAACAAAGATTGAAGGAGAAAAATAGAACCTTAAGATTCTTTTTAATACCACAAGATTCTTTGAAAATGCGTGCCTTTTTTTTTTCCCCAAAGCTAGTGGATTACATTTTGTATTGAAAACACACCACAAAAATGCCTAAAGAGAGACAAGTGCTTTGTATAATTGTTACATAGATGTTCAGACTTAAGGCTAGGTTTTACAGTAAAGTTGTTGACACTTGTGGAAATTGAACTATGTGGTGAAAAGGAGATCTTTGTCATGGTAGAGTTTAGTAGATAATGAAACCTTTTTTTGAAAACCTGCACTGGGATTTCAAGACAAACATAGAGCCATCATAGTAAATACCTTTTGTGTTTCAGGACACCAGACTGATTCAGAAAAATGCCATATATAATTTGCAAATATATATGACTTTTAAGAGCTTCCTTTAAATTCTGAACCTGATTTTTAAAAAGTTTCAAGGGTGTTTTGATTAGAGATTGCTTTACCGACTGAGTACTAAACTCAAATCTGTATCCTGTCTAAAAATTCATTCCCTCCCTTTATTATCCCACTGCCCGTTAAAACTATTACTATTTTAGGGATATCAGAACTGCAAACAAACTTAACGGAAATAGGGTCCGGATTTGGGATTCTGGAACTGCTTATCTGGGCGTAATTAAGATGAGTTGAATACTTTCAAGTTCTACATTTAGAATAAAATTGCAGTAGTATGTTATTTTTAAACACACACAAACTATCTGGGTTAATTTCAATATGAACAAGACCCCTCTTCGATACGTAGAAGCCAGGCCTGTGGGCTTCAGGGTGCCAGTCAATACAAAAAAGATGTTTTGGGAGCAGTTTCTCCCACTCCCAGGCCCTTAAGTGAGAAATAACCCAGTGGTTTGCCACCTGTCCATTTGATTTGCTCATATGTTGTGAGTATACATTGAAGATGAGGCAACAGAGGCACACCGACCTCTTATTTTCTTACACTCTGTAAAGTGCTTTCTGTTTGCCCCAAAGAGAGATGCCTTGACTACCTTTACCAACTTAAGCAGTCCTTTTTTAGGAAAAGAAAACACTGGGTGCCAATGTTTTGTATATTGCTTCTTGGGCAGTGGGAGGAGGGGTATTTGTTGAACTGGTTGGGTTGGGGAAGTTGGGAGTGGAGTTAGAAATAGCATTATCATCAGGTCTTTTTAATATTTCTAGAATAATTCCTCATTAGAGTCTGAGCAGAACTGCCTTACCATGTCATGATCATCATAGTGGAAAGTACTGTAGGGGGAAACCATTGTGATAAACACTGTAGTAAGCCCCTAAAAGGCTTGCTTGCAGGGGTTCAGTTAATAATGACCTGGAAATCATTTTTCTGTAAAGTATCCTCTTTTCTATAACCATTTAAAACAGCACTGTCCAGTAGAACTTTCTGTGATGATGGAAATGTTCTATATCTGCTATTCAGTACCATAGCCACTAGCCACATTTGGTTGGATATTTGAAATACAGCTAGGTTTACTTAGGAGCTGAGTTTTTAGTATAACTTAATTAGCCACACGTGACTACCATACTGGATGGCAAGGATTTAGAAGTGCAAGTTTTAATACTTCAGATAGTAATAACAGAATGTTTTTCCTGACCAGTCTTGATCAGAGTTTCTTCCCATTTTATTCTATCATTAGAAATTTCATTTTGGTCCCTAGATAAGGTCTATTTTGAATTGAAAACTACTCAAAAACGGAAACCATCTTTTAAGATGAGGTAATACTCTGAAAAGTATTTGGCTATAAGCTTCCACTCAGTAATTGTTGTCTCCATTGAGACTACACTTAACAGCTTCTATTTTGCTGTGGGGTTCCCCCCCTCATTCCCCTCCTTTTTCCTTCTCTGCCTTCTGGGATGTATCTCATGCTATGGGTATTTAATTCAGCTTGTTATATTTGGTGAAAAGTCTGTTCAGACTGATTTTGTGGCTTCCTCATATTAATATTTTTTGACCATCATATGGTTTCTAATTTCTTGTGTTCCTCTATAGAATTAGATCCTTATCCCAGTTATTAATTTGTTTGCCCTTTGTTTTATGACAAAATGCTTTTTTTGCATCTTTTCAATGACTTCATTTTGCCAGTAAGGTTTCCATGTTTATCTCTTTCATGTACTGTCTTTCATAGAGACTAAAGTTATTCAGCAGGCAGCAAAATAATCTACTAAAGTCCTGCCTTTCTTTTTTCACTTAAAAAAGTGGGTGTGATAAAATCCAGGCTAGCTAGCTGACTAGCTCCCCGGGCAGTCTATGATAATCAGAGATAGTCAATTTATTAGGCTGTTTTGCTGAATAAGCTGGTTCTAAAGGAGGCAGGGGTCAAGTCACTTGTCTCATATATTACAGTGGCTCTCTGCATCCCCGAAACGCCTTCCTTCAGTAAGCAGAGTGCTTGAGTGCACCCCATTTGACCTGCTGATATGTAGATCACAACACCTGATGCTTCCTGGAATTGCCGATTACTGTAACTGCTGCCCATCTGTCGATGAAGGAGCAGTTTCAGAACTCAGACTTGAGGGAGGAAAAGTAATTAATGGTATGTACCTTCAAGAACCCCCTCATACATAAAATAGTTTTTCTAATACTTTGGTCCATACGCACATGTGAAGAATAGAAATTTAGAAGGTTCTTCATAGTTTGTTGGGAGGGTTATGTAAAACCATGGCAAAGTTAAAGGACATTAGGAGTAAATGCTCTGGATTTTTTCTAAAAAAGGGTCATTTCAGCACAGGCCTCTGAATTCACTAATATGCACAGCTTTTCAGGACCCTTTTCTTTGATGAAATATATTTCTTTAACAAAATATATTTGGAAAACAGTTCTGTCCTAAAAGAAATAGAGTTCTAAATCTGAAACCTACAAGTGCAGAATTCATGTCTGTGCTTAAGTTAAATGATCCCTAGGTGGATCTGGAAGTATTTAATGATAGAGATTTGTGTGGGCTCTTGAGTCAGGCTGACTGGATTACATTCCTACCCCTAAAAGTGGTTAAAAATAAGACCAGATAATTTACTCTTCTGTTGTGTACTACTTGATCTAGTTATTTGGAAGGTTCTTTGCTTTGTTTGCAAAGGACTGTCTAATTAAAAAGATCTAATTAATGGCTAGTTGGCAACTAATAAAACTTAGAGATATTATTCCTACTAAATTTTTAAATCAAACCTAAGTGTTCTATTTATTTATTTATAAAACTAACCTTTCTTCAAGAGATTTAAGACTCAAATATTAGTTTTTTCAGAAATAGCCAGGAAGATTTAGAATCTTTAGGAGAGAGGTAATATTTAACTTTCTTGGCTACTGGAATCAAAATTACTATTATGAAACCTCAGTGGGAACTAGAAGAAACTCAGTACATAGTTTAACTTTGTTAATTTTTCTCCCCAAACACACAGTATGATGTTTTAAATGCAACAATGGGTGAACAGCTATGCAAGTTCTTAGATCAGATAAGATGCATAGTGTGGATCTTCATTAGAGTAACAATATAGTAGACAGGTAGCAGAATCTGTCGGCTTGTACTGTTCTCAATTTTTTAGCCATCCCTACACCAAACATCTTTGAATGAAGCCAATAAATGTAAGCCTGAATTAGAAAAAAATATTTGCCACACAGAAAGGCATTGCCTTTGTGTGTTACCTTTTTTTCCCCCTTTTAAATGAAGCTGTGCTAATGTGCTTAACATTAAGGTATGGAACATTTAAAATCTAACCTGGTAATTTGCTTACCCAGATGGGGTGAGTTTTACAATAATTGAATAGGAAGACCACTGGTTTCTTTTACATTGCCTGTAGTATTTTAGTCGAGATATGTATAAGTAGGAACATTTTTGTTACTAATAAAGCTGCTTAAAGTGTTTTGGGATTGCTTGGCAGTTAATACTGCTGAGTAATGCCCTATAAAACAGTACAGTTGCATAAAATATGTTACAATAAGAGTATCTAATTCAGTGCCTCATACTTGACTTTCTCATCTTTAGAGAGATCTATTCAGCTAAAATAGGCACTTAGAAATAATGCATGGTATAAGCTCAAGTCTTATATTTTCATTAGTATTTGTGGTTAAGTTGAAAGGCAACTATATGGGCTTAAGTCACAGCTCTGCCACTTAACTGGTAGACAATACTGTATCAGTTTCTACATGGGGATAATCACAGTACTTGCTTAATAGTGTTATGAGCTGCAAATGAAATATATGTAGAGTACTTAACGTACAGTATGAAGGCTGTCATCAGAAACTAAGTTGACAATGAGAATTATAAAAATAATGTTGTAGTTTTTGTTTTTCTTTTTTAGGAAGTTATAGAACTAACCAAAGACCTTCTGTCAACTCAACCTTCTGAGACGCTTGCAAGTTCAGACAGTTTTGCTTCTACTCAACCTACTCATTCATGGAAAGTAGGAGACAAGTGTATGGCAGTCTGGAGTGAAGATGGACAGTAAGTGTAGAAAAAAAAACTCTAACTATAACATGAAATAATAAAATACAATGGTAAGAAGTTTTTATTCAGTTTTAACTACCCTATTTTAATCTTGACTTCTATTAGGCAGTATGATTTATAGAGCCAATTTGATTCTTGGGTGGTTGCCATTAATACAGTTTAGTTTTAGCTTTAGATTAAGTTTTGGGGAGAAGAATGGCTGGGATTCTGGAGGAAAGAAAAACAGGACAATGAATGGGTGTTTTCTAAAATAATCTAAATTATTTTCTCTAATTGAAAATTGAGTGAATGGTTGGTTTTTCTGAGAATTCTGTGAAGAGCATACACTGACATCATTCCTATAAGAAATATCTTTTCGCTGGGTGTGGTGGCTCATGCCTGTAATCTCAGCACTTTGGGAGGCTGAGGCAGGCAGATCGCTTGAGGTCAGGAGTTGGAGAGCAGCCTGACCAACATGGTGAAACCCCATCTCTACTAAAAATACAAAAATCAGTTAGGTGTGGTGGCGTGTGCCTGTAATCCCAGCTACTTGGGAGACTGAGGCATGAGAATTGTTTGAACCTGGGAGGCGGAGGTTGAAGTGAGCTGAGATTGCACTACTGCACTCCAGCCTGGGCGACAGTGAGACTCTGTCGCAAAAAAGAGAAAAAAAGAAACCTCTATTCTCAAAGACATTAAATCACGTTGAGTAGGTACATGTAAGAGACTTGCCCAGCAATATTATGATTGGGATGTCCTTTTTTGATAGCAGATAACTAACTTCAACCACTCTTTTGTATTCTCTTTGCTGAAACAACCATTTGATTATAGAAGTTTCATTATAGACACATGTAATAATTTTATCACTACAGTATAAGTCTTGTAGGCTGAGTACTAAACCTTTACTCACCTGCTTACAGCCATGATATCTTTACAGGTGTTATGAAGCGGAGATTGAGGAGATAGATGAAGAAAATGGCACCGCTGCAATCACCTTTGCTGGTTATGGCAATGCTGAAGTGACTCCACTGTTGAACCTCAAGCCTGTAGAAGAAGGAAGGAAGGCAAAGGAGGACAGTGGCAACAAACCCATGTCAAAGTAAGTGACTTTGACTTTTCCATTTTAGGTGCAATCTTCCCCATTTGGATACTTGAAGTAGTCTGCAGAGAGAATCTATGCATAAGAAAGTTGTAATACTGTTTTACCGTTGTTTTGAAGATTAGCAACAAAGGGTCAACATTGTCTGTGTAAGTGTGCCTAAGTAAAGTGAAGATAATTTTGATTCCCATTTAGGCATTCAGTAAATATTAAGAAGATAACTATGTACAATGAACATCTTCCCAGCATATTTTATAAGCCAGGTACTGGGGCTATACCACAGGAGACCACCTCAGGCCTTGTCCCAACTGAGTTTATATTTAGAGAAGAAAACTCATCATTAATGAAGTGCTTTAATAGTACAGTGTAAACATTACAAAGGAGCTATAACAGGTACTGTAAGGGAACAAGAGGTACTCAGCCTCCACTTTTATTATTAGGGCAGATTTCTTTGAGAAAATGACATCTAAACTGAGATTTGAAAAGAGTAAGAGCCAAGTACAAAGCTACAAGGCGGTATGATGTTGATCTGGGCTTGAATTCTTTGTTATTAATGAGCATTATGACCTTGGAGAAGCTGTTTAACTCTGTTTCCTCATCTGTAAGATAGGGGCAGTACATTATTGGGTTGTGAGGATTCAAACGATAAGTGTTAGTAAAGCTTGTAACAGTTCTTTACATGTAGTAAGAGCTTAGTAAATTTTTTTTAAAGGGGGGAGGTGAGCACGTACAAGTAACAAATCCCTGTGGTAAAAACTTGGGGCCTGGAAGGTGGGTGGTCTGAGAAGAGATTAGAGAGGTAAAGTCCAGAACATAAAGAGCTTGTAAGCCACCGATAACATTTTAAGTAGAGGGGATATGATGTGATCACATTTGAGCTTTAGAATGATCACTGTCAGTAGGGAGAGGCAACTACTGCTGTGATCCAGGTATAAGATGATGGCCTGAACCCAGGGAGTTGCAATGGGAATGGGGAACTATGCAGTTTTGAAAAGTAAGAGGCAGAATTAACAATATTTTGGTGAACTTCTGCATATTTGCCACAACTTAGTCTTTTGATTTGTCAAGAGTTTTTGAAACTTAAGTTGCTACATATTTATATTTGAATATGCAAAAATTATATATTAATGTAAGCATTCCAATAAAATAAAATTCTAGAACAATGTATATATATATTTTTTAATGTCTTTGTCATCTGTGTAAAAAGCCATAGCTTCATGGTGGTAATATGGTACCGGGGAGTCTAGATATTGCCCCTCTTAAGGATCTTTCTTTTCATCCTTTTGGTGAGAAGTCAGTGTTAACTGAGCAGAAATTATTGGGGGTTTTAGGCTCTGATCCTATTTAGAATCTTATTTAGAATGTTTTTGAAACCCCCAGGTGTTTTGTTTTGGTGAGAATTATTAGCTATGATTTCCATTTGTGCTGCTGCATTCTTCCAATGTAGGTAAAATATTTTATCTGCATCGAATCTCTTCATACATTTTTTTCTAAATGCTGCACTTGTTAACTATGTCTATTTGGAAGTAGTTGAAGGCTTAGATACCCATTAATACTGAAACTCAACTTATTCCTAAAACAACTGGTAACAGCTATACAAAAGTAAAATAGAAAGTCATAATTAAGGCTGGGCGCAGTGGCTCAAGCCTGTAATCCCAACACTTTGGGAGGCCAAGGCAGGCAGATCACTTGAGGCCAGGAGTTAAAGACCATTCTGGCCAACATGGTGAAACCCTATCTCTACTAAAAATATAAAAGTTAGCTGGGCATGGTGGCATGTGCCTGTAGTCCCAGCTACTTGGGAGGGTGAGGCACAAGAATCTCTTGAACCCAGGAGGTGGAGGTTGCTGTGAGCCAAGATTGTGCCACTGTACTCCAACTCCAGTCTGGGCAACAGAACAAGACTTTGTCGCCAAAAAAAAAAAAAAGGCATAGTTGAAATATTTACCTTATATGGGTAAATAGATTACAGTTATGTTTGAAAGCTTCCAAGGATGCCATTTTTTAAAAAAACATTTCTTAGTAATTCTGGGTGATTGGTACTGATTTTAATGATTTAGTACTTTTTATTCATAGACCATTGTATATGTTTATTAGATTTTTTTTTTGCACTGCCGGTGTCTTCAAGGAAGTCATTCTTGTATGATAAGTCTTAACAGTTGACATTTAACTTTTTTTCATGCAGAAAAGAAATGATTGCCCAGCAGCGTGAATATAAAAAGAAGAAAGCTTTGAAAAAAGCTCAGAGAATAAAAGAACTTGAGCAGGAAAGAGAGGACCAGAAAGTGAAATGGCAACAATTCAACAACAGAGCCTATTCTAAAAACAAAAAAGGCCAGGTTGGTAAATCTTTTTACACTTTGTAAATTTGAGAAATGCAACTGTCATTAAAATAACTTTAAAATGAAAAGAGATGGAGATTTTTTGTAAAGTATGATTAACTCAGATTTTGTATTCCGAATCCTTGTTGATGCTCAATTTAACTTATTGAAAAATGTTAGCCATTGTCTCTGCAATAAAAATATTACAAATGAGAGAATTTATATCAGAAATTACAAAAGGTCTATGTTCTTTTCCTTCTATAAACTAATATTTGAAAAAATAGTTGCTACTTAGAGGCAGTGTGCTTAACTCTATCTGCTTTGTTAACATGCCTTCATGCTGGGCATCACTGGTAGATTTTATTTAAAAGTGCATTCAGTTTCCCTTGATACACTTACCTTGTGTGTGTTGGGTAGAAAATAACTGTAGCATTCATATAGGAAGTTGAGAATAAGGATAACCTGACTTTCACCCATGTGTTACTCTTCACTGCCATCAAGGTAGCCCTTCCATTGATGGACATGGCTTCTGGAAAGAAGCGCTTCCTTTTCATAAAGATGTTTATTTTGTGACAAAGGCCAAGGGACTTCACAATTTGGCTATCATAACAGGCCCCACAGTAAACCACAATACAGCCAGAGCTTTAATCATGCTAGAATGGCTAGCTCACAGCTGAAGTTAGGATTTGCGTTTACAAAACTAAAATTTTGACGTATCAGAAGGCAAGTGTTATGAGTATTAGTAAATGTAATGATATTTTCCACAACTTAGAAGTTACAGTAAATGGCTTCCAGCATGGGACCACTTCTGTACCCATTTTTTAACACTAAACAAAGGCAATATGTTTTTCTTCTTTTAAACGTTGAAACCAGAATATATTTTAACATTACTTAAAATTTGAAATTTTTTATTTTTTCCAACACTAATCAGGAATGATTTCTGTTTTCTTTCCCTTAGGTAAAGAGGAGTATTTTTGCTTCACCTGAGAGTGTGACTGGTAAAGTTGGAGTAGGAACCTGTGGAATTGCTGATAAACCTATGACACAATATCAAGATACCTCTAAATACAATGTCAGGCATTTGATGCCTCAATAATCAGAAAAACTGTTGGATTTCATCTCTGCAGGGCTTTACATTTACCTTTTTATCCTTATATTTTTCTAAAGGTAAATTATTTGTTAGATGAGTAAGCAAGATACCATTGTCGTCATTGGTTGGCTTCAGTAGAATGAAACGTGAAGAAATTGCATTTGATAACTGCTATTCATTTAACTTTTCTCATTATCAGTACCACGGTTCCCTCAAAGTTTGTTGAATAAAGCAACTTTTGTAGATGCTGTTTCATACAGCACTTAGATGAATTATTGATCTTCCTAATATCAGGCGCCTACTTAACCTATGGTGTGTACTTTTTGTAAGTTGTAACTTGAAATTTTCAGATGCTTTGAACTTGACACATACTCTAGCAATTCATTGGAACACCAAGGCAAAAACACCAACCTGCTAAAAGAGATCTTTTCATTTTTCTTATTTTCAGCTTTAAAACTTAGCTGTCGTTCAGTTAAGCTTAAAGATAGGTTAATTTGTAAATGGCAAAGTTTGTTTTGAGGTTTTTCCTCAATAACTTGTTTCCCAGGCCTATTAGGCCATCTCTAAAATTGATCTAGCTGTTTTATTTTTATGTACTCTTAGTTTTATGTAAGAAACCTTAGGATGAGCTCCCTTTTCTAAGGTGTTTTTGTTTTTTGTATGTTTGCTTTTTTCCTGTTTTTTGTTTTTTCCATTTACGGCAGTGGTACCATGTTTTGGATGTGTGATGTTTATATGGGAGAACAAAAAGCTGATGTATAGCCCTGTATACAGTGTAGATACTATTTTTGTAAAAACACAAGGCTAAATTAATGAACAAGAATACTGAATATTTCATCATTAAAAATTTCTTGTATTTCTTGTGCATTAATCTGACGATAATTTCCCTGTATATTATGTTCATTTAGCTGTTTGTAATTTTTGTTAATTAGATCAGGTTGTCTGCATTTGTTGGTGTAAGTGAACATCATCACAGTTATCCTGAGTTGAGTTTAAGCCAAATACATGCATAGAAAAGGGTCTTCCTATTAATGGAAGAAGGTAATTTTTAGGATGTGTATTATTTCAGTTTTGTATGTTTAACTTTTATTAAATAAAGTGTTTTTAAAATCTCCAGGGTGTGTTAACAAAAGGGTAAAGTCTTTAGCTGTCAGCACTTAAAGCAATTAAACCTCCAAGTACTTGCACACGGCATTCATGCAAGAGAATACTGAGTGTGTGAGAGGTTTCAGTAAATGCTTAAGTATTCCTTCCATTAGAAGAAATTGGATCTTAAAGGGCAAACCAGGCCTGTGTTTATAGGATGTCCTCATTTTAATGGGTGTTTGTAGATTTTTGGTGGAAGGGGAAAATAAGTTTTTATTTCATGAATTTTAATTTTTTTTATAAATTGAAACTTAGGACAGTGGTAGGTAGAATTCTTCATCTCTCCCTTCCACACCCACCCCTCTCAACCCAGGAGGGTCACTTTTTCTTCATATAATTCGTGGCCACAGGGTAGGACACAAAGGACAGAAAGGCACAAACTGCAGTAGAAAAAGGGTTTGTTGAAGCCTGTAAACTTCTAAATAAAATATACTTTGTTATTGTAACATCTTAAGAGCTTATCAATAATCAAGAGTAGCCTTGATGGATTGCAAGAGAATCCTTTGAATTAAAAAGCACTGGGAAGAAATTTGGTGTCATTGTGTGACCCCAGAAAATGGTTGTTGAGATTACCTTGGTGGTATTAGAATAGTAATTCACTTGATGTTTGTGTAGGCAGGACTGTTAACAGTCTTGTCCCTCTTTTGACCCTGGGGGGCCTTAGTTTTCCCAGAGGACTTTGCAGTAGGAGAGAGAAAAAGAATAAAAGTGACCTTAAAAAAAAATGTTTTGAAAATAGACCTTTAGAATGAAATCAGCAACCTTTGTGTCAAAGATCTAGATGTGGCCCTTTGGAAAATCCTAGTGTCAGGATGATGTTTGTGTCTCTGAACTAAGAGGCAGGACTCCTGGGGAGACTACCTGTCACAGTGTGATACTGAATTTGAGAAGATGCTCAATGAGAAGCATGATACCCACAGTATTTTACAGTTGAAGGTGGTTAAGCTCTCTATATTCTGAAACAAAATATAAACCTTGACCTTAAAAAGCTTTGTTAGAAAATTTAATGTAGAGTTTTCCCCATTAAGAAAGGAGACTTGAAGCTTTGAAACTGTGACAGACTGAAATGTTAAATATTGAGTTATGGGCCCCTAAGTAGAAATGGTTGCATGTAACTTACCAAAGCTTGACGTTTGACTGTTGTTACCATTTCAAGGAAAGAACAGTCCTAACCTCCCGAAAATAAAATGTTGAGTTTTAGTGGTAATCACAGGTAACAAGTGCTATTTTAATTAACATGTAGGGAGGCCACAGAGCATACTGGAAAACAGCAAGGACTCTAGAGCCAGACTAGTGTTTGTTTATTACCATTTATTACCTGTGTATTCCCATTTATTACCTGTGTATTCCTCTGATTCATTTTTCTCAGCTGTAGAATGGAAAAATCTGTTTCAGTTTTAAGGATTGAATTCAAATGTGTAAATAGCTTAAGAGTATCCGGCATAAGCACTATAGAAGCGTCTGCTATTACTCTGCAGAGTGGCAGTGGTGAATTATCTGATATTTTTTCCTTAACTTGAATAGCAATCCACATTACAATGGATAACAATACCCATTGTTTATGATTTGAGGCATCCAATTATAACTGTATTATTGAAGTGTTATCAAATTACCAAGGCTGTAGGGTATATTTAGTATTCCTAGTTAAAGGTTTGAACTAATTTGTATACTAGGGCATGTTTCTTAATGGGAAGGGGGTGAAGGTTATAATAAAAGTCACCCCTAATGCTTGTTTAAAATTAAAGAGGAATTTGTGGGCCTGGGACCAACCTTAGACTTATCCAGGCCAAGGTATGTTGTTTGACGAACACCGCAGGTGATCCTGATGTGCATCCCCGTCTGAGAACTGTTAACTATAAAAGTTTGACTTTGGAAATGAAGAAAAATTACCTTTTAGCCTAATCATGAAGACTAGGCGTCAAACCAAAACAAGATGCATCAGTTACTGTAGCAACACATTTTTTTTAAAAAATTGCTTGTTGTCACAATGAAGGGTGTGTGTCTGTTTCCAGTATGCAATTCTAATGCCAAATGTCTGCCTTAAAAATAGCAAAGGAGACCATCAGGTTAACATAAAGGAAAACTGTAGTTGTGTGACTCATGTGTCTGTAGATTGTAATTTTATAATTACAATTTTTATAAGATAAAAAACTACCAGTTGTAAATTCAACCAAAAAAAATTTAAAGCTTTGATTTAGCTTTTTGCTTTAACTTGGGTAGTAACTGAAATATAAAGGAAGAAAATCTATTAAAACCAATGAGGTTTTATATTTTTTTAAATCTTGATTCAATAAATATCAGCTGAATTAAGTATCTGTATGGTACTACGAAGCAATCAATTAGTATAAATGGCAATTTACAAGTTCAACAGTAAATGTAAACATTCTTTGTATCTAGGATTTTTGAGTTGCAAGTTAAACTGAATTTTTACTGCAGTAGAGAGGAGGAGCATAGCAGGCAAAATAACAGGTAATACTGTATTTTAAACAAACAGAAAAACCCAAGTAATTGGCGCCCTTTATCCAATCATCTTTTAAAAGGCCTATGTATGTGTATAGTTATGTTCTTAAGAAACATCTTAAGAGGTTCAGAAATCAATTTTATAGATGGAACATTTTAATAATTCGTTTTGGCCTAGCCAAAAGAGTAAAATAAAACAAAATAGTGTTAGATTTCTGTGAGGTGTTTTAATTGCCTTTTCTGCCTTTTAACTTATGTATATAAAGGTGGTTCTTTTGTGGCCTTGATTGGGGTAAAGCAGAACTGAGAATAATAGGGGTTTGTAGTAGTTGACAGCTGAACTAGCTAAAAATACGAAGTTTTGGATATTTAATTAATCTTTCAGTTCCCAGGCAACAAAAACTGGAAACTTAGTTCCACCACACACCTTACCAGTTCATTTAAAACAAAACCAGTATAGTCACTGGAATTATTTAAACTGTAATTTGTTTCTCCACTTAGTCTTTTTTAAGAATACGGCTGAAAGAGCCATGGTGATAATCATTAGGAGAGAAGGTTGGCATTTTGTTTGAAGAGCTACTTTCTCAACTTGGGGCTGAAAGTTATGGTTGTTGTTTGCTGGCTCAGGATTTACCTTTCTTGGTAAAACTGATGTGCTTTTGTTTTTTCCCCTTTCAAGCCCTGTACTTACTTTAGCAAGATGCAGTGAATTTCTGACCAGAGAAACAAAGAATTCAGGCTTGGAGGAAACACTTGACTCCATATCCTGGGAAACTAGAGTTGAAGCCTGAGATCTGAAGCTAGGCTAGTAATCACTTTAATAGATGGTAACTGTCCAAATGTTCATTGTTCAGAAGTAGCAGGAAGGAGTAAGTATCCCTTTAATTCTTTTGCCTGGAGTTTTTCCCTCCAAAATCGCCCCTCAGGTTTAGTTGACCTAGCTTTCTAAGTGTGATGAAGCTACTAATTTAGAAACGACTGATCTTAAATGTATATTCTTCTTATAATTTTAGAGGTACTTTTATAGGTTTTGTTATATTTTTACAGTGCTATTCTGTGCCCTGGTGTGAGCATCTGAAATAAGTATCTCAATTATTACCCTACCAATAAAGATTTTTAAAGCATTCCCCATGGCAAAGAGCTATGAGCTTGAGGATATGGAAAAAATTCCAAAACTACAGTAAGTTAGTTGGCAGTATCTTAAAAGAACTTCATTTAAAGCCATTTTCTCTAATTTATGACTGTATAGAAAGGTAAAACAACAGGAAGTGAAGTTTTCAGCCAGTACATTTATTTTGAACTACGCTGCCTATTTAAAACAATCTGACATATTCCACAAGAAAACCAGTTTCCTATTAGTTCTGATACATAGGAAAGGAGATAGCTGCTGATTGTCTTTTCTTGGCAAAGTCAGCACTAAATACTGACCTAGGGCACATTATTATCAGTGTATAATATGTTCAACTTGAGATTAGTCCTTTTTCTTTTTTCTAGAAAGACCAACTAATCACTAAAACTGATGCTGCATTAATCTTATAAAGCCTTCATTTAAGAAATTCTATAGGAGGCTGGGTGCAGTGGCTCACACCTGTAATCTCAGCACTTCGGGAGGCCAAGGTGGGCGGATCACATAAGGCCAGGAGTTCGAGACCAGCCTGACCAACATGGTGAAATGCCCTCTCTACTAACAAATACAAAAATTAGCCGGGTGTGGTGGCACATGCCATAGTCCCAGCCACTCAGGAGGCTGAGGCAGGAGAATTGCTTGAACCCAAAAGGTGGAGGTTGCAGTGAGCCGAGGTCACACCACTGCACTACAGCCTGGGTGACAGAAAGAAATTCTATAGGAAATAAAAAATAACTACTTTATGTTAAAGTATTACCTACCATGGAATTTTAAGTGAACCAATATTTAGGAACAGTCTTTTTCTGTAAGATCTGGAGTCAAAGTAACTAAAATTCAGGATTAAGGATGCATTAAAAGGTTGCATTCATCAGAGAAACTAGAGAAATACACCCCTTTTAATTTCCTTAGTGCTACATCTTCCTAGATGGCAGTCAGGGAGTGGGGTGGTAGTTTATATATATCAGCTTAAATCCTTACAACCCTTCAAGATAGAGGTAGTACTTATAATAGCTTTTCAGGAAGAAAAGGGCTCCATGAAGAAATCAAGCAACTTAACTAGGGTCAGCAATGTTGGAACTGGGATTACAGTGTAATTAAAACACTTGCTTTTCCCACACTTTACTGTTCTGGGTTAACTGTTGGGAACCTGATTTTGGTCAGCAACTTTGCCTCAATAATCCTCACTGCCTCTTAAAATTCCTTCATAATGCTAAAAGCAGTCATTGTCAGGGAGATTAGAAAGGCATTTCTGTAGGAGTTCTCATACCTATTCTAACCAGAAACTTGAGTTGCAGTGACTTCAGAATCCTCTAGTCATAACGCGCTACAGTAGGTTTTACCTGTACCTTTTTGAGACGGAGTCTCGCTCTGCTGCCCAGGCTGGAGTGCAGTGGCTCGATCTCAGCTCACTGCAGCCTCCGCCTCCCAGGTTCAAGATTCTCCTGCCTCAGCCTCCTGAGTAGCTGGGACTACAGGTGCATGCCACCACGCCCAGCTAATTTTTCGTATTTTTTTTTTTAGTGGATAACGGAATTTCATCATGTTGGCCAGGGTGGTTTCAAACTCCTGACCTCAAGTGATCTGCGCACCTCTGCCTTCCAAAGTGCTGGGATTACAGGTGTGAGCCATTGCACCTGGCCTACCTGTACCTTTTAATATAAATGTCACTCAGGTGTTCTATAAATAGGGTACCCTAAATAAGATTAGTGGAACTTCCAGACTTGTTTGCAATTTGAATAATAGTGTAGCTAAAGGATGCTCCCAAAAGTTATTTAGAGAACAGATCATGAGAATGGCTTTGTGTCCTACCTGAGGCAGTTAATATTATTATTAATGTGGCACATTAAACCACATGCAGTTAGGTTATATGGAGTTACCAGTCAGGCTCCTGTTTAAATTGCAGAACAGGAATGGCAATTATAATTCAAACTGCCATTTGATTTGGCATTGATACTGATTTGGTATCAACAGACATTTAGGAGATAGTTACCTCTTAAGGTGTGGATACCCATTCATGTTTTTGCCTTCATAAAGAAGGATGGTACAAAAAGAAAGGTATTCTTCGTTCACAGTTTTTATTTCTTCCAATTAACTTTTGTGTCTTCAAAGTTGATTTGTCTTTTAAAAAATTAATACTTCTTACTCATACAATCTACACCACCCCAAGGAAAACAAACCCAGGGAAGGGTAATTTAGGGGGCAGTTAAAATGTGCACTATAGGTTTATAACAAATGCTTTCCAGCCCATAATCCTGTACATATGCAACAAAATGGCACCTCAAGTTCATCTGAATGAAGGCCCAAATAATGCAAGCGAAGGCCATGAGAATAACAAAACAAACAGAAGCTTAGTCACTGGCTTCATTCACTTTGTATGGTAGCACAGTCTTCAAACTGTCTCACACTTGATCAAGAGTAAGCAAACACAGAGACAACATCTTGACTCAGCCATTAGTAATTATAAGTGAAACCAGAAATAATTTACCTGGGCCACAAAAAGGAATTGTTTTGTCCTGTTTTTCATTAAGTCCCTAGCACCTGAAACGTAGCAAGTTCTGATACTGGGCTTCTAAAGGCATGCAGTTTTTCACTCACATCTACTTCAAAGAATTTCTTCCACTGAAACATAGCACAATCAAGGAAAAACTTCTTCTGGAGGCAAAGGAAGAGCACAAGTATATGTTGAGGCGTAATGTATGACCAAGATGGTACACTATATATAGAAGCAGTGAATGCTGTTAAAGTGTCACTCACAAAGGGATAGTCTAACATTAACACACAACTCAACTGCACTGCTAAATATGGTTGTCTTTATTTTCTTTTTCCTTGCCCAGCCCTATCTAAACATAAAATAAAACTACAGGACTGAAATTAACAATCCATTAAAATCAGCAATAAGTTATGAAAATCATAAAGCTTTTTTTTTTTTTTAAGTAATTAAGGGTAGTTAAATTATTTAAAGTATACAAAGTCCAAACAGCCAGGGGTAAGGTCTCCAAGAGGCCTTCCCAGGGTAAGGGAGAGGGCCACAAGGGAACCTTGGAGTTTGAAAGACAAAGGGAACACATGACATCAAAGTGCAGGCTAGAAATTTCACTTAGAAGAAAATAACATTACTGAAAATATTCGTAAGAGTAACAATAGCACCTGCACAGTGGGACTGTGAGGAAGAGAGAGACTGCCTGTAGGAAAATGGAAGCAAATCTTTACATTAAAATGAGACAAGTGCTGAACTTACTATGTTAACTATGATAGTGTGTCTACTATAGATATCAGATGGTTAAAAGCTGGTAAAAGGTAATGATTCTAAAAACAAAAATAGCATTGACCCTTTTTCTACCTAGCCCAGACCTCATTCATTTTGTGCACTATAAAGAGTGAGGTGTGAGGTGTTTTATCATTATCAAATGCTGCATCAAAATAGATGATTTTTTTCCCCATGTGTTTTTCCACTATAAAAGACATCTATTTTTTTTTATGGATAAGCTTTAAAAAGATGTCATTTTGGTTTTCAACACATATAAACAGTTATCAAAATCTGAAATAAAAATGCTGCTGTGGCTCAGACCTTGGCCTGCTAATCTGCGTGCACAACTCTTCTGACCCACGCAGACAAAGAGGCACATGGAGCTTTTTCCTTTTGGCCCCCCCAATCCATACTCATAGGCCTTGTAGGATAGAGGCTGTCATGCATGGACTGCTCCCATGTGGCCTAAGGGCAGCAGGATGGAGAGGTGGCAGCTGGGTGCCTAGTGCTAACAATGCAGGATAAGGTTAGCTTGCTTAGCATGGAATCCAACAGAAAGTTGAGCTGCATGATGATCCCTTTCAAAAGGCTTCATGGGAGTCTCTCCTTTTGCAGAGCATGAAATGAGCTTTTTTCAAAAAAAAAAAATAATAATAAAGGATTGATCATCCACAGGCTTCATGATAAACTGTCCCAGGCTGAGTTTTAATAGCTCATTATTAGCTATCCAAGATTAATACCTGATTTTCTTGTCTTTTCATTCGAATAGTTTTTATTTTGCTTTTAGGACCATAAAGCTCAGGAAGGGTTCATAACCCCATCCTTAAATGTGTCTACTCAATGTAGTATGAGCAAACTAGAAAAGAGAAAGAGGATGGCATCTCCAATGTCCTCTTCTCAATCAACTCAAATCAAGAAAATTTCACACAAGTTTTCTGCTGCCATTAAAAATTGTGATTTTTCCAATATGAATATTCTGAATATTTGTTCTCCTTGGGAGGCTCTGCCCCACTTTTTGCTAAGTATTTGCTTAAATACAGGTCCTCTGACCCTTTTGTTCAAGTATAGTTTTGTTTTGTTTTGTTTTGTTTTAAAGAGGAGACTGCATCATGAACCCAATTTAAGAGATTGTTTGTATTGAATTGGCCCAGTGAATATTTTGCCCTGCACTGTTATGTCATGCTGGGTTCTATGAAGTGAATGAAAGTTTGACACTGGCACTGGAGTAACCCTCGTCACTCCCAATACTCGGCAGGCTGCTGTGGTCATCAATGTCACTGATGCTGGTGGTACTTATATTGTCCACTTCTCCATGGGAGAACTCTGTGCTTTCAACATCCACTTCAATCTCCTCTGCCAAAGGAAAAAAAAAAAAGAAGAACATTAATTATCGAGTATAGCGCACCTTCAAAAACTAACAGCATGAGGAAAAGAGGTATAAGAAATGTTACACAACAAGCTTATTATCAGTGATGTCTGGAGAACAGAGGAACAAGGTGAAGAGACAGGAATATTTTTTGCCAAGGGGAATGTCTGATATACAGTGGTGGTCTTAATTTAGGCAGCAAATTTCCTAAATCCTTTGACGCCAGTCCGTCTGGACCTCCCTAAAGCACTTGGCGTATTTGGGAATTAGTGCTTAATATTAAAAGGTCCCAACCCCCAAGTGGTTTAAAAACATCTGTTTTGCATTAAACCACAAACTAATTCTCAGTTCTGTTTATTAATCAGGGTTGCCTTAAAGGGTGGGCAGGAGCATAAACTTAATATAGGCAAACTAGAAAATTTACCCATCCAAGCCTTTGGTGGTGCCATTCTACAGATAGTTCAACAGACTTCTAGGATTCATCATAAAGATCTTCAACTAGTCAGTCAAACAAGTCATTATAAAGTAGAGTTTGAGGTATATGTCTTAGATTTAATTTTCTTGCATCAAATATAGCTTGAAATAAGGGCCTGAGACTTAAAAGTCTTCAGATTATAGTGAGATCCATTTTGGTGGTAGTATACAGACTTAAAAGCCAAACATTAAAAAAAAAAAACACCACAAATACATATTTGACTCAGCTATCAATAGATAATGTTGCTGGACGCAGTGGCTCACGTCCGTAATCCCAGCACTTTGGGAGGCTAAGGCAGGAAGATCACTTGAGTGCAGGAGTTTGAGACAAGCCTGGGTAACAAAGTGAGACCTCATTTCTACCAAAAAAAACACAACAACACAAAAATTAGCTGGGTATAGTGGGTGATCCAGTAGTCCCAGCTACTCGGGAGGCCAAGGTGGGAGGATCACTCTTGAGCCCAGGAGGTTGAGGCTGCAGTGTGCCAAGGTCTCACCACTGCACTTCAGCCTGTGTGACAGAGTGAGACCCTGTCTCTTAAAAATAAAAAAAAAAATCTTAATTGTTAAATACTAGATATTCAATCATCAATAATATACATAAATCAATACACATGTTAAAAACAAAAAGGAGTTAAAAAGTTGTTTTCTCCCATCAGAGCTAGAGTGAAACCCAGGATTTTTCAGTTACCTTACTTAAATTCAAAGCCTGATGTTTCACATTTGGCACTGACTTTTTAAGGGTTCACACTAATCACAACTGCTTTAAAAAAAAAAAAAAAGTGGATTCAGCCGGGTGCGGCCAAGCACTTTGGGAGGCTGAGGCAGGTGGATCACGAGGTCAGGAGTTCAAGACCAGCCTGACCAATATGGTGAAACCCCGTGTCTAGGCTAAAAATAGAAAAATTAGCTGGGCATGGTGGCACGCGCCTATAGTCCCAGCTACTTGGGAGGCTGACGCAGCAGAAACACTTGAACTTAGGAGGCAGAGGTTGCAGTGAGCCAAGATCACGCCACTGCACTCCAGCCTAGGCGACAGAGCGAGACACTCTCTCTCAAAAAAAAAAAAAAAGTGGATTCTTGTGAGGCCAAAAGGACAGGGTGAAGCTATTTCCAGGAATATACTTTTCAAAAGGGCTTGTTGCTTCAAAAGTTTTAGAGATTCTAGAGATGTTTTTAAAATGTAGGCAGCTGTCCAAATAATCTGTGAATTCATATATTGGCTCTATATCCGAATTGCTTCAGAAGCCATTGTTTCCCAGCACCACTGAACACTCATCCAACCTACAACTAGAAGATAATAACAAGGCACACTATCCAAAAGAGCATGCTGAACTCAGTCAAAATAAAGTAAAATGATGGCCAACACAGTGGCTCACACCTATAATCCCAGCACTTTGGGAAGCCAAGGCAGGAGGATTGCTTGAGCCCAGGAGTTTGAGACCACTTGGGCAACAAGGCCCATCTCTATTTTAATAAAATTTAAAAATATGTTTAAAAAAATTTTTTAAAAACCCAAAAAAACAAAGTAAAATGAGAAACTGCTTTAGCCAAGTGTACCACAGATGTTAACTAAAAGCCCCCATAACACTACAAAAAGGAGGTTGCCAGCTCAGGATAAGGATGGTACTTGGTAAGGTACCGCTAAAGTAAGGTACACTGGGAACACTAAAAAAAAATGAGAGCTATAGTGATGAAAATACACCCTCCTCTCTGAAATTTGGAGGTAGTTGGGGTGGGTACAAGGAGGAGGTAACAGGAAGGACAGCTAAAACCTAAAGACCTAAGAAGAGGTTTCCGCTAGTTAGCAATAGAGGAAAGACTGGGACACCAAGGTCAGGGTTATTTCTGCTATATTTCACTGTTACTGATAAATGTAGCATGTACTTCAGGTTCTTGCTACTGCCTCTGGTAGACTTTTCTTGAAAACTGCCACACAAAAATAAACTTTTACATAGAAAAATAACAAAACAGAAAAACAAGAACTCCTAGGGTTGTGTTAAAAAGGTTGCGTTAAAAAGGATGAAAAAACTATTTAAAAGGCTCCTACTCAGCAAATCTGGGACAGTTTGAGCATTCAAAAGAATTTAAAAGGATGACTGCAATGGATTGGAACACATTCAGTACAGCAAAACATGAGTTCATGATATAATCAAAAAATAGTAAAACCAAAACTTGTTACTTCTGGAAGCTGCTAGGTTACCAACTCTGTTTGGAAAACTGATAAAGCAAAAACCAAGACCAAGCATTTATCCCACCTTCCCTGTATGAACTTTATTTCAGGATAACCGAAAAGTTGATGAGAAAATGTTTATAGGAGAAAAACAGTTTATAAATACAAGAGGAATGACACAATTAGAAAATCACTATTTTATGACACCCAATGAAATAAGGGCAATAATTGCTAAAACTGTTAAGTTAAAGGCTATACATTTATATAAATGTATTAAAATGACCTTACCTGAACCTATTGATTAATATTAAAAGTGCAACAACAACTACACACAATACTGACATAACAGGAAGTACAAAGCACCACCTATGAAGTATTCTGCATCTACCAACCAGTTTACAGTCAATATAAAGGACATAACATGTTAAATGACACCATGAGGATTCAACCAGCCAAATCTAGGATGTAGGAAATTCTATAAGAAAAATGACTCAGTCTCTTGATGTTTAAAAAAATATGTACATATATACAACACACAGATCTATACCTATATATTCCTTCATGTTTTCTCTGCCAAAGAAGTCTTTTTGAGATGTTATGTAGAAATCAGTTTTTGTTTCTACCAAAACGGTGTAGGGGGAAGAGAAAAAATTATTATAGATTAATATCTTAAAAGGCACATCAAACAAATGCAATGTGGCCTTTGGATCCTGATTTAAACATACCAATGGTAAAATGCCATTTTTGAGACAACTGGAGAAAATGTATCACAGACTGGGTATTAGATGATATTAAAAAAGATTATCTGAATTAATTTTGTGGGGTATTATAATAGCATTATAATTACATTTTTAAAAATCCTATTTATTCAAGATACATACTAAAGTATTTAGGGGCAAAATGATGTTATCTGGGATTTGAGTTAAAGCATTCCAGAAAAAATATTGAGGGTGAGCGTAGTGAAGAACAGATGAAACAAGTTGACAGCTATTCAAACTGAATGGTGGGTATACAGGAGTTCATTATTCTATTCTAAGTATGTTTGAAAATTTCCACTTAAAAAAGTCAAAAACAAAAAACAAAATCAGAGTCCTAAAAACAAACAAACAAAAAAACTCTGTCACTTGTCTCATGTTTTAGAATCCTAAAGAGCTCATGAGCTCCTTTCTCCAAATGTAAGACTTCAAATCACCAGTGTTCACCTCTGGGATCTTTTAATGTGATATGAAGCCTGATGTGGTGGAAGCTTTGGGAAGAACAATCAGTAAAATTCAAACCATTCTTTTTTGGTTGACTTCTGTTCTTTAACTCTGTCAAAGATAAATATTCTAGGATAGATGGAAAGAGAAATAAAGGGTGTTGTACTTTAAAATCTACATATAAAAATTCACATCACCAGTAGTAAAAACTTCGACATCGTGTATCTTCCTGACACAATGGATTGAGAAAGGCACAACATCATTTCTTTTCTTTTTTTTTTTTTTGAGACGGAACCTCACTCTGTTGCCCAGGCTGGAGCGCAGTGGCATGATCTCGGCTCACTGCAAGCTCCGCCTCCCGGGTTCACGCCATTCTCCTGCCTCAGCCTCCCGAGTAGCTAGGACTACAGGCGCCTGCCACCACGCCCGTCTAATTTTTTGTATTTTTAGTAGAGACAGGATTTTACCATGTTAGCCAGGATGGCCTCGATCTCCTGACCTTGTGATCTGCCCGCCTTGGCCTCCCAGAGTGCTGGGATTACAGGCATGAGCCACCGGGCACAACATCATTTCTGTGATATTCCTTACCCCAACTGTATACCCTCAATCTAATCATTTGAAAACATCAGACAAACCTAAATTGAGGGACATTATATAATTTATAATATAAATATATAAATATATTTTTTTTCAAGGAAAAAACAAAAAGTTTTATAGTCCACACTGGCACTGCTGTAGACAATATTATGATTGCATAAAACCTACAATGTTACTCTGTTGGCTAGAAAGAAAGCAAATACAGTGCCTCCCAACATACCTTCCCTAAATCCAGATACAGAGATGTTTAGTATTTCATTAGAGAAGAGGCAAGCTGCCTACCTCGCTCTGAATCAGAACGATCTGAAGAAATAGTTGATCCAATGCTGTCCATTCGTATTCGTTCCATCTCCTGAGGACCCTGCAGCTGTTCCAGTCGCCACTTTAAAAATCTCTGTTCTCGTTCCAAATTCTCGAGCTGGTGCTGGCTTTTTCTTTCAGCTTCTTCAAGTTTCTGAAATGATGAAATGATTTTTACATTTGTGTATAGTCCAGTACAAACAATAAAACTGATTCCTCCTTTAGCAGAGAAAACATGAATGAATATACATGTGTGAGTGTGTATAAAAATATATAAATACATTTTAAAGCCTCCAAAATGAGAATGCATATAAATACATATTTTTAAAAATAAAAAATAGTTTTGTCTTTACTTTTGTGTGTATGTAATGAATGCTATGTTACTTGAACAAGATGGACTTCTAAAAGTCTGTAAAGTAATCTCCACGGAGAAACTTCCTCTAGTATGGTATTTGATGGAAAAATACGGAAGGACACAGCCAAATGAAGTCATCTCCACCAGAGGGCACAACTGCCTTCCGAGTATGAAGAGGGTAATTGTTATTTTCCTAGTGTTCTCAGTTCTTCAAATGGCCACGCTGTCAAAACAATTTAGTTTAATCAGGTTATGTTGTTCCCATCAGATTAGCTGGTAAGTTTTTAGAAAGACTTCTCTTGAGGTCAGTTATTAAGGAGGGCATGGTGAACTAGCTGATGTATATGAATAGGAATCAGTGCCAATAATTAAACCAGAACTGAGGGAATTGTGCAAATCTGAAAGTAAAAATTCTCACCTTGATGTGTGCTTTGGCTTTGTTGAGCAAACCAAGTGTTGTGTGCCGGGTGCAGTCTGGTCCTAGTGGAATCAGAACTTTTAAGCGTTCTAAACAAAGGCGCAGATGAGCTCGTCTAAGAAAGACAAAAAGTCAAATCAGCACAGTCTGGTTATTTCACTAGAAATATCATAAAACCTATTTTAAGATAAACAATAATTTGCATTTATTCAGCCTATAGGATAGATGTCACACCCCTAATTCTCCACTGTCAAAGAATGTAGGGGTGGCCGCATTTCAGTCTCTGCTATTTCTGTTGTACTCTTTAGACAACACTCACTTTAGATTATTATCCCCAATGGTAATCTCTGTCAAGATGGTTTATTTTTTAACTCACCCCATAAACTGTCTCAACTGTATTAATATGGAAGTGTGAAAACATACCAGGACAATTGTATTTGATCTTGAATAACTAAAACCACAGGCGAGAGGAGAGGTTTTCAGCTATGGTACCCCAAGGGAATATAATATGCTCACAAGTTTCTATTTCCCCCCTCCCACCTTTTACTTGCTTGCACGTGTGTGGGCACACACACACACACACACACACACACCCTACCTCTCTACAACTGTAGCCATCCTACAGTGTGTTACATGTTGTTATATATTAGTTTGAACCACATGAAATTTCTGATATTCAACCACTTTTCACTTATAAAAATGTTGATTTCTTATACTCCAATACAACAGAAACAGCAAAATTCTGTGACCAGCTAGGGTAGGGTTAGACAAAATATATGCCCTGTGGTCAATTCTAGCCACAGAAATAACCCATAAAATAATCCCCTGCTTCCTATCTAAGTGTGCTAGCTCGTTAGCTTAATTTTTATTTCTTTTTTCTCTTCCTCTCTCGTCTCTCTCACTACCTGCCTCCAATCCACAAGGACAACAGGTGACAAAAATTACTTACTGAAAGTCATTGCATTCTCTAATCTATCCTTCCTGTGGGAAAGTTGAGGGAAATTTCTCCTAGAAATGCTAGCAGAGAACCTCATGGATTTACCTTCCCTGTGCCCTAAAAGAACTATGATCATGGTGATGAGAGAGTTCTGAGTATTTAACTTCATCCTAAAACAATACTAGTCCACATCTTTGGTCCTGTGTTTCATAAGGGGTAAGGTAATTCAGCAGTTAACAGCATATCTGAAAAGAAAATCCACAAATACGTTCACAGTTTACCCCTAGTCCTTAAAGACCTATAATTGAACTTTTGGTAACTGTCTTAACTGCATCAAGAACAAAACACACACCCTCCATTCTCTTCTGAAAGAGGACTAAAATGGTTTTGCTAATTCACACACCAAACTATGCGCTTTCTCTGTCTTAATAGACAAGAAATAATGTCAAGTGAAATTCTCAAAGGCTAGCAATTTGAAAAGAGAGGTAGGAGAAGGCAATAAGCAGCCAATTATGTCATGACAAGCAAGGATGATTAAGGGTAGTGAGGTCAGAGGTTTGGCTAATGAATTAAGATTCTTCTAGCACCTACTAACCTAACTATAGTTAAAGGTCTGACAGTATTTCCATTTCAAATTTCTTTATTGAGTTCAGTACCTCAGGTCTAATAATTGGGTCCAGGCTGAAACCTGACGTAACTGGTGTGGATAAAGGAATCCCTAAATCAAAGGTATATCAATGGATTCTCCTTAATGATATTTAACAACTTCAAAGTCACTTTCCTCCCCTGCTGTACTACCCAAATGCATAGAACCTTTAACAAAATTTTCATTTTTAACTGGAAAATTTCTTAGGTGAGGATTCTCATGTGACCACAGTGCTCTTGCTCAGCAGACCAAAAAAAGCAAACAAACAGCAACAACAACAAAACACCAGAGTAAAAAGTGCCTTTAAACTCTTCATTAAGATTATTATGGCATATGATAACAACTGCACTCATATAATATGACTGGAGCGTGGAAACAAAGACTGGCAGCTACACTAATAGACAATCCTGCTTTAAATTCAGTCTTCTAAAAAACTCAACAAAGCAACTAGTAAAGTTAACAAGCACATTACCGCAAGAATACCTTGTCAATTTGGTTCAAATTAACTCCAAAACTTCAGTATATGTAAGAATTATCTTTTATTTTTTAGTTTTTAAGAAACTTAAAATGGGCTGGGCATGGTGGCTCATGCCTATAATCCCAGCACTTTGGGAGGCCAAGGTGGGCAGACTGAGGCCAAGAGTTCGAGACCAGCCTGGCCAACCCAGTAAAACCTCATCTCTACTAAAAATATAAAAGTTAGCTGCGCATGGTGGTGCACGCCTGTAATCCCAGCTACTCGGGAGGCTGAGGCACAACAATCGCTTGAACCCAGCAGGTGGAGGTTGCAGTGAGCCAAGATGGCGCCACTGCATTCTGCCTGAGCCACAGAGTGAAACTCTGCCTCAGGAAGAAAAAAAAAAAAAAAGAAAAGAAAAGAAAGAAAGGAAAATCAAAATGATTCCATAAACTTTCACATCAAGGAAAAGAAAGGTGAGTCTATTTTCCGTTTTGTGATACTTGCTAAAACCTAGAATGAAAATAACTAACATATTAAAATTTTTTCTCTCTTTAATCATTCCATGTATTTATTACATGGATTTTACATACTCAGCACTGTTCCAGACACTTGCTTGAGAAGGAAAAGTAAAAAAAAAATGTTAACTTTAAGAGTTTACACTCAAGACTACAGAAAGAAACATATTACTTTGTTTCATTTGGTCCATACTGAATGAGTCATACAGATATCAAGGACAACAGAATCTGAATAAATCGAGAGATTGTAATCAGAGGAGGGAGACTTGTAAAAGAGGTTGAAATCTGACTTTGGACTTAAAGAATATTGAATTTGTCTATGAAAAAGTGAGGATTTGCTAGGTAATTTTAAAAGTAAAGGACCTAAATTTATGGATTGGGACCAAGTTTAAACATAAAATTGAAAAAATCTGAATAAATGGAGAGATTGTAATTGGAGGAGGTAGACCTGTAAAAGAGGTTCAAATTTGACTTTGGACTTGAATAATATAGAATTTGTGTATGAAAAAGCGAGGATTTTCTAGGTAATTTAAAAAGTAAAGGACCTAAATTTATAGACTGGGACCAAGTTTAAACATAAAATTTAAAATGCCTTATTTTCTCTCCTTCAAGGGAAAACAACTGAGCTGGAATTCTATATGGAAATAATCAGCTAGTTTCAGCTGTCTGAGGATCTGCAATGCACCGACAAATCAGGAGGTACCCAGACCAAAGTTTGAAAAATGCCTAAATGAACAGGGAAGGCAGAATGCTCTAAAAGATATTTTTTTTAGCCACTACTGAACATTTTATTGTCAAATAATTATTCATCTGCTCTGAGATACAGCTTACACCAAGAAAATATACCCTGAGATATCTCACAAAGGCCAGTGATGCCATTCTTCATATTTTGTAAATACAGTCCTCCAAAATCGGTATTAATATGAAAGATGAACAGTGAATTATTTCCTCTGCTCTTGTGGACAGAGGTGTACCTGTGGAAGATACATGTCATTTCCTTAAGTTTTTGTATTTAAATGAAACAGGCATTTGGAGAGTAGAATAACAAATGGTTAATGGCAGTTGAAGAACAGCAGCTGACCAAGAGGGAGAGTCCCATCCAAATAATGCACACAGTTACCACATGTCCTTAGCTGCCACTTAGGTAAATGTACCCTTCCAAGAGCAATGGATGCCCTGTAACTGTAAACTGGAAAGAGTTAAATCAGAAAAATCGATTCTCCTCAGTGTCTAAGTTTTTTTTCTCTCCTGCAAATTCTTAGAACAGCAATTGTATGGCAAAATTATTCTTCCTTTTCAATGATGCTGCTCTCCACCCTTTCCCCCATAAGTCTCCCTGTTGGTAACCAGATTGCAAGCTTAACCACCAGTGACCTAGAAAGGCATATCTTTTGATGCCATCTGGTCCCTTCTTTTCTTGCCTTCATTCTCATGTGACTGGTAGCTCAAGAGCCTCCTGTATGAGGCTGCCAAATCATGGGTGCTGTAAGACTTTGGGGGAAGGAAAAAGGACAAGCAATAGAAGAAAAAAGCTTGGTTTGATTTGAAAATCCTTATTCACAGGCTGGGTGCGGTAGCTCATGCCTGTAATCCCAGCACTTTGGGAGGCCGAGGTGGGTGGATCTTCTGAGGTCAGGAGTTCGAGACCAGTCTGGCCAACATGGTGAAACCCTGTGTCTACTAAAAATACAAAAATTAGCCAGGCATGGTGGTCCGTGCCTGTAATCCCAGCTACTCTGTCGGCTGAGGCAGGAGAATCGCTTGAACCCAGGAGGCAGAGGTTGCAGTGAGCAGAGATCGCGCCAGTGCACTCCAGCCTGGGTGACAGTGTGAGACTCCACCAAAAAAAAAAAAAAAAAAAAAATCCTTATTCACTGAGGAAAAAAACTGCAAGTATCATATGATGATGTTTTTCAAGTCTCCAAGGGAGAGAAGAGCTGACATAGAGAATAACGATTCATGAAAGGCATGGTCCTGCACCTCTAGTAAAAGAAGGGAAAGAAGGTTGGGGAAAGTTAAGGCTGCTCTTCTGAATATTATGATGAACATTAGACAAACAGCAAGTAGAAAAAACCTGGTACTGAAACATTTATAGAACTAGACTTAATGGAAACTGATTTTTAAAAATTTAGCTCCTTGGTGGACATTTACTTTATTTTTATTTAACACATACTTTTTAAAAACACATGAACAGCTAATAAAAACTGTAAAGCTGAAACCTTTCCTATTTTAGCATGAGTTATAGTAAAACAAAGTTAGAATTAGGTACTGCAGCAGGAAGTGCCCTGTGAGAAAACTGGAGTCCCCTTGCTGAGAGGGATGGGGTTACACAATGAAGAGTTCCCAAAGTACTTTTATTTTCAAAGACACTTTGAGTTCTGTTTTAAAATGAGATTTTAAAGTGGGTTTTGCCCAGGGGAAAAGGTAATTCCCAGCCACTAACCCTGTTAGAGAGAAGAGTCCTATCAAAATTAACCACACCTTCAAAAAGGGCAAGCCCCTTGTGGGATAAAGAACAATGAGAGTCTGTTTGGCTTTTATTTTGGTAGATTGGTATCATTTTTCCCTGAAGGAACCAATGCTCCTTTTGATTTCAAACTCTGTAACCTCTACTGCCAAACTGATGTACCACAGAACATGAAGGGAAATGATTTTGGTATAAAATGGCCTCTACTAGTAGCTGTGCTATTTTAAAGCACAGGTATATCAACTATAATAGGAAGCGCACACTGTTGTGGGAAGAGAGAGGAAAGAATACCCTTTCGGAACAAACTCCAAGTATCATTTGATTATGTTTTTCAAGTAGTCTTTCAAAACTCTAATACCCCTGTCCAACAATAATAGATCTAACCCCCGCCTGGCCCCACAAACGATCCACTGGCTGATGCCTTTGGAAGCATGGTCCTTCATTGGAACCTGCTTGTCTTTCATTCTTCCACTATAGGATACCTAGACTTTACCAGATAACTAAATCAAAATGGAAAGCAAGTCAAGTGATGGAGACAGTGCTTATATTTTCCGCTCTGCTGAATGTTACGTAATGAACTATGAGTCCTCTCATGAGCCACATTCTTCAAAGCTGCAGTGGCTTGTGGCCAGGTTTCTCAACTCCCAACACACACTCCTGCACGTGACAGCAGCTAGCTACTTTTCCTACACATATATACCAAAGTGTCTCTAAAACTTAATGTGTTGAGAATCTTCTGAAAACCCAAATTTATCCCCCCAAAAAACCCTGCCTGCCTGTTTTCCTAATGAAAAATGACATTAAAAATGGATCCTGATATATCAAAAGCATATTGTGGTTCATGAGTTTTATTTACTAAAACATGTATGATCATATTCTGCTGTTCAGCTTATTCGGTTCATGAAATAAGAAAGCTAAACAAAGGCCAGGCACGGTGGCTCATGCCTGTAATCTCAGCACTTTGGGAGGCCGAGGCGGGCGGATCATGAGGTCAGGAGATCGAGACCATTGTGGCTAACACGGTGAAACCCCATCTCTACTAAAAACACAAAAAATTAGCCAGGCGTGGTGGCACATGCCTGTAGTCCCAGCTACTTGGGAGGCCGAAGCAGGAGAGTTGCTTGAAACTGGGAGGCGGAGGTTGCAGTGAGCCGAGATCGCATCACTGCACTCGAGCCAGGGTGACAGAGCGAGACTCCATCTCACAAAAAAAAAAAAAAAAAAAAAAGCTAAACAAGCTATTTCTACAAAATGGCATTTGATAATCGTATGTTTCACCTACAACTCATATATTATCTACTTCACAGAAAATAAACAGACTGTTAACTCCCAGGTAGTAACGTGGCAAGTGGCAGGTCCCTAGTGTCAGATCTGATTGTGGTAGTCATGGGACTCAATGATGACAGAAATAAAAACTTAGGAAAATAGCTGGGACTCTCTTCTCACTTTTCAAAAAAGCAGCTTTCACTTAAATAGCCTTCTTAATTGGTATCTTATAAAATAATCAAATAGAAATATTAACAAGTGGTATAATAAAGCTGCAAATTCTACAAATTACATATAATATATAATATAATAATATAAATTATTCTGTCACATTGTCAGCCTCAGCATGAAAGGGCTTATCTGTATACAAATAAGAATTAAAATGGTTGAGATGCATGTTACTTATTCTTGGGAGACTTTTTAAAACCACTTTCTTTCAATAAAATATAAATAGTTCTTAGCATAGGCTATATATACCTCTAGAGGTATTCAACACTGAGCCAGAGGATATTTGAAGCCACAGGGTTATACTATCCTTTCCAGAAGTCATAATTTTTTCAAAAATTTGGAAGAAAAATATTTTATATAAAAACAAACACAGATAATGCAAAATGTGTTTTTAAAAGAAGACTTCAAATTTCATATTATTTCAGACAGGTTGAGTATTCCTTATGTGAAATGCTTAGGACCAGAAATGTTTTGGATTTCTCATTTTTTCAGATTTTGGAATATTTGCATTATACTCAGCTGAGCATCCCAAATCCAAAAATCCTAAGTCTGATATGCTCCAATGAGCATTTCTGTTGAGAGTCATGTTGACACTCAAAATGTTTCAGATTTTGGAGCATTTCAGATTTGTGGACTTGGGATGCTCAACCTGTACTACATCCCAGGGCCTCCAGGAATCTATGTTCAAACTGCTACAGCAAATCACAACACATCACTATGGACTTTGGAACATCATTTTTGACTCATGGCTGGGATTATGTCTCTCAAAGGTTTGGAGAGGGAAAAAGAAGGGACAGGGGAGAAGGGAGAGAAGATATGGAAGAGAGAGGAAAGGGAGATGTAAATTAATGATGACAAAATAGTCACATATTCTTTCTCAAACTACACAGATACCACATAGGCTGAAATGTCATTTAGTCTTTACAACTCAGAAATATGAAGAACATGAAGTGCCACTCAGTCAATAACAATTATCATCAGTAAACAATAGTGCCTTATTATACCACTGAGCTAAATGCTATAACGATTTTTCAAGTTGTCAGTAGTATAATCTTTACCTGTTTGAAGACTATAATTTAGTCCTCTGCCTACCACCTTTCCAGCCTCATTTCCCATAACTCATACCCTTGCAAACCTCTTCCATAACCAAATGTGCTTTTATACTTGCCAATATCTCTACCTGGAATGCATTCTCTCCAAATGTCCACCTGGTGGGCATCTAACTCATTTTCAGGCCATGGCCAAACAATTTCTTCCACAAGATCATCCTTGCCATACTCCTTCCTCAGATGATACTTGATTTCATACTAATCACACTGTATTTCAATTGAGAGTGAATCCATACTTTTAGTCATTTCTGTTTTTCAAATAAACAGAATGACTGGCACACAGTGGGGAGGAGAGATGTAATACTTCTAGTGGATGTTTCTGGGACTCTCTAACTCACCAAAGTTGAGGTAACAATCAACACCAGGACCTCCAAACAGTATAATCAGATGCCAGGCCAGCATTTGTGAGAGATCTATTTATGAATGCCAGAACTCTTAACCTTTTTTTTTTCTGGTGCAGCTGAAATCACCAGCAAATGTTAATAAGGTGCATACCACCAAAGATGTCTACATGTAGAGTAACCAACAGTCTCCAACCTAACTCTTGATGAGAGTCAACACTTTTTTTTTTTTTTGAGACGTAGTTTCACTCTGTTGCCCAAGCTGGAGTGCAGTGGCGCGATCTCGGCTCACTGCAACCTCCGCCTCCCAGGCTCAAGCAATTATCCTGCCTCAGCCTCCTGAGTAGCTGGGATTACAGGCATGTGCCACCAAGCCTAATTTTTTTTTATTTTATTTTACTAGAGACGGGGTTTCACCATATTGCCCAGGGTGGTTTCGGACTCCTGAGCTCAGGCAATCTGCCCGCCTCGGCCTCCCAAAGTGCTAGGATTATAGGCATGAGCCACCGCAACCGGCCAACACCTTTTTTAATAGTGAAGCAAAGGGTTTAAGAACTGCAGCTTTTACAACAGAATGACTTTATCAAAGTATTTACAGTGAAAGGGGCCTAGGACTAGGAAAACAAACAGCTAAGAAAACCAAGGTATGAGAAGGGAAAGTCTAAAAAGCAATATTCCACAATGCAAAGAAGAAAAAAATTAAGTCAACAGTTCTTAATCCCATGTAATAAATGAGAAACTAGTGTATGCTTACCAGATCCATGGACTGCTTGCTAAGTTGAAGACTATAGTGCAGAACATATAAACAACTATTTTTTTTAATTATCCTGCATTCATGTCTAAGGAAGACTTCATTTTTGACAGCCTCATTTGAAAAAAAAAAAAATAATTAAATCTTGTTCCAGAGGCATTTGTTCTTCACTGGAACTCCCACAAGGAACCCAAACTCCAAAGTGATTTAACAGAAATTGCTCACTTGACATCCATTCTGTGCTAAATTTAGTTTCTATGCATACTTCCCCTCTCTTATCTGTTTATAAGGATTTAGTTAAAAAGAAAAACTTGATCATTCATTCACCATATTTCTTCTTTGGTCACACAAGAACTTTCTGTATTCCAAGTTTCAAAGTCTGGGAAATAGGGCTACATCACTGGAGAAAACAGTGGCAATTTGTTCTAAATACAAAATAGCTTATTTTCCTTTGGCAACTTTCCAGGGGTCTGGGTAGAGGGAAGGGATACTCCTCTCTAGAGAGATCAGGCTCTGAACCTGGACTACTGTCAAAACTTAGCCATCGATGGGAGAGAATATTTTTTAATTATCTTTCACATCAATTTGGAAACTGATTAAAGATTTTTGCCTTATTAACAGTTTTTCTACTCTTTGGCCTTTTGTTGGTGTTCATCTCTATTCTGGCAGCCCCCATTGGCTGATTTAATGGTACCAAGGGGCTGAGAAGTGTTGCTGTCCAAAAGAAAAAGCATTCTCTCACAGGGACTGGGAAGGCAATCTGCAATCACAACAGTAGCTACTTGTTAACTTTCTATTTGAAACACAGTGATGTCAATAGTATTGTACCCTGCCAGCCACCATGGGGTAAAGTACATTTTGAAACCAAAACAAACTTCCTACGTGCTGGCAAGTGAGATCTGAGACGCAGTGATAATGTTCTACAAGACACTGACCTAATTTTATGTACAAAATGCAAGAATTAAGTCTTCTCTTCTACAAAAGTTTAAGTCTAACTCTCACAGCTCTATTCCCACCCAGAGCCCAGTGTAACTGCTTTATTGTATCAAATTATTGTCCAGGATGGAAGAGGGAAATGACGAAATACTGTTACTGATCTCTAATTAAAATGGTGATCTTACATAGCACAAAACAGCACATTTAAAGAATGCTTTGTAATATAGCTGTTCATCTAGAAGCAGAAAATGAAAATAGCAAAGCACCTTTAAAAGTGGCCCTACTAATAAGATGTGAGTTGTATAATAGCTCATTTTAAGGGGAATATTCATATAGGAGGAAAGACATTTTATTAAATGGAACAGGAACAATCTGGCCCAAGAATTAATTCATCCCTGGAAGGCGAATATTCATAATTTGTACTGAATATGAGCAACCTGAAATAGAGAGCTAAACGATTAAAAGTGGTAACCATGCTTACTACTGGCAGATGGCAAATGGTTTGGCATTGCTGGACATCTGCCAATCCAGTCAAGCCAGCCAGGAATTATTTTTAAAGTCCCATTTTAGAACAATTTTCCCAAAATCAAAATGCAGTTTGTTTTTTGGTGAGGAGGAGATAAAATTTGCAGTAGAAAAAGGGTAACAAAGAGGAATTGTTGGCCAGTGTGTATGTGTGTATGTGTTGTTGTTGTTGTTAATAACTGAAGCATTTACAGGCCATTTGCAACCTCTGGAAAAATAAAATTTACAGAATTTAAAATACGCCATAGTCCCTGATAATAATAGAGAATCAATGTTTTGGTATGTCTTTTTATTTCTAAATTACTTAACTGTTTTGACCTCTCTTTCATTATACTGTATCACTTTTTTTTTTTCCTGACCACAAAGGGCCCAACTGAAGAGTAGTTTTTGAGAGTAACTTTTGGAGGCAGCCTAGCATAACACAACACCTGGCACCAATCCTGGGCATGCCCTCCTCTGATAAGGCAGAAATTTTCTCAGTGTTATATATAGTAGGGCACTTACAGATTAGCACTTTTAGGTAGATAGAAAGTGAACATGCCTTAAGAACTACTTTATTTTTTAAAACCCTTCTGAAAAGGGAAAGGTGTTTGATAGATTAACAACAATTACAATTATCTCCTCTTTATCAAGTAAAAGACTGGGTTCAAGTTATATCTGGGTTGCAACATTACACTGTGTGACTTGCTTCTATTTATATTTGTCTAAATCTTAGTTTGACTCTCCTCTAGAAAAGCCCAGGAAAAGATTAAATGAGAGAGGAATCAAAGCTCTAGTATTTATTTTATATGATTCCAGCCTCAGCTCAATACCATTACAGTTTTCTAAGGACTGCTACACAAGTGCTATTATTTTCATTTCATCAATAGCTCAGGAGAACAGCCCTGAAAAATCTATACAGTTCCAGGGATTTGAGAAAAGAAGGAAGAGACAGGTGGAGGGGAACATGTTTTATTTTGTTACCATTGCCAGTCAATATTTTAGTTGTTCATCAGGCAGGTTGTGTGGCTCTCTCGCCTAAGTATATTCCAACAGCAAGAACATATTGACCACTACTCCAACTAAAGAAGCCAGTAGAGTATGGAGGTTAAATTTTCCAATCTTGGCTACATTTCCTTTCAGATACTGCAGGATGAAAGTTCTAAAACATCTTTCAGGATCACCAACAACTGTTATCTCACAGAACAAAAGGCATATGAAGGACACTTTGACATTTTGGAAAATAAGACCCAACATATATTCTGTATTGTCTTCTAAGAATATCAATATTTCTTGAACATTGCAAATCAGCCAAACCCATGCTCCCTCATTCATCTGACCCAATATATGCTAGCAGTAAATTCCAGCTGTTTTCAAGGACATTCTAAGGGCCCCATCACCAAATTGCTTCTTTAAGAAAAATTCTTTTCCATTATAAAAATAGCAGTCTTGAAAAGTCAATCAGCTCTATCTAAATTGTGTTATGTTTACAAATGTTTTAACTGCAAAGATGGGATTTCTAATCAAAAAAAGAACCTTATTTAGAGAAGAGTGATTTTTTTCACAGCTTTGTCGAATACAAGCTGTTCTGTAAAGGAATAATTGTGAATCAGGCTGGAATAAAGTGAATCAAGATGGAAAAAGCCTACAAACATTACAATTCTGAAGAAAAATGACATATTTGGTTGCATCAATGGTCCAAATGCCAAAGAGTTCACTTTTGACAATGACACCAACAGATGGCTCAGAAAAAACTATGATGGCTGTCCTCCAAGACAGTAACCAATATATTACAGAAACATACCCCTAACATCTCCTTACTAAAGCCCAATAGCAATATTTTATCAAAGAACTGATCTAAACTTGGTTTGATTTTATTTCTATTTTTTATTGGGGTAGTAAGTCCCCATATAGTTACCACATATTGTATTAAGACTGCCTTTTTTAATTTGAGAATTCCTCTTTTAGGATTCAAAGGGAATAGACACCCTCATTTTAGTCATTATGATTTCTGATGAAGAAATCTAAGTGTACCTTTTCCTAATTTCCAAGTTTCTCCCTTATCTTAATTTAGCCATTACACTTCAACATTAGAAAGCCTGTATCTTTCTCATTTGATTTTAGATTTTAAAGGGTCAGCTTTACTCTAGTTACTTCAGGATAAAAGTATCAGAAAATAAAGGATTCTATTAAACATATATTTTTCTGTAATGGCATAAAATCCCCTATCAATCTTAGTTTTTAGGGAAGCTTATAAGAGATAGGTTATGGGTTAAAATTTTTAAAAATCAATAATCACAGGTTGATGCACTAAAGCAGGCAGAAAGTTTTAAAAGGCACAAGATTTCCCATGCAAACATCTTGCTTGGGGTTCTCTATTAAAGGATGAGAAGCACTCAGATAAAATATAATGTACAACGTGAAATACATGATCTCAAAAGTTAGTAGGCTCTTCATCATATAGGGCCTGCTAGAATAAAGTTGACATCTTCAATAGTACTCCAAAACACAATGACCTCTAAGAAATTATGGAGGGCTAAGGAACTGGATGTTCAGGTATCCTCATTTACTCAGAGGTAATGATAGATTGATCTGTCCCAGTTGAGGCTTTTGGTTGTTTTCACAAGACATTTGGGCATTCACCAACATTGCCACCACAAAAAGAGGGAGAACCATTGTAGACACTCCTTCATAGAAAACACAGCCATTAAAAATGACACTGTATTAGGCCAGGCACGGTGGCTCACACCTGTAATCCCAGCACTTTGGGAGGCCGAGGTGGGCGGATCACGAGGTCAGGAGTTCGAGACTAGCCTGGCCAGCATGGTGAAACCCCGTCTCTACTAAAAATACAAAAAAATTAGCTGGGCATGGTGGCACATGCCCTTAATCCCAGCTACTCAGGAGGCTGAAGCAGGAGAACTGCTTGAACCTGGGAGGCAGAGGTTGCAGTGAGCCAAGATCATGCCACTGCATTCCAGCCTGGGCAACTGAGCGAGACTCTGTCTCAAAAAAAAAAAGAAAGAAAAGAAAAAGACTCTGTATTTTAGCTGTCATCAGAGACATACCAGAAAAGCGACCATAAATTAGTAAGAAGGTTGTATCACATTCTCCAAATGTACTCTCAGGCCTATATCTATCTTATCCATGCTGAAAAGCTGCAAGTTCACTTTCACCCCAGAGTAAGTGACAACTATAATGATTAAAAGAGCAAAAGAGACTCAGATGTAGTGTTTCTCCTGAAAGCCCTTTTAAACATACTGAAAACATGATAAAAACCAATTACGGCAAACTCCAAGAGAGAACCATGCAGAGGAATAACCACTCATGTCTAAGCAGTTCATATTAGCCTCAGCCCGTGATAACCCCCTGCTATGAGTTTACCTCAACTCCCATCTCAAACACATACAACTTAGCACTTAATTATATGCTGCTTATAGGAGCTTATAATATCTTTTGTCTTCTACCTAGACTATAATCCTCCAGAGCAGGGCTCAGGACTTCTACTTCTTTTATCCTATTCCCATTACCTAGCACACAATGTCTAATAAGTGCTTGTCAGTTGATTTGTAATTATCTTTATAAGTCCTCTGTCAGTGTCAGGAACTATACCACTTCAAATGAACTCCATTTCCACCAAAAATTTCAAATCAGAAAACATCATCTTGGGGTATATAAGACTGTTAAGAGACATTAGCATAATTACCCATTACTTGCAAGTCACCCTAGATTGACAATCAAAGGAAGTTCAAAACAAATCCTAAATTTTCAAGATCAAGTAATCAAGGAAGTTTGAAACAAACCCTAAATCTAAAGTTTTAACGTATTTCCTTGTTATGTCATCTAAAGTGCAAAGGGTGAGGAAGAAGAGTCAGAGAGAGGAGCCAAATTGTACTTTATTGAATATAGTAAAACTGTTGCTAAAAGATAAACAATTCTTAACTATTATTTATTCCTAACCAATGTTGGGCCTGTACTAGCATCTAACTCCTCCGTACTCAGAGCTCTATCAAAACCTTCACCTGTCAAGAAAGATGTGTCCATTTTGCAAATTGAAGGTGCCAAACTCAAACATATATTTGAGCTCCAGCTTTTTCATATCCGAACTAAAAAATCCTAAATAGAAGTAGAATACAGTTCTGTATACCATTTCTAGAAAACATTTCTCCATCGAGGACCACCATTTGAAAAAAAAAAAATTTTTAACATAAAGCACTAACCAGCACTAGCCTCAAGCTAATGTTTAAAAATCAATTTTTTTATATTCCATTCAACTAATACTAAACTAAAACATTGTTGACTACAATTTTAAATGAATGGAATTTTATTATGGCAAATTATAAAGCCAGTTAAAATCTAGAAAAATAATATGATAAAGTTAACAGGAATTTGCCTGAGTAAATTAATCTACATAAGAAATCTTCATCTGGATGAAGTTTAAAATTTTATGATCTCAAGAATATTTAAAAATCAATTACTAGGACGGGCGTGGTGGCTCATCCCAGCACTTTGGGAGGCTGAGGCAGGCGGATCACGAGGTCAGGAGTTTGAGACCAGCCTGGCCAACATGGTGAAACCCCGTCTCTATGAAAAATATAAACATTAGCTGGGTGTGGTGGCGGGTGCCTGTAATCCCAGCAACTCGGGAGGCTGAGGCAAGAGAATCGTTTAAACCCGGGAGGCGGAAGTTGCAGTGAGCCAAGATCACACCATTGCACTCCAGCCTGGTGACAGAGCGAGACTCCATCTCAAAAAAAAAAAAAAAATCAATTACTAATATATTTCTTTCTAAGCACAGCAAATCAGAATGTGCTAAACAAAACTACTTTCAAAATTTCTAATACAATGCCCAATACAGCAGGAACAAGTTTTGGTATACCATATTTGAAACTCACTAAAATAGTTATAAATTACTTTCTTTTTAATAACCTCTTATCTCTAATTGCTTCACAGCCTTCAAATGAATCAAACTCAGAACTCACATATATGTAACTCATATACCTTTGTGGAAAAAAAGATGTGTATATGTATCTCTCTCATACACACACACACACACACTTTTAAATTATGGTAACAGAAAAATGGCTCCAGATGAACCCATTGGCCACTTCAATAACAATCTCTGTAGCTAGCAGCATGTATGGAAATTTAGAACATCCTGAGATATTTTCCTAAAGCTATTAATTCTAAACTAAGAGAGACAATTAGCTTTCCAAAAAGGAATGGGTCTTCCTAAGGCTCTGTCCAAGATCACTGTTCCAGCAGATCATGGAAACTTCCATGAAAGATTCTATTTCTGTAAATAATTCTACAGGCCTTAAATGATGTCAAATTAAATAGCTGTGAGAAGAAACAAAAAAATCAGAAGGAAAATAGGATTAACACAACTGCAGATGAAAATCATAGAAAAGAGTATATCTCGAAAAGCAAGCTGAAATCTACAAAGATGCTATATCAAATTATAGAGCTATTTAGACAGAACAGGGTAACAACACCTCAAGGGCCAGATACTTGTATAAATTCCAAAAATTCTAAGGAAAGGTTTTCATAACAGAAAAGATCTGTCACAGCTTCTATGCTAATTATAGTAAACTTGAAGTCACAATGGAGTTTCTTGGTCTGCTGTACCAATTCAAATACAGAAAAAAAATGTACTTTCATCTGTAAAACCATTGCACTCAAGAGGCATTTTCTCATGGTACAACTTTAGCAAAGAGGTCCCATTATGAAGCACAATCACCACATATTTCCTAAGTGGGTCATATTACCTAGAATATTCTATGGGGACAAACTGTTCTCTTTGAAGCAGGAGTGGAGAACAAAACTATTTTCCTTGGAAAGGGAATATATTTGCAGGGTAGCAAATATCTCACTATGTGCCTTCCTAAAATATTTTCTATCTCGACATGGCAGGTTTTACCAGCAAAGACAAAAACAAAAAAAACTCAGCTATTTATTTGACTTGGCCAAAGTCAACTTTTTTCTCTGAATCTAACGAAAGGTGCAGAGCCTGCTACAGAAATGTTCCTTACTAATTCACCTTAAGTACTAAGTGCAAGGCACCGTGTCAGATACAAAGACAAGCAAGTTACAGTTTCTGCCCTCATGGAATATATATGCTCTAGCAAGAATATAAATGATCTAGAAAGGGAGGAAATAACAGTATAAAGTAGTATGGGTTAAAATTCATACAAGTGACACAAACAGTGAATCTGAGATAGGAATTTAGAGAGATCAGTTTGGATAATCAGGAAACACTTTGTGAAAAATTATGTATCTTAGCTGTGCATCTTGAAGGTAGTGTAAAAAACTCTGGTCTGCGAATCAGAAAACCTAGTTTCTCATCCTGACTTTGTCATTAACCAGACTGGTAGAGCATATTACTTACAGGGACTTAGATTTTCAGTACTCTACTAGATGATCTTCTAAGGTCTCTCCCACCTTTATTATCTGTGGAAATGTATGAATAGAATACACCTATTGCCTTTTTAAAAATCTTACTTTAAAGTACTGTAAACTAAGTGGCTCAAAAAAAATCTTTTTTTAAGTTCACAAATTAATGCACTCTTACTACAGAAACTATGACAATAAAATCAACATGATCGTTTCCCCTTGAATCTCACTCCTTTCCCCAGAAGTAACAAAAGTGTATCCATCTGACATCTCTTTTGAGGTGTGCCTTTTCGATGCATTTACATACACATACATGTACATATAGAAATACAATCATCCCTCAGTATCAATGGGGGATACCAAAATCCCCAAATGCTGAAGTCCCTGATATAAAATGGTGTAATATTTGCATATAACCTATGTACATCCTCCTCTATACCTTAAATCATCTCTAGATTACTTATAATACTCACTACAATGTGAATACCATGTAAATAGTTGTTATATTGTATTGTTTAGGGAATAAGGACACAGGGAAAAAGTCTGTATATGTTTAGCATAGATGCAATTTTCCCCCCAAATATTTTCAATCCATAGTCGTTTGAATCCATGGATGTGGAGTTCACAGATACAAGAGCCAACTGTATGTGATTTTGCTTTGTTATTTTTTAACATAAATGAGATCATATTGAAATGCCATTTTGCAATTTGCTTATTTTCATTTAATATGTCTTGGAAATCTCTCCACATACACATATACACATCTACATCATTCTTTTTACTTGCTACATGGTATGGATGTATCATCATTTATTTAGTCATTCCCCTGTTAACAGAAATTCATGTTACTTCTAATTTTTATTATAAACACTTTTGTTATTCTTGTTCATGCCTATCTGTACATGAGTAGAAGTTCACAAGGCAGGGGGAGTATATAGTCAATCTGAGCTGAAGTTATAAAGGTAGAAAATATAGGAGAAGATGAAAAAGCTCAGACCAGGCATCCATATTTTCAGCAAAGGGAGAAATGAAGAGTCACAATGGTATACTGGAAATATCTTTAGACTAGGAGATGGGAGATATGGGTCCTAGCCATTGATTCAAAAACTAGATCTAAGAGTAAAAAGTGGGATTGGGTACTTCAAATAGCAGAAATTTTTAGTCTAGAAGAAATCTTAAAGATCATTCATCTCTATCACGTAATTTTAGAGGAACTAAGGTCCTGTCTGTAAACCACAATATGATTTGATGACCTCTAGAGCTTTGGCTTTTGCCTCACACTCTCTTGGAGGGGTTAAAAAAAAAAAAAAAATGGTTTGAATAGTCATTATGATAAATGCTACAGGGGGACAATGAGAAGTGAAAATGGCCAATCCATAGAAGGCTGCAATTAAACACAGCATAACTATCTAGTGGACCCAGTCAGCACAGCTCTCATTTCCAACGCTTAGCAACTCTGCAAGCAAAAAAAATAAACAGTAGACATGTCCTAGAATTAGGAATGGGGCTTGGCAGATTATCAAAGCAGTGAGGACATTATTTAAAAGCTACTTTTATTGTCTAAATGGTTAGGAAGAAAGATTCCAACATACTGACCTGTAGCTACTTTCTCTTCAGATTGTTTATAGACAAATATTTTAGATGAGCTAAGCTGTGCTCCTTGTTTTGTGTAAGAGCAGTGTGCTCTTTCCTCCTGGTATATGGCTCACTCCATCCAGTGATCACTGGAGCCTATTAAAGTGACTGATGAGATACAACAATATAATACAGTTACAACCACAAAACCAGATTTCTGGAGCCTGAGCAAATATAAACTTGTCAGAGAATACAAAAAAGTGGCCAGAAGTTATAACACAATAATGCTTACCAGATTAACTACATTTCCTTAGAAGTCAGTGGTAAGTAGTTTTCCAAAAGGGACAGGGTCCTGAATGTTCCTGAGCATTTAAATTTCAGAATTTGTATCTATATCTATCCATATGAGTGTGTGTATGTGTACACACAGCTTTGAGGAATGTGTTTGTAGTATACACACAAATATATGTTTCTTAGGGCAAATTCTAGTCTTATATAAATATTTACTACTTATCAAAGTTCTTCATTATAAATTAAAACCTTATTATAGCTACAGTACCATGTATTATAATAATCTTTAGATATTTACAAAGTACCAAATTTTAAATGAAGTGAGATTCTAAGCTGATTTTTCCTGCTGGTCTTTCATTTCATGTGTGTGTGTGTGTGTCTCAAGTGTTATATATATGTATATATCTGTGGGCGTATACACACACACACACACACACACACACACACACACACACACACCTGTATCAAGGAAAATGCTTCAGAAACAGCAGAGTAACAACTAAGTTTCTAATATGCCAATAATTACTTAACTCAAAAATTCACAAAACTGTACAAAACTTTACATGTAGGCAGGGATTTCTAAGATCATCTAGAGATCCTCCTTTAATAGCCAAGAAAAGCAAGACTCCAAGAAGTGGTTTAACTTATACAACATTCACAACCTATCAGTAGTAGAGATGAAAGGAAAAATTATGTCTTCTGACTTCTGGTACGATACTCATGTCAATGCATTACATATCTCCCAAGGGCCATCTGTGTTGGATTCTGGGTATCATTTTTGACAATTTGGCTCCAAAATCATGTTTAGTATTAAAACCTATCTTTCTCCATTGGCTTTTCCCAAAATAACAACAAAACAAGGAAGTCATTTACTTATGAGTTAAGTTCCAACTTTTCTTGATTTAGAAGATGTGAGTATAAGCACTATGTCATGTGTTTGTCATAGTGCTGATTAATTATTTTCCAAACAAATTCGTCTTAAAGAACTGGTTAGCTAGTAATCAGATTAGGAAATTCTGTTGTCATTACTGAATCCTAGTTTAGACCTAAAGTTTTTCACTAGTAACACTTACGGGACTTTCACTGTCATGGGATTGACATTATTTACTAGAATAAGTAGAAAAAGATAAGCAAGAAGTAAAGAATTATCCTCTTCCTCAAAACAGCTAAAATATATCAAAATATCTGAATCTCTTCATTTTTAGAATATAAATGCAAGATACTAACAAAGTCTCTCATCTAATAAAAAGACATTTTTTACTGATTTTCCTCTTGGCATGCTTTAATTGCCAAAATTTGTACCAGAATAGAAATTATCTTTAAATGAAGAAGATTCTAGTTTAAGAAAAAGTATTTGAATTGTGCTTACTATTCAATTTTCAATATTTATCACAGCATTTACAATGGACAAATTCCTTTACAATATGCAGCAAAAGAATTTAGCAAAATAACATATTGCCTTAAAGTCTAGTAGGATTCTCCTGTGTAATTATTACAAGCATCAGTACTAAAGGTATAGTCAGTTTATGAATCAAACACATTCCTCAAAGCTGCATATAAAATAAATTTGTTTACATTGCATCATCTAAAATATCTCAAGAAAATCTATTAATTAAACTCTTCCTGTTGTTTTTTTAAATTACAAATTCATAGTTTGAGAAGAATTGTTTTCTTAAACAAGTTACAGCTTAAGTTAGGCACTCTGCAATCACTTGCATAAAAAGCTACCACAACTTCGCTATAATATACCATGTCAATTATTCAATGTCTGACTTATTTGTTTATTTCTATACAAAATTTTAGAAGCTGAATTTCAAGTTACAGTACTTCTGATTATTTTTTAAGATCTCATAATCTCATTTCTTCCCACACATCAGTTGTAGAATTGCTTTAAACTTTAATAACTGGCTAGCTGAAGTACTAAAAACACTTGGTTCCTACAATTCAGTCTTTGTCTCCGAATGAGCCTCTGTCACCTTGCTGTATATGTAACCTAGGTCAGGGAGAAGAAAGCTTAGTCTTAATGAACTATTTCTAACAAAGGTCAGTATAGAAACTGTGAATCTATCTAGACACAACTGCAATGACTTCATTGTACAGACTGCATTTTAGATGTGTAATTTTATCCTGGCTACATTTCCTCTATTTTATCTCTAAAACCTGCACATTACTTCATCTTTATCTCATATAGCATTCAATTCTAACTCTAACAGGTGCCTATCTCTGCCCTCTGACAACTATTTTTAGTTGGTCTACAGTTTTCAGTATTCCTATCCCTATAGAAATTACAGTTAAAATATTCATTTACTTGCATACAAAAAGAAATACATGAATTATATAGCTCTCTGATAAATGATACTGTTCTTCATACTGTTTGATAATGTTAATTTACATATTTATCCGGTTCCTAAGAAAATTCAAGTAAATGAGTGTCACCTACTTTCTAAGAGTTTCATAAGAAAATTCAATTAAATGAGTGGCCCCTACTTTCCAAGACATAAGTGTTCTACAGTAACCCTCTATAATTCAGCCCTGCAACTGGACTCCTACTGTCTAAAAAAGTACAAAGAATATAATTATCTTCTTCAGGACTTTTGCAATAATTAAAAGTATGGGTATCAATTTTCTACCTTTAGGCTAAAAATGGGAAGTAACCACCATTTTTATTTGCCAGAAATAAAATCCAGAAAACTGGATCAGTAGCTACTTCCTGATCACTGGACAATGTTGTTTTTCCTTTCCTCCACAACTATACTTCTTAATTTTGTTGTTCAAGGCATAACAAATATAATCAAGTTATATTCTGTTACATCTTAAATGAAATTTATAAAACTAGTAAATTCTTTCAATATCTAGTCTTAATTTTGTTAAATGAAATTTATAAAACTAGTAAATTCTTTCAATATCTAGTCTTAATTTTGTTAGATTTCATTGTTAATTAGAAATCCTTAAAACCTATACCTCCCCCCTTATTTTTTTTTCCAGAGGGTTTTTGTTTTTTGTTTGTTTGTTTGTTTTTTAAACACCTATTATGCCATGAATTCACAGGGAATAGGTTCCAGCAGCTCAGGCATCTTTCCACTGGTTCTTATAAAGTACGCGTCTCTGGATAGAGCAGGCTGGTGCTTCAGCTGAACCCAGAAACCTTTCTCTTTGGCTTATTTTTCTGATCATTTTCCTTCATGCATTTCATGAAGCTACCTCAGTTCTTAGAGTGCTTAAAAAATATGCTCAATACACATGTTAATTCTCTTGGCAAGAATCTTGCCCTTCGCAGTGGCTCATGCCTGTAATCCCAGCACTCTGGGAGGCCAAAGCGGGTGGATCACTTCAGGTCAGGAGTTTGAGACCAGTTTGGCCTATATGGCAAAACCCCATCTCTACTAAAAATAGAAAGAAAATTGCCAGGTGTGGTGGTGGGTGCCTGTAATCCCAGCTACTTGGGAGGTTGAAGTAGGAGAATCACTTGAACCCGGGAGACAAAGGTTGCAGTGAGCCAAGATCGCGCCATTGCACTCCAGCCAGGGCAACAAAGCGAGACTCCGTCTCAAAAAAAAAAAAAACCAAAAAAAAAACTTGCCCTTAACTTGTTTGTGTACAACAATGCTAATAGCATGCTCGCAGTCTTCCAATTTTGCCATGGTAACATTTGTGGACATTTCTTTTTGAACAGTACCCATTCCTTTGATATCTACAATATCATCTTTTTTGTAGAATCGCATGTCTGTGGCCAAAGGAACAATTCCATGTTTTCTAAGAAACCCAGAGAACGTATATCAGGAGTCTTTCCTCTTTCCCTTTATGTTTGTTATTTTGGTAAATTACTGGAAGACGGTAATTCCAGCTGAAAGAAAGGTATATTCTTTTCATATGCTAAATAGAGACTAATCTTTCTCCATTATTAAATACTCATACCACATTACATACTGGCACCACATAATATATTGAAAACTTACCTGTGGTTAATTACATGTCTTAAGTAATTGCAAAGTGTTGAGCCATCTGTGCAGTGCCATCAGCTGATGATGACATTATCAGTTTTTAAGTGCCAAACTGCAAACTCAGTGGACTTTTCAAGACCTTTCTCTGATCAGTGGTAACTGGTATGATGAATGGATGACTACAAAGTTGGTGAGCAACCCTAGATGGTCATCTTAGTAACTGTGAAGTGGTATCTTATAGTTTTGATTCACATTTCCCTAATGACTACTGATATTAAGCATTTCACATGTATATTGGCCATTTCTTTTTTTTTTTTTTTTTTTTTTTTTTTGAGACAGAGTCTCACTCTATTGCCTAGGTTGGAGTGCAGTGGCACAATGTCAGCTCACTGCAACCTCTGCTGCCTTGGTTCAAGTGATTCTCCTGCCTCAGCCTCCCGAGTAGCTGGGATTACAGGCATGCACCACCATGCCCGGCTAATTTTGTATTTTTAGTAGCGATGGGGTTTCTCCATGTTAGTCAGGCTGGTCTTGAACTCCCAACCTCAGGTGATCCGCCCACCTCAGCCTCCCAAAGTGCTGGGATTACAGGCATGAGCCACCATGCCCAGCTCACTTTGATAAATTCTAATGTGTCTATTTTTTTCTTTTGTTGGTTGTGTTTTTGGTGTCATATGTAAAAAACCAATGCCTAATGCAACATCATAAAGATTTACACTTATGTTTTATTCTAAGAATTTTATTGTTTTAGCTCTTAAAAAATTCAGGTCTATGATCCATTTTGAGTTTTGTGTATGGTGTGAGGTAGGGATCCAACCTCATTATTTTGTATGTAGGTATCCAGTTGTGTCCGCTCTATTTGTTGAAAATACATTACATTGTCTTGTGATCCTTGCTAAAAATTAGTTGACCATAAATGTGAGAAATTATTTCTACACGCTCAACTCTATTCCACTAATCAGTAAGTCTGTTCTTTGGTCAGTTCCATACTGCCTTGATTACTATAGTTTTATAGTGAGATTTGAAATCAGGAAATGCAAGCTCTCCAACTTTATTCTTTTCAAGATTGTTTTGGTTATTCTGGGTACCTTGCATTTTCACATGAATTATATTATCAGCTGTCAATTTCTGCAAAAAAAAAGGAAGCTGGAACTTTCATAGGGCTTGCACTGAATCTATAGATCAATTTGGAAAGTACGGCCATCTTAACAATATTAAGTCTTCCAATCCATGAGCACAGGATATCTTTTCATCTATTTAGGTCTTCCTTAATTTATTTCAAAAGTATTTTGTATTAATAGTTTTCAGTGTACAAAGCTTTCATCTTCTTGGTTACATTTATTCCTAGGTATTTTATTCTTTTAGATGCTATTGTACATGTAATTATTTTCATCTTACTTTGCCCAATCCATCAGAAGATTCACTATCTATGGCAGATACAGCCTTATGAAATGTATTTCTGAAATAATAAGACTTGAAAGTTGAAATCACACCTTGGTCCAATGGGCTGCAGAATGGATGTTGTGTTAGCATACATGAAAATAACATTAATATCCTTGTACATCTCCATCAGAGCTCTTGGGTAACCAGGTGTATTGTCGATGAGCAATAATTTTTTAAAAAAATTTTCTGAGTAGTATGTCTCAACAGTAGGCGTCAAATAGTAAACTATGCTATAAACAATGTGCTGTCATTCAGGCTTTATTGTTCCATTTACAGAGCACAGGCAGAGGAGATTTAGCCTCATTCTTAAGGGCCTAGAATTTTCAGAATGGTAAATGAGCACTGGCTTCAACTTCAAGTCACCAGCTACATCAGCCCATCAGCCCCTATTAAGACAGCCCAGCCTTTGAAGCTTTGAAGCCAAGCATCGACTTCCCTTCTCTATGACTTCTGCTCTAGCTATGAAAGTCCTGGATGGCATCTTCTTCCAATAGATGATGGTTTCGTCTACTTTGAAAATCTGTTGCCACCTTCGTTGATTATTTTAGCTAGATTTTCTCAATAATTTGCTACAGCTTCCACCTTAGCACCTGCTGCTTCACTTTGTACTTTTGTATGGAGATGACTTCTTTTCTTAAACCTCATGAACCAAACTCTGCTAGCTTCCAACTTTTCTTCTGCAGCTTCCTCCTCTCTTAGCCTTCACAGAATTAAATAGAGTTAGGGCCTTGCTCTGGATTAGGCTTTGGCTTAAGAGAATGTTCTGGCTGGTTTCTATACAGACTACTAAAACTTTCTCCATATCACCCATAAGGCTGTTTAACTTTCATATTTGGATGTTCACCAGAGTAGCACTTTTAATTCCCTTTAAGAACTTTCCCTTTGCATTCACAATTTGGCTATTTGGCACAAGAGATCTAGCTTTCAGTCTATCCTGGTTTTTGACATGCCTTCCTCACTAAGCTTAACCATTTCTAGCTTTAAATTTAAAGTGAAATACATGTGACTCTTTGTTTCACTTGAACACTTAGTGGCCATTGTAGGGTTATTAATTGGCCTAATTTCAATATAGCTGTGTCTCAGGGACAATAAGAGGGAGAGAGATGGGGCAACAGCCAGTCAGTGAAGCCATCAGAACACACACAACATTTATTAAGTCTGCATCTTATATGGGCATGGTTTGTGACACCCTAAAACAATTACAATAATAACATCAAAGATTACAGATCCACAGATCATCGTAACGTATGAAATTATAATAAAGTTTAAAATATTGCAAAAATCACCAAAATACAACACAGAAACATGAAGTGAACATATGCGATTAGAAATTGACCTGCTTGACACAAACCTTCAATTGCTAAAAAATGCAGTATCTGCAAAGTGCAATAAATGAAGTATACCTGTACATAAGATCATGATATCTGCAAGCAGAAATGGTTTTACTTCTTTCTTTCCAATCTGGATGCCTTTTATTTTTTTTTTCTTATCTAACTGCCCTGGGTAGAAGCTCCAGTACAATGTTGAGTATAAGTCATGAAAGTTGACAACCTTATTTCTGATCTTAGGGAGAAAGGATTCAGTTTTTCACCATTACAAGTGCCATAAGCTGTGGGTTTGTCATTAATGCTGTTTATCAGGTTGAGAAAGTTACTCTAAGGTATTTTCATATTGAGACATACTAATACCCTTTGCATCTTAGTAAAAACCAAGGCTAAAATGGGATTTTGACTAAACTTTCCAAAATTACAGGACCCAATCTAAAACTGTAGACTTTTAATCCAGCTGAAGTTATAGGTTAATTTCAAACCTAGAATAAAAGTTTGACTTCCCTAACCCTGCAACCTGACTTTAATGCAAGCAAATACCCTTTAAGTACTATTAGTTGAGGTAAGAGTTTTAAAGAAAGTTCTGTCAAACCAATGTTGTTTCTTTCCTACTAACAAGTGTACATTTTTTTGTAGAATGTGTACACCGTGTAAAAAAACTATGCCCTTTTTAAACAAATATCTTAAAAGCATACAAAATAGGCAGTGAAAACGATTTCAGATATGTTCTTCCTGCCAAGGAATCCTAAATTAGTCTGATGATGTACCAAGAGAAAACACTGCCTAACCCTCAGTCATAAAGATTTACTCTTACGTTTTGTTCTAAGATAAGGCAGACCAAAACCATCACTCTCTCAAAACATCCATGTAAAATGGGGACACGATAGGCAGTATAGAAAAAAAAATGCATTCATTATCGTGTCCAAACAATTGGAATAAACAGAACTAATCCATCAAAAATTCTAACATGAAAAATTTGAAATTTTTTACAGGATTCTTGCCTACAAGTATAAACAAATCTTTTCCTTGTAAAAATGCTTACCATTTTCAAGTCATGGGATGAGAAAGGAATAAAGATCCCACAAGTATAGCATAAACTTCATCAGATAAAGTGTTCTCCTTTATAAAATTACCTATCCTTATCTTAGTGCACTGTATGGTATCCTAAAGGACTAAATGAGTCCATATGCTTCTAAAAAAGTACGATAAACTCCGGCATGGTAAAAATCCTTTAAGCTGTTCTTACTTATCAAGTTTTCTCATATAATTTATTTACATCTTAAGAATTCATTAAATTTTCTATTTGCCTATTATAAAATTCTTTTATTATGTCAACTGAACTCTCAAGAGTATATATCTTCATCACTTTTCACTGAAGTCATTATAATGTGAAAACATGTTGATTATAAATCTACTATCACATATCATTTTTTCATTCAATGAATTTTTACTTAATGACTGCTATGTGCTAGGGTAAATAAGACAAAGTCCTGCCTTCCTGAAACTTATATTTTAGTGAAAGAAGTCAGACAGCATAAATGAATAAATAACTCAGACAGATATAAATGTTAAGGCGACATAAAAAGTAATGTGATAGAGTGTGACCAGGAGGTGATTATTATTCTCTAAGCAGATGACCTGAGAGTTGAGAACTAAATAATGATGAAGAACTAGAGCAGGGCTTTCCAAGCAGAAGGAACAGCAAGTGCAAAAGCCCTAAGATGGAAATGATCACGCTGTGTTTAAAGAAAGGAAAGGAAGCAATGTCAGAAGAGCTACAGAAGGGATAGAGTGGTGCACTTTGTAGGCCACAGATTTTATCTAATTGTAGTGAGAAGCCAATGGAAGACTGTAAATAGAGAAATGACTCAATTTGATATGTTCTTTGAGAAGATCACTTCTTTTTTCCTTGCTGCAGTAGGCACTAAGAGAAGATAACTTTTGCAGCTATGTGAAGAAATAAGTAGTACCAATTAACAGAAAATACTTTTTATTTATAGTGTTTCTTAGACCTTTGTTTTCCTTTCTGTTCCCAATTCTATCACCTGAGTGCTGACTCATATCTTTTTATTATATGGACTACTTCAGAAAGCATCCAAACTGGTCTCCCTGCTTCTACAGCTACTAGATTGTACTTTTTTAAATGCTTTGTACATGCCTATCTCTTTGCTTCAAAAGCCTCAAAAATTCACCACTGCCAATAAAATAAAATCCAAATTACTTGGCATTCAGTAACATTCCACAGTCTAATTCCAAACCACCTTTTCAGCCTCATCTTCCACTACTAATCTGATAAGACTCTGCTATTTAACTCAATACGGTCTACCCACTCCTTCCTGAACACAGCTTATGATGCTACATTCCTGCTTCCATGGCTCTACTCACACTGACTCCTTTCCTTATTCTTTTCTTATATTCAAATTATCTCTCTTCTTCACGGCTCAGTATACATTCTCCTTAACTACCCAGAGTAGTAGGTTTTGACTATGACCCACAGTATTTTATATCATAATCCAGTATACACAGGTTTCACAATTCCATATTTCACTTTACTTCATGCAGTGTACTTTGGTATTTTCTTCAATTTCTTTTTCAAAATGATTCACTAAATGATCACATAGACCACTAGTGAGTTTCATTTTTCAGTATGAAAAACACTATTAGTGTACCTTTCTAGACATTTACTGGTAACTTAACTAGATAATGGTACTGAAAGGTGAAATATAAATACCAAACTATAATGACCTTAACCTTAACTAGAATAGAATAGGGTATCTTATACTTCATTTGATCTATCATGATGCCACACATGGTATTTATTAATTGTTGCTGAAAGATTGATATTAACCGTAACTCTCATATTCATGATCAAAAAGGATCATGATTAGAACTGTTTTGTGTTTGTATCCATCTTGTTTCAAATTGTAGCTATGATGATAAAATGGCCAGTTTTTGACACTTTGACTCAAACTTTCTGCCTTTCTACCTTACAGAATTATGTAATAGCCTTGCACAGTGGAGGAACACAGTAAGAACTCTATAAATGCTAATTTCCAATTTTCCCTCAGAGGTAGGTGAAAGTCCTTATATGGAGAATACCTATTACTACTCACTAGACATCCTTCTCTTTTTTTTTTTTTTTTTTTTTTTTTTAACAAATACTTAGTCACTTCTCCTTGGCCCTTCTAGCTTTGCCAAAGTTATAATAAGGATAAGCCTTTTGTTTTGATGGAATAACAGCTATTTAAGGTTAAATGGCCTCTCCTGCAGTCAGCACTAAGGTTCTTGACCATCAGAGTCCTGTTAAAGTTGTTATTTTTTTTTTTTTTTTTTTGACAAAGTCTTGCTCTGTCACTGAGGCTGGAATGCAGTGGTGTGATCTTGGCTCATTGCAACCTCTACCTCCCAGGTTCAAGCAATTCTTGTGCCTCAGCCTCCCAAGAAGTTGGGATTACAAGGATGCACCACCATGCCTGGCTAATTTTTGTATTTTTAGTAGAGATGGGGTTTCACCATGTTGGCCCTGCTAGTCTCAAACTCCTGGCCTCAAGCAATCCACCTGCCTCAGCCTCCCAAAAGTGTTGGGATTACAGGCATGAGCCACCATGCCTGGCCAAAGTTGTTGATTCTTTCTAAAACATCATCAGCAATTTGAATTAAGAAAATGAAAAAACAATGAGGCAATCTAAAATCTGTACTGATACTGAATTGTGTCTTATCTGGCAAAGGACCCAAACTGTAAGATAAGCCAATGGGCAAAGTAATATCTTAATTCTTCAATCTCAAAGTCTCATTAAGTTTACCATGAGATGATTCACATAGGTTCCTGAGGAATGCAGAACAACTGAAGTATTTTGCTTCCCCTCCATCTCCTAGGCCTATTATGACCTGTTGTGGGCCTAGGGGGACAGGGTTGGTACATAGGTAACAAATGCTCTGAACCATCTAGAGCATACTCAGTATAACCAACAAGGATTTGGGCAGATATCAGCTCCCAAGACCTATCCAAGAAAAAAATCTGAATTTCTCTATCAGTCCTGAAACTACCTAGAGCTCCCTAATGGGCTATGGGAATCCTGGGGTAATTGTGGATCACAACCAACTACTCTGGGCCTGCCAAAACCCAAATCTCCACCATTAGGCTTCCCTCGGAGATCTGGTAGTATGAACCTCAACATTTGGTGGCTATTATCTCCTTAAGGCCAGACCCCAGGGCTTCAACAATCTCACGGTTTTGTTTGAGATAGCTATCTGGAATTACTTAGCCATTCACCAGCAATTTAAAATCACCTACTCCAAATCTCACTGCATTTGCTCCAATAAAAATAATTATGTTTTTTATCATAACTCAGAGAAGCTTATATCCAGAGTAGTAGGTTTTGACTATGACCCACAGTATTTTATATCATAATCCAGTATACACAGGTTTCACAATTCCATATTTAACTTTACTTCATGCAGTGTACTTTGGTATTTTCTTCCATTTCTTTTTCAAAATGATTCACTAAATGATCACATAGACCACTAGTGAGTTTCATTTTTCAGTATGAAAAACACTATTAGTGTACCTTCTTTTTTTTTTTTTTTGACAAAGTCTTGCTCTGTCACCGAGGCTGGAATGCAGTGGTGTGATCTTGGCTCATTGCAACCTCTACCTCCCAGGTTCAAGCAATTCTTGTGCCTCAGCCTCCCAAGAAGTTGGGATTACAAGGATGCACCACCATGCCTGTCTAATTTTTGTATTTAATGTACTGTAATCAGTAACAACTGATACTGAGGTATCAGTTGTTCCAGCTTATCTAACTCAGAGAAGCTTATATCCAAGATTTCAGAACCACGCTAAAAAGGAAAAAAGCAATTTCTGACATGAATATGTTATACAAAGTGGCAAATTTTAAGGAATATGAATTACTTCAGGAATGTCTTTTCAGAACAAAGACAAAACTAATCTTTTCATAGTGAGTTACTATCTTCATATAACATCACACTCAAAGGCAGATCAAAGGTAAAGCCAAAATTCTATTTATTTTAAAGGATGCCAAAGCTAGAATAACTTTTCTTTGTTTAACACGTCAAATAAAAATGATGCCTTGGTAAAAAGGACTGTTAAACAGAACTGGATGGGGGCCTTAAAATGTAAAAATAATACAGGGTTAAATTTTAAAAATATTCCTGTGCCACCTTCTTGCTAAACCACCTCCCCTATCCTAAGTCTACCAGTATTTTTGTTTTTTGCCAGACCACCACTGGTAACTTCCCAGAAGTAGGGTACAGATTATTATTCTAAATTCGAGTTTTATTTTTGTTGATAAAAATCCCTTTTAAAAACAAATATATCTTGGAAAAGTTAATTCTATATCATCTTTCAATGAAGCCTCAGGGAATAGAGAGAGTAAAGGAGGAAAAAGAGTAAAGAGAGAGTGGAAGAAATAATTTGAGAAATAAACAATGTTTATTAGTCCTTTGGGCTAATAAAGAATATCTATTAGCACTTCCAAAGCTATTAGAAGATGATGAGGAAATCATGCCTTAAGTGAAGTAAGGTAGGGTAAGAAACCAGCCTGAAAGTCTTATATCTAAGTAAATAAAATAGGAACAAATGACTTTTATTGGAGATTACACACAGCCCAGGTAATAAAACCACATGTGTTATACCTATGCCACAGCTAGATGCTAGATTAAACAACTTATAATGGCATACCAAAGTAATACTATGGGTGATGCACACATCTTCTGTGAGGGTTTTTAAAAAGGTTATCAATGAGTCAGAAATAATCTGCAAAATGCATTAAACAAAACTGAATCAAAGATTTTTTTTTTTATACTTTAAGTTTTAGGGTACATGTGCACAACGTGCAGATTAGTTACATATGTATACATGTGCCATGTTGGTGTGCTGCACCCATTAACTCATCATTTAGCATTAGGTATATCTCCTAATGCTATCCCTCCCCACTTCCACCACCCCACAACAGGCCCCGGTGTGTGATGTTCCCCTTCCTGTGTCCATGTGTTGTCATTGTTCAATTCCCACCTATGAGTGAGAACACGCAGTGTTTGTGTTTTTGTCCTTGCGATAGTTTGCTGAGAATGATGGTTTCCAGCTTCATCCATGTCCCTACAAAGGACATGAACTCATCATTTTTTATGGCTGCATAGTATTCCATGGTGTATATGTGCCACATTTTCTTAATCCAGTCTATCACTGTTGGACATCTGGCTTGGTTCCAAGTCTTTGCTATTGTGAATAGTGCCACAATAAACATACGTGTGCATGTGTCTTTATAGCAGCATGATTTATAATCCTTTTGGTATATACCCAGTAATGCGATTGCTGGGTCAAATGGTATTTCTAGTTCTAGATCCCTGAGGAATCACCACACTGACTTCCACAATGGATGAACTAATTTACAGTCCCACCAACAGTGTAAAAGGGTTCCTATTTCTCCACATCCTCTCCAGCATCTGTTGTTTCCTGACTTTGTAATGATCGCCATTCTAACTGGTGTGAGATGGCATCTCATTGTGGTTTTGATTTGCATTTCTCTGATGGCTAGCCATATGTAGAAAGCTGAAACTGGATCCCTTCCTTACACCTTATACAAAAATTAATTCAAGATGGATTAAAGACTTAAATGTTAGACCTAAAACCATAAAAACCCTAGAAGAAAACCTCGGTAATACCATTCAGGACATAGGCATGGGCAAGGACTTCATGTCTAAAACACCAAAAGCAATGGCAACAAAAGCCAAAATTGACAAATGGGATGTAATTAAACTAAAGGGCTTCTGCACAGCAAAAGAAACTACCATCAGAGTCAACAGGCAACCTACAGAATGGGAGAAAATTTTTGCAATCTACTCATCTGACAAACGGCTAATATCCAGAATCTACAATGAACTCAAACAAATTTACAAGAAAAAAACAAACAACCCCATCAAAAAGTGGGCAAAGGATATGGACAGACACTTCTCGAAAGAAGACGTTTATGCAGCCAAAAGACACATGAAAAAATGCTCATCATCACTGAATCAAAGATTTTTAAAGCTCCATTCCAAATAGTTACTAAAGAGAGTCCCTAGTCCAGTGTTAATGGTTTTCACCAGGTTTCCAATGAAGGTCTCCCAAGGACCACATTCAAATGAAATAACTATAAAAGCCACATGTTTATCAATATTTAATCCATGGGCCCAAAACATACTCTATGATCTAATTTAGAGTAAACTTCAATTTAAGGTTTTATTTTTAGGAGCCTCAGAAGTTTCATTTCTTAGTCTTTTTTGTTATGTTTAAAATAGCCAGATATGTCCTTCCTTTATCCATCCAGATCTTTAATAAATCAGAAATAAAAGGCAGAAAAGATTCTTTAAAACGAAGGAGTTTCTACCACTAACTACCAAAATGTCTTTGACTAGACCACTCAACTTTGAGTTCCAGTTTTATCCTTCACTCAATACTAGAGCCATTGTCTCCTATACATGCCTCAAATGCTAGGCACTGAGGATACAAAATTGAACAAAACAGTATCTTTGCATTTGGGGCATAGTCATTTGGCAGAAATAATTACAATGCTACCTATTCAGCCTTACAATAAGAGACAAGAACACAGCACTGTGCAAAGTAGTAAAAGCCACTGAGTCTGCCTGAAAAACTATGCTAAGCCTTTTCAAGGGGATTTGACATTTAAACTTACTTGCAATGAGGCAGTTGGGCTAGCCAATATATTTTTTGTTAAAGGGAGGACAAAAAGTTGAAGGTCATGAGATCTTATTTGTCAAAAACAGCTGGTACATATGATTTCAGTTTGTTATTAATCTAATCTCTCTCATTTTTTTTTTAAGACAGGGTCTCACTCTCTGTCACACAGGTTGGAGTGCAGTGGCATGATCATGGCTCACTGCAACCTTCAACTCCTGGGCTCAAGTGATCCTCTTGCCTTAGCCTCCTGAGTAGCTGGGACTGCATGCCACCACACCAGCTAATTTATTTTTATTTTTTTGGTAGAGATGGAGGGCATCTCACTTTGCTGCCCAGGCTGGTCTCGAACTCTTTGCTTCAAGCGATCCTCCCACCTGGGCTTTCCAAAGTGTTGGGATTACAAGCATGAGCCACCATGCCTGGCTGCTATTAATCTAATCTCTACACCAAAAAGAAAGTATTTTACTCTTACAATTCTTATGTTCTCTTCCAAATTTGTCTTCTTCTTCTATTTCTTTTCTTGATTAACAGTAATATCATCTAAGACTCAACTATCCATAGCTAACTAATCACCAATTTCTATTGACTCCATTCCATACTCTTTACTTTGTCTACTTCTATCTCAGTGGCCACCATCATCTCTTACCTAGATTACTGCAATAGCCTTCAAAAGCATCTTCATGCCTCTGGTATCCCTTCTCCCAACCAACCAATTCTTCAAGCTGTAGCCAAAACGATATTTCCAAGACACAGGCTGATCATATGATAATCCACTTTAAAATTATTTAACTGCTCCCTATGGGTCTCAGGAAGTCTAAACTCTTGGGCATGGTAGACAAGACTCTTCAACACCTGGCATGCTTTACTCATGTTACAATCTTTTATAGTCACACTGAACCTTTTGCAGTTTCCTCAGTATACACTGCTCACTCACCATCCTCTGCAGAACTTTCCAAGACTCCCTTCAAAAAGGTATCAGGTGACCTTCTAAAATATCTTTCAGTACCCTCTAGTACCTTCTGCTTCTCCATTACCATACTTACCACATTATATAGTACTTTAATTACCTGTCTTTCCCTTACAAAGTTCTGAATTCCTTAAGGACAAAAACTATCATATATATTCTTGTATTTCCTATATAAAGCATTCTGCCTGCCTGGCACTGACATACAGCTCATGTTTGATAAATAGTTGTTGAATGCATGAATAAATGAATGAATGAATGAACAAATTACAAAGGAAGAAAAATTCAATGCCCTCCAATTTGTAATGCTTATTACCTACTCTTTAGAAATCCTACCCTTTAGCAAAACTACATTTAAACCATGAGCTTGTAACAATTAACTCATTTTCAGAGACAGAAATAAAGGCTATACCTAAAACTCAAATTCGAGTAAGCTTTAAAAATGTATTTATGTCTTCTAGCTGCTATAAGCTTACTATTAAATCATTTTTTGGAGAAAATACATATATATCAGATTCACAATGGGCTATACATCTGAAAAATAAAATTACAACTACATATGCACTATTACATTATTTTCACAGGTAAAATGGTGAGTTTGCTTTTAAACGTAAGTGAAAGCTGTACCTCATCACTGACTCACCGATTCTTTTCCAGCTCATTGTGTGTAGATCTAAAAGACAAAAAAAAAAAAAAGCATTAGCCATGCTTTGTTGCTAAAGCTATAGAAAGACAGATTAGTTACTGCTATGCTACACCTAGTGAATTTATTTAACAATGCAACACATGGTCAGACTTCTACAAGCTCACTCATCGAGAGGAAATAGTCTACATTCATTAGGATTGTTTATACAAATATAGTATTTTCAGTTAACAACTCTTAACAGTCTGAAACTGGAGTTTCATTGTTATTTTAATAAAAGTAATACTAGCACATGTTCTCCCTACTTCTAGCATCCTAGATTTTGTTGATCTGCAGATGTTATATAAGAAATTTTAAACATAATCCTGTTTTTATTTAAAAAGGAAAAAAAAAAGTGGGTGTACTTCCATGTCCTCCTCTATCTCCATCTACCCACTTCTAAACAGAGAAAAAAAAGTTTTGGCTAGCATAGAAGCTGAAAAAGGCTTGCGTTACTGCTTAGTGATACAGGCAAATCCAAGTCTTCCCACCTTATTTTGTGAAACAAAAACAAGAAAAAGTTATACATGAAAGAAAATTAATATAAAGAAAAAATATATTAATAAAATCAAGAAACGTGTTTTACAAGACTGGATAACTCGAAATGTTAGCAATGGTTATTGTTTAGTTTTGGTGACTTTTTTCCTTTTGTTTCTCATTATTTGTTTTAAATGATACCTTCTATTGAACAAGCACAGCATCTGGGGAACAGTGGGATAAGCAGTTAATATATCTTATTTTATCCCTAAAACAACCTTTGTTTTATAATCAAGAATACTGAAGCTCAGAGAAGTCAAGAAATATACTCCTCTCCCAAGAGTATAAAGTGGCAGCCATGATTTCAATCCAGGTCTATCTTAACAATCCCCAAATCTTAACCACTCAGTGAGAAGCAATACTGAACAGAGGTTAAGGGCACAGACTCTAAGGCCAAACTGCCTGAGTCCAAATACTGTATGGCCTCAGTAAAGTCCCTTCATTTCTCTGTGCTCGGTTTCCTCATCTATGAAATAGGAAAAATAACAGTATTTGCCTCATATGATTGTTATAAGGACTAACAGGTTTATGCTAAATAGCAAAATATAATGAACTCTAAAGTTAGCTACTATTAGAATTGTTATACTAGTTCCCTAGAATTAACATGTGTTACTTTTGCAATAACTTAACATTAACAACAACAGGAATTTTATGAAGGAGAATTTAAATTCCTGTCACTAGAACTAAAACTTTAATCATTTTGTAGATTCTGGTTAATGTCAAATGCTTAAAGAATATTTATGGCTTTAATCTGATTATTTCAATGGATATTTAATAATCAGATTCTCAAACCTTAAAATTAAGAGTGCTTTTGCTGGTCTCATAATTTGTGTAACTTTTACCCACTGTCTTAGCTTAAGGGCCAAAAGACTTCTTTGAGTTACTGTCTCCTATCCACCTTTTGCTTCATGAGTAATTTCATCAAGTCCAAGAGACATGAAATGAAAAAGACTGATATTCATTTAAAAATATTATCTTAACAAAAGGACTTCTCCTTTGAGGGAAGTAAATAGAGTCTTATGATGTTTCAAGAATTCAGATAGAAGAAACTATAAAAGCACAGTCAGAAATCCTAGTTTAACAGAGACTCGGAGCTCAAAATTCAATAAATTATAACCACAGTGTGCCTTTATCACCATAAAAGTGTTTAAAATTTTGTTAATCTTTGTTTGAATTAAATGTTAATCAGTCAAGTTAGAAGAGGGAAAAGGCCTATTTAAAGACGTTTAGAAGAAAAAATATAATTCAAAATTTGAATAAATAATCAATAGTAAGATTCCCCACCCCCACTGGTGAGCAAGTTTTGGTTTAATTGCCTCTCTCTGAGAAGAAAACTAAAAACAAAACAAAAAGACAATGCACATATAAAATACTACAGTAAGTAATAAATGGAAACATTGTATTTAGAGAAGAGCAGACTATTTGCCATAAACTTATTCTAAACAGCCATAAACTTATTCTAAACAGTCTGGCAATCCCACTGACAGCCATCAGTGCAAGAGATAATATACTCAACAATAACCAATTGTTGAATTCCAATATTATATTGAGTCTATTATCAAAGCTAGCTCCAAAAGATCATAATCTGACCCACTGCTGTGAACAAAATTAAAACAGCAGGTTCTTCCTGCCTGCCAAACAGACATTTCTTTATTATCTTTTTTTAAAGAAAATGATAGCTAAGATTATGAACCTTTTCACCAAACCAGGAAATGCATGCCACATTTAATTATACCACCAGCAAAATTTAGCAAGATTTTCAAATAACGAGAAGCAAAAATGATCATAAATATACAAATCATTACCATGTTGCCATGTTCTTCCAATTTTTTTTACAAAAGCATCAATAGTGTTTACTCCTATTTTGATGGGTTTTTACCTGTAATGTCAAGTCAACAAATACTGAGTACCTTCAGTGTTCAAGGCTGTCTTACACTACAGGAAATCAAAGACAGTCTCCATTGGGTAAATTAAGATATGTTTAGCAATAATTATAACTGAAGGCAAAATAAATATACAAAGAAAGGTACAAAGTATTGTGGGAGCTCAAAAGAGACAGTTTACTTCCAAATGGCACTGTAAGAAAAGCTTTAGAAGGGTGGCATTTGGTCTAAGGCTTAAATAATAGGTACATTTGCTACTAGTAGAGTCTGAAACTGTTAAGGAGATGCCATTCCAAGTGGAAGGGATAAGATAAGCAAACAAGTCGAGTTGTGAAGTCCAAAGCAAAACCAGCAAACAACACAAAAAGATCATAAAGACCCATGGTGTTAGAGAAAGAAAGTCATGAATCTAAATATTAACTCTGTCACTCACACAGGCTGTGTAACTTTGAGACAAATTATTTAACCTCGCTGGTTTACAGTTTCCTCATCTGTAAAACTGGAGTATTACACATGCCTTGGCCAGGTTACTGTGAGAATTAGAGAAACAGATGTAAAAACATCTAGCTCCTAATAAGTATTTAATAGATGCTAGCTACTGTTAGTATTTTTATTACTTTTTTAAAAGACTAAAATTATGTTACCCAAAACGTTATTAACTATACTACATGGGACAACAAATTGATAGGTTCTCAATAACACTTTGAATTAGCCTGGAAATAAGCAAACAACAACCATAATGATGGAAAGAGAAACTGAAAGAAAAGATAGGTGACTGAAGCTACTTTATCATTTAGTCAGCTGTGAGGACAGTACAAGGTTTAGGAGTATATTACAGAGAGAGATGCCTAATTATACGTACACAGAGAAAGTAATCCAAACAGTACAGGCGATAAACAAGTAATTAAATGTATCACACACTAGCACATTCAGAAACAACCCCTTTGCTTCTCTGAGGTATGTGTCCAACCAAGCCCTTCCAATAATGTTCCATTGAAATATTCAATTATGATAAATTCCCTGTGTAAGGCTGAGATGTTCTGAATAACCCATCTAGTTAGCCCACTTTTCTTCTCCCAATAAAATGCACCTCTGAGAGCAAACACTAATGAATTGTGTCTTCCTTTCAAACACCCTTACCCTGAACACTTAACAACTTCCAATGACAAAGACATTTCTATCATTTTATCATTGAATCACAGGTAATCTTTTTCGCAAACAGCATCCCTTTAAGAGAGGCATCCTAATGTATTCCCTATTTGAATGGGAGTCATTATCTATGAAATGTGACTACCTTAACCAGATATGTGACTTTTCATTGACTACAACATAGCTCCAATACATAAACTTGTGATTATTTAGGGTGTAGTTTGGTGGCAGTCAAAGAAATGAACCATAGAAATGAAACTATACGAAATGGTACAGTTTGGCTCAAGAGTAGTACCACTGTGGAAAGAAAATAAAAATCCCCACTCCAGAATTTCAATACTCTCTTCTAGCAAAAGAAAAGACCTCTAATTTTGCAGAATTAATGAGCCAATCCCTACTTTGTTAACATTTTCATTTAACTTACTTTCTAATCCTAAAGTGCCTCACAGATGTTGCCCTCCACACAATGAAAAGAGCATATTCTACAAAGCTAAATTCTAACTAACTGGTATCCTAAAGCTTACAATTCTTACACATACATGTAGAGGGCAAAAAAACCAGAAAATTTTAGCTATAGTAGAGCAGGTATCTTTCAAGGATATACCAAAGGGGTTGAGATTGAAAATATACTGGGATTAGTGGAACAGTAAAACTTCTATTTATTATTATTCTTCTTTTAAGACGGTAGTTTTCTGCATTTGTTTCCATCGAAAAGTACATCTCATTTTTAAAAACCATTAAAAACAGTAAAATTTGAATACTATAAACTTTTAGAAAAAATGCCTCATAAGAAATGTATTGCTTCTTTCTTAACAATGACAAAACAATTACCACCACAATAACTAAGCCCACGAACATCAAGTATCTAAACAGGATGCACAACAATAACTATAATCAATAACCTTTTTCCTTAAAACTTACATATCAAAGCTGGATATATGTATACTTTATGACTAAGTATTTCCACTTACAGGCATATACCAAGCCAATATATGTTTACATGTTCACCAAAGGACATACAAAAGAATGCTTGTATAGAACTATTCATACTGGCCCCAAACTGGAAGCATTCATCAATAGTAGAATGGATAAATTGTGAAATATTCATACAATGTAATATTACACAGCAATGAGAATAAACTAACTACAACTATTGTGCAATAACATGGATTAATCTACACAATTTCAACATAATGTTGAATGAAAAAAGCCAAACACACACAAAAAGTACACACTACATAACTCCATTCACATAAAGTTCAAAACTGGCAAAACTAAATTATGGCATAAAAAGTTGGAATTAAAAAAAAAAGTTGGAATTGCAGTTACCTTGGGGAGGGGGTGACAGTGACTGGAAAAGTCAGGAGGGGGCTTCTAAGATTTGTAATATTTCTTTGCTTTTGTAAAAATTCATTGAGCTGTACACAGGATTTGTATGCTTTTTTTGTATGTACATTTTACTTTGGTAAACAGGAAAAAATTTTTTAATAGCATACAAACTGAATTCTTTAAAAATCAATTCTTACTTCAAATATAGCAAACACCCTAATGTAAGTCCTTGACAAATCTTTTGGCATACTACATCTCAAACAAATGTGCTTTGTAAAGGATGATTTTTAACAAATCTAAAAGTACTGAAATCATACAGAGTAAGTTCTCCAATCACAATGAAATTTAATTAGAAATCAGCAACAGTAAGCTAATTAGAAAAATCCCAATATTTGGAACATAAATCACAGCTCAAAGAACAAATTGCAGAGAAATTAGAAAATATTCTGAACTTAATGACACAACATATCAAAAGTTGTTGAATGTAGCTAAAGCAGTGCTTAAACACAACTGTTTAGCTTTAAATCCTTCTGTTGGGAGGGTAGTGTCCAAAATCAATGATCCAAGATTCCACCTTAAGAAAGTAGAAAAAGGAACAAACTAAACTGAAAGAAGTTGAGCAACGGTTCTCAACTGTAAGCAATTTTGCCCACCAACACATCTGACAATGTCTGGAGATCTTCTGGTTATCACAATCAGGAGGAGGCTACTGGCATTTTGTGAGGAGATGCTAGGGATGCTGCTAAACATCCTATGATGCACAAAACAGAATTATCTGACCCCAAATGTCAAGACTGCTAACGTTGAGAAACTGAAGTAGAGAAATATAATAAAAACCAAGGACAGGAATGAAAGACATAGAAAATGAGAAATAGTGAATATCAGTAAAATTGAAAGCTGACTTTAAAAAATCAACACATTGATAAACTACCTCTAAGGCTGATGAAGAATAAAATACAAAAATTACAATACAAAAACAGTATCAAGAGTGTACATCATTACAGATTCTACATACATCATACATTAAAAGGATAAGAGAATATTATTAACAACTTTATGCCAATAATTGTCCACATCATCTAAATTTGATAACTTAGATGATATGAACAAATTTCTTGAAAGATACAAATGATCAAAACTGACTCAAGAAGAAACAGAAACTCTGAATTGCCTTTCATCTATTAAAGAGATTAAAATAATAATTTTTAAAAAAACCTTCCCACAAAGAAAACTCCAGGCCTGAAAGTTCTTCATTGGCAAATTTTACCAGGCATTTAAGGAATAAATAAAACCAATCCTACATAAAATCTTTGAAAAAATAAAGAGAGAGGGAACATTTTCCAAATCATTTTATGAGACCAGTATTAGCCTGATACCAAACCCTGACAAATTACATAGAAAACAAACAAAACAAAGACTAACATCTCTCATGAACACAGACACAAAAATTCTAACAAAATTTTGCCAAATTGAACCCAATAATATACAGAAAGTACCCTAGTTCCTGGGACAGAGCTTCTAAAACCTTGAAATTTTCTGAGTAATTAGGTGTGTCTTCATTATTCATAGTGGGTCTTCGGACTACACCTGAGTTTATGCCAAGGAGAGATAACTCAGGATAGGGGATGGTCACATCAGAAAGACCAACCATGTGATTAGAGGGTTGGGGCTTTGAGTCACTGATTGTGGCCCAACACAGGGGAGAGAAGTACTGGGAATTGACAACCATATAACCAATGATTCAATCAATCATGCTTATGTAATAATATCCCAATAAAAACTCTGGAACCTGAAACTTGGGTGAGTTTCATGGTTGGTAAACACATAAATGTGCCAGGAGAGTAATGCATCCTGATTCCATGGAAAAAGCACAGAGGCTCTGTGTCCAGGTTCCTCCCAGACCTCTCTCTCTGTGTCTGGGCATTTGGCTGGTCCTGATCTGTATCATTTATAATAAAACTTGCAATTATAAGCATAACAGCTGGACATTGTAGCGCATGCCTGTACTCCTAGCTACTTGAGAGGCTGAGGCAGAAGGACTGCCTTGAGCCCAGGAGATTGAGGTTGCAGTGGGCTTTGATCTCACCACTGCACTCTACTCCGGGTGACAGTTGAGACTCTGTCTCTAAACACAGACAAAGTGTAGCACTTTCCTGAGTTATAAGTAGTTCCAGCAAATTATCAAACCTGAAGGGGCTGTAGGAACCTCTGAATTTGCAGCCAGTTGGTCAGATGTGAGAGTGGCCTGAGGACTCCTGAACTTATGGCTGGCATCTGTAGCGAGGGCAGACATGTTGGGGACTAAATCCTCAAACCTGTGAAGTTTGTTTTAGCTCTGTGTTGTTAGTATCAGTACTGCAACAGTACAAAATACAACATGAATAAGTAGGATTTATTTCAGGAATGCAGGTTTAAGACTCAAAAATCCATCAATGTAATCCTCCATATTAACAGAATAAAAAAGAAAATGACAGTATCACCTAAATAGATGTAGAAAAAGCATTTAAATAAAATTTACCATCCATTCATGATAAAAACTCTTAGCAAATAAGGGAAGAAGGGAATTTACTCAACCTAAAAGGCATCTAAGAAAAACTATAGTCACACTCAATGGTCAAAGAATGCATTTTTTCATAAGATCAGGAACAGGGCAAGAATGTCCACTCTCATCACTTCTATCCAGCACTGTACTAGAGGTTCTAGCCAGTGAAATAAAACAAGAAAAGGAAATACACAGAAGGAAATGGAAGAAATAAAAATGTCTTTACTTGCAAACAACATTACTGTCTATTTAGAAAATCCTAAGGAATATACAGACTATTAGAACAATTAAGTTTAGCGAAGTCAGTTCACAAAACCAAAATGCCAAATTTAATTGCTATTTAAAATAGCATCAAAGAATACTTAAGGAAAAATTTAATAAAGTATGTGTATGACCCATACTCTGAAAACCTAAAAAATACTGCTGAAATTTGAAAATATCTAAGTAATAGACATACCATGTCTATTAATTCATGTTAATGAATTAGAAGATTCAATAGTTAATACATGTTGGGTTTCCCCAAATTAATTTATAGATCCAGTGCAATCCCAATAAAAATTCCAGCAGGCTCTGTTGTAGAAACTGACAAACTGATTCTAAAATTTATGTAAAAATGCAGGCCACGCACAGTGGCTCACGCCTGTAATCCCAACACTTTGGAAGGTAGAGGTGGCAGGACTGCATGAGCCCAGGAGTTCAAGACCAGCCTGGGCAACATGGTGAAAGCCTATCTCTACAAAAAATATAAAAATTAGCAGAGTGTGGGAGTGCACACCTGTAGTCCCAGCTCCTCACTCAGGAGGCTGCGATGGGAGAATCACCTGAGCCCGAGAAGGTTAAGGCTGCAGTGGGCCATGATCATGCCACTGCACTCCAGCCTGGGTGAAAGAGTGAAACCCTGTCTCAAAAAAATAAATTAATTAAAATAAAAATGCAAAAGACCTAGAATAGCCAAAGGAACTTTTGAAAAAGAAGAACCAAGTCGGAATACATTCATTACCTGATTTCATAACTTTTTGAAAAACTATAATAATTAAGACAGTGTGGCATTAGAATAAGGATGAATATTTAGATCAAAGGATCAGAACAGAAAATCCAGAAATAAGGCTCACAAGTCTGTGGTCAACTGATTTTCACAAAGGTGCCAAGGCCATTTAATGAATAAAGTATAGTCTTTTCAACAAATGATACTGGAACAACTGGATGTCCATTTGCAAAAAAAAAAAAAAAAAAAAAAAAAAAAAAAAAAAAAAAGAACTTCAACCTTTACTTCACACCCTCTACAAAAATTAACTCTAAATGAATTTTAAATCTAAATGTAAAACCTAATATTATAAACTGCTAGAAGAAAATAGAGAAAAAAATTTTTTTTGAGATGGAGTCTCACTCTGTTGCCCAGGCTGGAGTGCAGTAGCATGATCTCAACTCACTGTAGACTCCACTATCCGGGTTCAAGTGATTCTCCTGCTTCAGCCTCCCAAGTAGCTGGGATTACTGGCGTGTGCCACCATGCCTGGCTAATTTTTGTGTTTTAGTAGAGACGGGCTTCACCATTTTGGTCAGGCTGGTCTAGAACTCCTGACCTCATGATCCGCCTGCCTCGGCCTCCCAAAGTGTTGGGAACACAGGCATAAGCCACCACACCCGGCCAATAGAGCTTATTTATTTATTTATTTATTTATTTATTTTTTGAGACAGAGTCTTGCTCTGTCACCCAGGCTGGAGTGCAGTGGTGCAATCTTGGCTCACTGCAAGCTCTGCCTCTTGGGTTCACACCATTCTCCTGCCTCAGCCTCCCGAGTAGCTGGGACTACAGGCACCCGCCACCATGCCTGGCTAATTTTTTTGTATTTTTAGTAGAGACAGGGTTTCCCCATGTTAGCCAGGATGGTCTCGATCTCCTGACCTCATGATCTGCTGGCCTCAGCCTCCCAAAGTGCTGAGATTACAGGTGTAAGCCACTGTGCCCGGCCAAGCTTATTTTTTTTAACTAATAAACCTCATCATGAAACTGAGGCAATAATTTACCATAAAGTACTCAGAGATGAGAGTAAAATATCAATGTTTTTCTGTAGGTGATTAATAATAAACAGTACTACAAAGTATCTCATTTGGAAACATCATTCCTTTGGAGAATATTTGCTCTCATGTACTTTTTAAAAATCTTCATTTCTGGCATATTAATCTGCTGTTAGTCAAAGAGTATGACAGTCAAATTCTCATCTTCTATAGCAAGAAACGCTTCTCATTTAGAAATATGAAAGCAAACAACAGAAGAAGCTGTGAAATTATCGGAAGTGGTAGTCTCTAAGAAGCAGAAATTGGATGGAGAGAGGTGGGGCATGGGGATGTTATTTTCCTTTATAAGCTATTTAGTATTAATTGACTTTTTAAACTATATACATATATTACCTTTATAAAATGTTAAGAATTTAAAATAACTAGTTCACCTGGTAGCAGCAGAAATTAAGAAGCATCTTATACATTCTAAAGTTAAATATTGTTTGTAAAATAATATTTCTTAGGTAAGGCAGCAACACTAGAAACTACAGAGAATTTTGAAGGTTAAAATAATTGCTCTTAAACATATTCTCGAAGTTAAAAAACACATTAAGGTAAACAACTAATTATCTAGACTACTTCATTTGTTAACAACAAATTCTATTACAGAGCAATATTCTAAAAAACCTTTAAAAGTACAGAAAATATCAGCAATTTCCTAACTCATCTGACTTCCAAAGGTAATCATTTTAAGAGTCAGGCATGAAATAAACATTCAGTAAATAACTGTTGGGGGAAAAACGAGTGGTACCATAGATGTATAACACCTGCATCTATGGGGAGGAGCTGAGTATATTAATAATAATATAAAAGTTAGGAGCAACTTCAAAAAAATAGGTTTGATATTATGGGTAATGCTGTTAATTATGGTACCACTGACTGTGTTTTAAAATGTAGGAAACCAAAACAAAAAAACAATCTAACAAAAAATGCATGTTTATATTTCATCAGCACTATACAATCACACTAAAAATGGGACCTGGAAATACACTCTGTCAAAGCATACCATCAAGCCTCTTTGATTAGATTAGTATCTAGAAAACTGTCCTTACTGAAGAAATGACAAAGAATCATGCTATATTCAAAAGCAGGCAATGTTCTTTCATTTGCAAGGAGAAATCTAGAAGAGAAAGCTTTCTTCCAGTCAACAGTACTGCCTGATTATAACAATGATGCATATATTGCTTAAAATCCAGCTTGACAATAAAGTCAACCATCATCTACAGCTGTAAGGCTTAAGCAATCACCATCTCTAAGCCACATGTGCTTTAATCATAAAATGAGTGATAATATTTTGTCTTCATAAATCAGAGAATTGTACTAAAGAATTCCCTTTCTACATTTTGTGATCTTCTACATCATATATTCAATATTTTGACAAAAATGCCTTTCATCGACTAGGAACAGAAACAGCTGTCCTACTGACTTACAAGGCATGATCATACAAGTTTCCTTCAATACTTCCATAGAGGAATATAACCTTAAGAAACCCAGCAATAGCAAACTTACACTTCAAAGAAGCATTTAAAGGAAAGCCTCAGTTTTTTTAGTATAAGGCATATAAGTAATTCTTGGGAATTTTTCATTTAAGTCAATTTTGGTAGAAGACAGACTATCACAAAACACATTTCACTGGATGTGTTAATCACTCAAAATGCAGAAAATACTTAAGAATAATAACAACATCATTAAGAGTTTAACTGCTACTAATCTACATTTTTGTCCTGAAACTTTGGGAGTTTTCTACGGAACAAAGACCCAGAAACTACTTTTTAATATAAAAAAATTTGAAAAACACAGAATAGTAGAAAAAAATTACACAAAAATAAAAATAAGGCTTCATTCAATTCTTCTGTGAACAAATAGGTTCACGTAGAATAAAGAGAAGATAAAGCATCTCAAATTACTACTGGAAAAAATCCTTTGAAACTATCCTAGGAAAATAATTCACCACCATCCCTCTCCCCAGAAAAACTAAAAATCCATGAAGATAGCTGAAAAGGATGCAAAGCTAAAAAATAACAATACAATAATTCTATCTAAAATAAGACTAAAGCATTTCTTTATTCTACAGTTTAAGAAAAATTAAACTAAAGCCTTATAAACAACAGAAAAGTTGTTTTTTAGTGTCCTCAATCTTAGAAAGTGGAACTGAGATACTGCTTTTATGAGATTCTTTAGTATCCATAGGACACTAAAGAGAAGAAATATATCAACTTGAAATTAAAGCATAAATTGGCTATTTACTACTTCCCAGATTACCTTAAAACAATGCAATTACTATGTGTGTGTCACAGGCTCATATGAATATTTATTGCCAATATCTGAAAGACTTCTGTTTCTTTCAATATGCAAGTTTGGTATTATTTTATTTTCATGACACAGGATGACACTGAATGTTCTTCAAAATTAAGTGTAGCATTCTGTAGCCTGCTTGTTTAAAAGAATTGACAGTTTAGAGATTTTTATTCTTTAAATACTACATGCTGTTTTTCCAAATGTATCATTAACATCCCTTGGAACACAAAGTAATCAGAGTTTGCCAAAACAGGGGTTTTATCACTCTTCCTTCCAGTCTAATATGGTACTCAGCACAAAAAAGAAATTCAATTTAAGACAGTCTGCTTGGAGTTTGAAAACCTTCCATTCTTTAAGAAACACATACTATTTACGGGGCACTGTGATAAGTACTAGGGATAAATGTTTAAGCAGAAGAGACTCAATCCCTGCCCGCCTCGCAGGGTTTTTAATCCAGTGAATAGGACACGAATTTAAGAAACAACTGGATAACTGTATTTCTACAAATGTGATGAACACTATGAAGGAAAAATAGGGGTGCCATGAAGTATGTGAAGACCTGATCTACTACGGCAGATGAGGAAACATTCCTGAGGAACTTATGATTGAGCTGAAGAAGAGTGTTATTCAACAGAGATAACAAAGGGGGAGGGAAAATGATTCCCTGCAGGGAACAGAAAGTATGCAAAGATCTTGAGGTAGAAGAAAACGCGTACTGAAGGAATCAAAAGAAGGCTGGCCAATGTAATTCATAAGAACTGGCCAAGTGCGGTGGGTCACACCTGTAATCCCAGCACTTTGGGAGGCCAAGCCGGGCGGTTCATGAGGTCAGGAGATTGAGACCATCCTGGCTAACACAGTGAAACCCTGTCTCTACTAAAAATACAAAAAATTAGCCGGGCATGGTGGCAGGCACCTGTAGTCCTAGCTACTCGGGAGGCTGAGGCAGGAGAATGGCGTGAACCCAGAAGGCAGAGCTTGCAGCGAGCTGAGATCGCGCCACTGCACTCCAGCCTGGGCAACAGAACCAGACAAAAAAAAAAACTGTAGTTGCAGGGACACCAGGTAGGAAGTTACTGCAGTCGTCCAAGTAAGAGATGATGGTAGCTGAGATTAGGAGGATAGTAATGAAGGTAACAGGAAAGAAGGCCGACTGAAGAGATATTTAGGAAGAAATCAGTGTTACACTGCAGTCATGGCTTATTTAGTAGAGTTTTAAGGATGACAGACCTTGAGATTTTTCACCTGTGGTACCAAATAGTAAAGAAGCTGGAATTTGAACTTATCTGATGCTCCCCAAAAAGCCAGATAGCTATTGCAGCCACATTCTCTAACAGCAGTAACATCTTAGCAATGTTGATTTTTGGAAGTGTGCCAGAAGGCTGTGACCAAGACCACAGTAAAATCAAGCATTTATTTTAATTATATATTATAGGTGCCACTTCCAACTATCAGAAGGATCCCAAATGATAAAATTACTGGTATTTGCAAGGAACATATTTGTAATATCACATTATATCATTTATTTTCTCTCCTTTTTACTTCTTTGAAAATAAGATTTTAAGGAATGGGGGAAAGGGGAATAGGAATTTATAATATTAGGAGTTAACTACTTTCAGCATAAATTTATAAAGTTACTTTTTTGAGGGGGGGGGGGTGGATTATCACTCTGTTGCCCAGGCTGGAATGCAGTGATGCAATCTCAGCTCACTGCAACCTCCGCCTCCCAAGTTCCAGCAATTATCCTGTCTCAGCCTCCCAAGTAGCAGAGATTACAGGCACACACTACCACACCTGGCTAATTTCTGTATTTTTAGTAGAGACAGGGTTTCATCATGTTGGCCAGGCTGGTCTCGAACTCCTGACCTCAGGCAATCCACCTACCTCAGCCTCCCAAAGTGCTGGAATTACAGGCGTGAGCCACTGCACCCTGCCTAAAGTAACATTTTATCAGGCATATCATATAATACCTGAGAATATCAGGGGTAAAATAGTCAATCACCATTATATCTTAAAGATGCTACGATGTCAGAGAAACAAATGTCATTTTATAACATACATCAGTGTTCAAGATGTATAGTAATAAAATAACAGCTACTTCCACACTAGTAGCTTTTTGATCAGGAAAAAATAAGACATATATACTTATGAAGTCCATTCCTTTCCTTGTTTCAGATGATAAATACATGGAAATTTCTGTAAGTCTTCTAACTTTCTGCTTTATGTAACCAGCATAATAAAATCTCATTAAAATCCAATAGTAAACTTAAAATTAAGAAGAAGCCTACAGTGTCCTCTTTCAAATGGACCAACACTATTGTCCAAATACCCCAGTATTGGAATTTCTACCTCAGCTCTCCTTACTTCCATGAAGCAGGCATTTTAAATAAGTGGCAAAGGAGAAATAATTTCTAGTGTTTCATTTTAACATACTAGTTCTCTCTCATAAGCCCCAGCCCAAAACCCACACATTGGTGGATCTTGAGATAATATATTCTAAAATATATTTTTCTCTCTCTCTCTCTTTCTTGCTACTTATATTCCCATAAAAAAAGTATCTTCTCCTGTTTTAGGTGGTCTAATGTACACATATTCTCCTTTGGGCACTATCAGAACAATATGGCATGCTTGCAGTTTTACAAATTTTCCGACATGCTATGCTAAAACACAGTAATTAGCACTGTGGTCCCACACATAATATTAGAATCCTAACAGAGACACTAGCATGAAAGAGAAACATCACTTAGCCCAAACCCCAAGCTGAGCAAAGCGTAAGTCAACAGATGACTAAGAGTTTCTTATTAATGACCGGTAACATAATTGATAAAACTTAGGAATGTGCATCTTATTTATGCCTCTATAATCCTTGAGTTCCTAAAAATGTCACATCTGCAATGATGGGAGACATACTAAATTACTAATATAGTAACCAATCTCTAAAACTGTCAATAAATCAGAGTCATAGAAGTTCAGGAGAAGGAGGGACCTTGGTGAGACTCTAATGCATCTTATTTTACAGATGAATACAGTAAGGGATGGGAAATGTACTGAAATTATATACCTAATTTCTAGAAAATAGGAAAGGCTTAAATACTTGCAGCACGACAGAACCCAGGTCTAGTTTCCTATGTGTACTCTTCCTATGTCTCCAAGTTGAAAAAAAAAAGTTTTTTAATCTATGTGGATTGAAAGACACATAAATTCCTGAATAGGTCTTAATTCTTGATAGCTTAAACACTGAAACCGTAAGGGCAAGCAAATGTACATTTTTTAAAATGCTGTATATCATACTACATATTTTCATCTCAAATACACCATACTACAACAAAATCTCTAGACCCACACACAACACAGATAGTACATCAAGCTTATGGTTAATTATTTTTATAACTTAAGAAATTAAGTTTAAAAACTATATAGTAGTCTTAATGAAAAGAAGCTAAAAAAGGAAACGTGCAGCTCTATAGAGAAGTCAAAGGAGAAAAGTGAATCCTAGTTTTTCCTCGGTGATGTCTGAAATACAGAGTGGGATGATCCAACCTCATGAGTTCCAATTATTATCTGTAGAAGCCTCAGGCTTTCTGAATCAAGAGCCCCATTCTGACCCAATCTGCTGTCCCAAATGACTAACCAACCACCTGACTGAAGCTCCCCAAAGCCTTCAGGGAAATTTGGTTACCCAGGGATTGCTCTGTCCTCCTCAAAATGAATGTTTATTATATTCTCTAGACAAAGCTCTGGGAAACAGAAATAAAGGTCTCATTTAATTCCCCTTATCAATGGAAAAGGCAGCCATCTGTTAATCTTCTGTTAAGAAAGGCCTTTTGAAAACTTCCTATGAGATGAATCCTAGGAATTCACTGGCTCCCTAGAATAAAAACACCGAAGAGATAGCCACATACTACTCAAAAGTTTTCAAAAATGGAAGTCAGCTACATCTTAGTACATCTATTTTTTTCTCTTTTTGACACAAAGTTTCACTATGTCATCCAGGTTGGTCTTGAACTCCTAAGCTCAAGCAATCCTCCCACCTCAGCCTCCCAAAGTGCTGGAATTACAGGCGTAAGCCACTAGGCCCAGCCTTTCCAAGTACATCTAGACAAGTATATTTTTAAAGATCTATTCTGCTTGAAAGATAAACAGATTTTTTTTTCCTTTTTGCTTTAAGAGCCCACCAACCAATCCGATCTCATCATTTAAAGAGGCAAAACTTTCACAGCATGGTCTTCCCTTTTCTCCTTAAACAAATAACCACATCCGCTCACTACCAATTCTACCTAAATATTTTTATTCCTTTAACAAACCCTTGATTCTGCTTTATACCCTGCCAGACCTATTTCTGATTTTTTTTTTAATCTTCTTGGACTGTCCAAAACTTGGCCAGAATATTGAAAGCCAGCCCACGATTACTTTTAGCAGGTGGCTGCATGCATGGACACATGCTGCCAAGTCTCTCAACTTGGCATAGCCATCTTAATAATCCCAGCAAGAACTTCTTTGGTTGTCTTTCCAGATTATATTCCTTTCCTTCCATGCAAAACCAGGTTATGATTTCTAGACTTCATTATTTTAAAAGGGCCAAATCCCCAGGGTAGTGGTAAAGGAACCCATCAAGTGCTGCTCCTTCAGACTTGGGATTACAGGAGAAATGTGCTCCTTCCCTCCAGTTCCCTCTTCTAAGCGTTCCCAGCTTGCTACCTGTTGGCAGTGCTGGTGTTGCTGCTCCCGCTGCTGTGTTTCTGTGCCCGGCTCAACCTCCGTGGGGGCTTTGAATGCTGCAGTCGGGGGCTCGGCATGGACGGGAATGAAGAGGCGTAGCCATGTTCACACTCTGAAGAAAGCAAGAAAAAAAGATACGGTAAGAAGAATATAGTACCCAAATCCATTGACCCACAAATCCGAGGTCTTTGCAGTAACAGGTTTTTGAAAGCAGGAAAAGAGGTAAAATGTTTCCACTCTTTTTGGTTAGAAAATTAATGTCCCTCGCCTGGACATCAATCCTGTGACACCCCACCAGCTGGAAGGTGTTTTGATACCTCCTCTAAACCAAAGAGTTTATCCCCCCTTTCCAAAATCCTTCTCTCCCAAGAACTTGAGATTTCAGATGCTTTAGAACAAAAATTTTGTGACCAGTTACCATTCACCTCATTGACTTCGCTTGCCTCAAAAATTCCCCTTTACTTTCAACTCTCTCTGTTCTAAAGAGTCTCTTTAAGCCCAATATTTTTGTGTACTTCGAACAAGTCTTAGAAAGACATTTTCTCTCTCGACACCACAGTCTCCGAGTTCCTGGTCTTTCTGCGCCATCTCTACAGCCCCTTGGGCTGCCACCGCTAAAGGGACCCCATCTCATCACCCCGCAGGTATTCAAAGGCCCCTCTCCACCGGTTTTCCCCCGCTCAGTGTTCTCCCGGCCTCGTCCCTTCCCCTGACCCCCCCCAGCATCCGTGTTCCTCCTTCCTCTTATCTCCCAGCACCCTCTCCCGCTCCGGGGCCCTCCAAGCTTCTCCACGGTCACCCTCTCTCCAGCCCCAGACCGCCCTCTCTCCAACTTCCCTCCACCCGTCTCCTTCCCGCTCGCCGCACACCCACAGCCCCACCCTCCGTGCGCACCCTCGCACCTCCCCCAGCACCTGCGCGACCTCTCACACACGCCTCCACTCACGATCTCAGCACACACACCTCCCCACGCACGCGCGCCCCTCCCCGCACCCGCCCCTCCCACACGCGCACGCCCCTCCCACACGCGCACGCCCTTCCCGCACACGCCCCTCCCCCCCGCGCACCATCCCTCCCACGCGCGCACCCCTCACACACGCGCGACCCTCCCCGCACACGCGCGACCCTCCCCACACACGCGCGTGCCCCTCTCCTCACACGCCCCTCCCCTAACGTGCGCACCCCTGCCCTCACACACACGCATGGCCCTCCCCTCACACGCCCCTCCCCACACGCGTACGCCCCTCCCCTCACATGCTCGCACCCCTCCCCTCACATGCGCTCACCCCTCCCCTCACACACACGCGCGCGCCCCTCCCCTCACACCCGCGCGCCCCTCCCCTCACGCGCGCGCTCCCCTCCCCTCACACGCCCCTCCCCTCACACGCGCGCACCCCTCCCTCACACGCGCGCACCCCTCCCTCACAGGCGAGCTCCCCTCCCCTCACATGCTCCCCTCCCCTCACACACTCCTCCCCTCACATGTGCACGCCCCTCCCCTCACGCGCGCTCCCCTTCCCTCATACGCCCCTCCCCTCACGCGTGCGCCCCTCCCACACGCGCGCTCCCTTCCCCACATGCCCCTCCCATCACAAGCGCGCTCCCCTCCTTCACTCGCCCCTCCCCTCACGCGCGCGCTCCTCACACGCCCCCCTTACACGCCTGCTCCCCTACCCACACGCCCCTCCTCACACGCGCGTCCCCTCCCTCACACGCCCCTCCCCTCACACGCGCGCACCCCTCCCTCACACGCCCCTCCCCTCACACGCGCGCTCCCCTCACGCGTGCGCACCCCTCCCTCACACGCCCCTCCCCTCACGCGCGCTCCCCTCCCCACACGCCCCTCCCCACACACGCGCGCTCCTCTACCCTCACGCGCGCACACCCCTCCCCTCACATGCGCGCACACCTCACCTCATGCGCGCACCTCACACGCGTGCCCTCCCTTACCGGCCGCACCGCACTGCCGAAAAAGATTAGTAGCGCTCGGGCTCACGCAGCGGCGCCCAGCCATTACCTCGCTCCCGGCGCTCCAAAAACTCGGCAGCCTCCAGCAGACGCTGCACGTTGATCATCTTCACCCGCTCCATGGGCACCGCGGGTGGCGACCGGCGCCTCTCCGCACTCCCTTCTCGGGCCGACAGGAGGCGCCGCAGGCGGCTACGGCCGGGCGCCGTTCCGGAACATGTGCGACGGGCGGGCGGGCCAGCTCGGCCGCGGCTCGGCGCGCTCTCCGCCGCCCCTGCCGCCCCAGCCGCGCCAGCCGCGCCCGCCGTGCCGCGGGCAGCCCGCGCGTGGTTTGTTTACCTCTCCCCGCGAGCACGGGGGAGGGGCGGGAGCAGCGCCGGGGCCCGCCCCCTCCCGCCCCTGCCTCTGCCCCCTGGGAAATGTAGTCCCGCACCCGCCCGCGGCTGCCGGGAATCGTAGTGCACACGCCGTTTCAGGGCGCCTGCGTTCCGCAAGATTCGCAAAGGTCGTCGGAAGGTGTAGTCCCGCTGGGTTTCCTTTCCTGTCTCTAGGGAAGACTAAGAAGTTGCGGGACTTTGCTTCTGGGAGGGAAGAATTTTTTTTTCCTCCCTCCAGACACGATGTGGAATGGGAAGGATTTGAGCGAGCTGGGAGTCTACTCCCGGGGAAACTTGTTTCTCAGCGACTCCCTGCGGTTGCCCAGGGGCTGAGACATTCTTTATTCGAAGTATCATGTTCCAGTCCTCTATCTCCTACTTTCTCATGTAACTTATGTGCCTCAGTTTGCTCATCTGCAAAATAAGAAGAGTAACACACCTGCACCAACAGCGCACACAGAAACTGGAAAAGCCAAAATTGCTGTTCAAAAACGAGGGATGATTTCATCAGAGAGGGTTTCCATGAAGCCCTTCTTCCACCTCAGCTTCCACACAGACAAGTAGTTACTTTTTTCTTTAATCTTACTTTTTAAAACTTTCTCCTCTCCTCACTAGTGCTTTTAGACGCCAGAAAATTCTCCCTGGTGCGGAACAGTTTGGTTCAAATCCTGACTCTGCTACTTACACTGAGACCTGTGTGAACTCTTCCAGCCTCATTTTCCTTATGTATAAAATGGATATGATCATATCCACGGCGTTGAGGGCGTGCCATGTGCCAGGCACTGTACTAGACTTAGTTTGCATAGTAAGAGAGAAACGGACGCAGACCTGCTCTCGAGGTTTGTGTATTCAGTAGTGCTTTTTGCAAAGATTAAATATAATAATTCCAGCACTTAGTATATACTAGGCACTCAGTAAATAGAAGCGATGATGATGTTTTCTCTTATGCTCTCCTCTGTAGCTAAAAAGGAAGTTAGAGAGCGGAGACCACATTAAAAGACTACCACTGGCCGGGCACAGTGGCTCACGCCTGTAATCCCAGCACTTTGGGAGGCTGAGGTGGGCGGATCACCTGAGGTCAGGAGTTCGAGACCAGCTTTGCCAACATGGTGAAACCCTGTCTCTACTAAAAATACAAAAATTAGCCGGGCATGGTGGCGGGTGCCTGTAATCCAAGCTACTCGGGAGGCTGAGGCACGAGAATCGCTTGAACCCGGGAGGCGGAGGTTGCAGTGAGCCGAGATCACGCCACTGCACTCCGGCCTCCAGCCTGGGCAACAGAGCAAGACTCAGTCTCAAAGAAAAAAAAAAAAAAAAAAAGCCACTGACTGCTCATTCATGGCCACTCTCTTTCTAAGTCCTCCACCTAAAAAATCCTCAAAGTCTAGACCAGGGTTTCTCAACTTTAGCATCATTGACATTTTGATCTGGGTAATTCCTCCTTGGAGCAGGAGCTCTGTTCCGTGCTTTGCAGGATGTTTAGGAGCATCCCTGGCCTCTACCCACTAGATGCCAGTAGCACACCACCACCCCTCAGGTGTGACAACCAAAAATGCCTCTAGACATTGCCAAATATCTCCTGGGGCACAAAATCCCTCCCCTGTCCCCCAGTTGGGAACAAGGGATCTAGGGAGAGGAAGAACAAGAGAATCGTACTTGAATGCTCTAGGAACAAGCTGGGAACCGTGCAAACATACCCATAACTTTTTTCCACCCCAATTATATTAACCTGCTGCTTGACATCACATCCAAAATAACAGGAAGCTCCTGGTGAGGGGGGAGTTTCCCCCTCCCGTGGTCATTCCATTGGCTCCTGCAGAAAATACCATCTTGAGATGGAAATCTTACCCTCTTAAAAATGTTATCGGCTTCATGCTGCATTTTAATATACCTTTCCCTCATACCTTTTGTTTTCTTACCTTTCCCTCATACCTTTTGTTTTCTTTTTTCTTTTCTTTTTTTTTGGTAAAGTGAACAAAATCTCCAGTGAGGTCACAAGCTGCAAAATTCTGCCAGTCCTTTTAAATATTACACTTGGCACCACATTTAAGACCAAATAGACGTTCCATCAAATGCAAGCAGACCCAAAATGAGAGGTGTTCGCAAGCCACAGAAGAACTTTTTTTTTTTTTTGTAAAGGCTTTCAAAAAGGGACTGTTCTTTTAGCTCTTGACTAGGTCGTTTTGGATCTGGACTTTCCCAGGTCATTTTGGATCTGGACTTTCCCACTGGGTGTTGGTAACAACCTCCCTTCACCCTCAACAAGGGCCATGTTGGGTAGGGGTGGGACTGGATTATTTTAAAGAAAATACCATTCATTTAGAACATCTGTTAGTTGAGGGTAGAATTTATTTATTTTTTATTTATTTATTTATTTATTTTTTGAGACGGAGTCTTACTCTGTCACCCCAGCTGGAGTGCAGTGGCGCGATCTCGGCTCATTGCAACCTCCACCTCCCGGGTTCTCCTGACACAGCCTCCCAAGTAGCTGGGGTTACAGGCGCCTGCCACCACGCCCAGCTAATTTTTTGATTTTCGTAGAGACAGGGTTTCACCATGTTGGCCACACTGGTCTCAAACTCCTGACCTCGTGACTCGCCCACCTCAGCCTCCCAAAGTGTCCCTGGCCAGGACAAATACAACTCTACTTTTCTCAATAGGAGGTAAACTTGTGTGACAAGCAATCAAGAAAAGTAGTACAAACTGAAAATATACATGAATTCAAGATGGCTTTAATTCCAGAGGTCACAGAACCATAGCTGGTTAGGAAGAGATGGCTACATGCAAGAGGCCTGGGGCCTATGCATGGCCTTTCACAGTTGACCTCCAGGTGAACTAACCTAGAGCCCTTCTTCTAGAGCCATGGCCAAGAGGGAGATGAGGACATGGAAAGTAGAGCGAGACTCACCAAAAGGCCACCTGCATTGAAGAAGGGGAGAGATGATGATCATGGTGGGCAGTATTAAGGGCTGGTTCATGTACAGAAATCTCCAGCCTTTTCTAAAAGCAATTGAAGTGCCACTTCCTTCTCCCTGCGCTGGCTGCCTCCTGGAGTCCTTCCTTGGACATCAGCTATAAGGGCCTCTCCAGCACAAAGCTTAGGGCTCTATCCACAGGAAAGTAATGCTACCCACAAACCATCCCTCAGCAACAGTCTCAGCCCGGAGGAACCCAGAGGCAGCCATAGCCTTTCTTTTGTTCCGATGAACTAGTTTGCACTACAAATGCAGATGGGGAAACAGGAAAAGCAAGGCTTCCAAAGTCTACTGACATAAGAACCTGGAATCCTACCCATAGTCTCTGTTCTGTCCTCTCCCTAAAGTATATCTCTCTCTCAAGGGAGTCATTTGAAAATGGAGAAAGTCCCCCAGAATACCCCAGGCCTATAACGATCACAGCCACGGATGGGGACAATCTGCCTTCTGAAGGAAGCAGGCAAAGCCCTCAATTCTTAAGGGTCCTTTCTCAGCACAGTTTACTTAGTGACAATTTCCAAGTGATTTATTGCAGATTCATAAACAATGGAGGCTGATGTGTTGTATCTTTTCTTCAGGGAGGCGAGATGGGGAGAGAGGAAGGGGCCATGAGGTTAAGTTACAAGTCCAAAGTTACTGTGTTGATGACACCTTGCACTTAGGAGAACTTCCCTGAAACTGCAAAGTGTTTACTGAGTAGGGCACTGTTTTCTGCAATTATCTTTAAGGATGGGCGTTTTCAAATAATCAACACTGGGGACACGGGAGGTGAACTCTAAGCTCTTAAATGAGAACCGTTAACAGTTATACATTTTTCCATCTCCCATCCCAAAATGACTACTGCAGCCTCCTCCCCTCCTCTTCCCCCAGAGCCCAGAAACGTGAAGAACAGCAGAAAACCTTTCCCTCGCCCAGTGAGTCAGCCTTGCCTAAGTTCATGCGTAAGCTCTCCTCAAGTCAGCGGCAGCTCAGAGCTGCGGGTCTGTGTGCAGCCGAGATAAATTTGGGTCTAGAAGGGATGACGTAATGCTAAACCCGAGAGGTAGCTGCCGCCTCCCAGGGCTCCTGTCGCCAGGGCTGCCGGCTGACATCCCAACCACACGGAAACGCACCAAGCGACTCAGGTGCTGCCCGAGCTGGGGAGAAAGGGAAAGGACATGGGGTGGGGGGAACGCCAGGGGGAGGCAGTGTTTATCTGAGACGGCTGAATCTGGAAGTTTGTTGCTTTTTAACTCCAGTTTTACTGGTGAGATCAGACCACTGGCAAATGCTCAAACAGCTGCACTTGACTTCCATCCTGACCCATCTCTTCCCTCTTAGAAAAGGGCTTCTTACATTTTATTAAATGGCCCTTATTACAGCAGCCTATTTCAGTGATTATAATGGATGTGTTAATCTCTCAAATGTCCTTTTCCTTCTTTTTTGCATGAACTTGGATCCAAGAAGACATCTGCATTGCAGGACTCAATTAACATGCACATCTAAGCGGCTTGCTTACTTTGGAGCACCCCACTTGGGGTGACACCAGGGTGCTACTGATAAGGTATTTGGGAGGATTTTGCTAGGGCCATGCCAAGTGAATATTTCCCCAAATAACATTTCAAGGTTTATGTCATAGAAGTTTGTGTCATTAAGCTTGTTTCTCAATACAGTCCCCATTTTTCACTTGAGAAAGCTGAGGCTCAGAGAGGTATGGTAACTTGCCCAAGGCCAACAGCTGTCTATCAAACTGATGGAATAAGGGTTAGAACTCAGGCTTTTTTAAACCCGTGGGGCCCATTCCTTTAAATATCAAGACGAAGTTGCATTCCCAAAGGATCCAAATGCTGTTTTTTTCTGTTTATGGTTCATTCTTCCCCAAGGAAAGGTTGCCATCAGAGTCAACTCCTTCACTCCTGGTGATGACCGCAAACCTTGGGCCCAACCTCACCCTTCCACTATAATTAAAAGACCACCACAGGAAACAATCTTTGTTGTGCCGAAGTAGTTTTCTTCATTAGAAATGCCTCCCAAATACTTTTCAACATTTGTTAGTGTAAACACATTTTATTCTTTAATTTGTGCCTGTAATCATTTATGCTGGTAGATTTTGTGACTTTCAGCAATATCTGGCAAATAACCTGGTCAGCCACGGTGTGTTATTGTTTTGAAGCACTGTTCAGTTCCAAGAGTTGATATTTTTGTTTAGGATTTCTGCATCTATATTTGAAAGCAAAAGTAAACTGTATTTTTTGTTGTGTTTCCTAGATGTTGGTATTGCAATAGTCTGTTCTTTCAAAGTTAGATGTAACTTGTTTTTAAGGCCTTCTCCTGCTGCTAAGAGGATGCCCCACATTCTTGCCAAAGCCCTGGGTAACCCTCCCTCCCCTGCCAGGAGCTGGCCTCGAGTTGCCCTGCCCCCACCCCTTGGCATCACCACCCTTTTCCAGGCAGCAGAAAGTTGTGGAGGTCACAGTTAGGTCTAGCCAGGCCCTGAACACTAAACCACACAACCAGCTCCTGCTGCCTTGTATCTGCGTTCTCTCAGCCTCAGATGCAGCACTTATAATAAAAATACCATTCTCTTGCCTGTCCAAGGTATAGCTGATCTCACCAGCTCTTCCAGCAATAGTGTTTTGATTTGAGGAAGCTGGGATTGTCCCTAGATCCTAGAACAATACACATCCATTTGCCTACTAGCTGCCACATAACTAGGGCCAACATGCACGGTGCTGCTCCTCCAGTCAGTTCATTTAATCCTCAGCACACCTCTGAGATTCCTATTTTACAAATAAGGCCCAGAAAGGATAGGTGATTTGCCCAAGGTCACACAGGCTATGAACAGATTGGAACTTGAATTTTCTGACCCTTGGACCCTACAGCATACATCATGTTATGTTCAATCGCGTCAGGTCAAACGAAATTGGTTAAAGCAATGGTCTCAACCAAGGGCAATCCCATCACACTAGGAGGCGGTAGAAACATTGTAGGAGTGTCTTTTTTATTGTCACAATGACTGGGGGCGTTCCAGTGGCGTTTAGTGGGTGGGAACCAAGGATGTTAAATCCTGCCATATTCCAAACTAATCTGTACAAGAACTGTCACACCAACAGCTCCTGTGTTGAGAAACACTAGGTCAGAAAGATAAAGACAGAAAACTAATCATTTATTCAATAAATATTCCTTAAGCATCTGTTATGTGCCAGGCACTAAGCTAGATGCCAAAGATAAAATAATGAACAAAACTACTTATGGTCCCTGTCCTCTATGTGCTTATATTCCAGCCCTCCAGACTGATGATAAGCAAGTAGAGTAAGTGTAAATTGTGATGAGCAGGATACAGGATAAATGATAAAAATGGGATAAGGTTAGGTGGCTGGGTGAGGAGTTCTGGGATGATCACAAAGACTGTTTAAGACATCTTCTCAAACTTTAAGGAGCACACAAATCACCTGGGTATTGTGGCAAATGCAGATTCTACTGCAGCAGACCTGGAGTCTCATTTCTGACAAGCTCCCAGGGGGTACCAAGGCTCTCCATCCTCCAATCACACTCACTCCGAACGGCAATGATGAAGGCCATGACAAGGAGTTTGGATTTTATTTTAAGTGAGGCAGGAAAGAAGCTATTGAAGGGCTTTTGAAAAGTGAGTAATAGGAACCCAGTTATATTTTGGGTTTTTTGTTTTTGTTTTTGTTTTTTGACACGGAGTCTCACTCTGTCTCCCAGGCTGGAGTGCAGTGGCACGACCTTGGCTCACTGCAAGCTCCGCCTCTCAGGTTCAAGCAATTCTCCTGCCTCAGCCTCCCAAGTAGCTGGGATTACAGGCACCCACCACCATGCCCAGCTAATTTTTGTACTTTTAGTAGAGACAGGGTTTCACCATATTGGCCAGGCTGGTCTCGAACTCCTGACCTCAGGTGATCCACCCACTTCGGCCTCCCAAAGTGCTGGGATTACAGGCATGAGCCACCTCGCCCAGACAAATGCAGTTATATTTAAGATCCCTTGTTTCCTAGCTCTGGATCAGCGAGAGAAAGTGGTTGGCCTATGTCATTGTCTGACTGGAACCAGCTGGCCCACACTGTCACGGTGGCAGCGAGGACCTAATGCTCATCTCTGCAGCTCACACTTGCCTCTCTCCTCTGGCTTCCCTGGCAGAAGCCCTTGGCTCCATGTATGGGCCAGCCCAGTTGCCCTACAAGCTCGGGCGCCTCCAGGAAGCCTAATAAGCCTGACAGGGTGTGGATTCACACCCTGACACCCTAGTATGCAGAACCACAGGAGACCTACTGGTTGGGTGAGTTCCCCAGGGGGTGCTGGGCAAGGTACTACTGCAGGTGCAAGCAGTGACACCCTAGACCATCTCCGTCTAGAGAAAGGAGCCATTTGGCTCCACTGTCAACACCCAAAGGGCCCTGGAGGTTCTGACAGCCCACTCTCTACCCTAGCAAGAGTGGGGAGAAAAGGAAGTCGCTCCAGGGAGGCATCCTCAAGGGCACCCTCAGCCTAACTTAAAACATTCCAGATTCCAAATCTTTTTTTTTTTTTTGAGATGGAGTCTTACTCTGTCACCCAGGCTGGAGTGCAGTGGTGTGATCTCGGCTCACTGCAAGCACCGCCTCCCGGGTTCACGCCATTCTCCTGCTTCAGCCTCCCGAGTAGCTGGGACTACAGGCGCCCGCCACCACGCCCGGCTAATTTTTTGTATTTTTAGTAGAGACGGGATTTCAGCGTGTTAGCCAGAATGGTCTCGATCTCCTGACCTCGTGATCCGCCCACCTCGGCCTCCCAAAGTGCTGGGATTACAGACGTGAGCCACCGTGCCCAGCCTCCAGATTCCAATTCTTGACTCTTGCACATTTCTTACTCCCTGGGGCTTTTCCCAGAGCCCTAAGGTCTCTCTAGGAAGAAAGAAAAATCTGGGGTTTTAGTCTCTACTCCACTATTTATTAGACTGTGGCCTTAGGAAAGTTAGTCTTGCTAAAGCTAAGGCTTTCCTCATCTACAACATGAGGGTTATTATAGCACCTGCATATTGGATGTTTGTGAGAATTTAATATAAAGCACGTAGCATTGTGCTGGCCCATAGTAAATGCTCAATACTAGGAGGGCATTATCACCACTCCTTTGGAAAACAGAGAAGACATTGCACTTGTCAGCAGCTCTCTTGGGGACAGGTTATCACACTCTCCCAGAAGACAGACAAGAATTGTTGACTGATTTCTATTCGTCTATCATTTGAACTAGAAGATAGACCTGGAACTGGAGATCATACATGCTTCACTTTGGAATCACCAAGCACAGAGCTTGGCTCCCTGGCAGGTTTTAGAAATTATTTGTTGAACTTAGCTCAGTTCAACAAAAACTTAGCTCAGTACCACTGGCAGAAAAAAATGAAAGTAAGTTGTATGCAAGGCACACACAGTCTTGGGAGCCAAGAAATATGGCAGGACGGTCAGGCTGTGGTGGAGGTAAGAGGAAGATAACACAGGGGCACCATAAGGTAGTTCTGGGCCCCTGTAGAAATAAAAACAAAGTCCACACCAGCTCTCACTTGCCCAGAGCAGCCCTGGGCATGTCCTCCACTTTAATACAATAGCCTTCCTACTCCCAAATCACCTTTATTCAAGTATCCTTGCTAATGGCAATAAAGACACAGAAAAAGAAATTTCAAATAGTAGGTAATCCAGATCCCCTTTAATTGGCTTCAGTTTGAATTTCTCAATCTCCCTCTCCCTCCGGACAGTGTGTTTATCTTTCTAATTTTGCTGTGTCTAAATTTCCTTACAGACACTGGAGTTGGATATTAGAGGTCTGTGGCCAAGAGCATGTTGTACAGGAGAGTGGACTTGGGAGGAATGCTGGTGTGGACAATCCTCCAAGTGCAGAAGGCCCCTATCTGTAAAGAACTGCGAGTGGAATGTATTTACTTACAAGGTTGCTTACACAGTTTCCTAAGCTCAGGCAGTGAAAGAAAAAAAAAACATCTGTAGAAATTACAAGGACAAACACAAAAACACAAAGGATTGTAGGCCGGGCACGGTGGCTCATGCCTGTAATCCCAGCACTTTTGGAGGCCGAGGTGGGTCGATGGCTTGAGCCCAGGAGTTCGAGACCAGCCTCGACAATATAGCAAAACCTTGTATCTACAGAAAATACAAAAAATCAGTGGGGCAAGGTGGCACACACCTATAGTCCCAGCTACTCGGGAGGCTGAGGCAGGAGGATCACTTGAGCCCAGGAGGTAGAGGTTGCAGTGAGCTGAGATTGTGCCACTGTACTAGCCTGGGTAACAGAGCAAGACCCTGTCTCCAAAAAAAAAAAAAAAAAAAACATTAAACACAGATAGGGGAGACAGGGAGGGAAAGAACTACTCCTTTTGGAAGCCCAGGCTAAATTTTTATTCTGTCTATAATGATAGCTAGAACCAAAGACAAAAATACTCAAGTCAAATGCCATCCTGCATTGTTGGGGTTCACTTTAAGACAAGTGAAGTTCTAAAACCTGGCAGTGGAACAGTACACTCCATGAAGACAGGAACTCTACCTCTAAAACCTGGCACTGGAATAATACACTCCATGAGGGCAAGGACTCTACCTCCAAGACCTAGCACAGTGCCTCCCATTAAGCAAGTATGTACTCCTTATGTACTGGTTTAATTAATGAATGAATAAACACAAATTTAGGGAGAATGGCTCACAACATAATTCCACATCTTACCAAAATAGTTGCCACAAGGGCTTTTCAAGAGAGTTTCTCTAAATTTTTTTGAAAAAGGATTCTGTTTACATATATTCCCTGGAGCGTACTGCTCAAACCAAGGGTCACCTGAACTTTCAAAACATTTCATAAGCAAGGGGCCCAGCACACTTCTGCCAAGATGAGGAAGCAAAGAAGGAGCCTCCTGCTCAGCATGATGATGGCAAATGCCCATTATTTTTGACCACAAAGATCAAGTCAGCTGTTGACAGCTTTAACACCTCTAGCCAGGCCACTCGGGTACAATGACATCAGAGACAATTGCTTCCTTTAAGTTAGAAGAGCCAGAGAGCAGGTGTCTGTCCTTGGGACAGGGAATTGAAGCCTCTCCCGTTCCCTTCCATCCTCCCTCCCTCTCTTTTTTTTCTCTCTCCCCACTGTGAGCCTAGAGCTCCACCTCCAGAAGGATCCTCCAAGACTTGAATTCCTCCTCCTCAGTCAAGGCTTGGGATAGCCACCTCATCACTGCCACCACCTTCTAGCTCCTCCCTCCTCCCAGCCCCCAAATGTAAAAGATAGTATTTTTCTAAGTATGGCAAATTGAAATTAGCTTCATTTTGAAAGACTATTGAGAATGTTGCAATGACCTTTGCAATAACCGGACACACCCTGGGATCAGTAAACCAGGTTTGAAAATTGCTGACTTTATGAGCACTGGACCTGTGAAACAAATGCCCAGGTTGGGACTCTACCTGGAACCCATTCTCGTATCAGGTAGGAGGGAACACAGCCCAGAAGGACCTGGTTCTGCCTCTGCTGTGTCATCTTGGGCAAGCCAGTGTCCCTCTCTGGGTCTCAGACTCCATGACTGTACAGATGATGGATGCTCTGTGACCTCTGGGGCTCCTTCTGGCCCTGATGCTCTGTGCTAATACCTGCCTCCTTTAAAAACAAAACCTGGACCCAGTGTGGTGGCTCACGCCTGTAATCCTAGCACTTTGGGAGGTCAAGGTGGGCAGATCACAAGGTCAGGAGTTCAAGACCAGCCTAGCCAGCATGGTGAAAACCTGTCTCTACTAAAAATACAAAAATTAGCCAGGCGTGGTGGCAACCACCTGTAGTCCCAGCTACTTGGGAGGCTGAGGCAGGAGAATCACTTGAACCCAGGAGGTGGAGGTTGCAGTGAGCTGAGATTGTGCCAATGCACTCCAGCCTGGGCAACAGAGTGAGACTCCATCTCAAAAAAAAAAAAAAAACAAAAAAAAAAACTGAAGTGGAGCAGAAAGAAAAATGGGAAGGGAGAAGAATGGTTCAGGAGGCCATATTACTATAAAGCTCCCCCATTTCTGCCTGCTGAAAATTGCTTTCCTCATTCTGCAGGAAGACTCCCATTTCTTGCTGGGTTGTTACTTTTTTATTTCTTTTTCTTTCTCTCCTTTAAAAAAAAAAAAAAAAACTCAAAAGCCACAAAACCACAATTCATCTCCCCAAAACAGGACATTTGGAAGCCAGAGCTGTCGGGGGTTAGGTGTGTCAGGCCTGACATACTGGTGGTATCTAAGTGAAGACCAAGCCAGGGCAAGCATGTGCTTCTCCTCCAGAAACCCAGTTTAAATCAATATTTATCCAACTGTATTTATAGAAAGTGGTGGTGGTAGGGAGGAGGGGGTGGGGTAGGGAGGCAGGGGGATCTAAAACAGAACAAGCCACAATGACTGATGCAAATCTTTGTGGCCAATTCGCTTCTGCAGGGCTGGGTTTTTTTTTCAAAAGGCAAAAGACCCGGCTTTTGATGAACCTGCTGTTGGCCCCAGTACCATAGCAACAGCCCCAAGTCCTCTAATATGCCCAGAGGACAGACTTGGGAAAGGCAGCAGGAGGGGGGTGGTGTTTCCTAGGAGCCCTAAACTTGAGTTAAGGCCAGGAGAGTTGAACAACTCTGAAAGACAAAAAAAGAAAAAAAGCCTCTCTGGTTGGCTCTTCTGACTCCAGCCTCACTTCGAAACCTTTTCTAAGCAAGGTGTGTGCAGGAAGACCTTGGACAATAAACAAGGTGTTTCAAATACCAGCTCTGCTTCAGGTTCCTGGGTGACCTTGAGTAAGTCATTTCACTTCTCTGGACTTCATTCCTTGGCTGTGAAATGAGTACATGTGTATATGGTTAAGAGCACAGGCTCTGGAATCAGAGGCCTAAGTTCAAAACTCAGCTCCGCGACTTACTAGCTATATATCCTTTGGGCAAATTACCTGGCATCCCTGCTCCTCAGTTCCCTCCTCCGTAAAAGAGGGTAATAAAATTGCATCCATCAGAAGGTTGTTGTGAAGATCAGGGGAGATAATGAATGCATAGCCCCATACTTGGAATATAGTCAGTGTTCAATAAATTGTAGCCATTATTGATATTATGCCATACAATTAGTTGCTGCTGCTGCACGCCAGCACCCTCTTCATTTTCCTCAGTTTCACCTCTAGACTTTTGCCCAGGCATCTCCAGATGAATCCCCATTTCTGGATGTGTCAGTGGGAGACTGTTTCCATCAGAGATGAGAGATGGATGAGCAGCTACTGTTTTGCCTTGGTAGCTAATGGAGCCTCCTTTTTGCTCCCAAACCAGGAATGGCTCAATTCAACTTCTCTAACTTCCAAGGCCCTGTCCCCTTTCCCTGGATCTCCTTTCCAGGACACACAGTCCTTGGGAGCTCCGTGATTCTGAAAGCCGTAACAATATCCTCAAAAAAGCCTTCTTCTGGTATTTACCAGTCAGCAGAGATCATATTTAAAACTGGAAAAAATAAGTTGAATCTGGGGAACATAATTTGGGATGCAGAGGAAATAGGGCCTGATTTAAGAATGCTCTTCACATAACTCCACTAAAGACAAATACCCTACTCCACCCCCACCATACTTCAACCTACAGAGTTTTCAGAAAGAAGCATCTGCACATAGTAGACATTCAATGTACATTTGAAGAATGTATGAATTCATAAGATTGCTGCCATGCAAAAACGTGACCAGCTTGAACATTAGTTGCCATCAAAGCCCTCGATTTCAGCAGAAGTCACTCTAGTCTCCTTCTTTCTTATTTGTTTCTCAGGGTCACAGCTGTTCACAGGATGCAGTCTCAGCTCTTCAGGTCTGAACTATCATCTTCTTGCAGGGATTGGTCTCACCACCCAAGGGAGTTGGAGATCAGTATTTCTGACTCGTCTCCAAATCTTCGGAAAGGCTGTCACGTGTCCCCTGGCCTCCAAACCTGATCCTCGTGCCATAGCTAGCAGTAAATGACAAATCTAACCAATCAAAACATTTATATTAAGGATCTACTACTGTATGCCCAGTGGTGTGCTATATGCAATGGGTAACATGCATTGAATACTGTAAGTGATCTTTTCTCTTAAGTTACTAATAAACTCCTTGTAAAGGTAAAGCTAACACACAGGAAGCAAGTAGAGAAGTGCATGGTACTGATTATCAAAGCTCAGAGAAGTTGCTATTTATTGAGCACCTATTATATCTCAGGTACGTTAAATATTTAAGTGCAGTGCCTCATTGAGTTGTTTGACAATGATATGAGGGTCATACTATTGTTATCCCCATTTTGCAAAAAGGAAATGGAACCTCAGGCTAAGTAAGTTGTGTCCAAAGTCACAAAGCCAGTAAGCAGTAGAGTAGCAAGCTGGGCCCTGCTCCATGTGACTGCAAAGGTTTCATTCTCTCAAGTACAATGACTTAACAAATAGAGCCAAATGGGCTGAAATAGCTAGGGGAAGCTTCCTGGAGGAGGTGGAAACTGATCTAAGTCTTGAAGAGAAGGTAGGATACAGATATCCCTAGGGGAGTAAGAGAATGAAAGCATTCTAGACAGTGGAAGAGTCTAAGTCGAGCACAGAGGTTCGACTGTGAAGCCTGCTTGCTGGTGGATCTGCTGTACAGACACAGAGGTTTCAGGGCAAGGAAGAGGAGATTAAGTCAGAAGGCAGGGTGGGGCCAAATGACACCACACAACAGCAGCTTCCTCTACCAGGAGGAACAGGCTGTTTCTTGGGCTGTCCGTGCCCCTAGGAAAGCACCCCACCCTCAAACCCAGGTGATCCACTCCAAGGAGCCTTATGGCTTTCTACTCTCATCTGATCGTCCTTCCCTATCTTAAGTGTTGCCTCCAAAGCAACCTCCTCCAGACACTAGGAAGCCCATTTCTCTCCTCCAGACCTTACCTGCTCTCACAGCTTGTTTCACTTACCTGCCAGTCGGCTCTTATGCACATAACATCCCTTTATGGATCTGTTCTTCTCTTTTAGTTTTAACCTTTTCCAAGATCTTTTTCTACTTATTAGTCAGTCCTTAATTCCCACCCTTCCACTGGACTCAAAATGCATATAGGTGATGATGTCAGAGATTATTTACATATAATTTCTGAATTTGTGGTAATAGGATCACAGCCTTCATGATTAATATTTCTGGAGGCCTTCAATTTGTGATCCGTAGAGATTCACATCAGTTGGAGTTTTGGGAGAATGTACCTGCCTTTCCTAGGGAATCCCCCCTGCCTTGCACACAGCAGACAGTCAACAATGTGACTTAATTTGAACCCCTCCTCCAAGAAAACTCAACCTCTCCACTGGAAGTAATTCAGCCATGTGGCCACAACTTGGTGAACACTACCAGTACGGAAACCTCAACAAGGGAACGAAAAGCAGTTCTGGCTACGATGGAAAATAAGGCAAGCTCCTGCCAAGTAAGTACTTCGCAAACAGCAGTAAAAACGGAACGTGTTAACTCGTGACCAGGGTCCACCATGCATCTCAGAAAGGTCTCACCGAACCCGAAATGGAGAATCGGGGCCCGACACTCATCTCCGGACAGAAGAGCGTCCCTTTAAGAAGAGACTGGACCAGCTGGCCGCACTACAGCTCCCAGAGATTTCCTGGCTTGCAGCCTGGCTCCACCCCCCACCCAGCCTCCGGCCCCAGCAACGCGTGACGTCAGAAGAGGCTGGAGCTGCCGATTGGCTGAACGACGCAGCTAGGTCAAGTCCAGTCGGAGGAAAGAAGTTTGTCTCCATGTGGAAACCATGTGTCTCTAGCTGGGAGGGGGAGGAGGAGAAGGCGGAGAAACCGAGATCAAGTGATTATAGGGGAACTCGCTGAAATGAAGGCGGGGAGGTTGTGCACCTGAGTCGGCCAACGATGCCCTTTTGCAGTAGTGACCGAAAAAAAAAAAAAAAAAGACGTACACAACAAACTACCCAACCCCACCCCCAATAATAACTACTAAAAAGCTAGGGTCCCTGCTTCCTTCCAGAAACCAGGGACCCGGTAGATGCTGGAATCCTATCGGAACGCCCAGATCCCTCTCCCTCCCCCAACGACTGAATGATGTAAGCGTTTCGGAAAGCAGAGCTCTGGAGCAAAACAAGCCCCGCGCGCGCCGAGCGACCCGCAGTGCCCGAGCCGGGCGCACGCACGACCCGCCCCCCGACTCGCGTTATTGCTGTGCACACGCGGATTGCCGTGACGCGCGGGCATTGTGTGCAGCGAGCAGAAAACAACGACGAGCGCCGCCAGCGCGAAGAAGCGCCCCCCATAAAACGAGGCAGATGTAGGGCCCGCCGTTTTCCGTACCCAGAGACCTAGACCGGGCAGGAGGAGGGGAGGAGAGGGGGTGGGATAAAGTGGCCCCCGTGGACCGCTTCTCTTTGCAAGGGGGATAACAGAGGGCCTGGCGGATGGTCGCACGGAGTTTGCCGGAGGTCACCCCAGCCTGTTCGAGCTGTTGGGGACGGGGCGAGGGCCTGGAGCGGGGTCTCTGCAGCCAAACTGGGCACGGCGCGGCGCCCCAAGCTCTCGGGGAAATCTGGGGGCCGTTGGCATCACGTCATTTAGAGCCAAACAGCAGCGGCGAAAAGAAGCAAGAGAGCTAAAAATACTCCCGCCGGGAGCCGGCCGGAGGAGGGGGGCTGCGGGGCCGAGGGACTTATTACGCACATGAAGTTGACTTAGACTTGGGTGCTAAGGTTCCAAACCCCTCTCGGGGGCTGGCAGATTTGCAGGGCGGACGCCTCGGGCGATGGGCTGGGAGGAAGCCCCTCGGCTTCACCAGCCTCTGGAGCCCGGTTACGCCGCCACGGGCCCGCCCCGCGCGGGGCAGCCCAAGCCCGGCGCGCCCGGCTCTCTGCTTACGTGACTGGTGGCCACGCCGGAGCCCCGGCACGGGGTAAACAACGAGGTGGCGGCGGCCAGGGCGGCGGGGTGGGGGGTGGGGGGTGGGGCAGGGGGAGGTCTCCGATTGTCTGCGGGTGCGAAGTGGGGGGCGGGACGCTGAGGAATCTCCGACCGCCTCCTCCATACACCTCGCTGGTGAGGGGGGGTGGCTGGGGTAGGGGGGCAAGCCAGGTTTGCCACACACTGCCAACGTGCCCTCATGGGGTGTACCCCTAGTCAGAGCCAACGCCACGGGACAGACTCCAGAGAACTGGTAGCCGGGGATGGGGGTAGCTGAAGAAATCGCGCCCCTCCCCCCTGCAACAAAAGCAAACACACCAAACAAAACCACGTCTTCACCCAGCTCCCCACCAGCTCTGGCTTTTCAGAAACTACCCTCCAGACAAATGCACACATAGCTTCCCGCGCCCCATCCCCCTCCGACCAGCATGAATAATTGCGAAGCGATTCGGCTGCACAGCCTGCGATGCGCCTTTCTCGCAACCCAGGCACTCCGGGAAAACAGGCGAGAAGAGAAAGAAAAGAACGCACCACCGACCTCACAACACAAATCCTCGTTTTGGCCTTACAGCGTCTGCACAATTGCGCTGCCAACACACGGTTCCTTTAACCCTGAAGACCTGGGGTATCAGTCAGCAATGGTGTTTTTGTGTCTGAGGGTTGTTGTGTTGGGTGGGGGGAAGGTTGCAAGATCTGACACGTTGCAATCGGGACCTTTCTTCTTTCTTTCTCTCTCTCTCACACACACACGCGCACACGTACACACACACACTCGCGCCTCATTGATCTTCCTACTTGTTCGGACACATTAAACATCCCGGTTTCCCCCTATCTGTCGGTCTGTCTGCCTAGTTCCCTTCCTCCTTTTCACAGCTATTATTCTGAGGACGGTGCTGGATACGCTGCACACGCGTGCCCCCGTTAGGGCGCTGAGTCGACTGCCTGGGGAAAGCTGGGTGACCTGGCTGGTAGGGGCAAAAATGAAACAAATAAATACAAAAAAGAAGCCAGGCCAGGGTGGGGTTCCCAGCACACCCCCACCCACGCACTACTATCCACGTGAATCTGGGGGTGGGCGGGTGGGGGGAGTAGAAATCGACCAGGAAGGCGTTTGCCTTGCTTGCCCTGTGCGCTCACTCAAGAGCCGTCTCCCGGAAAATAAAGAAAAAGCACAGAACAGCCCACACCTTCTTCCCCAACTATTGTTTCTCAAAGATCCCAAAGTTTCCTTCTAGCCGCGTCCCCACGGCCAAGTTTCCCGGGCTCAGGACGGCGTGTCCGGGGCGAGCTGCTGGCGTTGCTTGGCCCCGCCGGCCTCCTTCTTTGGGGGGGGGGGGGCGGCGGTGGCACCCCACGGCAACGGACGTGCAGGGGGACTGTGTCCGTAGACGTGATGGCCTGAGCCCAGTCCTGCTGCTAGAGGGAAGGAAAAAGGCGAAGTAGGAGGGAGAGAGAGAGACAGAGCCGAGCCCACGCCGTGGAGAGCTGTTTGGTTGTTATTGTTGTAGTGTGTGTCTGTGTGTTTTCTTTCTGGAACCTCTGAGCTCTGCCTATGGTTTCCAACTTTCGGCTTCTAATCCCCACCCCACCCAGGAACGAGCAACAGAAAAACAACACTTGTCTGCCTGAGAAGGCTCCGGAAAAAAAAAAAAAAAAAAGGAAGAAAAGCGACCTCAAAGAGATGAGCTCTCGGCTCAGTTGTCAGCAAACAACAACACTCCCCCGCTCCTCCGCTGGGCCATCCTCCCAGCCCCAGCCCGCCGGAGAGGACAGACCGACGCACCGACAGGCCCCTCTCCCCCTCGCCCGTCTTTGTTACATCTTTAGCAGCTTTGTGCGTGCGTGTCCTTTCTCCGGTGTCATCGGCTTTACTGCCAAGGGCTGGATGTGTATGTTGGGCGGGGGGGGGACGGGCCGAGCTCGCAACAGGGGTCGCCCAAGTGGGCGAGAAAGAAAGAACCGGGCGCCGAGGAAGAGCAGGGGCCCCCAAACTTACTTTTGTTTTCTTTCTCGATCTGCTCCAGGTAGCTGGCGGCCTCGAGCAGAATCTGCACGTTCTGCAGAAAAGTGTTGATGTGCTTCTCCATCGAGTTCTCGCTGGTGTTGAAAATGTCTGAGAAGGGGCACCTGGGCTTGGCCCCAGCGGGGTCCTCGGGCAGGGCCGGGGGCTGGGGCGCGGCCACGGCGGGGGGCACAGCCGGGGGCGCGGCGGGGGCCAGCCCCGCGCCCTCGCAGCGCGCCTCCTTGCGCGGCCGCCCGCGTTTGCCCATGGAGGAGCGGGGGTCCGCCGAGCTCGTCCTCTAACGGGGCTGCGCGGCCCGGCCGAGCTCCGGGCCCCCAGGGAGACCCGGCCGGCTGGAGCAGAGAAGGCGCCGGGGCGAAAAGCCGGCCTGACTTCCCGAGCCTCGCTGCCTGCAGTTGTGTGTGTGAGTGTATGGGAGTGTGTGTCGGTCTCGCTGTGAGTCTGTGTGTATGGGAGATTGAATGAACCTACAGGACAGACGGAGGCACTCTGGCGCCTGGGTCCTAGTGCGAGCCTGTCGCCATCGGACCGGTCAAAATAAAAGGTGGAGACTAGCGAGCGAGGCAGGGACCGCCCCTGCCCGTCCCCGCAGGCTTCCCTGCCTCTCCCCAAGGCTTACCACAGAGTAGAACACTGTCTTTTAACCGGAATGGAAAAAAATACCTGATGTCTCTGGGTGCACCTGCATAAAAACAAACTACTTTTTTCACAGAAAAATAATGCCTCAGAAAGTGTCCAGCACAATGCCTGGCACATAGTTAGGTCCCCATACATGGTGGCTGCTATGACTTAAAAATAAATAAATAAAAGCTCCCCAATCCAAATGGGAAGAAGGGAACCAGTGTGTAACCAGAAGATCCCCCCACCCCCAACACAAACACTCCTACTCACAGACACACATACATACGTAATCACGCACACACTTGCGAGGCACCTGTGTGTGCCTTCACACAGTCAAATGAAATCCCAGGCCGTCCAAATCCGAGTTACAGATTTACTCATGCCTTTCTCCCTTCAAATGCAAAGTTATTTTCCAGAAGTGGGAGGAGATGTCAGCATCCCTCTCCACACTCCTCTGCCCAGCCTTGGTTCAGCTGTGCAAAGCTCACACCAGGATGCCTCCACACCTGGCTCCCTTTAATTTGAGAGGCAGAAGTGGCAGCTCAGGAACCACCCCCCTCCCCAGCTGAATTCCACCTTTTGCCTCTGAAAACCCCTACCCCAGCTGACATTGTTTCACTGCCACTGCTGTCCGCAATCATGGATGCTTTCCAGCCCTGGGAAGTACTGGAGGTGTCAGGGGATGATTGAAGGCTGCTCTAGGGTGCCATAGGAAAGGGTTCAAATCCCAGCTCTGCTGCATACAGACTGTGTGAGCTTGGACAAGTCCCTTAACCTCTCTTGGCCTAAGTTTCCACATCATTGAAATGTGTGATAAGATGCTTGTGTATTGTATCTGACTTAGCACACTCTGGCCCATGGTAAGCTCTTTTTCTTCCAATCCAGACCCAGGCAAGAGCCTGAGTCCCCTATTCTGATGTAACTTGTATCTAAGAAAGGAACAAGATGTAGTGAACAAGACTCTTCTGCACTTCCTTGGAAAATATCTCTATGACAAGCCCATCTAAATATGGTTACTTTGCAAGGTCACCTGGAGTTTTCCTCCAGGGGAACCATTTATATAGAGGACAAAGACAATGCTGCCCCCTGGAGGTGTGCGATGCAGCCACCCTACTCAAAGGCAGCTTCATACACATTGTCATAAAAACTCTTGATGGCCGGACGCAGTGGCTCACGCCTGTAATCCCAGCACTTTGGGAGGCCAAAGCGGGCAGATCACCTGAGGTTGGGAGTTCGCGACCAGCCTGACCAACATAGAGAAACGCTGTCTCTACCAAAAATACAAAATTAGCCGGGCGTGGTGGCGCATGCCTGTAATCCCAGCTACTCCGGAGGCTGAGGCAGGAGAATGGCGTGAACCCGGGAGGCGGAGCTTGTAGTGAGCCGAGATAGCGCCACTGCACTCCAGCCTGGGCGACAGAGCCAGACTCCGTCTCAAAAAAAAAAAAAAAAAAAGTTTATCTTCCATTATTAGAACAATTACTGATTTTTTGCTTCTGTGAGAACCACAACCTGAGTTATTCGTGTTGAAATGCCTGTAAACATCTAAAAATGTTAGGAAGACCTCATGTATGCACAGTTTCAAACAAGCTTTCTCCAATGCCATTTTGCAAAAACTGGCCCTTGTGTGAAACAGCTCTGATCTCTCTTGCCCCAAATGAAAGATGGTACTGAGACAATGAACCAGCTAAGCCCAGAGAAAACCTTGCTTTCTCTTTAATTGCCCATTGGTGGCATGGGTCAGATGTATAGTACTGCAACATACATGCACCACCAAGACAGGCACACGCATGCATGAGTGCCATGGTGGGGGAAGGGTGTTTTGTAATTATTTATTTATCCCTGTTCCATCTCTCATAGGTCTGCGAGTTTCAGAAAGCCCAGTGGGAATCTTCAAGCTGGGCCACGGATCTGACCAAAGCCAAAATAAACAATGGCTTGAAGAAAATCTACAAAAAAGTGCTGATTTGCACTATTCCCACAGTCGGCCACAGCCCCCACCATCATTCCCATGGAAAACACCACGGCTGGTGCCAAATCAAGTTTTCCCCCCATCATAGGGGCATTGTTTTTTGTTATTATGTGAGTTCTTAGCATCAGACAATGGCACCACAAGAGACACAGTGGAAGCAGGAGAAATGCCTTTTTGTTTCACAAAGTCTGTGTTACTGTGCCCCCAGAGTCTCGCATATAGTTTAGTTGCATATATTCATTTTGGTAACACGTATGTGGAACGACGAATGTGCCAAGCTAAAGCCCGAAGCCCCCTCCTTATTTGTTTTCAGAGCCCATCAAGTGTTAAATCATATTAACATCCCATTGCTCTCTCCCTTCTCCCGCTCCGTTCCCCAATTAACAGATTTCTCTAATAAAGTTGGCCCCAACAGAAAGAGTGGTGTTTCAGGGGTTATATCACAGGACAGGCATCCAGGATGCTGGGTTACAAGCTCAGCTCCATTCCCGATTAGATTTGCTTCCCAGGAGGAGCCATTCAAACCCTTTGCAACCCCCCCTTTCTTTGGGGTTTTGATTCCAGAAGTAAACAGGCCCCTTTGGAAATGCTGAGAATTTCTGCATAGAACAGGTAGGGGATGTGAATACAGCCATTCTGATGAGAACACATGTGAACTCTTTGAAAGAAAAGCAGAAATGCCCAATGAAGTCAGCTAGAATGCTCTCAGAGGGCCCGGGATATCTTGGGTGCCCAGTCGGCCTGGGTCCTGCTTTCCCAACACTCTGTTCATTTGTTTGTTTGGCTTATTTGCTTGTTTGGCAATACCTTTCCATGGACCTTGTTTGTATATTAAAGCAAGATTGTTCTTTCTTTTATTTGCCCCTTTCCCCCCAGACGTTCTATACTCTTACATCAAAGGAGTTGTTTGGCCTATAATTATGTCTTTATGTACACAGAGGCTGGTTAATTACTGAGAAGGCGATGGATGCGTTGCCATCGAAACCTACCCACCTTGCATTGGGATGGGATGCTCTTCCCTCTGTCATGGACCATTTTGGCTCTCTTGGGTTCCTTAGCCTTGCTCTTCCTGCCTCATCTATTCCCCACTCACCAGCCTTTTCTGCCTAAATCCGTCACTCGTCCACCCTCTAGTTTCTCCTTGGACCTTGCCAAAATGTCCTAGTCAGATTCTTTCTTACTCTTTGCCCTGTGATCTTTGTACTCAGACTTGGCAAACACCATGAAGAGCTCTTCTGTCCCCTCCCTTGTCACTTGAGTCCTAATTCTCAGAGCTTTCCCAGCCACAGTTTTCCTGGGTACCTTTCCCTTTTGGAAAGGAATCATCTGGCAGTGAGATGAGGAACTGGCTCACAGCTCCTTCTCCTTGGGGGCCTGACTCTTGCTTTCATTTGTTAGAAAGGAGTGGCCCTGTAGAAGGCCCAAGAATAGAGGGTTAGGAACTGTAAGACACAAGCAGAATGGTAGGAACAAGGAGAACTGTGAGACTCTGCCTCTCCCATGGCCTAAAAGTGCTGACCAGGCCTCCTCTAACCACTGCCCATACCACCCACCACCACCCACACACTCACCAGTGGGTATAGACATGGGCAGGGGATAAGTAGCCTCCGCCCTACAGTGGAGTTCACTGGGTGTCACCTGCTCCTGGAGGCATTATCTCAGCTCTCCTGGACTCTGCCCTCCTTTCTCCCAGAACTGTGAGTCTGGCAGCCTCTTCCTGGTTCAGCAGACTCCTGGGCTTCTCCTGTCCAACACCCAGTACTTAGAGGGCTTATTAGACTATGAGCTCATCAAGGGCAGGAAGCACACCTTGCTCCTCCTAGCATCCCCAGGCCCTGGCACCTAGCACATGCATGGCATAATACTGGGGCTTAGGTCACGAGTCAAAGGCATGAATGCCCTTCCCTGCCTGGTCAGAGCCTCGGTGCCGGCCGTTCATGGCTTCTCGTTCCAGTGGTGAGAAGAGGCATTTGATGCTGTCTGCAAAACTATTCCTGAGTCACTCACATTAAAGTTTAAATATCTAAATGCTGTCTCCATGGAGAAGCCAGAAACCCATTGAGCCAGATGGTTGAGGTTCCATTACAAAAAAGTGCAGAGACTCAGCTGCCCTGTCCCCTGTCCTTACTGCTGGTGACAGATCTGGTGACAAGATGGGTCTCCTGTGTTATAAGATGCCTCTAATGAAGAATTTTCAGAAATCACCAGGCGGTGAAGGCAGTGGCCTGAGACTAAATTAGAAGTCAGATGGAGCTTTTCTCACATCTCCCCCATTCTAGAGTGTCTTCTCAGTCTTTCAGGCCCCAGTTCTTTAACATCTCCATATTTTTTAATTAATTCAGCAAAAGTCTCTAAATTTATGTACATTAAAGTGGCAGGTATCAGTGACTGACTAGCTTAAATATGACTTTCCCTGGAGGCGTTTGGAATTAAAGATGACCAGTGCCTTAAGCTTTAAGGAATAAAATTCTAATGGTAAAATATTAGGCATCAAGAGATGAAGGGGCAAGGTAGTTTGCAAGTGGCAAAGGGTTTTCCTCCTGATTATCAGCTAGCTGAACTTGTATAAGTCACTTAACCTCTCAGATAATCCGTGTTATCATCGACGAAGTGGGAAGAACAATGCTTGCCTTGCTGAAGGGGTATATATGAAGAAACTTTTGAAACCGTGAAGAGTAGTGTGCGTGGCTGGGCGCGATGGCTCATGCCTGTAATCCCAGCACTTTGGGAGGTTGAGGCGGGCAGATCACAAGGTCAGGGGTTTGAGACCAGCCTGGCCAAGATGGTGAAACCCCATCTCTACTAAAAATACAAAAAAATTAGCCAGGCATAGTAGCGCACGCCTATAATCCCAGCTACTCTGGAGGCTGAGGCAGGAGAATTGCTTGAACCCGGGAGGCAGAGCTTGCAGTGAGCCGAGATCACGTCACTGCACTCCAGCCTGGGTGACAGAGTGAGACCCCATCTCAAAAAACAAAAAACAATGGTGTGCATGTCAGGATAGAATCAGGCTACAAAAGTCCTGGAAGATTTTTAGGGAAAACAAAAACAAAAATGACAAGAAAATGGGAGAAGAAATTAGAAGACCAGGGCTTTGGGCCAACTCTTCTACTGAACCACTGTGTAATTTTGAATAAACAATCTAGTCATCTGGTGCCTCGGTGTCCTCGCTGATGAAGGGAGTATTCCATTGCCACAGAGTCTACCTCTCTCCACCATTCCAGAAAGCTTCATTAATTCATCTCTCTTATGTTCATGAATGGCAGACTGGGATGTCACTGCCCAGAAGTATTTGGAACAGCATGGGAGAACTATTGTGACCACATCGAGCTGGTAAAATTCTAGCCCAAGGCAAAAAGATTGGCATTTTAGGTCACCCAATCAGCCTCATCTCTGGAAAAGACTGCTTCCCATTGGTTCTTTTTTGGAAAGAAAAAAAAAAAAGAAAGAAAGAAAAGTTGAAGAAGCCTCATTCCTAGTCTAGGGGCCTAGGACTCCTGGACTGAATAATCTGGAAGACAGCCTCCCACCCAACATTGGGGGATATACAAAATCTGCTGCTTCTAGTTCCTGACCTTCTGCCTGGACACCTGCCTACCACCCACCCTGTCCTCACCTCTGGAGTCTATTTTCTCTTTCTCTTTTTTCTGTCTCTCCTACCTGTAGCCTATAAGTTGTCCTTCTCCCTTTCCTTATCCAAAGCACAGTTCTCATGGGTGAAAAAGTTGATGAGCACTGAAGTGAGTATGTTTATCTGGGATAACAGATCCAGGAGCACATACTCTACATACACGTTAATTCATTCCATCAGAGGATGTTGAGAGTCTCCTGTGTGCCAGGCTTGTTCTAGGTGCAGGGACACAGCAGTGAGCAAACAGCCAAAACCTTCCACCCTCACAGGACTTATTTCATACCCAGGCATACACATGCAGATGTATATACAAAAACAGGCCCCTTAACTGCTGTGTCTTTCAGACAATGAAATGTAAACTCAAATTAGGGCCTGAGTAGCAGGATTTATACAGAAAGACGACTATATCCTCTCCACACACTGCAGAAATAGTCATAAAAGTGAGGAATGGTTTGCTTTCATGTTTTCCTTTTCTTTCTCCTTGCTTATACTGGAAATTAACTTTCGTTTGCATACAGCTGACCCTTTGCATGTTACAACAGTACCAAGGCCAGGCACGGTGGCTCAAGCCTATAATCCCAGCACTTTCGGAGGCTGAGGCGGGAGGATTACCTGAGGTCGGGAGTTTGAGACCAGCCTGGCCAGTATGGTGAAACCCCCATTTCTACTAAAAATACAAAGTCAGCCAGTCATGGTGGTGCATGCCTGTAATCCCAGCTACTCGGGAGGCTGAGGCGGAGGTTGCAGTGAGCCAAGATCATGCCATTGCACCCCAGCATGGGTGACAATAGTGAAACTCTGTCTCAAACAAAACAAAACAAAACAGTATCAAGACACACTACATCATGTATTAGAATAATTTAAAATTTTTCATGTCATTCTAATTCAGTGTTCTGAAGATCTCACAGATATGTGTGCCTTGCCAAAGAGTCACGTCAAAACAACTGTATGAAATTATAACCTACCTGGAAAAGTCAGAAACATAATCAGAGGCTATTTCCATATAACTACACCCTAAAAACACCCATCCCAGACAGGCAGGCACATGAGAATAACATGTTGGCATACAGTTGCAAGAACCTGCTCTAGACTTTCGATAGTTATTGCATCATTGTGAAAGTAAAATTTAGTGGAAAATACCAAACAGGGAGACTAGAATTGGGAAATTCTTCTCCATTTCCTGTGTCACGTTTCACAGTCTTCAAAGATTTAGGCTCTATCAAATCCTAGACTAAACTGGTGTTAAAAAAAGGTCTTCTCTTGGTAGCTTTATTCTTAAATTCTTTGGACATGGACACTTTTGAGTGCATTATAAACATGGGTAATATGGTCCCATATTGTCTTAGAGATGCTGTCATTGTAAGAGCTAGTATTTATAGCATGCTTAGTACAGGCACATCTCATTTTATTGTGCTTTGCTTTATTGCATTCCCAAGACGCTGCATTTTTCACAAATTGAAAATGTGTGCCAGTCCTGCATTGAGCAAGTCTATTGGCGCCATTTTTCCAACAGCATGTGCTCACTTTGTGTTTCTGTGTCACATTTTGGTAATTCTCAAAATATTTCAAACTTTCAAATAATTATTATATCTGTTATGGTGATCTGTGGTCAGTGATCTTTGATTTTACTATTGTAATTTTTGGGGCACCAAGAACCACACCCACAAAAGATGACAAACTTAATCAACAAATGTTGTGTGTGTTCTGACTGCTCCACGGACCAGCTATTCTCCCATTTCTTTCCTTCTACTGGGGCCTCCCTATCACCTGAGACACAACAATATTAAAATTAGACCAATTAATAACCCTACAATGGCAAGTAAGTGTTCAAGTAAAAGGAAGAGTCACATGTATCTCACTTTAAATTAAAAGCTAGAAATGATTAACCTTAGTGACAAAGCCTACATAGGTTGAAAGCTAGGCCTCTTGTACCAGTTAGCCAAGTTGTAAATGCAAAGGAAAAGTTGTTGAAGGAAATTAAAGGTGCTACTCCAGTGAACATGTGAATAATAAGAAAGTGAAACAGCTTTATGGCTGCTATGGAGAAAGTTTTTAGTGGTCTGGATAGAAGATCAAGCCAGTCAGAACATTTCCTTAAGCCAAAGCCTAATCCAGAGCAAAGCAGCCCTAACTCTATTCGATTCTATAAAGGCTAACAGGAGTGACGAAACTGCAGAAGAAAAGTTGGAAGCTAGCAGAGACTGGTTCATGAATTTAAGGAAAGAAGCCATCTCCATAATAACATAGCCATCTCCATAACACGTAGAAGCTGCAGCAAGTTATTGAGAAGATCCAGTTAAAATAATGGATAAAGGTGGCTACGTGAAACAACAGATTTTCAATGTGGATGAAACAGCCATCTATTGGAAGAAGATGCTATCTAGGACTCTCATAGTTAAATAAGTCATAGAGAGAACAAGTCAATACATGGCTTCAAAGCTTCAAAAGCCGGGCTGACTGTCTAGATAGAGGCTGATGAGCTAGTGCAGCTGGTGACTTTAAGTTGAATCCAGTGCTCATTTACTATTCTGAAAATTCTAGGGACCTTAAGAATTATGCTAGATCTCTATGCCTGTGCTCTATAAATGAAACAATAAAGCCTGGATAACAGCACATCTGTTTACTGAATATTTTTAAGCCCACTGTTGAGACCTATTGCTCAGAAAAAAAAAAAAGATTCCTTTCAAAATATTGCTGCTCATTGACAATACACCTGGTTATCCAAGAGCTCTGATGGAGATGTACAAGGAGATTAATCTTATTTTCATGCCTGCTAATACAACATCTACTCTTCAGCTCATGGATCAAGGAGTAATTTCAACTTTCAAATCATTATTTCAGAAATTAGTTCATAAACCTGTATCTGCCACTGATCATGATTCTTCTGATGGATCTGGGCAAAGTAAATTGAAAACCTGCTGTAAAGGATTCACCATTCTAGACTCCATTAAGAGTATTTGTGATTCATAAAAAGAGGTCAAAATATCAACATGAACAGGAGTTTGGAAGAAGTTGATTCTAATCCTCATGAATGACTTTGAGGGGTTCAAGACTTCAGTGAAGGAAGTAACTGTAGATGTGGTGGAAATAGCGAAGGAATTCTTCTAATTCTAATTAGAAGTGGAGCCTGAAGATGTGACTGAATTGCTGCAATCTCATGATCAAACTTGAACAGACGAGGAGTTGCTTCTTCTGGACGAGCAAAGAAAGTGGTTTCTTGAGAGTGAAACTACTGCTGGTGAAGATGCTGTGAACAATAATGAAATGACAACAAAGTATTTAGAATATTACATAAACTTAGTTGAAAAAGCCATGGCAGGGTTTAAGAGGATTGACTCCAATTTTGAAAGAAGTTCTACCGTGGGTAAAGTGCAATCAAACAGCATCACATACGACAGAAAAATATTTTGTGAAAGGAAGAGTCAATCAATGCAACAAACTTTGTTGTTGTCTTATTTTAAGGAATTACCACAGCCACTCCACCCTGATCAGTCAGCAACCATCAACATTGAGGCAAGACCCTCCACCAGCAAAATGATTATGACTCCCTGAAGGCTTAGATGATTGTTAGAATTTTTTAGCAATAAAGTTTCTTTCTTTTTTGTTTTATTTTATTTATTTATATTTATTTATTTATTTATTTATTTATTTATTTTTTATTATTTTTTTTTTTTGATGCAGAATCTCATTCTATTGCCCAGGCTGGAGTGCAGGGTCATGATCTCACTGCAACCTCCTCCTCCTGGGTTTAAGTGATTCTCCTGCCTCGGCCTCACCAGTAGCTGGGACTACAGGTGCACACCACCAAGCCTGGCTAATTTTTGTATTTTTAGTAAAGACAAGGCTTTGCCATGTTGGCCAGGTGGTCTTTAACTCCTGACCTCAAGTGATCCGCCCACCTCGACCTCCTAAAGTGCTGGGATTACAGGTGTGAGCCACTGTGCCTGGCCACAATGAAGTATTTTTAATTAAGGTTTGTGCATTTATTTTTTAGACATAATGCTACTGTACACTTAATAAAATACAGTATAATGTAAACATAACTTCTATGTACACTGGGAAACCAAAAAATTCATGTAAGCGGCTTTATTGTGATATTTGTTTTATGAAGGTGGTCTGGAATCAAAACCCCAAAACTATAGCATCTCTAAGGTGTGCTGGTATTCCAGCACCCATACTCCATGCAGTTTCATTTCACCCTCATAATCTCGCCATGACCTATTATCATCATTCTCATTTTACAGATGAAGACATGGAGACTGAAGAAAAATAAATACTATGACCCAGATGGCATAGCTAGTAAGTGGTAGAGCTGGAGCTCTTCTTGGTCTCCATCCTGAAATGGCAAGACATTCCTTCTTCCTGTTTACAATGCACATATCTTCATTCAGTTCTGTCCAGTCACCTGTTGGTTGGGTATAAGTGTATGCAGTCTTACTAATTGGGTTTATGTGCATAAAAGGGTACTTGTTCTAATCTAATCCCTGTTAGATTGTAGATTAAAATTTCTAGTAAAGGAAACTCAGATTCTCCCTTCCCAGGTTGAGTTCTTCTAGAGCATCCACAGCATCCCCTGCATGGCCTAGCAAGCATCATGCATAGAGTAGCTACCCAATAAGCATTGTTCAATTACTGAGAACTCCACACAGGACCAGCCCAGGGAGTAGGCAGAACCTCTAGTTATTTATCAGACATTACCAACCTCCTATGTGCACCCACGGTGACTTCTCACGGTGTCTGTCTTCCCCTTCACATGATCAGCCCCACTGCTGAGTTAAAGGGCAGACACTAGGCCATTATTCACAGAAGACCCTAAGAAAATGCATGCATTTGCTGCCCTGGCCAGAGGTAGTGAAGCGGAGAGTAATGCATAGGTGCATTTGCAAGGACTGTGGATCGCATATGGCAGATTCTCAGCCTGTGCCTGTACATCAGAATCACTTGGGGATAGGATTGCCAAATTTTTCTAGTGAAAATACAGGATGCCCAGTTAATTTAAATCTGTGATAAACAACAAATCATGTTTTAGTATAAATATGGCCCATGTAATATTTGTGACATATTTATGCTAAAAATTACTCATTGTCATTTGAAATTAAAATTTAACTGAGCATCCTATATATTATCTGGCAACCTTAATTGGGAAACAACTGAGAATAATTAAATCAGAATCTCTTGAAATGTGGTCCAGATACTAATAATTTTAAAAAGGCTTCCTAGGTTATTATAGTGGGCAGCTGTGCTTGGGAATCACTGATAGAAGGGAGCTAAAATCTTGGAGATCATAGGAAGGAAAATGGGGTTTGGCCCAGAGTGGGCAACCCCTACGTAGGAAAGGAATGGAGACATGTGACAAACGTCACCTACCCAAAGTTCTGCCTTCAGGGAGCTCTGCTGGGCCACATCCCAGAGACCAAGTCAGCCACAGTCAGAGTGGAGCTGGACTGTGCAGCCATCGTGTTTTCAAGGTCACACCAGAGTGCCCAGTACCATCTCTTGGGAGCTCAGTGCCCTCCAGAGACATCAACCTTCCCACTAACCACCTCCATCCAGAAACAGCAAAGCCAGTATATGTCAAATTTCATTTCCTTTGTGTATGTGAGTTAAGCAGCCACCCAAATTTCTCCTGTGACTTGGGGAGCTCAGAGTGAAGTCCGCCTTGAGAAGTCACACAACACAGGGTCTAAAGCTTGAAGTTTGGAGCCAGACAGAGATAGGTGCAAATTCTATTTCTGTCAATTACTTTGGGGGTATATAAGCTTGGGCAAGTTACATAACCCCTTTGAACCTCAGTTTTTCATCTGCAAAATGGGAACGATAATTATACTTGCCTCACAAGATTATCATGAGAATCAAATGAGATAATGCCTGTAAAATGCCCACTTCGCCCAGTGTCTGGCATGGACAAAGCACTCAATAAGTAGTTGTTATTATTTTATCGCTGTTATCTTTCCCAGAGGTCCCCTACAGATCCCCCTCTCCCAACATCTGGCAATAGCAGGAGAGCAGGGGCCATTGGTACTGCAGGTGGGAGTGCAGTACTATAAAACCTGGAGCTCCTCAAGGAGTCCCTCTGCTGAACAGAATGTAGGCTCAGAACCCTCTGTTCCCATCTTTCAGCTTTTAAGGGAAAGACATAGGCCAAGCCTGTTAAGATAGTATTACTCTTTTAAAAAAAAAAATTGAGACAGGGTTTTACTCTGTTGCCCAAGCTGGAATGCAATGGCACAATTATAGTTCACTGCAGCCTCAAACTCCTGGGCTCAAGTAATCCTCCTGCCTCAGCCTCCTAAGTAGCTGGAACTACAGATGCAAGCCACCACTCTTCCTGGATACACACACACACACACACACACACACACACACACACACACACGTATTTATTTATTTATTTATTTATTGTAGAGACAGGGTCTCACTACGTTGTTGCCCAGGCTGGTCTCAAATTCCTGGGCTCAAGCAATCCTCCTTCCTCATCCTCCTAAAGTGGTGGGATTATAAGCTTGAGCCATCGTGCCTAGCCAAAATAGCACTACTCATAGCATAAAGAAAAGGGCTGGGGTGGATAAAAGGGACCTGACTCCCTGATTTCCAGCTGTGACTTTGCCAATAACTTGTCGTGACCTTAGGCAGGTCATTGCATCACTTACGGTTCAGTCTCTTCATTTGTTTAATGAGTATGGGCCAGATGATCACTTCCATCCATAATACTCCTTGATAAGTTCTCTTATAGAAATTCTTGCCTTGACTTTACAGCCACCTTCCCCAGATAGTTAATATTCTTTCCCTACCTATTCCCAGGGTCGGGAAGAGGAGAACTGGGGCTCACGCAGAGTGGAGAGCTTTGAAAGTTGTCGGTTTCCTGCCTTTTCTTCAGGTACATCTGTACATCTTTTCACTAAAAAGTACAACATATGATTTTTTTTTTTTTTTTTTTTTTTTGAGACGGAGTCTTGCTCTGTCACCCAGGCTGGAGTGCAGTGGCACAATCTCGGCTCACTGCAAGCTCCACCTCCCGGGTTCACGCCATTCTCCTGCCTCAGCCTCCTCGGTAGCTGGGATTACAGGCGCCTGCCACCATGCCCGGCTAATTTTTTTGTATTTTTTAGTAGAGACGGGGTTTCACCGTTTTAGCCAGGATGGTCTCGATCTCCTGACCTCGTGATCCGCCTATCTTGGCCTCCCAAAGTGCTGGGATTACAGGTGTGAGCCACCGCGCCCGGCCAAAAGTACAACATATGATCTTTAAGTTCTGTTTTCCCTTCAAAGAATGGAGGGAAACTTCTTTGCTCATTCTATCTTTTGCCCATCTTTAAGATGAGCCCAAACTCACCCAGCACTGACCATTGTCAAAGTCCAGAGTACAAATAGAACTGAAATGCAAAAGGACTATTTTGAGGGTGTCATTCACCCTCCCCACTCACTGGAGCACCCTGGATGCACCTGTTCTTTTTCTCTTAGGTAATCCTTTCCTAATCCTTTTTCAAATTTCACCTGCCATTGAGAGTCCACTGTTGTCATTTTTGAAGGACAAACCTGTTTTTCAAGTGATAATTGCATTGACCATCTGTCTCCATTAACCATCCCCTACCCCATCCTCTTTCTCCAAATCCCCAAATAACTAAAATAATAGTGAAATAAAAGACAATATATTATCTGGTTGCAACACACAGCATTTTGTCCATGTTTGTTCAATATCAGGACGAACCTAACAGCAAACATGGTACCAACAGAAAAGTTATCTGGGTTTCCAGAAGTTTTCCTGCCACAGGGTTCAGAGCTGGATAAATAGCTGCCTCTCACTTCTAATGAAGAAAATCATTTTACTAGTGTGGATCCCAAGGAGAGGTTATGTTGCTTTTTTTTACAAGGCTATATAACTGGCTAACATTCATGCTTATGGGTATTCTGAGAAAATGGCTGTCTCCATTAGGATTTGAGATAAAGTCTTAATCAAACTGGACATGAACTCCTTTTGAAGCTGCACAGGAAATCTCTGGGAAACACAGTTAAAAAGACTCTAGTTCAAAGGAAACTTCTTTATTAATAATATTCAGAGATTTGTTTCTGATTTGATTTTGGTCACTTGCCTTGCTGAAAGAAACATAATAGGAATTCAGGCCACATCTCCAGGAGATCAAATCTAAAAAGTGGGATGTGGGCTGCAGATACTTAATTTGGGGACATCACCAGCCACCAGTCGGAGTTTTGACGTGGTAAAGCAAGACCCAACAGCTGGGCATTTTGGTGTTTTTAGGACAGCCATTCGGAGTGTAAAACTATCTTCCCTCTTTGAACTGTGGAGATTTAACATCCTTTGATGGGGTTAATTTTACTGTGATAACAGATTTACCCAGAAAGGATACTTGAATAACTCAGGCCTGATTAGCTCTCTGGAAAGATGGGCCCAAAATATCTCATGGAGACGTTCTATTAGCAAAGGATTTTGATCGCTTAAAAATGTTGATGAGTTACGCTGAAAGTTGGAAAGATACTGAAATTTTAGTGGGTTTTTGCTTTGGTTAAGAGGTGTAAGTAAAAACGGGGCAGAAAGAATTTCTATTTTCAAAAAGAAGGGGTAGACATACTTTTCTCTATTCCCCCTAAGCACAACCCCAAACCTTAGACATTATATATAAAACAAGCATAAGACAACTCTAAAAGATGGAGAGAGAAAGGAAGACTGCCCAGAGATCTCAGAAGCCTAGGAACAACACAGTGATTAATTCTCTGGATTTTATTTTTGCCTCATATGTTCCAGGCTTGGAGCTGAAGAAGCCAGTAACCTGGACACACCAAAAAGTGCAGAGGCAAAAACAGTCTCAACAAAAGCCTATTCTCTCTAGCCAAAGGACCAGGAAGGGGACAGCCTAACACGACAAAAACTTTTAGATAATAAGCACTCTACTGCAGCCAAGTACCACAGAGAAACTGTGACCCCACCCACACTCTCACCAGAAAAGGCCAAGTGGGGAGCCTCAACTTTCACCCTAGCCAGGCTATAGCACGCCTTCCAAACTCCTCCACAAGAATGATGTCAGAGAAAGCAGAATAGGGGCCATGACCTTCAATCTTACCAGCTGGTAATAAGGGCCCTCCCCACTGTGGTTAGTGGTGACCACAGAGGCGCTCCCATTCCTGCACAATTTAACACAGCGCCCCCTCAAGTGTCCATGGAGACCAACAAGGGAACTTGGACTTCTATCTCCACCTAGCAGTAACAAGGCAGTACCTTTTCTTCCCCCGCCATGGTGGTGTTAGAGAAAGCCACATGAAACAGAAGGTCTAAATAAAATGCAGAGCCTTATAACATAACAGGAAAATTTCCAGGTTTCCATAAAAAAATCATTCGTCATTCTATGAACCAGCAAGATCTCGAACCAAATAAAAAAGACAATTGAAAGATGATGGGAGCAGGAGGGAGAATTGAGGAGATGTTGGCTAAAGGATAAAATTTCTGTTAGGTCTGGGCATAGTGGCTCACCTCTGTAATCCCAGCATTTTGGGGGGCCAAGGGGGGCAGATCACCTTAGGTCAGGAGTTCAAGACTAGCCTGGACAACATGGTGAAACCCTGTCTCTACCAAAAATGCAAGAATTAGCAGGGCATGGTGGTGCACACCTGTAATCCCAACTACTCGGGAGGCTGGGGCACAAGAAGCGCTTGAACCAGGGAGGCGGAGGTTGCAGTGAGACAAAGTCGTGCCACTGCATTCCAGCCTGGGCAACAGAGCAAGACTCTGTCTCAAAAAAAAATTTTCAATTAGACAGGAAGAACAAATTCAATAAATCGATTTACAACATGGTGCTTATAGTTACTAGCAATGTACTGTATACTTGAAAATTGCTAAGAGAGTAGATTTCATGTTTTCTCACCACAAAAGATGATAAATATATGAGGTAATGAATATGTTAGTTCACTTGATTTAGTCATTCCACAATGTATACATATTGTGTATATACACATATAAACACAACAACATGTTGCACATTATAAATGTATACAACTTGTGTTTGTCAATTTAAAAAATAATTTTAAAAATAGATGACAATGCTTAGATGAAAGAGAAATAGCTACGATAAAATGCTTCAATGAATAATTACAAACATACTTGAAATATATGAATAAATAGAAAGTCTCAGCAAAAAAAAAAAAGAAGATATAAAGAAGAACCAAATGGAAATTGTAGAACTAAAAAGTACAATAACAAAAGTAAAAAGTTCAGTATATAGGTTTAACAGCAGAATGGAGGAGACAGAAGAAGCAAAACTGGAGCTGGAAAACAGAACAATGAAATTATTCAACTGAACAATTGAGAGAAAAATACACTGAAAAAAATGAGCAGAGCCTTATGGAACTATAACAAATGATTTAACATTCCTATCACTGGAGTTCCAGAATGAGAGGAGAAAGACAGCAAGGCTGGAAAAGTATTTGAAGAAATAATGATTGAGAACTTCCCAAATTTGTCAAGAGACATAAACCTACAGATTCAAGTAGCTTAGTGAACCCCAAACAGGGTTAATCCAAAAAGATTCATTCCACCATAATTAAACTAAGCTTCTGATTCCAAGATAACCATAAACTAAGCTTCTGAAAACTAATGACAAACTCTTGAAAGTAACTAGAGAAAAATTATACTTTATCTGTAGGGAAAAACAATTCAAATGAGAGTACATTTCTCATCAAAACCATATAGGCCAGAAGGAAATGGCACAATCTTTTTCAAGTGCTGAAAGAGCTGTCACTTGAGAATCCTATGCCTACTGAAAATATTCTTCAGGGATGAAGGGAGTATCAAGATATCTCAGATGAGGAAAGCTAATAGAATTTGTCACCAGCAGACATACTCCAAACGAATGGCTTAAAAAGTTCTCTAAACAAGAAAGTAAATAATTTTTTTTAAAAAAGGAACTTTGAAACATCAGGAAGAAAGAACATGGTAAGTGAAAATATATGTAGATATACTAGGCTTTCCTTCTCCTCTTGAATTTTTAAAATTATATTTTAATGGTGAAAGAAAATAAAACTGTCTGACATTGCTCTAAATGTATGTAGAGGAAATAGTTAAGATAATTATATCACAGGATATGTAATTCTCTTAACTATATGGTATATATGGAAGATGGCAAAGAATGGAGGAGGATAAACATAAGTAAAGAGAGGTAAGGGTACAATGCTTCATATGAACTGGTAAAGTGACGATATTAGTAGACTGTAATAAGACTCCATAAAAAGCTACACAAAGAGATATTCTCAAAAATACTATAGAGAAATCAAAATAAAATTCTAAAAAATGAAAAACAGAAAACAGAACAAAAAAAACAAAAAATAAAATGGCAGAATTAAGTCTAACACATCATGAATTACATTAGATATAAATTGTATAACACACTAATTAAAAGATAGAGATTGACAGAATGGATTTAAAAACATGACCAAACTTGCTGTCTACAAGAAACACTTCAGGCTGGGCGTGGTGGCTCATGCCTATAATCCCAGCACTTTAAGAGGCCTAAGCAGGCCAATTGCTTGAGCTCAGGAGTTTGAGATCAGCCTGGGCAACATGGTGAAACCCCGTCACTACAAAAAATACAAAAATTAGACAGGTATGGTGGCACACGCCTGTAGTCCCAGCTACTCAGGAGGCTGAGGTGGAAGAATTGCTTGAACCTGGAAGGTGGAGGCTGCAGTGAGCTGAGCTCATGCCACTGCACTCCAGCCTCAGTGACAGAGTGAAACCCTGTCTCAAAAAAAAAAACAAAAAACAAACCACCTCACTTCAAATGTAACACTATAAGCAGGTTGACAGTAAAAAGATGAAAACAGATATATCATGCAAGTATTAATCAATGAAAAGCAGATACGGCTATTTGAATATCAGATAAGGTATACTGCAGAGGATAAAAAACACAAGAGACAGAGCAGAATATAATAATAAAGGAATCAATACACAAGGAAGACATATCAGTCCCAAATGTACATGCACCAAACAACAGAGCTGCAAAATACATAAAGCTAAAACTGAAAAGAAATATAGATAAATTCAATATTATACTTGTAGATCACAGTAATCTTATCTCAATAATTGATGGAAGAGCTAGACATAAAATCAGTAAGGATATATAGAAGAATTCAGTAGCATCTTCAACAAAGATGATCTAATTAACATTTATTCAACACTCTACCCAACTCTAGCAGGATACACATTCTTTTCAAGTGGCCATGAGAGATACCAAGGTAGATCATATTCTGGGCTGCAAAAATGTTCAACAAATACAAAATAATAAAATCCTACAAAGTGTGTTCTTCAACTATCATAGAATAAAACTAGAAATTAATAATAGAAAGATAACAGGAAAATCCTCAAACATTTGCAGACTAAACAATGCACTTCCATATAATCCATGGATCAAAGGAAGACACAAGGGAAATTTAAAAATACATTGAACTGAATGAAAATTCAATGCAATATATCAAAATTTATGAGGAGAAGCTAAAACAGTACTGAAGGAAGTTTATAGCTCTAAATGAAAACATGAGGAAAGAGGAAAGTCTGAAATCAACAAGCTCTCACCTCACAAACCTAGAAAAAGAAGAACAAAATAACCCAAAGCAAGCAGTAGGAAGGAAATAATAAAGGGTAGAAATAAACAAAAGTTAGAATACAAAATATAGAGAAAATCTACAAAATAAAGAGTTGTTTCTTTGAAAAAAATCAATAAAATTGACAAATTTTTTCTTTAGAGAAATGCTTAGGTACAAAACAATAAACAGTTCTGGACTAGTATGGTGAATATGACACAATGCTGATGAAAGATATCAAAGGTAATCTAAATAAATGAGAAACATACCATGTTAATGGATTGGAAGACTCAACATAGTAAAAATGTCAATTCTTCCTAAAATGAGACACATATTTGATGCATTTCCTATCAAAATCCTGGAGAGATTTTTTGTAGATATAAACAAAATTATTCTAAAATTTATATGGAAAGGTAAATGAATTAGAATAGCTAAAACAATTTTGAATTAAAAAGTATAAAGTGGTAGATATCAATCTACTTGATTTCAAACCAGATTTTAAGACTTTGTGTGTATATATATATATATAGTCATGTGTCACTTAACAGAAATACTTTCTGAGAAATGAGTCATAAGGCAATTTCATAATAGTGTCAACATCATAGAGAGCACGTACACAATCCTAGATATTATAGCCTGCTACACACCTAGGCTATATGGTACAGCCTATTGCTCCTAGGCTATAAACCTGTACAGAGTGTTACTGTACTGAATATTGTAGGTAATTGTAACATAATAGTAAATATTTGTGTATCTAAACATAGAAAAGTTACTGTAAAAACACAGTATTATAATTTTATGGCACCACCATCATATATGCAGCCCATGGTTGACCAAAATGTTATATGGTACATGACTATGCACATATATATGTATGTGTATAGACAGACATATACGCATGCATACTGGAACCAGTAGCCACCACCTATGTTCACATTCACAGCTGTCCTGCACAGCAACAGTTTTGGTTCCCTTTGTTATGTACAGTAAATCTTGAAAATCTTGACCGGGCGCAGTGGCTCACGCCTGTAATCCCAGCACTTTGGGAGGCCAAGGCGGGCAGATCACAAGGTCAGGAGATGCAGACCATCCTGGCTAACACGGTGAAACCCTGTCTCTACTAAAAATGCAAAAAAAAAAAAAAAAAAAAAAATTAGCCGGGCGTGGTGGCGGGCCCCTGTCGTCCCAGCTACTCGGGAGGCTGAGGCAGGAGAATGGCGTAAACCCAAGAGACGGAGCTTGCAGTTAGCCGAGATCGCGCCACTGCACTCCAGCCTGGGCGACAGAGCGAGACTCTGTCTCAAAAAAAAAAAAAAAAGAAAAAGAAAAAGGAAAGAAAATCTTGAAAATTGGCTGGGCGCGGCAGCTCATGCCTATCATCCCAGCACTTTGGGAGGCTGAGCCAGGCAGATCACTTGACCTCAGGAATTGCAGAGCAGCCTAGCCAACAGGGTGAAATCTTGTCTCCACTAAAAACACAAAAATTAGCCGAAGGTGGTGTCTGTAGTCCCAGCTTCTTAGGCGGCTGAAGCAGGAGAATCGCTTGAACCCGGAAGGCAGAGGTTGCAGTGAGCCGAGATTGCGCCACTTCACTCCAGCCTGGGCAACAAAGTGAGACTCTGTCTCCAAAAAAATAAAATAAAATAAAATAAAAAGAAAGAAAATCAAGTAGATTTATGCACACACACAGAGTAATCAAAACTGTGTGGTATTGGCATATGAATAGACACGTAGATTAATAAGACAGTAAAGAATCTAGAAATAGACCAACAAATATGCTCAACTGATTTTTGACAAAGGTGCAAATGCAATTCAATGGAGGAAAGATAGACTTTTCTTTAAAACTTCGGTATATATACAGAAATTCTAGGGGTTCTCTAAAAGTATAAAAATACCTTTTAAAATGCAACTGGCCCTCCCAGGATAGCTTTTTCAATAAATGGTGCTGGAGCAATTGGGCATTATAGGAAAAAAAAAAGAGAGAGAGAGAGAACCTCAACTTAAGTCTCATACATTTTATAAAAATTAACTCAAATGGATCATTGACTTATAGGTAAAACATAAAATATAAAACTTCTAGAAACAAATATAGGAGAAAACTTTTAGGATCTAGGGCTAGGCAAAGAGTTCATAGACGACATAAAAAGCATGATTCCTGAAAGGAAAAACTGATAAATTGAGTTCCATCAAAATTAAAAGTATTTCCTGTATGAAAGATCCTGTTAAGAGGATGAAAAGACCAGCTACAGACTGGGAGAAAATATTTGCAAACCACATATCTGACAAAGGACTAGTATCTGGAATGTATAAAAATCTCTCTAACTTCAACAGTTGAAAAAAAGCAAACAATCCAACTAGCATATAGGCAAAAGATGTCACGAAACATTTCACAAAAGAAGGTATACAGATGGCAAATAAACGCATGAAAAGATGTTCAACACAAATTAAAACCACAGTGAGATAGCCATCATAAGCCTATCAAAATAGCTAAAATAAAGCAAAGTGACATCAAATGCTGATAAGGATGTGGGGAAATGGAATCCTTCATACACTGCTGGTAGGAATGTAAAATGGTACAGTCACTTGGTAAAACAGTTTGGCAGTTTCTTTTTTTTTCTGAGACGGAGTCTCGCTCTGTCACCCAGGCCAGAGTGCAGTGGCGCGGTTGGCTCACGGCAAGCTGCACCTCCCGGGTTTACGCCATTCTCCTGCCTCAGCCTCCCGAGTAGCTGGGACTAAAGGCGCCCGCCACCACACCCGGCTATTTTTTTTTTTTTTTTTGTATTTTTAGTAGAGACGGGGTTTCTCCGTGTTAGCCAGGATGGTCTTGATCTCCTGACCTCGTGATCTACCCGCCTCCGCCTCCCAAAGTGCTGGGATACAGGCATGAGCCACCACGCCCAGCCAGCAGTTTCTTTAAAAACTAAATATCCAACAATTACATGACCTGGCAATTGTAGTTTAGGCCATTTAACCAAGAGGAAGAAAAACTTGTGTTCATACAAAAATCTGTAAATGAACGTTTACAGTGGCTTTATCTGTAATGGCCAAAAACTGGAAACAACCCAGATGTCCTTCAACAGGTGAATGGTTAAACGAACTGGTACATCCATACCATGAGATACTAGTCAGCACTAAAAAGGAATGAAATACTGAAACAAACAACCTTTTGGATGAATCTCAAAGGAATTGTACTGAAAAGAAAAAGCTAATCCCAAAAGGTTACACACTACATGATTCCATTTCTATATAATCAGAAATACCATCTGACTCAGCAATCCCATTACAGGGTATATACCCAAAGGATTATAAATCATTCTACTATAAAGACACATGCACACATATGTTTATTGCAGCACTATTTACAATAGCAAAGACTTGGAACCAACCCAAATGCCCATCAATGATAGACTGGCTCAATAAAATGTGGCACATACACACCCTGAAATACTATGCAGCCATAAAACAGAATGAGTTCATGTCCTTTGCAGGGACATGGATGAAGCTGGAAGCCAGCATTCTCAGCAAACTAACACAGGAACAGAAAACCAAACACTGCATGTTCTCACGCAAAAGTGGGAGTTGAACAATGAGAACACATGGACACAGGGAGGGGAACAACACATACTGGGGCCTGTCAGGGGTGGGGGGCAAGGGGAGGGAGAGCATTAGGACAAATACCTAATGTATGCTGGGTTTAGAACCTAGATGATGAGTTGATAGCTGCAGCAAACCACCATGGCACATGTATACTTATGTAACAAACCTGCACGTTCTGCACGTGTATCTCAGAACTTAAAGTAAAAAAAAAAAAGAAAAGAAATGACAAAATTATAGAGATTAAGACCAGATTAGTGTCTGTCAGGCATTAAAGAGGGGATGGATGCAGAAGAGAAGAAGTAGGTGTGCCTATAAAAGGTCAACATGAGGAATCCTTGTGATGGAAATATTCTGTATCTTAACTGTACGAAGTGTCAATATCCTAGTTGTGGTATTGTATGATAGCTTTGCAGGATTAGAGAACTGGGTAAAGGGTAGACAAGATCCACAATTATATAAAAATAAAAAGATTACTTAAAAATAGGGCAAGGAATAAAAAGAGAGAAGGATTCAGAATTACCCTTGGAAGGTACAACTATGTCCTCCATTCATAGGTGCTGAATATATATATGTATGCGTCAAAATATACCTTATTCTACTTCAACATGGGTAGCCTCTTACCCCAAAACAAGCTACAGTTATCTTACCGTGATATAAATTTTTAAAAAGAAAAAAAATGCATTAGCGTTGTATAGAGTTCCTCTAACACAAATGTTTGGTATAATATACTTATTCAGTATAACTTTCTTATATTCTAATAGTTATCACTGTATGTTTAATTTACTTCTTATTTACTTATTTTTATATTTGCTTATATTCACCTTAATGGCATTTTCATAAAATATTGGCTGCAGCTAAAACACACACACACACACACACACACATACACACGAGGCAGGAACTCTCTTTTCTGCACACTGTTGTCTTCGGTTGAAGTTCTCTCTTTCTTGTGTACTGGGGCCTGGAGCTATCCCCCCTGGTTCCCATTCACATTTTTCCGGTGCAGCAGTGGTTTTGGTTTCCCTTGTTTTTTTCTCTTTTCCAGGCCTAACCAAAAATGAGGTGGCCACGTGGCAGAGACCCAGTGTCTGCCCAGAAACAGAATCTAGCACATGGTACTTGTCTGCACCATCATCCCAAGGAGATGTGACCACGGAAAAGAAGGCCTGGCAATTGGTGGCATGTGTCTAAGAGAGTCTGGAAATGTCAGGGGCATCGGTCCCTGAGGGGCTGCAGATGAGATTCTGAGGCAACTGGAGTTTAGTGCTCTCTCCACTCCCCTCTCCTCCCTTTCAAGTCTCATAGAACTCTGGCCATCTAGATTTCCGTTAGTCTTCAAAAAAAAAAGACTTAAAAAATTTCAAAATAAGTAAATAATCATTACAGAAATACAAAGATGAAAAAATTAGATAATAGGCCGGGCGCAGTGGCTCACACTTGTAATCTCAGCACTTTGGGAGGCTGAGGCGGGTGGATCACCTGGGGTCAGGAGTTCAAGACCAGCCCGGCCAAAATGGCAAAACCCCGTCTCTACTAAAAATACAAAAAATTAGCCGGGCGTGGTGGCAGACGCCTGTAATCCCAGCTACTCGGGAGGCTGAGGCAGGAGAATCACTTGAACCTGGGAGGCAGAGGTTGCAGTGAGCCGAGATGGTGCCACTGCACTCCAGCCTGGGCAAGAAGGCAAGACTCCATCTCAAAAAAAAAAAAAAGAAAAGAAAGAAAAAAGAGGATGATAAAAATTATCAAAATCCCAGTTGCTAGTGATAACATTTTTGGTGGATATATACACACAAACACCTATTTTCCCACTTAGACTCCTTGGTTTGTACCTCCCCCCAGCCTTCCGGGTAAAGTAAAAACATGTTATGTGAAAAAGCTATATTGCCATAATACAGAAACATTCTGCATAAGGCCCCGTATTACATGTTCCCCTAGCAAAGTCCTCTGTAAAAAAATGCTCTCCCTACCTACAAAGTGTGCATGTATGTATATTTTTTTCTTGCAAATTATATACCATACAGACAGTTTTGTAACCTCTTTTTTTTCCACTCAGTAATGAATCTTGAACATCTTTCCAGGTCAATAAGTATGCTTTTATGATATCTTAATGGCTGCACAATATTCCATTGTATGGCTGCACCATAATTAATTTAACTAGTCTCCCAATGGTGGACAATTAAATTGTTTCCAAATATTTTTTGCTGCTGTAAACAATGTTCCAATAAATATTCTATAGCAAAATCTTTGCCCTCATCCTTAATTATTTCCTTAGGAAACCTCCCTGGAAGAGAATAGCTGGATAGACATTTGTACATTGTTGAGGTTAGAGAAAGGTTTTATCCAATTGTCCTGGAGTTTATTTGCTCCCATCAGCTATGTATGAAGATGTCCACTTCTTATCCCTTCTCCCCAACACACACACTGTCTTCATCACTTGAGTGTCATTCTAATTTTCAAGAAGCTGCCAATTAATTTGTGATTTGCTCTTAACATATGCATAAAGGTTTATGCGGATGATTCTCCCATGGCAATTGGCACTTCATTTTTATTTTTTATTTTTTATTGAGACTGAGTCTTGCTCTATTGTCCAGTCTGGAGCACAGTGGCATGATCTTGGCTCACTGCAATCTCCGCCTCCTAGGTTCAAGCAATTCTCATGCCTCAGCCTTCCGAGGAGCTGGGATTACAGGCGCCCACCACAATAACCACCTAATTTTTGGATTTTTAGTAGAGATGGAGTTTCACCATGTTGGCCAGGCCGGTCTCGAACTCCTGACCTCAAATGATCCACCCGCCTTGGCCTCTCAAAGTGTTGGGATTACAAGCGTGAGCCACCATGCCTGGCCAGCAATTGGCACTTTAAACGTGGGTGTCTGAGAAGGGTCGTGTAGCCCCTTTAGTGGATCATCCCTCTGTAACATCTGCATCTGGCACTAAGAGATTGGGTGTCCCTCAACTACCACTGCCTCAGTAGAAGATGATTTGCAAGGAGTACTTTACTCCCTGCCCCTTTTGGGAAGAAATGATTCCACTAAAAACTGCTGAGCCCAAATCTAAGCAGTGCCAACCCCTAGGGACAGACCCAGGTCATCTCTTCTCAGACTTCCAGGTTCACCACCCTCAGTGGTGGCGGTGCCCACTAGACCATCTCAGGTTTCAAATTCCAATTAGGAATCCCTGCACTTGCCACCTTCTCTCTTGTGGAGCTTATCCAAAGCTACAGGCAAGTGGCACTCAGTCCACATCACTGACTATCAGGCCAGTGCCTTGGAGCCACATTGAGAGAAAACAGCATGGGTCTTGAAACAAGGGAGATGAGAATCTTGGGCCTCAACTTTCCAGCAGGGGCATCTGGGACATGGAATGAAACCTCTTCCTTCTTTATTTTATCTGTCTGGGCAGGAGGAAGAAGGGAATCCTGTTCCATATCGCTTTCAACCCAACAGGATTGGACAGTGAAAGAATGCGTGATGGGAAAGAAGACTTCAAGCCCTCAGGACATACTTGCCTTGTGGCTACCACCATTGTTATCGATAGTATCAGCTAACATGTGCCAAGTCCTGACCGCTTTGGGCCAGACACATATCACTGAACAAACATTAGCTCATTTAATCTTAGCAACAACTCTACCAGGTAAGTACTAGCATTATCCCTATTTTACTGATAAGTAAACTAAGGCATGTAGAGGTCAAGTGATTGCCCGAATTCCATAGCTAGTCAGTGAGGGAGCTGAGAATCTTACCAGGGTGGTCTGACCCTAGAGCCCATGTCCTTACCAATGTGTGGAATTGCCTTTGTAATAATCACAGTGATATCTGCCACTAGTCACTGAGCAGGGACTAGGTGCCTGGCACTGTGCTGAGAACTTGAAATGCAGTCTCGCTTAATCCTCTCCACCCCTGGTGAGGTGAGGATTACGGTCTCCAGTTTACAGATGAGTAAACTAAGGTCCTGACAGATTCGATGACTTGTCCAGGGGCCAGGAGAGCCCTGACCGTAATAGCCCACACACTGCTTCTTCAGCGGCCCGCGAAGCCCTGATCAGCCCTGACCACAGGATGCGGAGGACAGCATCTGTGTACACACACGCTCCCCAGGACCCCTGGAAAATGACACCCCTCCTACTGCTCCCTGGCTTATCTCCTAATTAAGCATTTTGTCAGGGCAAGTGGCTTTTTGTCCGCAAAACAGAACTCTTCTTTCCTACAGAAGAAAGCAATTTCCCCCATGTCAAAGTTGCCAATATCTTTTCATTGTTGCTTCCTGGAGCCGGGACCTGGGTGACACTATCAACAATGTGGTTTCTTGCAGCGCCCCCAGCCCTCCCACCCACTCCAGCCTTCCTGGGGGCTTTGGGCTTATCTTCAGGTACAGTGTTATCAGTTTTCAAAGCCAGCAGGCTTGCTTTATTTCCACAGAAGAGAAGCTTTTAGGCCCTGACTAGATTTGGAATGTCTGTCCTAACCAGGACCAGAAGTGGCCTTCAAAGGCCTTGGAACTTCATCCTTCTGGGAGAGGGGCTCTGAGACCAGCCATGGTCTCTGGCTTCTTTTTCAAAACTAAAAAGTTTATCTTTACACATAAAAACATTTGAAATAACACAGAAGTATATAAGATAGTGTAAAAAGTATAATTCACATTCATTCTGTTATACCCCCATACATGCACTACAATCCTTCTGGATTTTTCCTTCTATGTTTGCATTTAGCTATGCAAACATTTTTAAAAAAATTTTTTTTAGAGATAAGGTCTCACTATGTTGCCCAGGCGAGCCTCAAACTCCTGGGCTAAAACAATCTTCCCGCCTCAGCCTTTTGGGTAGCTGGGATTACATGCACTCACCACAATCTCTGGGATTTTAATAATTTTAACTTTAATTAATTAATTAATGTTTCCATCTATGCAAACATAGACATATGGGATTTTATAGATGTACACTTTTTTAGACACAGAAAATAATACAGTATACATTATGATTTGTTTCCCTACATAAAAATACATTTTTTAATATATTCATATATGTATGTATCTTTGTGTTCTTCCCATTCTTTTGAATAGGCAATAGTGTTCAATAGTATGGATGTGACTTTTCCCCTCTCTATTTTGTTTATTAAAATAGTTTCTTTTTTTTTTTTTTTGAGATGGAGTCTTGCTCTGTTGCCCAGGCTGGAGTGCAGTGGCGTGATCTTAGCTCACTGCAACCTCCACCCCCCAGGTTCAAGGAATTCTCCTGCCTCAGCCTCCCTGGTAGCTGGGATTGTAGGCGAGCACTACCACGCCCGGCTGATTTTTGTATTTTTAGTAGAGACGGGGTTTCGCCATGTTGGCCAGGATGGCCTCTAACTCCTGACCTCAAGTGATCCACCCACCTCGGCCTCCCAAAGTGCTGGGATTACAGGCTGAGCCACCGTGCTCAGCCTAAAATCATTATTTTATTTATTTATTTTTTGAGACGGAGTCTCGCTCTGTCACCCCGGCTGGAGTGCAGTGGTGTGATCTTGGCTCACTGCAACCTCCGCCTCCTGGGTTCAAGATCAACCAACAAGCAAATAACAAAACTCTTGGCTGGGTGTGGTGGTTCATGTCTGTAATCCCAACACTTTGGGAGGCCGAAGTGGGAGGATTGCTTGAGTTCAGGAGTTTGAGACTAGGCTGGGCAACATAGCAAGACCTCTTCCCTATTAAAAAAAAAAAAAAATTAGCCAGGTGTGATGTGCACCTGGAGTCCCAGCTACATGGGAGGCTGAGGTGGGAGGATCACTTGAGCCCAGGAGTTCAAGGCTGCAGTGAGCTATGATTTCCCTACTCCACTCCAGCCTGGGTAACAGGATGCGACCCAGCTCAAAACAAACAAATAAACCAACAAACAAACAACAAACTCTTCCCTCAGCTCCATCTTTTCTTCTGTTCTGCATTACATTTTTAGAAAGAGCATTCTCAAGGTCTCCACATCGTCTTCCAAAACAACTTGTCTGCTCCATCTCCAAAACCATCAGCTTTATTGGGACCCTCCTTTTCTTGCCCCTTAACGGTTGCATCCACCTTCTGAAGGGTTTCCCGTCTATCTTCTGTCTGGGTCCATCCTCGTTGCAGCTCACCAAGAGGAGCTCTCCAAAGCCCCCAGGTCCCCATTCCTGACTCAGCCAGGATTCTTCGCACTTGATTCTACTGCTTGTGGGATGACCAGCAGAGGAGTTCATGAGTGGGCTGTTATCTCCCACCCTCAAAGCGTGGTCGGTCCTCATGGGGATAGCAGGAGGGAGGGAGGTGGTAAAGGGCTGTATCTAAATCACAGACTGTACTGGCAGATATGCTTGTGCATGTGGAGAATATCTCCGGAAGGATACCCAAGAAACCAGGTGGCAGGGTGGTGGGAGTCCAGGAGTGAGAGAGAGAGACACCTTTGTTCATTGAGTCACAATTATTGACATGAATCAATAAACAAAAGGTGTCTCATTGTTATTGAGTCACAATTTGTCAGGTACTGTTTTAGGCACTGGGGATACATTAGTGGACAAGACAGACACAGTCTATGCCCCTTTGCACGGCTCATATCTTCCCATGTGTGCATTCTCTTTACAAAAAATAAATAACCTGACCAACATGGTGAAACCCCGTCTCTACTAAAAATAAAAAAATTAGCCAGGCATGGTGGCAGCACTTGTAATCCCAGCTACTTAGGAGGCTGAGGCAGGAGAATTGCTCAAACCCAGGAGGCAGGGGATGCTGTGAGCCGAAATCAGGCCACTGCACTCCAGCCTGGGTGACAGAGCAAGACACTATCTCAAAAAAAAAAAAAAAAAAAAAGAAAAGAAAACCCAAAAAACAAGAAAAGACAAAAATCTCAGCTAAAGGTAACCCAAGCCCTCTAGTTGCAGAGCCATAATAACATCTCAGCCTGGCCAGGCATGGTGGCTCATGCCTGTAATCCCAGCACTTTGGGAGGCCAAGTTGGGCAGACCACAAGGTCAGGAGTTTGAGACCAGCCTGGCCAACATGGTGAAACCCCGTCTCTACTAAAAATACAAAAATTAGCTGGGTGTGGTGGTGCACGCCTGTAGTCCCAGCTACTCAGGAGGCTGAGGCACAAGAATCACTTGAACCCAGGAGGCGGAGGTTGCAGTGAGCCGAGATCACACCACTGCACTCCAGCCTGGGCGACAAAGTGAGACTTTGTATCAAAATAAAAATCAAAATAATTTTAAAAAAAATAACATCTCAGCCTGATGACTGGTATGCTTTATGAAACCATCACAACACCTTCCAAGTCAGTAGGAAAAGCCCTGGAGTTGGAATTGGAGACCAGAGTTCAGGTCTCAGCTCCAAACACACATCTGCACCATGTGACCTTGAACAGGTCACTTATTCTTGGAGTCTTGGCTTTCTTCTCTGTGACATGAAAAGAACTATAATTCCTGCTTGCTTACCTCACAGTGTTGTTAAGAGAGAATCCATTGGAATAGGGTTCCCAAAGGGCTGTGTAATTGGTAGAGCACCGTACGGTTATGGGGGGATTATTATTTTTTTTCATAACCAGACACTTACTCTGTGATTTTTTTTCCTGTACTCTCTTTCATCTATAAGTGGAGAAAGGCGCTTTGGGCAAAGCCAGATAAATCTGACTTGATCATCGGGAGATGGAGAAGGTTGTGGCGGTTTCTCCTCCTCCCCTTCCTCAGAAGGGCCCCGGCCTGGAGTTTCTGACCTACTGTGCGGGGCTCTCTGCCCCAGTGTGGGAGGGGAGAAGTGAAATGGCAATTACCATGTGATGCGGCTAGTGTTGCAGACGTCAGCCCAGGGCCTGCACAGAGCACATTTCTCCAACATAGGGAATCCGAATCTGGGGACCGGTGGCCAGGGCTGGCTTCTAGGAAGGTGACCATAATGCTGAGTTCAAACAAATGAACAAGTAGAAAGGCAAAGAAAGGAGAAAGGGCACTCCAAGCGGAAGGAACAGCAAATGCAAAGGCATGGAGGTTCTTAGAAATATAAAATAGGTTCAGGCCGGGCGCGGTGGCTCACTCCTGTAATCCCCAGCACTTTGGGAGGCCGAGGCGGGCGGATCACGAGGTCAGGAGATCCAGACCATCCTGGCTAACACAGTGAGAACCTGTCTCTACTAAATAATACAAAAGACTAGCCGGGCGTGGTGGCTGGCGCCTGTAGTCCCAGCTACTCGGGAGGCTGAGGCAGAAGAATGGCAAGAACCTGTGAGGCGGAGCTTGCAGTGAGCCGAGATGGCGCCACTGCAGTCCAGCCTGGACGACAGAGCGAGACTCCGTCTAAAAAAAAAAAAAAAAGAAATATAATAGGTTCGGGGCCGGGCGCGGTGGCTCACGCCTGTAATCCCAGCATTTTGGGAGGCCGAGGCGGGCGGATCACCTGAGGTCGAGAGTTCGAGAACAGCCTGACCAACATGGAGAAAGCCTGTCTCTACTAAAAATACAAAATTAGCCAGGCATGGTAGCGCATGCCTGTAATCCCAGCTACGCAGGAGGCTGAGGCAGGAGAATCCCTTGAACCTGGGAGGTGGAGTTTGCAGTGAGCCGAGATCGCGCCATTGCACTCTAGCCTGGGCAACAAGAGCAAAACTCTGTCTCACAAAAAAAAAAAAAAAAAAAGAAATATAATAGGTTCGGGACCTTAAATGGGACAGCCAAATTCATAAGACTGGCCAGCTCATACTTTTAGCTTTTGGGCTTTCCAAAGCTCAAATTACATCTCAGTTTGCTCTTATCCAGCCTCGAGGTCCTGTAGGCTGTGTCCCTGCCCCGGAGCATAACTCCACACAGTTGTGGAAGCCAGGGAGCGCCAACAGTTGGCCGGTCAACCTTGACTCCTTTTCCATAAAGGGTTTGGGCTGCAGCTTCATCTCCTGAAATACATCTGCCTTGTGAACAGCCAGTCTGCCGTGAAAGAGTTTCTCACTGAAGGCAATTTTGTTATTAGGAAAAAAAAAAGCCCCTGTCACCCCTTTCCTCTCCTAACTCCCTGACATGAGTCCGTGTCATTAGTTACTCGCTTCAGCAGTTTTATTATGGAAATGACATATTGAAATACAAATTGGGACGCGTACAGTATAATTACTAATACTGCATATTCATTTCCTCCCTTTGTTACTGTTGAGTCCCCATAAAGCCCTCTCCCCAGCCACGTCCCAGTCCTGTGTGCAGTGGCTTCTGTGTCTCTTTTCTTCTGAGGGCCAGGCGGGGCTGAGAGGGGAAACGCAGCCAGAGGAAGTACCTGCCTTCCCCAAGAAGGGCTATTTTTGTGACAATGCTGAGCTGAGGCGGCAATCGGGGACTCCGAGGTCCAAAGGCTTCCCAGCTCGTCCCAGGCAAACAGCTCTCTGACTGAGCCAGACATGGAAAGTCCCAGCCAGGGGACGTTTTTAAAAAATTAAATGCACCAAAACAAGCATTTCCAGTGATATAAGGGCCAGTGGCCTGGGCTGGGCTATGCCATCCTCCAGGGCCCCTTCCCTTTCTTCCCTCGGCACCTTCTCAGGAGAAGGAGGTCACAGAAGCTGGGCAATTTGGACACCTATCAGGGTGGCACAGGCAGGCATTCTGTGCTGTGTAACCTACCCCATCTCCCTCAGCAGCCTTGGTTTCTGCCCCTCCCCAGGGGAGCATCATGCTGCAAATACTGTATGCACAAGTGGCTAAGAGAGTGACTTCTGGGTTGTAATCTCAACTTTCTGCCACTTAACAGAGAGTGCTTCTTAGGGAAAATTTGCCTTGTCCCTTTGTAACTCAATATCCCCATCTGTAAAGTGGGACTACTAGCAGTTTCCATCTCAAGGAGGTATTATTAGGATTAAATGTTTTAATTAGGCAAACATGTTAAACAGAAATATTAGTTTTTTTCCCCTTTGGGCAGCAGGAAATATTGCCTCCCCTGCTCCCCTGACCCTTGCCCCCCTCCTTTGGCCAGCAGTGACAGGTGGGCCAGTTCTGAGCCTATGCCCCGAGAGGTTTTACCCACTCTGCTCTCTCTTGGAATTCTGTCTCTGCCTTGGGACTATGCCCAGGCTAGCCTGCTGGATGATAAGAGACTAAGTGAGGCAGAGCTGAATCAGCCTCATTGTCCCAGCTGAGGCCCTAGATATGTGAGAAAGCACAGCCAACCTACAGATGACCAATAGCTGAACACAGGTGCACACGTGAAGCTGTTCTAGACCAGAAGAACCACTACATCAACCCACAGACTCAAGAGCTAAACACAAGCATATTATTTTAAGCCACTACATTTTGGGGTGGTTTGTTATGCACAATAGCTAACTGATGCATATAGTAAGCTATTATTGCCCTTTCTCCCTCCTCTGGTACCTCCTGTCTATGTCTCTTGACCTATTGCCCATCTACATTGAAGTCCTAGGGACAAAGACGTAACAAAATATCAAGGTGAGAACATAGGCCCTGTAGTCAGACAGAGTTCAGTTCCCAGGCTGTGGCATGTACAGAGAGGTGACTTTTCCCAAGTAATTTCTGTTCCGTTATAGGGGAATAATAATATCTATCATGCAAAGTTGTGGTAAGGATTGAATAACATAATGGATGAGGAAGAGTCTCCCACACAGTGAGTAACTCTCTCTTCTCTTTCCACAGAAGCTCAATGTCTTACACATAAAATAACATTCAATTGGCCAGGGACAGTGGCTCACGCCTGTTGGGAGGCCGAGGTGGGCGGATCACTTGAGGTCAGGAGTTTGAGACCAGCCTGGTCGACATGGTGAAACCCTGTCTTTACTAAAAATATAAAAATTAGCCAGGCCTGGTGGCATGCACCTGTAGTCCCAGCTACTCAGGAGACTGAGGGAAGAGAATTGCTTGAACCTGGGAGGCAGAGGTTGCAGTGAGCGGAGATCATGCCACCGCACTCCAGCCTGCGTGACAGAGCAAGACTCCGTTTCAAAAAGAAAAAAAAAAAATTCAATCATGGTGATTGAAATCATATTGTTTTATGACTAGGTTGAGCTGTTAAGCTCAGTTACCTGATATTCAAAAGAGAAGCCATAGGTCACAGCCTCCATTCAGAAGCACAAAGGAAGTGTTCTCCAATTAGCCAATGATGATCATCCAAATACCAGTAACAGAAATCCTTGGCATTTGCTTAGTATTTACAAAGCACTTTTGCATATATTACATTGTATAATTTCACAATAACTCTGTGGAGTCCCTTAGCATCAGCATTGTCCCCATTGTGTAGCCTCCAAGGAAATCATTGAGGTCAAGTGGTTTGCCCATTGAGGCACAGCTGGTAAGTGGCAGAGCAGAGACTCTAAGAGCCCATCCTGCCCCCACAGACCAGTTGTTACAGTGTTGAGGGCCTGTGAGGAGTCCCACTAATAGGACATAATCCCTCTTTTTCTGTTTATTGAATATATATAGCTTAAAATGAAATGTTCTTGATCTCCTGGAAACACAATCAGACTTGACCTTGGCTCAGCACCGAAGCCATTGACTTTTTCAGTCCAGGACCCTTTTTGCTGGGGTGAAGAACCACTCCTTGTCTTCATCACTCACTGCTTGGAAATAAAAGGACCCAGCACAGTTCTCAAGGAGCACTATTCACGTCAAACTCTGCAGCTGATGTGTGGGCAGCCAGCCTAGTGTACTGGGGAGTCCTTCTTTCCGTAATTCCTGGGAGGGTCTTTCTCCAACCACCATTGGACAATGTGTCCTGGCAGCCAAATCTGTTAAGGATTAGGGTATTTCCTAAAGAAAGATCACCAATCTCTTTCTTTAAAGACAGTAAGAAAGACAGGGCTATCCCTCTGCAATATCAGTCAGCACAAGCATAGAGCCCTCAGGATGAGCAGATTTCTTTCCTAGGTGAGATCAGGGGTTGAGAGGTGGACATAAGAAGTATGACATGTCGGCTGGGTGCAGTGGCTCACACCTGTAATCCCGGCACTTTGAGAGGCCAAGGCGGGTGGATTGCCTGAGCTCAGGAGTTCGAGACCGGCCTGGGCAACACGGTGAAACCCCATCTCTACTAAAAATACAAAAATTAGCCAGGCATGGTGGTGCGCGCCTCTAGTCCCAGCTACTCCGGAGGCTGAGGCAGGAGAATTGCTTGAACCCTGGAGTCGGAAGTTGCAGTGAGCCGAGATCATGCCACTGCACTCCAGCCTGGCAACAGAGCGAGACTCTATCAAAAAAAAAAAAAAAAGAAGTATGACATGTCATGGCCGGGCACAGTGGCTCACACTTGTAATCCCAGTACTTTGGGAGGCTGAGGCAGGAGGATCACTTGAGTTCAGGAGTTTGAGACCAGCCTGGGCAACATAGGGAGGAGACCCTGTCTGTAATTAAAAAAAAAAAAAAAAAAAAAAAAAGAAAGAAAAAAGAAAAAAAAGTATGCAATGTCAAAGAAACAGCAAGTGCAGTCCCTTTCTCCCATGAACTCAAAATCCAAAGGGATTTTGGGGAAGCCATCCCCAGGATGTTGGTCAAAAGTTAAAAAAGCTGTTTATATAAAAATATAGCAGCATGATCCACAGTGATGAAAACCTGGAAATTGTCCAAATGCCCAACAAAAGAAAACAGTTAAGTACACTTGTTTTATTAAATTGATGGAATAGCACATTGCTGTTATGAAAGATAATAAGGGGCTGGGCGAGGTGGCTCACACCTGTAATCCCAGCACTTTGGGAGGCAGGGGCAGGTGGATCACGAGGCTGGGAATTTGAGACCAGCCTAGCCAACACAGTGAAACCCCGTCTCTACTAAAAATACAAAAATTAGCTGGGAGTGGTGGCGGGCGACTGTAATCCCAGCTACTTGGGAGGCTGAGGCAGGAGAATCATTTGAACCCAGGAGTGAGCCGAGTGAGCCGAGATTGTGCCACTGCCCAGGAGTGAGCCGAGATTGTGGCACTGCACTCCAGCCTGGACGACAGAGCGAGACTCCATCTCAAAAAAAAAAAAAAAAAAAAAAAAGAAAAGAGACGAAAGAAAGATAATAAGGAAGTTTTTGAGCTATGATGCCTTCTCCAAAGAAAAATAAAAGAGGTAAAATAATATTAACTAAAAAGGAAAGATAATACGGAAGTTTAAGTAGATTTGTGGAAAAGTACATATGAAACAATTTCAGGTAAATAAAGAATACAAAACAGTTTCCAAGCCTTGATTACACCTGTGTAAAATCGTATAAGCATAGTGATAATGACAGTAGGGGGACATCATAACATAAAAATAACAGTTGTTTTAAAGTAAATGGGCATTACTGTCATTCTTAGTCATGTTTGCTTAATACGCATGAGACATCTTGAAGGTAGCAAGAGAGAGACACGTGACATCTGGCTGTCAGAGCACTGCAAAACACCAACCATGCAGATTAGAAGAAAACAAGTGCACAGGAATGGGGAAAATCAGGAAAAGTTGTGGTTATTCGAGTTGGAATTTGAGTGGCTTAATGGTAGACAAATGCTCAGCTGGCACGCTGGAACCATTTCTGGGGACCCCAGAAACACAAAGCCAAACCAAAGAATGTGCAGCAGGACCTATGATAGAACTTCAGACACAGAGCCAGCACGCTGGGGGAGAGTTTTAGGGTGCAGGGCGGCCTCTTCCAAGTCCTTCAAATCGCATCAGTGACTTGGATGCCCATTAGTCACATGAAAGACAGGTCCTTAAACTGTGGCCAAGTCTTTCTGTGATGTTTAAAAAATATAAATAAGGCCGGGTGTGGTGGCTCACACCTGTAATCCCAGCACTTTGGGAGGCCAAGGGGGGCAGAGCGCTTGAGGTCAGGAGTTCAAGATCAGCTTGGCCAACATGGTGAAACCCCGTCTCTACAAAAATACAAAAATTAGCCAGGCATGATGATGGGTGTCTGTAATCCCAGCTACTTGGGAGGCTGAGGAGGGAGAATTGCTTGAACTCAGGAGGAAGAGGTTGCAGTGAGCTGAGATTGTGCCACTGAATTCCAGCTTGGGCGACAGAGCAAGACTCCATCTCAAAAAAATAAATAAATATATAGATAGATATATAGATATCTATATATGCATGTGTGCGTGTGTGTGTGTGTGTACTCTCAGACTAAAAGTGGGTTTATTAGGTGGGTTGAATTTCAGGCTGTGCAGTTTAGGGTAAAGATGGTTTGTCGAGAGGATGGATGTGCTGGCTTCCCTTTGATCCCCAAAACATCCTACATTGAACTTTCTGATAATAAAACGTGGCTTCTATGAAGCAAATTGGATGCACACTCATTTTTGTTCTTTCCTATTATTTTGTAGTGTCTAATATATATTTATATATAGAGAGTTGCATCCGTTGCATCCAACATCACATAGTGGTGATTTGCGCACAGTTCTAACTTTGAAACATGAGGTGTGACATCCTCCTCCTGGGAGAGGAAAGGTAAGGTTCAGTCAGCCATGATCTTAGGTGAGTCATTTCCCTTCAGATACTGCATCTATAAAGGCAGGGTTAGGCTCCCAGCGGATGATTGGGATTCTCCTCAGCTCAGAGCCTCAGGGAGTCGCTGGACCTGAAAGAAAAGGATGGTCTGCCCCCAACGAGGGGCAGCTGCCTTCCAACAAGGAGTCACTGCGAGACAGATCTCAGCCCTTTGTGCAAATTACAGCAAACCCTCCAAGAAAATAGTCTGGGTTTTTTATTTTTATTTTTTTTTCTAGTTCCATATTTTGACTCCTGATCTCCCATTTCTGTTAGAAAGTTTATAGTTCCTCAGTGTAGTGTGAGATAGAGGAAGTATTCTTTGTTAGCAGATTTAAAAAAACGTTTTTGGCCACCGATGGACCCAGCAGCCCACAAGGGCTACACAATAAATGGGCTGGGGAGGAAGGGAGAAAGGCGGGGATCCTCTCCAGGAAGGCCTGGGAGGACCACACATCAGGCTTAATTTCCCGGAGCCCAAATGCAAACAGAAAGAAAATCCACCCTGGGTTGTTTAAAGTCCCTGGCTCAAGGCTGTTAGGGAGAGGAAGGATCCCCTCCTGCAACCCCCCAGGCTGCCAGAAAACTTCTTCTGCAAAGCCACACCCATTCCTGCCTCCAGGGTGTCCTCCTGCTACAAGTTGAAAGAAAAGGACAAGGAAACTGACAATCTCCTTCCAGGGGTGGGGGGGGCGGGGGCAGACGCCATGGCCAAGTCCAGGGTGATAAAGGGCTCAAGGGCAGCTCCGGGGTCGTCACTTCAACTGTACCATGTGAGCAGCTGCTCCATGTTGGGGATGTGGCAGAGCCCAGCCTCTGGTCCAGAAGCATTGACCTCTCCCCATTGACAAACAGCTGCTCCAGTCCCCCCACCAGCCTTTAGGCTCTAGGGGACATCGTGTGAAGCTCTGTCTCCCAGGACGTTAAACCAAATCTGTCACGGCTGTGGAGACTGGCTGGGGCTGGTGAAACCCTCCCATTTGCAGCGCAGGAGATCACAGTAGCAAAGGCTTGCAGGATACTTTCATGTGGATTATCTTATTTATTTCTCAATGTAACCATGTGAAGTGGATATTCGTTATTATTTCTTTTTTCTTTCTTTCTTTTTTTAACAGATGAATAAACGGAGACTTAGAGAGGTTAAGTGGTAGATGTGAGATCAGTGCCAAGACAGTCTCTGCAAAGCCTGAGCACTTAACCTCTACATCATGGGAAGATACTGCGCTCCTCTCAGAGTTGCAAAACATGCACAATGTCCTCCATCCCCTAAAGGCCATTCAATGGGAAGTTTTCAGCCCTTTCTCTCTCCCTTCCTTCTGAAAAATGTGGGGTGGGGGCAGTTATTTCAGAGGTCTTGGGGCACAGGTTCAACACCAGGAGGGAGAAGGGAGATGAGGAGGGGGTAGGGGAGAGAGGCACATGTTCAGTGCAAGGAGGATGCTTGGGATCCAGCCACCTTGGCTGCCCTGGGACCCTCTTCCTGAGTATCTTGCTCCCCTCTTCTAACACATTCCAAAAGCTGTTTTGTGCTAGTGACTGCTGACTGCCATTAAGTCACCATCACAAACACTTTTACCGGGGGCTTTCTAGAAATAAAGATGTGACACTTTGGGTGATTTGTGGTGTCTGGGGGGTCTGAGGGAGAGGGTTCTACCTCTTCCTCAAATTGTACCTGGGAGGTTGTCACCCAGCCTTAAGAATCCTCATATTCAAAGGGAAGAAAAAAATACTGGGGAGAGGAGAATAAGGGGGATGTGGTACCTGCCTTCAGATACCTGCAGGGCTGTCACAAAAAAGAGATTAGGAAGTGGGGCTTCAGAGGGCAGAGAATCCCCTTGGATATACATCTTAGAAAGGGAGATGTTCTTTTAACATAAGAAAGAACATCAGACTACTTTCTTGCTGTTGTTGTTGTTATTGTTATTCTAGCAACAGCCATTTATGAAGGACAATGTCAAGTCGTATGCTAAGCACTTTCATCTACACTGGCTTAAGTAAACCTCCTGACCACCTGGGAAGTAGATGCCTGCAATTAATTACTGCCCCCAGATCACAGATGAGAAATTAAGTTCAGTGAAGTTAAGTAACTGGTTGAATGTGGCTGAGCTAGCACCTGGGAGAGCGGAGGTCCCTACCCGCTGCTGGTTCTAAAGTCCACGCTCTTAACCATTAACTCCATCCTCTCCACAACCTTTGACAGTCAATGGTGATTTCCACATTCCCAGAGGCATTCAAGAGATGCTGTAACTTATTTGATACATGAATTGCCTAGATGCTCCTCCACCTCCAGATTCTCAGGCCTCCCCCTCCAGAACCATAGCTGAATCTCCGGGGGAGGGGGGTGGGGCAGGGGTTGGTCCCCAGAGTCTGCTTTTAGCAAGCACTAAGTAGGTGTGGGAGGCATGGCCTTAGGGAGCCGCCACTGAGAGGAAGCTGCACCCGATACTCTATCAGGGCTTCCGACTCCTGTGTGGCCTGAGATTTGGAGATTCTATTTTTAGGCAGGTCCTTCCTGAGCCACTGTGTCAGACTTTCTGGCACCTTCTGACGGCTCCAGGGCACCTGAGCTGTCTTCAGAGCCGCCCTGATGCCCCAGAGATACCTAGGGCAGGGCTGGGAGGAGCTCTGGGAGCCAGGAAAAAGCAGAGGAAAGCCACATTTGCCAGATGAAGGGGAGGAGGTGAAGGGGGAGACTCTTCATTTCTAGCTCGGAGGGGATTCAGTGATTCTCTCCGCCCTGAGGCTGACAGTAGGGAGCCGGTCGTTGTTAAAACTCTCTCTTGCAGAGAAGAAGTTATCCCTTCCGAGACAGTATGGATGGATGGAGGGAGTTTTTCGTGGACCATTCTCCCGACTGCTTTCGTGGATGGTTTTTTTTGGGAAGCTGGCAAAGGAGATATTATAGAGAAGTCTTGTCTCTTGGGAACCCCTGCAGCAGCAAAATGATGGTGATGGCTGCTGAGCCTTTACTGATGCTTGCCGGACGCTGTGCTGAGCACCCTAAATCCAGCCCCCTAGTTAACCCTCACGGAAGTCTCTTGAAATGAGTGCCACGGTTGCTCTCAGTTTAAGGATGTATTAATAGGCTTAGAGAGGTACAGTTACTTGTCCCCAGCCCCGCTTAAACTGACAGAGCTTTCGGAGTTCATGGATGGGACTACTACACTCTTAACCACCCCACGATACTGCCTCTCGGGCCCCAAGAGAACGTCAGTGTTTCTTAACCTTCTTTTGGAACACTGACTTTTGAAGATGTGCCAAAAGCTATTATTTTGTCAGCTAATGATCAGTAATATCTACCACAGGCCAAGTGCTGTTCTAGGTGCTTTACATGTACTAACTCATTTAATCCTATCAACAACCCATATGGTAAGTTATTCTCATTATCCCCATTTTACAGCTGAGAGAGCAAAGCTTCAGAGAAGTTGAGTAACTTGTGTCACTGGTTGCAAACTGGTATAGCCAGGTTTCAAACGTGGTGAGTGTGACTCCACAGTCCACACCATTAACCATTAGGCACATGAGCGTGCATGTGCATTCACACACACACACATGCACAATTGTGTAGTCAATTTCAAGGGATTTGTGGCTCTGAAAGTCCTCTTTTGGGGACCAGTTCCAGGTGAGCAACACTTCAGAATTAATTAAAAAAAAAAAAAAACTCAAAACAGGCCACATATAGTAGCTCACACCTGTAATCCCAGGATTTTGGGAGGTTGATGTGGGAGTATTGCTTGAGCCCAGGAGTTCAAGAACAGCCTGGGCAACACAGCAAGACCCCATCTCTACCAAAAATTTAAAAATTAGCTTCACGTGGTGGCATGCACCTGTAGTCCCGGCTACTCAGGCGGCTGAGATGGGAGCATCGCTTGAGCCTGGGAGATCAAAGCTACAGTAAGCCGAGATTGTGCCATTGCACTCCAGCCTGGGCAACAGAGCAAGGACCTGTCTCACAATAAAAATTAAAAAATAAAATAAAAACTCAAGACTAATATTGGGGTTTAGACTTCTGCAAAGACCACGTGCTAGAGGAGGGAAGACCCAGGCCGGGGGTCTTTTGCCAGGCTGCTTTGGGGCCATCTTTTCCCCTTCACCAATTCCAGATTCTAGGGTCTGTCTCAGGCTGGAGAAGGGGGCTGGCCTGTCCACATCATCCTTTCTGAATGACCATGCTGTTGGGCCTTTCCGCCACCCACCTGACCCCCAGCCCTGAAATTACTGGGTGGGCCGACATTTGCTCCTCCAGTAGAGTGTGAGCCAGGGATTGAGTCCAGGAAAGGTACCTGGGAGTGGAGCAGGTGAAGGAAGTTCTACAACTAGATCATTGTTTCTAGATTTTAGTTGACATCAGAATTACCTATTCAAAAGCAGATTCCTGGGCCCCATCCTGAAGGATTCTGATTGAGTAGATCTGAGGTGGAGCCCAGGAATTTGTGTTTTATTTATTTCATTTTATTTTATTTTATTTTCTTGAGATGGAGTCTCACTCTGCCTCCCATGCTGGAGTGCAGTGGTGCGATCTCAGCTCACTGCAACCTCTGCCTCCTGGGTTCAACGGATTCTTGTGCCTCAGCCTCCCAAGTAGCTGGGATTACAGGCATGTGCCACCACGCCCAGCTAATTTTTGTACTTTTAGTAGAGATGGGGTTTCGCCATATTGGCCAGGCTAGTCTAGGACTCCTGACCTCAGGTGATCCACCTGCCCCAACCTCCCAAAGTGCTGGGATTACAGGTGTGAGCCACCATGCCCAGCCAGAATTAGTGTTTTCAGTAAAGGTCATTATCATTCCTGATAACATGGCCCATTGAGCAAGACTGGCTCAGAGTCCACATTGTCATCTCTGCTGATGGTTCTAGTCAAAAGGAGGACTCTCAGTTAATTCTACTCATGTCTGGGGCCACAGCTTCCACGTAGAATTCCAGAGGGGCAGGGGGCATCCTGGGTTTGTGCAATGAGCAGGGAGGAGAGGAGGAGGTGGTCCCTGGAGCTGTTCCCTCCTGATTTTGAGCCAACTGCCCAGCACTCAGTCAGGCACCAGTCGCCCCTTCAAGCAGTGGGAGCTGCTGAGGGGTGCAAGGCTGAATTTATGACAAGATAGAGTCCCTGGCCTCAAGGGACACAGAGATTAGCTGAGAAGATGGATGAGTCAACTGAGAAATGCCAGTGAAGCTGGGGCTTTTGAAGCCAGCGAATGAGGGAGCAGAGCTCAGGGAGCGGGAAAGCAGAGAGCGTGCATGTGCGCGAGGGTGGGGGATTCCAAGTGAGTGGCTGCAGGGAGTCCTGGGTGGGGGATAAAGGCCACCAGATGGAGGCCTGGGAAGCAGGGTGACTAACCGACCTGATTTGCCCGGGATGGAAGGGTTTCCTGGAATCGGGGCCATTCAGTGCAAAAATCAGGAGAAAGTCTTGAGCAAAACCTATAGGGAAGGCAAGTCACGGTCTCTTCAGAGGGCCCTGTGTGCTCTCCCAAGGCACAGAAGAGCCTCCCTGAACTCTTCATGACACTAGACTCTCTCTTTCTACCCAAGGAGGAGGTGGCAGGAAGCTTGGGAGTCTGGGCAGAGACCTCTGCAGGTTTGGGGACTACTTCCAAACACTCAAAGCTATTTTACAAACCTTGACGGGTCCTTTGAAAGACACAGAAGGTTGGATCAGATCACTTCAAGTTTCAAGGAAACAGATGAGTTATACTACAAAGAAGTAGTGGGAGGAACAGTGACTAAATTAGTTCTCATTAGCCGGGCGTGGTGGCATGCACCTAGAGTCCCAGTTACTCAGGAGGCTGAGGTGGGAGGATTGCTTGAGCCCAGAAGGTCGAGGCTGCAGTGAGCCGTGATTGTGTGCCACTGCACTCCAGCCTGTGTGACAGAGCAAAACCCTGTCTTGAAAAAAAAAGTTCTTAATTGAGCTCTTACTATGTGCCAGGACTGTGATAAATGTCTTGGAGAAACTGTGTCATTTAATCGTCATAACTTTCCTGGGAGGCAGATTTTATTACCCCCACTGAACAGATGAGAAAACAGAGGCACAGAGGGAGGAGCCCACTTACCCAGAGTCACACAGCTGGCAGTGGCTGTGCTGGAACTTTGACAAAGCACCCCTTAACAGAGAATCAATCAATCACTAATACAGAATAAATAAATAAAGCTTCCCAGGATATTTGCTCCAATTGGTCAGTGTGAAACCCCCCAAAGTTATTTATTTATTTATTTATTTAGAGACAGGGTCTTGCTGTATTGCCTAGCCTGGAGTGCAGTGGTGTGGTCAGAGCTCACTGCAACCTTGAACTCCCAGGCTCAAATGATCTTCCCACCTTGGCCTCCCAGGTAGCTGGGACCACAGGTGCATGTTATTACACCTATTAATTTTTAATTTCTTTTTTTTTTTTTGGGACGGAGTCTCGCTCTGTTGCCCAGGCTGGAGTGCAGTGGCGCGATCTCGGCTCACTGCAAGCTCCGCCTCCTAGGTTCACGCCATTCTTCTGCCTCAGCCTCCCGAGTAGCTGGGACTACAGGCACCCGCCACCACGCCCAGCTAATTTTTGTATTTTTTAGTAGAGACGGAGTTTCACTGTGTTAGCCAGGAAGGGTCTTGATCTCCTGACCTCGTGACCTACCCACCTCGGCCTCCCAAAGTGCTGGGATTACAGGCGTGAGCCACCGCGCCCGGCCTAATTTTTAAATTTTTTTTGTAGAGATGGGTCTCATCCTGTTGCCCAGGCTGGTCTCAAACTCCTGGGCTCAAGTGATCCTCCCACCTCAGCCTCCTAAAGTACTGGGATTACAGAAGTGAGCCACGTGCTCAGCCACTCCCTGAAGTTTTAAACAATACTCACCCATCACAGAGAATGAGAATCAGGGCAAGGAAATGACTTATGCCCAGGCACAATGTTTTAAGAAAGAAAAACACAGCAGCTAAAGAGAAATGTCCAAGAGTCAAAGTCAAAATGAGTTTTCAGAATGGAAGGCATGGGAGTTGCATTCTGGATGTCTAAGTCGAACCTAGAAGCTTGAGCCCCAAAAACAATCCTGTTTTTCCCAGGTGGAAAGTTGCTTCTGGTCGGGAAGGCTGAGCAGCATTTGAAAAAAGAATGAAAGAATGTGCATTTCTGGGGCACATTGGATAACAAAGGGGGCCTCTGTCATTCTCTGGGTCCAGTGAGGTGACACTGCTAATCCTAAAATCTGTCCTGCAATCACACAGCCAGGGAGGGGCCCCGTCCCCAGAGCCCTCAGCAGACAGTCAGACAGGTTCAGTTGGGAAAGTAGGGAAGCCCTCACGTGGTAATTACCCTAATACTGAAAGAGGAGCTCTAGAGCAATGTCTTTTTGAATGTTTTGACTATAATCCACAGTAAGAAATACATTTTTTATCACAAACCAGTGCATACATGTGTGCATGTGTGCTTCACAAAGCAAAGCTTACCCATGTTAAATGCAATACCCTCTGTTATTTTCTGTTCCATCCAAATTCATTTGTTTTAAAGCTAGTTGTAACCTACTACATTGATTTCATTACCCACAAATGGTTTATAGTCTGTAGTTTTAAAAACACCTAGCACTGTGAGCCAGGGAAACTGAATAGGAGGTTAGAATGACAGGAATTTATATTGCAGTCATTATCTCTACCATTGTGCCTTTGAATGGTGTTTTGTGTTTACCCTACTTTCACCTAATAAGCACTTCTCAAACTGTGCTCCATGGGTTGCCTTTATTCCAGGAGAGTTTAATAGGTGTTTTGCTCCAAAGTGCTTCTGCGGTCAAACAAGTTTGGGAAAGGATACACGGGATAGCCACATCTGACATGTCCCAGTGCTTTTAGCATATTTAAGGCTCCGAGAAGGTCTGCAGTGAAGGTACCTGGTTAACTCTGTTAATCCTGCCTTTCCCAGACTTTTCTTTTTTTTTTTTTTTGACCAGAGAGTCAGTTTGGGGAGTAAGCCACTTACTTCCTCATGGGAAGTTTGGTGTTCCCCAGAAACCAGTCAGAGCCTGATTGCTTCACATTCTCCTTTGCGAATCCTCACCCACCGGTGTCCCTGTGAGGTTAGGAAGAGGGATGCTCTGTGGGAGGACTGTTGGAACAGACAGTTCACTTACCTGTCTGATCTCCCACATCAACTTGGGGCCAGAGTTGGCCAGAGCCGGGCCAGAGCCAGGCTTCCTCCCTCACCATCACATGGGGGAGCCCTTGGGCAGTGCCATTGATCCTAAGGGGCCACTTTCCTGATGGCACGAGGAAACGCCTCCCCACTGAGCTGCATGCAAGAACAGCAGAAGGGTGTGGGCACCAACAGCTGCCCTCTGCATCACCTCCAGGGTGCCGAGTATCCCAGGAGTTCAAAGCTCAGCCTGAAGAATCTTTAGTTCCTCAACCTCCCTGGGGGCAAGAAAGGAATGGGAACTGATCATCCCCACACTTCCGCTTCTGAACAGAGGTAAAGTAACTCACACAGTAATTCTGCAGGAAAAATAGCCACCCGTGACTTCCAGTTCCTGTTGTAGCTCAGGTCAAACTTGGCTGAAGAACATGTATTCAAGTTTGTGAAACAACTCTGCTGGTTTCTTTTATTAATTTTTTTTGAATATGCATTTATTTCTCTGGATACAAAAGAGACATGGGGATGTACGATAAACATTTCTCTCCTATCCCTTGCCAAATCACCCAGTTTCTCCCTGGAGTCAACCAAATGTACTAGTATCTAGTATCTATGCAAACACTCCTTTTCCCTACACACACACACACACACACACACACACACACACACATGAGCGCACACGATAAACAAATTAACATACTTTGAACACTGTCTGCACCTTATTTTTATTTATTTATTTATTTTTTTGAGACAGGGTCTCGTTCTGTCGCCCAGGCTGGAGTGCAGTGGTGCAATCTCCGCTCACTGCAACCTCCGCCTCCCGGGTTTGGAGATTTTCCTGCCTCAGCCTCCTGAGCAGCTGGACTACAGGCGCGCACCACCACACCCAGCTAATTTTTGTATTTTTAAGTAGAGACGGGGTTTCACCATATTGGCCAGGCAGGTCTTGAACTCCTGACCTCATGATCCACCCATCTCAGCCTCCCAAAATGCTGGGATGACAGGTGTGAGCCACTGAGCCTGGCCTCTGCACCTTATTTTTTAACTTAATGATGGATCTTAGAGATCATTCCTTATTAGTACACACAGAGCTTTCTCATTCTTTTTTACTGCTATATAAATTATGGTCCTTTATGGATGCAGCATAATTAGGCCCCCACTGATGAACACAGATTACCTCCAGAGTTTTTTGTTATGAACAGTGCTGCGGCAGATAACCACGTACTTAAGTCGTGGTGCACATGTGTGCGTGTGTATGTAGGGTAAAGTTCTAGAAGTGGAATTGCCGGGTCAAAGCACAGGCACTTCTTTAGGTGGTGCTGAGTACTGCCTGGTGCCCCTGCTCTGGCGGCTGGGATCCCAGGAAGAGGAGACGAGGGTTTTTCCTTTCTCGTTGGATGTTTAATCCAAGGCAGCTTCACACATTGACACCGGACACAGGAAACACGAAGTGTAGTCCTGACCTGTCTTTGCATGTCAATCTCCATTTGCACCAGCACCATTTGTTGAAAAGACTCTTATTTTCACCATTGAATGGTCCTGGCATCCTGGTTGATAACTGATTGACAGTTGGGCATGGTGGTTCACGCCTATAAATCCCAGCACTTTGGGAGGCCGAGGTGGGAGGATCGCTTGAGCCCGGGAGATTGAGACCAGCCTGGACAACATAGTGAGACACTGTTTTTAAGGGAAAAAAAAAAAAGAAAATCAATTGACCACAACTGTGAGAGTTATTTCTGGTCCCTCATTTCTATTCCATTGATCTCTATGTCTATATCTTTAGACAAGTACCACACTGTCTTAATTACTGTAGCTTTGTAGTACGTTTTAAAATTGAGAAGTATGAATCTTCTATTTTTCTATTCAAAATTGTTTTGGCTATTCTGGGTTCCTTGCGCTTTCACATGCATTTTACAAGCATTCCACATTCATTTGATCAGCTTATCAACTTCTACAAAGAAGTCAGTTGGAATTTTGATAGGATTGCATTGAATCTGTTATATCAATTTTGGGAATATTGCCATCTTAGCAATATTAAGCCTTCCAATTCACAACTATGTGTTGTTGTTCCATTTATTTAGGTCTTCTTCAATTTCCTTCAACAATATTTTACAGTTTTGAATGTACACATCTTGTACTTCTGTTAAATTTATGCTTAGGTACTTTATTCCTTTTGATACTACTAGATGTGAAATAGTTTTCTAAATTCTATTTTTGAAACTTTAATTGCTAGCATATGGATATAGAATTAATTTTTATATGCAGATCTTATATTTTGAAATATTACTGAACTTGTTTATTAGCTCTAATAGCCTGGTGCTTGGGGGTAGATATCTTAGTATTTTCTATATAAAAGATTATTTGTCAACAGAGATAGTTTTACTTCTTCTTTTCCAAACTGGCCTTTTATTTCACTTTCTTGCCTAATTTCCCTGGCTAGCCCCTCCAGCACAATGTTGAATAGAACTGACAAGAAGAGGAGACACCCTTGTCTTGTTCATGATCTTAGGGGAAAGCTTTCAGTCTTTTACCATTAATTATGATGTTAGTTGTTAACTATGCAATTTTAAGTTTTCTAGTAGCCACAATTTTAAAACATAAGAGTAAATGGTAAAATTAATTTTACAAATAAATTTTATTTAACCCAATATATCAAAAATATTTCAGCATGTAATTATTATAAAATATTAACGAGATTTTTACTTTGCATACTAAGCCTTTGAAATCTGATGTGTGTTTTATACTTTCAGCATATCTCAAACTCCTGACCTCAATTGATCCACCCGCCTCAGCCTCTCAAAGTGCTGGGATTATAGGCGTGAGCCACTGTGCCTGGTCCTTTTAGCATATCTTAATTCAGAGTAGCTACATTTTTGGAGGGGGGTGGCGGTGGGGAGTAGCTACATTTTAAGTGCTATTCTCTACTGTATTGGACAGCACAGATCTAGAACATGGCTGGCTCAAAACAAGAAGAGCTAATGTTTACTGAACACTTCCCATGGGCTAGGGACTCTTCTAAACTTTTTCACATATTAACTAAATTAATCTTACAATGAGGAAGCTAAGGCATGGAGAGGCTATATTACTTGCATAAAATTGCCCAACTAGTGAAATAGCAGGGCTAGGATTCCAACCTGGGAAGTCAGACTTCAGAGCCTGAACTTTCTACTTTTAATAAATTTATGGAGATCTAATTCACATACCATACAATTCACCCATTTAAAGTATACAATCAGACAGTTTTTAGTGCATTAACAGAGTCCTGCAACCATCACCACAAACAATCTTAGAACATTTCATCATCCCAGAAAGAGAGCCCATACCCGTTAGCAGTTACTCCCCATTTCCCCCAACTTCTCAGTCCTATCTACTTCCGTCTGTATAGATTCGCCTATTCTGGGCATTTCATATAAATAGGATTATATGATATGTGGTCCTTTGTGGCTGGCTTGTTTCATTTAGCATAATGATTGCAAGGTTCCTCCCTGTTGTAGCATCTATCAGCACTTCCATTTCCAAAAAAATAGTCCATTGTATGGACAGATCAACTTTATCTCTTTGTCAACTGATGAACTGGGTTGTTTTCACGTTTTCAGTATTATGAATAATGCTGCTATGACCAAGCATGAGCAAGTTTTTGGATGGACATACGTTTTCGTCTCTCTTGGGTATACAGCTGGGAGTGGAACTGCGGGATGATAGAGGAACCTAGAACGTATGTTTTTTAAAGGAACTGCTAGACTGTTTTCCAAAGTGGCTGCACCATGTTACCTTCCCACCAGCAGTGTATGGGGGCTCCAGTTTCTCCACACCCTTGTCAACACTTGTTATTGTCTTTTTGTTTATAGCCATCCCAGTGGGTATGAACCGACCCAGAGCTTAAACTTTTAGCTGTTATTCTAGACCAGAGGCACTTAATGAACATGTGTTCAATGAATGAAAAAATAAACACATCTTGTCATTGTCCGTTGTGGGGTGTTCTGAATAATGGAACAAGATGGCTCAAAACTTGCCAACAAGAAGCTTTAGAAGAAGAGAAGGCTGTTTTCCTTTAAAATGGTGATCTGCTGGCTGGATCTGAGCCACCTGAGGGGCATTTTAAAAGTACAGATTCCCAGGCCCCATTTCCAGAGATTGATTTGGTAGGTAAGGTGGTATCTGGGAATCCGTATTTTTTTTTTTTTAAGAAAGCTTACCCAGATGATTCTGACATGCCACCGGGTTTGGGATCAGTCATCTAAAAGGGCATTTTGGAGTATAGTGCATGTATTTGCAATAAGCCAGTCATGTAAGTGTCTGCCAGAAAAACAAGTCTGTGGGAAGGACTGCAATGACACCTGGCTGAGTTTGGGAAGCTGAGGCCCTGCTCAGTGCTGCATTCCACATGGTGGGGGTAAGAAGAAAACTAACAAGTAAGACTCGCTGAGAGCTTACTTCCTTCCATCTATGTCTCTACATGCAATACCTCCTTTAATCTTTAAAACACCACCCTATGAGAAAGGTACTGTTAATGATTCCTTCTTTGCAGATGAAAAAACTCAGTCTCAGAGGAATTAAGCTGCCCAAGGTCTCACGACTCAGTCGCGTTAGGCTTGCAGCATGGTCTGTTTGACTCCTCTCTGCTGTTTTTCCTTCCTGGCCATTTCACTAGCCTTGAGGCACTCCCAGGATTCTGGAGGAGTCAGGACACAAAATGAAATACGCAGTAGCTGGAAAGGCCAACCAGGTAAAAACAAGATGCCTGGTGGGGTGTGCAGACAGGTTACGGCGGAAGTATTAGGGAGGAGGAGGGGAGGGGGCTCAAACAGAGGAAAAAGAAGTGGTTCTTTGTGGCAGGGCCTTTGGACAATTGGCAAGCCCCCAGCTGACCCAACTCCTGCTGCATCACGAGCTTCTTCTGTCCCCTATGCCTTCTGCCAGTCAGGGTGCTAATTTGCACGCTGGCCTTGCTTGCCCCAGAATGCCTTTCCACCCACCCTCTCCAGAGAGACTCAGATACAGCAAATATCCCTTAGATGCTTTCAGGTGCCATATCTCATTTAGATGCACTTTCAGATGAGGAAACTAAGGCTCAGAGACATTAAGTCACTTGCCTAAAATCCCACAGCAAATCAGTCGCAGTGCTGAGATTCAAACTTTATTTTTGACAACCTGATGTGGTTTAAATGTGTGTGCTCCTGCCCCCAATTTTTGTGTTGAAGCCTAATCCCCAATGTGATAGTATTAGGAGGTGAGGCCTTTGGGAGGTGATGTGGGTCATTAGGGCATAAGCCTCATGGTGGGATTACGACCCTTATAAAAGAGGCCAGAGAGAGAGTCCTTGCCCCTTCCACCATGTGAGGACAGAGCGAAAAGATGGCCATCTATTAGCCAGGAAATGGATCACTACCAGACACGGAATCTATTAACCAGGAAGCACCCAGGCTGGAGTGCAGTGGCACGATCTTGGCTCACTACAGCCTTGACCTCTGAGGCACAGACGATTCTCCCACCTCAGCCTCCCAAGTAGCTGGGACTACAGGCGTGCACCAACATGACTAGCTAATTTTTTGTGTTTTTTATAGAGATGGGGTTCTTGCTATGTTGCCCAGGCTGGTCTCAAACTCCTGGCTCAAGTGATTCTCCACCTCAGCCTCCCAAAGTGCTGGGATTACAGGCGTGAGCCACCGCACCCGGCCTTATTAGTGATTCTTAATTTGGGATAAATTGTGGGGCCCTTTGGATCCTGTCAAAAGCTCCCTTCCCCGTGTTGTGAGTGCCCACCCTGTGCGTGTGTGGGGCTCACTCACAGAGCATGCGCAGGGCAGTGTTCACACCCTGGTTAATAGCCTCTGCTTTATTCGTGATTTGAGGGGCCCCTCGCAGCAGCAGCGGTTTCACAAAAAACGTATAAAAATCTCTCAAAGACAAAGGCAACTTAACAAACTGGTTTATCACAGGGGTGGGCTGCTTCTTCACTGGCCCACGGGGACCCGGAAACCATCAAAAGCTGAGGCTGGGAAACCCAGCTTCCTGCTTCTGGCCTCAATTCCCCACCACTGTCACCACCATGACCACTAAAAATAAGACCAAACCCAGCCCACGCCCTCTCGACGTCGTTCTCCTCATGATTTAGCTGCCTGCTTCCTGTTGATCTTTCTTGTTTTATTTCACAGTCTCTGACTTCTGCTCACACCCCACTAGGCATCTCCCCAGTTTGAGCTGAAACAGGATTTAACCAGAAAGAAAAAGGGGTGGACGTGGGAAGCCGCAGGGGACTGAGGGTCCGTGTCCTGCCTCTCTGAATCCACACTTGCACCCTCCACCCAGTGGCTGCCCCAGGGGACTCTGGTCCAGACCCCATTCAAATGCTGCCAGGCGAGTTTGATGACTGCCTGGTCATAGGTTTTTGATAAATGTACTCGATCTCCCACCAATGGTTGTAGGGGTACGGAAGGCACAATCTCTATCCAGAATTATTCAATCACATGAGGTGAGGACTGGGCCACACAGGACACAAAATCTCTGGAAGCAGTTGATGAGAAATGCCATTTGCCCCTTCCCATTTGTCTCTTGGAAATTGAGGGTTGTAGGCTCAGTTTTCTGGTGGTGCCCCCAAATGCTTCTTCCAGCCATACTTTTTTTTTTTTTTTTTTTTTTTTGAGACAGAGTCTCTCTCTGTCACCCAGGCTAAAGTGCAGTGGTGTGATCATAGCTTGATGCAGCCTTGACCTCCCAGGTTCAAGTGATCCTCCTACCTCAGCCTCCCTAGCAGCTGGGACTACAGGCGTGTGCCACCACACCTGGCTAATTTTTGTATTTCTTTGGTAGAGACGGGGTTTCGCCATATTGCCCAGACTGGTCTTGAACTCCTGGGCTCGGGTGATCTGCCCGCCTCGACCTCCCAAAGTCCTGGGATTACAGGTGTGAGGCACCACGGCCAGCCTCAGCCATAATTTCAGACTCCATCCCTCCCAGGAGAGCTCCCTGGTGCCCTTCAGTAAAACTGAACTCCACTCTCTCCCGGTCTCTTGGCCTCCCTCTGCAATTTTTGTATTCATCTTCCTTGCTAGATTGTGAACCCTTGGAGGGGCAAGGATGATCTCTTAATCACTCTTTTTAGAAATTTCACAACTAATAGATGTTTACTATGTGGAAATATTAGAAAATTCAGATGGCTTCCCCACCACCTCCCCTGCAGAGAGGATAAAATGTATCCCTGATGCCCAGCTGGGACCTGTAACATTTTGGTGATCTTTCCATTTTCTTATGCAGACACACACACACACACACACACACACACACGCACGCACACACACCTAACAGAATGGAATCCAATACTCTATTTTGAGTCTATTACTCCTTTTTTTTTTTTTAAAAAAGTAAAGATTTGCTATAATTTTTTCATTTATTTATTTTTGTCTTTTTATTATTATTATACTTTAAGTTTTAGGGTACATGTGCACAATGTGCAGGTTAGTTACATATGTATACATGTGCCATGCTGGTGTGCTGCACCCATTAACTCGTCCTTTAGCGTTAGGTATATCTCCTAATGCTATCCCTCCCCCCTCCCCCCACCCCACAACAGTCCCCAGAGTGTGATGTTCCCCTTCCTGTGTCCATGTGTTCTCATTGTTCTATTACTCCTTTTTTAACTACTCGATAACCTTAAAACATTTTCATACCAACATTTTGCATCATTGAAAATCACTGCAGAGTTGTCTACCAGTTGTATCACAGTTTTCTCAATAAGCCCCTATTGTTGGACATTTAGGTTATAGTCATTTTTTTGAGACAGGATCTCACTCTGTCACCGAGGCTGGAGTGCAGTGGTGCAAACATGGCTCACTACAGCCTTGACCCCTTGGGCTCAAGCGATTCTCCCACCTCAGCCTCCCAAGTAACTGGGGCTACAGCCATATACCACCATGCCTGGCCAATTTTTTTTTTTAATTTTGTAGAAAGGAAGTCTCACTATGTTGCCCAGGCTGGTCTTTAATTCCTGGCCCAATTTTTTAAAAACAGCTTTGTTGGGATATAATTCGCATACCATAAAATTCACCATTTTAGGGTGTACAATTCAGTGGTTTTTACTGTATCTACAGAGTTCTGAAACCATTACCATTATCTGATTTTAGAACATTTTCATCACACCCAAAAGAAACCCCACAGCCATTTCTGTCACTGCATTTACCCCACACCCTGACACCAGGGGAACCGTTAATCTTCTTTATGTGTTTATGGATTTTTACTATTTTTTTTTCTTTTGAGACGGAGTCTTGCTCTGTCTCCCAGGCGGGAGGTGTAGTGGTGCGATCTCAGCTCACTGCAACCTCTGCCTCCTGGGTTCCAGCAATTCTGCCTCAGCCTCCCAAGTAGCTGGGATTACGGGCACCTGCCACCACGTCCAACTAATTTTTTTGTATATTTAGTAGAGACAGGGTTTCACCCTGTTGGCCAGGCTTGTCTCATCTCGAACTCCTGACCTCAAGTGATCCACCTGCCTCAGCCTCCCAAACTGCTGGGATAACAGGCATGAGCCATGGCACCTGGCTGATTTTTACTATTCTTGACATCTCAAGACATTCACATACAAATGAAATGTTACAATAGGTGTCTTCTTTCACTTAGCACAGTGTTTTCACGGTTCACCATGTTGTAGCATGTATCAGTACTTCATCCCTTTACATGGCTAAATAATATTCCTTGAATGCATATGCCATGTTTTGTTTATTCATTCATCAGTTGATGGACATTTGAGTTGTTTCCAGATTTTGGCTATTATGAATAATGCTGCTATGAACATTTGTGTGAAAATTTTTACGTGGACATATGTTTTCATTTCTCTTGGGTATATACTGAGTAGTAGAATTGGTAACTCTATGTTTAACTTTTTGAGGAACTGCCAAACTGTTTTTCAAATATGGTTGTACCATTTTACATTCCCATTAGCAATGTATGAAGACTCTGATTTCTCCATGTCTTTGCCAACACGTTATTGCCCACCAATTAATGTTTCATTCTGTGCAGCACCCAGACATGTTCCTTGAATACAGGAAATGCTGAATCTCTTTGTTGGACTGATCATGCACTTCCCCTAAACAGAAACTTTTTGCATCTCTGAAATTCATTTATGTACTCTGTCCCCTAAAACACCAAGCCAGATCCGGCCTCCACACTCGTAGTGGGGGAAGGTTTCATGAAGGAGGAGGCATTTGAGCTGGGAAATAGATGTAACAGGAAAACATGGATTTAGGGTCATAATTGATCTAGGATTGAATTCTGTTTAACCACTTGAGACTTGGTTTTATCACCCACTAAGTGGGGATAATAGTATCTGTCTCATGAAATAATGCAAATAAAATGCTTAGCACAGTGCCTGCCACATAGCGTGTCTCCTTCCTCCCTGGAGGATGAGAAGTTGGCTCTCAGTTGAGCAGGGTAAGGACCTGTCAAGCGGAGAAAAGAACATGTGCAATGGCCTAGTATTGTGAATGCAAGTGGCAGATGAGGCGACTGGTGGGAGGGTAGCAACCAAGCCAGGAGGCAGATAAGGCCAGGGCACCAATGAACTCTCTCCCTGCAAAGGAAGTTGGATCTCATCTCTCACAAGTCATAGGCAACTAGGCGGTGAGTGACAGACCATGATTTGCATTTTAAAGAGCTCGTTCTCCAGCAGCGGGAGGCTGGACTGAGGGTTGAGACAGGGGGTACTGGGAAGACCAGTAAGAGGGTCAATGAATTCGTTGTTTAAATGAATTCAGGTGGGAAACCAGGGGCTTAGACTAGGGCTGTGACAATGGGGATAGAAAGAGGAGCTGAACGGGAGAGAGGTTTCGGAGGTAGTGTCAATGGGCAATGGTGGCCACGTGGCCTTTGAGTTATGGTCTGACAAGCTCTCTGTACACCTGCCAGGGAGGGAGGGCAGGGTGCTCTCCAAGTCGCACCTTATTAAATCCTCACAACACCTCGGCAAGGATGCACCTGCTTTCCCAGTTACAGATCAAGAAACCGAGACTCAAAGAGAGTAAGCAACTTGCCCAAAGTCATAAAGAGTAGAGATGAAGTTTGAATCCAGGTCTGTCTGCTTTCTTTCATCTTGATGTCTCTCTGGGAAGGACTTAGCTGCACAGGAAAGCCTGGGATGGATTTGGACAGGGAGGGAGAGGAGGCAAAGTCAGTTCTTTTTCGTGGCGAGCAGCCTTGGTGTGATTGGCAGGTCAGAGCTCAGGGGATCCAGCTGAGGCCTTGGAAGAGTTCTCTAAGGAGCCAAGGCAGAAATGTGGAAGTAAGAGAATTTGTCCAACAGGAGGTTGGGATGTCTCTGATCCTCTCTCTTCCTCAGGGTGCTGGGCACAGTAAGACGCCTTGGAAACAGAAGTAGGTTGAATGGAGTGACCATGCTGGGGTGAGGGTAGTACAGGGGCCCAGGCAGAGAGCAGGCAGCTTCCTTCCTCCTTCCCCATTCAGAACCCCATCCCGTGCTGGAAGCCTGGATCCTCTGGGTTTGGGGCCACGCTGGAAGGGAGTGGAGGGTGTTCCCAGGGCTGGTGGCCACAACCAGGCTCTCCCAAGCAGCCTTGAGCCTCTCCCTGAGCTCTGCCACCAGTAGGGCTGTTACAGACCCCAGCTCCTTGCAGGAAAACTTAACATTCACACTGCGTGGAGCTGTCCCAGGGCCGCCCTCACAGGCGAGCTGAGAGGTGGTGTGGAGATGGTGCGAGATCCCTCTGAACAAGTTGGGAGCTTGGATTCCTCCCCTGGTGCCTGGGGGAGGGGACGCCAGGCCCAGACTCTCAAGCTGCCAGGCCTCACACAGAAGGGGGGACCCCTGGGTTCTCCTCTCCCCCAGGCCACACCTCTAATGGCCCCCTTCATGTGCACGCTGGCCTTTGTCCACCAGGCCCTGTTCACTTGGCTTAAAGTTAGCAGAGGCCCAGATGGGGACATGGCAGGGAGCCATCTGGTCTTCTCCCAAGACTCTCAGCCCCCCACCCTCCCAATGCCTCAGCCTGCCTTGTCCCAACGACCCCCTGCTTCTCTCTCCCAAAGTCTTTATCCGTGTTTACTATCTGTCAATTAGGCGGCCTCAATACTCTGCACATGGAAAGCCAGCCAGCCAAGCGTGGTAATCCCTCAGCCCCCTCCCCACGCCTCTTTCCCTCTGGGTTAGGGGAGAGGGCAGGAGGAGGAAGGCAGTCTGCAGTTTCCCCTCCAGTGAAAAGTGGCCGTGGCATGATCTCTGTGGTCAACATTTTCTCCCTCACTGCAGACCCCTCCCAGGCCACAGCTGGAGTGGGCAGAGGTCGGGGTGAGGAGGGACGGCAGCAAGCAGGTGCCTATGAGTGAGGGGTGGGCAGGGGCCAGAGGCGTGGGGTGAGGCTGCCTGACTGACTCAGGGCCTGGCTCGGTTCGCCTTTCCAGCTGGAAGTGTTCCAGGCCACGGGCAGGTGTGTCTACTGGCTCCTCCCCATGGGAGGGCCAGGCTCAGCACATCCCTCTGGCCACTCTGAGGCCTCCATCCATGTAGAAGGAAGAGGGAAAGAAAGAATGAAAGTGGAAGAGGAAGGAGACAGGGTGAGAGGTGGTGCAGGGGGACTGGGGACAGAGGGTGTGTCCCAGGAGGGGCCTCTCGTGCCCTCCAGTGACAGCATCTGGATGCCTGCCGTGGACCCCTCCAGCACCAGGCACCGACCCACACTCCCTTCATCCCAGCCTCAGCTCCAGGAAGAGGAGGGGCTCATCCCTACGCTAGAGCTGAGAACACTGAGCTCAGGGAAAACACTCGGCTGGTCCTTGGCAAAACTTCTGGCTCCATGGTTCTTCTTCCTCCTCAGCCTCCATCACAGCCCAGCGCCTCCCCACCAGGTGGGGAATCCGCCTTCTTGAGGGACACAGGCACTCTGATTTCAGGCTCCTATTTGTTCTGGAAAACAAATAGTTTTGCTGCAGGGATCACAGGAGCTGTCCTAACAGCTTCCCGGGGGAGAGGGCCCAGGCTCTGACCATCCCCAGGGAGCGGGTGGAGCACAACAGAGGCACAGAAGAGCCACAGATTGGGGGTCGCAAGCTCTGAAAGGCAACTTTTCTCAGGAGAGACACAGTGGCTCAAAGGGCTCAGCAGTCAGAGACACCAGCCTTTGAGTCCTGAACCCCACTTACTAGCCACCAGTTTGAGCAAGATGTTTAGCCTCCCCGTGCCTGCAGTTCCTCCCTCCTAAGGCAGGGTAGGTGGTAATGGTGCCTACCCCGTGGGGGTGTCCTGGGAGGGTGATAGTCCAGGTAAAGCCTCCAGAGCCCTGCCTTAGACTTGAGGGTCCCCACACGTGCTGGTGGAATCGATCACTTTTGTACTTTCTCCCCCTAGGCTGACCTCTCCCAAGGCCCATGCATCACACCAGGCAGGAGTTTTTTCATCTGCACACAACACGGACTGGCTCTGACTCCCAGCTGCCCTCCAGGCAGGAGGTGGACTCCCCTGCTTTGTTCATCAATGTCAAATGTCCCGGGTTCTTTCAAGTGAGGGATAAACCCCATCTAAGAGGACAGGAAAAATTCCAGTAGAATTACTGGCTCTAAAGCCAGCATGCAGGTCTGAGGGGAAGGCGGACAGCTGGCAGGGCAGCTAGTTTATAGGCTTGGTCCCCCTAGAGTCTCCCTTTATCCCAGTCAGTGGTGGCTCTGATCCATCCCATAAAGCCCCTACTCGGAGGGCGGCCTGCCCCACAGGTGCGCTGCTCCAGCCAGGGTGGGCTGAGACCTGGTCCTTCTATTTGAGGTAACAACTTGGTGTCCTGGCCTGCTGATACCCTCTCAATATCTCTTACTTCTTTTTCTAGAGAGGGGTTGAGCACAGAGAGAGGGGTGGAGGGCCAAGTAGGGTGGGGTGGGAGTGGCAATGGGCTTCTAACACACAACCACACCCAGAGAGAAAGGCCCTGCTGTTAACCAGATTGTCATCTTTGGCAACCAATGGATGCTAGAGGTCTCAATGCCTTCCTCCACCTCAGAGTGTTTGATCAGAGTCTTCTTTTTTAGAAAAAAAAATTTTTTTAATAGAGACGAGGTCTCGCTATGTTGAGCAGGCTGGTGGAAGTCCTGGCCTCAAGTGATCCACCCCCTTTGGCCTTCCAAAGTGCTGGAATAATAGGCATGAGCCACTGCGCCCAGCTATAGTATTCTTTCAACCACAGACAGTAGAGTTCCTACGAGGAATTCCAGGAAGCTGATGTTTTTCATCCCTTCCACCTTTATCAGAATGGATTTTAAGTCCCTTACAGTCTGGAGCGCTGGCTAACAGCTGTTGACCTGCTTCTTACTCCAGCTCTGGTTCCAACAGTAACACTGGCTCCTCAAACTTCCAACCCAAGGAACGGTTTCTGCCAAGAAAATGTGCCTTAGGAGATGAGACTACCAGTGGAGCAGAATTCCGGCAGTTCTCCAGGTATGAGCTCCCAGGAGAAGGGACAGTGTTGAGTAGAGAATCCAACAGAAAGTTTGTTTTTTGGAAGGACAGGACTGGCCGATGCTGAGAAGGGAGGGGAGTAGGAGAGGCGGGAACTCCCAGCACAGACCTCAGCCACTTGACCTGTCACCCCAAAGAGCTGGTCATGCCCCGGATCACGTTCCATCTCCCAGTGGAGAAAGGCAGCCAGCCACCCTTGGAGGAAAGCATCCATGTAGCCACCGATGGCGGGGAGAGCAGTGTGGGGAGTCTCCTCTATTTGGAAGAGGAGACATAGTTGGGTGGGTGGTTCCCTGGCCTTATCAGGCCTCTGCAGTCCAGCATGGAACTGGCAGAGATGGGCCATCCTATCTCCGCCCTGCTGGGCTTGGCTCAGTCCCCTTTAGACAGAGGGCTTTGCCCTCTCACCCCTGCACTCCGTGCCACCCTGCTTCATTGACCCCACTGGCCTCCAGACCGCAGCCAGCTGTAGTGGGAAGAGGAGTGGGCTGACTCTCAAAGTCAGGGGTGAGGACAGGCATGGCGCTGCCTGGGCTGGGCAAATACTGGCAATGGCAGAAAGCAGGAGAGGTGCTTTGAAGGGGAGTTAAGATCCAGAGCATTTAGAGGCAAATTAAACAGCTCTTTTAGAATTCACTCAGCTGGGGGTATTGATCACAATTCTCCCTGGTGGCAAAATGGACATGGCTTAGATAAGTCAAGGTAGCACATACTTGGGAATGCTTTCCATTTTCCACTGAGGTAGGTGATGGCACAGCTGTGGCTTCAGGCTATGTACCTGACATACTCTGACACTAGTGATGTGACCTCGGACAAGCCGTATCTCCACTTAGTCTCACTTTCCTCATCTGTAAAACTGAGAAAAAGTTTTCATGAAATTAAACCCAGGCCAGGCATGGTGGCTCACCGTTTAATTCCAGCACTGTGGGAAGCCAAGGTGGGTAGATCACTTGAGGTCAGGAGTTCGAGACCAGCCTGGCCAACATGGTGAAACCCTGACTCTACTAAAAATACAAAAATCAGCCGGGAGTGGTGGCACATGCCTGTAGTCCCAGTTACTCAGGAGGCTGAGACATGAGAATTGCTTGAACCCAGGAGGCAGAAGTTGCAGTGAGTCGAGATTGCACTGCTGCACTCCAGCCTGGAGGACAGAGTGAGACCCTGTCAAAAAAAAAAAAAATTAAACACAATAATGTATGTGAAGTACAGAGCCTAGGACACACAAGGTACTCAGTCATTGTTCCCTCCTTCTGAAAGCACCTTTCCATCATTTTCCCACTTGACTAATCTGATATTGAATAATTGATTATTATAACCCATGGTGGTTTTAAAACATGTTCACCGATTTTTTGACACTCTTTTCTTCAAAAGGTGGAAACTAGTGTCCCTCCCCTTCGATTTGGCTGAACTTAGTGACTCGCTTCTAATGATTAGAATGTGGCTGAAGTGCAAGTGTGTGTCACTGTGGTTTCTGCTTTGTTCTCCCTTGGATTGTCTGCCGCAGGGGCTGCCTGTCACGAGGGCACTCAAGCTGCCTGCAGAGAGGCCCATACGGGGAGCATCTAAGGTCCCGCCAACAGCTGGCACCAACTTGCCAACCATCCGGGAAGAAGACCCTCCAGCCCCAGTCAAGCTTGCAAATGGCTGTGGCTCTGGCTGATGTCTCAACTGCAACCTCTTGAAAGACTCCAAGCCAGAATGTTCCTGAATTTCTGACCCCCCAAGACTGTGAGATATATTAAATGTGTATTGTTATTTTAAATTTCTACGTTTTGATTTGTTACATAGCAATAGATAACTAGCATGTATCCTGTTGCCTTCCAAAACGGTTTTGAAACTGCATATAGGTAAAGTCATAGCTCTAACTAAATGAAAAGCTATTAGAACAGGATTTAAAAGAAGACAGAGAAATAATAAATGTGGTAGGTATAGGGAGGAGCCTGGCTGTATTAGAAAACCTGGCTAAAGACAAAACATAGCTCTAGGCTCCTTGCAAGCCAGGGCAAAAATGGAAACTTGATGGGTCACATTAAAACTTTTTGTGGCGGTGGTGGTGACTCTGAATGAGGATGTGCATTTGACATGTGGACCTTTAGGTACGCAGCATCACACCGTCTGGTGGGTGGTGCCGAGCAGACACTCCACCTACTGTAGATCAGACTCTGCGTGTTTGAAATGGTAAATACAGTAGTGCACAGTTCACGTATAACCGTGCACCTTCTGACAGTTTTCAGGAACTCCTGGCATCATAAAAATAGAAAAAATATATTAATACACACATACATATTCAAAAGATATAACTTTTAACATAGGTACTAGTTTTTGTTTGTTTGTTATTTCTTTTGAGACAGACTCTCACTCTGCTGCCCAGGCTGGAGTGCAGTGGCGCGATCTCAGCTCACTGCAACCTCCTCCTCCCCGGTTCAAGCGATTCTCCTGCCTCAGCTGCCCGAATAGCTGGGATTACAGGTGCCCACTACCATGCCCAACTAATTTTTGTATTTTTAATAGAGATGGGGTTTTACCATGACAGCCAGGCTGGTCTCGAACTCCTGAGCTCAGGTGATCCGCCCACCTCAGCCTCCCAAAGTGCTGGGATTACAGGCGTGAGCCACCACTCCCAGCTCATAGGTACTAGATTTTTTAAAAGGCATAAAAGGGTTGATAGTGGAAAGAAAGCCTCCATTCCACCCATCCCCCACAGGCCAGTTTCCTTTCCCGTGACCAACCCTGTGTGATTTCTGGCTTAGACTTCCAGGGATATTTTATACACATACAAGCAAGTCATATAAATTGTTTTCCCCTTCATTATACTAATGGCAGCATACCATAGGCATTGTTCTGCACTGCGAGCTTTTTATTACTCCATATTGACATGACTCCAAGTAATATCTTCCCCTAATTATCACAATTTTTGATTTTCTGAGTTTCTACTGTTTCATTGTTCAACACTGAGATATATAAAAAAGTTGGTGTTGTGGCTCATGCCTATAATCCCAGCACTTTGTGAGGCTGAGGCAGGAGGATCACTTGAGGCAAGGAGTTTGAGACAAGCCTGGGAAACATAGCCAGATCCTGTCTCTACCAAAAACACTAAAAAATTAGCCGGGCAAGGTGGCATTTGTCTGTAGTCCTAGCTACTCAGGAGGCTGAGGTGGGAGGACTGCTTGAGCCCAGGAGTTCGAAGCTGCAGTGAGCTATGATTGTGCCACTGCACCCTAGCCTGGGTGACAGGGAGTTCCTGTCTCTTAAAAAATTATATATATATATATATATATATATATACACTCACACACTCATATACATACATGAGTTAATATATACATATACACACACATATAAGAGTTAAGACAATAAAAGGCACTTGTAATTCCTCCAGGAAATCACTGTTAAATCCATGCTGTTCGAGTTAAATCCATGCTGTCTTCCCCTTATAAATATGAATGTGTACTGCGTTTAATTTTCAAAGTAAAATTGGCACCAAAGTGTAGAAATAATTTTACAATCTGGCTTTTTTCCCCATTTACTATACATACTTTCCCCCCTCCTCAACCATTATATTGTGAGTATAAGCAGGGTTTTCTTTTCTTTTCTTTTTTTTTTTTTGAGACGGAGTTTCCCTCTTGTTGCCCAGGCTGGAGTGCAATGGTGCGATCTCAGCTCACCACAACTTCCGCCCCCTGGGTTCAAGCGATTCTCCTGCCTCAGCCTCCCGAGTAGCTGGGATTACAGGCATGTGCCACCATGCCTGGCTAATTTTGTATTTTTAGTAGAGATGGGGTTTCTCCATGTTGGTCAAGCTGGTCTTGAACTCCCGACCTCAGGTGATCTGCCCGCCTCAACCTCCCAAAGTGCTGGGATTACAGGCGTGAGCTACCGCGCCCGGCCATATGCAGGGTTTTCTTAAGAAGCACAGTTATTTTTCTTAATGTTCTGCCAGCACAGGACCAACATGAACCTGCCTTTTCTGTGTCTGCTCCAGATTGCTGAGAACAGCTTGGTCTAACCTCTGTTACCAGAGCATCCCCAAGATAGAAAACTTGGTATCTGCAAGACACCAAGAAAACCGAAATTGTGAAGCATTAAGCTTGTTCACACAGGCTTTCCTAGATTTCCAAGATGAAATAGCCAGGGCCACACAGCCTGCAGATGACCAGCCCCCTGTGCCTCCTCAGCTTTCAAGGGGCAAAGAGAGCTAAAAAATTCCTTTCAACAACAGCCTGAAAGGCGGCTGCTTCCACTGAACACATCTTAGAACCACAGTGACTTGTCTGTCATATTCCTCTAGAATTCTCCAGGAAGCTGCTTGCAGTCTAGGTATTCCCATTGATCTTGAAGCTGCTGCTCTAGACCATCTTTGTCTGGGGGGAGTCATCATCATCTTTTAATCCATCACCTTCTCAAGGCACAAATCATACTTCCCAACAATGGGGTTTCTTACTGGAAAAGAGTAAATTACATAACTTATCTGTCCATTACTCATCTTCTGTCCTTTTTCAAAGAGTAGAAAACTGGTCACAATTCAGCAAAGAATTCCGTAAAGAATAGGAATGACAAATTTCAAGTGGGTAACTGTGAGAGATAAGCCAGCCATTGTTTAATCTGTCTCCTAATATGCATTCTCTTCTAGCAGATCGAGATAGAGAAAAGTGATAATACAAACAATACCAACATCAGTTGAGGGCTTCCTGATACTAGAGTCCGTGCTAAGTTTTTTTTGTATATTATAATCTTGCTTAATTCTTATTACAACCCTAAGAGTTTAGCATAATTATTATACCCATTTAATAGAAAAGTGAAGAGGTAGGAATCAAACTCAGGTCTCTATGACTCTAGAGCAATAATGCCTTACTATTGGACAAAGAAAAAAAGTGCTACAACAATTTCAAATGTGGAAATTTCAGGGTATTATTGGTGTAATTGCTTAATGAGATAACATGCAGCATATCATGTGTCATAGCTATTCTATCATCAAATTGAGTGGGAAAGAAAACACAAGCCCAGTATAATGTAATGTTTTATTTAACTGACGCCAGCTGTCCCCAGAGATCCACAGTAAACTAAGATGATGAATAAGATGGCAAGTATTTTTGGGAATCAGGGAAGTGGAAGTATAAACTCTCAAGTTTGATTGCTTAGGTTTGAACCCCAGCTTTGACACTAACAGTGTGATCTTGGGCAACTTCTCTAAGCTTTAGTTTTCTTCTCTGTAAAATGGAGATGATAACAATCTACCTCAGAGGTTTGTTGTATTAAATTAATGCATCAACTTAAAGTACCTGGTGCTCAGTAAATTCTAGCTATTACATTTTACTCAGGGTTAAAATGTGCCAACAACCTCTATCGATGGCAGCAGCCCTCAGTAAAATAAACAATTAGTGAAGACCCAATGGACAATACATGAATTAGAAAACCACACTGCTGATCAGAATAGTGAAAGTGTGCTATCACTATTCATTTTATCAGCATGCTTGTAGTAGGGTTTGCTAAGACCAGCACCCAGTCTTTTATCCTTTTCACATTCCCAAAGTTATCCTTGGCTACCTAACTGAAGTGACACTGTGGTGCTCTGGAAGGCCCTCTGCACCCTAGATTAGCAAATGCCAGTGGGGATGCGAACTCTTTCTCACCTAGAAGCCACTTTAGCCATGAGAGAGACAAGTTGGGGAAGGCTTCTGTGATGTTGCTGCAAGCTCTAATACCTGATTTTCCTACCAGCTGGCAAGAAGGCTGCACTCAGTGAATAACCTGGCATAACAGTTAGAAACAGACTTAAGAGTCTGAATCCACTTACTAAGTGGTGAAATGAGAAAAATTCCTTAGCCTCTCTCTAAACCTGTTTCCCCCTTTGGTGGATAACCATATAGTGCATGATTGAGGATTAAATGAGATAATGTAATTAAAACATGTAGTACAAAGCCTACATGGTAGGCACTTGATAAACTGTAGCTATTATTATTATTAGCTTTATAGATCAGACTAATGGCTCCAAGGAGGATTTTCACCCTAAGCCACTTCCTGACTTTCACTATTTAAGATATATGAGAACATCTTTCTGCTATGTACATGTTATTAACATGTCACCAACATGAACAGTGTTGTCCCTTGTGAGCAACAGAAAGGAAGAATCTATTTTTGGCCATGCATGGTGAAGGACAAAAGGATGAACAAGGTATATACAGTCCCTGCTTTCCCAGAGCTTATGATCTTGTAGGGGAGACAGATGCATAATCAATAATGCTTACAAGACAGGCTAAGTATGATCCTGAAGTGCTACTGGAGTTTGGTAAAGGAAGAAGTCATTTTGATGAAAGGAAACATCCTCTATCAGTGTGCCCAGGTGGAGAAGGGTGCTTGGAGAGCTAAGGCGGTCACTGGGAGGGTATATGTCTTCTGCTGGGTACCCAGGTTGGGGAAGATGGGGTGGGAAAGAAGGCTGGCTTGCCAGGTGGCAGGGCTAGGTGTTCTATGGACAACTGTGGGAGTAGAGGACTGGATGACTCATGCAGCTGGCTCCTGAGTCCCCCAGATGATGACAGATTGGAGCTGCTACAGGTACGGTCCTAAGGAAGCCATTCTCTCCGGAAGCAGGTTGGAGGAGTGAACTGAGAGGTCATTATTTGGGTGGATGTGGCAAGACAAATCAGAGAGGCCTCTGACTCAGTGGCAAACGGCTATTGCCACAACCAGAGGGTTATGGAGGACGCCATGTGGAATCGAAGGTGTTTTGCCAGCATAAAATCATAGCCTCATTTTTTATAGGAGGAGGAAACACAGACCACTGTCTTCGATTCTCTTCTATTCAATTAGTGTTCTTGAGGTGCATCTTATAGTGACTCCTGGTAAGAGGGTGGCGGGGTTGGGGGCGGGGAAGGGCAGAGACATCACTGGAGCTAAATTTTTCTATAGTGAAACTGCCTCCCGATTGGAAAATTAGTTCACAGGAAACATGGGGCCATCTTCACAGCGAGTGTTTCAGTAGCACTTGGCCTTTGCTTATTCATCTTTGCTAGTCCTCAGGTAGGTTCTGGTGTGAAATATTAACTCATTCCTGCAGCCACTCTTACGTGGCTGTCTTGTTATCACACAGGGTTGCTTCCATTGTGAAAGCCATGTCAGGGCCCTTCCCTGTCTCTGCAGTGTGCCTCTCCCACAACGACTAGGGCCACTTGACCGACTTACCTGGCTGTGGTGTCCAGGACTAGTCCTAATGAGGCCAGCGGAACTGAGGTAGCTCTAGCTCCTGGCTCTGGGACTCACTGGGCACCAAGCCAAGCCTGTCCCCAGGCCAGTCCTGACCTTGTCTTGGCTCTGAGCACTGCCTGGCTTCTGGAATTCTGAGCAGTATTGTGTACCTCAGTTCTGATAACAGGATTCCCATCTGTCATTTTCCTTCTATCCGAGTTCCTGTCTTGAGGAACTGCTAACTATACCCAGGCCCCTTAAGCCTGAGGTCCTGCCATGATCTTGCCATTACCCCACAGGAAGTAGAGGAAGCGCTGCTCTTAGAGCTAAGCCTGTGGCTGGCACTCCTACACATGCTACTGGGCTTCTGCCATCCTGCTTTCTTACTCCAGAATCCTGACTGGGACTCCCACTTCCCTGATGCAGACCATTTACCAGACTACGCTTTTGGCCGATGGCTATGTTCTCGAGGCTCCATGTTTCACTGGCTGGGCTGGGCTTCCTACTAGCTCTCCAGCTCAAGCTGTTCCCCCAGTGCCTGACTTTGCTCAGTGAGTGGGTAGAATTCCTGAGCTTGCCCCACCCAGCCTGCCCTGTTCCTCTGCAGTTAATTGACCCATGCTCAGCTTGGCTTTGGCAAGTACATGTGCATATACCCTTGCTCAATATTAACTTAAAGGTCAAAATGGAGACACACGACCATACCTACATATCAAAAAATTTCATATTTTGAAAATATGTTCTAAAGTAAAACACTATTTTAAAAATAATTTAAAAACAAAACATCTCAATTACCACACAGGATATTTTAAATTAAATAATTTAAAAGGCTTAAGATACCCAAACATCCGGGTGCAGTGAGTCTTACCCCTCCCCGCGATGTGGACCAGTAGATAATATTTGGGATACAGTCTTGGTTATCCTAATAGCCTCAAATGACCTTTATTTCAGTTGAAACAATTGAAGCCAACATTTCCAAAACAGAAATCAGGTAGGAAGAAATGTTGAACTTTAACTCCTTAGTCCAGCAAACACCTTTGGAAGAGACTGCCTGTGCATGCCAACAAGCTGGCTGTATCTACATGTTCTCTCATAAAACTAGGAGCTCATCTACTCTGAAGTCAAAGTCTAGCAAGCCAGTTGCCACTGAATCCAACCTCTACAGCATTACTCAACAGGAAAGGGGTGAGTTATAGCACGCAACAACTACTTCCTCCCTAGCTCCTGCTTAGTGAAAATCTTCAGAAGCTATTGCTTTTGGAAAAAAAAAAAAAAACAATTAGTTTAGATCTTGACTGTCTATGAAAGAAAATGGTCTTCAAGGAAGGACAGAACACAGCCAGAAAACCATTGAGAAGAGTCTAGCAGAACTGTAGCTCCAGGTCCAGGCTGGGGACTGTCACTATATTTGTTTTATAAACCCAGAAAAGATAAGTCAGGAGTACCAGAGGGAAATCCAAAAGAGCCTGCCCTTTTTTTGAGATGGAGTCTCGCTCTGTTGCCAGGCTGGAGTGCAGTGGCACAGTCTCGGCTCACTGCAACCTCTGCCTCCCAGGTTCAAGCGATTCTCCTGCCTCAGCCTCCCGAGTAGCTGGGACTACAGGCGTGCACCACCATGCCCAGCTAATTTTTGTATCTTTAGTAGAGAGGGGGTTTCACCATGCTGGCCAGGATGGTCTCAATTCCCTGACTTCGTGATCCGCCCGCCTCGGCCTCCCAATGTGCTGGGATTACTTGGGCCCGGCTGAGTCTGCCTCTTAAGGCCTGCATTTTGCTGGGTGCAGTGGCTCATGCCTGTAATTCCAGCACTTTGGGAGGCCAAAGCAGGTGGATCAACTGCCAGGAGTTCCAGACCAGCCTGGCCAATACGGTGAAAACTTGTCTCTACTAAAAATACAAAAAATTAACTGGGCGTGGTGGTGGGCAACTGTAATCCCAGCTACTTGGGAGACAGGCGGGAGAATTGCTTGAACCTGGGAAGCGGAGGTTGCAGTGAGCCGAGATCATGCCACTGCACTCCAGCCTGGGCGCGACAGAGTGAGACTGTCTCAAAGAAAAAAATAATAATAAAGCCTGCATTTTATAACTGTACTACTTCCTAATTTCCATCCCTATCTGCTAGGATATGTTATATTGCTTTGGGAAATCCAAGTTTTTCTCAAAAATTTCAAGTCTAAATATCAATCTGAAGGGACACTGTTTGGTCTAAGAAGTCCAATTAACACTCTGCAATGGTCTTTCTATAGGGCTGACATATTTACCAGCTTTTTGAGTGCGAGTCTAATATAGACAATGAGGAAAATCTTGCCTATAAGTCCTTTCATCTGGTGCTGCAAGTTTGTACTACATATTGATTCTGCCATTTCATAAACACTTTTTAAAAAATCCTAGAGTTTCTTAGAAATCTAATATTCTTCAATACACGTTCAAATTAGATGAATAAAACCAATGCTATTAAAGCATGTTGTTCAGCAAGGAACGAGTATTTTGCCTCGTGACAGCAGTCATATAGCACTGGAGAGGTTTTCTTACCATCAGAAGCAAGGTCAGGACCGACTCTGGAGAATGACAAAACCGTTTGTGTAAAAATAAAATCTAGAAACAAAAAGGCAACTTAGTAACTTTCACGGGACGGGCATGGTGGCTCACGCCTGTAATCCCAGCACTTTGGGAGACTGAAGCGGGTGGATCACCTGAGGTCAGGAGTTCAAGACCAGCCTGGACAACATGGTGAAACTCTATTTCTACTAAAAATACAAAAATTAGCCAGGTGTGGTGGTGGGCACCTGTAATCCCAGCTACTTGGGAGGCTGAGGCAGGAGAATCGCTTGAACCCAGGAGGCGGAGGTTGTAGTGAGCCAAGATCGCACCACTGCATTCCAGCTTGGGCACAGAGTGAGACTCCATCTCAAAACAACAAGAACAACAAAAACCCCCTTCACCACAGCTTCAGTATAAAGACTTACCCAACCAGAAATTATATAGGCCTTAAAAATAATTGTGGGCCAGGCCTACTTCGGGAGCGTGAAGGAGGGTGAAAATTGTGTCATGGCAGCTCTGAGTCCATGGAGTCAACACCATGAGCAAGGATCTCTTTCCTGAGTTGGAAAAATGAATAGACAAGAATTATTGCTGGATTTAACTGGTGACAGACATGTCTAAGGAATATTGCAGGGATTTGATCCCTTTATGAATCTTTTGATTGATGGATGTGTGGAGATTGCAACTAGTGGGTAACAGAATGATATTCCTCATGGTGATATGAGGAAATTGTATCATGTTAGAAGCCTTGGGATGAGTATAAATCAAGGCTGTTTTGCAGAGAAATCCATGACCTCTCCCCGAAGGGCCTATTTTACTATGACGTAAAAATTGGATCATGTATATTTTCATACTAAACTTTTTGTTAAATAAAAAGGAATTGTGGACTGGATATATATCCATCTATTTTTCTGCTAGATAAAAAAAGCTTTTTTTTTTTTTTTTTTTGGTACAGAATATCAAAATGTGCCCGTTTGTCACTTGAAGTGTAAATGGCATTTAAAATATTAGAGGTTCCAACAGTAAAGAAATCAGCAACTTGAGACAATACTGTAAAGACTCATGGAGCATCTAAAAACTTGAAACTTTAGGAAACAACTATGGATAAATAATAATTAGGCTTGGTCTTGCAATGTGTTTCTCTAAACTGTTCCCGTAATAAAGTTCTAAACATCACAATTTGCAGTAAACTTTAGAAAATGTATCTATTATCTATTTTATCCATTCGTAGGTTATGCCCTGATGGGTTTCCAAGGAAAACTGTGGTATGACAAGCATGAAATGAAGACTTGAAGACCTTTTCTTGAATCCGGGCTTAGCGCCCCCATGAAGTGTATGACATTAGGTAAGCACCAGCTCTCAGAAGGATAATTCTTACAAAGTCAGAACAAGATAACCAGGCTATAAGGAACAAATAAAATAATCTGGTATCTATAAACTTTCCTCAACCTTAGACTGCACCTAGCAATGCATAATCAAAATAGAGTTCTAAATCAAGCCCAAAAATACTTCGAAGGAGTTCCCTCAATGAACTAAAACTAAATTTAGATCCACTATTGCCCCCTAATGGTCAGCTCTTAGAAATGAAACCCCTTTGAAAGTAAGAGTATGCAAATTCAGGGTTTTTTTCTATCAAGTTTCCCCAAAAGGCTTCTACATTGTTTTTCTCCAAGACAGACCATCTTCAATTACACTCATTTAAATAAAATTGTAGATACAGTGTATTTCTGATCTTTAAAATGACTTCTGTAACTAGATTAAGCTACCTTTTCTGGTTTTAAAAACATTTTCCTTAGAATGTTTCTTCTGTTTCCAATAATGGAAATCAAGAAGAAAAGAAAAAGAAAAAGGGCTTCTTCTCAAGTCTCTGCTGCATCTTAAGCAAAAGTATGATAACTTGTCTTCCAGGTGTCATGGTGTAAGATTTAGGAGCTGGTTCTTTATCCTAAAGGTTGCTATCACCACAGGTCATTCCTGCTTCTCAGGTATCCACCAATTTCTTCATTCTTGAGGTGATTTGTTAGGGAAAAAAGTCTTCCAAATCAAAAGTCAATGTTTGATCCCAAATCTACTTATATCAAAATACAAGTTCACCGTGGCTTGACTTACAGTCCAAACTAAGATAACTGCCTCTTCCTAAAAACCATGGAAATGTACTGCAGCCACACAGGGTCTGGCACACAGATGGCATGAGTAATTATAGAAGTCTGAATCTCTATGGGTGGAATCCTACCACCTACTTTTCATCTTCTACAAGCCTTAGTTTCATTATCTACAAAATGGGAATAATATCATCTACTTTGTTGGGATACTGGGAAGGCCAAATGAAGTCATATATGAAAAGCATTTAGCCTAACGTTTGGTACACAGAAGGCATCAACAAAAAATATTATCGGTTAGCTCCTTAGTAAAAAAGAAAAAAAAAAGTCAATTATTGAAGAAGGCATTGTCTTGTCACTCACAGGTATGAAAACTCTGAGGTGTCATATCCTATCACAGCCTCTGAGAGCACACCACAACTTTCTATGTGTTCTCCACTGTGGGTGATATCTGTAATGAGACCTGCTAAGGAAACAAAGTCGAGAACGATCTACTGAGGAGAATAAACAACAAAGGAAATGCCTTCTCTTTCAAGTTCTGGGTATTTCACAACAAACATGGTGCCTACAGACTAAATAGGGAAGTTCAGTGCAAGGAATGGAAACATTGGATTGTTAGATCTATTACTCCCTCTAGTGGCCACAAACAAGACTGTTTTTATCAAAATCCCAGTTTGGCCAAGATTGCAACTTGGATATGTGTATGTATCAACCTTGAGTTTGAAAAGAAATAACCAGTCTGTATTTTCTGCCTATGTGGGGGGGAAAAAGGGGCCTGATGTTAAGAGAAGCCAGTGCTGTCACAAATTTTATCAGTTTGGTTTTTATTCCCTGAATGAAAATACTAATCAATGAAGAAAAGGCACATGCGAACTTTTCTACTATATTGACTCTCAAGTGAGAACTGAAGATAATCGCCTTTGTTGCTTTATGAAAGGGAATTTTGAAATGAGCATCTTTCTAAAATAGCAATTTTTTACCACAGGGTGATTTACAAGCCAAGGTAATAATTAAATATGCCCAAGACTATGACTATTTTTCTCTGACCAAACCCTTCATTTTTATAATGGGTAATTATAGTAAAAACTTCAATTAACCAGAGCCCTCAATTAACATGTTATCCTCCTCTTGTACTGTATTTTTAGGGCAAAGTAGAAAAATAATCACAAGAAGTTATTCATATGACAGATTTAGTTTGAAAATCTAGATGTGTTATCTAAGTAGGAAAAAAAACCCTGAAAAATTACATTCACACCATAATATATAAAAAACACCTACATATAAATGATATATATATAAATATATATAACTAGATAATAGCTGGAAGGGAATATAATTTTTTTAAATGTGAATATGGACCAGACATGGTGGCTCACGTCTATAATCCTTATGATTTGAAAGGCTGAGGCAAGAGCATCACTTGAATCCAGGATAACACGGTGAGATCCTGTCTCAACAAAAAACAAAGAAACAAAATAGCTGGGTGTGGTGGTGCATGCCTGTAGTCCAAGCTACTTGGGAGGCTAAGGAAGGAAGATCACTTGAGCCCAGGAGTTTGAGGCTGCATTGAGCTATGATCACACCACTGCACTCCAGCCTGGGCGACCATGTCAAAAAGGAAAAAAGGCTGGGCACAGTGGCTTACACCTGTAATCCCAGCACTTTGGGAGGCCGAGGTGGGTGGACTGTTTGAAGTCAGGAGTTCAGGACCAGCCTGACCAACATGGCAAAACTCTGTCTCTACTAAAAATACAAAAATTAGTTGGGCATGGTGCCGCATGCCTGTAATCCCAGTTACTCAACAGGCTGACGCATGAGAATCACTTGAACGTGGGAGGCGGAGGTTGCAGTGAACCAAGTTTGTGCCACTGCACTCCAGACTGGGCAAGAGTGAGACTCCGTTTCAAAAAAAAAAAAAAAAAAGTGAATGTGATAAAATTGTGAACTACTTTCTACTCTTTCTGCTGTTTTTCTATTACATTGTTATTTGTACAACAAATACATTAAAAATCAGAGAGGTACATATCCTGCAACATCTATTCTACATTGATAGAGGCTGCCATACCCATTATCAAGAGACAAAACAGGTCTCTCAGGGAATATCTCCTCTAACATAAGCTGAAAAAAGACAGGTTTTGTATATATATATAATTTTCAACTAATTTGAAAATATATTTATCAGGACATTCTTTATTCAGAAGCATCAATAACTTACCAAGTTTCACTGAAGTATAAAACTCAACAGACCATGAATAGGCTAAGTAACCACCTGTGAATGGAAACCTCATGATACAAGTCCGTATATTTAAAATACTGTTTATTTGTGATTTAACATTAATTAGCATTACATCTAAGAGCAATATCAGATAACATTTATACATTTTTCCACAGGACACAGAGGTTCATTGGCTCATTCTTTATGCCAAAGCAAGTAAATAGAGGCATTAGCAAAAGGTGCAATAGTTCACTGTTATGTTTAAAAAATATTTATGCACATTGCATTCATTTAGATATATATATTTTTAAAAAGTTATGGAAAAGCATAGTTCACAGGTTACTATTTCTACATACATTGTAATACAACATAAATGATGTAGAACATTAAAAAAATCTTCCAATAGAGAGTTAAGCAACTGAAAGTTTCCACCAAGAGATTAAAACACTGATTCCAGTAGTTAGTGAGATCTAGAATGACATTTCCAGGCTCTGGCTCAACTCTGCATTATCATATGCACACAAACAGAGCCAGCTCCAAAACACACTGTAATCAATGTAATTTTTTGCATGCCAACTCACCCTTAAGAAACACTTTGAGTTATTTTTACCCACGATCATTCTGGATCATTGATTTTGCATCGAACTGTGACATCACTTGGGTGAAAGGGGAAACGCCTATATTAAGCCTAGGTTTAAATTTGTATTTACATTAAAAAGAAAGGTCACTGAAAAGATTTTTTTAAATCTGTAAAAATCAAGAAGTGGTAGTTTTCTTACTGGTGGGATTAGACCTGCTGATTTCTTCTAGTGCTGCCCTCTAAAGATACAAAAAATTAGAAAGATTTGACCCTTTTAAAACTCAAATATCAACCAAGAAAGACATTGCTTTTGGCAGAGAAGCAGAATTTTAGAAATTTGGGACATGTTTCCAACAAATCACACTTTGTATCCTATCGTGAATATGAGTCACCATCAAACTAGAATTCTTCTTTTCACATCCCATCTTTTGTCCCCTTAATTTTTCACTTTCCCTTTCATTCTTTTTCATTTGGCTACCTTATGAGACTTTTCTTTACTCATTAGCAATACTAAGAGAAAAATACAGTTTAAGATTCAAATATGAATCTAGATGTACCTTTACATGCTCTAATCCTGTTTTAACACCAAGTCCCTGGATTCTGGAGTTATATTTAAGTATACTCAGTACCAAGCAGCCTTAAGTATGCTCTACTGTGAAAAGATTGGCTAATATGCTTAGGACACTTTTATACTGAACGGTATACAAACATCAACATACAAAATTTTTTTTTTTTTTTTTGCCAGAGTTAAACTAAATAACCCATGTTATGTGTACAAAATCCCCTTTGTTGAAAAATAAGGGGCTTTCTAAACTAATAAAAAAGGAAGTTTTCAAAAATTATAGTTTATTAAAACAACTTTTTTGGCAAACAAAGTTACTTCAGGTGAGGAAATTTTATACTGTGAATAAAATTCCAAATGAATCTTTTCTTAAAACTTTTTAAAAAATTATGTGCCAGTGTATACTAATGCTATAGATTCTTGTCTTAGAAGTTTTTAAAGCATTCTGTTAATGCCCACTGAAACAATGGGACTCCAAAAATATAGTCAATAATCATGATAAAAAATTATAATATGATTATCAAGTGAAGCAGGTATTGAGAAATAAAAATTCTCACTTGCTCACTGGCAATTTCTTTCTAACAGATATTATGGAGAAGGCCTGAAGTAATTCAGACAGATAGCTGTTTATGGTGAATTATAATAATACTTCATGAGGGCAGAGCTAATTAAAACTAGTAATTGCTTAAAATTCAAAGCCATTTCTGGACATATAAAATGAGAGATGAATCTGAAAGTTTTTCTTTTGTAAAACCTCTTTCCAGTTCTTAAAGTCCAGTTTGCTACATCCCCCAATCTGATCTACCATTGCATATTAATGATCAACTTAAATGTGGTATTTAGATGTGCAATGTCACATTGTTATAATAATAATTATAAAAAGACTTTATTTAGGCCTCAACTTTCTCCTTTTTTTTGTTCTTTTTCAGAAAAGAAGGAGTGCGGAATTTCTTCTTTTTCTTGGATGGCGATTTTGAAGGGGAGCCTTCAGGTGACAGGACTTCTTCGATTTTCTCTGGAGACTTAATAGTAATCTCGATGTTTTCTATGGTTGTACTTGTGCTTAACCTACTCACTCGCTTAGCAAGCTCATCTTCAACATCATGCATATCATCCTTGCCATTTACTACCATGACAGGCACTTCCATGGAGATGAAGCTCTTGGAAAACAGCTCATGGTTTTCTACGAAAGGGGAGGGTTTTTTGGGGGTTATTTTACATACTTAACATTTTTGCTCTACTTTACAAAACTGAAATGTTTTAGCAATGTAATAAGGCATTACTTTGATTCCAATGAAGACAGATCATTATTTTAATAAACTGTGATCTATTAGCAAGAAGCTAATTTTCTTTAATGATATAAAGGGGAAAGGAACAAAGTTGTTAAACCAAAGAGCAAAAGCTAGATAATCCCAGTTTGATGAAATAACAGTTTCATTGTAAATCAATTAAGTATAAATGAGGAAGACAACATATTTTTCTCTAGTTTTGGGATCATTTGGCAATCAATACTGAAAAAGATTTCATGCTGCTGATTGGGAGATGTTTAATTCCACAAATTCTTTTTTTTTTTTTTTTTTTTTTGAGGCGGAGTCTCACTCTGTCGCCCAGGCCGGAGTGCAGTGGCAGTCTTGGCTCACTGCCAGCTCCACCTCCCGTGTTCATGCCATTCTCCTGCCTCAGCCTCCCGAGTAGCTGGGACTACAGGCGCCCGCCACCACACCCAGCTAATTTTTTGTATTTTTAGTAGAGACAGGGTTTCACCGTGTTAGCCAGGATGGTCTTGATCTCCTGACCTCGTGATCCACCTGCCTCAGCCTCCCAAAGTGCTGGGATTACAGGTGTGAGCCACCGCGCCCAGCCAATTCCACAAATTCTTAAGAACTGCGGGTTGCCAAAATTCAGATTAAGGTAAATCAATATAAATGCTGAACAAAAGTAGCGCCCCATTTTTAATGATATAAAATATGTAATTATTGGGAGATATAAGTAAAATATGGAAAACTTACTGTGATGAGGTATTCAACTTCCTCACGTGAAAACAAAACACAGAGGGACAGACTCAAGACTAACTCAGTGAATGCTATGTGGGAAATTACATTGAGTACCTTCTAATTTTTCAGGGACATTTTGCGGTGACTGAGTTTGAGACTGAATTTGTGAAACAGATGAAGCGTCATCTGAGAGTAATTCCTGCTCAGCATCTGTTGGATAAGAGTTTAGTTAAAAGCCATGCAAAACAAAACAAAGCAGCATATGATTTTAGGGAGGTTAGTGCATACATCAAATGCCTGTATACAAAGAGATGATAAATTCTTCAGCAGTGAGCTGAGCATGCTAACAGTTATCCCATATATCCATAATTATACATTAAGAGGAGGTTAATGTGTTAACATTTCTGGCTGCTAATGGTTATTTTACGTACAGGTTACAAAAGATGCACAGCTGCTGGCAGCCCAGGCAAATGATATGTTGCATGTAGCTCTTGCTAGCATTAGAAAACCAAAACATACTGCGCAGACAGATGAAAAAAATTATAAAGCCTCACCAATGATGCTACATTAATGAGGCAGAATGCTTCACAGAATTTTTGAACAATATTTAATTAGTGATACCTGTCAGAGCAATGTTACTGAGCTAATTCATAAGGTCATAATAAATGTGGAAGAAACTACTATAAAGTTATATAAAAAAGGTGACGGTTCTAGAGTGCAACATTTGTTACCTGGCATCTTTAGGCTTTCAAAAAACAAGAGATTAAAGAGGGATATTTTACAAAATATGAAAAACAGAGAAAGCTCCCAACTTTATGTTAGAATAAACAAATTCAATAACACCATTTAGAAAATTTAGTATAATTACATTAATGAATCAGGACAACTCCCTTTTGTGACAAAGGCACAAAAAACTGTTCCTTGGATGATCAAGATGTCATTAGTTCTTCCTAAATGATATCTAACATGGACAAAAATTCATTAACTATTGGCTTATTTTGCTTTGCATGAAAATTTCAACTGTATGTTGTGGATGCTCTAAAGCAGAGGCTCCTTACCCTCTTTTTGGGTGACAGGCTTGTTCCTGACCCTGAACCCTTCCCTCCCTAAATGTGTACCTTAAACAATAAAGCATGTATTTTTCAGGTGGCTCATGGACTGCCTGAAGCTTATCCAAAGACTCAAGATAGAGAACTCCTGCTAGGAAGAATCTCTTATTCCAGAGAAAAAGGGAGCTAGTAGTCAATTGTTTAAGATGTTTTCATTAACAAGTCTTAAATATAATCCTAACAATCTACTTACTAAGGGTTCCAAAGCCAGAAAACTCAACCTACTAGAGTGTCCGTGTGCTTAAGGAAAGTCACATCAAAATTTTAGCAGTTAGTTTTAAATTTTGAAGTGACAATGTTGGCACCTTGAGATAACCAGAAATAGAGATTTTACAAAGCATCAAAACTACATACTTATGAATCTGTAATTATTTAAAATTAAGAGAGTTAAAAAGCCACATAATTATGAAATGTTTAAATCCATTAATTTATCTACATCTACTTTGGCTAGTAATTCTTTACTCATCTGGGAATCTCACTTTCTAGAAGATTTTACTATAAAATAGTAGCATTCAGATTGTTTTTTTTCTTTTTCTGTTTTTTTTTTTTTGAGACGGAGTCTCTCTCTGTCGCCCAGGCTGCAGTGCAGTGGTGCGATCTCAGCTCACTGCAACCTCTGCCTCCCAGGTTCAAGCGATTCTCCTGCCTCAGCCACCAGAGTAGCTAGGACTACAGGCGTGTACCACCATGCCCGGCTAATTTTTTAATTTTTAATAGAGACGGGGTTTCACCATGTTGGCCAGGCTGGTCTCAAACTCCTGACCTCAAGCAATCCACCTGCCTTGGTCTCCCAAAGTGCTGGGATTACAGGTGTGAGCCATTGTGCCCGGCCACACTGACTGCTTTCTATCATCCAACGTGAGGTACTTTATTGTTATCAGTGTGGCTTACCCTAGGTTGAATGTAAAGATTAACTAACCTTCTAGGCCTTGTTGTTTACGTTCGATTGTCCTCTTATACTCTTCAAGTTCTCCTTCTGTGAGATGACTAAATGGGTTAGGAGGAGCTGGTGGGCCATGATCATCATCTTCAAATTGCATAGTCTTACAAAGAAAAAATAAAAATCGATTCATTACCAAGAGTTTTACTTATATATCTATCCATCCATCCATCTATATACACATAAATGCAAATATGATGTTTGTGAAGCCTTATTTCACAACAATCCTAAGAAATGCAAGGTAACATGCTTTGTTTAAAATGCTCTTGTAAGATTGATGCCCTTAAACTACTAATCCAATGGACTAAAATTGCCAGTGATATTTCCTCAATAAGCCTGTATAAGTAAATCTTAATAATTTTTAAAAACCATTATGCCAAGTTCTAATAAGTTTCACATAAAAAAAACTTGAAAAAAACAAGAATTGCTCCATTTTAAAGACCACTGTAAAAAAGGCTTACAGAAATGAAACTGTACCAAAAGTAGTTCTTTAAATCTGTTACGAAAATAAGCTTGTAGCTGTTTTCTCCAGGAAAGGAAATAATGAGAATTTCAGTTGCAGTTGGCATATGGAACCCATGTATTTATTTTTCATCCCTCCCAAAACCCCACTAAAATGATAGTAAAGGAATAGAAAAAAACAAAACAAAACACCCTTAAGGACAAAAGAATGTGAGATGAAACAACAAAGGATGAGAAATGTTAACATATTTTTGGAAGCTGGAATGCAAGTGGAACAGCAGGTAGCAGAGCTGAGAAAGTTGAAGCCTCAGTCCTGAAAAAAAGGATGCAAATGAGAAGCATGCTTATTTGCCCTGAAGAGGTCTGGTAAGGCCCATAAACTAGAGGCAATAGGTACCATAGAAGGTGGTGGTAAGGAAAAGGTGAAAATAGAGGAACATGTTCAAAGTCTGAATAGGAAACAGATTCCCAGGTTCCCTTCCCTATTCCACAGAGCCAAGCATTTCCCTCTCTCTCATCTCTGCAGAAGATCAGAGGCTTGAGAAAGAAAAACTAGGCTGGGCGCGGTGGCTCACACCTGTAATCCCAGCACTTTGGAAGGCCAAGGCGAGCAGATCACCTGAGGTCCAGAGTTCGAGACTAGCCTGACCAACATGGAGAAACCCTGCCTCTACTAAAAATACAAAATTAGCCGGGCATGGTGGTGCATGCCTGTAATCCCAGCTACTCAGGAGGCTGAGGCAGGAGAATGGCTTGAACCCGGGAGGCGGAGGTTGCCGTGAGCTGAGGTCACGCCATTGCGCTCCAGCCTGGGCAACAAGAACAAAACTCCGTCTCAAAAAAAAAAAAAAAAGAAAGAAAGAAAGAAAGAAAAACTAACTAGGGGACACAAAATACAGTTGCAGGCTCCTAGAATGATGGTTGGAAACTGGCAGGAGACTGGAGTTCTTTTCCAGATAAACTAAATAGTCCCAGATAAAAGAATTACAGAGAATAATGTTTGGGGATTCCCCAGAGAAACAACCTGGTCCACATCCAATCACCCTACAGTGAAGCCCACCAATCCCCGAGCTCTGTGTATACCCAGAGCTTCTGATATGCTTTAATGTCTCATTCTTCCATATAAACAGACATACGGAACAACTCAGAATAGACAAAGACAACAAAGGCAAATGAAGAAAATTTAAAATTGATACCCTTAGAGCAATAAGAGAAAGTGTAAAGATCAGGATGTTATTAAAAAGGAACATTCAGGGAATAAGAACTCTTATTAAAAATAAAAAAGTTGGCTGGGCGTGGTGGCTCACGCCTGTAATCCCAGCACTTTGGGAGGCCAAGGCGGGCAGATCACGAGGTCAGGAGATTGAAACCATCCTGGCTAACGCGGTGAAACCCTGTCTCTACTAAAAATACAAAAAAAATTAGTCGGGCACGGTGACAGGCGCCTGTAGTCCCAGCTACTTGGGAGGCTGAGGCAGAGAATGGCGTGCACCCAGGAAGGCGGAGCTTGCAGTGAGCCAAGATCGCGCCACTGCACTCTAGCCTGGGCAACAGTGCGAGACTCCATCTCAAAAAAAATAAATAAAATAAAATAAATTAAAAAAGTTAACATCAAAATAAAAAATTAAAAGGGTTAGAAAACATTCTCCCAGAAAGTAGGATACAAAGATAAAGAGATGGCAAGTAGGAGAGAAAAGAAAAAAATCAGAGGCTCAAAGAGGCCCAACATCCAAACTAACATAATATACTGACAGAAAAAGAAATGGGAAGAAAACACTCTTGAAGAAACACTTTTAAAAAACTTCCAGAACTGAAGGATATGACTCTGGAGATTGAAAAGGGTTACTAATTACTTAGAAAAAAGACTAAAAAGAGATCAGCACACAATCATAAAATTTCAGAACAGCAGGGATGCAGAAAGGGTCTAAAAGCAAAAAAAAAAAAAAAAAAAAAATCCTAAACAAAGGTTCAGGAATTCCAATGCCTTCCTACTTCAACAATAAAATAGGGAACAGAATGATGCTTTTCTTATTTCAGGGGAAAATTATTTCTAAACTATTCTATATCCATTATATGCACATTTGAAGATAGAATAAAGGCATTTCAGACTGTTACCACCTATGTATCCTTTTCTCGGAAAGCTATTAGAGGGTGCGTTCTACAGTAAAGGAGGAAATCAAGAAAGCAGAAGACACAAGATACAGGAAACGGAATACAATATAGATCAGCAGCACAGGAATCCTCCAGATGAACCTGTGCAGCTGGCCTGAGAGCAACCAATTTAGATTTGGATCAGAATGAAGGGGGGCTGGAACAGAGAGATTACCTGTTGACTTTCACCCTGTGGAAAATAATATTAGGACAGATTTTATGTTATTCTTATTTTTTGAGACGGAGTCTCGCTCTGTCACCAGGCTGGAGTACAGTGGCATGATCTTGGCTCACTGCAACCTCTGCCTCCCGGGTTCGAGTGATTCTCCTGCCTCAGCCTCCTGAGTAGCTGGGACTACAGGTGCACGCCACCACGCACAGCTAATTTTTGTATTTTCAGTAGAGATGGGGTTTCACCATGTTGGCCAGGATGGTCTTGATCTCTTGACCTCGTGATCTGCCCGCCTCGGCCTCCCAAAGTGCTGGGATTACAGGCGTGAGCCACTGCACCCAGCCGGGACTTTATAATTCTTTTAAAAAGTTCGGGAAGAACTAAGCCAATGTACCCCAAATAATAAGCCAATGAAAAAAAGGCAAGGTGAGAGTAGGGAGGGGTGACTTATGTAAGAAAGGAAATACTACCTGGCTTAGCAGCAAACATGTAGTAATATAAATAACGAAAGCTGATCTAACAGAAAAAAACAAAAAACAAAAAACAAAAACTGTGATGTATCCTTACTGGGAGAATGGGGAGAGGGAAAAAGGGAAGCACTGTATAAACAGGCTAAATCCCCATCTTTCAAAAATATTTCATTAATTCTAAGATGAACTTTTTCCATCTCTGAAATTGGGAACAATTATAATTGGCAGTGTTTTTTCTCTTTTAGTGACATATAAAACAATGGTACTTCTTATAACGGATAACACAGATTTGATGAAAAATAGTCAAGGTCTAAAACTGATAGACCAAGAAAAAGCAGAAGATGCTCTTTAGAAACATCAAAGGAGGACGAGGAGCAGTGGTTTATACCTGTAATCCCAATACTTCAGGAGGTCAAGGCTGGAGGATCACCTGAGATCAGGTGTTCACGACTATCCTGGGCAACAGAGTGAGACCTCATCTCAACTAACTAACCAGAAACACCAAAGTAAACATTAGAAGCAATGAAAAGAACAGAAAGTTGCTGCACCTGGAAACTGGGAATTGTGGGTGACATTTTAAATCTTGTGAGTTGACTTTTTAACTTGTGCTTATATTAACCTTAGTAAAAATAAATATTCATATTTAAAAATCAATGAAATTAATGTGGTAAATAAAAAACAAAGATCATACTACTTCATAAACTTACAGAAGGTGGCTTATCCACAACAATTCCAGCAAGCAACTGAGATTGTGGTCCTGCTGTTTTCAAGTCATATCGATTTTGTTCCCGAATCTGAATTGAAAAACAATTCAATATAAAGTTCTTGAGGGCAACTATGCAGATGACCTTTGCTTTATCTTTTCATAAAAGCTTACTACTTGACATTTCCAGAGTGAGAGTCTCTTCAATTCCCACCTCCATAAAGACCTCTTTTACCATCCTAACAACTCATATTAGTCTCCTCTGCTCTTTATGGCAAGTTATTTCCTTTCGTCTTAGGTTGTTAGAGAACTGCATTTTCCCCCTAATAGCAGGGTTCTCTAACGCAGAAAAATGTTCAATACATCTTCCCCATGTAGCCTGTTCACCAATTACTAGCACAGAGCTGGAGGCATTCAATATAAGCTAAAATTATACTGAATTAAATTCCAAATTCTTCTGTATTCAAACTTCTAAGTTTGGCATTAACCAGATTCAACCACTGGTGATTTAAACATAAAGCAATTAAAATGTCTCCCCTGGCTATAGAAGACCATGTCTTACCTTATTTCTCTTTTCTAGTACCTCATTCGGGTTTGTGTTTAAAGGAACAAACTGATTTGGATCTTCAATTTTGATAGGTGTTCCACCACTAACTTTAGATGAGTCTTCTGCTTTCATCCACTAAAGAATCAAAAATTTTCTAAAATGAAGCTTTGTGTTAAGAAAATATTAGTAGATTGTTAGATAACTGCTTATAGTCTCAAGAGGGGCATTGCCAATGTTTAAATAATTTCACTAAGCAGTATCTTAGTGGTGAATTAGTTTCATCTCATACTAGTTAGAAAAGGCTCAAAATCAACATTTACTTAAAAAATAAATGCCATTACGATTCACATAAATATTCAATTATACTGCTAATTAAACTTTCTCCTTGTGTCAAGTGAAAATATGATGCTGAAACTACTTCAAGCACAGAGAGCATGATCTCACATTCACTCACATTCAGTGTTTTGTCTTCTGCACTGAAGACAGCAGTCAGATGAAGATGGCAAAGGAGTAATCAAAAAAAAAAAAAACTTAAGAAATATCTTAAGATTTTAGTTTATCAGACTTCACTTTTTATTTTTGGCTGACAGAAAAGGCCAAGCCCTAATCGGCATTTTATAATGGGGATAATCTGGTATATAATAGCAAAATAGAACCACGGGGTTGGAAGGAGCTTACATAATTCTTCTCATTTACCCCATATTATAATCCTTAAAGAAAGCGAATCTCGATCAAGATTAATGATGGCTGACCATCAATCTCTGTAAACAAAATGAATTCTGAGAAACCAATGAGTTTAATTATGTTCTTTTACTGGGAGGCAAGAAATCTTATAGACTACAGAAAAGACATTTTGATGCCTAGGTATTTTCATATTGAATGCCATTAGTTTATATAAGATGAACTAATTCTGAATATCTAGAACTGTGGTGTCCAATCTTTTGACTTCCCTGGGCCACATTGGAAGAACTGTCTTGGGCCACATATAAAATACACCAACACTAACGATAGCTGATTAGTTTAACAAAATCACAAAAAATTCTCATAATGTTTTAATAAAGTTTACAAATTTGTGTTGAGCTGCATCCAAAGCCATCCTGGGCCATGGACTGGACAAGACTGACCTAGAGAATGTTTGGTGGTATGCACTCCAAAACCAAACCAAACCAAATCTAATGCAAAATTCTGAAAAAGATAAAATAACCCATTTCTCTACCTACAAGATCTTGCCTAAGGGTAGCTATGTGCAGTGATTCATGCAGCTTTGGTACAATTAGGAGTTGATAACTTTTACAGTTTTAATTCACTGGTGAATTAAACTACTGGTGTAGTTTAATAGAAACTACAAAGCAGTATCATGTAGTGGACAAGAACTGGGCTCAAGAGTCAGACTGTCTTCATGCAAATCCCGAGTTTACCATTAAAACATGATTAATTAACCCTTCTTGCCTTGGTTTTCTCATCTATAAAATAGAAAAACAGCATCATTCATATTAGGAGAGTTAAATGAGAAAATTCGTGTATGGCACTTAGAAGAGTGTCTTGCACAAAGTTAAAGCCAGATAAGTGACAGTAATATTTTTAATATTATTTTACTTTCCAAATATTTTCAATATAGAACATTCAATTCTTGAGTAACTAGGCAAAATATTTAGTAAAGGCAAACTACATAAAATACTGGCATACCGTGATTTTGGTTCGGGGACTGGTTTCTCCGTTCCGAGACTCCTCAGGCACATTCACTTTCATGTAAGTATTTGGTGAGTTCAGCCATCTTGTTTTTTCACGCTGTTGCCTCTGTGCCATGTATTTGAGAGGAGAGAGTGGCACTGTATCGTCTTCAAAGGAAAAAGCAGTCACAGTTGCTGGGATTTCCACATCACTCTTGTGCCTAGGCTTCTCTCGAATGAGAGGATGCCTGTAAGCATAGCCTGTTCTATACCCCTAAGGGAGGGAAAAGCCACATTTGAAGCATCAAACCTGTATCAATAACAGCATTTGGATCCTAATTCCTTTTGTATACAAATGATTTAAAAGACTCCTTTGCTAAAAAACAAAGAAAAAGGCATCCTTCCAAACACCACATAACTTTCATGTAACACTGGAGCTGAAATTATGCAAATTTCAAGACCTAGTTAGAGCTGATAACAGCTGATATTGCAATTTCCACTCACACAACTGTTCCCGACAAACGAACAGTTCTAAGTTGCTGACCAGAAGTGCTTTTCTATCTATAAAACTGTTCTGGGGAAGCAAATCTCAGTGCTCATTTAAGTCTCTGTTCCTGGGTCTGAAGGCAGTCAGCCTTCTGAGCCTTCACAGAAGAGGGTAAAATCTAAAATAACATTTGCCAAACCATACATCTTTTAAGGGGTTACTATCCAAAATATATAGGGGACTCAAAAAATAACAAGAGAAGAACCCAATTAAAAAATAGGCAAAGGATCTGAATAAACATTTCTCAAAAGAAGACATACAAATGGTCAACAAGTGTATTAAAACATCACTAATCAAGAAAATGCAAATTAAAGCACGAGATGGCATGTCCTGTTAGAATCGCTATTATAAAAAAGATGAAAGACAACAAGTGTTAGAATGTAGGGAGAAAGGGACCCTTTGCACACTGTTGGTAGCAATGTAAATTAGTATAGCCATTGTGGAAAACAGTATGGAGGTTCCTCATACAATTAAAAATAAAACTACCATATCACCCAACAGTCTCACTACCAGATATATATCCAAAGGGAATGTACTCAGTATGTCAAAGAGGTATCTGTACTCTCATGTTAGGTACACCATTATTCACAATAGCCAAGATATGGAATCATCCTAAGTGTCCATTGATGGATGGGATATAAATGTGGTATATACAACATAATGGAATACTATTCAGCTTTAAAAAAGAAATTCTGTCAAATGTGACAACATGGATGAACCTAGAGGACATTGTATTAAATAAAATAAACCAGGCACAGAAAGACAAATACCCCATGATCTCACTTATATACAGAGTCTTAAAAAGTTGAACTTGTTGGGCATGGCAGCTCACGCCAGTAATCCCAGCACTTTGGGAGGCTGAGGTGGGAGGACTGCTTGAGCCCAGGAATTCAAGACCAGCCTGGGCAACATGGAGAAACCCTATCTCTACAAAAAGTAAAAAAAAAAAAATAAATTAGCCAGGCACGGTGGCACACACGTTATGTCCCAGATACACAGGAGGCTGAGGTGGAAGAATGGTTTGAGCCCAGCAGGTTGAGACTGCAAGTGAGCCCTGATTGTGTCACGGCACTCCAAGCAAGATCCTGCCTCCAAGAAAAAAAAAAAAGTTGAACTCATAAAAGTAGAGTAGAATAGTGGTTACAAGGAGGTGGGGGTGGGGAGATGTTGATCAAAGGATACAAAATTTCAGTTAGGAGGAAAAAGTTCAAGAGATATATTGTACTATGGTGACTACAGTTAATAACAATATATTGTAATCTTAAAAAAAAAACACGACATTTGTAAGTTCTGTTTAATTCTCAAAGGTGTGGTTAAATAACAATGAAATGCTTTCCTAGGGCCAAACTCAGCTTCTGGAAGAGTATGGAGCATGTTCTACAAAAATGGAAGCATCTGCTCTTGAATCTGAAGACATTAAATCCAAGTTTTACTTCAATTTTGCAACCTACCAAGTTGTCCAGAGTCCTCATAAGCCCTTCAAACTCAATTTCGCCAACCTTCCATTTTTGATGGGAACCCATATTCACACCTCCTCCACCAGACGCTGCTACAGTGTAAGTGAAAGCTTTATACTTCTGAAAGTCCAGTACATGGAGATTGTCTACTCCACCTGCACCTGCTAGGGCCTGCACCTGTAATCAATGGTAAAATATACAGAGACACAAAACTATAAAGACTGTAATGAGTATTTTACTTTCAAAAAGGCACAATTTCAATTTGGCAAATATCTATAATACTTGCTCAGGCTACTAACAACAAAGACAAGATGACACTCTTGTGCCAGCAGACAGCTGAAGTATCTTTTCCACCTATCTGAAAAAGAAACCTTCCAAGACTCTGATCCTCCCTGATGGAAAACACATTAGAGCCATACCTCTTAACATATTTTAAGCCACGGAATTCTGCTGCCAAATTTTAAATTTCTTTTCTTGAAGTTTTCCCAGGGTTATCCAGTTAATACTTTTGCTAAAAGCTATAATTTTAAGGAAATACAAAAACACTGTACTTTGAATTTAAAGATATTTAGGCAGAAGCCATCAGCTCATTATCTTAATTTAATTAAGCTTTTCATAGCCCCATTTGAGAAGAGGAGGAACCATTAAAGCAAAAATAAGTTGATTGTTAGGACAAGTTAATGTTGGTAGAAAAAGTTTTTTTTTAGTTGTTCTTTTCCCCCTTTCTTGTGGCCCTTCCAATAAATTAAGATTATTACCATTTGCTTCATGAGAATTTGCTTTATTTATTTATTTATTTATTGAGGACTGAGTTTCACTCTTGTTGCCCAGGCTGGAGTGCAATGGCACGATATCGGCTCACTGCAAACTTCGCCTCCCGGGTTCAAGCGATTCTCCCGCCTCAGCCTCCCAAGTAGCTGGGATTACAGGCACATGACACCACGCCCTGTTAATTTTGTATTTTTAGTACAGACGGGGTTTCTCCATGTTGGTCAGGCTGGTCTCGAACTCCTGACCTCAGGTGATCTACCCAGCTCAGCCTCCCAAAGTGCTGGGATTACAGGCATGAGCTACCGTGCCTGGCCAAATCTGCTTGATTTAAAGAGAAAATTAGGGCCTTTAGTTTAATTAGATCCCATTTGTCAATTTTGTCTTTTGTTGCCATTGCTTTTGGTGTTTTGGACATGAAGTCCTTGCCCATGCCTATGTCCTGAATGGTAATGCCTAGGTTTTCTTCTAAGGTTTTTATGGTTTTAGGTCTAACGTTTAAATCTTTAATCCATCTTGAATTGATTTTTGTATAAGGTGTAAGGAAGGGATCCAGTTTCAGCTTTCTACATATGGCTAGCCAGTTTTCCCAGCACCATTTATTAAATAGGGAATCCTTTCCCCATTGCTTGTTTTTCTCAGGTTTGTCAAAGATCAGCTAGTCGTAGGTATGTGGCGTTATTTCTGAGGGCTCCGTTCTGTTCCATTTATCTATATCTCTGTTTTGATACCAGTACCATGCTGTTTTGGTTACTGTAGCCTTGTAGTATAGTTTGAAGTCAGGTAGTGTGATGCCTCCAGCTTTGTTCTTTTGGCTTAGGATTGACTTGGCGATGCGGGCTCTCTAGTTCAACCATTGTGGAAGTCAGTGTGGCGATTCCTCAGGGATCTTGAACTAGAAATACCATTTGACCCAGCCATTCCATTACTGGGTATATACCCAAAGGACTATAAATCATGCTGCTATAAAGACACATGCACACGTATGTTTATTGCGGCATTATTCACAATAGCAAAGACTTGGAACCAACCAAATGTCCAACAATGATAGACTGGATTAAGAAAATGTGGCACATATACACCATAGAATACTATGCAGCCATAAAAAATGATGAGTTCATGTCCTTTGTAGGGACATGGATGAAATTGGAAATCATCATTCTCAGTAAACTATCACAAGAACAAAAAACCAAACACCGCATATTCTCACTCATAGGTGGGAATTGAACAATGAGATCACATGGACACAGGAAGGGGAATATCACACTCTGGGGACTGTGGTGGGGTGGGGGGAGGGGGGAGGGATAGCATTGGGAGATATACCTAATGCTAGATGACGAGTTGGTGGGTGCAGCGCACCAGCATGGCACATGTATACATATGTAACTAACCTGCACAATGTGCACATGTACCCTAAAACTTAAAGTATAATTAAAAAAAAAAGAAAAAGAAAAAGAAAATTAGGGCCTTTAAATACATTCAACATCTCTGATGAAAAAAATGATTAATAAATATCCAACCTCTCATCATAATGAGGCTGTGGAATTGTTGAAAACTGCAATTTCATATAACTTCTGGACCTAGTCAAACTTTTTACAAAAGTGACCACAACACATTTGATTCTTGATTTGCAGCTGTTTTTCTTCCTTAATTAGTACCACCACTACAGGGTGAAAACAGAAATATGCAATTGTACTAACTTAAAAAGCAGGATTGTAGGGAAAATGATGTTTATGAGGCCCTTAGATTGTGTGTGAGAAAATTTTAATTTCCTTTACTCCTATTTTCAATTCAAGAGATAACTGAGTTGAAAACCCTGCCTACATAAGTAGAGCAGAACTTCTCTTAAAAGACAAAAAGCCACTAACTAATATGTATTTGCAAATAAGTACACAAAATCCAACTAAACGAGCAAATAACAAAGCAATTAAAAAAGGGGAATAATGTTTCCTACCTGAATCTCACAGGCTAGTTGCACATTAAAAATATAATGAAAAGCCTCCTCTAATGTTTCTCCAAGTGCAACCACACCATGATTCCTGAGTACCAGCACCTAAAATAGAATGCCCACAGCAATCACTTGAAATAACTGGCATAGCTCACACTGTTTTCATCAACAGCAGCAGCAACAAAAATAGCTCCTTAGACAAACTCTACTACATACCTTACAACTTGGTCCCAGAACCTTCTGCAGTTGAATTCTCTCCTCCTGTTCTTCAAGTGACCCTTGGTAGTCATAATAGGCAACATCTCCCAGAAGAAGAGACTCTTGAGAAATTGGAAGGATCCCACATTTCATGGAGGATACCTATTTGGTTTGGCCCATACCAAGATAACACATTTGGTTACTAAATACATTTTCATAGGAACCTGATTGTTTGGTCAGCTCAGGAAAACACTGGCCTATTCACTGTGTTTCACCATTGCAGCCCACTTCCCACTTTATTCACTTCCCATTTTGTTTCTTCCACACACACACAAAAAGGACTTAGGGAATACAACTCAACTTATATGCTGTGTCAAATATTATGAAAGAAGCTTTGCTCCAAAAAACTCAATGACCCAATTTTCAAACTGGTTAGTTTTAGAATCCAAATGTTATTTCTCCAGTTGTTTCCTAGAATGGTAGCATTTGGTCCCAAAGGCCTTTTGCTTTCTGGGTATGCAGATTATTGTATCAAATATGATTTTGAAAAGCAGATAGTAAAGCATCCTGTTGAGAAAGCCACAAAAATAATACATCTTCCAGCGTCCTGTCAGTTTTGGACTTTCATTGACTTACAGCTGCTGTTGCAAGGGTATGGATGTGTATCACACACTTAACATCAGGACGTGTTGAATAGATTGCAGCATGGGGACTGAATCCTGTATGGTCAATTTTCAAATTGGTACTTCCCTGGTCAACCACTTCTCCTATTATATTGACTTTCACCTGGAAAAAATCAGAAGGACATATTTAACTGGTATATACGTATCAAAGTTTGTGTTTCACAAGCTAAACCAGGGGGTAGCAAACCTTTTTGTAAAAGGTCAGATAGCAAATATTTTGGACTTTGTGGGCCTCTGCTGCAATTACTCAAATCTGCAGCTGCAGTACAAAAGCAGCCATAAACAATCTGTAAGTTAACAGGTATAGCTTTGTTCCCATAAAACTTTATTTATAAAACAGGTGCAACAAAACTTGGTACTTGGCAAGAAGTACAGTTTCCAAGAAAAGGAGAAACTTAAGCTCTTCATCGGAGGTCTGAACAAGTCTGGCATGTATAGAATTGGCTAGAAAACTTCTATTTGCTAACATTGCAGCAAGCACCCAGAACCAAGGTAGCTCCTGTCACTCTGTAAGCTGATGACAGTGGCTAGGAGTAGTCATGGAAAAGATAAAATACTAAGGTCAGATCCTATACTCATACCAGCTGAACTTTGTTTAAATCTAGCTATGAACATTGTGTGTGTGTGTGTGTGTGTGTGTGTGTGTGTGTGTGTGTGTGTGTGTGTGTGTATTGAAGACAGAGTCTCGCCCTGTAGCCCAGGCTGGAGTGCAATGGTGCGATCTTGGCTCACTGCAACCTCTACCTTATGGATTCAAGCGATTCTCCTGCCTCAGCCTCCCGAGTAGCCGGGATTACAGGTGTGTGCCACCACGCCCAGCTAATTTTTTGTTATCTTTAGTAGAGATGGGGTTTCACCATGTTGGTCAGGCTGGTCTTGAACTCCTGACCTCGTGATCCACTTGCCTCAGCCTCCCAAAGTGCTTGGATTACAGGCGTGAGCCACTGCACCTGGCCGTGTGTGTTTTTTTTACACAATTTTTTTACACAAATTTCTGAGTGTATAGGGTGGTAAAAAAAAAAAAATCACGATTCCCTTCAAAACATAGACAAGTTAACTGATAAGACCAACTCATTTATTAGTCTCTTCAATTACGCTATTCTCTAAAGCTTTTCCCTAAAACAACATAGTTCAAATTCCCTTCACTGTTCACTAGTAAATGTTTTTCCATCCATACCTTCTTATTCTGTCCTGTGCTAAAAGCTAAGAACTGTCAGAAAAGCCAAAGAAAGCTCAGAAAAAGCAACACAGGAATGGAAAATTATACCAAATTGGAGGCTGTAGCTTCAGAAAAAGATAGGCCTCTGGGAATTATTATAATGTGGTCTTGCTCCTTACTTATTCTTACCTGGAAAAAAAAACAACAGGGAATTACTATGAAGTGGTTCATATTTTGCAGTGGAAACATGACTACAAATATATTTACAATGAATAATTGTAAGAGATCAGGAAAAAAAAAACCAACAAAGCAAAAATTAAAGGTCTACAACATGAAACTTTCCTAAAGTTTCCCTCAAGTACTTGCTAAAAAATTCTGACTTTAGTTTCTTATTTACTGGACTTACCTAAAAGTGTTATTTTGGGGCTCTAAGGTTATTTAGGGTCAGCTATGTTCATGAAAAATAAATGCTAATATTATTCAAGCCAATGTGGTAATAATTATAACCTTAATTTATAACTTGGAAGTTAAGGCAAAATGGGCAAAGGAAAGAGAACAAAATCTCTTCCTAGGAAGGAATTAAAATAAAGATGGAAGGTGGAAAGGAAGAAAGATTCTTGATGGACTGCATCTGTACCATTTCCATTGTACAATATTTTAATCCTCTTTTGTTTCCAAATAGCATCTTTTTCCAAGTGTGGCAAAATAAAAATATGATGGTGAATGGAAAGAATATATTTTAAAAATAAAGACCAGGGAGGAAACTTCCCTGACCTCCTCTATCTTCCTTGCCTCAAATGCTTTTTAAAGCCACTGATGCTCAGACATAATTATCATGGAGAGGGACAATTTTGCCAGAAGGATTTCTTCCTGGATAGATTCTACAGTTGGTCTGAACCAAAGGAACTTGGAACAACATAGATAGTAAGGGGAGAAGAAAGGTGGGGGAATTGGAGCCTCTCCCTTGGGTATAAGGTTTAAATCAGTATTTGGTTGTGATCTAGCATACTAGGTTTAGAGAATAAGTCTGAAAACTGGACTTCCAGGTAAAGGTAAGAAGAGTATAGTTGCCTTCTAGCTGGAATTTTTTAAAAAAGGAATTGAAAGCTGAAGAACTCACTGAGATATAGGTATTTGCCAGGTGTGCCCATCCAAACAAGTCTACAAGTCTGTACAGGCTGGCAAGTTTACAGCGAGTAAGTTTTTCTCCCTTCACATATGAGGATGTATCTGCACCAGGAAGGTCATTGATAGGTGTGACCATGCCAAGACCTAAAAGAGCAAAAAATGTGGAGAGAGATACGAGTCATGCAATCCCTTACCTGGAAATTAGTTGCCAGGAAGTAGCCTGCGTCTGGGAGTATCCCAGCCTTGTATATAATAATCTGAAATTTATCAGCCCATATAATATTTTATTAGCTTATTCTCCTTCAGAGAGGTAAACTGAGAGTAAAAATAAGTATCAGCTATCTTTGATTGCTTAGTAAAAGTTGCTTCATGTAGTGCTTGCTAAGGAGTGACTATATCAAAGGCTCACACCACTGGGGAAAAATGGTTACACATATCTCCGAGGGTAAAAGTGTTAAATACTGAGGTTACTGCTAGTTTTATGATGAAAAGACCTCAACAGAAAGCTACTTTTCTATTATCTCTCTTGACTTTTATTCAAACACAAAAAACATTTGAGATGGAAAATAATGCATGCAAATAGTAGTATGATTTCTGTCCTATTGAAGGTCTTGAAGGTCTCTAATGATCTAATTGCCAAGTTCAGCTGTTACCAAGTTCAACTTTTGCTCAGTCTTCATTCTCCTTGACCTCTTTACAGCTTTACACTATTTACACTGCCTCATTCCTAGAACTCTTCTCGAGGCCCATGTGATACTATCCTAGATCTCTTATTCCTTGTCTACATGCTTTTCTCCTTTAACAAGTTCATCTGTTCCCTTTGCCCAGCTTTGGCTCTTCCCCAAAGCTCAGTCCTCCACTATGTTCTTTCTCATTTTACTTTTCCCTACAAAAACATTATAGACTCTTGAGCCTCCCTATTGTTATTTTTGTGTAGACGACTCACTCCCTGGTCTTTAGTTCTGATCAGGTCCTCCTCCCCATTTTCCAGCCTGCTTGTTTTGTTTTTTTTTGAGACGGAGTTTCACTCTTGTTGCCCAGGTTTGAGTGCAATGGTACGATCTCGGCTCACTGCAACATCCACCTCCCAGGTTCAAAGCGATTCTCCCGCCTCAGCCTCCTGAGAAGCTGGGATTACAGGCATGTGCCACCAGGCCCAGCTAATTTTGTATTTTAGTAGAGACAGGTTTTTTCCTTGTTGGTCAGGGTGGTCTTGAACTCCTGACCTCAGATGATCCACCTGCCTTGGCCTCCCAGAGTGCTGGGATTATAGGCCTGAGCCACTGCAACTGGCCCCACCCTTTTTTTTTTTTTTTTTTTTTAGAGGCAGGGGTATCACTCTGTCACCCAGGCTGCAATGCAGTGGTGTGATCATGGCTCACTGCAGCCTCGAACTCCTAGGCTCAGGCAATCCTTCCACCTCAGCCTCCTGAGTAGCTAGGACTACAGGGCATGCTGCCACACCTGGCTAATTTTTTAATTTGTTTAGTGGAGATGGGGTCTTACTATGTTGCCCAGGCTGGTCTTGAACTCCTGGCCTCCAGTGATCCTCCTGCCTTGGCCTCCCAAAGTGCTAGGATTACAGACATGAGCCACTGTGCCCAGCCTAGCCTGCTATTTCCAAGTGCCTACAACGCAATAACATGAAAATTAAAAGGGTCTAAAGGTGATTTTATCTTCTCTCTCCTGGTTTTTCTTACCTTCTCTCTTCTCCTTACTTTGCTTCTAATATTGATATTACCATTCCTATAGGCTCAAACTCTGGGTTTCAGTAACCTCTACCTCCTTAACCTCTCCTGGGTAACCATATATAATTTGTCACCACATTTCATGACTGTTTTCTTCATAAGGTCCCTCGTTGTCCACTCTTGAGTTCAGCCCTTAACTCATGCATGGATCCCTGCAATAAGCCTCATTCTTGTACTCGACTGTAGCCCCTTTCTTTGTAAATTCATTATGCATAAAGCCATTGAGTTTTCTAAAGCACTGCTTTTTACCTGAGAATATGAGCAAGAACTTTTAAAGAGAATATTTCAATGGAAAACCTTTTAATTTTGAGATGTTTTGAAGTAATCTGAATAGTTTTAATACATAAGCCACAAAAAATAGCATAATTTCTGACAAAATTTTAGAGTCAGCCATTAACCTGTCTTCTATTCTCCCCGTAACCTTCCAACTTTAACTTCCGCTTTTCACTTCACTGCGTAAGTATTTCAGGCAACTGGTTGCTATTTCCTGATCTCCAAACAGTGGCACATGGCTTTCCTCCTGCCATGCCTTTGTACATTCCAGCCAGCAGGCCCAGGTCTCCTGTAGCTCCTTGTTCCCGCCATGGAATCCAGGACACTTCCAGGGCAGCTTCTTTTACTATTTCTGTTTTCCCTGACTAGTCTTCCTCTTTGAGCTTTTGAGGTTTTCTCTTTGGAATCTTTTGTCAGCCCATACTCCTGTATGATTATTTAATCAATGTCCACAGCTTTGAGTACTACTTCTCTATGTCCATCTGCCAAGTGTTTCTCCTAAGCTCTCTGACTGCACTTCCAATTGCTGCAATGTCTTGGCAATGCAAATGGAGCATGCCCAAAGTTGAACTTCCTCCATTTCCCAAGCCAAACCAGATCCCCAACTATTCTATTTTTGTTAATAATACTATGAAATCTCCCAGTTCATTCTTCACACAGAAAATATAGTGGTCTTTTAAAATCATCTTTCTGCTTAAAATGGCTTCCCATCAAAGTTAGGAATAAAACCCAAACTTCCAAATCCAACTGTGATATGATTTATATCCAGCCACATTAAAATCAGATTTATTATTTTAGAAAATAGAGACAGGGTGGGCCTGGTGCAGTGGCTCAGGCCTGTAATCCCAGCACTTTGGGAGGCCAAGGTGGGTAGATCGTGAGGTCAGGAGTTCAAGACCAGCCTAACCAACATGGTGAAACCCCGTCTCTACTAAAAATACAAAAAATTAGCCAGGCGTGGTGGCGCGCACCTGTAATACCAGCTACTCAGGAGGCTGAGGCAGGAGAATCGCTTGAACCTGCGAGGTGGAGGTTGCAGTGAGCCGAGATCGGGCCACTGTACTCCAGCCTCGGCGACAGAGCAAGACTCCTGTCTCAAAAGAAAAAACAAACAACAACAAAAAAACAAAAATAGAGACAAGGTTTTCACTTTGTTTGCTAGGCTGGTCTCGAACTCCTGGGCTCAAGCATTTCTCCCACCTCAGCCTCCCATGTGGCTGGGACTACTGACACATGCCACAAGTCCCAGCCCAGAATCATGTCTTATATCATCTTATAATCTGTACAAAGTGTAGTAAATGCCTGGTTGATATGAAAAGGTAGGAGGGTCTAACACTATGTTACTCTAAGTATTAGATGTTATAAACTTAAGGACTGAACCCGAGCAGAATATGCTGCTAGAGATGTATAGTGGTCCAAAGTGGAAGTAAAATTATAATGTTTAAAACTCTCCAAAACTGACATACTGAGAGGAGGTGAAGAAAAACCCGAGAAAGAATTGGCCATGATGTAATCTGCAATCTGCTGTAATGCTAGTAATCCAGTTGGGTTGTGGCCTTTCTTCATCTGTTCTTGAATAAGGCATTCCAAGTCTTCCCGAAAGGCCTGTAATACACAAAAATAAAGACTGAGCAAGCAAGACTGAATGGCCCAAAAGTAACTTGTTCCGATACAATCAATCTTTACCCCATCCCTTTTCTGAATAGCTTTTACCTGTACTATTTAAAAACAAATATAAAACACAAAATAATAAAATCAAAGCACTGCAAGAAGCAGCAAGATGCTTGCTTTTAGGGGGGAAAACCACTAGGCATTCTTCATGTCAAAGAAAATGAGATATTATAATATCTACACTAGACAGGCACAGATAAAACTCCTCTTATTAATATACAACTCAAGCACCAAGAAACCATTGTAAAAAAAAAGGTGACCCACTCCTTGCTTAGCTAAGACAGAGTCCCTGGTCAGGCGTGGTGGCTCACGCCTATAATCTCAGCACTTTGGGAGGCCAAGGCGGGTGGATCACCTGAGGTGGGGAGTTGGAGACCAGCTTGACCAACATGGAGAATCCTCGTCTTTACTAAAAATACAAAATTAGCCCAGCGTGGTGGTGCATGCCTGTAATCCCAGCTACTCAGGAGGCTGAGGCAGGAGAATAGCTTGAACTCGGGAGGAGGAGGATGTGGTGAGCCGAGATCATGCCATTGCACTCCAGCCTGGGCAACAAGAGCGAAACTCCATCTCAAAAAAAAAAAGACAGAGTTCCCATGTGAATGGGGCACAACTTTGAATACAGAGTGATTCAATGGCAAAAGTTTTCACTGAGACATACTAAAATAATTTCTACTTTATGATTTCTATGGAAATTCCTTAGCTCCATAAACTCTGAAAGCAAATTAATAAGAGTTGAGTTCTAATCACTCTCTGCAACACTGTGGTAAATGACAATTTTTTTTTCTTTTTTTTTTGAGACAGAGTTTCGCTCTTGTTGCCCAGGCTAGAGTGCAACGGCGCGATCTCAACTCACCGCAACCTCCGCCTCCCGGGTTGAAGCGATTCTCCTGCCTCAGCCTCCTGAGTAGCTGGGATTACAGGCATGCGCCACCACCCGGCTAATTTTGTATTTTTAGTAGAGACAGGGTTTCTCTATGTTGGTCAGGCTGGTCTTGAACTGCCGACCTCAGGTGATCCGCCCACCTCTGCCTTCCGAAGTGCTGGGATTACAGGCGTGAGCCACCGCGCCCGGCTAAATGACAGTTTTTTAATGGAACGTTGGGTTCCATATGTTCCTATTCTGGAGTTCTGTATCTTTTTGGGGGTGGGGTGGGTGAGGTAGTGGCAGAAACAGTGTTTATAGAGATCAAAATCCTGAACTAATATTAAGAGAACGCCTCTATTCCAGTAACCCTCGAGTTACTAGTATGGTTCAACATCTGAAACTTCTCCCAATCCTTCATATCACAAATAGTTGGTTCTGACTTTCCATCACACCCAACCAACACTTATTAAGTTTGTCATTTGTTCTTTTGCTCATGTCTCCTTCGTTTTAAAGATGAAGGTTCTTGCAACATAAGTCACTTAACCCTTGCTCTTCCATTTGAGATTAGTTACTTATGTAGCAGGATGCCCTGCCAGAAATTAAGCTCCATTTCCCCCACTCTGCCTAAGAGGGAGAAGGCAGAAAATTATTTTGGAATCACTTCCTCCAAGAAGGGTAGGTATGAATACCTGGGAGATAATGGAGAAAACTTCCTTTAGAAGGGTGAATCTCTTTTGAGTCACTGACAGTGGTCTGCCTCGTGACGGTAGGAATAAAATCTCCTGGAATCTCCGCTTAGATGGAGCCTTTCTGAGAGGGTGGGTAAATAACCTATATGTCTAGGAAACTTTTTTTTTTTCCGCTCTGTTGCCCAGATTGGAGTGCAGTGGCACAATCTCAGCTCACTGCAACCTCCACCTCCTGGGTTCAAGTGATTCTCTTATCTCAGCCTTCCAAGTAGCTGGGATTATAGGTGTGCACAACCATGCCCGGCTAATTTTTGTAGTTTTAGTAGAGATGGGGTTTCACCATGTTGGTCAGGTTGGTCTCAAACTCCTGTCCTCAAGTGATCCACCTGTCTCAGCCCAAAGTGGTGGGATTACAGGTGTGAGCCACCACACTCAGCCAGGAACTTTAAAAAAAAAAAATGGCATACGAGCTCATGGTGATAAGGGGAAATATGGTTCTAAGGGTATGAGGTGGTAGATGTTAGAACTAGTCCTGACTCAGTGTTTACAGTGCACTTAGAACAATAGTTGAGAAGTTTCCATGATGTGAACTCTAAGAGCTGGGTGCTAATAGTTGTAATCTTGGGTGCTCAACCATAAAGGACCGAGCTTAGCACCGGAAGATCCCTCCCTGATGCACTGTGGTGGCCTGCACAAACATCTGAGTCAACAGTGAACCTATAGCTCCTGTTGAACAGTTTAAGACTGGTTTTCAACATTCTACCATGGGGCAGGGAAGTACAGTGGCAGTGGTGGACTGAACAGACTCTAGTGTGTCTCCCTCACATACATATATACAGATGCATGGATACACGACCCACACCCATCTTGGATATGGAGGCCACTGATTAACCCAGTCAGTGTAAGTCACTAAAGTTCTGGAAGAATTCAGAGAAAAGCAGAAATTCCAAGAGAAAGATGGTGTACTTTCTGCTAATAAGGCAAGTGGATATTTGAGTGATTAATTTTTAAAAATACTAATTGTGACATTTGAATCCTAAGTTCATGGAGCAGTTTGCACCAGTTAAATATGGCTTTTCTTTTTACAAATTCAAGGCTTGTTAAGTGTAAATCATTCACACAATATAATAAAAGCTCAAAAACATCTGGTTCTATTGCCGGTATCTAGTTCATTTAAATACACGATTTAAATCAGAAAAACTGTCTTGTAAAATATCCTCTACAAAGATATACTTCATTTATCAGAAAACTCCATTAGGGAGTTTTCTTGTTCATCCAAGACCCTGTGAAGATAAGATGGCTGAGAGCTGTATACAAGATAGATGGACACCTTCATACAGACAAGTAACATAACTATTTTACCATGCTTAAGGCTGAAAGGAAAAAAATGTTCCAGATATCCTCATTTATCTTTATGTAAAGTACAGAAAACTTCTGGACACATGGCAATGGGCCAATCTGCTCTTTTGGAACTCTATCTTCCCTTCAAAACCAAACTATTTAAACTTTTCTCAGTTCAAAGTAGTTATAACTGATATTCTTTGATTCAGTTTTTAAAAAACCAAAATTAATGATACCTACTATGTGTATCACTCATTACATATATTACAATAACTTGGAGAAGTAGGCATTATCTATTTTATTAAATGTCTTGCACCCATGTTCTTCCAGGAAAAATTTAAGGCAGCTTCCACAGATTAAAATGCTACAAAAATAAATATAGGTAAGAAAAATAAAGCTGAAGAGAAAATAAGCATAAGGAAGGTAGACAGAGCCAGGAATGAGGTTAAGATACAAAGTGAATGCCATAAAATTGTATGCATTTGCTAGAGATGGGACAAATTTTATCTCAACTCTGGCAGCCAACATGAATTAAGACAGCTTGCTCAGTGTATTGATTTACAATGGTTTTTAGATTAAAAAAAAAAATCAACCAGGTACTCAAGAGAATCACAATTTATTAAACTGGTGAGAAATTTCTGCTGGGTGGGATGAGAAAGTTAAAGAAAGGTTGAAAACCTGTTCACGGACATACAGCTAGTAAATGCCAGAGGCAAGGACACAAGTCCAATGCTCTTTTTACATTAGTGAAATGCTTTCTTCATTACCATATATCCCACAATATGTGAGTACCATTCTAAAACCTTTGGGATAGCTATGGTGTCATAGAGCGATGTATAAGCTCTTCTGAAATCAAATTAAGAGTAAGAGGGAAAATACGAATGTCTCCTTTAAAGCTGACGAATAGCTTCTACGCAGTATAGGTATAAAAAAAATTTTTTTTCAAAGTATATGAAATCCCCCCAGCCTTGTTTACAGTTCACAGTGCTTCAACAGGTAAGAATTCTTCCAGTGCAAAAAAGGTTTAATATTTTGTCATGAACATTTATTACTCATTTTTACATGTTTCAAATGTTTCTCAAATATTGTTCAGATAATCACCTAAGTCATAAAACAGTAAGTGTAAAAATTACTAATATAAGACTAATATAAAAAATTACTAATTACTAATTTCAGCTGATTTTTTAAATTTATCAGTAAATTTATTGAGCTTTCATTAAAATATTAAGATAAAAATTTTATTTATCTTTGAGATGGGTAGTTAATCATATTTTTACTAAAGTTCAATGTTAATAATCCTTTATAGTTGATATATTTGAGTCTCACCACAAAGTCCTGAGATAGGCAATGCCTTGCTCGAGGTTATAAAGCTAATAAGTAAATGGAATAAAGATTCAAATATGGAACCCTCAACTGAGCACAAGTTCTTTTCCTAATTTTATTCAGACTTGGATTGTATCTCTGAAACCAAATACAACTAATAAGCTAGCAGGCATGTTGTGATCTGAAATGTTGAGTAAACCTCTTAGGCTAGATTAGAGCATTAGACTGCAATGGCAGATAAAGCAAAAATATATATATATATACTGGCAGATTATGGTGATCCTGGAATACCAGGCTAAGTACTTGCCCTCTTGTAGCTAAGAATTCATCAAAGCATAATGAGAAACTTGATTTCTAATCAGGGTGGTGTGGCCACATACTGGGCTTAAGTCAGATTAGCCAACAGTTCCCTGGAGTCTCCACTAGAGAAGAACTGGTTAGAAGATCAAACAACATATACACAAAACCATGGCATAAACTATGTCTTCTTTCTCAGATACAGAAGAGCATAGAAGAGGAGGTAGTGGTAGTTGTTAAATTTTGTGAAGATGAATAAACCAGAATGCCATCAGGGTAACAGATTCAAGACCTTAAAAAACCAAAATACAGTCTAAGGAATTAAAATCTTCAAGTGTTGCCACAAAAGCATAATGTACTTCAAATTAGCAATAAATATATAATTTCCAAAAAACAGTTGCCGACTACGTGCTGCGTGCTGTACTGCATGCTCTTATGTTATTTTATTTAATTGTCACAACCGTGTGAGGTATTTTCCCCATTTTACCAACAAGGAAACTGAAGCTCAAGTTAAACGAGCTTCGTAATGTCACATAGCTAGTAAGTGGTAGGCAAAGTAAAATGTGAACCCAGATCCAAAACAAACACTTTTATAAAAAATTGTGTAAACAAAATGGGCAATGATGAGAAAATGTACTGACTCCTAACTTAGGTCAAAATGGCTTGGTACTGCAAAATTTCCATAGTCTGCTGCTATGTAATTTTTTTTGCTTTATCTGCCATTACTACCTCATGCTTTAGCCTATGAGGTTCTTGCAGCATTCTCTGATCACAACTTGCACTTCTCTAGCCCTGCTCGATCTACTTCATCCAATGGAAGTATTGACTTCCACTGTTCTTCTTCCTAATGAATTCTTTCCTTTATTCAACACATTACAAATGCTACCTTCTCCTTGAAGTCACCTAATCATCCAAGTTAGGAGGGATCTCTGTATTTCTTCTCTTCTACACTTCACTGTGAACTTTCCCTATACTATACTTAGGGTACCTAGTGTATGACTGTGATTGTTTAACTATTTTCCTGCTCTACTATACCATATTATCTGAGGACTGAAACTGTGTCTTTCACATTTCTAGATTCTCCCTGAGTGTGTAGTTCAGTGCTCAATTAATACTAAGTTAAGAGTTTCTTTTCATTTTCCTAGATATAAAGAAAGTGAAGAATCTGATCTCAATCTTGACCCAGTTAACGTAGCAAATATCCATTTCATAGGTTATTAGCTAGAAAACAGTCTTATCAGTCTATTACTTGAATGAGAAATCCCTGCTGTCTAATTAGGCCTACCCATAATCTACTAGGTAAGATTTATTTTCTTTAAATAAGAAATTCATCCTCATTGAATGTTATAAACTTTTAAAAAGCCATTTAATTCTTCAACTCAAACAAAATCCTACTTGAAAACTTAATTTGCCCCCAGAACATTATAGTTTGAACAGCTCTTCAAACATAGGTCCAAAAAGTATGGTAAAAAAATCACTAGGTGAAAAGCAAAATGTTTAAGTTAGAGACAGGGTGCCTTAAAAGCCTTATCTGAATCTCACACCCTTTTATTTTATATATCTATCAATGTCGAGGGAGTGAGGCTATAAACTTTGAATTCATAAAGTATGGACATAAATGGACTTCTAAAAATGTCAAATATTCAGAGATGTGAGATTCATGTAGGCTAAGAATATACTTTAAGTACTCACATATTCCGGAATACTATAAACCAAAAGTAGAATTCACTTGAGGCATCACATTTTAAAACTCTGTATCCAAGGTCAGAACTTTCAGGAGAAAGTGGCAGGAGATAAAATACTTAAGTCACAGAAAAGAGAACCAATTTGATTTTTTAAAAAAACCTGACCTGATAAAATTATTTCAATTAATGCTTAAAAAAAAAAAACTCCATGTTGGCTCATTTATCAGTAATGTCTAACTTACACTCAGATAATAACACTGATAAATATAGGAGACATCAGAGATGAATTTTAAATATCCACATCTGGATGTTTTACCTCAAAATTACTAGAGAGGAAAATTGGGGCAAAAAGTTAAAAAAAAAAAAAAGATTACAGACTTGCTGCTCCCAAGGCACCCTATAATTATGTTATTAGAGCTCTCCTAAAGCAGGATTAGGAGCATAACAAACTTACTTAGAATTTCTCCATTAAGAAATGTACTCATTTGGAAATAGAATACCACTGGCCCTGTTGAAAGGAGAAAAAACAAATAAACCATATTTTCTTCTGGATGGTCTTTCTTCTGTATCTAAGTCTTGATTAACATGAAGCTAAAGGTTAGAATATTTTTCTTGAAGCTGTGTACAACAGAAATGTAAATAAAGTTAAGAATACCTGCATCTTAAACTTCTCAACTGACCACAGATCATGGTGATTTTGACCAATTTGAATTAAGGAACCCTGTTAACACTCAGGCCTTACTTCCAGTGATATCCTAAAATGTATATGCCTTTGACGTTTCTCCTCGCATCAAAATAAGCTTACAGCAGTATGCATTGCCCTGTTATTAAAAACTGTTAGTATGTCATGTGCCCAGGCTACCACCACATACACTCCTGTTATTTTTCAGAATAACACTGCACATTTGTGTCAACCAGTCTAAACTGCTTCCCATGGTGGTAAGGCTTAGGAAGCCCAGCAACTGTTTTGTTAAGCAGTCAAGTTCAGTAGGAGCCTGTTGGACAATATTCAAATGTTTAATGTTTCAAAGCCCACCTAGCTATTCTCTATCCATCCATGCATTCAGAATTTAGTAACCATCTCTTGTATTCAATGTGCTATTGCTTAGTTTTTCAATTTATATGCTTCTTTAACTTTGAAAAGGAATCACTTAATTCCAATAGTTTGTCCTGAACACTTCGTTTTGAGAAAAGGGGGTAAATTAGAACTTAGGGTCTCCACAAAGAGAACTTGTGGATTTTCTCTACTGCAACAAAATCTCAAGCCAAATTAATTTACCAAGTGGTATTTGATTTCTAAGATAAATATTTTATTTTAAAAAATTAAATATAAAAAGGCTGTGAAATTCCTAGAAATAAGTAATACCTGAGGGCCAGAATAACAAAAATTATTTGTTATTTTCTCAGCTCAAAGCAATAAGGGGTGATTTTTGTCATCCAAATTTACATTTACACCAAAATGTCTTGTGATTATAAACTCTTCCAGGTTGCGTTGAATTAACTTAAGCAGCAGGCTTTGAAGATGAATAAGATGATATAAAAACATATAGGCAGAATTTTTTCATTGTCACTGAATGCTGTAAGTGGTACAGCCTAGTGATTACAGGTGTGAGCTTTGCAGTTTAAATTCTGACCACATCATTTAACTAAGCTGTAAAACTTCAGCAAGTTATTTAATGTCTCTAAGTTTCAGTTTATGCATCTATAACTTAGGCATCTTAATACTTCTTTAACTGAATTGCTTTGAGGATTAAAGATGCATAATAGGTGCTTGGCATATAGTAAGTGCTTAATAAAAAAGTATTATACTTTGCTTTTATTAATTTCTCTCCTGATTTCCCTTCTACCCAAATTAGCTGAGAATTTTAAATAGAAGGTGTATAAATTTGTCACTTACAAACATGAATTAGTAAAATCTGACTTTAATCTTTATTGGTTATGGATTTTGTTTAACAGAGTGAATCCCAATATTTACAGGAGACTGACAAAATTTTTTAAAGAATTATATCAGCAGAAACACTGTAAGCTTGGGCTGAAAGGAACAAAGACAGTACAAAAGGAAAAGGGGCCTTTGCACCCCTAAAACTTCTGTAAGAAGAAAGCAGACTAAGAAAAACACAAAGTGGCAAACACAGGCTACCTTTCAAGAAAAAGGAAGGATGACTTAGACAGTGGAACCAAGAACCTAGTGGGCAGAGCCAAGCACCAGGGAGGTTCAGTCCTGGTAAATAGTAGGACTGAGTCCTAATCAAAACACTTCCAAACATTTGTCCAGATGGATTTCACAATTGCTTTGGACCAGTGACTCCTTTGAATTTCTCAATTTTCTCCTTTTTGAAGAGGGATGTCTGTAGCAGTTATCTTATGCCCTCTCCTGCCACTGGGGAGCAGATAACATGAATCTTTATTTCACAGGTTAATAGATTGACAGGACCTGTACTTAAGGTTCTACACCCTGAGGACAATCATCTGCAGCTGGACTACATTTAGATGATGAGATTCTGGATTCAAGCTAATGTTGGAATGGGATAAGACTTTTTAGGAGGTGCTAGGAGAAGAAGAGTGTATTTTGCATGTGGAAGGAAGAAAAATAAATTGTGGCAGAAGGACAGACTGCGGTTCCTTTAAAATAAATTGTGACCTGCCAGGCATGGTGGCACATACCTGTAGTCCCAGGTACTCAAGAGGCTGAGGCAAGAGGATCGCTTGAGCACAGGATTTTGTGTGCTATGATTGTGCCTGTTAACAGCCACTGCACACTAGCCTGGGCAACACAGTAAGACCCTGTCTCTAAATAAATAAATAGTAACCAGAGAGTGGACAATTCTCTCCTCAAAAGATGGAGCTTAATTTCTCTCCCCTGGAGCATGGGGAGAATTGAAAGACTCACTTCTAACTAATAAATATGGCAGAAGTGACAGTGTGTGATGTCTGAGATTAGTTCAAAAGCAGCCTTCAGGCTACTCTCTCTTGGATCCTTGCTCTGGGGAAGAACACTCAAGCAGCTTTAGAAAAAGTCCACGTGGCAAGGAATTGTGGTCTTTTGCCAACAGCCATGTGAGTGATCCATCTTAAGAGTGGATCCTCCAGCCCCAGTAAAGTGTTCAAATGACAGCAGCCCTGGCTAACATATTGACTGCAACTTCATCAGGGAACTTGAGCCAGAAAAACTCAGCTAACCTGCTCCTAAACTTCTGACCCACAGAAATGGTGAGATAATGAATGCTTGTTTTAAGCTGCTAAGTTCTGGAATAATTTGTTATTCAGCAGTAGATAACTAATACAAGCCACCAAGTATCATTTCCCTTGGTGAAGTTTCTGTTGCATTAAAAGAAACTTAAAAACCACTGTCCTAAAATATGGCAGGAAGACAAAATGTATACACTTTCTTAAGTCTTTCACAAAGAAGATTTTAAATTCATTAGCCAAGATCTAGGAAAAAAAAATATCAACTTTTAATTCTTTTAAATCTCAGCCTTCTTTGTTCCTCTCTGGGCAGAAAGTGATCATTCTCGTTAAGTGAATAGGGAAATGATACACTATGCGTTTGCCCTTTCACATTATTTCACTAAGTTCCCCAAGGCATAAGTAAAATTTTTACTTTTAAGCCAATTTACAAATAGAAATACTAAATACAAAAAAATTAATCTACTTAACATTATGCAACTTTAGTTTAATGGGCAAACTATAAGACAAAAACCCTGGCATAAAAATGGAGTTTAGTAATTTTTTTCATTTAGACTCTACAGTTAGAATTCAACGGTCCTCTTTGAGATACTTCCTAAAGAAATCTCAATATTTAACAACCTTAACCAAAATTGAAACTTCACTTCATTCTTTCAGTTACTAATATGCTGTTACTACAATCATTTGGTTGATAAGTTCTTTTAAAATTTTTTTTGAGACAGGGTCTTGCCCTGTCACCCAGGCTGGAGTGCCGTAGTGTGATCACGGCTCACTGTAGCCTTGATCTACTGGGCTCAAGTAATCCTTTCGACTCAGCCTCCCAAGTATGAGACTACGGACTCACACCACCACGCTCGACTAATTTTTTAATTTCTTGCAAAGACTGGGTCTCACTATGTTGCCCAGGCTCGTCTCAAACTCCTAGGCTCAAGCAATCCTCTTGCCTTGGCATCCTAAAGTGCTGGGATTACAACAGGCGTGAGCCACCATTTCCGATCTAGTAAGTTAGTTCTTAAAAATGGGGTTTCTTTGGAGAAGGAAACATATCTATTTTTGATCTAAATAATTAATGTGCTCTTCAAGTGTTTATAAACCTAGACACTCAAGTTTGCATAAAGTAAGGCACTGAACATTTACTCTCTCATGACTTTTCTGATGAATCTTTCCATTTGGAAAGAGTTTCTTTAAAGTGGGCACTATAAAAAATAAAATTACTCAATGCTTACATTGCTTTTATAACTTGTACTTCAATGCTTTCACCGAGGCCACTGGTATGGGAGAATTAATTACTTAAGAGTGGAATTCCCCTTTGGTTTTGGACTTACCTCTATGATTAAATTCACAAGGACACAACAAAAATGATTTACCAGGGCTACTTCAGGCAGCTCTATGCCTTGGTGCTAATTTTGATACCCAAGTTGGAAACCTAATATAACCCTAACCTGGGCATCATATGTCTGTGTGCTGAACTCTGTCTTAGGGGTGCATGATCTTCATCATGCAGAAAGTTACAAATTCATTTTGCATTTTAAATCAAGCTGTTCTCTCATTTTCCATCATGTATTAATACATTTCCACTAAGATTTTGTAAGAAAACAGATCATTTGAATATGATTCACAAAGTCTGACTATTGCTGTGCAGACAGGATTTTTCCACTTGAGTTGAATTTTTTTTTTTTTTTTTTTAGGTAAGGTCTCACTCTGTTGCCCAGGCTGGAATGCAGTGGCATGATCACGGCTCACAGCAGTCTTGACCTTCTGGGCTCAAGTGATCCTCCTGCCTCAGCCTCCCAGGAGTAGATGGGACTACATGTGCACACCACCACACCCAGTTAATTTTTAAATTTTTTTGTAGAGACAAGGATTCACTATGCTGCCTAGGCTGGTTTCAAACTCCTGTGCTCAAGTGAGCCTCCTGCCTCGGCTTCCCAAAGTGCTGGGATTACACTGTGAGCCACTGAGCCTGGCCTATAATCTACTTTTAATTTAGTTAATTTAGTGTGTAGTCACGTGTGCTTGCAGTAGACATATGTAATACTAGGCTGCCAAATCACAGACTTCCTCAAAAACCTTAAGTCTTCTCATGCCACTCTGAGCGTCAAGGTACCCAAAGGAAGAAGAAAATACGTGCATGGGATATACCTAACTTATTTATTGGTTCCTATGACTTGAGTCATGCCTTTCTTTTCTTTACATATTCAGTCTGAATTGGGTATCCTCCTTTAATAAAGTGCTATACCCAGAAAACACACAAAATTTAAACCACCAAACACAATACTAGGTTGTCATTAAGGCTCTGCAAATCAAATACACAAATTAGATGTCCATTTCTCCTTTGAAAGACTGGAAGCAACTGGTCACCACTCCTCCTCCACCCCTCTTTTAACCTGAGGGTAGTTTGAGAAAACTTCTACCTTATTATACTAACATTTCCAAAGAGGGAGAAAAATTACAGCCTTCTAATTCAACTCACAGGACTTTGCAGGATCTGAGTAACTCGTTTCCTCTGCTCCATCATGTTGAAGTCTTGTCGTAGATCAGGAGACATGTTCCTCTCCCTAATGTATTCTGGGTCATTTTCATTGATGCGGTCAAAATATCTCTCTTTGTGAGGCATGCTGGGAGGAGGAGGAGTGGTAATCACGCCTTGGCTGGCATCTGAGCTCATGTTTTAAGTCTGTGGATTACTCTTGTTATCTGCATTAATAAACACAAAGAAGGACATCCATGATAAATTCATTAAATTCAAAATTTACATGGGTCAAGCAGAACTTTTACATTTTGCCCTCAGAGTTAACAGGTGCACTTTAAAAAGTAGCTTCTCAAAAATATTAGAACAATTTTTTATTCATATAAAAAGATCTTAGATTATAATGCTCGATTTGTAATTGATATTTTCAGAGCTAACAGAAACTCATGGTTCAATTAAATTACGTTAATGTCATCAACTGCCTTTTTTTTTTTTTTTTTTTGAGATGGAGTCTCACTGTGTCACCCAGGCTGGAGTGCAGTGACGTGATCTTGGCTCAATGCAACCTCCACCTCCTGGGTTCAAGAGATTCTCCTGCCTCAGCCTCCCGAGTAGTTGGGACTACAGGCGCGTGCCACCATGCCCAGCTAATTTTTGTATTTTTTTAAGTAGAGATGGGGTTTCACCATATTGACCATGCTGGTCTGGAACTACTGATCTCATGGTCTGCCCACCTCGGCCTCCCAAAGCATTGGGATTATAGGCATGAGCCACTGTGCCCAGCTGGGCTGAAGTGATCCTCCTGCCTTGGCCTCCCAAAGTGATAAGATTACAGGCATGAGCCTCTGTGCCTGGCCCCCAACTCCTACTTTTAATACCACATATGCAAAGTCATACTTTCTAAGTATTTCAGAGTAATAGGAACTAGTACAAACCAGTATGAATTACATTAGGGAAAAAATAGTCTTAAACAACATTCTTTTAAAGTGCTGCAAAGAACGAATTTTTAAAAAGTAGTTATAAAACTTGTGAACACTAAGGGTTTCCCTCTGATGTAGCCTTTGGCCATGCAGAATAGAAACAAGGTATCATGTATATACAGAATTCTAGTTTTAAAAATCTTATGCAAATATTTATGCAACAACTATCCAACATGCATGTTTAAAAAACATTAGGTTCAAGACACAAATAGATGAAACACTCCAGAATGGTGGCTTTCAAACATTTTATATTGTATTCACATACAAATATATAAGATACATAACTGAGATAAATTAATGACATACTTTCCCTTACTATGTGGTATATTCCGATATTTTCTATTTTAATCTACTTCATTTTAATACACGCTAGTCAAATTGATTGATGATCCACTAATGGGTTGTGACCCACAACTTGAAAAACAATGCCCTAGAAACTCTAAGTTATGGTCAGGAAGGAAACGGAAGGGAGAAGGGGTAGGAAATGTTAATTGAGAATGAATATATGCTAGAGAGGAGAGTAAGATTGATTTTTTTGAAGAAATATTGTAGCTTATTACATATTTCTTTACATATTAATATTTTAAAAATAGTACTTACAGTAAATCACATTTTTGTATTTTTTTTTTTTAAATAGAGTTTAAGCTGGGCGTGGTGGCTCATGCTTATAATCCCAGCATGTTGGGAGATTGAGGTGGGAGGATCACTTGAGCCCAGGAGTTCCAGATCAACCTGGGCAACATAGTGAAACCCTGTCTCTACAAAATAAATTAAAAAAAAAAAAAAAAGCCAGGCGTGTTGGCATGCACCTGTAGTCCTAGCTACTCAGGAGGTGGAGGTGGGAGGATTCCTTGAGCCCAGGAGGTTGAGGCTGCAGTGAGCCATGATCACACCACTGCATTCCAGTCTGGGCGATGGAGTGAGGCAAAAAAGTTTCTGTATTCAGGCCGGCACAGTGGCTCATGCCCATAATCGCAGCACTTTGGGAGGCCAAGGGGGCAGATCACGAGGTCAGGAGTTCGAGACCAGCCTGGCCAACATAGTGAAACCCCGCCTTTACTGAAAATACAAAAAATTAGTTGGGCGTGGTGGTAGGTGCCTGTAATCACAGCTACTCGGGAGGCTGAGGCAGGAAAATTGCTTGAACCTGGGAGGCGGAGGTTGCAGTGAGCTGAGATCACGCCATTGCACTGCAGCCTGGGCAACAGAGTGAGACTCCATCTCAAAAAAAAAAAAATTCTGTATTCATGAAAATAGTTCACAATTTGCTTTAAGAAATATGGGTGTTAAAAGAACTTTAGCCAGTCACAGATAAAATGTTACAACTATCTGCTTAGTTTAGATAGAAGGCTTTGCAAATAGCACAATGTCTACCCATTTAAAACACATCAATGTCAGCACTGCAGAAAGATAAAAACATTTTCAAGCTCTCTGAGGATATTACAAAGGGCTGTTTATGATTCTATGAATTATACATCTGAAAGCACATTTTTGGGGGAGGATTTTTGAAAATAAGTACCTATAAAACAGATACTCTAAACACAGAGCCACTTAAAAATACTCCCAATCATTACATTTCTATCCAGTCCCTTAGCCATCCAACTCCTAGGATTATTATTCATAGATAAGAATAATATTTCTGCAATGTTTCAGTATATTCAACCATTTCAAAGCAGAACTACAGAAGACCAGGCTCCTCTGAATCAAATCAATTGACTGCCTTAAATTGAGGATCATTGTACAAAACAACTGGCCAGTACTCTTCAATCATGTCAAGGTCATGAAAAATAAAGACTAGGCTGGGCGCGGTAGCTTATGCCTGTAATCCCAGCACTTTGGGAGGCCAAGGCGGCCAGATCATGAGGTCAGGAGATCGAGACCATCCTGGCCAACACGGTGAAACTCTGTCTCTATTAAAAATACAAAAAAATTAGCCAGGCGTGGTGGCAGGCGCCTGTAGTCCCAGCTACTCAGGAGGCTGAGGCAGGAGAATGGTGTGAACCTGGGAGGTGGAGCTTGCAGTGAGCCGAGATCACACCACTGCACTCCAGCCTGGGTGACAGAGCGAGACTCTATCTCAAAAAAAAAAAAAAAGAAAAACAAAGACTAAGGAACTGTAAGGAACTGTTCCAGATTAAAGAAGACAAAGGAGACTAAGACGTGACAATTAAATGCAACATGTAATCTTGGATCAGATCCTAGACCAGGAAAAGGACATCAGTGAGACAATTGGTGAAATTTAAATAGAATCTGTAAATTTGATAATAGTATTTACATCAATGTTAATTTCCTGAAACTGATAATTACAACATGGTTATGGAAGATATTATCATTTAGGGAATCTGGGTAAAGGACAAACAGGAATTCTTTCACTATTTTTGCCAACTCTTTTGTAAGTCTGAAATAATTTCAAAACAAAGCACAAAAAATCCAAAATATATACATAAACATTAATCCAATATAAGACAAATCCAATCTCAACACAGTCAAAGGAAAATATTAATACCACAATTTTCAGGGCCCTCCTGAATTTTATAGTATACCATGTTCTTTCCTCACCAAAGAATTTTTAAAAGTTTGCTCACAGGTAAGATAGGATACAAAACACACTTACAAAAAGAAAACCCCCAAACAATACCTGAGCTATTAAACAAAAACAGTCATACATATGAAAGCTATATTCCCAATCCACTTAGATTAATATAAGAACCCTCAAAACTCAAAGTAACAGAGGTAGTAACATTGTATAACTGTTAATATACTTAAACAGTATCTGACATATGCTCATACCATGTATTTTGTAAAGCTGTTCATTATCAAATTAACCCAAAGTGTTCACAGACTGAGAAAAATACCCCTATGTTCAATTCTGAGCTCACCAGCACTGCTAGTGCCATTCTTGCCTATCTTACAATCTGGGTTGCTTGTATTCAGGTCCACTTGTAGAGCCCTTTCCACCTGAGTTACCTGTTAGATGCCTCTAGATGAGCTGGACTCCTGATTTGGGCTCTGTGGTACATCGTTTTTCAAAGACGGCCTCAAGAATTCTTCCATGCTTCCCTGCGATCTACTTTTTCCACTAAGAAGTAGAGACTATTTTCCTATCCCTTAAATCTGGTTTGGACTTGTGATTTGCTTTGACTAAAACAATGTGGCTGAAGTGACATTATACACTTTGAGGGTCGTGCAGCTGCCACACCATGAAGAAGCCCATAATGAAAAATGAGGAGAAAGAGGCCCAGCTGTCCCCAGTAAGCCAGGTTCCCAGCAGACCCCCCCCAGCTAACTATCGCAACATGAATGAGTCCAGGTAAAAGCAGGTAAGGTGCTACTCAGTCAACATACAGAATCATGAGAAATAATAAATTGTTAAACACACAAAGCTTTGTTTTTGTTGTTGTTTCTGTTTTTCACACAGCAACAGATAACTAAAGTGAAAACTGGTGTTACTGGTGCTGTAATAACAAAAACTGAAAACCTGGCATTAGCTCTGGGGCCTAGGCAGTGGGGAGGCTATTAGTGGAGGCTGACAAGGCAGTGAGGAGACTGCTACTGGAGACTGGAGAGAGGGTTATGTTGCATAATGAGAGCACAAACTAACAAGAATGTGTTAACTTGAAAACTAGAAAACATGCTTAACGAATGTGGAGCTCACTAAGATTTCTAGGTAGAATGCTGAAAGAGCCAACTGAGTATTGTTTTTTTCCAAAAAAATATTTTTATATAATAATCTATAATAAATAACACAGACATCCCTTATGCCCTTTTCCCCAGTTTCTCCCAATGGCAACACATTGCAAAACTATATTACAGTATCACAACCAGCACACTGACAGTAATATAGTCAAGAAGGAGATTATTTCCATCACCAGAAGTACTCCGCATGCTGCCCTTTAATAGCAATGCCCATTTCCACTCCCTCCTTAATCAGCAGCAACCACTAATCCATTCTCTATTGCTATAATTGTCATTTAAAGAATATTATACAAATGAAAATATGCAACATATAAAACCTTTGGGGATTGGCTTTTTTCACTCAATCATTTACTGAACATTTGTGGAGGCTGTCATATCAATAATTTGTTCCTTTTTACTGTTGAATGCTATTCTATGGTATGGCTGTATCATTATTTGTTTAATCATTTGTCTACTCAAAGACAACTGGTTATTTCTCGTCTTTGACTATTATAAAATTATAGCATATTTTTTCATTAACAGGAAAAAGTAGAAACAACCCAAACATCTATCAACTGACAAACACAAAGTATAGTATTTTGTCATATGGTAATCCAGAAAGTGGAATATTACATGGCAATAAAAGGAAATGGAATACTGATATGTGCTTCAGCATGGATGAACCTTGAAAACATTGTAAGTGAAAGAAGCTAGTCACCAAGGACCACATATTGTATGACTCCATTTATATGAAATGTTTAGAAAAGACAAATCTATAGAGGTAGAAAACAGATTAATGGCTGCCAGGCACTATGGGAAAATGAGGAGTGGCCGCCAATGAGATTTATTTTTGGAGTGATGAACATGTTCTAAAATTATTGTGGTGATAGTTGTACAACTCTGTGACTATATTAAAAACCACTGAATTGTATACTTTATATGGCCAAATGGCATGGTATGTGAATTATCTCCATAAAACTGTTATTTTAAAAATCCAACCTGAGAAGCTACTGACCACCTTGCAAGCTTGGGAATGGGGACTCTCTTGTAGTCCTCACAATGGGCGAGAACTCCATAAATGGGGGCTGAATTAAGTTACTTTACTATATCACAACTCCTTCCAAATAAATCTGGTTTGCATTATTTATAGGCTGGGAATAGTAAAAACAATCTTTTGAAAAGAAGTTATTACTTACAAAAAAATCTTTCCAAACTTAAAATTCTTGGCAGTTTGAATAGCTTTCTTTAGAATAAGCAAAGAGATGGCTGTACTTTCAACTACCAGACCTATTTTTCCACACTTCAAAGAATAATCAAAGATATGCCAAGACCGCAAAGCAGCATATTTGGTTAAAAAACAAAACAACAAATGCTATTTCAGTTTTTCTTGATGAAAGTTACTATGAAATTTTAAAGTTATTTGAAGTTCTAGAAAACAACTTAGACCCTACACAAACTATGACAAGCTACTATCCTTAGATCACTAGTGAAATTTTCTTCATTTTAAGTTCTAAAAGACATGAGCTGCTTTTAAATGCTAGCCAAAATTTTATATACAACTGACATGGAAATTGACAGATCTGAAAACTTGAAGCAGAAATAGATAAAAATGAAGAAAAATGGGAGAAAAAACCCAAATGAACCTGGCATTGAGCAGCACTGAGTAATACAGATGGCACTAAGTGCACAAATGGAGAAAAACTTAATTATCCCACAAAGCACTAGGCTCTTATTCCTAAAAGGCTATTGATTTTATATGAGCTTCTCTTGAAATATTTCAGACTAGATTCAATGATCACTTTTTACAGATGAGAGGAAACTATACTCAGTGGTGTTGAGTGACTTTTCTAAAGTTACATTGCTCAAATATCATATTATAAAATCATAATAATGATGTTTATTAGCATTACCATGTCATCCAGATTGCCCCATAATCAAAATTTACTCCTTCAATGAAATATAAGAAAGAAAACAGACCCATCACGCCATGTTTATGGATGTATTTTATAAATACCATCCACTGAGAGGAACAGGCTATTAAGAAGAACTAAAATTCTAGTGCTTGTAATAGACTTAATGGTCCGTTTGCCTAGCATGCACAGAAAAATAGATGTACAAGTGGGGTAGTTGTATAATGGTGGTTTATTTGACCTAAATACCAAAGGGACAAGTTTTAAGTACATCATTAAATATTAAAAAGTACTCACTAACATTTTATCAATACAGTAGTTCCCCTCCTTAACTGCAGTTTCAGTTACCTGTGGTCAACCACTGTTCAAAAATAGGCGAATATAGTACAATAAGATTTTGAGATACAGGGAAAGACCACATTCACATAACTATATATTTTTCATACATACACACACACACCCACACACCATAAAGACACTTAGTATCTTTGCCATCAGTACTTAGCAAAACATATAAATAAGATGCATAAAGACAAAGAGTATTAGGAGATGGGCAGATGAAGAAGCTCAATGAGCAGGCAGATAAATGGTATAATAAAATGTCATGGAACATTCCACACAACTTTGAGTTCCAAACAAAAAGGAACTACATGCAAGGTACGGACCACTAAATTGACTCAAGTCCATCTGAAAAGGAGACTACGTTGGCTATTGATCAGTATATAGGAAGTCTTAACTCTTTACCTGACAGATGACCACTATGACTTAATTAGAAGCTATTAACAAAATGACATTGACTGTGCTCTGGGTAATAATAAATTGTATTTAAGTTTCACTTTAATATAATTTAGCATCATATTAAAAGAGTTGAGGGCTGTATTATGAAACAAAACAAACCTCAGAAAAATATCCTGTTGGGACCTAAAGAGTTAAGACAAGTATAATACACCAACTGAAATAAGTGGTAATAGAAATTGGTCTAATATAGATACTAAATAGAAATGCATGTATACATAAACATGTCTAAACTACAAAAGCAGTAATTTAATGAAACATTTTAAAGCAATCACAGAATTCCAGGTACTATGCTCTATACAGATTTTCTCATTTAATATCCTTTACAACTCTGGCCAGGTGTGGTGGCTCACGCTGGTAATACCAGCACTTTGGGAGGCCAAGGTGGGCGGATTACTTGAGGTCAGGAGTTGGAGACCAGCCTGGCAAATATGGTGAAACCCCATCTCTACTAAAAATGTAAAAATTAGCTGGGCATGGTGGCATGTGTCTGTAATCCTAGCTACTCAGAGGCTGGGGCAAGAGAATTGCTTGAACCCAGGAGGTGGAGGTTGCAATAAGCCAAGATTGCACCACTGCACTCCAGCATGGGTGACAGAGTGAGACTCTGTCTCTCCAGCCTCCAAGAAAAATCCTTCACAACTCTATGAAAAGGCGACCAGTATCCCCAACTTTATAGATAAGAAAACTGAGGGGTTTTTTTTTTCAGTTTAAAAAATAAAATTATATTTATTTAAAGTATACAACATAATGTTTCCCCACCCCTTTTATGTTAGGTTCAGGGGGTACATGTGCAGGTCTGTTACATAGGTAAATTGTACGGCATTGGGGTTTGGAGTACAAATGATTTCATAAGCCAAGTAAGTGAGCAGAGGACCTGATAGGCAGTTTTTCCGCCTTCACCCTCCTGCTACCTTCCCCACTCAAGTAGACCGGGTGTCTATTGTTCCCACCTTTGTGTCCATGTGTATTCAATGTTTAGTTACCATTATAGGTGAGAACATGCAGTATTTGGTTTTCTGTTCCTGTGTTAATTTGCTTAGGGTAATAGCCTCCAGCTGCATCCATGTTGCTGCAAAGGACATGATTTCATGTTTTTTTTATGGTTGCATAGTATTCGAAGGTATATATGTACCAAATTTTCTTCATTCAGACCACTGTTATGGACATCTAGGTGATTGATTCCATGTCTTTGCTATTGTGGATAGTGCTGCAATGAACATATTTGCGCTTGTGTCTTTTTGGTAGAATAATTTATATTCCTTTGGGTATACACCCAGTAAATGGGATTGCTGGGTTGAATGGTAGTTCTGTTTTAAATTCTGTGAGAAACCTCCTGCTTTCCACAGTGGCTGGACAGCAGTGTATAAGTGTTCCGTTTTCTCCACAACCTCGCCAACATCTGTTATTTTCTGACATTTTAATAACAGTCATCCTGACTGGTATGAGAAGGTATCTCCCTGTGGTTTTGATCTGCACTTCTCTGATGATTAGTGATGTTGAGCATTTTTCCATATGCATGTTGACTTGTGTGTATGTCTTCTGAGAAGTGGATGTTCATGTCCTTTGAGACTATTTTCTTAAGGGGTTGTTTACCTGTTGGGTTAAGTTCCTCATAAACTCTGGATATTACACCTTTGTTGGATGCATAGTTTGTAAATATTTTCTACCATTCTGCAGGTTGTCTGTTTTCTACGTTGATAGTTTCTTTTGCCGTGCAGAAGGCTCTTTAATTATGTCATACTAGTTTATTTTTGTTTTTTTGCAATTGCTTTTGGAGACTTCATCGTGAAATCCAGGTTTTCTCCTAGAGTTTATAGTTTTAGGTCTCACATGTAAGTCTTTGATCCATCTTGAGTTGAATTTTGTATATGGTGAAAGGAAAAGGTCCAGTTTCAATCTTCTGCATATGATGGCTAGTCAATTATCCCAGCACCATTTATTGAATAGGGAATCCTTTCCCCGTTGCTTGTTATTGTTGACTTTGTCAAAGATCAGATGGTTGTATGTGTGTGGCTTTATTTCTGGGTTCTCTAACCTGTTCCATTGGTCTATGTGTCTGTTTTTGAACCAGTACCAGGCTGTTTTAGTTACTGTAGTCTTGTAGTATAAAAACTGAGGTTTAATAAATTTGTCTCAGATTACCAAAGGTTCTTCTCACAAATAAGGAAATTACTCATGGTTATAGATCTTAACAGGCATGGTGGAGTTAGCCAAAAAATATGAGATGGCTCAAAGGACTATCATTTCCTAAAGATATATCCAGCCATTAGATCACTGACTTTATTTGGGGGAGGGGGGATGAAAATATTATATGATCACAATACTCAATACCAAAGTGGAAATAGTAAATATTCTAAAAGTAGCAATAAAATTTGCACAAAGTCTTCCATGGCTATCAAACCTACACATGTGGAAACCTACCTACCTCTCTGGCCTACTGCTGGAATTGTCAGATTGATCCGTATTATTCTTAAATTCCTGAACCCCGTTTTTGTTCTTTTGAAATGACTTGTTATCTTTAAAATAAAACTAAATTCTAAACCTCAATATAAAGTCCAGGAAATAATAAATCTATAGTTGTTTAGTAAAAGTTAGGACTGAGCCTTAGTTTAAAATCCAACTTAAAGTCAAGGGAAAAAACCCCCACAACAATAACAAAATAAAATAAAATAGTAACAGCAACCCACTGCGGTACTAAATGTTCTGTACTTAATGGAAGTTGATGTCTGACTAAGCAGTCATTTAAAAAAGATAAAATATGTGTCAATTGGAGGCCACAGCTAAGAGGGTGTTTCAGTTTCAAATTTTGTTTTACAAATAAAAATATAATATGAATTAATATAAACTCTTGGCAAACATGAGTCTCCTTGTGATTGTACAATTGGAACAAAGCAGTTAGATGTAGTCATAACACACACATTGTTCATAATGTAGGTGCAGAACAGTAAGTAAAAAAATGTCAAGTAGGGGCTGGGCATGGTGGCTCACACCTGTAATCCCAGCACTTTGGAAGGCCAAGGTAGGCGGACTGCCTGAGCTTAGGAGTTCAAGACAAGCCTTGGCAACATGGTGAAACCCCACCTCTACTAAAAATACAAAACATTAGCTGGGCGTGGTGATACATGCCTATAGTCCTAGCTACTTGGGAGGCCAAAGCATGAGAATCGCTTGAACCCGGGAGGTGAAGGTTGCAGTGAGCTGAGATCACGCCACTGCACTCCAGCCTGGGCGACAGAGCAAGACTCTGTCTGCCAAAAAAAAAAAAAAAAAAAGTCAAGTAGGTGCTTGTTATATCAACATAATCATTCAACAGGGTGATTCAAAGACTAAAGACAGAGTTGGACAATGCTGAGGATCAGTCTAACCTCTGTGTCACTAACGACGAAGGATATTTTATTGATCTACGTTACCTGTTACAAGGAACAGTGAGGCAAACAGATTTCTGTACTTGAGGTGATGGTGGGGGTTGGGAGAGGAAGAGAGGCAGTTACTTGCTTAGACATTGGTAGAGGTGAAAATAACATTCACTGGTAACTTGAAATAAAAATCTTTATTATAATTAGGTCAAATTTACCAATTACAATGGCCATACAAGGGGCAGGGTTACAAAGTTGAAAACATGTACAGAAAGTTCAGAGAAAGTATTTCTTCAAGTCCAAACTCAATCATTAATCATTATCTAACATTAACTTGAATTGTTCCCAACATAAACCATTTGGAAAAGTAAATATGAAACTGATTTTATATATATATCATATATATTATAAACATATATCATATATACATATGTGTGTGTACATATATATATATTCCTATGAAATGAGTAAAACAATCAACCACAGAAAGGCAATCCCTCAAGTATCTTACAGAACCCAAAGACACACAGCCTTGGTGAGCCTTTACTCTCCTTTCTACAAAATATAATGAACATTCTATATATATTCCCTTAGTCACCATTTGTCTTCAATGTGGAGTTTTGGAAAATGGTTGAGAAACAAAAGAAGGGTTCCCCACCCCACATCCCAACCCCTTCCTTAGAGAAAGCTGACAGAGACTAGTGGATTGATTACTTAGATGTGCGTCTCAGACATTTAGTTTCTGTTGAGTTCCCTGCTATTAGAGAAAATTTTAAAATTGAGATCCAGGAAACTATCCAGAGCTTGACAGCTCATGATAAATGAGAGGTTTTAAAAAGAGGAATCACTAGAAATTATTATTTTTAAATAAACATTCATTGCTCTCAATTTCAGGAGATACCGTAAGTCTTTGATTCTTATTTGGTAGTCTTTCTAGGCAAAAAGCTTTTTTTTTATTTTTATTTTTTAAAGAAACATCAACTCTCACATACTTCATACTTTACTGCATACCCACTCTACAAATCTCAGTGGACCTTTTCTCAAATGAATATTCAAATACAAATAATATAGGAAATTTAACTTCCCCAAATTCCAATCTTACATCTACCTATTTCACAAGCTGAAATTAGATTTTAACTGAAGAAATGCAAATAATCCAACAAAGCTTATTATTAAAAATGAGCTGAGTCTGCAAAATAAATATGCATTGAAAAGGCTAGTCTAGGAAACTGATTTGTTACCATGGACTATGTTTCTGTGTTCCATTCCTAATACAGTCATTGTGACGTGCCACGGTGGGGGAAAGGGAGGGATGGAAAGGCACAAAAAAATGAGACAAAGTTCCTTATTTTAAAAATTGGAGGAAAATACACAAAAAAATATTAAAGAACCACAGGGTATAATTACCAAGAGTTCATTTTGATCTACTATTTCAGATATTCAAGCTAAAGACTTTTGGCTTTCATAACTTATAAAAAATACAGCTGCAAAAGTCAATCCAAAAACTGTAGGCAACTCAACACACTGCAACTGCAAAGCAGTTGGATTTGAAGGAGGAGTTTCTGCCTTCCGATTTTGGCTGCTAAGGAACATTTCAAGATCATCACAACTTGATCTGTTTTGTTTATGAAACGCCTAATATTGTGCCATGAAAATGCATCTTATTAAGCACAGATAATGGTACTTGAAAACTACTTGCAAAAATACTTTTTGGTTATAACCTGCCACTTTAGCAATTGGTTGATGGTTTTAAGTGCAAGTTCACAAAAAGAGATTTTTATCAATTTCAGAAATCTGTTTCTCAAAACGGATTTGTCAAAAACTTGCTTTTTCAAATGTATCATCTTTTAGATCTAAAGATTGACATTCAGCCATACTACTGTACTATAGTGGTTGAATAGTGTCTTCCCTAAAAATTCATGTCCCCAGAAGCTCACAGTGTGGCCTATTTGAAAATAGGGTTTGTAGATCAAATTAAGTTGAGATCATACTGGATTAGGGTGAGTCCTAAATCCAACGACTAGTATCTTTATAAGAGGAAAGTGAGAGAGATTTGGACACCAAGTAACAAAAAAGACACAAAGGAAGAAAAAAGCCCTATGATGACAGGGCAGAGATTGAACCGATGCAGCACAAGCCTAGGGACCAAGCTGGGAACCATGAGAAGCCCGGGGAGGGGCATGGAATAGATTTTTCCCTCAGACCCCTCAGAATGAACCAATCCTGCCAACACCTTGATTTTGGACCTCTGGCCTCCGGAACTGTAAGAGAATAGATCTGTTGTTTTTAGCCACCGGGATTGCAGTACTTTGTTATATAGCAGTTCTAGGAAACTAACACATATACTGTTCCAAAGGAATTTCCATCCTAATATCTATTTTTGAAAGCATTTTACCATCAACAGTGTGAATAGATAGCACACCTTTGCAGAATCAATGTCAGCTCTTCAGAAATAACAAATCGTCAAAACACTAACCTGAACAAGACATCTGATATACATAAGTACAATGCAACATTCTGGTTTTCCACAATGGCATGACCTTTGCCAACTACCCTGTCAGTCAGTGTTTCCAAGGAAATCTAAAGCAAGAAAAATATGAACATTCTTGTCACATCAGATGAACAAAAATTTCTTTGTAAAACTGAAGATTCATAATGAAGGCCAACCACAAATTAAAGATGCAGCAGGCTCTACTGCTTCCATCATAGCGGAAACACTGTTAAAGCAGTTACTAAATCATAAAATACTACGGAATATATTTTCACTTAAGCAAGGATGGACTTAAAAGCCACTTGCTCAGGACCAGGCATGGTAGCTCATGCCTGTAATCCCAGCAATTTGAGGGGCCAAGGCAGGTGGATCACTTGAGATCAGGAATTCAAGACCAGCCTGGCCAACATCTCTACTAAACTCCATCCCTACTAAAAATACAAAAATTAGCTGGGCGTGGTGGTGGGCGCCTGTAATCCCAGCTACTTGGAAAGCTGAGGCAGGAGAATTGCTGGAACCTGGGAGGCAGAGGTTGCAGTGAGCTGAGATGGCGTGCCACTGCACTCCAGCCTGGGTGACAAAGCCAGACTCAGTCTCAAAAAAATAAAAAAAAAATAAAAGCCACTTTCTAAAGCGAGTGGGTTTCTTGCCATGTGTACATACATGCTGCATTTCTGCTATTCTGCTCACATTGGAGACCACTGAACCCACATCTTGCAGGTTCATGCCAGGCTCTGGGACCCTTGGATTATGGGAAACCCTAAGAAACTAGTTTAGTATCTCTCAGCATCAAGTCAGTCTTGCAGTTGTTCCCACTCTGATGTTCTGACACTGATGTAAAGAACTACCTGAGACTAAGTAATCTATAAAGAGGTTTAATTTACCACAGTTCCACAGGCTATACAGGAAGCTTGGCTGGAGAGGCCTCAGGAAACCTACAATCATGGCAGAAAGGTGAAGGGGAAGCAAGCACATCTTTGCATGGTGGCAGGAGAGCAAGCGAGCGAAGGAGGAAGTGCTACATACACACTTTTAACCAACAAGATCTTGTGAGAACTCTATCATGAGATAGCACTAGGGGGATGGTACTAAACCATTAGAAACCACCCTCATGATCCAATCAACTCCTGCCAGACCCCACCTCCAATACTTGGAATCACAATTTAATATGAGATTTGCGTGGGGACACAAATCCAAACCATATCAAGCCTGTTTTTTGTTGTTGTTGTTTTGAGGATGGAGTCTCACTCTGTCCCCAGGCTGGAGTGCAGTGGCATGATCTCGGCTCACTGCAACCTCTACCTTCTGGGTTCAAGTGATTCTCCTGCCTCAGCCTCCTGAGTAGCTGGGACTACAGGCACGTGCCACCATGCCCAGGTAATTTTTGTATATTTAGTAGAGATGAGGTTTCACCCTGTTGGCCAGGATGGTCTTGACCTCCTGACCTCATGATCCGCCCACCTCGGCCTCCCAAAGTGCTAGAATTACAGGCGTGAGATACTGCGCCCAGCCTTTTTCTTTTTCTTTCTGTTTCTGAGACGGAGTTTCGCTCTTTGTCACCCAGGCTGGAGTGCGATGGCATGATCTCGGCTTACTGCAACTTCCGCCTCCCAGGTTCAAGCGATTCTCGTGCTTCAGCCGTCCAAGTAGCTGGGATTACAGGCTTGTACCACCACGCCCAGCTAATTTTGTATTTTTAGTAGAGAAGGGGTTTCTCCATGTTGGTCAGGCTGGACTCGAACTCCCGACCTCAGGTGATCTGCCTGCCTCGGCCTCCCAAAGTGCTGGGATTACAGGCGTGAGCCACCATGCCCGGCCCAAGTCTGTTTCTTAATCATTAAATTCTGAGCCACTCCACTCACTCTCAAGCAGCCTAATTCACTTTCTTGTTTCTCTATCAGGTAACTTCAAATACTTTTACAATTGAAGGTCTATGCCTGAACCCTAGGGCCCACGTCTCAGTCTTAGACCCTTCTATCATTTGCCACTGTTCCCTGAGGTCACCTGATAGCTCACATCTTTGCATATGGCAGTAGATCTCCGATGCCATGCAGATCTCCCTGGTACTGATTGGATCTGGACTTCTACCAATTACCACCCTTTGCCAAAAATTCCCTGTCCCTAAACTCTGCCTATGTGCTACAGTTTGACACCTACTGAATCTCACTCATATTGACTGTTCACATACCTGGACTCATTCCTATTGCCCATTTCTGGGAATCTGCTCCTGACTGTTTACCTGGATTCCAGTCAGTAAAATCCCCTGGGTATTCACCAAATTAAATCTTCAACAAAGTGTAATCTAAACTATAATTATGAACTTTAGAAAAAGTTCTCTAGATCCTGGTCTCCAGATTATATATGCCCCATTATTTCATTTTGAACTGTGTTGGACATTAACTGCCATGCAAGCTTGTGGGTGCATTTAAAGAGGTCTAGGCTCTTTCCTGATAAAACAGGATTTAGCTTTGAAAAGTAGGCCTAGTTGATATGAACAAGAATTCTAAAAATGTATGTATACATTGATATTTTATGACACCAAACTAATTCATATCAAAAAATGGGGGGGAATTAAAATTATTTCTAACATGAAGAAACTGGAAATAATGAGAAGATAAAGAGACAACAACCCAAGTCTCCAGTCCACTGCTGGAAACTGAACTCTCAATAAAAAGTGAGAAAATCTGGAAAAAGACCTGAGAAGTCTAATATCAAATTCAGGAAAAAGAGAAAACATTAAACTAATTAACTATTTAATTTATGGAGGAAAGTTTATCAAAAACAACAGAAATGCAGACTTTAAAACAACAAAGAATAACTTTCATACGTTTGTTAGGATTGTAGAGAAACAACATTGCTTTGTAAATATAAATAAGAACTCTTCCAACAAGAGGAGTTGTTTTCCCTGATATTACCTAATGAGAGCCAAAAGAGGAATACTATCCTTAGAATTTAAAGATGTTAGAGCTTAAAAGGATGTAAGATATTATCAAATCTTATTCTACCTCATTTCTCATATGGAGAAAGGTAGAACAGATCCTGAGAGAGAGAGTGACGTGTCCCAAGTCCCTCAATTTATCTTACCCAATACTTTTCACTTTATCTACATTAGAATGAGATACATAAGACTGTAGACCATATGATCTGTTCATATAAGAAAAATTTAAAACATGAACTGCACTTAGAAATTTATTTAACTAAAGATTTTGGTAAGCACAATTTTAAGCACATTTCAGGTGCTACTGTACATTAAATAAACTGTTAACTTTTATCTCTAAAAAGCCAGGTAATGCCTCATGTTACAATTTCTTGATTTTAAAGGGTTTCTAGGTATGTGCTCATGATTAATATACAAAACATTTTGTTGGTGTTATTTCCATAAGAATCTAAAACAATTTTTACTATTTTAAAATAATGAGAGTGCTTTTCTTTCAAGCTTTCATGGTAATTCACCAGGAAGAGTAAACTTCATGACTCAGCTTTTTGTGCCCACTCACACATGCCTAAAAGGTCCACTGAAATTGCTTGCTATATTTTAAATTCCAGCTTGAAGTAGGACTCTTGTTTTTCTGAGGCTCACAAAGACTAGACTCACAGCTTAGTTCTATAGTGTCTATTTAGCTGTACTTAAAGCCTACATCAAGTACTTTATTGTCAAATAAAAAGCTATCTATGAGGAGCTTAGTAACTTAAGTAGCTCTCCAGAGTTTGGTAAATATTTTGTGTCTACTTTTGATCTCTATTGTCTAGGAAAGGTTCTGTCAAGTTGTAAAGTGCTAGAAAGTGTTATTTTAAACCTTTAAAAGGTAGTAAGAGTACTACAACCCTGGGATCCTTGGTTGCAACAAAGAAGCACAAAGCCAACTACTATAGTTTTCCAAAAACACCATTTCCTCAGTCCCTGCCCCAAGGAAATAAAAAAGCATCCAGGAAGTCCCATCTTTAAAAAATACTTAGCTATCAGCCTGGGGCTTCTAAAATTCAGGCCCTGAAAAAACGATAGGAAAGACTTCAAAGTCCATCCCTATTAATTAGGTTTAGAGGGAAATGACTCTTCCTAAAAAAAAGCCATCCCCGATTGTTGCTTTGCTCACCATACTTCTTCTTCTATTTTCTTTTTTTTTTTGAGACGGAGTCTTGCTCTGTCACCCAGGCTGGAGTGCAGTGGCGCGATCTCGGCTCACTGCAAGCCCCGCCTCCCAGGTTCACTCCATTCTCCTGCCTCAGCCTCCCGAGTAGCTGGGACTAGAGGCGCCAGCCACTATGCCCGGCTAATTTTTTGTATTTTTAGTAGAGACGGGGTTTCACCGTGTTAGCCAGGATGCTCACCATATCTCATACATTTGGACTGTTTTCCCCTCTCATCTCCATCCGTCCATCCAATATTTGTCCATACTTTGAATTCTTATTCAAAAGCCAACCCCTTCCATGGTGACTTTCCTAAGTTCCTCCATCTTAGCTCTCCCCGCAACCTTAGTGTTCAAATCACTTTGTCATAGTCTGTATTGCCTTTTAATTATCTGAGTATGTCTGTTGGCTCCAAGTAACTGGGTCAACATTTTTTCCTTTCTTTACTGTCCACTTAGAGTTACTCAATAAGGGTTTATTAACTCACTGAGGTGAGTAAGGCTCTTGACTCATAATACCCCCATTCTCTACTTGTCTTAGAATAAACCAGGACAGGGATTCTAGAGCAAACTCTGAAAACTGGGCTATTCGTGGTTTGATAAGACTGGCCAAGTATCCAAGATGGTTGAGGTAATGAATATTGTGACCTGAATATGAAATGTCTTAAGCTGACTGAAAAGTAATTACACAAAAAAAGTGTGAAGATATGAGAAGAGCATTATCGGTATCTGGAAATACTTAAAATAAGTAAATACATACATAAAAAGAGCAATTTCTAAAAATCTATATTTACCGCCATGTTTTGAGACCACGTACAAATAATGATACAAAAATGTTATCTTCAAACACCAAAGAAACTACTGATCCAATCAATCAGCAAATGCTAATTCAGGTGTTAGAAAAAGGTTATAAAGACTATTTAAGGCACAGCTCTGATTCCTGCCCTTAAGGACTTTCCAGTTTATTAATAATTGTGGAGAGAAGTAAACCGAATAAGCTATCTCGTAAGACAGTTTAATGTTTTACAGAACTTGAATTCATGGCTTCCAAAACTCAAAATAGGTCTTTAAATGGACATTTTTCATACCCAAAAGGTATGTTTAAAATAATTCATTCTCATCTAAGGACAGGAAGTGTGTAGAGTAAGCTAAGCCTGCAAAAGGTCATAACCACTATTAAAGCATTTTTTTTCTGATCTTTTTAACTGTCATGACTTTTATGCCCAACAGTTACTGATGGTCAAATGTATTCTGAAGCTCAGCCAAAGTTTTTTTTTAGAGTGATACTCAAAACAAAGCAAATATTGGCTTAGTCATGACACTTGTTGTTCTAAAACGTTAATAGCCTATTGTTCACTGTGGTTGTCTCAGCAAGATAATACATTGAAAAACAGCATTTCCTGATAGGAAGTGAATTCCCACTGTGTGTCACAGGACCCTAGCCAAATGCTGGGCTCCAAAGCAGAAACAGCAGTGCCTTCTGGGACTGCGTAACAGACCAGGGTAATGAGACTTCCCCTTCTCTCGTTTAAAATGTCTGTTTCAGCTCAAACTACAATCTATTTGACTGATTTTGCCACCATAGGACTGTTTTCCTAAAATGGCTTCAAATGCTTCAAAGTTTGTTCAACATCCTGTAGACAGCAGCATCCTGTATATTTCTAACTATGAAGAATTTCCTTAGTTATACATGCCACAATGGATGGGGTAATTTGACAAAGAAGCCATCAGGATGTATCTTCAAAACAGAGGGTGACCATTTTCAAGCGTGGTTTCATATAAGCAATTGTTAAAAAATCATAATAGGTGAAGCACAATAATTCCAACAGTTTTTTATACATCAGATACGTTTTAGTAGACAAAAATTTAGCCTCAATTAATTAGTCCAAGCACCACAGCATTACTTAGAGTTCAATTAGTGAGAAACTGGTGTCACCAGCAGAGCCTCATACAGAAGAGTGTGCCTCCAAAGTAACTGACACTGTACTAAGACATTAAGACCTTCTTTTTAAACACTGAAAACATACTTTTCATCTATTTTCACAGATTCGAATTTAAATATATATATATTTTTTGCCAAGTTCCAATCACCAGTGGATATTAGAAAGCTCCAACAACGCAAGGAACAGGAGCAGTTGTCATTTTAGAGGATTCTAAGCAAGACTGTCTCAGTTACCTAGGTACTCCTAGCATTTAACTCAGTGCTTGGCTGCTAGAAGGTCTTCGATACATTTTGCTAAGTGGAATTGTATGTCAAAAAATGCGTATGAAAATTAACAAGGAACACTAATAATTATCTAGCATTATTTGAATAATAATAATATCTCAGATTATAGAAAAGTATATTCAAGGTATATTAAGCCTTCTGCAAAGAAACTAAGGTAACCACCACACAAACATACAAACTCTCTCTCCTACCTTATTGGCCAAGAAAATGTCTTTTATCTTCCAGTTGTAATTACACAAATCAATTGAAGTCCTTACATCATTTTATCTTTAGAACAGCTGTCATTTGATTGAATTATGAAACTAAAACTGTGAAACAGGTAATGCTACCCAATGCTAAATATCCTATGTGTGATACAGCAAAAATACTGCTTTTGTTACTTTATAACTTTGCCATGTAACTTTGTAACTTTGCTGGCAGGATATAGTTCACCTCTAAAGCAGCTTCCTCAGCATCAAATCTGAAAACTTTAATTATGTTAAGTAATGTCAGTTTTAGCATTTAACGAAACAAGGAGATGGATTAAAGGGCTAGAATGTGCAAACAGTTTAAACAAGAAACCTGAAGCCAAGTTTCAAAGCCCTAGGATTACTTCTGAATGGTCGGACTCACTGAAAAATTATAAGGATCCATTTTAAAAACAAACATAACTTCACAATCTTCCTCCTCAAATATTCAAGCTTGATAAAAAGGATTTGCTTTTAATTCTGGAATGGGTTTTATACTTTTGAAATTGACTTTTGAGAAAAGGATAGTTTATGTAAAATATAGAATGATATTCAACTTTCCTTTTTTACATTCTTAAACTTTAAAATAGCTTAGGCCACATGGAAGGTCAAATAAATTACAGACCACACAATATATACAATAGATGTTTTTAATTTAAATATGAGAAACTTCATATAATTTGGGTTATCCAGTTTAAATCAATATTCCAACAAAAATACTACATAAATATTGAAGTTGGGTGGGACATTAAAACTCATCTATTTCAATCTCTTATTTTATAGATGGTAAAACTGAGGATTCAAGGAGGTCAGGTGACCCACCCCAATACCACACCCAAGTTACCCGACTTTGAACCCAATGTTCTTTCACTGCTCTGAGGAGAAATGACTTCCTCCTGGGGCAGTTCTTACCCACCCCGACCCATGAATGCCTGGGATAGTGCGGCCTAGTTTTGGAGCCCTAGTCTGATACATAGAAGTTGGTAAGGGAATTTTCTATTTCCACACAGCACTATTATACCTTCCCTATAGTACCCCAGTTCTGGGTTCTATCCCAAAACGGAGGTAGGAGAAGACTGATAGCATAAGTACGTCTGATGGAGAGGGGATGGGAACTAACTTGGAAATGATCCAAATATCCATCAAAGGAGGAATAACTGAGTTACAGTACATCCATCCACACAATAAAGTACTATAAAGCCATTAAAAAGAATGAAGTAGGCTGGGTGCAGTGGCTCACGCCTGCAATCCCAGCACTTTGGGAGGCTGAGGCAGGTGGATCACTTGAGGTCAGGAGTTTGAGACCAGCCCGGCCAACATGGTGAAACCCCATCTCTACTAAAAATACAAAAATTAGCCGAGCTGTTATCCCAGCTACTCGGGAGGCTAAGGCAGGAGAATCGCTTGAACCTGGAAGGCAGAGGTTGCAGTGAGCCAAGATCGCGCCACTATACTCCAACCTAGGTGACAGAGTAAGACTCTGTCTCAAAAAAAAAAGGAAAAGAGTAGATACATAATGGTATAATTTTATATGTATTAAAAAGATGTTCAGGTAGATCACACACACACACACACACACACACACACACACACACACACTCTCTCTCTCTCTCTCTCTCTCTCTCTCTCTCTCATCATTTTTTTGAAAAATAAATTCCCTTCTGGGGAGTGGGGCTGAGGGATTAGGGTGGGAAAAACATTTTGTCACATGCCCTTTTATATTATTTCATCTTTTTACCATATGCATTTTTTAGTAAAATTACCTTTTAAAAGTACGTTAAAGCAGAGAAAGGAAATTCCACGGAGCTCTGGGAGACAACTCTGGTGATGAAGATAAAGAAAGGGTTTATCAATGGTAATCTGACACTCTATATCTAATGTACATGACACATTATATCTAGTTCTCTAGAAAAGCCTTCTCAATGCTTTTCATGTCATGGTATGTCTATTAGTTCTCACTAATAGGGTATGCATAAATAAGACAAAGCTTGTATAGCAGACTGGAGTAAAAAGGAGGAGACTGAGGGGCAGATTCACAGGGCTTGGTAAAAAATATTCCATTTTCTTTATATTATGTATTTAGGAAAAGATAAGAGTATTAATGGAGATATTAACTATGATTTTCTATTAAAGTTCCAAATAAAAATCTATTTAAAAATCTTCTAATTTCAATATTTAACAGCAAATTCGTTGGCAAGCTTTGCTCCAGCATAACTGTAAAAGTCGAAGTTTAACTGTATTCCTCCAGAGTTCAAAGGGACAGTACATTGTAACCAATATTTTTTGAAATGAAACATAACAGAAAATAGCATTTTCTGTGTTGTAAGAGAGATTTATTTCAGAGATGTAAAGTGGTTCGTGTGTGTCATGATTGGGTCATGATGCAAAATATACTGAAAAAAGTTTGAAAGCCACTTTTACCCAAGGCTACACAACTAATAGCTGTACACTGAGTAGCCAATGTCCACGAGTAGCCAGGTCCACGAAAACACTTGTGGCAGGAGGTTGGCCTAATTTCAACTTGAAAATGCTGATGAGATGATTTATATAGCTAGTTCTACTACTCAGATATTAAAAAGTAAATTTCAAAATTCCTGACAGACACAACTTCTTAAAGTAAAGCTTTAGTTTTCATGTCACTTATAAGAATTACTGAGTTAACATCCAAACATTTTTCTCTCAATTCTAGCATATTCCCTTTAGCATTGCTGGGATAGTCATGTGTCTTTACAAAGAAAATTAGGGTACTCAAAGCTAGAAAAGATCTTAGAAGAGGCTAACCTAAATTCCTAACTGTACAGGTAAAGAAACTAATGTCCAAAGAGGTAAAACAGTCTCTTGATTCCCAGGCTAGTGCTTTTTGCTATGATACCACACCTGTGCTTTATTCTTACATCCTTATGAAGTTAGAAGTCAGCTAAATCCAATTACTACCAAGTAAAAAGGAGGAAGCTGAAGCAAGGAGATGCTAAGAAGTCTTAGTTCAAAAAGGATGACACAATGTCACCCCTGCAAGCCTTACAGAAATTAGCCATTTTCAACATTCAGATTTGATTTCAACAGAGGCAGTTATTCAGTTTGCTTGCACCAAATGAGTGTCTACCCAAAGTGTACACATGACCACACACCAGAGAGTATAGATAACACAAAGCACAGCCTCTCTCTCTCTACATGCCCACTTCAGTCAGTGAATAATTAAACACTCCAAAGGCATTTAAAACTCAGGTACAAAGAGAAACTCAGTGTGTGAGGGGGAAAAAAGATCAGACAGACCCCCAGTTGCGAAAAAAAAAATTGCTGAACATGGACCTCAATGAACAACAATAATTCTCCTATAGTTCAACTCACCATTCACGTCACAAACTCTAGAAAGAACACAGAAGCACGGAACTGATGAGGCATGGAACAGAACTTTGGGCTGCAGCCTGCCCCAACTCTTCTGACAAATACCCAACAGCAACAGGACAAAGCATCATTATGACAGAAATAAAAGGCTCTTTAGAAGCTGCCTTTTTTTTAATTCAATGAACCCACTCTTACACACAAAGTTCATGTCACGATGTCTCGAAATACAGTATTGCCAGATTATGCTATTAATGGGTCCAATAAATTCAGTACAAAACACTGCTTCAAGCATTTTCAAGTTAAATAACTAGCACATTTGGGAGAATACTATTTGCCTTCATTTGAACAGTCAGTGTCATCCCCAAAATCGTTAAAAATAACAATTCAGTAAACTGTTTAAGAAAGAGAAAGAAAAAAAAAAGCAGACAAGTGAACTAAAAGAAAAAAAACTTAGTGGAGTGATAAAGCCAGAGGCTCCTCCCAAAGAAGAATATTGCATGTTACTAGCAGCTGGCACAAAGCTTAACCATCTATCTTATCTGTGTTTCCCCTTAAGCTGTGAGCAATCAGTATTACAATAGACAATCCATTACTTACAAAAAAATTGAAGTGCTGTACATTTCTTAAGCTGGTTTTTGTGTGGCAATTCTGTTGCAATACTGCCCTAACAATGAACTTTGTTTTAAAGAGCAAGATATCCACACTCAATGTGGTTAGAGCAAGGGTGGAGCTCACTCTGGGGGAAACAACACACCCAGGCAGACTTCAGTGAGAGCAAACTGCACATTAATATTGCCACACATTTTTCAGAGCCTTGGAGTCACAATTAATTCATTAGTCCTCCTAAAAAAGTGGGGGAGAGTTCATGTTTGTAGATCAGCTTTCCTGCCTTGAAGTAAAATGTATTCTCATTTCTTGTTTGTGAAGAAAGTAAAGATAAAATGCAAGACAGATCACACAGTTCAACCAACAGAATGTTAGATGGAAGTAGAGTACTATAAAGGAAGTCCAACCATGCCAACTTCTAAGTTTAGCAACAGCAGCTTTTACATATCTCAAGGTGTCAGAAGCATTGCTCATTCTAAAACATTACTTCAGCCTGTTTCTGGAGGTCCTGACCATGAACACAAATTACCTCTTTCTCTCCTCACCAGTGCTCTAGTTCTCCTAGCAATACACAAACAATAAAAACGTTTTATTATCAACTAGCAATAGTTCCCTTCAAAATAAGATTTATTTTGAATTTATGGAGTTGCTCTGGTAGAATATTGAAATGTACATGTAAAAAAGAAAATTATTTATTATGCATACCATACTTTAAAAAATTTTATACTCACCCACTTTTTCAATAATTTTGTAGGAATTTTATTTTAAAAAGTTTTCCACAGTATGTATAAATACTGTACAAATATCTTTAATAGGATCTAAAATAATTTATCAGTTATTGAAACTATTAACAAACATCTGATACTTATTCAAGTGATTTTAACCAATACTGTTTTCTGTATACGCATATTCAGAAACACAACCAAGAGTTATTTTTAATTGAATTCCTATAATCATAAAATTAAAGTTTGAGTAAAATAAGCATATAAAAAACTATGTAATTGTTTACATAGAATTTAAAATGAACAATGGAAAAGGATTTGAGAGAACACCAGGAAAATATTATTTTTAATGATGCATGTTGTCATGTTACTCTAGCCAAGAGCTACTCTCTCACATTGGAACAATAATTCAGTCTGGAGTATTGAACATTTCAATATTTTGAGAGATGGCCTAGAACATCCTCTCTCAGGACCCTAGTGAGGGGCTGTTGATTGATCTTGCCTTTGTTGGATTATGAGGTCACTCTTGCCACATGATAAATTAACCATTCCAACATACTCTTCTCATAGTCTAACAGCATGATTTATTTTTTCAACCATCTATGTAATTATCAATCACCTGCTGCTATCTCTTGGCTCTTCCTCATCTCCCCCCTCAAACTAACAATTCAAAGTTACCAGTTGGTTATTATAGTAGAAGAATCCTGTCTTGATACTTTTTGGATTTGCACTGGCAGAATGTGTTTTCAAGCCAAACTTCACTTTCACAGCTGCAAAGGAAATGACAAGAGAAGAAAAACACAGCCAATATATATCAGCAATTAATTCCATCCACAACTGCCCAGCTGTTTGTGCATGGAAGAATCAGTCTGTTTCCTTTTGGGGCTTTCACCACTGAAAATTGATACTGCACATTCAGAGACACAAGCTGTTTGTAACATGTCAGGAATGTGCACAAGATCACACAGAGTTGAAGAGACAAAATGAAATCCAGATCTAGTTTTCTTGGGACTTGCCAGTATTATTTCATAGCTTTAAAAAAAAAACAAAAAACCATAAAAACACCCCAATCACAGAGAGAGCAAAATACATGAAAAAATATTCTCCCTTCTGAATATCACCCTTCCAATAAAGGAGAAAATCTGCCAATGATATCAGATTTAGTATCAAGAATAGACACTCTGATTTACTGGCACAGACAAGGTGTGACATTCTTAGGAATCCACATGCCCTCAGTATGTTAAATCCAGCCAATACTCTGGACTACACAGCTACTTGCCCAATGTGTAGTTAGTCCCTTTAAAAAATCCTTATAAATGTGAAAGTTGTTGGGAACCAATGCTTCCACCACAATCATGCAGAAAAGCAAGTTTTTCTTGGTTAGTCTTGATATTATTTGGCACTCACATACACGCCTGTTTCAGGGATTCATGTAAATTTACAGATCCAATCTTCTAGGGTAACTTTCAAGCAGTGAAATTTCTCCTTCCCTCCCGCCTCCTCAGTTTTGTAGATTTTAAATAAAAATACTCTACTGAGTGCCAGAGGCTTAACAACTAAAGTATGAGCTTGTGTGCAACTCATGAAGCATGCTATCCCCCTTCTCTCCTGTCCTCCAACTCCAATTTTATTTCAAATATTTGTTTCATTTAAATTTTGTAAAATGTCATTCTGTCATATTGTATTTTCAGTACATAAAATGACTTGCGATTAGTTATTGTTATGAAAGTTAGCAAAAAGAGAAAGATAGCATTTTAAAAACAAAGTAATTGAAAACATATTTTAGCTTTGTTTAAGATAAAAAAAAAAAAAGGAAATGAGGTAGCCCCATGACTGAATTCATTGTCCTAAGGGCCTTCCCCTTCCCCTTTTGCCCTCCAATCAACGTCAGCTGCACAAGAGTTCACGCACTCCTAGTGCCTGTACATTCTCAAATACAACATAGACAGGACACTCACTCTGGGCACCACTAGGGTCTAGGGCTTGATCAATGAAGAGAAGACAAACTGTCTACTCCAAATAGGGGAGTGAATGAAACATTCCATAAGCTTCCAAATGGAGATGTTTTCAAGTGCCAGAAATCAAACCAGCACAATGAGAAACTGTCTCCAACTAAAGTGCTATGAATCCCGAAGTCACAAAGTTTGATTTGTTAAGGAACTACTAGGCATCTCAAACATGTGGTAGACTAAAAGTACAAAACCAAAAAAAAGGGCTTTTCCTTTTGAACAAACATCATCTGGTCAAGGATATATCGGGTTGGGGGAGGAGAGGAGACAAGTTTAATCTTTGGCTGATGGTGACACCAACTTCTAGAAATGTGGTATAACTATTAGTGACTTAAAACAGCCACAGAGATGAGCTTTGCTTGGCAAGCTTCAGCTCTGTGGGACATTCAGTCTAGCTTGAAATGTCTATGGAAAGTAACCTCTCCATCTACTACAAGACTGGCTAAGGAAAAAAAAAAAAGGTCTGTCTAAACTGTTTAAATCAGGTTAAATTCATGTTAGTCGGGGGTGGGAAGGTGGCTGCTTCCATGGGTTCCTCTACTCAGTTGGGAGCACCTTTGTATTCCAACAGATAGCACAGAGCTTAGAGCTTAGCCCACTGAAACCATCCGTTAAGTGCTGAATGGTAATAGGCATTTAGTTATAATAAAAACAAAACAACTAAGGATGAACACTCTCCAAAAAGGAAAGCAAAATGACAGAAAAATAGGGGGCAAGGAGATGATCAGAGTAAAATGCATGAAATACTAAAAAGATTAAAAACCAACTGTGCAAACTTGTGTGTCCTCAGAGATCTAAATGCTGCTCAGCAGTTAAAGTGCCACTGGAATAATTTAGACTGCTGTGCCGTGCACTTTACATACTTATTCCATGTACTTCCACAGCAACCCTATCGGTAGTACTGTCATGATGCCTCCTTTACAGATAAGAAAACTAGGGCCGGGCACGGTGGCTCACGCCTGTAATCCCAGCAGTTTGGGAGGCCGAGGCGGGTGGATCACGAGGTCAGGAGATCGAGACCATCCTGGCTAACACGGTGAAATCCCGTCTCTATTAAAAATACAAAAAATTAGCTGGGAGTGGTGGTGGGCACCTGTAGTCCCAGCTACTCGGGAGGCTGAGGCAGGAGAATGGCATGAACCCGGGAGGTGGAGCTTGCAGTGAGCCGACATAATGCCACTGCACTCCAGCCTGGGTGACAGAGCTAGACCCAGTCTCGAAAAAAAAAAAAAAAAAAAAAGAAAACTAAAACTCAAAGAGGTTAAGCAAATAAGGTCATACAACTAGTGGCAATGGAGATAAGTCGAACAGTGATTTTTTCATCCCTGGTGATTTTCACAATAGGCCAATTTTACACACACTATGGAGGTTCTAGGTTGAAGAAAACTCAGTTGTGGGATTCAGCTGAGGGAGTAAAACTCAAGGGGAGAAAAAAAGGCCTGGACAAAAAGTAAACCAAAGCCAAGGTGTAAGAGTTGTGTGAGTTCTATGTAGGAGGAAGCTTCATGAAACAGTCTGCCATCCTATAGTTTTAATTCAGAGATGTCCCTTGAACTGTAGAAGGGCTCAAGAGTAGCTCTTACTCTCTCAGAGCTTTTGTTCTCCCAGTTAACTGTTCTCACAAGTGATAATACCACATAGATAACTCCTTGATAAAAATGCTGACCATGGTGTTCATGCTTCAGAAGATAATGAGAGACTATCCAAGTTGGTGAAATCCAACTGTTGTCTGCAGGCATTTCTGACTATATTCTATAATTTCCTATTTGAGGGATGCCCTGGTTTAGCCTCTCCTGCAAAGACGGATTTGTAAAGAAAAGCCTCCTACAGGCCTCCACCCGGTAAAGCCTCAAGTCCCACAACCCTCTGGCTTACTTCCAACATAGCACTCCTTACACTAACTGTCTGTTCCCTGGGTATACCTCTCACACGTACAGTGTGCAACTTGAGGGCAGGGCCCCTCAGGACCTAGACCAGGGGTTGAAAAAGGAGTTTAAAAAATATTATACATGGTGGCCGGGCACAGTGGCTCACGCCTGTAATCCCAGCACTTTGGGAGGCCGAGGCTGGGGGATCACGAGATCAGGAGATTGAGACCATCCTGGCTAACATGGTGAAACCCCATCTCTACTAAAAAAAATACAAAAAAATTAGCTGGGCGTGGTGGCAGGCACCTGTAGTCCTAGATACTCGGGAGGCTGAGGCAGGAGAATTGCGTGAACCCAGGAGGCGGAGCTTGCAGTGAGCCGAGATTGCGCCACTGCGCTCCAGCCTGGGTGACAGAGAGAGACTCCGTCTAAAAATAAATAAATAAATAAAATTATACATGGTAAATGAATAATGTCCCTTGCCTATTTAATATGTGATAGATGGTTATTTGTTAAAACAGGTAATCCAGGATTTAAAAAGGAAGAATTATAGAAAAGGCAAGGTTGGGGATAAGTGAAATATGGTTAATGTTCAAAATAGGCTTTTTCTGGATAAAAAAATGTACACAACATAACCTACAATGATTGGTAAGTTCAGCTTATTAAAGCTGAGGTTGAAATTCAGTAAGTCATTAGGTCTAAAGATTAGGCATGATCCCCATTTAAAACAAAAATTCACCAAACTAGTGAGGTTGTATTGTATCTTCAAGGTTGCCAAACTAGAGGTAGAAAGACATAATATGGCTTTGACTCTACTGATGGCATAGTACTTCTGAAAACTATGCATTTTATTAACACCTTGTGAAGACACAGACTACATGAAAAAGAAAAAAGCACAGAATAAAAAGTGAAGAATAAATCTATTTGTGCCATTAAAAAAATCTGCAATCATGAATAATTTCTGTTTTGGGAAAAGTTCTAAAACGGAATAGAAAACAAGTAAAAACAAAATGAAATATAGCCACAATATACGAAATATTCATGACACATGCAATTTGTTTTTACTTTCTAAATCTTTGAGGTATAACTTTTATTTTTAACTGTGGCAAGAATACATGAGATCTATCCTCTTAAATTTAAGTATACATTACTGTTGATTATAGGTACAATGTTCTATAGCAAACCTAAAGAGCCTTTTTATTTTGTTGGACTGAAACCCTCTCCCCTGCAATTTGTTAAAAATGTTACTTTTGCTTTGAGCTGTTCCATCTAAGGATATGGGGCTCTGTAGGCATTTTTAAATTGCTTTTTCCAACTATGAGACATCATTTTACTTGGAAAAATATGTTTTACGTTTCAAATACTTTACCCAGTAAAAGCCATTCCCCCAATTTTTTTTTAATCTTGGGAAATTTAAGTATCAATAATGTTTCTAAAAATTATCCTCCTAAAACAAATTCAAGCACTTAGCTTCAAACACTGCTGTTGGATAGGTAGGAGGCAAAGCTGGCTCCCCACCCCCCCCCCCCAAAAACAACAAAAAACTAAAAACAAACAAAAAAAAAAACCCACATGATGTGTTTGTAGGCCTACTAACACTCTCAGCTTCTCTGAGATCTAGCTGTAGAACTTGGGCTGCCTGTATATGACAAGAGCCACATCCCAGCCTCTAAAATTAATGCTTTAAGAGTCCTCAGATATGATAAGTAAGCTTTTTCCAAGACAGGGCGAGAGACAAGTTTGGTTATCTGCACCCCTACCCCCCAATCTTTATCCTTCAACCCCTGCATAACTCTGCCTGCCTTCAAGCATCTTAATGTGTTTTTCCACTCAATGGTTGATAGATTTGCTATATACTCAGTGGCATGATAGAAGGTGTAACGAAAACAAAAACAAAACTAGTCTGTAAATGTATTTCTTCTGTACATATTAGAGGGATTTCAGTTTACAGAATCATACATACTGCTCCCAAACATAACTAAAGTGTAGAGTATCAATTTATTCTCTGCAACCTACAGCAGTACTGATCACATAACCTACTTTGATTTTAGATTTTTTAAATTTATATTTAAATTCTGAGTTGGTAAATCAATTCACCATATATTTCTTTTCTACTTTTTTCTTAAATACATTTATTCTACTAACTATTCATTCCCCTACTATTACATGCTACAAGTGAACAGGTATCATGGTAAAAAATGTAAGAAATGAACGAGACATTGTCTCTGACCCTAAAATACTAGCAATTTAGTGGGTTGGGGCAGGGGAGAGGGAGAGACAATTGTAGCACACTCTGTTATTATAATAGATATACTACAGATATACTACAGATATATTCAGAGAAAGGAGCCTATTTGAAAGGTTACAGGGCAAGTTACCCTGGAGCTTGGTCTAAAAGGAATGAGTATATATGTATGGGGTGAAGAGGAAAAAGATTAAAAAAAGACAATATATGTTTTAATAAACTTTTAATACATGGCTTTACTTTAAATAAAAGTATCACAGATTACAACTAATACAAAAGGGAAATCAAAATTGCCACTGGGTAACAGTTTACTGTGGTGTGTATAATTTAAGCTACAGGAAGCCTACAATCTATTAGCGAACCACAGTTTTGTGTCATGTGCTTTTGCTTTCACTCTAATCTGACTTGCATGCTAAGAAAAGAAACTCAAAAGCCATTTATATTCTTTTTTAAACAATGCTTGTTCTTACACTGCATTAACCAATGACTTAGAAATAATTAAGACCAATTATCTTGAAAGCCAGTCAAATTGTAATCTGACACCACATCACCATGAAAAGAGGCATAAGAATGTTCTAGGTTAATACTAAGGTCAGTAAACAAATTTCATGGTCAAGGTGGCACTACATTATACTACACCCTATGAGCTCAAATCCTTAAAAGCATCAAGTATAAGCAAGGTAGATTTAATGGGAGAGGGTGGGAAGGGGAAAAAAAAAACACAACTAATAAGCATTATGTTTTGTAAGGCACTTAAGTTCTAAGGTTCACTGGCCCAGAAAGCTGTTGATATATGAGAAAGGTTACTTTTGTGGATTGAAAAATGGGCTAAGGTGATTAAATATACATTTAAAGCTGAAAGGGATGATATGTTAAATTGCTGAGACTGGGTCACTCATTTGATCAACTTACTATTGATGAGAAAATGCCACAGGGTTAATGTTTAAGATGCTTCCACACTGAAGTACAAATAAATAACAAATCTTCCATTTTTATGAAGAAGAATATGCAGATCATTTACAGCATATACAATCATGACAACCTGAGAGGAAAAATCCTTTAAAATGGAAAAATTAAGGTAGGATTATTTATGTAAATTATTTAAAGATTCCTTGCCAGGTTGTCTTAAATAGTAATCGCACCTGCATTTAACCATGTTATACTGAGATACAGGCAATTTTTTTTTTTTAAGACAGGGTCCCACTCTATTGCCCAGGCTGGGTGCAGCGGCATGATCATGGCTCACTGCAGCCACAACCTCCCCGGGCTCAAATAATCCTCCCAGCTCAGCCTCCCAAGTAGCTGGGACCACAGGCTCACATGACCACGCCCAGCTAATTTTTCTATTTTTTGCAGAGACGAGGTCTCACCACGTTGCCCAGGCTGATCTCAAACTCCTGCGCTCAAGTGATCCAGCTCCCTCAGCCTCCCAAAGTGCTGGGATTACAGGAATAAGCCACCATGACCAGCCACTAGCCAACTTTTTAGGAGCATATACTTTATATAAAGCAAGGGCTGTAAGTACTTTATACTAATGAATTCACACCTACAACATCTAAACTTTGACAAAAAAGAAAAAATCCTTTTGCCTTTCAAAACGTTCACTTCAGGAGTTTAATCCTGGAGTAGGAAATCCTCAATGAATTCTTTGGACAGTGTATATGTACAGCTGTCCCTAGGTATCCATCAGGGATTAGTTCTAGGACCTCCCATGGCCACCAAAATCCAGGATGCTCAAGTCTCTGATATAAAATGAAGTGGTATCTGCATAAAACTTTGTACTTCCTCCTGAATACTTTGAATCATCTCTAGATTACTTATGATGCCTAATACAATGTAAATGCTATGTAAGTAGTTATTCTGTATTTTTACTCTAATATTTTCAATCTGTGGTTGGTTGAATCTGAGAATGCGAAACCCTCAGAAGTGGAGGGCCAACTGTAACTTCCTCAGAAGATTCAGAGAAAGGAGGGGGGGAGGTGGAAAAGCTCATGACAATTGCTTCTGAACTTCTGAGAAGCAAAGTGACAGGAGCAGTACAAAAACTCGGTGGAAGCGGGAAAAGGAGGAGCTAAGAAACCAGATGAAGAGACAATATAGGGAGCCAAGGGTGACATGAGATAAGGGGATCAAGTAACTGTGGCAGCCAAAGACGCTGGGCCACACCCATAGAGAGCTATGTGGCTTATTTCAAGGGGGTGGAACACTGAGCAAGTGAACAATTTTGGTTTTGTTTAACTGAAAGGTTGCACAATCCTGTAAATGGGGGAAGGAAAGGGGGTGTTTTTCCAGTATAGAGAAAGTTAGGATAAATAGTTATCCCTTTAAAAAATATTAAACAAAGAGAAGTAATAACTAAATCATTCAAAGGAATATGAAAAAAACAAAGCAAATCAAAGCAAAAATAATCTAGCATTGTTGGTGTTTTAGAAAAGCGATGTATACCTTATACATGAAAATGAAAAACTGAGAACCTTGAGGAAAGAAATATAAACTCTATGTAAACCCAGAACATTACTTATTGACTGTCATGATGAAGCTTTTTATCTTGTGGACCATGCCATCCTTCAAACTACAAGATCCCCATAAAGTACACTGACACGAATTTTGGGGTATGTGGATCAGTGTAAGGTTCTTCCTCACTCCAACTTTAAATATGGCAGCTTATAGAAATAATTCTCAATGACTGGATTCTTAAAACTTAATCCAAGATAAGCAATACTGTGACTCCTGTGGGATATTTCCAAGTTATTAATCTGAAACAGTTCTCAACCTCTTTAAACTCATTCCTGCTGGTCCAATATAATAAATGATATGATGCTTTAAATAAAAAGGGGAGGTGGAGGGAAGAAAGAAGGCCCAAGTTAGCACCTCTGAAGTTGCTTTAAAGTTTATAAAAACTGCAAATGAGAAGTAATAACATAATATACATTTATTGTATTTTTCAATCATGTGGCTAGAAACTACAGAAATAATTTTAGAAAGGCTTTCTTCCAGGTGCAAATTACTTTATTTGATTTCACGTTTAACAGTTACTGCCTTTACTACACTCTAGGAAATGAAAGTTGAAAAATATTTCAGGTTTTTTATAGATGATTTATTAATCAAATCTACTGATTTTTCTAAGCATTAATATCTTCCTACAGGAATTTTTTTAAAAGGCACTATACAGTTAACAAGCATTTGCTTTCACCATAATACAAAAGTCAAGGTGTGCTTGCTAAACCAGAAACCAATCAGTGCACCTAGACCCGTGTTCTTAACACAGTCAGAACAGAGCAACCAAGTGTAGCTTTAATATTTTGGCTTACCAGTTTGTAAACAAAAATTTGTAGCTAGAGTGCAAAAGAGGGATCTAAATATACAAACCTCTCTCAACATAATGTCATTATATAGATCACACCACTAGTAAGAAACGCTCATGGAAATACTCGTTTTAGAATTTCCAAAAAATTCTAGACAATTATATCTCAAAGAAATATAAGCTGCTTAAAATTTACAAAAGAATTTCAGAGTCATAGTCAACAACTAGAAACCAGGTTTTCTTCTACTCACAAATTGTGGGCTATGCTTATCGAAGCCTGTAACAGACTTCTAAAAGATGGGGAGTTACAGAGAACCCCACAAAAAAAACCCAGAATGTTGAAGGGTTCATTCTTAGTTAAAAGATTGACCAAAAAGAAAGAAAAAAAAATCTATCCCTTAACAGAGAGAATTAAAAACCCTAATCAAGGGCCAGGCACGGTGGCTCACACCTGTAATCCCAGCACTTTGAAAGGCCAAGGAGGGTGGATCACGAGGTCAGGAGATCGAGACCATCCTGGCTAACACAGTGAAACTGTCTCTACTAAAAATACAAAAACTAGCCAGGCATGGTGGCACACACCTGTAGTCCCAGCTACTCAGGAGGCTGAGGCAGAACTGCTTGAACCTCGGAGGCAGACGTTGCAGTGAGCCAAGATTGTGCCACTGCCCTCCAGCCTGGGCGACAGAGAGAGACTCTCAAAAACAAACAAACACTCAAATCAAAAAGCCTTATCTGTCTTTTCCAGAACGCTGAATGGAAAAAGTCTCCCTTGCTAATCTGTAACAATAGGCCTACACTCACAAAGATTTGAGATTTGGGTTTATACACCAGCATGGTCCAGAAAACCCCAAGTCAAGAGAGAAACATGAAGTGGTCTTCATGTTTCAAGACCCTTAAATTAAGTGTTCAAAACCCTTAAAGATAAAATTAGAAGCATGAGAAAGGAAGATGCTATAAAGACCAGCAGATTTTAAGGACTATCGAATAATTGAAAAAACTTAATGGAGTAACAGTACATGAGACCCAAGAGAGTAAACTAAAATACATACTTGAAAAAACTAGCGAGAATGAAGCACAGAGACACAAAGAAACAGAATATACAGAAGAGAGGCTAAAAGAGGTCGGGCGCCGTGGCTCACACCTGTAATCCCAGCACTTTGGGAGGCTGAGGCAGGTGGATCATTTAAGGTCAGGAGTTCGAGACCAGCCTGGCCAAAATGGTGAAACCTCGTCTCTACTAAAAATACAAAAACTAGCCGGGCATGGTGGCACACACCTGTAATCCTAGCTACTCAGGAGGCTGAGGCAGGAGGATCACTTGAACCTGGGAGGCGGAGGGTGCAGTGAGCCAAGATCGAGCCACTGTACTCCAGCCTGGGCAACAGAGTGAGATTCTTTCTCAAAAAAAAAAAAAAAAAAGGGGAGAGAGAGAGGCTAAGAAAAAATGAGAGAGAGAGAGAGAGAGAGAGACAGACAGAGACAGACACACACTAAGAGACTTTAGTAAAGTCCAACATACCAAAGTTCCTGAAGAGGAAATAGATCAGAGGAGATATTCAAGGAAATCATGGCTAGAGACTTTTTGCAGAGTGGTCCAGGGACAGACTGCCTACAAAGGACTGACAATTAAACCTGCAACAGACTTCAAAAGAAGACTAAATAAAAGCAATGAGACAAAGAAATATATTCAAATTGCTGTGACAAGATGTCAGTCTAGGAATTGTATATCTAACAAAACTATCTTTGGAGAATAAGAGTAAAATAAAACACTGTCTCACTAAAAAGTTTTATGAACTTACTAAAGGAACTTTTAAAGGACAAATTCTAGGAAGAAAGAAATTAAAACTGGAAGGGCAGGCTGGGATGGAAGAAACAACAGTGAGTAAAGAAATTTGTAATTTTTTTTTTCTTTTCTGAAACAGGGTCTCGCTCTGTCGCCTAGACAAGATCTCAGCTCACTGCAACCTCTGCTTCCCAGGTTCAAGCGATCCTCCCACTTCAGCCTCCTGCATAGCTAGGACTACAGGTGCGTGCCACCACCCCTGGCTAATTTTTGTATTTTTTGTAGAGATAAGGTTTTGCCATGTTGCCCAGGCTGGGAAACATGCAGTTTTAAAAATACTGTATAAAAAAATAGCAATAACAAATGCAGGTGGTTAAAAACAAGGTGAACTAATACCCTGGTTAATAATAGCATATAAGATAAGAATAGAAAATAAGAGTGTTTTAAGATCCTTGTATTGTTCAGAAAAAGGGAAGAGACAGCTATTAACTTTGGATTTTAAGAATGGATGTTAACATTTTAAGGGTATCTGAAAAAAGATAATCCAGAATATATCTTTTTAGACCACTGATATCAATAATAAAAAGAAAAATAACCCAATTTTTCTATTAGTAAAAGACGTGAACAGCACTTTGCAAAAGCACATCCAAAAACCCAGTATGTACATTAAGAAGTGCCCATCATCATTAGTTATAAGGGAAATAAAAATTAAAGCCACAGTGAGATACCACTATCTACCTACCAGTGTGGCTAAAATGAAAACAGAAACAAAAAACTTAATATCAAGTACTGGCAAGGATGTGGAACATCTGGAACTCAGAGTTGGTATGTCAATTAGTACAAATACTTTGGGAAACTGGCCTTACCTGCAAAAGTTGGAGACACACATGCCCTGTAAGCCAGCCACTCCTCTCCCAGAAATACACTCAAAAGAGCTGCATGGATATGAACAACAAAAACCATACAACAAGGATGTTCATGGCAGAATTATTTTTAATAGATGCAAACTGGAAACAATCTGAATGACCATTATCTAAATGAATTATTTTATGTTCATAAAATGGAATACAGTACATACAATAAAGAGAATGAATTACTGTTACATTTAACAACACAGACAAATCCCACAGGAAAAAAAATGCTGGGCAAAAGAAGCTGGAGACAAAAGAGTAGATATTGAATGATTCCATGTATATAAAATCCTGAAACAGGCAACACTACTCTATGGTATTCAAAACTAAACTTTGAATTTAGAATATGGTATGTTCAAAACTAAATTATGTCAGGATTATGGCTGCCTTGCAGAGAGAGGAGAAATGCCTGAGAACCCAGAGCAGGGTGTTGCTAGCATTCTAGTTCTTGACTTAGGTAGGTTACACACGGTGTTCACTTTATATATATATATATATATATATATATATATATATATATATATATAATGAATATATATATTCATATTCATCAAGCTGTACTGTTATGATTTCTGTACTTTTCTATATATATGTTAAACTTGCATTTAAAAGTTTATCTGAAAAAATTAAGTGATTTAAAAGAAAGAAAAGCCTCCCCTCTTTCTATAGCAAGAATTTATAACTTGATGCCATTTTTTCTGTTGGTTAGCTTAGCTCTCTGGAGACACTGTTAAATCCTCTTTCTCACAAAACCAAAGCATTTTCGTATCCAATTTCTTATAAGAAGTAATCTAAGTTCTCCTATATGAGCTCTATATATACTCCTATACAAAATGTAAGTGATCCATGTAATATCAACTACTTAGCAAGGAGGCATAATAAATAAAGAAATTCAAGAAAATTTAGGTCTGAAATCAGTACACTACTTAACTCCGCTTCTCCACCTCAACAATATAATGGATTTAAATACATAGTGCAGCATAAATTATCACAATGTTCAATCACTGTGGCCAACAGCAGTGTTACAGTATTAATGCATTCTGTTGTCTGAATTCAACAGCTTCTCCCATCTTCAGCTCCTGATGCCATTTTTCAGTGATAAGAAACATTAACAACACATTCACAAAACACTTAAAATCTAAATTAGGCCTTCTAGTCGTTAAAAAAAATGAAGACATTGTTCGAAACTAAATTATGCAAAATGAAAACAAAAACCTGCATGTAACCACTAACCCACAACAAATAATTAAGAATTATTTTTTCCCTTAATCACAATCTTTCTGCTGGGGAGAGATAATCAGAACAGATCCCGAAATATCTGTTCAAGACTAACACATTTCAGGGTTACACAATCTTGCCCTATCCAATCTTGTCCTAAGAGAATTTTCTGAATTCTCAGTGTAATAGAAATTTTATATCCATATTATGCTACTTTTGCCTAATACTGTTTTATCTCATAGTTTAAGAATCTGGTAGAGTGTGATATGGAAACGTATCTGCTGGTAGAATGCTACTTTCTGATACGTTATTGAAGAGCAAAGGCTGGGAGGAAGATTCCTAGAAAAAACTAATTTTGTCTTCTTCACTAATTTATTAAAATCGGTTACCATTTTGAAAATTTTGGGGGTACATTTCACACTTTCAAATATATAAAGGTAGGTTTGTATTAATTTTATTTAATTTTTGAGACAGGGTCTTGCTCTGTTGCCCAGGCAGGAGTGCAGTGGTGAGATCACAGCTCGCTGCAGCCCTGACCTCCTGGGCTCAAGCAATCCTCCACCTCAGCCACCTAATAGCTGGGACCACAGGTACACACCCTCACGAGCCAGCTATCTTTTTTTTTTTTTTTTGAGATGGAGTTTCACTCTTGCTGCTTAGGCTGCAGTGCAATGGCCTGCATTGGCATGCAATGGCATGATCTTGGCTCACCGCAACCTCTGCCTTCCAGGTTCAAGCCATTCTCCTGCCTCAGCCTCCCAGGTAGCTGGGATTACAAGCATGTGCCACCATGCCCAGCTAACTTAGTATTTTTTTTTTTTTTTTTTTTTTTTTTTTTTTTTTTTTAGTAGAGACAGTGTTTCTCCATGTTCATCAGGCTGGTCTTGAACTCCCGACCTCAGGTGATACGCCTGCCTCGGCCTCCCAAAGTGCTGGGATTACAGGCGTGAGCCACTGCACCTGGCCTCGATATTTTATTTTTTGTAGAGATGGGGTGTCCTCCTGTTGCCCAGGCTAGCCTCGAATTTCTGGGCTCAAGTGATCCTCCTGCCCTGGAACCCCAAAGTGTTGGGATTATAGGTGTGAGCCACCGTGTCTGGCCTGGCCAATTTGCATTCTTGACAGTAAAAATCTAGTAGTCAGCAGAACTAGGTTCTAGTTCCAGTTCTAGCTCTGATTTTAACTCCCACAATGATTTTGGTTAAGTTACTCAGTCTTTCTAGCACTCACTTTGCTCAAGTGAAAATGAGAGGACTGAATTAGATGCCCTTGAAGATTTCATACAATTCTAATATCCTATAATGGGTCTAGTGTAGAATGTATCTCAGACTAGAAATTTACAAGGATGATTATGGTACCCAGATAAAGATAATACAGCAATACAAAAGAAAAGCAAATAGTTAACCCTTAATTAGCCAGTCCATTTGTTAAGTTAGGTCTCTGTGCAAATGGATATTCCTTCCTCTACAAGCACCTGAATTTCATCTATTTCAGCACTTATGGGCACTGCAGAAGTGTCTATGAAGTACAGTACCTATTTGCTTTATACCTTGCAAAAGTACTTCTTGAAGATGCTATCATTCTGCTTTCCCAAAGGAAAGCTGACTCCAGTCAATCCTGTCTCATTTATACTTTCAACATCAATTAGCATTAAGGGGACATACACAGAAACCACCACTCCACCCAAAAAAAAGACTGACAACCCTTTTCCAGGCTGCACTACACCAATAAAACTGTCATTCAGTAAGTCAATCCCATAAGTCCCTCTCTACTACATACACTGTCAGGAAGCCATCAGCATTACCTGTATCTACTTTGGCTGTCATTTATGGCTCTGCTGGATGAGCCTCACCATCTGGAACACCATGGCTCCATCTTTCTAAATTAAACAGCTCAGCTGGCTTACCTCTTTCTCATCTTTCATATTATATAGCGGTGGGTTTTTCAGAGTAATAGGCACTAATACAATGAGAGGGACAACATAGTCATAGCACAAAGCTCAGGCTCAGTGAATGTCAAATACGGTCAAAAGGACCTTAAAGGTCATCTAGTCCAATTCTTTCTTTTCACTTGTGAGAATTCAGAGGTGCCCAATGTCACTATCTAAGGTCATACAGAATGTGCGTAACCTAACTTCAGGCTAGTACTCTTTCTACTCTATAAAATTTAAAGTTGCCTCTCAGGAAAGAATGCTTAAATTGGAATCCACCTCCTATAGAACACGGTAATTGTCATTCCTCTATAGCAACAATGAAACATCCACTTCAAATGAGATGAGATACTGAAAAACTTCAAGTTCTGTCTGTCCAAATGTCAAAAAATGAATTTGTGTTGATAGACACAATCTACTAGCATATTAGGCTCAGACAGAGTGCAAAATCCCAAGGAAGGAAGTAGTTTAATATTGTTCCAGTGGCAAAGATTTTTAGGATAGTGAGATGAAAGAAATGTCCCGAAGTTGTCCTCAAGCTTTGAGAGAGAATAAAATGGTGGAATGGTTAGAACACAGAGCAAGCATTTGATTCTTTATAAAGAAATTATCTGATTTGCAAAGAAATAAGACAACTGCTTCAATTATAGCACTAGGCTAAAATATCCAAGTGCTTTTGGGACTTTCTTGTAAAATTTTATTCAGAGGGGGGGTTTTCCTTGTCATTTAGTTTTTGCAGCACACACACTCCATATTTAATCCACTATCTGCCTACAACCTAGTACTTAGCTATTATTCACATTCTCATGTGGGCATATACCCAACTTCTTACTCCATCAAACACTGGAATAAACGTTAATATATTAGGAAATTAGAAAAACGAAATGAACAGGAGGGAAAGCAAGTACATTTTCACACAAAGTACAGGATACAGCTGTGATCTGTCAAGCTTACAAGACTGTCTCCTTAGCTAACAGCAAAGCTACAGGACTATCTTCTCAGCTGAACAGGAAGTCGCAGTCTAAAAAACATAAATGTTCCCAAGCCTCAACTCTATTCCCTTCACTTCACATTTCTAGCATGCATTAACCCTTTGACCAAGCCTGTGTAATACACCCATTCAAGTAGCCTTGACGAGGTGTCAGCAAGTCTATGGATGACAAGTACTTTGAGAGTCCACAGAATAACCTTTCATCATGATGTCCCTAAATAAAAAGCCATGTGGGACTAATGTGTTTGGTTGTACTCTTCAGAATAAACAGGTTGTAGCAAGAAAGACAAAACCAACTTTGGCCTTTGAGAAATTCATACTTGTATGAATGATCTTTATTTATTTTTTATTTTTTTTGAGACAGAGTCTCGCTCTGTCACCCAGGCTGGAATGCAGTGGCACCATCTTGGCTCACTGCAACCTCCGCCTCCTGGGTTCAAGCGATCCTTCTGCCTCAGCCTCCCGAGTAGCTGGGACTACAGGCGCAAGCCACCACGCCCGGCTAATTTTTGTATTTTTGGTAGAGATGGGGTGTCTCTATATGGTGATAGTGGCCAGGCTGTTCTCGAACTCCTGACCTCGTGATCTGCCTGCCTTGGCTTCCCCAAGTGCTGGGATTACAGACACCTGCACCCGGCCTATTTATTTATGAGACAGAGTCTTGCTCACTTTGTCACCCAGGCTGGAGTGCAGCAGCGCGCACTCAGCTCACTGCAACCTCTGCCTCCCGGGTTCAAGCAATTCTCCTGCGTCAGCCTCCTGAGTAGCTGGGATTACAGGCATGCGCCACCACGCCCAGCTAATTTTTGTATTTTTAGTTTAGACAGGACTTCACCATTTTGGCCAGGCAGGCCTCAAACTCCTGACTTCAAGTGATTCAACTGCCTCAGCCTCCTAAAGTGCTGGGATTACAGGCATGAGCCACTGTACCCGGCCTGTATGGGTGATCTTTAGTTTTCCATTTCTGAAAGTGTTTCCATGGTACCAACATATAATTTAAAAAAATAGAATTTCCTTTATCTTTCATAGGATCCTGTGTCAGCTAACAGACAAGGCACCTAACCCAGGCCCAAGGTAATGGAGGTGAAAAGAGAGCACTTCACAATGGATCTAATGTAATTTTTAAGTGATTTATAAATTAAATGTCACTTATAAACTATAATTTTAAAAGATGAGAGTCAAGGAAAGAAGGAAGACAGTGTTGTAGGCACTGGGAAAACTTTTGCAACCAATGATAATTTAACAGTAATATGACAGATCCTTCCTACAGTTCCACTTTAGAATGGATTTGTGATACTGAAAAGAATCATGAGCTAGATACTTAGATGCTGATTAGAGGTGCCCAGGTACATCAGCAGATCATATTCCAAATGATAGTTCAACATACATAAAAGGCTCAATACAAAGGAAATAGTGATATCCTCAAATGGTGTGTTTAGAAAAGAGAGGAGGTGGTGAGCATTTTTTCCCCAAGAAAATGCTATAGAATTATTTTCAAATTAATACTCCTTTCAATGTCTTGATTTCCCAGCTTACCCTTTACATCAGAGGAGAGCACAGCACTGTTGCCACAGTCCTCACAAAGTACTATCACCGTGGGTATGATACACAAAGAATGGAGCTAACTCTCAAACAGGAAGTCACCATCTCGTCAATCAGATGGTACACATTAGAAATGAAAAGATCAGCAATATGTAGAAAGCAATAAAGAACATGTAGAATCGAGAGAAGGAATTCTGAGATCTTGCCCTTTTTCACAGGCGGCTCCACAGTTTATCAACAGCTGGGAAATTTCCTGTTCACAGGAAAAGGATGACTTCTTAGTTCACGTTAAAGTGGAAATGACAAAAACTGACTGCATCACACAGAAAAAAAGGTGTTTCCTGAAAAAAGGAGAGACAGAGTGCTGCCTTTATTTGCAAAAGAAATCTCCCTCCTCAAAAAATACACCACAAAAACCCAAAGTACAAAGGAAAAGCAAAATAGCATGCATATGGCAAGCCAAAAAAAAAAAAAATCTTCAGGAGATAAAGGAGAAAATAACTAAATCAAAGAAATATTTCATGGTAAGAGTTAGCTTCAGTGGGAAAATCATTTTGTCCCTGTGGGTTATTTTAAATGCAAATATGCATAAGGGAAATGATAGCATATTTCCACTTGATATTCATGCAAAGATTTTTATCTATAATTTTTGAAAATGATTATCTAGCATCAGCTTTTCTACATACATACACAAAAGAATCCATACTTCATCACTAACTTATCATTAGCTCCTATGGATTATTTCAAAGAATCACTGCTTGGTTTATTCTTTAAATTACAGTGATTCTTAAAAAGTATATTCTTTCATTGCAACAAAAAATATTTGTTGGGTGCCTACTGTTTACCATTTTACATGCTGGGGTCTCAGTGGAGAACAAGCTTCCTGCCTTCCTGGAGTTTTGCCTAGTTTTGTTTTATTGACTAGAGCAGTGGTTTTCAAACTTTACTGCAAATTAGAATCAGATGAAGAGCTTTAAAAAAATCCCAGTACCCAGACTGCACCGACACCATTTAAATCAAAATCTCAGCAGTGAGACCTAGACATCAATAATTTTGAAGCACCAAGTGACTCCAAAGAACAATAATGTTTGAGTACCAGTAGATCTAAAGCATTAGTTCCTGGCTAGGAGTGGTAGCTTAGCCCATAATCCCAGCACTTTGGGAAACCCAGGCAGGAGGACTGATTGAGGCCATGAGTTTGAAAGCATTAGTTCTCAACTTGGGTCTTTGAAAAAACACCTCTTGGTCAGTAAAACTGTTTTCCTGCATCTTTAAGGAAGAGGAATTTTCCAGAACTACTAGGAAAAATTACTGGCAACTATTTTTGGATAAGTAACAATATAATATATTCAATGCAGAGAAGAGTTAGTTGTCACATAATACCCAATTAGAGAAGTGCAGAGTCGGGTAGAGAAAGGGTTGATATGGGGAGAATTGGGGGTATGAAAAAATGCACTGGGTCACTAACCCCAGCCCATCTCTTATCCATAAAGGCATCAAAATATTTTGCAACCTAAGGAATTCTTGAGAAAATAATTGGAAACTGTTAAGAACCTAGAGTTTCCCTGTATCACTGACCACAGGAATCCAAAGAACTTTCAAATAAAGACATGGGTCTAGAAAGAACGAAAACTAACCTAATTATAATCCCATCTTCCCATTAGTATAGCCACTGCCCAAATAGTCCCTGTGATAGCTAAAGAAGACCAATAAAAAGAAAGGGTTTTTCCTTTGCTCCAGGTGCATGGTTAAGGGTACTTTTGAGGAAGGTGAGATAAAAAGTAACTTCAAGTTTTACTCGCTATAGAGATCTTAGAATTTAAATGTGTGCCAATTGTTTCAAATTCAATACTTTGAGGAATCTATTCAGTGTTGACTAGACAAATCTGATTTGTCCATTTCCCATTTCCTTTTATTAACTCTTAGAGCAAATTAATACTCTAAACCACAAAATTAATTTTTCACTTTCTACTCCAAGTCCTGTAATTATTTTGTAAAAAATTCCATTTATTTCCCAAGCATAAGGAAAGGTATTTTCTACTTCTAAAAATTAATGCCTACTACTGTTTGTGATAAGGAGAAAAAACCCTTACTTCGGCTGTGCTGTCATCTTCAAAACAGTTTTAATTCCCAATATAAAATGGGGTTGATACTAATTGTCTTAGTCTTTGCTAGTTTTCAATTGCACTTTCCTGCTTTTGTAAATATTATGTTTAAGCCTAAAATTAATCATTAAAGGAATCAGTTGATTAGAAAACATATCATTCAATGTAAGAACACAAAGTCTGCAAATGCAAAATGAAAGTGAGTAACTCTAGTATGCAATTTATTCATGGAACTAAAGATTATATACATTTGAGCATCATCAGAACCTATTGTGAATTATGTTAGTTTGAGGATTAAGGTTTTCCCTAAACCCAAGAGCCAAGGAAGGGTAGCAGTGATGCAGCTAGTTATCTCATTAACACTGGAATTGTGATGTGATTTCAGATGTCTTTGCTGACTTATAAAAATCTGCTTGCAATACAACAGCCTTCAGGTCACAAACTCATACATATGCTACCAAAGGGATTATATAGTCTGCACATTTAGCTAGGCCAAAAGATTTCATAGTCGTTAGCATGGATTTATGTTTCATTTGACCGTTACTGTCTTATTCCATTGAGAAAATTTGTATAATGAGCTTTATGTCATTTAATAAACTATGCCAAGAAAGTCTTGATTAGAAGGAGCTGTGTAATCTCTATCAGCATAGTGTCTTCAAGTTTATAATGCACTTTTACATCCTTCATTTCATTTTATGCTCAAAACAACTTTTAAAAATCATAGCTCCAATACATAGACTAAGATCCATTTTGTGGCTTAGACAAGTTAAGGGATTTACTCAAGGACACAGAGTTACTAAGTTGCTGAGTTAGGACAGGAATCAAAGACTCTGATGCCTGCCTCTTTGTTCTTAGACAATTGAGCTGCCATAGTTACTCACTTATACTTTATCCATTTTTGTTTTAATCTGGGCTTTTCTTAGAAAAAAAAATCAAGGAAAAATAAGATATTAATATTGTAAATATTCATTAAAAGCTGAATCTGAGATAATACCATTGCCAAATAACTTATGCTGTGAAACTCAGCAACCCATATTTTTTTATCAACTGCCAAATATGGAACACTGAACTCAGTACTCATCCCAAAACATGCTTATTTCTCAGCAAATTAACGTTCAAGAAGTACCACGTGTAATATTTCTGAAATTAAGGGTAATAGCAACAAGTAGCTGAGTGGCTTATGTAAACAGACTGCTTTACCACTATTTTCTATGGTCATGCAATACCATAATTCAGAACACCCGGGCAAGAAGTTCAACAGTTCAAAAAAATATTTTGACTACACCTGCCCATATGTTTTTATCATCATAACTTATTCCTGTTTCTTGTCTGATATTTTAGCATTAAAACAGCTAATATTATTGGGCACTTACTAGAGGTAAACACTTTACATGAATTTCATTTAAGAATGAGAAAACTGCTGGGTGCGGTGGCTCATGCTTGTAATTCCAGCACTTTGGGAGGCAGAGGAAGGCGGATCACGAGGTCAGGAGTTCAAAACCAGCCTGGCCAACATGGAGAAACCCTGTCTCTACTAAAGATACAAAAAGTTTGCCAGGCATGGAGGCCAGGCGCGGTGGCTCATGCCTGTAAGCCCAGCACGTTGGGAGGCCAAGGTGGGCAGATCACGAGGTCAGGAGATCGAGACCATCCTGGCTAACACGGTGAAACCCTGTCTCTACTAAAAATACAAAAAAATTAGCCGGGCATGGTGGCAGGCACCTGTAGTCCCAGCTACTTGGGAGGCTGAGGCAGGAGAATGGCATGAACCCAGGGGTGCAGAGCTTGCAGTGAGCGGAGATCGTGCCACTGCATTGCAGCCTGGGGGACAGAGCGAGACTCCGTCTAAAAAAAAAAAAAAAAAGAAATTTTGCCAGGCATGGTGGTGCGTGCCTGTAAATCCCAGCTACTCCGCAGGCTGAGGCAGGAGAATCACTTGAACCTGGGAGGTGGAGGTTGCAGTGAGCCGAGATCGCGCCATTGCACTCCAGCCTGGGCAACATGGCAAGACTCCATCTCAAAAAAAAAAAAAAAAAAAAGAGAAAACTGGCTTTCTCCCAAGATCTTGCAGCTAGTTGAGTGATAGTCCCAGATTATCAATCTAGGGCTTCTAATTCTAAACTCAAGACTCCCTGTATTACACACAAATAATAGCAGCATTATCTGATAGGGCTGAAATATTTTGAGACTCAGATTTATGGCTCTTAATCTTTATACTACATTCTTGATTTCTGAAAATGTACTATAAAAGTAACACATACTCAATATTCACATACCATTCCCCCAAAATAAATTTTAATCAAAGTCAGGTACATCTTTCACACATTCTCAGCATATATAAACGAAACTTTATTGTTCATACTTTTAAAAATCTATTATATCGCATATTCTGTTCTACAGCTTAGTTTTCAAACATTTATAGTGGACATTTTATTCTAAGTCAGTACACATCAAATGACCTCATTCTTCAACGGTTGCTGTGCATGATTATGGCATACACATCTCCCATTTCCAGGTCGGTTTGTTTTCTTGTCATTACCAATTCTGTTATGATAAACATCTTCGTACATAGAACTTGGCATTTTTTGGAACTAAAATGTAAATTTCTAGAAATGTAACTGACAAGTCAAGGGGTAGTTGCATTTAACCTCTGACAAATTGCCTTCCATAAAAGTTAAACTTATTAATACTTTCAACACCAGTGTGTACATGAGAATTGGAGTTTTCTGTTCTAGGGGAATTTTACCTACTCTTATTTTACCTATTGATGAGAACAATAATCCTCAAGGAAAATGAATCAGTCATTAACTTCACAGTGAAAATTAAGACTACTGATGGTTAGTAAAGGTTCCAATTACTATTTTTTTAAAGTTAAAAAAATGAACAAAAGCAAGCTATAAAAACAAATTTATAACACAAGTACACCCTGTGAGAGAAAATGTACTACTTTAAGTTTACTCATAGAAAAACAATAGTCTTGGGTATTACAGCATATGTACTAATTTCTAATGAGTATTACTAGAAATGCAGACATAAAATTTAAACACATAGAGATGACCTTTATAGAATCCAGATAGACAGTTTCTAACAGTTATAACCAAAAAGAAGATACATTGAGAAATGTTCAATGAAAAGTAAAAAGCTATTTTATATTCCATTATCATTTGCCACAACAACAAAAAAATCCACATTATACCCAAGCAGAAACTGGCATTATGTAAATTCATCTACTTGAAAGTGAATCCAACAGCATTCTTTTTATTACTATTGAACTAAATGTGAAAATGTAGACAGATCACTGGTAAATTGTTCAGTTGATTTTTCCCCATTCTGCTATGATCTTATGCTCTCAGCCATCTGGCTTGTATTTACTGTACTACTGGGAAGCTGTATTTGCTCACTAACAAAAGTAAAACTCTATTTTTCCTATTGTGTTTGCATAGTTATTCCCATGTGTTTGTTTGTTTGTTTCCATTTTCTAAACCAGGTATTTTGCCCACCTCAGGACAAACTCTTCAAGGCCTCATTATTATTTATATCTTCATAGAACATACTATATATTTATGGTTGTTCCTGCACTCCATTTGAACAATGTTTCTTAAAGCTCTAAGGAAATTCACCTTTTCTACTTCAACTTCTGCAACCCTGTCTTTGAATGGACCTTAGTTCCTTTCATTTGAGTCACTGACTTTCCTATCAAATATAACCTCTGAAATGGTTTTCAGGCTTAAAAATAAAACTATTCACTTATTTACATTTTTGATATAAGCTATTTGTCAAAGTAACCACGTATCTTTATGCACAGGAGGAGCCTGCAGTTTAAGAAAGCTGTTTTACCCTAAACATTTATTAGCATAGACCATCGGTCCCCAACTTTTTTGGCACCAGGGAAGACAATTTTTCCACAGACTGGGGGTCGGGAAGAAAGGGGATGGTTTCCCAATGGAACTGTGGCTCTGATTATCAGGCACTACATTCTCATGAGGAGTGTGCAACCTAAATTCCTTGAATGCGCAGTTCACAACAGGGTTCGGGCCCCTATGAGAATCTAATGCTACCACTGATCTGATAGGAAGTGGAGCTCAGGTGGTTATGCTCACTTGCCTGCCACACAGCCCGGTTCCTAACAGGTACTGGTCCGGGGCCCAGGGAATGGGAACCCCTGGCAGGGACCATTAGGCTGAAGCAGATATCTTATGAGCAGTGATTCTTTGGTGTTTTCCTAAAGAGGGAGGGGGTACCTACTACTTACTTTCCAGGTAGACAGAGGTGATATGAAAGATCCCTCTATAAAAGAAAATTATTGGTACATTTTTTTTCAATTCACTTATAATACCTGTACATAGTAAACAATTCAGTGGTACAGAAAAAGCCAAACTGGGCTGGGCATGAAGGCTCACACCTGTAATCTCAACACCTTGGGAAGCTGAGACAGCACCTTGGGAAGCCCAGGAGCTTGAGACCAGCTTGGGCAACATGGCAAGACCTTGTCTCTAGAAGAAAAAAATTTAAACTTAGCCATGATGGCGTGGGCCTGTGGTCCCAGCTACTTGGGAGGCTGGGTTGGAGGATCGCTTGAACCCAGGAGGTTGAGGCTGCAGTGAGCCATGTTCGTGCCACTACACTTCAGCCTGGGCAACAGAGCAAGACTCTGTCTCAAAAATAAGTAAATAAATAAAAAGCCAACCGTAAAAAGGAATCTATACAATTAAGTTACTCTTCCTCTCAACCTTGAACTCCTTCCTAGAAAGAACTACTTTTGCCACCCTGTGATTCTTTCTATGCATTTCCTGTTTTTACAAAAATTGGAGAATGCACACTTCTCTACATCTTGCTTTGTTCTACTTAATGGTATACCCTAGAATATGTTCTATTTCAGGACTTAGAGAGCCATCTAACTTATTTTTAAATGGTTGCACAGTATTCCACTGTATGGATATATCACTATTTAGCAAATTCCCTATAACAGGCATATAGATTTTCCCTAATATTTCACTATTATAATGATGCACTTATATATACTTATTTGCAAATATTTATATAAATTTTGTATTATGTTTAACTTTTGGAGGAACCACTGTATAGTTTTTCCATAGCAGTTGCACCATTTTACATTACAAGCAGCAGTTTCTAATTTCTCCAGATCCTCATCAACATTTTAAATTTTGGTAAAGTTCAATTACCTATTTTTCCTTTTGTTGCCTGTTTTTTGGTGTCACATCCAAGAAATCATTTCCAAATCTGATGTCATGAAGATTTCCCTCTGGTTTCTTCTAAGAGTCTTATGGTTTTAGCTCTTTATTTAGGTTTTTGATCCATTTTGAGTTTATTTTTGTATGTTGTACAAGGGTCTTACTTCATTTTTTTGCATGAGGACATCCAGTTTTCCCAGCACTATTTCTTGAAAAAGACCATTTTCTCCCCCTTGAATGGTGCTGGCACCGTTGTCAAAAAATCAATTGACTGTATATGTGAGTTACTTTCTGGGACAATATTAATTTTGATACTGGCAAATTGCCCTCCAAACACCAACTTATACTCCAACTGATATATGAGAGGGTTCACTTTCCACATCATCCAAACACATTTGAGAGCAATATAATATGGCTTGATGTATTAGTCCATTTTCACACTGCTAAAAAAACATACCTGACACTGGGTAATTTAGAAAGGCACGGTGGCTCCTGCCTGTAATCCCAGCACTTTGGGAGGCCGAGATGGGCAGATCACTTGAAAGGTCGGGAGTTCAAGACCAGCCTGGCCAACATGGTGAAACCTGTCTCCACTAAAAAACGAAAATTAGCTTGGTGTGGTCGTGCACACCTGTAATCCCAGCTACTTGGAAGGCTGAGGCAGGAGAATCGCTTGAACCCAGGAGGCAGAGGTTGCATTGAGCTGAGATTGTGCCACTGTACTCCAGCCTGGGCAACAGAGCGAGACTCCGCTTCAGGAAAAAAAAAAAAAAAAAAAAAGAGGTTTAATGGACTCACAGTTCCACGTGGCTGGGGAGGACTCACAATCACGGTGGAAGGCAAAAGACATGTCTTATATGGTGGCAGACAAGAGAGAATGAGAGCCAAGTTAAAGGGGAAACCCCTTATAAAATCATCAGATCTCAGACTTACTCACTACCATAAGAATAGTATGGAGGAAACTGCCCCCATGATTCAAATATCTCCCACTGGGTCCCTCCTACGGCACATGGGAATTATGGGAGCTACAATTCAAGATGAGATGTGGGTGGGGACACAGCCAAGCCATATCATTCCACCTCTGGACCCTCCAAATCTCATGTCCTCATATTTCAAAACCAATCATGACTTTCCAACAGTCCCCCAAAGTCTTAACTCATTTCAGCATTAACTCAAAGTCCACAGTCCAAAGTCTCTTCTGAGACAAGACCGGTCCCTTCCGCCTATGAGCCTATAAAATCAAAATCAAGTTAGTTACATCCTGGATACAGTGGGGTCCAGGCATTGGGTAAATACAGCTGTTCCAAATGGGAGAAACTGACAAAAACAAAGGGGCTACAGACCCCATGTAAGTCCCAAAATCCAACAGGGCAGTCAAATCTTTTTTTTTTTTTTTTTTTGAGACGGAGTCTCGCTCTGTCGCCCAGGCTGGAGTGCAGTGGCGCGATCTCGGCTCACTGCAAGCTCTGCCTCCCGGGTTCATGCCATTCTCCTGCCTCAGCCTCCCGAGTAGCTGGGACTACAGGCGCCTGCCACAACGCCCAGCTAATTTTTTGTATTTTTAGTAGAGACGGGGTTTCACCGTGTTAGCCAGGATGGTCTCGATCTCCTGACCTCGTGACCTGCCTGCCTTGGCCTCCCAAAGTGCTGGGCTTACAGGCATGAGCCACCGCGCCTGGCCAGAGCAGTCAAATCTTAAAGTTCCAAAATGATCTCCTTTGACTCCATGTCTCACATCCAGGTCACGCTGATGCAAGGGGTGGGTTCCTATGATCTTGAGCAGCTCCGCCCCTGTGGCTTTGCAGAATACAGCACCACTCAGGCTGCTTTCCCAGGCATTGAGTGTCTGTGGCTTTTCCAGGCACACGGTGCAAGCTGTCAGTGGATCTACCATTCTGGGGTCTAGAGGACAGTGGCCCTCTTCTCACAGCTCCACTAGGCAGCACCCCAGTGGGAACTGTATGTGGGGGCTTCAACCCCACATTTCCATTCTGCACTGCTCTAGCAGAGGTTCTCCATGACGGCCCCAGCCCTGCAGCAAACTTCTGCCTGGAATCCAGGCGTTTCCATACATCCTCGGAAATCTAAGTGGAGGTTCCCAAACCTCAATTCTTGACTCCTGTGCACCCACAGGCTCAAAACCATGTGGAAGCTGCCAAGGTTGGGGCTTGCACCCTCTGAGGCCACAGCATGAGCTGTAACTTGGCCCCTTTTAGCCATGGCTAGAGTGATTGGGACACAAGGCACCAAGTCCCTAGGTTGCACACAGCAGGGGGACTCTGGGCCCAGTCCATGAAACCATTTTTTCCTCCATGCCTCCAGGCCTGTGATGGGAGGGGCTGGCACAAAGTTTTCTGACATCCCCTGGAAACATTTTCCCCATTGTTTTGGCGATTAACATTTGGCTCCTCATCACTTCTGCAAATTTCTGCAGCCAGCTTGAATTTCTCCTGGAGAAAATGGCTTTTCCTTTTCTATCACATCATCAGGCTGCAAGTTTTCCAAACCTTTATGCTCTATTTCCCTTTCAAAACTGAATGCTTTTAACAGCACCCAAGTCACCTCTTGAATGCTTTGTTATTTAGAAATTTCTTCTGCCAGATACCCTAAGTTATCTTTCTCAAGTTCAAAGTTCCACAGATCTCTGGGGCAGGGGCAAAATGCTGGCAGTCTCTTTGCTAAAACACAGAAGAGTCACCTTTACTCCAGTTCCCACCAAGTTCCTAATCTCCATCTAAGACCACCTCAGCCTAAATTTCATTGTCCATATGATTGTCAGCATTTTGGTCAAAGCCATTCAACAAGTCTCTAGGAAGTTCCAAACTTTCCTATATTTTCCTGTCTTCTTCTGAGCCCTCCAAATGGTTCCAACCTCTGCCTGTTACCCAGTTCCAAAGGAGCTTCCACATTTTTGGGCATCTTTACAGCAGCACCCCACTCCTGGTGCCAATTTACAGTATTAGTCCATTTTCATGCTGCTGATAAAGACATACCCAAGGCTGGATAGTTCATAAAGAAAAAGAGATTTATGGACTCACAGTTCCACGTGGCTGGGGAGGGGAGGCCTCACAATCATGGTGGAAGGGGAAAGGCATGTCTTACATGGTGGCAGACAAGAGAGAATGATCAAGCGAAAGGGGAAACCCCTTATAAAATCATCACATCTCGTGAGACTTAAGGACAACCACAAGAACAGGATGAGGGAAACTGCCCCCACGATTTAACTATCTCCCACTGGGACCCTCTCACAACACATGGGAATTATGGGAGCCACAATTCAATATGGGATTTGGGTGGGGACACAGCCACACCATATCACTTGAGAAAGGATACATTTCATATTACACTTAGCTAAATCTTTTTAAAGTATAGTAATAATATGTTTGTTTCTAATGGGATAGTGGTTCTCATTAGTTGAGCTGGATTTTAAACATACTCATTTTACCTTACCAGCTGAAGACACTCCCAAGATATTCTGAGGATATATATTAAACAATTTCTTTTTCCCACAGATAATTCTCTAGAATTTACATTTCTTTCATTTGTGCTTCTGTGAAGCTATCTCATTTCTCATTTTGCAACAGAGACTTTTTCCTATAACTATCTTTCCTTATTTTCCTAAGTCATACGATAAGTAGCATGACAAGTTTCTCTATTAGTTCCTAAATACTTAAGATTCAAAGAATATTAAAAGATAGTATCTGCACAAATTTTCATTTATAAAATGGTTTTCAGGGATACATTAAAAAATTATCTAGGCCTCAACCTACAGAGGTTCTGATTTAGAAGACGTGGAATGGGACCCGATATATATATTTGGAGAATGCTAGCACCTGATTTTAACAGATTTCCCCACTTAATATAGTGTGCATTTACAGATGAGCAATCTGAGGCTGAGAGAGCCAAGTGACTTGCCCAAAGTCATAGACTAGAAGCCAAGTCTCCAACTATAAGTACATTATGTAAAACTGTCTAAGCCTAATATTACTCAGACTGTTGCTAAAAGTGTGTTAAGTCGGCAAATCTACTTTGTAAATTGTGAGTTACCTATATTATTGAGTTTTAAACATATAAATGATCTATTAATAGCATGACTTTTACAACTGCCCTAAAGGTAAATGGAAAGATAATGAATAATATTTATTTAGCTACTGTGAACTAGCTATCTATATTATTCAGGGCACATTAGAATAGCATGGCTTTTAAAATATCTATCACAAAGAGTGATCTGGTGGAAATTCCATTCTGCTGTCTCTGGGGTGAAAACTACTACATCTCAGTAGTCAGCACTTGTGACCCTTTGGGCTTATAGTAGACATCACTTCAGAATCACTGAACTTCAGCAATGCTTCAATACAAACCTCATAAAACCAAAAAAAAGGACAAAATTATCCTGGATTATGACAGTATTTATTTAAGGTGTTATTCTTTTTCAATTTCAAACCAAATATTTCCAAACCAGTATTTTGTGCTTGATTAGCAGCTACTATTTTTAAAGCAACTATTATGTACAAGGCATCATGCTAAGTGATTTACATATTTATCGTACTTAATACTCACCACTACCTTAGTGAGGCAACAATTACCTCCATCTTGTAGATGAGGAAAACAAGACCTAGAAAAGTTCAGCAACTTCCCCAAAGTGACAACAGTAAGTAGAATTTGAATACCCTTGGCTCTTGTAACATTGCTTTCCATTTAACCTATACATTTATGTACATTCTATAAAAATTTCACTTTAGATGAGATTTTATATCCTTCAAAGCTTTTGATCCTCCCCGTCTCCAGAATTACATATAGATGACCCTTGAACAACATGGGAGGTTAGGGGCACCAGCCTCTGACGCAGTCAAAAAAAAAAAAAAATCCACGTATAACTTTGGACTATCCCCAACTATTAATAGCCTACTATTGACTGGAAGCCTTACTGATAGCATAAACAGTTGATTATGTATGTTATATATATACATATTACTGTACTCTACAATAAAGCAAGCTATAGAAAATACTAAGAAAATATTAAGAAAATCATAAGAAAATACATTTACGGTACTGTACTGTATTTATTGATACCATAAATTTATGTCATCTGTTTACAAGACGAATCATTTGTCTGAAATGGTGGCAACAGTAGCTGCAGACCTCAATCTATGGTACACATCAAGCAATTCAACTTTTTCTTAGAATGTCATGACTTTTCTCTGCTTCTTGAAAGTATCACTTTGTATGAGTCTCATGGTGTTATTCAAGGTTTACATTTCTGCATTAGACACAATGAAAGATACACAATAATACTGAGAGGTCACTTTTTACTGAAATACACAATTTACTGGAAGGATGAACTGTTCACATAGATGATTAACATCACACAGCTTTTTAAGTAAATAGTCCTAACACTTGAGCTCACGGCAACAGCAAGAAGAGGTGGCTACATGATTACAGGACTACAGTATGTACGAGAGTTAATTATATGCAGCTATGATTTAATACTGCCTTTTTATGTTTATTTACATTTCTCTCAACTGTGACAGTGCCATGTATGGTCTGTGTTTGTGTGTGTAAGTTTTGATAAATTTTAACTTTTTATAATAGATATGTGTATATTTTATGGTGGTAAATGATAGAAGTAGATAGAATCTACATATATTTTCTGCATTCATGACTTTATTCTTATTTTGATATTTCTAGTTCATCCATTTTTCCAAATTGTCACAAATCTCCAAATAATTTTCCAAAACATGTACTGAAAATTATCTGCATGTAAGTGGACTTGTGCTATTCAAACCCACATTGCTCAAGCGTCAACTATAAGGAGATAAAATTTATACAGATCTTTGCTATAACTAATATTATAGCTCAAAAGTGCTAAATAGCAACAGAGGACCCAAAACCATTCTATTCTTTCACCATAGGTACTTTCTCTTTTTTTTTTTGAGACAGAGTCTTGCTGTGTTACCCAGGCTGGAGTGCAGTGGCACAATCTCGGCTCACTGCAACCTCCGACTCCTGGGTTCAAGCAATTCTTCTGCCTTAGCCTCCCAAGTAGCTGGGACTACAGGCGCACGCCACCATGCCCAGCTAATTTTTGTATTTTTAGTAGAGACGGGGTTTCACTATGTTGGCCAGGCTGGTCTTGAACTCCTGACCTTGTGATCCACCCCACCTTGGCCTCCCAAAGTGTTGGGATTACAGGCATGAGCCACCACGCCCAGCCAGGTACTTTACTTCAAACTACCCAGTGTTTCGGAAAAGTATTTTCTACTAAGTAACCAACTAGTCCCCCAACACCTTGAATAACTGACGTTCTTCCTCAGGTCTGGAACTACTTTACAGTAAGATTCCACTTGTAAGACTGTAGTCAAAATTCAAATGCACATAGCCAAATGCACATAGCAATCTATTTTGAGGACTGACTATGCATAGTTATACACATAGTTTTACTATGAGTATAGCACTTTTAGAAACAGCATTTGATAAGGTCATACAGTTACCTAGTCCCAAAGTATAAATCACATAGCTTCATTTTGAATTAAAAGGGTCTTATTAATTGAATCTCATGGGAGAAATCTAAAGACTCTCTGCTACCTCCTCTTTTGACACCTATTACTTCTTTAGTCTACAATTTTATTTTGAAGGAATATATTTGTTCTCCTCCCCATTACATCACTAACTGTATCTGAAATAAAAATTTCATTGGTGTTACTTATCAGCTGTGGATGTTCTATGAATATTTTTAACATTTTGAAGCTAATGTACAGAAGGCAGCACCTATGTTACATTAAACAAAGAATACATGAAGTGCTTGTCTGATTTTGTATGGAAAATTCTAGGTTCCTAGTTGATTCATCTCTCAAAAATCATATGATAAGCATCAATTAAGTATGAAGTTCTAGAAACACAAAGATAAAAATATATGATTCTCACTGTCAAGGAGCCAATGGTCTAATAGGCCAGAAGACACAATAATATAAAGCGACAAATTCTCACATAAGCTGTCCTAATATAATCAATCTATAAAGTTTCATTTATAGAATCAGAAGTTTCCTTTTTCTAGATGTTCAACAGAATTTTGTTTTCTGTTTTTTGAGACAGAGTCTCGCTCTGTCACCCAGGACGGAGTTCAGGGGCATGATCTTGGCTCACTGCAACCTCCGCCTCCCAGGTTCAAGCGATCTCATGCCTCAGCCTCCCGAGTAGCTGGGACTACAGGCGTGTGTCACCATGCCTGCATAATTTTTGTATTTTAGAGACAGGGTTTCACCATATTGGTCAGACTGGTCTTGAACTCTTGACCTCGTGATCCGCCCACCTCAGCCTCCCAAAGTGCTGGGATTACAGGCGTGAGCCACCGCACCCGGCCTGTTCAACAAATTTTATAAGGCTCATATCTCCCCTAATTTTCACTCCTCTCAACCCAAAAATAGTATTTCCTTTGAGCTACCACAGCTCTTAATCTGTACTTTTTACTGTAGTTATTTAACCACACAGTGTATCTTCTCCATTGACTAGATATTCCTTGAGAAAAGAATCTATTTCTGATTTATCATTGTATCCCCCATAGTGTTTATCAGCAAGAATTAAAATATTTATTGAATGAAGAATTTAGAGCCCTGATGCAATAATTTGAAAATAATATCTTAGTTTCAAGAGACTAACATAGCTTTTACAATTTCCCAATCTACTCTTAGGAGAACTTATGCAGTGGAAAAAATGTGGCTCCAATAGTGATCCCTCTCCCTAAGAAATACATGTTCATTTTACTATATCATTCTTACCAAGCTATTCATCCTTGGTTAAAAAAATAAAAATAAAGCAGCAGGCTGCTAAGTTAACCCTAAAAATGGAATAACAGCAAATAGGTGAGTGAAATATCTAGAAACATCCAAATGCAACTTTCGTAGTAAAGATAGAAAGTCATACAAAAAAAGATCAGCCATACTTAAAAAATAAATAGGATTTGTTTAAAAAAAAGAAACCTGGGAGGAGGTCAATTTCTTTATTTAAGTTATAGATTTCTCTAAAGAACATTAATTCGGATGCAAGTTAAAAGAAATACTCATTTGGAAGAGAAGTCCACCTGTAAAGGCCAAGCCGTTCAAATGAAAACTGGGCTGGCCCAACAACCACACACACCAAGATCTTCAGGACATAATTGAAACACAAACAAAATTACTATGTCCTCTGTAGGCTATTCCACAGCCTGCAAGTAAGTTTTCAAAGTCAACATTCTTGATCATTGAGCCAAGATTAATCATTACTAGGCCAGTGCATGCCATTTGCTGAAAAGCTGAAATACGTGATCATTATTTAAAAATATTAAATATGACCCACCGAAACTCTGAAGTAGAAAAATATGCATTCTATGTTTTCCCCTCAAAGTTTTAATAACTACTTTGAATAAAAATTAATTTAAATTATCTTGGTATGGGTGTACTTTAGACAAAGAACAAAATCAAACTGCTTTACCATTACTGTAAACTTTCTCATGAAATAACTGGATGATAGAAATTGAAGCAGTACTTATTTGTAATTACCAGGAGAATTCGATTTGGTTCCCAAGCCTAAGAAGTAAAAAAACTGATGGAAAAAAAAAAAAAAACAGCACCAGACAAAACTCAGTTATCAATAATAAGACTATTAATATTTTATTAGTGTGCTAATTCTTCTTCTAGATAACACCAAAATCCACATTCCATGTTATTAGACTATTTCCTGATTAAAGATAGTATTATTATAATTGAAATAAATTTATTTTAAAAATCATGAGTGTTGTTTTTTTGGTAAAAAGATTTAAGATTATTTCTCAGCTCACTGAACATACACTTCCAGACACCTCTAAGTCACTTGAGCAAGACTGACCGACAAACACGAACAAGAAAGGCTTTACTTGCCCCAGGAAAGCCCCCTGAATGCCTGGACTCTTTGTCACCTCCTGGCTGCCTTACTACCACTGCCTTCGCTGACACCCTCCCCTCACCCAAGTAGTATAGAACAGAATATTTAAAATAGCTAGTAGTTATTCTAATATAATTGTGCTCCAAATCACCTTTTCTTAAAGTGGCACTAGTTTATCCACAGAATAGGTGGCTGTCTTCTAATTATGGCAAGCTCAAACAACAGTATTTAAAAATTAAAACTACTATAGAAATACTTACCTACAAAGATCTAATCACAAAGTTTATTTCCAAAGAAATATGCTTCTCCTTTTACAACAAATAAAGTCATAAAATCTTCCAGAAGGGGATTTTTATCTGGAAAAGGAATTTCTTAATACAGGGTCACGGATCCCAAGAGACGCTACCAACTTTAGAATATTTTATTTGAATTCTCTCAAATATAAAAAAATTATCCACATATTTTTTGGGGGGAGAATCCATGGCCTTCATTAGTTCTTACAGGGGGTCTGTGATCCCAAAAGAATTTTAAAAGTAATATAACTAGCCTGGGAGTTTTAAGTAATGATTTTGTTGCTACATGCCTATCAGCTGTCAGGTATCTATTGCAAGTAACTTCTTGTTGATTCAGTACGAAAATTTCTGAACTAGTTGCTTTTTAAACATATAACAGAGGAGGCCCAAGGTTACTGTTATAACAGCTTAGTTCTCACAATCTTGCATTTCTTGTATGACAGAGAACCAGAGCAGTGGAAATTGCCCATAATTCTAAGCACGTCTGTGGAAATGTGAGTGTGAACATCCTATATCACACATAATCTAGAAGAAAAAAGCTTGAGAACTGCTGATTTGAACCAACCCTTTCGTTTTACAGATGAGGAAACTTAGGCTTAGAGATGTTAAACCATTTATTTGAAGTCACAAAGGGGTCTGATACCTTATTCAATGTAACCTCAAGCAGGGCCGGGATTGAAATGGATCCCTACACTGGCATTTTCTTAGTCTGGATTGTGGCTATAAAAAGGATGATTTTATACCTTGGTATTCAACAGAGTTCCATCCCTGGTGTACTTCTCTCACTCTGCACATTCACCTTGGAAAACCTCATCTGCCTCCCACAACTTCAACTCTCAATTCTCCTGTTATTAATTCACAGATCTGTTATTTACAGTCCTGTCAAACTTCTAGCTTGTGCTCCAGATCTCTATGTTCAACTACCTACTTAAAATCTCCTGCTGTGGTCTGCTGTTCAAGTATCTCAATCTTCAAATGTTGAAAAATCAAACTCTTATCACCCACATATTCTTCCAAAGACAGAGAGACAGCGAGGGAGATAGTGAGAGACACAGCATGAGCAAGAGATACAGCATGAGTGAGACAGAGAGGGACAGAGAGACAGACACACGGAGAGAGAGAGAGAGAGAGAGACAGAGAGAGACAGAGAGAGCGAGAGAGAGAGAGAGCGAGAGAGAGAGAGCGCGTGCGTGCAAGTTCTTTTTTCCAGTTTTCTTTCTCCATGCCAGAAATTAGGCACTTCTTTAACCTGACCTTCAAACTCCATCATTCCTTCTGTTTTACCATTTTTCCTTTCAGGAAAAGTCTCTTCCTCTCTATCCGAGTCCACTGATTTAGTTCAGGCACTCTCTCTCTCCTGGCATACTTTAGTAATCTCTTTACCTTCAACCTTCTCTCAGTCCACTCTCAATACTGTTGCCAAAGGAAGATTTTTAAAACACAAATCTGACCACATCAATCCACTTCTTATAAATCCTTCTTTGGCTCCCTATTTCCCACAGAAAAAAGCCCAAATTCCACAACATGGTATGTATATGTCTCCACGGCATAATCTTTGCTATAAAACTATCTGCTTTATACTGCAATGGAATAATGAGTACTTAAATATGCAATTAAGTACTCCTAATTATGGATGATAATCATCAAAAATTACTGGGTACATATATTAATTGGCCAAACTAAATTTGTGCTGTGTGATCCTGCCAGTGTCAATCTGTTCAATCATGTTTCAGGTAAGCTGGCCTATTAATCACCTTCCAGTCTTGGCAAAGGTTTTACATAATCTATCTCCACTAAGTTGATAAGAAAGCTGCATCACATGTTCCACTAAGTATATTCTCACCCAAACCTCATTCAAACTAGCAATGTCTAACATATCTTTATGAGGTAAAGACTGGAAATCTGAAAAAAAAAAATAATAATAACTTTCCTAACGATTTACCTAACAGCATGAGTATTTGCAGCAGGCAACCTCTAAGAAGTCCCTAACCATCCCATCCTCCTGGTATTCACAACCATGTGTAGTCCCTTCTCACGCTGTATCACAGTTGGTCTGAGAGAGCAACAGCAATAGGGGCAGAAGTGGTGGTATGTTCACAAGATGAGATTATTTTAAAAACTGGCTTCCATCTTGGGTCCTCCCCATCCTTCTACTTGTTCCAAGGGAAGCCTGCTGCCACATCTTAAGAACACTCAGATGACCCTGTGATGAGGCTTGCTTAGCAAGGAACTGAAGCTCTCCACCATAAGCTCATGAGGAACTATGGCATTGCTAACAACCAAGAGCGAAGTTAGAGGCAGCTTCTCTAGCCTCAGTCAAGCCTTGAAATGACTGAAGACCCAAGCCAGCAGCTTGACTGCAACATCATAAAACATCCTGAGCCAGAACCCAGCAAAGCTGCTCTTGGATTCCTGCTCCACAGAAACTGTGAGATAATGTTTGTTGTCTGAAGCTGCTTAGTTTGGGGGTAATTTGTTATGTAGCAATAGATAACTAATACAGTATTTTATGGTTTTGCTTTTTTCTTTAAACAGGGTGCTCACTGTATGCTTTCCTACTGGAAATAACTTCAGCAGTTTGTAATAGCTTCACTTTCATATACATAATTAGCATTAACTTCAAAAGACAATCCTCCTAGATTATATCCAGGTGGCTGGGACTCTCTGCCACTGCATCATGCCTCAAGGTCAGGGCCACACTCCTCCTTCCTCATTAGTCCCTCCACCTAAATTACAGCCCTGAACACTTTTTTTTTTTTAACTTCACCAATTCAAGCTCTTCTCCAATCAGTTCCTGAATGCTTAAATTGGGGTAGGAGAACTTTTAAGTCAGAAGGTCTTAAAGGATGGGAGGAGGTGGTAGCGGACTGACTGAGTGGGGCAAGCAACAACATGATTACTCTGGAAGGAGAAGAGTTAGGAAGGCTCAATACCAGAAGCAATGTGCAAGGTAAGGGAGAGGGTCTGGCCAGAGTGGGCTTAAATATAAGTCGTTACAATTAAAAACTACAGAAACATTTCTGAAGAGTTTCTGAAAAGTTAAAAATCACCACAAATCTGCCAACACAGAAATAATCGCTAGGAAACACTGTGGTAATACCCTCCAAACACACATAAAGGTATCTATTCACATATACATGTACATTCATGCAATCAACTTTTTCATATTACACATATTATAGCCCATAATTTACTGTAACATCTTTCTAAGCAAATAAACATCATTGTTAATGGCTGTGTTATATGCTAATGTTGTATAATGTGTGTAGTTACTAACACTTATTTGACCAGTCTCTTTCAAACATGTCCAGTTTTTTCTAGTCTTTACTAGTTTACAAACATAATTTTCATCCTTATGCATTTAACTTTTCACATTTGGACTCTGTAGGTAAATTCTTTGGAGAATTATCGAGTCAATGAATACAAACATTTTAACATATATATGTATATGTGTGACCCTTAAGAAACAGTGCATCAAGACAACGTGCTTTTAAAGAGCAGCTAAAAGAGTCCTTTTATAGTAGACAGGCTTTTATATCTGTTTAAAAAGAACAGTTAATAATAAGACAGATTGTAAGGGCTGCATAATATTCTAATAGTACTTAATGATTAAGGACAAATGTTAAACATATGTTTTAATAAAACAGCATACAAAATTGTTTTTACGCTGCTGTCCCAGATTTGAGCTCTAGTTCTTAAAACCTACTATGGATTCTTCCAAGGTCTCTCCTTCCTTACAGGCTGGCTGCAAAAGATCCAAGATGCAGGGCAGAATTCAAAGGCTCTGGGGGATGGGGGCCACCAGATGAATTAGCCTGGTTACACAAACCCTCTTCTACCCCCACCTAGTCCACACTGAACTACATGTAAGTGGAAAATAAGTCACTGAATTCTGGAGATGTTAATAAAGCATAGATAACCTACCTTAATATAAGAGGCTATCTCTGGGTGGTGGTTTACTGCTAATTTTTATCTACCAATTTGTTGCTGTATTTTCCAAATATCTTTTTTTTTTTTTTTTTTTTTTTTGAGACGGAGTTTTACTCTTGTTGCCCAGGCTGGAGTGCAATGGCACCATTTCGGCTCACCACAACCTCCACCTCCCGGGTTCAAGCGATTCTCCTGCCTCAGCCTCCCAAGTAGCTGGGATTACAGGCATGTGCCACCACACACCCAGCTAATTTTCTATTTTTTAGTAGAGACGGGGTTTCTCCATGTTGATCTGGCTGGTTTCAAACTCCCAACCTCAGGTGATCCGCCTGCCTCAGCCTCCCAAAGTGCTGGGATTACAGGCTTGAGCCACAGCGCCCAGCCTGTATTTTCCAAATATCTTATGAGTTTATGCTGTTTTTACAATCAGAAACAAACATACATAAAAATAGTGCTGAATGCAGTGTATGTTATGATATGGCAGTGTCCTTTAAATTTAAAATCACCAAAACATGACTTTTGAAATAAATATTATATAGTTAACTTTTTTTTTTTTTTTTTTTTGAGACTGAGTCTTGCCCTGTCGCCCAGGCTAGAGGGCAGTGGCGAGATCTCGGCTCACTGCAACCTCCGTCTCCTAGATTCAAGTGATTCTCCTGCCTCAGCTTTCCAAGCAGCTGGGACTACAGGTGCCCACCACCACGCCTGGCTAGTTTTTATATTTTCAGTAGAGACGGGGTTTCACCATGTTGGCCAGGCTGGTCTCAAATTCCTGACCTCAAGTGATCCGCCTGCCTCGGCCTCCCAAAGTGCTGGGATTATAGGCGTTGAGTCACCTGCCTGGTCTATACAACTTAAGAAGCTGAACTGTGTGGCTAGTCACTACGTGACTGTGTCACAAAATTTCATGCCAGTATTAAAGAACAGTAGGAACCCATGGTAAGACTGAAACAGAGGTCGACTGATGTGTGTTTAACTGGCTGTAAAACTTTAGGCAAGTCCAGGAAATGTTCCATTTCCTATCATATAAAATGAGAAAGCTGAACTAGAAAACCTCTGAGGTCTATGGTCAATTCTTTCCAACTAGTATTTTCTTTCTTATGATATACCTAGTCCTCCCAGAATGCTCCATATCCTAGAAAACCCATCTCTTACCCTCAGAAATTAGAACCTGACCACTTATGGGAAGCAAAAAGCACTAGTCTAGTTAACCGTGTCCCAGGTAAAAAGAGGCTGTATTTTTTGTGGCTAAAGCAGTGGCTGCTTCAAGAGGAATATGCAAAAGATCTTTCTCCTCACCTAATATCTAACTCCAGAAGGCTAGTCATAACACTATTTTCTACTGCTGGGGAATGACCTGCACACTCCTCTATGAAATGCTATCCCCATGCCTTAAACAGCCAATATATATTTAGAAGATTACATATATGACAATACCTCAGAGAGTGAAAGTATCTACTTAGATATTGAAATGTGATCATTTAAAAAAAAAAAGAAGGCTGGGCGTGGTGGCTCACGCCTGTAATCCCAGCACTTTGGGAGGCCAAGGCGGGCGGATCATGAGGACAGTAGATAGAGACCATCCTTACGGTGAAACCCCGTCTCTACTAAAAATACAAAAATTAGCCAGGCGTGGTGGCAGGCGCCTATAGTCCCAGCTACTTGGGAGGCTGAGGCAGGAGAATGGCATGAACCTGGGAAGCGGGGCTTGCAGTGAGCTGAGACCACGCCACTGCACTCCAGCCCGGGCGACAGAGCAAGACTCGTCTCAAGAAAAAAAAAAAAAAAAAAAAGACACTTTCTAAACTATGTAAGGGGATTATCACATGAGAAATATAACTTGGAGAAGGTATGAACAATTCCAAAACTGGTAAAGATATTCTAAGTTATAATAATGAAACTGGACTCCATGGTAAAATGCTGCCTCACTATAGATGAAACCAATATAGGAAAAGCTAATAAGAAAAGAGCTTCCAGGACAGTCCACAACAGATGACAGGTTTTTTGTTTGTTTTTTTGAGATGGAGTCTCGTTCTGTTGCCCACGCTGGAGTGCAGTGGCATGACCTCGGCTCACTGTAACCCCCGCCTCCCGAGTTCAAGCGATTCTCCTGCCTCAGCCTCCCGAGTAGCTGGGATTACAGGCATCTGCCACCACACCTGGCTCATTTTTTGTATTTTTAGTAGAGACGAGTTTCATCATGTTGACCAGGCTGGTCTCGAACTCCTGACCTCAGGTGATCTGCCGCTTCAGCCTCCCAAAGTGTTGGGATTACAGGCATGAGCCACCGCGCCTGGCAGATGATAGGCTTCGATGGGGACAGTGGTGGCATAAGAGACAGGAAAAGAGAAAATTCAAAGACAATTCTTAGCCTAAAAAAACACTGAGTCTCAAACCAATAGTAACACCTGGTAACGTGTGAGAATGCAAATTACCGGGCCTTACTTCAGACTTAAAGAATCAAAGTATGGGGTGTGGCCTAGCAATTTATGGTTTAACAAGCCCTCCAGGTGCTTCCAATGCATGCTAAAGTCTGAGTACCACTAGTCTAAAAGGATTCATACTATTACTGGTAGTAGAAAAGAGAGAGGGTCAAACTACAGGCAGCTGACAAAGCGCCACAAGTGCAATTTCTGTTTAGTCAGCAAGTCTAGCTTGGATTTAGAGCTTTTAATGGCACTTCTGCTGATGGGAAGTTGCTTCGCTTCCTGATGGAGTCAGTTATCACTCTAATCATTAGGCTTCCTCACCAAGCAATATTCTTCAGAATAAAGGCTGTTCTAGTGAGTTTATTCCCTTTACCTGTAATTTCTTTAAAACATGGGATGCAGATAGATGGGGTTGGTGATAGAGCAGAGGGTGGAAAGGGAATATCAATGAAGGTATAGCAGCAAGGGGGCGCTGACATAATGATGAGAAATGGATGAGCTCATTACCTTACAGATCTTGTACCATCTAATGAAACCCTAAGGACAAAACGTTTATTTTATATTTCAATATGAAAGAATCCCTCCCTCAGAATTCCACTTGGTGTTTGATGGTCTGGTTATAAATACTACTTAGCATTAAACATGCCATTTTTATTTATTCAGCAAATGGTAAGCCAAAGCTAACAAACATGGTCTTCCAAATGCAACTGAAAAAATTGTCTCATGATTTGGTTTGAGGGTTAATGGCAAAGAACTATTTTTCTAGTAGGTTACATTTATACATTACATGTTCCAAAACCTGAAACATGGCTGGTTAATCTTTTTTGGTTTAATTTACTTAATGTATGCATTGGCTTACACTTAGAAGCTTGTCTATACTTAGTATTTCCTATTACTCACAAAACGACACAACTTTCCTGTTTTACAACCTGGGGATGATTCAAGATCCACATTTAGATATAACATTTTTTAAAAAACATTCTCAGATGTCATTTTTAAGGAATTCATGGAAAGCAAAGAAATGTTTAAAACCCTTTATATTCAGATTAGAGAATATAAACAGTAGACTGGTATACGTAAGTAATTTGCTTATCTTTAGAGTATGATTGTCTAGGTTGAGAGTCTCAAAGCCCCATTTAATAACTGATTACATGGCAGTATCTTGGACTATTGAAATCTTTGGTTTTCCTTTCAGCTCAAATGAGAATTACAGACTAGTTTAATTGCTACTAAAACATTTATCTTACAGTTGAATTTAAAATAATTATATTTTATTTTATTAATGAAAAAATATAATTTTAAATTATAAAATACTTGCTAAAGAAATTATCTTGTTTATCAAAAAATGTAATTTTTTGAAACAAAAGGAAAATTATATTTACAAAATACCAAAATGTCCCAAGATATATGTCAATATCAATTCAAAGACATACCCCATAGAAATTAACATTTCTATGTAAAATGACCTTATGAATACTGATTTTTAAAACAAAAGCATTATATCCCCTAGGCTGAGATATTTGTAACTACAAATTTTAATTGTAGTAGTTCCAAAATGTAATCAAAAAAATAAACTCTAGAGATTTGTTAACTCATAACTTAAGGGCAGTGTTTTCCCTAAGAGTGTTCTAAGAAACAGGAGCTCCACGGGATGGAACTAGAGACTGATTTCTGTGGTCTAGTGACATACTTGAGACACACTGAGTTTTAACAAAACAAAGCAAACCCTGTACTTAATTGCTGTACTTCTCAGTCTTTGCTATGCTAAGGTACAATATAAACCTTTAAGAGATGGTACAGAAAGTAGTTTCCCAAACATATTTGGCACTATTTATCCTGAGAAATCTCTTAGAACTAATGATCTACATTAGTGGGAAATGCAGATGAGTTAATCCTAATAAACACTGCAGGCAACTAGCAAATTACGGTCCCAGAGATTCAAAATAGAAATTAAAGGCAGCTGAGTATAGCACAATGACTTTATTGTCCCTATTTATTATTTACAAGAATGCACAAAGTATTTGCACTATATACATAATACTTGCACTATATACATTTTAATATAGCACTTATGAGAATTTTTAAATTAAAAATTAACTGGTTTTTAAGTAACTATACTTCAAGAACACTGCTCCCTCTATGAAATCCCATTCCCCAGAAACGGGCCCATCTGATTAGCACAGCTGATCTGCCAGCTGGATGGATCCCAAGTAAATTTCAAACCAGCACTTGGCAAAATATCCCTGTACCCTGCATTTTACATGGAACACAAACTAAAGATGCATTCTGGGACTGCCCTGAGAACCAAACAATTGTATGGCGACATGAACATATTCTCTTTATCCTCTTTATATTAAATTTGCTAGATGACCAATTTAAACAATACTTCAAATGCTGTGCTTGAATTCTGCTTACATCTATTCTGCTATTAGTCTGTTGGCATCTAACACTGGATCAGAAAAGACTGCCATCTGGTAGTTATAGCAGCCCTTCACTAACTTGGTCAGAAGTTGAAGACCATAAGCCTCAGAGAAATGCAAACCAAGTTTATTACTATGAATATATCAAAATCTTCTTTTTGTAAAGCCATTCAACAGGGTTTTTCATTCAAAGAGAAACACTGTGCTCACACACATTATATAATCGACCTATAAAAGTCAGGTTTTAAAGGAGTTAAAGGGATGAATGATTAAATTAAATGAGTAATTAGGTCCACATTCCCCTCACCCACAAGGCTGCCACTGTCTCTTTTATAAAGCCTAGGGATGAGAGCCAAATTGGCTCTATTTAAATTGGCTATTTAATTTAACTCTAACTTCTCTTAATCATAATGTGTGTGTTCTTGGGTACAAATTTTTTCCTCTCGATAAAGTTTCTGGTAGGCAATACTTTAGATGAAGAGAAATAATTAACAGTATAAAAACAATAACAACATGTATACAGCATATGAGCACGCACAAAGTGTTTTCAAACTTAGCATGATCTTAATCAGGAAGGAAAGCCAGAGAAGTATTAATAGAATAGCGATTATTTCAGATTCTAACACTTTCATAAGGTTACACACTTAGGGTAATGGTAGAGCTGAGAAAGCTGAATCCACACCACCTAGTCAGAAATTCTCTTTCTAGCATACTATACTCTTTCCTGAAATAGTATTTTACAGTTTACATAGCTCTTAGTATTATAAATACAATATGCATGTACATGTACAAATACTATGCACTCTGAATTTGCCCAAGTATCCCTGCTGCCCACTTCCCCAGTCTGGTTTTACTCCCTTTTTCCTTTTTTGTCCTTCCTTTTCTCTCCTTATCTTTCCAAAGTCACCACCACTTGCTTGAGCCTGAATGAAGGCAGAAGTGGATGAGTGAATGCAGGATCCACCCTTTAAGAGCACTCATGATTTGTGATCACATCTATTCTAACTTAGAGACTAGCATGCCAACACATGGACTATTTCTCCGAGCTCTCATTCTTAATGCAACAATGTCAAGGACATGGCCATTAAGAGATGACCTAGGATTACATAACACTTATCCAGCTTAATATGCTTATTCTATCCCATTATTTTACTTCAACCCTCTTTGTCTATAAAAATCTCTTTCCTTATATGGCCAGTCTCTGAAGTCCAAGATTTGATATTCCTGGCATTTAGCAAAGGAGACTCTTCTTGTATCTCTTCCTGAAGGCATCTGAAACATTTTTTGTGACTGATTTTCCAGGTGAGAAAGTCATAGGCTTGATCTATACCGTTCAACTGGCTGCCAATAAGATTAAATCTCTTTGAAGTTGCTAAGAGGGGAAACTTTAAATGTTATCACAAAAAAAAAAAAGTATTGAGGTAATACATATGTCAATTAGACTGATTTATGCATTCTCATAAATCATATTCTAAAACCTTATGTTCTAAATGTATACGTATTCCAAATCATGTTTTAGATAATACATACATGTAACTTTTGTCAATTTTTAAAAGTTACTTAAAAAAAAAAAATAGCTCATGTCTCTTCATTAACATCTAGGCCACTCACTAGGTACCAGATAGGGTAGGAGGGTGGCGCATTAAAGTCATCCACCAAGACAAAGGAAAACAACTTAAGGATCCTAAGTACTGATCAGTCAACACCATTTGCCAAGAAACTCCTTTATAAACAGTACTCCGCTTCATGTTAAAGGACACACATGGAAATGAAAACATAGGGGAGTATAATACAGCTGAAAGAACACTGGTTCTAGAACCAGGCTGGCTTAGGTTGGAATTCCATTCTGCCACCTACTAGTTGCCACTTACCCAGAGCAAAGTCACAATGTATCTGAATCTGTTTCTTCGTAATTTAGAATATAAATCCGGTGGAACTGATGTGAGGATTCATGATTTTACCTAAAGTACCTAGCACTGTACCTTGCACATGGCAGGTGCCCAATGGATAGTAGCCATAAATTTATTTTTTATTTTGATTTTTTGAGGGACAGAGTTTTGCTCTTGTTGCCCAGGCTGGAGTGCAATGGCACAATCTCAGCTCACTGCAACCTCCCCCTCCGGGTTCAAGGGATTCTCCTGCCTCAGTCTCCCGAGTAGCTAGGACTACAGGCATGCGCCACAACGCCCAGCTAATTTTGTAGTTTTAGTAGAGACAGTGTTTCCTCATGTTAGTCAGCTGGTCTCGAACTCCCGACCTCAGGTGATCCACCTGCCTCGGTCTCCCAAAGTGCTGGGATTACAGGCGTGAGCCACCGTGCCTGGACTTACAAATTTATTTTTATCACCTGTTTTCAAGAAGCTGGTCAGGAGTCACCAACCATTAAAGATAGTGGGTGGAGCAAGTGGTTTGGTTTCGTTTTTTAAACTTCATCAATGGGAGAGTTAGAGAAGGAGTAGAGGTTGCTTGTAGGCAATAGCTCTCAAAACAGCACTGTAATACAAATTGGACGAGCCAAGTCAGCTGGAATAGCTGTAGCCAATGTAATCAATATATTAAAAAAAGTTATTTTATGTTCTTTTTCTTGTACTAGGTCTTTGAAATCTGTATATTTTTATAATTGCAGCACATCTCAATTAGGACTAGCCACATTTCAAGCGATAAACAGCCACACACAGCTAGTGGTTACCATAATGTCAGTGGAACTCTATAATTCTGGCACCAAGCCTGGGCCCATTCCAAAGAATCTACCCTAATACCCATTTCACAGGTTAGCCTAGATCCATGCCACCTAAAATCATCTCACAAATCTCTAGGTTACCAAGGGAATCCAGTTGCTTAGATTACTATAAAACACCTGTATATTAAAAGCTCACAGTCAGTTTGTCAAACATATACACAAGTATATAACTAGTAACAGCTGTCAGAAGGTTTCAGAAATTGGTGGAGAAATGCCAATCACATAATAATCACCACTTTCTTTTTTTTTTTTTTTTAAGATGGAGTTTCGCTCTTATTGCCCAGGCTGGAGTGCAATGGTGCGATCTTGGCTCACCGCAACCTCCGCCTCCTGGGTTCAAGTGATTCTCCTGCCTCAGCCTCCCTAGTAGCTGGGATTACAAGCATGTGCCACCATGCCCGGCTAATTTTGTATTTTTAGTAGAGATGAGGTTTCTCCATGTTGGTCAGGCTGGTCTCGAACTCCCGACCTCAGGTGATCCGCCCACCTCGGCCTCCCAAAGTGCTGGGATTACAGGTGTGAGCCACCGTGCCCAGCCATCATCACTTTCTTTTAGTAGAGTACATTCCAGTCAGGTCAGCTATCATCAAAATTCCACAAACCTGAAAGAACTTTTAATAAATAAGACTCCTTAAGAGTGTTACTAAAATAAAGTAAATAAAGTACGAGTCTGGGCAATTTTTAAAGGCCAATAATAACTTTAAAAATTCTTTATATCTGATTTGTCAGGATATTCCATGCATTTGGACAATCATACCTTTAGTTAAGTTTGTTAAAAATTCAACTAAACCGTAAGCAACTTTCAATCAGGTAAGAAAAGTCTTGTCATATGGTTTGCTTTTTTGCAATTCAAAAAATACTTTCAAAGTAAATAAAGTGCAACCAGATGCTACTGGCAAGAAAACTGGATTTTTCAAATGTGACTGATTTCCAAGAACATTACCACAGATGAGGCCTACACATTGGTGAGCTTAAAGCTTTGGAAAGCCCTTATCTAATCATCTATTCAGAACTCTCCATGCTTTCCCACTTTTCAGTATTTCAAATTTTCAAATAAATATCTCAAAATATATAGCAAATCAGAAATATGATACGTATAGGAGGACTTCTCCTTAACAGATTCAGAACACATTGTTATACAGCTAATGTCATAGAAAGTACAAATTAATGTTAATGCCGGAAGAAGAACAATATGCCATTTGCATTATAACAAGAAGTATAGTCACCAAGTGGCTGTTTTCTTCCATTTAGAGATGTTTTCCTTAGTTCCAATTACTACAAGTTTATAATCATCACGACAATCTATTACTCTGTATATTAAACTTGCAAAGTAGACATAAAATGTCTACATTCCAAACTGCAATAACTACTGTGATAAAACTTTTGAAGAAATGGAAAGTGAGCCAGGCACGGTGGCTCACGCCGATAATCTCAGCACTTTGGGAGGCCGAGGCAGGCGGATCACCTGAGGTGGGGAGTTCGAGACTAGCCTGACCAACATGGAGAAACCCTGTCTCTACTAAAAATACAAAAGTAGCTGGGCATGGTGACACATGCCTGTAATCCCAGCTACTCGGGAGGCTGAGGCATGAGAACTGCTTGAACCCGGGAGGCGGAGGTTGCGGTGAGCCGAGATCGTGCCATTGCACTCCAGCCTGGGCAACAAGAGCAAAACTCCGTTTCAAAAAAAAAAAAAAAGGAAAGTGATGAATTTGTATCATATGTAGGGAAAGACGAGAGTTAATTGTGATTTTTCTCTTAACTGAAACAAATTCAGAAACATTTACTAATGCTATTAATGGTATAAGTACATGGAAATAAAATTAGCAAAACTCATTTCTTTCTATTTAAACAATGCAGAGTATGAATGATTCTACATCATTATTTTCTGAACTTTTCAGATAAAAGTACTGAATTAAAATCTCAACCACAATGCTTAGAGACTCATTTGCTCAGGTCAAACACTAAGTCCCAGTCAATTTTGTAAATGGGCTATTTATTTTTTCTTTTGTTTTGAGACGGAATCTCACTCTGTCGCCCAGGCTGGAGTGCAATGGCATGATGTCGGCTCACTGCAACCTCCGCCTCCTGGGTTCAAGCAATTCTCCCTGCCTTGGCCTCCTGAGTAGCTGGGATTACAGGCGCCCGCCACCACGCCCAGCTAATTTTTGTATTTTTAGTAGGGATGAGGTTGGCCAGGCTGGTCTCGAACTCCTGACTTCAGGTGATCCACCCACCTCAGCCTCCCAAAGTGCTGGGATTACAGGCGTGAGCCACCACGCCCAGCCAGGCTGTTTGTTTAATATACTTCTACGTTCATTTTAGGCTTTTCTCCTCTCTTTTCCTGTCTCATAAGGGGAGATGGGGGTCAGGGATGTAAATAATCAGCAAGCATTTATTCAATACATATTTACTAAGCACCTACTATGTACCAAATATTATCCATATTACACACTTTACGTATGTCATCTCATATAACCCTCATAGCAACTTGAGAGGTATTTAACCCCAATTCTATGTATGAAGCAAATAAAAAGGCTCAGAGAAGGTAGCTAACTTGTTCAAGGCCAACAGGACTCTAAGATCTGAAGTCAAAACCTGTCCCAACTTTTCTTCCCCCCACAACCTTTTCTACCCAAGCTCTCCTCTCACTTAAGCATAACCAACTGAACCTGCCCTCTGAAGTTTTCATTCAGTAACAGTTGCACTTTTTCAGTAGTACTAGCTTTTGGTTATCACATAAAGCACAAATGGTTAAAACATGCCCCAGGAATGGTTTAATGTGTTTTTTTTCTCTCTGAAGTGTCTCATTTTCCTTTCAATTATAGAGGGAGCATACAAAGAAATGGCAAGACTTTAGTCCCCCTAGAAAAACTGCTAGTGGAGGAATTCTCACCTGAGGTGGGATAAAAGAGAAAGATGTTCCAGGGATATGCTATCCAATTTGATAGCCACTAGTCACATGTGACTACTGAAAACTTGAACTGTGGCTAGCCTGAATTAAGATGTGCTAAGTGTAAAATATAGACAGGACTGAGTAAAAATTTTTTATGCTGATTACATGTTGAAATTATATTTTAAATATATTAGGTTAAATCAAATATATTGAAACTAATTTCCCGCCCGTTTCTTTAAAAATTTTTTAATGTGGCTTCTACAACATTTTAAATTACATATATGGCTCACATTTTGGGGTGGAGAGAACAGTACTATTTCAGGGCCTTCCTATGAAACTTCAAATTATACCATGCAGGTAGTTCTAGCTACTCAACCTGTACAAAAGGCATCACTGAACAGAAGGCCTAATCCTTATGATTACAACTCTTGATAGCTCACTAGATTTTCTCTTAAAAGACAAACATTTTGGGAGGAACCCACATTATTACTCTCATCAGAAATGGCAAACAAATTCTTACAGTAATAAGCCAAACTAATGTAGTCTTCTACCTCATTCCCCCATCTTAAAAGCCATCTTTCCAATTTTTGGTTTCATATACTTTCATGAACATATTTATCTTTACTGTTTAAGAATTATGCAAGATATTAGGATCTTCATTCTAAATATTGATTCTAAGTACAGAAGACTAGAAAAGGTATAGTTAGCATCTGATGATTTTGGGACCCAGCCAGAAGATACTACTTCGAATACATTACTGAAATCCAATGGTATTCTTAATCATTTGGCCCTCATTAAAATGAAGAACCCAAACTTTCAGGTCACTGAAATTTCTGCTTAACTGACATATTATTCTCTACAAACCAAAATCTCAGGCAAAGGCACCAGAAGTTAAAAAAAAAAAAAATCAATCATTAACTTAAAAGAAATATTACATAGTTTTTATAAAAACTGACCTATAAGATTTTTAATATGAATATTGTCACCAGGAAACACAGCCAGACTCCAACCAGTTTAAACCAATGTAAAACATTAAATCCAAAAATTCTCAAGTACCTTGACCTTGTACCTGGGTCCTATTAAAACTGACTTAAAAGTACAATCAGCCGGGTGTGGTGGCTCACGTCTGTAATCCCAGCACTTTGGGAGGCCGAGGTGGGCGGATCACCTGAGGTCGGGAGTTCAAGACCAGCCTGACCAACATGGAGACACCCCATCTCTACTAAAAATACAAAATTAGCCAGGCGTGGTGGCACGTGCCTGTAATCCCAGCTACTCAGGAGGCTGAGGCAGGAGAATTGCTTGAACCGGGAGGCTGAGGTTGCAGTGAGCCGAGATCACGCCACTGCACTCTAGCCTGGGCAACAAGAGTGAAACTCCGTTTCAAAAAAAAAAAAAAAACAAGAAAACTGGGGTCATAAGTTCTATAATCTATTTCACTCAAATGACCTAAAACTATTCCTTTTCATTGGAGGGGTGGAACTGTTTCTCATTTAAATACATTCCTTTCCAAAAGAAAAAGGAATGTCAAGGCAGCCAAATACATCCATTCTGAATTTTCTATATAATGTTCCTAAACATGTCAGAAACATTTACCATGTACATGACTTGCTTCAGTGGTGAGCACACTAAAATTGGAACAATATACATAATATCAGTGTGGCTTCTATTAAGAAAACAAGAAAGATCCTGACACATTACAGATTTTGGAAAAAACTTCACAAAACTTTCCCAAATTCGATGAAATTTTTTTTTTCTTTTTTAAGGAAAAGGGAAAAACAGATATCTTGAAAAGAAGCCTCAAATCTGAGAGATTGGGGTCTCTCATCCTGTCCAAACCCTGCTCTAGGGAAGGTCAGGTGGAATTCTGACAAAACCCCTTACCCCAGAATTGCATGAATGGAGTTAAGATGGCTCGTAATGTAATGAAGTGAAAAAAGCACTGGACAGAGGCAGGAATCTCAGTTTTGAGTCTAGATCTGCCACAAGCAACATGTTGCCTTAAACACGGAACTTCCTTTAATCAGACTGGGTTCTTCACTCTTAAAATGAAGTAAGGTTTCCACAATTCTATGAATCTAGATTTTATCACCCTCTCTATTTCTATTTGCTTCTCCTTTAAAGTATACAGAGAATTCCTACGTCTACTCATATAACAGAAAGTCTGATTTTACACAAAGGCATAATTTTAGCATCTGAAGAAACTTGCAAGCCTAGAGACCCCTTACTTCTATTAACTAGGGGACTTGCTTTTAATTGAACCATGGAGGCAGAAGTTGGCTACCACCACTCTGAAGATTCCCATCTCTCCCACAAATATCGAACTAAAATTAAAAAAATATTAAATTAAATTAGTATTATTAAATTTAAAAAGTATTATTTATACTATAGTATGAGTGAAAGATTATTATAGCTACCACCTCCCACTTTCTATACCTCTGCCTTAGTGGAACGGACGCTAGGAAAGGAAACGTTTTAATAAAATGACAGCCAGGTGCGGTGGCTCACACCTGTAATCCCAGCACTTTGGGAGGCCGAGGTGGGTGGATCACTTGAGGCCAGGAGTTTAAGAGCAGCCTGGCCAACATGGCAAAACCCCGACGCTATTAAAAATACAAAAAAATTAGCCAGGCATGGTGGCGCACGCCTGTAACTCCAGCTATTCAGGAGGCTGAGGCACAAGAACCCACTTGAACCCAATGCACTCCTGCCTGGGTGATGGAGTGAGACTCTGTCTCCAAAAAAAAAAAAAAGAAAAGAGGAGGAAACTTGAGTGGTTTGGGGGTGACAACTTACTTTTCACTGTATACGCTTTTGTGCCTTATTTTGTTCCATGTCCTTATATTTCTTACTCAAAATTTCAAGTATTTAAAAAATAAATGGATTTTATAAAAATTTGATTCAAATAGTAAGTTTAACTTTGAAACCAATAAAATCATTCTTGCTTTTAAAAAACTGAGTGCTTTTCACTGATTTTCATTTTACTAAGAATTACTTTTGAGTAAGTTATTTTAAACATCTAACACTTAAAAATTTTAAGCATGAAAATTTTACATTGAAATAATCTAGAAGTTAGTTCTGTCAAATTCAGTGTTTTCTCCCACCCATTTATAAAATCACTATGTCCCAATATAAAGCCCTGTGTTAAATATCTTATTACAAGGAGCTACAAACAAAAATGGTCAACTGTGCATGCAACAAAGCTACTAGAGGAGCCAAATCATCTTGTTTCACCATTCAAATGTGCAAAAAGTCTTACTGGATTGGATTCTCCACTAAATTCACATAGCAAAAATAATTCTGCATGTGATTTTTTTTGGCAATAATTTATTATAGGTGCTTACGCTATGTTTACTTTTGAAGTTTCAAGATAAACCACCATATGTTATTAAGGGGAAACCAAGATGGCACAATGACTTCCTGTAATGACAACATGCAATACCTGATATTGCAAAGCCCAATGCCTTCAATTCTTTTGTTATTCCATTGCACAAAAGTTCTGTTTATAATTTCAACTTTTATTTTAGATTCAGGGTGTACCTCTGCAGGCTTATTACACGGGTATATTGTGTGATGCTGAGGTTTGGGGTACAATTGATCCTATCACCCAGGAAGTAAGCATTGTGCTGGACAGTTTTTCAGCCCTTATCCCCTCCCTCTCTTCTGCCTCTAGTAGTCCCCAGTGTCGACTGTTCTGTCTTTATGTCCACGTGTACCCAATGTTTACCTCCCACTTTAAGTGAGAACATGTGGTATTTGGTTTTCTGTTCCTGTGTTAATTTGCTTGGGATAATGCAATGCACAAAAGTTTAAAATTAAATGCAAAAACACAGCATAGGGGAAGCACCTTCATTTGTAAACAAAAAGACTATTCTTTAGCCAAAATGGTGACTATTCAACCACTTCCAAATTCATAAATGAAAACAAATTTAAAGACTGGACGATTGGGTAACACTTGAGCAGTAAAGCAGATTAAGAACTAGTCAAGTTTCTAAAATGTTTATGTTTGGGAAGAAAAATATACCTTCAAGACTTGCTGAATCTACTTCATTTCTAAGTAGTACAAGTGTTCTCTTTCCTCTGTCATAAATCAGAGTATTGGAAATGGAGTCAAATGCCACATTTAGATTTCGACCCTCAGTGACTATATATTTCTTCAGCCTCTCCATTGTTCAGCAAGTTGCACAGATTTCTGCCTCCAAAATGTCCCATTCCTTCCTGTCTTAGTCTGTTCAGGCTGCTATAATAGAATACTATAGGCTGGGTAGCTTATAATATAGCAACAAACATTTATTTCTCTCAGTTCTGAAGCCTGGGAAGTCTAAGATCAAGACACTGGCAGACTCAGTGTCTGGTAAAGGCCAGCTTCCTTGTTCACAGATAGTTGTCATCTTGCTTGTCATCACATGGAGGAAGGAGTGAGGGAGCTCTCTGAGGTCTCTTTTATAAGGGCACTAATCCCTTATAATCACTTCCCAAAGGCCCACCTCCAAATACCATCACACACCAAATACCATTCTCTTTCAAATCTCAAAGCCATGGTCTTAGTTCATTTGCTTATCTCTAAATGCCTCCTAACCTCTTTGCCAACACACTCTCTCTCCATCGTGACTTTCTTCACACAACCAAATCTCAGAGACATTTGATTATGCCTCTTCTCAACTGAAAGAGGTGCCACAGAATAAAATCTAAATTTCTTAAAGTAGCACCCAGGGCCTGCATGATCTGGTCCTCTCAACCTCACTATTCCTACTTCCTCTCCCATATCATAACCATCCCACAGACTTACGTGGCTTTGCATATTCTAGTATTATGGCCTATAATTCACCCTCCTCCCCAACAGCTTGAAATGCTACTGGATTCTCTAAAGCTCAAGTCAAATGCCACTCTCCTCCCTGAATTGTTTCTCCCCAATGAGATATTTCCCTTCTCTGTGCCCACCTGTACTTCCTTTGAATTGTTGCTATAGTATAGCTCGCAGGTTTGTGTTGGAGTCTGTTACTTACATAAATGTCTATCTTCACCACTAAGGTTTTTGTCTGGTTCACATATGCTTCCTTTAAAATACTGAAAACTTATCAAGCTATGACTATGCAGCCATTCAAATAATATGGACCACTGTTTTCTAGAAGTTTTCATTCTAATAAAGAAAATTACATAAATATATATATTTGAAATAAAATTAGGAGGTGAATTTTATGGTATGTGAATTATACCTCAAAAAAATAACTTTACGATAAGTGGTATATGAAAGGTAATTTAGAAATATTTTAGCCAACCCAGTATCATCCTCTTTGATGGTTCTGTTTTTTTTATGAAGGTAAATATAACTTTGGGTTGGCTAAAAAAAATTATTGGGAATTGGTTATTCCATATTTTAAAATTATAGATATGGAGAAAAAAGTAGACCATCTTTATTGCTTAAGACCTAATAAACTTATTCATAAGACAGTTCCAACTCTCTGAAACCCATGGAAAGGATCATCATAGAGGCTTCTTCAGCTTCTCTAGATCATCCCTGACAAAATCAAGTGTTAAAAAAAAAATTAGACTCACCCCTGAGTTATCAAGTATCACAAACCACCTCCTGATTTCTACCTGGACAAGAAAAGCATCTTAACCTAGCCTCTTTAAGCAAAGCAGGCTAAACCAGGTTGAGTGCGGTAATTCTTGTTTCATCCAACTTTCTACTGGGAAAACAGTTCTGTTTTAGAAATAAGGTCCACATAAGTTATTTTAGTTATTCTTCCATACATCTGAATTTGCACGCACAGATTTTTTTTCCTGGTATTTTTAAAAACTTGAGACATAATTCATATACCATAAAATTTACTAATAATTGTACATTTCAGTGGTTTTCAGTATATTCGCAATGTTGCACAACCATCACCACTATCTAGCTCCAGAACTTTTTCATCATCTTTCCTTTTCAAAAGGAAACCCAGTACCCATTAAGCTGCCACTCCCCATTTCCCCCTCCCTGCAGCTCCTGACAACCACTAATCTCCCTTCTGTCTCTATAAATGTCTATTCTAGACATTTCATGTAAGTGGAACCATATAATATGTGGCCTTGTGTATCTGGCTTTTTTACTTAGCATGTTTTCAAGGTTCATTTATAATATAAAATGCATCAGTAATTCATTCCTTTTTATGACTGCATAATATCCCACTGCATGGATACCGCATTTGTTTATCCATTTATCAGTTGATAGGCATATGGGTTGTTTCCATTTTTGGGCTATTATGAATAATGTTGCTATGGTCACTAGTGTACAATTTTTTTGTGGGAACACATTTTCAATTCTCTTGGGTATATACCTATGAGAAGTGCTGGATCGTAAACCGTTACCATTTTTAACCACGTTAACTCTGAGGAACAGCCAGACTGTTCCATTTTTAAAGGGCAGTAACAACACTATTTTTATTTTCACATTTTGATTAAAATAAAGTTGTTCAATCCCTAGAGAAAATGGTTTCCTTCAGGACCAAGTGTCCTTAGCAGTTAAAATAAATTCAAGGTTTTATAAGATACATTAAATCCCTTCAAAGCATAAAGATGTATAGAAATACTTCAAACCCATATTAGAGCAAAGCTTATTCTAGTCATCAAAGGGATTAAATATGCAACCATTTAAAAAATGGAGGAGGAAAATGACAACTCACAAGTTTATATAGTCGGCCTATAATTATGCACTGATCTCTCCTCATAGCAACTTGCAAATAGATGTCTAACAGACATTTCAAATGAATGTCTCAAACTGAACTCTTATTCTCTCCCATTCTCCAAACTGCTCCTTCTTAGACTTTTGCCTAGGCCCAAAACCTTGGTGTCAAGTTTGACTCCTCTCTCTCAACATATACCCCCATATTTCAGTAAGAAAATCCTATTGATTCTATCTTTAAAATATATCCAGAATCCAATCAATTCTCACTACCTCTACCAGATACATCATCTCTCACCAAGAGTATTGCATTGACCTCCTAAGTAGTTTCCCTGCATCTACACTTGCTCACTATGGTCTAGTCTCAAAACACAGCCAAAATAAACCCTTTAAACATCTGTCAGACGGTGCCACACCTCTGTTTGAAGTTATCCAGTGGCTTCCCATTATCCCCACCACGTTCTGCTTCATCCATGCCAGTTATGCTTGGGCCTCGGGGCCTTTGGCTTGTTTCCTCTGCCTGCAATGTTCTTCCCCGCAGACATCCACATGCATGCTCTCTCATCATCTTCAAGGTCACCTTCTCTGTGAGGACTTTTCCTGGCTGCTCTATTTAGGTCTGCAATTACGCCCAAACACTCCCTTAGTTTCCCTTCCCTGCTCTATATTGCTCCATAACATTTATCACTAACGTAACACATACTTTATTTCTATTGACTTCCAAGAATATAAACTGCATTAGGGCAGGAGGACTTGTCTGTTTTGCTTACTGCCAAATTCTCAGCACTTAGAATGGAACCTGACACATAATAATTGCTCAATAAATATTTGTTGAATGAATAAATGAATAAAGGATGCACCGAGCTGCTCAAAAAAATAAGGGCTAAACAGGTCACAAATATGTATGAGGAACTAATATTACTACATCTAATAAAGTTCAGATGAGAGTGGAAAGCATTTATGGGAAAAGATACCACAATGTTTCTACAGTTTGCTTTAGGAAAAGTTGCTATCCTTGCTCATTTCACGTATTTTGGAAAGAATCTGTCCTTTGCCAAAGGCTCTAGCTTCCGAAGAGCTGACAACAAACTCTGGGAGTTGACAAGCTCCTGGGGTAATGATGTCCTTCTCTTAAGTGCCACATATACATAGAGCCAAGGACCTTCATGGTCTTCATCTTCTATTAGCCCCATTCCCAGAATCTTCACACAGTACAATCATAGGTTTCTTGGCCACTCTCCAAGTAAACCTACAAACTGGTGAATTCAGCTTCTTCAGAAGCATAATCACAGCACCTTCAAGCACAGATGAATCTTAAAAAAATGCTTTATCCCAATGGCTCACATATTTTATATAAAAGAAAACTAGCCAGGCACAGTGGCTCACGCCTGTAATCCCAGCACTTTGGGAGGCCGAGGTGGGCGGATCATGAGGTCAGGAGATGGAGACCATCCTAGCTAACACGGTGAAAACCCGTCTCCACTAAAAATACAAAAAATTAGCCGGGCGTGGTGGCGGGTGCCTGTAGTCCCAGCTACTCGGGAGGCTGAGGCAGGAGAATGGAGTGAACCCAGGAGGTGGAGGTTGCAGTGAGCCGAGATGGCGCCACTGCACTCCAGCCTGGGCAACAGAGCAAGACTCCGTCTCAAAAAAAAAAAAAAAGCAAACAGAAAGTTACTTGCTCAAAATGTCTTGAATAGAGTTACAGTAAGAATTTTTCAAATAGTAAGGGATAAACATGACAAGTCTGAGTGAGAGAACTGAGACACTTTGGAACAAATCTAAAATCTGAAAACGGACAATGTTATTTTACAAAAATTTTAAGTGAAATGGTCATATCTCGTATCAACTCCATCCATCCATCATCCACATATTAGATTTAAAAGTTATATAACAGACATTGACAGAATATGCTCTAGCATTAGGCAAACAAAGTAAATGATGGACAAATACAGATTTTTAAAATCGTACATCTCTTCCCCAAAATGAGGCTTTCCTTGTCCAGCGCTGGGAATGATGAGGATTCCTAAAGTCTTTCTATTAATACTAACTTTCCTAAGCATTACTGCCTTCAAAACAGATGTATAAGGATATTCCTATAAAAGCAGGAATTTTCATATGGAGTTAAGAGGGAGCACTGTTAAAAGTCTACATGTGACCACCACTGCCACTCCATCCCCTCCCTTCACTCCTGCCATATTCTAATGTATTTCCTAGGGAGGCCAGTCCTTGGCACTGCTACAAATAAGTCTTTGCTGTAGCTGTTAAATGCCTTATAGTGGCAAGATATTGTGAACCACTATTATAAACTATCTCCCATCATGCTATAGAAAAAGAATCATTTTCACGGACAGTAATTTCTGGCCAAAATCCTTTCCATCTTCTCCACTTAATGAAATCTTAACTCCTCCTTCAAGGTCCACCCTTGTTCTTCTTTCCCATGAGGGCTTTTCTGACCACTCCAACTCTTTTTTTTTTTTTTTTTTTTTTTTTGAGACAAAGTCTCACTTGTCACCCAGGCTAGAGTGCAATGGCGTGATCTCAGCTCACTGCAACCTCCGCCTCCCAGGTTCAAGCGATTCCCCTACCTCAGCCTCCCAAGTAGCTGGGATTACAGGCGCCTGCCACCATACCTGGCTAATTTTTATATTTTTAGTAGAGATGGGGTTTCATCATGTTGACCATGCTGGTCTCGAACTCCTGACCTCTGGCAATCCACCCACCTCAGCCTCCCAAAGTGCTGGGATTACAGGCGTTGAGCCACTGCACCCAGCCCACTCCATCTCTTTTCTTGACCAGTTGACCTGTGGCATTTGTTTTCTGTATCTGTCATCTGGCATTCATCACACACACTGGCAAGTAACATATTTTGCATTGTTGTTTTAGTTATTGCTGACCATTCCTATGTTTGACTGGGAAAGTCTGAGTCTCAAGGAGTGATGTATCTCATAGCTTATGGGGATTTTCTGGAAGACACATATTAAAGTATAATTCCTTACAGATAAAGGAGAAGGACCAGAAGCCCTAAGGGTGACTGGGTTAAGAATACACAGCAAAACCATCATTTAACTGCAATTTTAGAAGCTTTTGGTTATACCAAAACAATGATCCCCAACCTTTTTAAACAAGATACCTTTTATGCTCAAAATGTGTTAACAAACAAGACCATTACTCATAATAGTAGTCAGGTATTAAATATCTCTTAATTTAAAAAATACATGGATTCAATGAAGTTTTAGTACATACACGTAAGGTATGGTACTTATTCAGTATACAGAACGTACTTGGTATGCACAAAAACTTGGTTTCCCCTAGGACCTCAGGATGGCACATGGTTTAATTTTATTGTACTGTGGACATGATTATTGCCATATTGAAAAGTACTACCACATAAAAATATTTAGAAGGAAGCAAACTAAATATGTATATATTATACATACAAAAAACAAATCCCCACTCCCCTACAAAAAATAAACCCAGCCAAAACCTCTTCAGTAACTCTTCCCATGAAGGGTATATTTTAAGCACACGCCCCAGGGTGAAACAATTCACTTCATGTTTCAGTAAACTTTTCTTGTGGTTTTAAATATAGCAGAAGGAACAAAAGTTAACATAGACAAAATCAAATAGAAAACATTTGGAAGTTCATCTCATGTATACGTCCTGATTCTAGTGAATTCTCAATCGTATTTACCCATGTTACCACTTCCTTAAAAACAACAACAGAAACCAAGAACCCCAGCATCAGTATTTTCCAGCCAAGGCAGAAATATCATTCTAATCTTGGTTCAACTCTTCTGTGCAGTCACCAACAAAAATAAACATAAATAAATCAGCAGTATATAGCATAGTGCTTAAGGGTATTAGCCCTGACCTCAAATCTTGGCTCTGCCCTTTGTTAACGGTACGATCTTGGGCAAGTTACTTCACTAAACTTTGGATAATTTATGTGAAGTGCTTAAAATGATCCTTGGCAGGTTTTAAAGGCTAACAAAAATGATTACTAATTAAGTAATTACATATAATATATATAAATATGTAACAATCAAGTGTATTTTTATAGCAACAATTTCAAAGCTTCCTTTCAATTCATATTTTCAAAGTTCCTTCTTGTCTGGCTTTGACAAGCCTATTCCAGATACCTTAAACCTCCACTGACCTGTAACTAGTTCTACTACCTCCAGTTCTACCCATGGCTGCTACCACAGTAAGTTTTTGGAAAATAGGGAAAGAAAAAACAAACAAAAACCAGGAAACCACTACCATACACCAAAACAACAACAAAATCTACTTTGAAACAGTGAATTCACTCAAGTAGGAATCATTGCCTTACAAAATGAGACAAAAAGGGCAGGAGAAAAAAACAATCGAAGTATTCAAGTATTCTTAAAACCCTTACCTCCAGTTAGGCAAATGATTTGTTTGCTGATTCTAAGCCCAAGCAGATTTTAACATCATTATTGTCTGCAGGAGCCATCAATAACCAACCAGACCTGCTATTGAAAGACTGCTCTCATTAAAATAATTTTCTTTACCACTTAATTTAATTTCACCACTACTCGGCTGTTTTTAACATAAGGCTCAACAACTTCTTCAGGTTTCTCTTTTCCCATGCATTCCAACAAGTACTGAATTAGTTCTTCATCATGTGTTTAGGCCTCCTGCTGGGAAGCATAATTAAAATTAAGCAGGCAACAATTCCACTTGGTACTAAGATCCTGTCAAATCCTCCAAATGAAGCTGGGCCTGGTTTCTCCAGGAACTGGCTGAGTTCTGTAAGGAAAACAGGAGCTGCTCAACTTGATGCTGGCCATTCAGTAGATGGCACTCTTCCCTTTGAGCCCAAATTAAACAGCCCCAAGAAGTATGTCCTGTTACATTCAGGTGTGACACAAAGCAGGGGTTCTCTCTTCAAAGCACTTAACTGACAGTCACAATCCCTCCTGAAATGCTGACTGGTCAAGGCAGACACTCTAAAAGAGCACAGGGACGTTTAGATTATAAGACATCAAACAATATAAAATCATCTAACTTAAGTGATTACCAATTAATCAGCTTCTCAGAGGTTATTACTATCTCAAGCAAATACACTGTTCTTATTGAGGCATAAAATGTTCCTTCCCTATTACATTCTGCTATAACAGTGACAGCCTTTCTGTGGCTAGTGACCGGACCCTTGTCTATCGCATGTTTTACTAAGGTATTTAGCTATGGCAAAGTGCTTAGAGAAATAAGATTTTATCATTATCAACATTCACTATGACAGATGAAGTAAAAATGTATTACTTTCAGCATTTTTAACTGAAAATAAATTTGATGTCCACTTAAAAAAAAAATCAAACATTCTGCCAGGCGCAGTGGCTCACACCTGTAATCCCAGAACTTTGGGAGGCCGAGGCGGACGGATCACGAGGTCAGGAGATCGAGACCATCCGGGCTAACATGGTAAAACCCTGTCTCCACTAAAATATAAAAAATTAGCCGAGCATGGTGGTGGGTGCTTGTAGTTCCAGCTGCTTGGGAGGCTGAGGCAGGAGAATGGCATGAACCCAGGAGGCGGAGCTTGCAGTGAGCCGAGATCAGGCCACTGCACTCCAGCCTGGGCGACAGAGCGAGACTCCATCTCAAAAAAAAAAAAAAAATCAAACATTCTAATATGAAAATTAGTGCAGCTCTAGTTTTTCAAAAAACAAGTATTTTTAAAGCAATGAATTTCTAATTCATTGATAATGTGTACTTTAATAAATAATAGCTCCCAATTATTAAATGTTGAGTAAGGTTTGTCACACTTCTATTTTGAAAATCTTTATTCGAAATTTAACAAGCAGACAGTTGTGGAGAAAGAAAAAAATTCCTTTTAGTGCAATCTCCAATTTAAAGCTAAAATGTTAAGCAATCAGATAGAATTCACCTTAAAAATTCTACCTTCCCATCCTGGCCAACATGGTGAAACCCCATCTCTACTAAAAATACAAAAAATTAGCCAGGCGTGGTGGCCCATGCCTGTAAACCCAGCTACTCGGGAAGCTGAGGCAGCAGAATCACTTGAACCAGGGAGTCGGAGGTTGCATTGAGCCGAGATCACGCCACTGCACTCCAGCCTGGCAACAGTGCGAGACTCCGTCTCAAAAAAAAAATTCTACCTTCCCTTAGGAAAGTGAACTCAACTCTGACAATAAAAACTGTAAAAGAAGGCTGGACGCGGTGGCTCACACCTGTAATCCCAGCACTTTGGGAGGCCGAGGCGGGTGGATCACCTGAGGTTGGGAGTTCGAGACCAGCCTGACCAACATGGAGAAACCCCATCTCTACTAAAAATACAAAATTAGCCGGGCGTGGTGGCGTATGCCTGTAATCCCAGATACTCAGGAAGGCTGAGGCAGGAGAATCCCTTGAGCCCAGGAGGTAGATGTTGCGGTGAGCTGAGAATTGCGCCATTGCACTCCAGCCTGGGCAACAAGAGTAAAAAACTCTGTCTCAAAAAAAATAAAAATAAAAAAACTGTAAAAGAAAGGCAAGGTAAGAGGTACACTGTTTTCACCTTTAAAAAGTTGGCTGTGGAAATAAGGAATACGAACAATGCATCAACTTCATTGCAAATCCCTTTCTACCTCCCATTTGTGCAGCTCAGGCAATGAAGCATTCCACTCATCCAAGGCACTTATGCCCAATCACAACTCCATTTGAGCTCTGACCATTGCCATTTTCCAACCACCTCCTTAGATATTAAAAGGCTGACCTTCTAGAATTTTTTTGTCATGTATTAAGACAAATGAGAACAGAAGTCACGATGCAGCTAACAGTTGCTCACTCTAACTTCCTAGGGCGTAAAAGTGGAGTGTTCTTAGAAGTCCCTGGGGAGGCCTTGACTTCCAAATTTACTTCCTTAGATATACCAAGTAAGCCTAACTATCTTCTTCAGGAGGATGAGTAAACCCAACTTTCTGCTCTAGCATTTAGTCATTCTAGCAAATCAAAAGATGATAGGATGAGAATATTGAATGGAAAAGGAAAACAGAAATGCTGTCCTTGCTCAGGATGAGCTGAGCCATTGTGGAAGAACTGCACAGAAACACTGCTAATGGTGACAAAGACATACACCGAGTTCCCATGACACTAAAAACTCAGCACTTCTCCAACCTGATTGCTTTTACATTGTTTGAGTTCCACCTCCTCTAGTAGGTAACCAACAAACCACCACAGAGGCAGAGTTAAACAGGCTGAGTCACTCACATCAGCACTCTCCTCTTTCATTCCATCTGAAAAGGTGAGCACTTCCTTTGGTGAGGGAGGGGAAAGTAAGAAATCACAAGAATAAATTTAAAGAGGTATGGAAGCTTAAAAAAATAATTTCGTGTATATTACTTGGAGTTAGGTTATCCTGCTTAATCCACTGCTTGCCTTAACGTATCTGTGATCACTGTTATTTTATTGTTTCACTAATATAGTATACTTCTTGAGACACTGGTTTTAAAGACATTATGTTACTGTCCTTAAATTTCTCAGAAGTGTTTTTACCTCCTAGCTGGTTGAGGGAAATGTTTATCCTATGGAAATTGCATATGCCCACTGCAGAAAAAATTGAGTTTCATAACCCTAGATTAAAACCTTAGCCTTGGCCGAGTGCAGTGGCTCACGCCTGTAACCCCAGCACTTTGGGTAGCCGAGCGGGGAGGAACACTTGAGGTCAGGAGTTCAAGACCAGCCTGGCCAACATGGCAAAACCCCATCTCTACTAAAAATACAAAAATGAGCCGGTAGTGGTGGCAGGCGCCTGTAATCCCAGCTATTCAGGAGGCTGAGGCAGAAGAATCGCTTGAACCCAGAAGGCAGAGGTTGCAGTGTGCCGAGGTCACACCACTGCCCTCCTGCCTGGATGACAGAGAGAGACTCCATCTCAAAACAAAACAAAACAAAAACCTAAAAATCCAAAAAAACCGTAGCCTTGTTTGAAGAGGTAGTCATCTTAAATGCCAGTTTATGTACCGTATACAAACCAATCTCCTCAGGCCCATTTTCATTGAAAGAAAAAAAAAAGTAAACATAACATATGGTGCTGATGCAGATCAGTCTGACTTCAAGTAAAGGCTCAATTTAGATCTAACCTTACCTTAAAGATATAAACCAGGCCTGTGGCTCATGCCTGTAGTCCCAGCTACCTGGGAGGCTGAGGTGGGAGGATGGCTTGAGCCCAGGAGTTCGAGACCAGCCTGGGCAACATAGTGAGAGCTGTCTCAAAAATACAAAAGAAGAAAAAAAAAAAAGATATAAACATATGCCAAGGCCTATACATCTTGTACAATAACGGTTCAGCTTTTAGTGGAGTTAAAACTAAGCAATATTATCTTCAAGAAACAAACTTACAAGAACAGTAAGCCTTTTAAAATCAAAGAGAGGTTTCATCCATTTTATACCTTTTGGTGATCATGCTACTACTATTTGGATTATGCTAGACAACTCTGAAAGCCACATTCATTCTTTAAGGTTTCTAGGATACTCTAAATGTATTCCTTCAATGCAGTTAAGTAATGTCCTAGAAGCCTGAAAGGAATTGTTAACGCAGCTTTTCAAACATACTCAACCAAAAACAGTTTAAGGAAACAAGGGGCTCTGATTCTCATTATCTGTGCTACCATCTAAGACTTTAAGTTAAACAGTACTTTCTTAACATTTAACATGTTTTCAACTGGCAATTCAATTTTGAACTTTGAGACTGGTCCAGATATTCAGCAACATTAAAATACACATGAAATAAATAAAAGATCCACAAACCTTTTTTCTCCAACACTTTTTTCCCACATAAAGGTATTACTCTATGCATACTGTTGGTACTCAATAAATATTACATTAATACACCAGGTGAATAATTTTTAACTTTACCTAAAAGGAAGAGAATCCCTCAAGTAGCATGGTTTGACATACGTATACATAGACACACACATCCATAATTAGCTACTGCAAGAATAAAAAATAATCATATTCATCTAAGGGATAACACACTTTTTCGTTCAAGCAACAGCCAATGAAAGACTTCTAACCTGTATGTTTTAGAGGATTCTTGATATATACAACCCATTACAGTAAAAAATTACAGTAAAAATTTGAGACTGTCTTGGCATTTGGCCAAGAGAACTGAATCTCTGGCAGAACCTGAAAGACCTCATAACAATCTCACCTATAAACACTCTGGCATGGACCCGGAGTTCAAACCATAGAGTATTAACAAAGAAGACATAAAGTATTAAGGCACTTATTTTGAATCTCAATGACATGACAGTCTAGGACTGTCCAATTAATTTTAAATTGGGTTTAAATAACTTCAAATAGGTCTACGTTTAAAAGGAAGAATAGCACTCGATTAGATATTTAAAGTTTTTTTAAAAATTCAAACTCTACATATTTAATATTTTCAAAGGAATCTGAAAAGCACTAATTATAACAAAAACAGTGTTTAGTGTGAGAAACAGATTAGTAACCTGTGTCTTCAATAAAGCTTGCACTTTCTCAATTCAACGCATGCTTGTTTTTAAACATTTTTTCCTAACATTACATTGCACTAAGTTGTCAAATGACATTTCATCTATCTACAATAATTCTAAACATTACTTAAAACAGCTCCTAATTTAGTTTATAATTTGTTTGACATATCAACTACAATGGTGAAGCAGCAACACACAGTTCCTTGAGGAATGTGAATGACAAAGTATAAGCCACAAGTTACATCTTTGCATTTAGGGTTCATTTTAGGAAGCAACTCAGGTGGTATTTAGAACAAACTTAAGTTAAAATTTATCTCAGGTTGATATGATGTTGGTAATCAGAAAGGTGATAAGGTTTACTGATTTACTGCAGAACTGGAATCTCCAATGGGAATTAGTGCCCTCTGGGCCACCTGGGGCCCTACATATCTGGTAAGCTTCAAAAAAAAAAAAAAAGACTTTAGTATCTTTAGTAATTAGAAAGATAGCACACTCTAGCACAAACTCTAGCACCCTAAACATATGTTGTGTATCAAAAGAGAATACCCTTTCAATGTCAAAAGGTGACTGTATTTAATGCGGATTAACCACCACTCCTTAGATTTAAGCATAACTTGGTGGTATTAATACCAGAGGATGTGGTTAAACAAGACATGTGCACCTGATAGTCGTGGGAATACTATGAAGACCTCTCACTGGTTTGCAGTAATTACCATGAGCTCAATAGCAACAAGGGGCAGTGGTTACATGGGCTCACTCTTGGGCCAGACTCTGGCTTCAGAACCAACCTGTGTCACCTTGGGAAGATACTTAACCTCTCCATGCCTCTGTTTAGCCACTGGGTTGTTGGAAGGACTAAGTAAATTAAATCATATAAAACTCTTAGTGCCTGGCACAGAGGTTAGGCAAATAAATATTGGCTATTACAAATATTTGCTGAGTCTTCACATGCTGGGTAGCATGACCTAACAGCCTTCAAAAAGATATGTCACTTTACATACTGATAATGATAAACACAAAAAGCACTGAATACAAACCCCATTCTAAGCACTTTACATATAACAACTCGGTTAAGCTAAAGTTCTGATGTGACTGTTCCCCAACACGCTACACAGTTTGTTCAGAGCCAGGTTTCTATGCTTTTATGTGATTTCTTCCCTCAAACACTTCTTATACTCTGATGACATGCATACATGCCACCCAGTACTGCTAACCAACTGCTTTGAAATGGGAGAGATTAACCAGCTAACCACCTGTAGGCTTACATGTGACAAAAGCACTCAGACATGATAGGCCTACTTCAGGAAGCCTCAAAACCTCAGAAGTTGGGCACCACCCTGTATCTAGGTTTTAGGATTGTGTGTAGGAGTTGGGCTGTTGCTGATGTTATGTTCTCTTGGTCTCAAAAGACATTCTGGTTTTACAAAGGCCAGATCTACACTTTAAACATAATTAGGCAGAATTCACATTCATGCCAGCATAATATTGAAGAAAGGGGTGAGACAGCAAAGTGTGTAATTTTCTCCCTTTCAGTCAATGCTTGAAACTTACATTACGAAAATACTATCCTTCTATCATGCAAAATATTTCCCAAGTGTCATATGATCAACTATGTCAAATGTTCACCAAACATTTCCTGATATCATATATGTAAAATGTAGCAATACATTGAATGTCTCATAACCAACTATCTCAAGAACTCCTTCAAATTATGTTTAACATTCAAAATAGATACACCCGTTTCTTCTTTAAAAACTATTACCAACATGCCAGCACTTCTGGGCACCTTAAGTGTTATCACAGACTGAACTCTTCAGAAAGATGAAGAGTTAAATGTAGCTGCCTTTATTTTATCCTGGTCCTCCTTCCATAAAGTTAATCTGCTCCATTTAAGCAAAGGAAAATAAGTTATAATGCAAGTACAATATAATGGAGACTTCGATATAAAAACTTTCTACAAATGCTCCATTTATAATGTTCCAGTTATTTATAGGGTTAAGTAACTTAACCCTATAAATGGGTTGGTCCCATAACTTAATTACACAAATATTTTTAACAGTCAAGTATTTAACTTGAAAACGACAAATTGCACTGTACTCTTATTTTTTCAATCTTTAAAAACACTCTCACTAGGAGTCTTCTAAAGCCAAAATTAGGAACGTACCCTGCACTATGTAGTCAGAAGCCATTCCAAGAAAAGCAACCATTTAATACTGCTAAATCTAAAATGCTACATAATTTAACGTAAACTTGCACGCACGTGTATGTAGCTAGTCCCATACCCCAGAATCTTATCAATTCCTTCCCCAAACTTGCATATAATCCTCCCTCAAAGCCTCTTGGCTAAGTTAAATTCCTTAACACTCTACCAGGTTAATTGCAACAGCACATGTGCCAAGGAAATTAGTGGTTTTCCTTGCGCTCCCATTTTCAACCGGCACCTACTTGCAATTAAATCTCTGCAACAAAAAAGTTCACCTGAAGCCGTTCTTGCCATTTTAAAAGAGGCCCAGATTATGCTACCTGTCTGTGGTCTTGCCTAAGCTATAATAGCCTACCTCCAAAGAGGCTGGACGTGCCCCAAACACCAGCACACCAGACCTGCTGCCAACTTCGCTTGTCACCCCTAGCAGGAAGCTCAACCTAACATGTATACGTTTGTAGGGGCGGTGTGTTTGTGTGTGTCTGTGTTGGGGGGTGGGGAAGCGGATTATAGGAGAAAGGTGACTGAACACTTTCAACTTGTAACAAAAAAAATTTTTTTTAAATGAGGAGAAAAACAACTAAAACCAACATTCGCTCCCTTTCCTCCACCTTTTCTAAGCGCAGGAACCTCTCACTCCCCTGGAGCGCACCTTCAGGGCTTAAGGTCCCCGGGGTCACCTAAGCTTCAGCCAGTAACTGATTTTGGTACTCCCCGCCTTCCTAGGGAAAACCAGCAGACGCGCGAAGCGTCGGGCCCACCCGGCGGCGCCGCAGGCCGTGCACCGCCACCCCCGGACCCTCCCCCGCAGGTACGCTCCCCTCTGGCCTGGCCGTGGTCCCCACTCCCGCCCCGGAAAAGGGTTCACCTGAGGCCGCAGGGACAGCCAATGAGAAGTCCCCTTGGCCCCGCCAGCCGCCGCTCCCTACCCCCGCGCGACCCCCAGTAGCGTCCCCAGTGCTAGCCCCCGCGCGGGTGCCCGCGTCCCGGCCCGGAAGAGAGGCGGGACGACGGCGCGTCCTCTCCCCGCAAGATTACCTCGCAGCGCGTAGCCGGCTTTGTGTTTCCCCTCCCTCCTTCTCGGCAGCCGCCCGGGCTGCAGCAGCCGCCGGATCCGCCGCTGCGGCCGCCTCTTAAGCGCCGCAGAGCCCCAGAGGGTAGGGCGGGAGAAGGGGAGGGGGCTTGAGGAGGGAGGGACCTGTACGCCGAGCCCTGTGCAGCAGGAAGCGGCGACACCTGGGATGCCGACGCCTCTGGCGCTTGCTCTGTGTTTTAAAAAATCTAATTTAAACCCCTCTTCTTTCCCTCCCGCCCCTCACACTGGCGACCGTTACGGGCTGGCGGCTCGCGCTCTGGCGGGACTAGCCGAGCGCCCCTCGAGCGTCCCTTGGTCCCGCCCCCTAACGCCCCGCCCCTAGGTCCCCAAGCGCCCCCCCCGGTCACGCCCCCAAGGTCCGCCCCTCGCAGCCCCCTACGCCTCTGGCCCCGCCTCTTGGGCTCCGAAGCCTCCCGGCCCCGCCTCCTCAAGACCTCGCCTCTGGCAGCCCCGAGCTCTCTCTGGCCCCGCCCCGAGCGCCCCTCGGGAGTCCTGGTCCCGCCCCCGCAGCCCCCTCCGCGCCCTCAAGCTCTAAGTCCGTGAAGCCGCAGCGGTGGGGGCCTGCAGGCCCGGCAGCCGGGAGGGCCTGGTTCGGGGCGGCTGCCTGGCGCCTTTTCAACGTCCTCTTCTGACTGTGCAGCTCGAATCCGCGGCGTCCCCGGAGGGCCAGAGGGGGAAACGACCCCGATAGAAACCCGACCGCGAAGGGGAGGAGGGGCGCCTCGGAAATGTCTCCCGCCCTAAATGAGCGAGCCCCCTACTCCTACTCCCGAGGCTGAGCCGCCGCTTTGAGTCAGCCTCGGCCGCCCACGCTGGCTGCTGGGGCTGTAGGAGGCCACTGCAAAGGTTCAACCTCCGCACGCCCCCCGTGGGGCCTGGACTTTGCTCTCAGCACAGCTGCCTTCGCGGGCGCCTAGTCCCCACAACCCCTGCTTCACCTCCACATAGGGGGAGGACAGGGGCTCTCGCTTCTGCTTCATTTGGACCCCTCGAGAGTCTTCACTCCCGCTTTGGCTCCCGGCCTCTGAACCTTATGAGAGCTCACTTCTTTGAGGCGAAAAGTCGAGGCATCGCCAAGAACCTTCAAAATGAATGCGGGGCCGGGCAAACTTTGCAACACGCAATTGCAGGGCTGTGGATCCATCCACAGGTGACACCGGGCCTCCCACCCCCCTCGCCCAGACATGTTTCTCATCCCAACCTATTCTTGAAATAGACCTCCCAGCGGTGCACACTTTTCTCTGCCACCCACGACTTCCACGTCCCTCCTGCACCAGTACACTTGCAAGCACACCCCTCCGAGCGCCATTCTAATGATTCATGGTCCCTTGGGCCAACCCCACCCTAACACACACAACAAACTTCGTTCCCCACCCTTATCCCCCTTCGTTTCCAAGGCACTGGCGACAATCCACTTCATTTCCTTTCCTCATCTGCAGACTCGTCCCCCTCAAATACCTCACGCCATCCGCCTCATCTTCATCCCCCCCCTCCTCCCTAAAAATGTGCTAATTAAAATGTAGTTTCCTCTTCCCACATATGAAGTGTGGAAAATGAATCTTGTCTTGACACAAACTGTGATGCATTTATCGTTTTCTCTCTCCACTGGACTAAGGCTGTAGAAATTTTAGTCTACCACCATCTCCCATTTGCTCAAAAAATCCAACCATGCCTTATTATTTTTAAATACTCTTAACGAATCGTGGGGAAGGCTGCCTAGTTTGAGGAAGAAAATTGTTTAGAAAATGCTCAGCCTGACATTTTATTTGGTATTTAAAAATATCTGCAGTATTTGAGAGAGATATTGGGAGTGGCTGGATATTTTCTTGCATTTAAAAAGCAAAAAAATGAAAAGCTTTGCATGCATCAAGGTTAGCCTTTTTATGAATAGCAAAAAAAGTATCCTAAGGGCACCTATCAGAATATAGTCCTCACTATATTTTGCTAGTCGCAAATCTGGACACCCCCACCACCACCAAAGGAAGACAAATTAACATAATCCATTTTAAGCATGTCTGATGAACAGTCTTTTCCATGATCATTCCTTTTCTCACAGTTTCTGGACAAAATAGCTAGATAGATCTCCTTACCCACCGAAGATCCAAAGCTTCCTTCTAACAAGGGTAGTAGACGTACGTGTCTGTGTCTTCTGTTCTCTAGGTGTGGATTCTGCAATGCTGCACAGAAACCTACTGCAGCCTCAGACCAACAGCAGCAGCAGCAGCGGCGGCGGCGGCAGCAGCAGCAGCAGCATTAGCAGCAGCAGCTTCTCTCAATGCTGAGTAGTAAGTGTTTGACTTAGTAAACTCTACAATTACCATTAGGCGCTTGCTTATGAGAGGAGGCGGAATCTTTCTTAAAGGAATGGGTTTTGTTTTTCCTCTCTAGTATTGCTTCATAAGAGGCAGAGAGGATGGAATCAGGGAGTTTTGTGGACTGAGTAAATGAGTACAGCTGTGGGAGGTCAAGGTTAAAATTAACTGGGTGGTTGAGGAATGGAGGCAATGATTTTAGTGTAAGTCAATGAAATGCTAGAAGCACCAGTTTTAAAGAGCCCTGCTAATTTCAAACATTGGGGTAATGGCAAAATAAAGTTGTATGCCTTGAAACTGATTAGTAATTTGTGCTAATATTTAATTTAATTTAATATTTGTGCTAATATTCAACATCGTACTAAAATAATAACTATATAAAGGAAAGCTATTTAGTATTTAATATAAGAATAAAAAGAAAAATGAATTAAAACTCGTTTATGTGACTAGAAGCAATGGATTCAAGTCCTACCTATAAGCATACTTGGAACTTCAGTGAATACCAGTATTAGAAAATATATTGTTGACAGGTTTCAATGTGTGCTCATGTGATATAAAAAATCACAATATTGCCGGGCGTGGTGGCTCACGCCTGTAATCCCAGCACTTTGGGAGGCTGAGGCAGGTAGATCACGAGGTCAGGAGTTCAAGACCAGCCTGGCCAAGATGGTGAAATCCCGTCTCTACTAAAAATACAAAAATTAGCCGGGCGTGGTGGCAGGCGCCTGTAATCCCAGCTACTTAGGAGGCTGAGGCAGAGAATTGCTTGAACCCGGGAGGCGGAGCTTGCAGTGAGCCAAGATCGCGCCACTGCACTCCAGCCTGGGTGACAGAGCAAGACTCCATCTCAAAAAAAAATAAAATAAAATTACAGTATTATGTATAGAAAAAACAAAATATATCTAAAATAATTTTTGGATAATAGCACAGTATTAATGCTATTTCAGTGGCAATTCAAAGGTCAGCAAAATTAAGAAACACAAGTGGATTGACTGACTCTAAGTGCATATGAATCTGCTATTTACACTATTAAAATGTGTCGTGTCCACCTGAGAATCTGCATTATAACCTTACATTTTATCTTTATATTACTTGATTTAAGCACTTACCAGTTATGTTTTTTTCTCTATAAGTAAATGAAGAGGTGTGATCTCAAAATATGAATAGAAAGAAATAAAGGAAATATTCTGCCTTTAATTTTCTTTGCACAGCTTTTGTTAATGATGTACCTGTGTGATCTTGAACAAGTAAATAACCTTATTTGGTTCTTAGTTCCCTATTTTGTAAAGTGAGGAAGTTGGATTGAAATTTCCCAGGGTCTGGCCGGTCATGGTGGCTCATGCCTGTAATCCCAGCACTTTGGGAGGCTGAGGCAGGCAGGTCACGAGGTCAAGAGATCAAGACCATCCTGGCCAACATGGTGAAACCCTGTCTCTACTAAAAATACAAAAATTAGTCGACTCACTGCAATCTCTGCCTGCCAGGTTCAGGCGATTCTCCTGCCTCAGCCTGGGACTACAGGCGCATGCCACCACACCCAGCTAATTTTATGTATTTTTAGTAGAGACAGGGTTTCACAGTGTTAGCCAGGATGGTCTCGATCTCCTGACCTTGTGATCCGCCTGTCTCGGCCTCCCAAAGTGCTGGGATTACAGGCGTGAGCCACCGCACCCGGCCTCAATTTTTTTTTTTAATGCCTCCTACAGGGAGAGAATTAAAAGAAATTAGTTGCCCAGTTTCCTTCATCTGTTTTTGTTTTCCTTGCTTCTCTGCAAGGAGGGCTTTTTATTTCATCTACCAGGTAGTATTGAACAATGAATAAAATGGTGATTATTTGTATAATTCAAAGCATTCCCCCACATCCCCTCCCCGCAAATTGAATGCATTTCTTTACCTCTTCCCAAAGTGCTCAGCACAGTCTCTTATATAAAGGCACTTAACGGATACTTTAAAAAATGAATACACGATTTAATGAATGAATTGCTCCCAACATATCCAGAAACTGACTACAAAGTGTTTTTGTTTGTTTTTAATTTGCATTGTCCAAAACAACTGACTCCATTCTCTACCTCCCTTTCCTAACACAGTCATGATCTAAAAGAAACAATCTCTTTTCTGTAGAGCTCTTTAGACGTGCCTGATTTGTATTCTCCAATTAAATTGTAGCCACAAATCTCAACAGGAACTCTGGGTAGATCAAGCAGTAGCAGAGGCACTTTCTGCCAAGAAAACACAGGCTTCAGTTTCAGAGTTCTGGTGTTCCAGTTCTAGATGTAACACCAACTGGTTATATGACCTTAAACAAGTTTCTCGACATGCTTGTGCCTCAGTATAGCTGTCTTTTAAGTGGTGGTGGCGGTGGATTATAATACGTGCTGTACCTACTTCATAGGGTTGTAGTGAAGTTCAAATGAGATAATAAATGTAAAAATGCTTTGAACTTTTCAAAGCACTATGTAAATATAAGGTATTATTATAGGCAAATGTATTTAAAATCAATTATCTAGTTCAAGGGACTTTACCCTAAACAACCTGTTTTACTACTTGTTGTTTCAGAAAGCAAACAGGTTTATCTTTCTCTCTTCCTCTTTCTCCATGCACAGACACACACACACACACACACACACCCTTACTGTTCCCAATTTAACAACTTCTCAGCTTTGAGGATTTTCCCTTGGGTTGGGAAATATGCATATGCCATTTGAATATGAAGAGCCAAGAATTTATAGAATCCTCTCCCTATCCCACCCCCCCAAAATTTACCTTTTTAAAGCTCTCAGACAGAAAAGTAAACTTAATGAAGCACAACAGCCTTTTCAAACTACATAATGTTATGTATTTAATCAGTGGAGTTAGATGAGCCATTCATTTGAAACTTGGCCATGCTGCATACATTTTGATCACCCTTTTATGCCAAGCCAGTCTGGAAAGTACTTGGGGAACAAGGCAGGGAGGACTAACACGGAATTCATGCTAATGAGTTCTCCATTCCCCAAGGAGATATAATCAGGGCAATACTCAAGGATTCGTCAACATATTTTATTAGTACTATGTGACCTATATGGTTTATTTTAAAGGAATTAACCTCAGCTAAATATCTGAAAGATCTTTATACAACTGTTTAAGTAATCAAGCCTGATATATTTCTGAAACTTTAATGAAATATCACCCTTAGGGTCCTCTTTTTTTTTAAGTGTTTGTTCTCATTTATTCATTTTCTATTTGGTAACTTAAAATCATCATGACTAAATAAATATGCAAACAACTGCTACAAATAAGAAACTCCTAGTGGGAGGCCCACTCATATGTAGAACATAAAGACTCATAGAAACTCAACTTAAGGGTCACTAGTTTCCAGCCAGGCACGGTGGCTCATGCCTGTAATCCCAGCACTTTGGGAGGCCGAGGTAGGCAGATCACAAGGTCAGGAGATCGAGACCATCCTGGCTAACACCATGAAACCCCGTCTCTACTAAAAATACAAAAAATTAGCCCGGTGTGGGGGGCGGGAGCCTGTGTTCCCAGCTACTCAGGAGGCTGAGGCAGGAGAATGGCGTGAACCCGGGAGGCAGAGCTTGCAGTGAGCCAAGATTGTGCCACTGCACTCCAGCCTGGGTGACAGAGCGAGACTCCGTCTCAAAAAAAAAAGACTCACTAGTTTCTTTTTGTTTGTTTGTGTTTGAAACGGAGTCTTACTGTGACCTCCACCTCCTGGGTTCAAGCGTTTCTCCTGCCTCAGCCTCCTGAGTAGCTGGGATTACAGGTGCCTGCCACCACACCTGGCTAATTTTTGTAGTTTTAGTAGAAACGAGGTTTCACCATGTTGGCCAGATGGTCTTGAACTCCTGGCCTCGAGCGATCTGCCCACTTCAGCCTCCCAAAGTGCTGGGATTACAGGGGTGAGCCACCACACCCAGCCAAGAATCGCTAGTTTCTATGTAGAAAAACTTTAAAATGAATGCAAAAAATGCAATTGCTATGTGAAACCTAAAATACGTTAGTTGCATATACATCTTTTCATCACATAGTCATATGCCTTCACACTTCAGCTACGAATCTCTAGTATGTTACATGATCTTAAAACCAGGTGTTTTACTTCTTATGACAGTATTTCTAGAAAGTAATCAGGAACTACCTCCAACAGAACCATTTGGAGTGTTTCCTAAAATACTAATTCATAGGCTCTACTCCAAATTTACTGAATTAAATCTTTTAGGATGGGGCCCTGGATTGAGACTTTTTTTAAAAAAAAATCTCTGAATAAAGAAGACGATTGAGGACTTTTTAAGCACCCCAAGTGATTCTCATGTATCACCAGTTTGATCACAGCTATCCTATAGAAACAATGCACTGTGTAGACAGAATCTCAGACATGAGTGAAATGCGGATGGCCCCGTTTCATTATGTGAAAGAGATTCAGATAAGCACAAAACTGGCTACACCTTTTCTGCTGCATAAATGTGTGCAAAATATTTAACCTCTCTGAGTCCTAGTAATTTTTTTTTTTTTTTTTTTGAGACAGGGTCTTACTCTGTCTCTCAGGCTGGAGTGCAGTGGTGTGATTTCAGCTCACCACAGCTTCAATCTTCCGGGCTCAAGCGATCCTCCCACCTCAGCCTTCCTGGTAGCTGGGACTACAGGTGTGCACCACTATGCCTGACTAATTTTTGTGTTTTTAGTAGAGACGGGGTTTTGCCATGTTGCCCAGGCTGGTCTTGAACTACCGGGCTCAAGTGACCCACCCACCTCGGCTTCCCAAAGTGCTGGGACTACAGGTGTGAGCCAACATGCCCAGCCCCTAGTATCTTAATCTGTAAGATAATACCTGTTTGACATTGTTGTGAGGATTAAATGACATAACATATGGAGAGCTTCTAATGCCTGACACCATATGGAATTTAAATATTTGTTTATTCTCTCACTCTGTGTTCAAAAATGAGTTTCCAGGTGCATTATTCTTGTCTAGTGTTCTTAGTATGTTTGGTAGAGTAATGTGAACTAGTAATTTAATGGTGGCTAAAATTTTGAGCTCTTAAAACATACCAGTACTGAATGTCTTATATGTGTTATTTCATCTCATACCTACAATAACCCTTAAAGGTAGATACTACTGTATTATTATCTTCATTGTACAGATTAAGGAACTGAGCCTTGGAGAGAATAAGTAACTTGCCCAGGATATCAAAGCATAGAATTAACACTGCTAGGGATCAAATCCAGGCTTTCTGACTCCAGAGCCTAACAGTTCATCATGCTGTATGTTCTGTACATTCTCTAAGTGCTTAGATTCTAAAATATGAGCCAGTTTCTTGGGAAGAGTATGGAACTGCAAAAGTGGAGTTTATAAACATAACAGAAATATTGACAAATGAATGTAATAATTTCCCTATTTTAGAAGTCTTTACCAGTTGCTCATAACAGAGCATGGCACATAGTAGGTGCTCAAAAGTACTCGTCGAATGAATGGAAGGGACAGGTTGCGTCAGCACACTATTTAAGCAGCTGACAGATCCAAACCCAAGTTTTCACACAAAAATTGCAGACTGAATTGATCTGATTTTTCAGACCAGCTTATATTCTGACATAATACAAATCATTAACTCTCAGAGCTATAAATCATCTTATTATTTACAGCAGATAGTTCTTGAGCATGTGTTATTAACAGCACACTAGTCTGGTAGTGGAAGGATTATTTAAAAAAACCTTAAGACGCCAGGTGCGGTGGCTCACGCCTATAATCCCAACACTTTGGGAGGCCAAGGTGGGCGGATCACCTGAGGTCAGGAGTTCAAGACCAGCCTGGCCAACATGGTGAAACCCAGTCTCTACTAAAAATACAAAAATTAGCTGCGCATGATGGTGCATGCCTGTAATCCCAGCTACTCAGGAGGCTGAGGCAGGAAAATCTCTTGAACCCAGGAGGCAGAGGTTGCAGTGAGCCGAGATCGCACCATTGTATTCCAGCCTGGGTGTCACATTGAGACTCTGTCTCAAAAAAAAAAAAAAAAAACAACCTTAAGACATAGCTTATGGCCTCAACATCTAGCTGGGAAATGAAACACAAATGTATGAAACAACTAGATTGCAGAATTATTTCATATGACATAATAAATGTAAAGCTCCTAGGAAATGCTGAATGTTCAATAAATAACTGTCGTATCAATATTTTTATTTTAATAATTATTAAGATATGATAGTTTTATTAATAATGAGGAAAATAATATTTGTTATAGCTACAGTTTAAAGAGTGATTATGTGCCAAGCACTATGCTTGAAGTTTATACTACATTTAATCATGATATCAGTCCTGCTAAATTAGTATCATTGATCCTGTTTTTCAAATGAGGAAACTGAGACTCAGAAAGGTTAAATAATTTGCCCAGGCACATATTTTGTAAGTATAATATACCAGAGTCAGGGAATAAGAGAGTCCAAAAGGAGTCAGGGAAGATAGAGGTCAATTCCTGCTGGAGAAAACAGGGAGGATGTCTGTGAGTGGGAAGAGCAGAACTTTAATGGGGGAAAAACGAGGAGAAGGGCCTTAGGTGATGGCGGTGGCAGGAGGAAGCGTATGCATGTGAGCTTTCTGAGACAGGTCCCACAGTGCTTTGCTCAGGGTCAAGCTCATTATGAATGCACAACCTAGGTCTCCTCATTGAACATGGACAGCAAAATATAAAGTGTGTTGGTAGAGTAGCAAACAAATCTGTTTGCCTGGAGTAGAGAGTTTGTGTAGGGCAAATTTAGAATGTACGTAGTCCCCAAACCCTGAAACACCCAGCGTTCATTTACTGAGAGCTTGTTTAAGTTGCCACACTTCCAGTCACTGTCCATTAATTCACTCAGTTATTTTCACTCATTAAGGCAACAGTATTTGTTGAACTCCTGCTATGTGCCAGGCACTGTTCTGGGTGGTAGAGACAAAGTAGTGAACAAAATGAACAAAAATCCCTGTACTCATGAAGCTTTTATTGTACTGGGAAAACAACAGATGTTAACATGTAAACAAATCAATAAATAAGGTAATTTCAGATGCTAAAGGCTAAGAAGAAAGTAAAATAGGCCATTGACAATGACTAGGGTGGGGGAGGGGTACTGCTTTAGTTAGGATGGATGAAGAAGGTGTCTTTGAGGAGGTGACATTTGAGCTGAGACCTGAATGATCTGTAGTCGGCAGCTGGAGAGACAAGTAAGTTCAAAGGTCATGAGGCAGGAACAAGTTTGGTATGATTGAGAGATTGAGGGAAAGGCATGGTGGTCAAACACTGTGACTGAAGGAGAGAGGCCCAAGACAGGAGAGCTAGGTGGGGGCTGGATCATGTGGGTCTGGCAGATCATGGTGAGGAGTTTGACTTTCAGAAGGTTTTAAGCAAAGGAAGGCTACAGTCTCATTTGCATTTTTGGAATTTCCTGGCTGCTATGTGCAGAATGAACACTAGAGAGATGTGACTAGAGACTGGGAAGCTAGTTAGGAAGCCATTAAAGTCATCCTGACAAGAGGAAATGGGGTCTTGTTGTAGGGGTAGCTGTGGAGAAGAGAAGTGAAAGATCTTGGGTATATTTTGGAGACTTGCTGATGGAGTACATGAGTTGAGTGCAGAAAAGGAGAGAAAGAGAGGACTCAATCCAGAGTGATCTCCAAAGCCTTTGACCTTAGTGTCTTGATGGATGGTAGTACCATTACCTGAGACAGAGAAGACTTGAGAAGAAGTAGTATAACAGATAAAAGCGAGCCCTTCTGCTAAGTTTGAGATTACCCTCTTTCTTCTCTTCAGAGTACAAACTCCACTTTATAATTATTTTGTTAATTAATTTTGTTGTACTTATTTATCATTAATTTCCTCCCCATAGGAATCTTCAAAAGAGCAAGAACTTTATCGTGTTCATTGTTGTATCCCTAGTACAGTCTAGAGTCTAGAACATTGATGGTCACAGAGTATATACCCAATAAATATTAGGATTTGTTGAGACTGGTTCAGTAGTTCTCAAATTTAAGTGTACATGAAAACCGCCCGGATTTAGATCGTTATTAAAAGTTAGCATCAGCCCCCATCTTAACCCTTCCCCATCAAAACTCTTCTGTAGTAGGTCTGATGTTGCACTCTGGAAGCTGCACATTTAGCCAGCACTGTAGGTGTGCAGTGGACTACAAGTTTAGATGTATCAGTGTTCTTTCAAATATTTGCCTTAGAAACTACATTTCAGTGGCATCTGTGTAAAAGACCACAAAGCATGGCTTTAAGAATTCAATGGCATTCCCAAATATAGTCAAATCATACGGTGTGATTTAAAAGCTTTTGAGAGAAAAGCAGCGAAAGAATCCTAGAGTCCCTTCTGTCTCGTTTGACTTATAGACTGTCATTGTGAAGGGGTCCTTCAGAAGGATTCATCATGTGAAGAAAAATGGCTACCTAAGTGCAGGGATTTCAAGGGCAGCAACAGCCTTCTCTGACTATATCTCCAAAGTATCCCTATTTACAGGTCTGTGAAATTCCTTTACTTGTTGATTATAGTAAATGTTTGTTTTTGTTTGCACAGCATTCCTTGCCTTTTCCAGTAAGGGTGCCCCAATATTCCTTTGGAGCCTTTTTTTACCTCATTGCTGCAGCTTGGCACCCCACCCTCTTCTGAGATAGGGGCTGACCCCATGCTGAATCAAACAGATAATCTCTTCCTAGCATTTGAATCTTGAGTAATAACACAAAGACTTAAGATTAGAATTCCACCTAAAGGAGGTCCTAGAAGAAAATGAGATTAGATACTGCTACGAAGACCTCATAAAACCCACTTAGCTCCTGTCTTTACAAGACCCTATTCTTCAGCTTTCTCTTCAATTCTGTGAGCTCTGTGCCTTATTCTTCCAATAAATTCCTGCTTTGCTTAAGTTAGAGTGACCTCAGTTGCTTGAAATATAATCTATGGCATAGCAATAAAAACCTTGTGATCTATAGTTAGAGGTAAAGCTTTCAAAACAAATCCTTCCTGGGAGTAGTAACACATTAACCTAAATTCTCACTAAAGTGTAAATGTATGATAGCAGAACCTGAACAGCACAATTCATTGAGGCCGAAGAGAGTGAAGAGCTCCATGGCTTGACATCAGTCACACCACTGAGGTAGGAAGGAAAGTTTAACGCATGATTTAAATACCTTGCTGCAAACTGTCTACACTTTTATTTCATAGTTTCTACTAAGCCCTCCCAGATACTGAGTTTCTACCTTCAGACTAAACTTTCAGAGCAAGGCTTTCCAAAGCAGGGCATAATTACTAGGACACATAAACCTAAGACATTAATTTATGAACATGAGAATTCATAACATTAAATTTAGTTCTCATTTCCTTCTCTGGCCCCAGGGGAAAAAGAGGAACATCCTGTCCTTTTAATCATTTGAGTTAAATCCTAGTCATTTGTTGACCTTCCTCCTTCCCCCATTTTTGAAAAGACTTATGACTCTTTAAAACGCTAAGAAATTAATGACTTACCTCATGTCTTATGCACAGTATCTTCTGAACAAGCCAAGTTTCTCACAGTCTCATTCACAATGATTACTGAAACTAAAGTAACAACAGAAAGCATACTGAACAAAGCCAGCAGGAGTTCTGGGTGTAAGCCACACCCAGGGAGAGATAACGAAGCATGTTGTAGTTTAACAAGAGTAATAAAAATGAAATCTAATCACTTGCAGATTATATACAGTATAAATAGAGATCAAGTTGTAAAAACCAGTCTAGTTAATATTTTTTATTTTTAATAGCGGTTGGTATTTGTGAAAATTAAACATAACAAAATCTGGATATAAAACAATATTGATTCTGCATGGCCAATCATTTTCATTTCAAATGGGGGTGGAGAAAAATCACCATTCTTATTAAAACATAATAGTATTACTAACATTTGCTGAGCACTCACTATGTGCCAGGTACTGTGTTAAGTGCTTTTTAATGTAGGTTGTTTCATTTAATACACCTCCATGAGGTATTGCCCTAATATACCTGTTTAGAAACAGTGGAACTAAGGCACTGAGAGGTTAAGTAATTTGCCCAAGATCAAAGAGCAGGTAAATAGCAGTGGTTGGGTTTTGAATCCAGGTAATGTTAGACACACCTGACAGTGATAACTTGACATGTGCATATCCTGAGAATGATCCTACATGGCAGATGCACCTGAATGTGTGTTCAGAATTCTGAGCTAAGAAATCCAAGAGTGGCCAAATCAGGGATCTGTTCCTTATCTTAGAAGGACCATCTGAGCGCCTATCCTGTCCAGTGGAGTGAGGGCTGTACAGGAGATCGAGGTCCTTTGTTTTCGGTTAAATGAAAGTTGCCAGGTGGAGGTTTTAGGCACGGGGAGTTAAGCGAAAATACTATGTAAACTGCATGCTTTTTTCAAGTGGTTCTCATACCCAGCCCACCGCCACTGGCCTCTCTCCTCTGTAAAACTCCATGTCTCTGAGTCTCTTCTTTGGCCTCTTGAACGTGGTGCCATCCCCATTATAGTCTATAGGAGTTCAGCACAACACCAGGCAACAAAATGGCTTGAGTCTGGGCTATCAGCCCCTTCTCTTTACCGCCTTCCAACATTGCTTGGCCAGTTAGTGAGAGAGCACCTGGTCTTTGCTTTTGCCTGTACTTGAGGCCCTTCTAACCCTCACTTTGAATGTTTAAGAATTACATTTTGAAAACTACCTGAACCAGGTAATCAAAGTAAATAGGCTTTCCAAGAGTCAAATTGTTTGGATGTTAATTGTTAACTCAATGATAAGCCTTTCTAGCAGCCTTTACAGAAATTTACTTATCCAGACTTTACATTAAGTTAAATAGTAAGGATTTAGGGATCTAATCAAAGTCTCCAAATGCATGAGCAAGGCCTTTGGTTTTCAAATGCAGTTTATACTTTGTTGCAGTGAATTTGGGATGAGAAGGTGAGTGGCATTCTCTCTCAGAAAGGTGAGTTATTTTTCTGATAGGTGGTTTCACTTCTCTGCCAGGGAAGTAACTGAGAAACCAGACTGGAACTTGTATCTGCAACCTGGTATGGAGTGTGGGTGGCACATAAATCAAACAGCCTACTCTTAAACATTCAGGGGCTCTTCAAATACAGCGTAAATTTTCTGAGCCAGTCTCCCTGAAGTCTGGCCATGACCCAACATGCTTCAGTCCAGAAGGTGGTGGTTTCTGAAAGACCCTTCATTTTTTTTTCTTTTCCATGAAATGGGATGATAGAATTGATACAACCCTGACTGCTTTTAAAAAGATTGCCAGAGTTTTTACTGGATGTACCTGTGGTTGGGATGGCTTTTGTATTTTTGAGGAATATTTCAGTCCTCTTTCTCCATGCTATTGCTTTCTTTATATATAGCATCAGTACTTTTACTACTAGATGAGGAAATCAAATCATTAAAAAATGTAGGGTGGCCGGGTGCAGTGGCTCACACCTGTAATCCCAGCACTTTGGGAGGCAGAGGCGGGCGGATCACAAGGTCAGGAGATTGAGACCATCCTGGCTAACATGGTGAATCCCCATCTCTACTCAAAAATACAAAAAAATTAGCCAGGCGTGGTGGCGGACACTGTCGTCCCAGCTACTCGGGAGACTGAGGCAGGAGAATGGCGTGAATCCAGGAGGCGGAGCTTGCAGTGAGCCTAGATTGCACCACTGCACTCCAGCCTGGGCGACAGAACAAGACTCCGTCTCAAAAAAAAAAAAAAAAAGTAAGGTGAAGTAGGGTGACGCCAAATGGTCCTGCGCTAGACTGCCCCTTGTGCCTTTGTTCTTGGAAGAGATAGGAGGAGAAAATAAAAGCATGGCACTCTCTGCTCCAATCCTGTGTTTGTTTAAGATATCAAGGCAGAACCTACAAGAACAAACAAGTGACTAAAGGGATTCAAGATAATATAGACAAGATAGAAGAAAGTCTACAAACTTAGAAGTAGGTGTTTTCTTGTGGAAAGGTCAGTAGAAGAGCCACCACTATGCTTGGGGTCTGCACTAATGAGCTGTGGACTTGAACGAATCACTTAATGATTCTAAACTTCTGTTTCCCTATCTGTAAAATGGATATGGGAGTCAAAGTATACATGTGTAGACTTGGAAGAGGACTGATCTAGCCTCTGACCCACTGCAGAAATATAATCTACATTACTCCTGACAGATAACCCATCATCCAACCTCCCATGAAAAGTGACTCATCTTCTTATGTTCCTTATGCTGAGCTAAGTTCTGCATCTTGGCACCTCCATTCATTGGTCTTGATTCTTTTCCTTGAAGTTCTGAGTTGGCAATGTGGATGGCAAGAGAAACAACAAAGTACAATGGAAAGAAAATCAGATGAATCTGAGTTTGAACCCCATCTTAAGCACTTTACTGGATATGAAATCTTGACGCAATTGCATCAGTTCTGTAAGGCTCAGTTTCCTCATCTACCTGACGGAGATATTGCAACTTACCTGACAAGTCTATTGGGAGGATTAGAAATAATTTCTAGGCCAGACACGGTGGCTCACGCCTGTAATTCCAGCACTTTGAGAAGCCAAGGCGGGCAGATCACGAGGTCAGGAGATCGAGACCATCCTGGCTAACACGGGGAAACCCCTTCTCTACTGAAAAATACAAAAACATTAGCCAGGCATGGTGGCGGGCGCCTGTAGTCCCAGCTACTCAGGAGGCTGAGGCAGGACAATGGAGTGAACCCGGGAGGCGGAGCTTGCAGTGAGCCAAGATTGCACCCCTGCACTCCAGCCTGGGCGACAGAGCAAGACTCTGTCTAAAAAAAAAAAAAAAAAAAAAAGATTTTCTATAAAATGCCTGCACATACAGAGTGCTTGGTAAAATTACAATTAAGAATTCTTTTCTTAGAATATATTGAAGTCAGTATTTCTTGGGGCCTGAGGTGTTTATGGCATGATTTCAGGTTCCTGTTATGATGATTTGTTCTGAAATGTTCTCAACTTTTCCCTTGTTCCTGTTTCAAATAAATAACCACTTTCTGTATATTGCCTTGCATTTTCCTTCTCAATAAAACCACCTTCTTTTGCTTGTACAATAGAAAAGAAGGAAGCTTAAACAGGGACTTAATGAAGCTGTACGCAAGTGTATGCTAACTAGTTAGAAAAAATCCATAGTGGAGGTAGAATTTAATCTTTACTTTGCAGCATGAGAGGCTTCTGAAATAAAGGATAGTTTGGAAAGGAGTTCAAATGTGCTCTGGGATAAGAGATTGTCGTAATGCAGGAAACATGCTAACTTTACTAAAGTGAAAGGAATTCCATGAGTTTAGGAGTGAGATAACCCAGAGCTGTGGACCTCACAGTCATTTGAAACTTCACAGAAAGTTTCCGTAGGAACAGAAGCTTCAAAACATCTCTTTTTGAACTTGTCCATAAGTATGAAAAATTAAAACATGTGCCTCTTTGACTAAAAAAAATCCATGGTAATGAAGTTACTGTGCGGAAATTCTTGTGTGAACATTTAAACAAGATAGTTACAAGGATGTTCACTGCCAGGTGGTTTCCAATGTCAAACAAACAAAACAACAGTGACAACAACAGTCTAAAGCTTTCAATAGAATAGTAAAAACAATGATAATGGATCCATAAAATGGAATACTATACAGCCTTGATGAAACATCATGTTAACCTGGTATGATGTCCATGATATATTGTTGAGGAAAAAAGTACGTTTTAGACCACTATATGATGAGCTATATTTGTATATATGTATCTATGTATGCATGGGCATGTGCATATATTTATGTGAGTATATAGATGTAAATATATGGTGTATGTATTTAGAAAAAAGTTTGGAAATCTGTACGAAAAACTTAACAGTAGTTAATTCTGAGGGGTGGGATTAGGAGAAAGAGATTTTCATTTTTTGCTTTAAATGTTTGGATATTTGAGTGCTTTTACATGTGCAAGTATTATTTGTATAATTTCAAAAAACAGTAAAATAAGAATAGCTAAATTCACAAACATATGTTTAAGCACTTGGTTACCTTTTCACAAAGTTCAGGAATCCTCACTTGGAGAATACCTTTTTAAAGGAAATAAATAAGTTAATATGTTTCCTTTGGATAAAAGTCAGAACTGAAAGACCATCTGGTTTAATACCCTAGAAAGACCCTCACCTATCTAAGCCCTCAAGACAAGAGAGGAATCTGGAACCCCTGACATCTAGGGTTCCTTTATATCCCTCCACAGCTTCCTTTGGATCTCAGATAGGGCAAAATGCCCTAACTGGCATATGACCATTATGAGTGTTTTTCTTGAAAGGAAGTGAGACTTGGTCATCAGATAATTTCCCACAAAAAACCTGATGTGTGCACTTGGAGCTTAGTACTGGTTACAGTGAATAAAGCTCTGTGGCCCAGGAGCTTGCCTGCTAAAGCTGGGCACTGCAAACATCTATCATCTAACATTTGCCAGATGCCAGTTCATTTGATTAAAAAACAGTGTTAATGAGCACTTGAGCTTAATTTTTTTCAAGGAGCCAAATTGCCTCATGCAAAGAAATATTCAACAACCACCCTGCATCACTAATTCCAGCCAATTGCTTCTCGAAATTGTTCCACTGGTTGTAAAAATTAGTGGAGTAGAGTGTGTAGTTGGTTAAGTTTATCCATTTGTTCATTCATTTATTCATTTATCTCTTCATTCAATTGTCAGCAGTAAACGTAGAAGTTAGCAGTCAGCTGGGGGCTTGGGGAGGTGGGTGGTGGGGGGGGAGTCCGAAACATTTGAGTTTAAATTCCTGCCCTGACACCTACTGGCAATAAAATCATGGCAATTTATGTAGCCTATCCAAGTCTTTGTTTTCTCATCAGTAAAATGGAGGCAGCAATCAAAAAGTTGTCGTGAGGATTTAAGAACATTTAAAGTACCTAGCATAGAACCTGGCATATATTACATGCTCAGTAAAAGTTAGCTATTGTCATTCATGAGTTTGTCATTCAAAAAATATTTGAACACCTAATGTGTGCCAAGTTTTGTGCCAAATTCTGAATTTTTAATATGGTTAAGATATGATCCTTGCTTTTAAGGGGGTTAAGTCTAGGTGAGAGGTTATTAACCTAATAGAATTCAGAGGCTTCTTGAATTTGGATGGGGAAAAAGAATCACATGTCTATTTTCCACTAACCTCTAACTAAAATTTTACATTTCCTTCAATTGTAAATGTATTCACCAAAGAACAGAAGTACTCACAATATGTGTGACTTTGTTACCAGGAGAAATCATAGATATTTTCATAGCATATGGTAGTTTGGCAGAAATTTTAAAATGTCATTTATGCACATCATAACTTTGAAATTACAATAGTTATTAGACTCACTGCTAGATGTAGAAATTGTGTTAATGAAGCACATATGTAGTTATATCTGAAATTTTTTTGTCTTTTGAAAGCCGTACATTTATTTCTTTTGTGCTCCTATGTATTTATTCATTTAAAAAGTGTTCTGAAATGGATACATATATGTACTGTATTACATGCATGAGGATGTTTATAATAGCACTGTTCATTAAATAAAAAACTGAAAACAAAGTAAATGTTCATCAATAGAAGAATGAATAAATCACCATTGGTATAATCATGTAATGAAATACCACCCAGAGATGAGAATGAATAAACAATTGCTACATTCAGCAACATGGATGAACCTCACAAACATAAGGTTAAGCAAAAGAAACCAGACACAAAAGAGAACATACTATATTTTTCCATTTACATAAAGTTTAAAAACAGACTAATTTCAAAATAGTTTACTTTTTTGTGGGGTGGTGGCTGGGACAAGGGGGCTTTGGGGTTAGCTAATTATTGATCCAAATGCTAGTAATATGAATATATTCAGTTTGTACACATTCATTGAGCTGTACATGATTTATGCACTTATAGTTATAAAAACTTACTTTAGAGAATCACTTGAACCTGGGAGGTGGATGTTGCAGTGAGCCAAGATTGTGCCACTGCACTGCAGCTGGGTGACAGAGTGAGACTCTGTCTCAAAAAACAACAAACAAACAAAAAACTTACTTTTAAAAAGGAGATCCAGGCCAGGTGCTCTCACCTGTAATCCCAGCACTTTGGGAGGCCGAGGCAGGCCGACTGCCTGAGGTCAGGAGCTTGATACCAGCCTGGCCAACATAGTGAAACCCTGTCTCTACTAAAAATGCAAAAATTAGCTGGGTGTGGGGCAGGCGCCTGTACTCCCAGCTACTTGGGAGGCTGAGACAGGAGAATCACTTGAACCCAGGAGGTGGAGGTTGCAGTGAGCCAAGACCGGGCTATTGCACTCCAGCCTGGGTAACAAGAGTGGAACTCCGTGTCAAAAAAAAAACGGAGATCAGTAGACTTACCGAGTCTGCCAAAGGGGTTCATGACACAGAAATGATTAAGAACTTCTGGTCCAGATAGAGAGATAAATCCAAAGAAATTACTATAATACAATGTTTTATACACAGCGTGGATTTTCCAGGCCATTCCTGATCCCTGTATTCTAATCCTATTGTCCCATTAAGTATAACTCATACTTTTCAGAGCATGCATCTTGTTATATATATAGGAAAAATAGGAAAGAAAATACAAAGTAAGGGAAGTCAGGAAGAAATCTCATGGAGGAGGTGATATTTGAGAGGAGCCTCAAAGAATAAGTCGACTTTCAGTCGAAGAGCTTGCTGGCGAAGTGAGCAGCATCACGAGAAAATGGGAAGCATGCTGTGTTTGGAGAACATCAGGTGATCTGGTGTGGCTGGTTCATAGGGCGGATAATTGGTAGGGGGAATGGGTGGGAGATATGAGAATGACTGTGCATTATGCTAAGGGAAATTGGCCAATGTTTTTTGTTTGTTTATACTTTTTTATTGACAGAATAGACATAGAGAATAGTGACCCAAACATAAGAGTACAGCTGGATGGATTTGCATAAACTGAACCTATCTGTTTTTCTAGTACTCAGATCATGAAATGGGACATTAACAACCTATCAGAAACCCCTTTTGTGCTCCCTACCAATCACTACTGTTCCACATCCCTGCCAAGTGGAATCACTATCCTGACTTCTAACCCCATAGATCGGTTTTCTAACCATTATGAACTAAACATATTGTTTAATCCTTGAACAACTCTGAGATAGAATTTATATCCATTTTACAGCTTTAACGTGTGTACTTTTTTTGTATCTGGCTTCTTTCACTCATGTTTATAAGTGAAATGGAATGTCCTTGCCCATGGTTATAGATTGTTGCCACCTAAGTTTTAAGCAAGGGAGTAGTGTGGGCTGACCTCTGGGTTAGAAAAGCTACTTTAGCAGCTTCGAGGAGGGTAGAATAGAAAGACAAGAAGACCCATGGAAGGAGCTAGGGAAATAATCCACACAAGAGATGATGAGGACTGACCCAGAGCCCAAGCAGTGGGGGTAGAGAAGGGGTGGAAAGATCAGAGCTCTGGAGAAGCAATTCAAAACATGTGTTCCATTTACAGTGTCCTTCAAACACAGAGGAGAACACTCAGCTGAATGCTCAGAACCCAAGCAACATTAATTGACCACAGCATTAGTTTGGGTGCTTTTCAAGATTTAAATGAAACAAGCTACATCTCTCTGAGAGTCTATTGTCATAGATGACCGGGATGAGACAGAAGAAGCTAACACAATGTGGATGAATGACAGGGTCCCTTGAGACTTTAATGACCTCAAGTGATGTTGGAAGAGTTTTGTAGCTGATTTCTTTTTCTTACATATATTTTGAGTAGCAGAGTGTCAACATAAAATTTAGATTGGTAAGGAAAACAACACCAGGATTGAAGAGAAAACAGGGGTAGGTAAGAGTTTTAGCAGAAAGTTGAGAGGGATGAGGCTGTGAGTGGGTGTGTAGTACAGACAGAGGGGAGATGGCTGGTGAAGCATGAAGTGAGAACTCATTCTGCATCTATCTTAATCTCACGCTTCTCAAACTTGGGTGTATATATCTCTGAAAGCATGTCAGGAGGAACTAGAGCCACCCAATAAATATAGTACATTTTCTTGGAATGTTCATTTTATGCTAGGACTGAGGAGAAAGATTCCATTTATTTGGAAACAAACAATGTGTTATGGAGTAGAATGCAAACTTCATGTGAAGTTTTAAGTTAAAACATAAGACTTTAAGTATATTTCTAGCAAATGCTTTTTTGGCCTTCAGCCCCAATGCCTCCCTTGTGATTAGGTAAAATCCAGAAGAAAAGTTTTGCAAAATCTCATCTCCGTCACTTTTGACTCCATGCTCCACTCTATGCTGCTAGGACCTACACTGAGCTCTTTTCCAGACTGTGGTGTTACTCATTCAGCAACATTCCTTCCTTTCTTTACTCACTCATTCCAAACATGTTAAGTAAGGGCCTGCCCTATTGTAGGACCTGGGAGATAGTTTTCTCCTGTACAATACTGTAAGTTCCAGAAAGGACTGTGCCTTAAAAGAAAACATTTAGAATCCCTACAGCGTTTGTCAAAACTTGCACATATTAAATGTTTTATAAATATTTGTTGACATAAAATGAAATGGGATATTTGCCAAATCTTTGCAAAAACTCAGAGAGGAATTAGGAGAGGGACAATAAAGAGGAGAGAAAGGTATGAATATATGTGAACTGCTAACCATTTTGAACTAAACATATTGTTTAATCCTTGAACAACTCTGAGATATAATCTATATCCATTTTACAGCCAAGGAAACTGAGGCTGAGAAAGAATAAAGTAACATGTTTGAAGCAACACAGCTAGTATCAGAGTACAGATTCAATCCCAGCTTTGTCTGGTACTAAGGTCCATGGAGGATATCTATAAAAATGTAAAATGCATGTGTCTTTTGACCCAGTAACTCTAGGAATTTATCGTCTAAATACAATCAAATAAGTGCTTAAAGATACAAACACAAGGATGCTCATTTTGGTGCTAATTGCTAATTGTACCACCACACCCAGCTAATTTTTGTGTTTTTAGTAGTGAAGAGGTTTCACCATGTCGACCAGCCTGGTCTCGAATGCCTGATCTCAAGTGATCCACCCAACTTGGCCTCCCAAAGTGCTGGGATTACAGGGGCGAGCCACCACTCCCAGCCAAAGTCAACTTAAACATAAGTATATATTACTTTTATAATAAAAAGCAAACAAGTTAATAAAATTAAATGAAAATAAAGCCTGCACTTAGATTTAAGTCCTTGATCTATCTTGAGTTGATTTTTATATAAGGTAAGAGATGAGGATCCAGTTTCATTCTCCTACAGGTGGCTTGCCAATTATCCAAGCACCATTTGTTGAATAGTGTGTCCTTTCCCCACTTTATGTTTTTGTTTGCTTTGTCAAAGATCAGTTAGCTGTAGGTATTTGGCTTTATTTCTTGGTTCTCTATTCTGTTCCATTGGTCTATGTGCCTATTTTTATACCAGTACTATGCTGTTTTGGTGACTGTGGCCTTATCGTATAGTTTGAAATCAGGTAATGTGATGCCTCTAGATTTGTTCTTTTTCCTTAGTCTTGCTTTGGCTATGCAGGCTCTTTTTTAGTTCCACATGAATTTTAAGATTTTTTTTCTAGTTCTGTGAAGAATGATAGTGGTATTTTGATGAGAATTGCATTGAATTTGTAGATTGCTTTTGGCAGTATGGTCATTATCACAATATTTATTTTACCCATCCATAAGCATGAGATGTTGATCCATTTGTTTGTGTCATCTATGATTTCTTTTAGCAGTATTTTGTAGTTTTCCTTGTATAGGCCTTTCACCTCCTTGGTTAGGTATATTCCTAAGTATTTAATTTTTTTGCAGCTATTGTAAAAGGAGTTGAGATCTTGATTTCTCAGCTTGGTTGCTTTTGCCTGAAACTATACAAACTCTAGAAGATAACATCAGAAAAAACTTTCTAGATATTGGCTTAGGCAAGGATTTCATGACCAAGAGCTCAAAAGCAAATGCAATAAAAACAAAGATAAATAGCTGGGACTTAATTTAAAGAGCTTTGCACGGCAAAAGGAACAGTCAGCAAAGTAAACAGACAACCCACAGAGTGGGAGAAAATCTTCTCAATCTATACATCTGACAAAGAACTAATATCTGGAATCTACGGCGAACTCAAACAAATTAACAGGAGAAAAAAAAAACCAATCCTATCAAAATGTGGGCTAAGGACATGAATAGACAATTCACAAAAGAAGATATACAAATGGCCAAACAAACATATGAAAAAATGCTCAACATCACTCATGATCAGGGAAATGCAAATCAAAACCACAATGTGATACTACCTTACTCCTGCAAGAATGGCCATAATAAAAGAATCTACACTTCTACACTGCTGGTGGGAATGTAAACTGGTACAACCACTATGAAAAACAGTGGAGATTCCTTAAAAAACTAAAAGTAGAACTACCATTTGATCCGGCAATCCCACTACTAGATATCTAACCAGAGGAAAAGAAGTCATTATACGAAAAAGATACTTGCACATGCATGTTTATAGCAGCACAATTCACAACTGCAAAATCATGGAACCAATTCAAATGCCCATCAATCAATGAGTGGATAAAGAAACTCTGGTATATATATCAAAGATATATAAACTGTGAGATATATATATATATATCATATATTTATGATGGAATACTACTCAGCCATAAAAAGGAATGAATTAATGGCATTCAAAGCAACCTGGATGGGATTGGAGACTATTATTCTAAGTGAAGTAACTCAGGAATGAAAAACCGAACATCGTATGTTCTCACTCATAAGTGGAAGCTAAACTATGAGGCTGCAAAAGCATAAGAATGACACAGTAGACTTTGGGGACTCTGGAGGAAAGGGTGGGAAGGGGGTGAGGGATAAAAGACTATGAATCGGGTTCGGTGTATACTGCTTGGGTGACGGGCGGACCAAAATCTCACAAATCACCACTAAAGAACTTACTCGTGTAACCAAATATCACCTGTTCCCAAAAACCTATGGAAATAAAAAAATTTAAAACAGAAAGAAAGAAAATAAAGCTGCACATATTGTAACACACCATGGGGCCAGGCACGGTGGCTCATGCCTGTAATTCCAGCATTTTGGGAGGCTGAGGCAGGCAGATCACTTGAGATCAAGAGTTCGAGTCCAGCCTAGCCAACATGGTGAAACCCCATCTCTGCTAAAAATACAAAAATTAGCCAGGCATGGTGGTGCATGCCTGTAATCCCAGCTACTCAGGAGGCTGAGGCAGGAGAATCACTTGACACCGTCAGGTGGAGGTAGCAGTGAGCCAAGGTGGCGCCACTGCACTCCAGCCTGAGCAACAGAGCGAGATTCTGTCTCAAACAAACAAACAAACAAACAAACAAAAACCCACCATGGTGCATGGGGTGGGAGCCTAGAGGGGCAGGGAAACTTTGGAGGGAAGAGAGCTGGCTACTTCTAAGTTGAAAAAAAGCAGAAGGCGCTAAGAGGCAAAGGAATCGAGAAAGGGAAATGGTGGTGGTAATGAAGCTCATATCAAGGCAATGATTTTTATTTATTTTTGGCTTAAACAATAGAAGTGTATTGTCTCACAGTTCTGAAGGCTGGACATCTGAGATCAAGGTGTGGGCAGGGTTGGTTTCTTCTCGGGGCTGTAGGGAAGAATCTGCTCTATGCTTCTCCCCTAGCTTCTGCAGGATTGCTGCCCATCTTTGGCATGCCTTGGCTTGTAGATCTCTGCTTTCATGGCGTTCTCTCTGTGTATGTGACTGTGTCCAAATTTCCCCTTTTTGTAAGGACATCAGTCATCTTGAATTGGAGGCTCACCCTACTCCACTATGACTTCATCTTAACTTAAATCTGCAATTACCCTGTTTTCAAATAAGGTCACATTCTGAGTTATGGGGGTTAGGGCTTCAATATGTAAATTTTTTTAGGAGAGGAACACAGTTTTACTCATAAAGGTAGGTACAAAAAGGAACTTATGTCACAAGCAAGGATTTGAACTTCAAGAATTTTGGTTTGTCCATTTAAAAGATAACCATTTTTTTCCCTGCGAAATCAACAGTTTCTAAGTGTTAGTCAAAATCATAACTTATGCAAAGGAACTCTAGGGATATTGACAAAACTGGAAGGGTAGATATCTCTAGCCAACTGGAGATCAATATGAGCCAAGAGGAAACTTGACAAATTCGGGGGAACATTCAGGTAAATAATTGGTCATGGTGTTGTTCACTGTCTATTTACACTGCCTTAAGCTGGTGCTTTTGGCAGATTTAGTGCCCTGAGACTTCAACGCTGAACCTTCACAACTATGACTGAGAAGCATGATAAGACTAATGAGACTATTTAAAATAACTATTTAGGCTGGGCGTGGTGGCTCACACCTGTAACCAGCAATTTGGGAGGCCAAGGCAGGCAGATTGCTTGAGCCCAGGAGTTCCAGACTAGCCTGGGCAATGTGGCAAAACCGTCTCTACTAAAAATACAAAAATTAGCCAGGCGTGGTGGCACGCGCCCGTAGTCCCAGCTACTCAGCAGGCTAAGGCGGGAGGATTGCCTGAGCCTGAAAGATTGAGGCTGCAGTGAGCCGAGATTGCGCCATCGCACTCTAGCCTGGGTAACAGAGTAAGACCCTGAATTGAAATAAAATAAAATAAAATAAAATAAAATAAAATAAAATAAAATAAAATAAAATAGAACAGAATTGTTTAAAACAATGAGACTATTTAATACAAACTGTACAGGATGCATTCTATCCTGCCTCCCCATCTCTCTTTCTCTCTCCCTCTTATTTAAAAAAAATTTAAAAATGTTTAACTGTGATAAAATAGACAACATAAAATTGATCGTCTTAACCATTTTTAAGTGTATAGTTCAGTATTACTAAGGATATTCACATTGTTGTGCAACCAATCTCCAGAGCTTTATTATCTTGCAAACCTAAAATTCTATTCTCCTTAAACACCAACTTGCCATTTCCCTCTCCCTCCAGCCCCTGGCAACAACCATTGCACTTTCTATTTCTGTGAATTTGGCTTGTCTAGCTATCTCATATAAGTGTAATAATACAATATTTCTCTCTTTTTGTGAATGGCTTATTTTACTTAGCTTAATGTCCTCAAGGTTCATCCATGTTATAACATGTGTCAGAATTCCCTTTCTTTTTCAGGCTGAATAATATGCACATTTTGTTTATCCTTTCATCTGTCAAAGGACATTTGGGTTGCTTCTACCTTTTGGCGGTTGTGAATAATGCTGCTACGAACATGGCTGTACAAATATATCTTCAAGATCCTGCTTTCAATTCTTTTGGATAAATACCCAAAAACGGGATTGCTGAATCATATGGTAATTCTTTTTTAATTTTTTGAAGAGCTGCCATATGTTTTTAAATTGTGATCTACTCATTGCTCAGTTAGAAAGATAGAAAGCAAGAAGGTGGCTGTTTCTCAATATATAAATCACATAAAACCCAAGGAAGCAAGCTTGTCCTCAGTAGAATCAAGAGACTTTTAAAGAACTCTGTGATATCTAAAGCAAATGTAGGAGCATGCTTCAGGCTGTTTTCCTGGGAAGTGGAGAAGAAAAAGCAATTGCTGACTAAGCTGAGCGAGGAGCTAAGTATTTTCTACTGGGAAATATTTATCTGCTTGGTGCAGTTGCAAGTTCTGGGGAGTGTCCTTATTAGAAAACAGCTGATAATTCCAGGAAAACTTGGAAGAATCACCATGGTGATGAAGAGTGACCCATTTAAAGTGTAAAGCCTATTGTGAGTTGAACTTTAAAAGATACTTGTATAGAAGTTTCTCTTTCGTGTTGCATTGGACGTAAAATATGATATAAGGTAACATTATTATTATTATCTCCATTCCTCCTGCTGCCTGATGTACTGAGGGGGACCCTAGGACACCTTTAGAGCCTGGTCCTGACTTGGCTACTCCTTAGCCACATGACTTTGACAGGCCACTCAACCTCTGCAGTCTCAGACGATTGATCTGAAGAGCCTCTAAAGTCTCATTAGTATGTGGGTTTACTTCTATGGGTATATAATTGTTTTGGCTCCTTTTTGTTTATTACTCATTTTCTCTAGAACTTGGCTACTGAGCAAACTCACCACATCAGACATAGTGGAGAAGGAGGAAATAAGCCAAGATGTGCTAACGGACAAACACAATGGCAAAGTCCATGTGTTAAAGCTCCTTCTCCTTATTGCTTTTCTTTGACCTCAGGAGCATGGGGTTGAGTAAATCATACTTGTGGGTTCATGCACCCTTTCATCATTAGTCTGGATAAGGCCTCTCTCTGTTTAATTTTACTATATTATTTTCTTTTTCTTTTGCGGGGGGAACAGAGTCTCACTATGTCGTCCAGGCTGGAGTGCAATGGCAAAATCTCAGCTCACTGCAACCTCCTGGGTTCAAGCAATTCTCCTGCCTCAGCTTCCTGAGTAGATGGGATTACGTGTGTGCGCCACCATGCCCAGCTAATTTTTGTATTTTTAGTAGAGATGGGGTTTCACCCTGTTGGCCAGGCTAGTCTCCAACTCCTGACCTTGTGATCCACCCACCTTGGCCTCCCAAAGTGCTGACCTGGCCTAATTTTACACCGGAACTGGCCTAATTTTACTATATTATTTTCTTCTGCTTCATCTCCCATCCCCTTTCCCTTTCCAGGTGCTGTGCTTGTGGTATAAATGGACTATCTTATTTAATTCTAATGACAACACTGGAGTAGACAATGCAGAGAATGCTGTCATCCCCATTTTACATATGGAGAAACTGAGGCTTAAGGAGGCTAAAGGGAAGAGGCAGAATATCAAACTAACCAGACAGATCCAGAATCCACACTCCTAAACACCACAGAAGCTAATCAAGAAAACTGATTTAAAATACAACTTGTCTCTAAGTTATTCTGAATTGTCTGTAGGACACCTCTCCCCCATTATTCAAAGGAAATATTAACAAATCTACTTTGAGGCACTTTGTTTCTCCTCATTCATCTTTCGCAGGACATTATCACCAGAGACAGTTTCGAAAAACTGGGATGATAGTCTCTTTGGATTTCCTTTTCCTCTGTTCCATTTCTCTTGCAAAACTTGGAGCTATAATTGTCAACTTGTGCCTTGACTCTGTGGCTTGCTGGGCACATAATTGAAATGATGTAAAATAGCATTTCCCCTCCTTAAACAGAACACCTGTCCACTCACATTGTGCTCTTTCTGAATCTCATTTATAAGAAGAAGATTGTTGATGGGCAGAATATGCTACTGAAGTGATGTTTCTCCCCTATGGGAGAGAAACATGAATAGTGCAGAGATTTATAATAGGATGAAGTGTGTGCCACCTTTAAGGTAAAGCCACACGAATTGATGGTTACCTAAAGTGATGGCCATTCCTGGTAGTCTTAGCACAACTTAATATGTGATGGGACAAGATTTTTAGCATTGACTACATTTTGTTTGTGAACCCTGGTGGGAGGGGAGGACAACCCTCAGGGGAGATGCAGAGATAGGAGTGGTTAAGGGCTTTTTTGACTAGGAGGGTTCTTTCCAGGGAGCTCTGAGGATGGATTACCAGGATGGGGAGATCAGATCATAGAGAGAGGGACCATACTGGAAATTAATAATAATAATAATAATGTTGTGGATGATGATAATAATGTCAATCTCTATTGAAGGCTTACTGTGTGTCAGATGCTGGATTATATTACTTTATATGCATGATCTTATTTATTCTTCTCAACAACTTCAGATAGATACTATTACGGGGACCTGAAGTAGATATTATTATAATCTCTATTTTACAGTGGAGGTAACTGAGGCTTAGAGAGGTTAAGTAACGTAGCCAGGTCAAGATCACGTAGCCAGCAACAACTCATTGGTCCATGCTTTTACCAGCACACTCACAGAGCCAGTGAGCTTTGGACGCAAGGAGTAAGATCAGGAGAGAATGGGAAAATGCCTTTTGAAGGGGATAATTGAAAGGGCCACAGTGGGATTGTGTGAAGGGCCCAGGTTTGATCGAGTGGTTCAGAGTTTTACTCAAATAGGAAGAAAGAAAACATCAGGTTGGTCCCTCTGGGTGAGAGATTGGGTGAAACTGCTTAAAAAATCCAGACCAGAGCCACATTCTGCCTTTAGAATCAGCTCTTCACTATTTTCCACCCAATTTTAAGGCCATGTTGTTATATAATTTGGATATGACAGCCAGAGATAATTTTCTGCTCGAAACAATTAGTCATATTTTAGGTTGGATAGGTTTGACTGAGTAAATCTTTCTTCAAGTGAGCATTTTATTAATTATAGAAAGGGCTTGGAGAGACATCCTTTCAAATAACGGAATCAAACCCTTTCTCTAAGAGAGGAATCCCTAAGCCTTGCTGGATCTTGCACAAAAATCATATACCATCCCACAGCTAAATTCATTTAGAATCCCACCAGAACATTCTAATGCAATTTTTATGAAGTGTCTTTTATTTTGTACTTGCTTACTCTGTAACAAATGAGTCATTGATTTTCAAAAAATTTTAAATGTATCCAGAGGGTTTTTTTTTTCTTTTCAGTTTTTGTTTTGAACAGCCATTCAGAAGCCAAACCCAGTAACCCTAAGTTCTCCTGGCTGCTTTGCTGTAAAGATAGCTTTCCTCTGAACTGATTGTAGTGGTTGCTTTGACAAGAACGAACCACTTTCTTTTTTTAAAAAAAATTTATTATATTTTATTTTAAGTTCCAGGATACATGTACAGTACGTGCAGGTTTGTTACATAGGTAAACGTGTGCCATGGTGGTTTGCTGCACCTATCAACCCATCACCTAGGCATTAAGCCCTGCATGTGTTAGCTATTTATCCTGATGCTCTCCCTCTACAGGCCCCAATGTGTGTTGTTCCCCTCCCTGTGTCCATGTGTTCTCATTGAAGAACGAACAACTTTCAACTAGCCAAATTGCTGAGATGTGAAAGAAGTACCTTACAAGTCTTTCTAAAATGTTGTCCAGCAATTATGTTTGAATATTTGTGTGTTATATTCAGGGAAGGCCTGAAAACAACAACAATAAAAATGAAACTTTAGGGTCAATCCCAATTTTCTTTGTGATCATGAGGTATTCTAATCTAGAGTTCCTTTGGGAGCCTTTCCTTGTGAGTTTAAGTAGGAAAGCCGACGGGAGCCTCACCGTACAGCTGTGGTCGGGTACAGTAATCCCCTGATGACTAGTCAAAGACAGATCCACTCGATGCCTATGTTTTTTTCTATCATTCAAGAGTGGCCAAGGAGACCAAGGGTAGGAGTGAGAATTCACTAGAGTTTTCAACAAAGCATTCCAATAAATTAAAAAAACAAACAACTTTTGTAAGAATGAAGTGTTTGGCAATGCTGGTTGGTTACAGCGCCCTCATGTGTCTCAGCATGGTAGTGTCATTTTAGGGCTTTCCAAGGGCATGAGATTCTCTCCTAATCATTAGACCAATGCTATTGAATGGAGTCCTTTTCCTCCATGTTTGTTTCTAGGGTCACAAATAGACTTCTTTCTTCTTTAGGTGTTAGTTTGAATCTCCAGTGTGATTATAATTTTTATTAGAAACTGTAAACATGAACTATCTCATTTTCCAGTCTGTTTCTGTGCATGCTCGATAAATGCTTGCTGAATTTGAGCTCATTTAAATGTCAATTCCTGCCAAAAAGTGAAAATAACCCAAATGCCCGGCTGGGGAATCAATAAACAAATTGTGGCACATCCATACAATAGAATACTACTTAGTAATAAAAAGGAAAGAACTACTGACACGCAGCAACAAGAGGCTGTGAATTATAAGGTTCTACTTATGTGACATTCTGGAATCAGACAGATACCAGATCAGCAGCAGCCACAGGGCTGGGGAAATATGGTGGGATTGGTTGCAAATGGGTATTAGGGAACTTTTCGGGGAGATGGAAATGTTCTTTATCTTACTTGATGTTGGTGACTTGACTACATACATTAGTCAAAACTTATCGAACTGGCAATGGTGGTATGACAATGAGTATAGCTGCTTTCCAAAACTCATTGAATTGTGCACTGGAAAAGGGTAAAATTAACTGTATATGAATGATACCTCAGTAAGCCTCATAAAAACTTTCAATTCCTTAAAAAATTATCATGGATTTCTTCCAGAGTACTGAACACCAACCCCTCTGGGTTGGTTTCCTTTTCTTTGCCTATCTGAAAAAGATGCCACGATTAAACTCTTAGACTCTGCAAGTTCCAGCCCAGTTCAAAGTCCCAATGGGGCCAGACTGCATTCCAAACAGTCTGCTCCCCGCCTCTGCCATTATACCAGAGACGGCGTATGCAGTGACACAGTCTCTGTAGCATTTGGATACTGAAAAGGAAAACATCAAAGTTCCGGGCCAGTGCTAGCTGCCACCAACAAGCACAAGCCCCTTGAGGAGAAATGAGATCTGGGCCCTGAAGGCAAATTCATACTGTCAGTTTGCTGGCTCTCCTCAGTGAAGGACAACAACCACGGTTCCTGGGCAGAAGCTGTGCTTTGTACAGATTTATTAGCCACTTGACTGAATGTTCTGCCCCAGGCAGTGCCCAATATCTGATTCTGGAAAACAACTTTGGTTCCCGCAGCTCCCAAGATGTTCTACCTACCCTCATTCCCTATGATGGTGACCTACAAATGTTGATACAGGCCAGTGGTTCTTAAACTTCACTGGGTTCAGGAATCACCTAAGGAGTGTATTTTCTAAATGTCAGTTCCCAGTCTTCACTTGCACTCTGAGATTCTAGTGTAATAAGCCTGGGAGCAGTTCCTGGAAATTGCATTTTAGAAAAGCACCTCTGGTGATTCTGATGCAGGAGGTCTAAGGCTCACACTTTAAAATATGATGATCTGAGGCCTGGAAAAATTCATATACCATCTAGACTTTTGTTTTCACTTGAAATAGTTGAAAAATTAATTCATTGGAAACATCTGACCCATCACGTCGTTGAGTAACACAGTGATTAACAGTGGGGCTCTAGAGTGGGGTTCCTGGGTTCAAAGCCCACCTACACCTCTTATTACCCATGAGGCTTTAGACAGGTTACTTAATCTCTTCACAGCATGTGTGTAAGAGGAAGTAGGATCAAATGAGCTAACACTTAAAAAGCACTCAGAGTGAGTGCCAGTAAGCATTAGATAAACATCATTATTATTCTGTCCAGATCAATAAAGATTGAAGGGAATATTGCAAACCATGAACAAAGAAAGATACTTCAAAGAGCTTTTCATTTAAAGCTTGGACAACTCTAAATACTTCAAATGGTAGACGGAAATGTAGCCACTTTATGTATGCCAAGTTTCCTACATTCCAAATTTCTTTGGAATTTAGGAAATTTTTTATATTAAAAATATAAGCTGAACAAATATGTAAGCTGAACTTAGCAGTACCCCTTTTCTTTGATTAAGGAGCTTATGACAACTCACATATATCAGCTTGCTCATCTTTATAAGTTATCCATAATATTTGGTGCTTCTTAAAGATGCAAATCAGAATCATGTGTAGAGCTTTTGGAAAGGACAAATTTTGACTCAGTAGAGATTGGGGTGGGGCCTAGGGAATCTGATTTTCTAAAAAGCTCTCTCCATGATTTGGCTGTACATTCCAGGTAGAGAACAACCATTACAGGTGAAAGCTGGGATAATCTACCTTGTTTTAAAATGTAAGAAACAGAGACAAAACATGTTAAATACTTTGCCCCAATGTCATTCAGCAAATCATTTGGTGAGGCAGGAGTTGGATTTTTGTCAGTAATTCCAGGGGCTACTATATTAGTACTTTCCACTATGGCTTATACAGTATAAGCTATTTGTATAGGGTAGGATAAGCAAAGTAAATTTTTACTCCCTCATTTGCTTATGAAATAGTACTCTGATCTGAATATGTAGGAACTTTAGAACTGCTGACCTGGGATTCTGAATTCCTTTCAGATTCCACCTTTTACCTTCTTAGCCACGTATCCCCATTTACTGATTATCTCCATTAAATCCCTGGAAGTGTAAAGGAGAGATGGCTCATACAGTGCTTGGGTCAAATCCCTATGGGAAATAAGATCATGTGCTTAAAGACTTGTTCTTCCCCATTCTTGGAGCTTAAGGACCACAGCTTCATCATGATCAAATCCAAGATAAATTAGTACATAAATCTAGGAAAATGAGGATCTCATAAGATCACGAATCTAAGAATATTATCTTATAAATTACTGACTCATAAATCACCGGGGCATGAATCACACGAATATCAAAAAGGCCATTCTAGTGGCTGAAGGCAGTGGCATTTTGGTGGCCTCTACTCTTGAGTTGAGATTTTTGTGGATTCCCTTCTCATCTTGGGAAATATCTGTAACCTATGAAGTCCCTCAGAAACCATTTTCCTGAATGTATTATCAGAGAAGAAAATCTGTTAAAGTCTGCCATTGGGAGGAGGGTGGCCACCAATCAAGTGAAATCATTCTGCTGAACTTGAGCCAGGGAACCAAATTGGGGCAGTATCATTTTGCATGCAAGATGGCCCAGCAGGCTGGAATCCCTGCCTGCAGACCTTCACACATCACCAACTTTTTGCTAATAAAACAGACCCCATTATTTAGTTTCTTCTTGGCATCCACTGGCTGCTTCCCTTTCAGACTTTCTGTTGCCCATATTTCAATATCCCACCTTTGCATTCTCCTCCTGCTCTTGTTAAAGTACTGTTTCTTTCTTTTTCTTTTCTTCTTCTTCTTCTTTAAAAAAAAAAAAAAGATCCCTTTTAATCAGATAGCTCCTGCTGGCATGAGCTGTCAGAGGTATTCATTTCAGTGGACTCTGGCCTTATGCTGCATTACCTTGGCAACAAGATTTAGAAGCAAAGCCTTGGCCTTGAACTTGTCAGAGTCTCCAACGATGTGAACTCAGCACATACTACTCTCTAGCATATCAAGTTGTCATGCCAACCACTAACAATAAAATCCATCTCTGTCTTCTAGGGTTTTAATTCAATAACTTTTCAAATTGGTTCCTTCTGTAATTCAATTGGTCTGGAAATGTAATATATGAACGTGCACGTGTGTGTGTGTGTACACTGTGTTTAACCAGTCACTAATGGCCTTCCACTAAAAGACTGGAGGTTGGAAATGCAATATAGGTCAAAAGTTCATCAAAAAGCAAAGAAAACCGGTGCTGGATCTAACAAAAGAAGCCTGAAAATTTGGAAATCCTGACAAAGAGGTAACTAAACGAAGCCTCAAGAGCTGACTTCTGCCCTCAGATATATGCACATGACTTCTATTGGCACGGGTGCATAGCACATTTGATACTCAGAGTAGCTGTTCCCCCATAGATATTTAGAACTCCTTTAGTTTTGAATACACAACCAATTTCCATTTCTTTTTTTTTTTTTTTTTTTTTTTTTTGTGAGACAGAGTCTCGCTCTGTCGCTCAGGGTGGAGTGCTGGAGGCAGTGGCGCCATCTCGGCTCACTGCAAGTTCCGCCTCCCGGGTTCACGCCATTGTCCTGCCTCAGCATCCCAAGCAGCTGGTACTACAGGCGCCCGCCACTATGCCCAGCTAATTTTTTGTATTTTTTAGTAGAGACGGGGTTTCACTGTGTTAGCCAGGATGGTCCCGATCTCCTGACCTCATGATCCGCCCGCCTCGGCCTCCCAGAGTGCTGGGATTACAGGGGTGAGCCACTGAGCCCGGCTAACCAACTTCCATTTCTTTTTGAGACGGAGTCTTGCTCTGTCACCCAGGCTGGAGTGCAGTGGCGCGATCTCGGCTCACTGCAAGCTCCGCCTCTCGGGTTCACGCCATTCTCCTGCCTCAGCCTCCCAAGTAGCTGGAACTACAGGTGCCTGCCACCACGCCCAGCTAATTTTTTTTTTTTTTTTTTTTGCATTTTTAGTAGAGACGGGGTTTCACCGTGTTAGCCAGGATGGTCTCGATCTCCTGACCTTGTGATCGGCCCGCCTCAGCCTCCCAAAGTGCTGGGATTACAGGCGTGAAGCACCGCACCTGGCCCCAACTTCCATTTCTTAAAAGCATTCCTATTTTTATATTTACATTTCATTTTCCTCTGAACCAGAAAGCTCTTTAAGAACCTGTCCCCTTTGAAAGACTCTTAATCTTCTAAGGACATTCAAACAGGGATTGCATGGAGTCTAGGGGCTGGAAGTAACCAGGGGTCGGGGCTTCTCAAACTTATGTGTTTCAATGCCTCCTTATTCTTGTGCCAACTCTGTGATTATTTGCTCCTTGTTTTTCTCCTTTAATTGACATGTTTTAATAAATTTAGAGAGGGAACTTTATATCATTAGTCTGATACTCTGCTTTTTAGACCCTCTGCCCCTAGGGGCATAGTTCTCTCTTAGTTTTCAATAATTAACACGTATAGGGTTGTCAGTGTGCTAGCTGATGACCACTAAAAATACTTTTTGTGTACTAATTCGTTTAATCTTCACAATCATCATAGCAACCCTTTGAAGCAGGTAATTATTTTTATCATCATAGCTTCACAGAGGAGGAAACAAAGATACTGAGAAGTTAGGCAGCACATCCACAGCTAGTATAAGTAAGGACTGAGTTTCAAACCCTGCAGCCTAGTTCCAGAGTCTCAACTCAGAATACTGCTTTACTGGATTCTGGCTGATATGTGAGCCTGTCTGCAAAGTTTTATACAGGAAGCACTGATTACCTAAAATTGCAAATTTCTTGAAGGCAGAGACCATCTTTAATACTTCCATCTCTCTCTTAGTGCCTACTTGTGTACCTTTGACATAATACTTGCTTAGAAATATGCTCAGTTTGTGAAAGAGTGATCTGGGAGAATCCTAGAATATCAAATTCAAGGCCACTTTGAAAAATCTAGTTTTTGTATAAGTTGGAACAAAAGAGGTTATCTTCACCTCTAAACCATACATATATAAGTTCTTCTGTAGAACAAATTCATTGACGTTAAAGGCCATGTTTGGTGGTGTGATGGATATTTTCTGTTGGCACCCCTACCCTGGCCCGACCCAGAGACACTTTCTACCTTTCCCCACTGTGCCCTCTGCCCTGGGCACCTGACCTTTACCAACTGCATCAACTGGACTTTCTTGCTTTCCAGCTTTGCATTGGGTTGGGAGGCACTGGCTGGAGAATGAGAGAAAGGTTGGACTATTTACTCCTGTAGCTCACTCTTTGCCAAGGCACAGTTTGGTAATGCTTTCTTCTACCCAAGACCATTGGTTCTACTGCATAGCCCTCTCCTACAGCTACAGCTCTTGCTGGTATGGAAACAACTTCCTGCTGGTACTAGTTCCAGGGCACTTCACCATTCCTTATTGGTGTCCTCCTGTAAGTCTAACTTAACTTTCATTAATAGTCTCTTCAATAAATGTATCATCTGTCTCCTGACAGGATCCTGGCTCTTAACACTTGTCATCTGGCCAAGTGCTTGTCAAATATTAATGGACATGAGAATCACTTACAGATCTTGTTAATATCCAGGTTCTTATTCAGAGGACTGGGGTGGGACCTGAAATTCTGCATTTCTAACAAGCTCCCAGGTCAACGGATGCTCCATAGGTCACACTTTTGGTAACAGTGATCTAGTAGATGGTCTATAGTTGTCACTTGACAGGTATTTTAAGTTGAATTAAAGAATGGCTAAATGAATGCCTTGGATGCAATGCTGCATTCAATACTGGTGAAGGAAGCTACAGCTTCACGCCACACCTATCTTGTAATAACTTACCCCTGAGGTCCCAGCAGGGCTGCAGCAGACCCACCTGGTCACACCATAAAGTTCACAGCTGCTTGGACACCCGTATCTCTGTTTTTCTCATTGGCACAGCCACCCTGGTGATTCTCATCATTTTCAGTTAATACTGTTTATTAAAAACAGCAACTACCACATCTAACTTCCTAGAAATTGAATTCGCACACACAGGTAATTTTTTCTTCAGAGATGAAAGAAAAACTGATTATTTTCAACATCGGAATCAATTGCCCCTGAGGGACAATTCTTGCTGAGTGAAAGGTGGGAGAGAAATTCATGGTTTGCCAAATAGTAAGTTTTATTTGCTCAGATTCTGTATAATCTTGTACAAACAGGCTCTATGTGCAAAGGCAAAGTTAAGCTCCAAGGGATCGTTCAAAACAAGACCCAGCTGATGGCAAACTACATCTAGCTGTGCTTGTAAACAGATGAAGCTGTTGGGAGATCTGAATTCCCTTTTACATTTAGCTGACCAACTACGATTTTTGAACACAAACTAAGTGCCAGGTACTACATCTCTTTGTAGGACATGATTATGTACAAAGTAAAATGTTATTAATTTCAAATCCAAATATACTGAATATTGTGATAATTCAGGCGGATGCTAACCTGTATTTGACTATTTCACTAACCATGCAAAAAAGACTTACCATGCCAATCAATAGATCAACAAATTGCAAAAAATTGCTTAAGAGAATAAATGATTTTCAAGACCTCTCAAGTGGTCTTGAAAGGTACATTTAGGGTTTTTTGTTTTTTTGTTTTTTAATCCCAGCCCTTTGGGAGGCTGAGGCAGGAGGTTTCCTTGAGGCTAGGAGTTCAAGACCAACCTGGGCAACAACACAAGAACTCATGCTGGGATTATAGGAATGAGCCACCATATTTGCCCCCACATTTAGGTTTTGAGAACAGAGACACTAGTTGATTGATTAATAATGTTGATTGTTGTGCTAATTAAAAAACATTCTTCTAAATGTAATGTGATATTCCAGATTGCATCCTGGAACAGGAAACTGAAATATGGATAAAAATAAAATACCGAGTTTAGTCAGTAGTAATGTACCAAAGTTGTCTTCTGAGTTTTGGCAAATGTACCATGGTAATATTAAGATGCTAACATTAAAAAAAAAATCTTGGTGAAAGGTATATGCTAACTCTCTGGGCTAGCTATGCAAATTTTCTGTAGCTGTAAAATTATTCCAAAATTTAAAAGTTTATTAAAAATTCTTACACATTCATAAAGTGTGATTCTCCAAGAACCCCTACCAACAAGAGAAACTATTTAGTGAAAGATACCCTACTTGGCACAATGTCAAGTGCCTTATACATTTGTTCACAACAACATTATGAAGTAGGTATGTATGGTTTTTTTTTTGAGATGGTGTCTCGCTCTTTGCCCAGGCTGGAGTGCAACCTCCGCCTTCCAGGTTCAAGCGATTCTCCTGCCTCAGCCTCCTGAGTAGCTGGGATTACAGGCATGCGCCACCACGCCCGGCTAATTTTTGTATGTTTAGTAGAGATGGGGTTTCACCATGTTGGCCAGGCTGGTCTCAAACTCCTGACCTCAAGTGATTCGCCCGTCTCAGCCTCCCAAAGTGCTGGGATTACAGACGTGAGCCACTGTGCCCGGCCGGTAAGGTTATTATCTTCAATTTGCAGATAAGGAAACTATAGCTCACAGTGATAAAGTGCCCAAAGACACACAGATACTAATTCATCAATGGAGTTAGGATGTGACAAGGTCTGTCTAACCCCAAAGCCTGGGCTCTCAGCAGCTCCACAGCTACACTGTCTTGCCTCTCCTAGCTTGAGTTTCGCTGTAAGAAAGAGTCATCACTTATGCAGATTGGCCCTCATCTTTTATCTGAATTGGTGAAACACGTGAACCCAATTATTTGCACTGTACCTTTAAGTAAACCGGAGCATTATTTTGAAATAACAAAGTTTAATAGAAGGTCAAATCCCTCACATTTCTGCTTTGTTAAACTGGGCCTCAGTTCTCCAGAAGGAGGGGGCAGGGAGAGACATCTCTTCCAAGGAACTTGGAACGCTCTCAGAGCTAAGCAACTGGCCCTTTCCCCTTGGCTTCTGTCTTATTTTGCCCATCATGTGTTGGGATGCTGAGCCTGATGCCCAGGATTCTCCCAGAACTTTCCAGTTGGGCTTTGGCCGTAGATGGCTTACTCAGAAATGGAAAAAGGTAGCATGCTACAGCACAGTGCGTGGTTCAGGGTCAAGACAGCCAGTTCTTTATGCAGAAAGAGAACTGGATCCCTTAACTGAAGAGGTCCTGGAATGCTCTCTATCCCGAAGTATCACTCCTGCTGGTCCAGCAAGGCAACTGTGATCACCTAATTTGTGTTAAATGCAGTACACCATTTGTCACGGGCACACAGTCTGTTCACAGCTCCTCAAAGTTTTGCTCAGATAAACCCTCGGCACATTCCATGTGTCTCTGCAGCCCAGCTGGGGTTTGGCTCAGTTTAACCCATCATTCATTCATTTGTGAAGGGACAAAAATTATTACCCAGCAGGGTTCCCACCCTTTCCACCCTGCTGTTGACAGCCAAAGAGGATTGTGTATTTGTGAATTGTTTCTGCCCTCTGAGGATTCTGTCTTCTAGACCAATGGTTCTTTGGGCTTTCTTGGGATAGAATCAGAGAGGAAGTGGGGAGAGGAGGAAGACGTGAACGAACTAGCGAGAAAGAGTCTTTGGAGAAGATTGGTGGGCGGCTGTTTACGTGAGAGAAGCACAAGAACAGCCGCAGGATATGAGTGGAGTCCTTGAGAAAGAAGTGGGGCTTAAAGAAATATCCCTCTTGCCAGTATAATCCCTTCACCGTGTTCAGAAAATGCAGATAAAGGAACAGAAAGATCTTTTTGCTTGCCAGACAGTATTTCTTTGACTAAGAACGCCTGCCTGCTCTGAGACTGGAGCACACAGTGCAGAGCTTCAACAAGGATGCACGTGTTCAGCACCAACCGCCTCCTCTCCTCGCCAGCCGCTGTGCCACCCCTGCTGCCAGCTCTGATCTCTGCCCATAACACTCCCCTGAGCTCTGTGGCTGAATCTTCACTGATTTTCCAACTGCCAAAGTCAATGAGCACTTCCAGTCCTTATCTAATGTCACCTCTCTGCAGCTCTTTTCTGTTGCCAGCTATCTTAGCCGCGCCCCACATACTGATAATCCTTCAAGTTCAAGGTTCCAGGTGCTTTCTATTCATTATTTATTCACTTCTCACAACTTCAGGAAGGAGATTTTATTTCTCACCCCACCTTCAGTTTTGCTAAATGAGGAAAATGGCTCAGAGAAACCAGCAACTTATCTAAATTCTTGGAACTAGAAAATAACAGAACTAGAACTTAAGCTCAAACCCATTTGAGTCCGAAACCCTTTTACTATTATTATTAAATAAATAATTATTATGTATTATATATGATATGATATTATATTACAAAAATATCATTTAAAAATTATTATTATTCTTCATTGGTATTATGTCCCTGGCTTTAGCTTTTAGATTTCATGGACTAGAAAAAAAATGTAAAAACATTTTTGGGGCTCCGGTATGGGGCCGCCAAATATGCGTGTATGTGTGTGATTTTGTGGGGTGTTTATGTGTGTGTGTGTGCAGTCTTTAAGGCATTTTAAGAATACCCAACTATAATATATCATCACCATCATTTAATTTTATAAAATTCCCCAAATGTACTGATATAGAAGTAGCTCCACAATACATTGTTAAGGAAGATGCTACCTGCTTAATTAGAAATGAGTTCTACAGATTTATCTCCTTTAATAAGCATTTTTTGAAGAAAAAGAAATCAGTAGCTGTTTTGGGATGGGAAGGAGGCTTCGCACATAGTCAAGGTAGCAAGTTTTTGAACATTCTAAATTTTGTGCAAGGGGTATCAGGTATTAACCATTCAAAAAATAAACACATAAATTGGAAATAAATCTCTAAAAGAAAAGCTATTTTAGGACCTCAAGAAAGATATGGCTAAAATAATCACAAAATCATTTGAGTGAATTAACTTTATCCTTGTTTTTCCCATTTTGACATGTCTTGGTGGGAAGCTGGTCAGGGTCTGACTGTTGTCTGCAGGCTGACCCCGGGTTAGGCCAGGTTCTCACTATCTGCCCCCTAGGAATGTATGAAGGTGGTGTCCTAAAGCATTCCTGTGCCCATAAACAGAGGCATCTCTTTTTGTGGTCCCTTCTAGGTGCCCAGAACTCTAAACAAGTTTCCCAGTATTAGAGTATAAATAGAAGAGTTGGGCCTGGCTGGAGTCAGTGGCCTGGATTTGAGGAGTTCTCATTCTGATCCAAGTTCTTGAGTTTGGCTGTACTTCAGAATCACCTGGGTAGTTTGTTTAAATAGCATCTTCCTAGAGACTGTGTCAAACTCTGCATTTTGAACAAGTGTCCCACAGACCAGTCTGAGAAACCTGAATAGCTCAGACTGTATATCCTGTTAGACTGAGGATGATGACTAAGTTTTAATACTAATCCTAGAATTTCCTGGAGAAAAAGAGGCCCTCGGATCAGTGACAGTCAAAAGTCAAACAGACCATTTCCCCTCCCCCGCCACACCAGAGGTCAAACAGGATGGGTCTCAGATGGAGTCCGCTGATGCAAACAGGATCTGGAGAGAAATAGCAGTTTTTCCTTTTCACTCTGAACCTCACTCTGACCAGTGCCGGAAACAGTCCTGATTAGAGGATAATTGATTTGGACTCCGCTAGCAGAGCAGCCAGGCACCTTCCCGCACTGAGCAGGCTGTGCGGTATCATCTGACTCTTTACTGCATTAAAAACAATGTGATATGACATATGCTGGTCTCCTAACAACATTTGCAAACGCAGTAAGATTATAGAGTCAATGCCTGTGCCAACTATGCTTTAGAGAAACAGCAGCACATTTCTACCCAGCCCCCAACAACAGCAAACAAACTGGAGGCATTTTAGTTGCATAAATACGAACTGGTCACACAGGATTTGGGGTCTTTTGCTGGCCAGGAAATGATCATGTATTACTTTCAAAGCTGAATCAGTGATTCCAGTTTAAACAAGGATTCTAAACAGTTTGCTTTTTTGCTTTTCTCCATAGCACACATCATAGAGTGACTGTAATTCAAATTTATCAGGGATTGAAAAGACAAACCAAATAAACAAAAAACCCATCATACCAGAAGGCTGAGAGGAAATGAATTGAGTCAGAGAAGAATTCCAGCAGGGACTTTTTGGTCAGTGTGCTAGACTCCTTTCTTTCACGGAGTTGTTTCCTCTTTTTGCCCCAGTCTAAGTCAAGACCCCACTGAACTGCAAATGGGCCCCCAACCAGCAAAGTAATAACTGCTACTCTGAAGCATCTCTTAGATGTACATCATAAACTCTACTCTCTGAATTTACTGTTTCCCAAAATGAGGTAAACACAATCCAGTTATCTGGAGAAGTGAGAATACCAAAGGTGCTATACACATATTATCTGTTACTTTATAGGAAAGCACAGATATTCTGTCATAAAATATTCAGATGTGTAAAACACTTATTTATGCTTTATCTCCAAATGGCTTAATTCTGCTTCTTTTCCATTTCATTGTGTTTTATGTAGACCTAAAATAGGGATCTTTTATACTTTAAAAAAAACCCTAAATATTCTGTTAGATCCTACTTTGGTTCTTTCTATGAGATAAAAATAAATGCACCTTTGACAACTTTTATTTAAACCTTTGTACTATGAAAAATTTTAAGCATCATATATGAAAGTACAGGAAATAGTATAATGCTCTCCAAGCTCAAAATTGTCCATTTTTGGCCAATCCCCAGCCTCCATTCCCAGATTATTTTTAAGAAAATGCACAACATCGCATCACTTCATCTGTAAATGTTCAATAGATAAAGATTCTTTTAAAGGTTGGGCGCGGTGGCTCAAACCTGTAATCCCAGCGCTTTGGGAGGCTGAGGCGGGTGGATCACTTGAGGCCAGGAGTTTCAGATCAGCCTGGCTAACATGGCGAAACCCCTTCTCTACTAGAAATACAAAAAATTAGCTGGGCATGGTGGTGCACGCATGTAATCCTAACCACTTGGGAGGCTGATGCAGAAGAATCTCTTGAACCTGGGAGGGGGAGGTTGCAGTGAGCCGAGATCGTGCCACTGCACTCCAGCCTGGGCAACAGAGCAAGACTCCATCTCAAAAAAAATTATTTAAAAAATATATACACAACACTATTCTTATACTAAAAAAATTAACATTACTTCTTTAATATCAACAAGTGTCCAGTCATCTACTGATTTTTAGGCAGAAACCTTATAGAAAAGCATGTTGATGAAAATCTAACGATTCCTGAATTGCTACAGGAACCGTGTGATCTCTCCCCCACAACCCCCTCCAAGGCAGGGATGCTTAAGAATCAGATGCACAAAAGTTCTTTCAAGGACTTGAGACTGAACTCACGTGTCGAAACCTCCCCGGCTGCGGAGACCGGGTTGGACTCTCCAGCACTGTTGACTTTGGTCTGGATGTTTATCCATTCATTTTTCAGACCTCCAGTCGCTTGTTTATTTTGGCCATCCCTTTCCAGCCTGAGACTTCCCACACCCTGCCATCTGGCACCCTCTATGGTTTCATTCCCACAGCCTCAGCTCCGAGCAGAAGCCTCAGCGGAAACAGATCCAGCAAAAGGTCCCGAGCGCTGGGTCTATGCTTCCGTGCCCAAGTCATCCTGCAGAAGAGAAGGGGCAAAAGGAACTTTTGGAGGGGATCCTCAAGGTTCATTACCAAGAGAGTACAACTCTCTTTATTGCCAATCGATAGATAGTCAATAAATATCTTAGTTCCTTGGTGAATGTTATCTTGCTGTGATAAGCTTGGAAATGAGGTGCAATGACAGATATCAATTGTCAGAACTATCCCTGCTGTTTCCCTTAAAAAAGAATCATGTAGGGCAGGGCGCAGTGGCTCATGCCTGTAATCCCAGCACTTTGGGAGGCTGAGGCAGGTAGATCACGAGGTCAAGAGATTGAGACTATCCTGGACAACATGGTGAAACCCCATCTCTACTAAAAATACAAAAATTAGCCGGGCATGGTGGCGGGTGCCTGTAGTCCCAGCTGCTCCGGAGGCTGAGGCAGGAGAATCACTTGAACCCGGGAGGTGAAGGTTGCAGTGAGCCGGGATCGCACCACTGCACTCCAGCCTGGCGACAGAGTGAGACTCCGTCTCAAAAAAAAAAAAAAAAAAGAATCATGTCACCGAATATTCAACTTGTGTCCCAAGACCTGTCAATTGCTCTAGCCACAAGAGCAAATATTTAAGCTATGAGGACTATAAGTTAATTTAGATTAACAGAGCATTTTGATTGTAAACAAGGTTTTGCATTAATCCCATGCAAACTGAAGCAGCTAGGTAAGTCTACCTACCACATCCTAAAAAGGCCTTCCACTTTCTTGCTGTCCTGGGAATCTTCCCTGACTCGTCACACTTAGCAGTCCTTGAAGGCCTACTAAACACTCAGGCCAAAGAGCTCCACCTCTAAGTTCCATCAGAACGATACCATCTCCACTACCACCACAACAACGTCTACCATTTCCTGAGTACTTACCATGTGCTGGGCACCTTGTCACTCCCTTAACGTATTACCTACTTTTTTTTTTTTAATTTTTGGAGACAGGGTCTCACTCTGTTGCCCAGGCTGGAGTGCAGTGGTGTGATTTCGGCTCACTGCAGCCTCGAACTCCTGGGCTCAAGCGATCCTCCCACATCCATCTCCCAAGTAGCTGGGAATACACGTGCATCCCACCATGCCTGGCTAATTTTTGTATTTTTTTTTCGTTGAGATGGGGTTTCGCCATGTTGCCCAGGCTGGTTCCGAACTCCTGAGCTCAAGGGATCCACCTGCCTCAGCTTCCCAAAGTCCTGGAATTATAGGCATGAACCACCGCACCCAGCTGTGTATTACCTACTTTAATCTTTACCACAGTTCCGGGAGGAAAGCGCTACTAGCATCATTATTTTATAAATGAGGAGAATAAGGAGAGATTAGGTAAACACCCAAGGTGGTAAGGACAGTAAATGACAGTGCTGGGCTATGTGGCTTAGAGTGTCTCCCCTCAATCTTGAAGCTACATTGCCTTAAAAAAAACATATTCGACCTTGCATTGTCAATGACATATTTATGTACATGTTTTTGGACCCTCTCCTTGACATGGTAGACATAAGGTATCTAGCCTAGTGTCTGGCAGTAACTGCTTGGTGCTTGATAAATGTTAGCCATTATTGTTGTTGTTGTTGATACCAGTAATTATTTGTGATGTGGCCCAGGACAGTCTCACCTCCGCAATGCTGTTGCAGATGTAGAAGCATAAGAATGTGGCCTTACTGTTGCCAGATTTGGCAAATAAAAATATGGGATGCAATACTTGAGACGTACTTATACTAATACGTTTTTTGCTGTTTATCTGAAATTCAAAGTTAACTGGGCATCCTGTATTTTATCTGGCAACCATCGTCGAGAATCTTAATAGCAATCAAGGGAGATGAGCACAGCACTATGGAGCAAGAACAGTGTTCCCTGCTAAGCCATATGGTGCTGATTAGCAGTGTTGCAGGATTTCTGAGAAGGGAGGGCACAATGTGAACTGGGCAACCAGAGAAGGCTTCATAGAGGAGGTGGGACTTTCCAATCTAGCCGAGTGGGGGTTTTAAAGGTTTCTGGGCTACAGAAAGTGTTAGTGGAAATAGCAATAGACTAAGTGATTTCTAAAATGTGCTTATTATGGAAATAAATTCACAGAAACAGCTGAAAGAAAGGGATGATACTCCTATAAGTTTGTTTTTGTTTTTTTACATCTGGGTCTTGCTTTGATGTAAGTTGGTTTTGAAAGTACATAAGGCCAGGCGCGGTGGCTCACGCCTGTAATCCCAGCACTTTCGGAATTCAAGGAGGGCGGATCACCTGAAATCAGAAGTTCAAGAGCAGCCTGACCAACATGGTGAAACCTCATCTCTACAAAAAAAAAAAAAAAAAAAAAAATTAGCTGCGCATGGTGGCGCATGCCTGTAATCTCAGCTACTTGGGAGGCTGAGGCAGAAGAATTGATTGAACCTGGGAGGCAGAGGTTGCAGTGAGCTGAGATCGTGCCATTGCACTGCAGCCTGGGCAACAAGAGTGAAAATCCATCTCAAAAAAAAAAAAAGAAAAGAAAAAAAAAAGAAAGTGCATAAGATAATGAGTTGTCCATGACATTAACCTAAATTGGCCCAAGAAACACAATGGCTACAAGGCTGGAGCCTTCGTCATTCCTGGTCTCTTGTTAGGAGAAGTGGAATAAGCACAGATTTAACTTCTGAAGCCCACCAGGCCCCAGGGAGAAGCAGTTGAGGTGTGCTGAGGAATAGGATAAGTCTGAGCTTTGTTGGAGAAAAGAAAATGGGGCATACCTGCTGTCAAGGTGCTGCCCTAATCCTCTCACATGGAGATGTGAAGTCAGAGAGATCTGCACGATGCATTGCATGGATAGAGCAGCCATTCCATGCCTTTATGTGTTAGGCAGTGTAAATACTTGATATAATTTAATCCTCATAGTACTCATACTTTATATTGTTATCCTTATTTTGTACAAGTGGAAACAGAGGCTCAGAGAGCGGTTCATTCACTGCTGGTCATGCAGCTAGCAAGTGGCAGAGCCAGGATTCAAATTTAAGTCTGCCAGATTTCAGATCCTGTTCCTTCTCTCCTCCACCACCCTGACATGAGTCAGTTTTCTGCCAGTCATCTTTAAAGAAACATTCTTCTTGTCCTCCACTTAAGGGACAAGGACTATGTTCTCATCCCCAGTGATAGATTTCTTGTGGTTCAGATGGGTAACCAGATTACTCCTGGTACTCAGGGTTTCCTATCAATAGTGGGGCATGTCAGCAAGCCTTCTTTTTCATCCTCTTGTCCTTAGGAGGGCAAATTCTCCCCTGAGGCATGCCTCCCAAATCCCTAGGCGTCTTTTACTGGAGTGCTAGGTGAGTCCTCAGTACCACCAAAGCCCCCTAAGACACTTCAGTCTCTTAGTGACTTGAGAGACCCCATTTCCCCCCAGGCTCTCTGTGTTTGGTGTCTCCACCAAAGAAAGGAAGGGAATAAAAAACCCTTCCAATTAAAAGAACTTTCCAGGTGCAGGGAACAAAATCCAGGCAGATTACCGCTCAGGGCAGGCTAGCCGCTAGCTTTTGCAAAAGTCTAAAAGGAGCCCACTTATGGCACAGAGCAGAGGGAAAGACACTTCAAACTGTAAAAAGCAAAATGTTGTTAAAGGGCTATGAAAACAATCTATTTAATTTATTGGAACATGTTTTTCTAGCAGCTTTGAGTTGGAGCTGTGATTGCCTCCTGCAGGGATTTGTGACCTCATCCTTCCTCCCCCACCCTCCCCAAATGTAACTATAGGGTTTTCCCGTCATAACCTGACATATGGTTTGCAGCAGGAAGTGCGAAATCCCAGGAATGAGTAGAGACTCAGGTTTCAGACTCTAGAGAGACTCAGGTGAGCTGCAAGGAATGGCCTTTGTTTCATATAAAAACAGAGTTGAAAAGAGCGTGGTTGGTGACCTCCTGGTTTGGAATGAGGTAATTAATTCTCCAGAAACTCCCACCAGTTTCCTGGGCAACAAAATCAATGTGTTGTTGCTAGAAAAACTGGGAATAATAAATTGGTTAAAATTACAGATTTCCTTTAAAAAAAAATACAGACTTCTTCCTTACCAACCCAAATATAAAACAAAACAAAACAATTCCAAAACACACACAGACACACACACTCACACACACACACACACACACACACAATTCCTCTTTACCCTTTCACTCACCCTCACTCTTTAAAAAAAAATTAAGTTTATTGCTATCTAAATATTATCATGCTTGAGAAGATAAGAAAAGAGAAAGGTGGATCAAATCCCACGCAGAATTGTACACAGAACAAGACAGTTTTTGAATATTTTTTAGGCCAAATATTCTCACAGAGTGGGGTGATAGTAGGGTCAGCATATAGTATCAGAATTTCTGGGGGTGTCATAGGGAGGGGACCAGTATGAGGTCTTTGTTTATCAAAAAGCATTGAAGATTTCTTTTTTAAAAGACTGGAAAACTGCTTAGGCTGCCTTAGCTTTTTATCCATTTAAAAACCAAGTAAAGTTTTTGTTTTGTTTTGTTTTTGATGACCAATTTAAGAACTAGGTGAATGGTGAGGTCTCAGAAATCCTACTTACAGCATTTTCTGAACTCCTAGTTGAAATCAAAATCTATTTTTTTCCCCTCCCCTTCTCCCTGGGCAGCTGGGAATCTCTCATTGCATGGCCTGAGAACACAGACTCCACAGTCAAACTGCCCGGGTTTTACCCTGACTCTCTCTCCCTGCCATTTCTCATCAAATTTAAGATACTGTTGCTGTAAGATGAAATATTATTTTAAGCATCACCAAAAAAGAAAAAAAGTGGTTAATTAAATTATGACACAATGCTAACGTGCCATCAGTTGTAGGACACATTCTAATTTCAGTGATGTTAAAATGTGACAAAAATTATTTTAGAATTGATGAACTATGGTGTTTGTTTAGGAAATTTAATCTTTCCCTAACTTGACATCTCTCTATTTCATCTTTTCATTTAAAAAATGGGAATAATAAGGGCTGGGCTCGGTGGCTGACACCTGTAATTCCAGCACTTGGGAGGCTGAGGCAGGCAGATCTCAAGGTCAGGAGATCGAGACCATCCCGGCTAACATAGTGAAATCCCATCTCTACTAAAAATACAAAAAAATTAGCCGGGCGTGGTGGCGGGTGCCTGTAGTCCCAGCTACTTGGGAGGCTGAGGCAGGAGAGTGGTGTGAACCTGGGAGGTGGAGCGTGCAGTGAGCCGAGATTGCGCCACTGCGCTCCAGCCTGGGCGAAAGAGCAAGACTCGGTCTCAAAAAAAAAAAAAAAAAAAAAGGGAATAATAATGTACCTACCTCAGGGTTGTTGTGAGGATTCAAGAGTCGGTTCATGTAAAATGCTCAGAACATTCCTTGGAACATAATAAGTGCTCAATTAGCTATTGTTATTATTCACTATATCCCACTCAAGTCGACAAATACTTGCTCAGTTGAAGTGTGGAGGTTTTCCTGGTTGTCATTCTACTAGGGGAAAAAAACAGCACAGTAACACCCACATATTGCAAACCATGATTTTAGAGAAATAAAAGCAGGCCAAATTGGGAGGATGGTAACAGATCGTTCCTCTCTGCCTTGGTCTCTGGGTGAGTTTTTCAAGTACACCCTGGTTTCCACAGAAAAGCGCCTGACTCCTCTGGTGATTGTTCTGTTATGGGAAGAGTTTTTGCATTCATGATGCTCTTGTGGATTATTTTTGCCAAGTTTTTTGTTGCTCTAAGCACTTCCTGGAGCCACCCCAGCCATAGGAGGATTCTGACCTCAGAGGGATGCCAGGCGGGGTTTGATGCAAACAATCCATGCTGTGCATGGGCCAGATGGTTCCACACAGCAAACACTATTATTTCATTCACAAAAAGTCAAAAACAAGCTGATTTCGCCATTTTAGGCCTAACGAACGGAAAAGTGAACAGCCCTTTCTTGATAGGCAGGCCCATCTTGATGTAACTCAAGTTTTGCAAATAGAAGAACATAGGTGCAAATGAGAATTCCCAAAGTAATTGCTGGCTAGATGTAGATGGCTCCGAAATAAAACCCACAAGGGCAAGGCTCCAACTCCACATATGTTTTCCAGTCTCTTGGAAACTTTTGCATTTTGTTGTTGTCCTTAGCCTTCTGCTATCCCTAACTTCCTCCCAAGGTTATTGAAGAAATAGATATTTGGATGACTAGAATGTGATCTAGCTGGCACAAATTTAAAGACACATGGCTGTTTTTGTACCCAACCAAGTTTGATCAAAGAAGAAACCGCGTGGGAGTTGGCACACTGGGGCTTAGGATATCTAGATCCAGAGTTTGAAAAAGCACAGGACGGGGTTTAGGAGGCCTACGTCCTTGCCATCTTTTGGGTGATCCAGGTATCACTTTCCACCATACTCTCTTCATCTATACTCTATAGATAAGGAATCTAAGGACCAGTTCTTAGATTCCTTACCTATAGAGTATCTTCTAGCCCTACATCTCTATGAGTAAGGAATTTCGTAAACACTTTGGTCTGTTGGCATCTTTAAACACCCCACGATGGTTAATTTTGTGTGTCAACTGACTAGGCTATGGTCTCAGTTGTTTGGTCAGACACTAGTCTAGATGTTGCTGTGAAGGTATTTTGTAGATGTGGTTAACATTCATAATCAGTTGACTGTAAGTAAAGTAAAGTGGATGACCCTCCGTAATGCAGGCGAGCCTCATCCAATCCAGTTGAAGGCTTTCAGAGTAACAACTGAGGGTTCCTGCGGAAGAAGAAATTCTGCCTCTAGGCTGCAACATAGAAATCTTGCCTGTGTTGAAATTCTGTTGGCCTGCTCTAAAATTTTAGGCAGAAGCCTGCAACATGATTCTCATTTGAAGTTCCAGTTTGCTAGCATGCTGTATGGATTTCAGACTTGCCAGCCTCCACAATTGCATGAGCCAATTAAAAAAAAATAAATCTCTCTTTTTCTCTAGCTACAGCCATTTGCCCTGGCTCACCTTGCCCTTGACCTCCCTACCTGACCTCAGTTCTGGCTTATTTTTCTGTGTTTGCCTCACCCCTCAGCTCTATATTTCTAGCTTCAACCTTGTGCTTTTCACCTAGATGACCATTATTTAAACTTTCTTTTTGGCCTTGGCTACCATTTATTTCCCTGAATAAAACTTCCTCTGATCTTCTTCCAACTCCGAGACTTCATAGATTGACCCAGAGGGACCTGGACAGGTATGACTGAGCTCAGCTTTGTACAGGCATGACTGTTTACATGCTCACAGCCTCCAGGGCTTCTGCCTTTCGGTGCTTCCATGGCTTACAGCATTCTTGTCCTACATACCTCTGCTCAGAAACCACCTCCTTTATACAGTGTTCTCATACTTTTACAAAGGGTTAAAAAACAGCAGGACTCATTTCCACCTCCTGGGTGTTGAATGTCTTATTCATGTCACAGGAGGCATGTGGTTACAAGAGGACATGTTTGTTAATTAAATGGGAGTGTGTATAATCACCCTTATTCACAAGGGTGATTTTTAAAAATATGGGTGTGTGTGTGTGTGTGTGAGGTTTCTTCACAGCAAATGTTTGCAAAGCTCTTGGAGATCCATGGAAAGAGATTGCTTGGCCAACCCCAAGAATTATTAGAAATACAGGCTTTGCTGTTGTTGGCTCTACTCTAGAAGACTCTTATCATATAACAAGTGCTTGCGTTTATAAGGGGCACTGTACAGGAAGTCTAGGGTGTATTATGACTTCAATGCATTGCCCGTCTGTCAATGTCTAAAGAGTCCTATATATGGTCTCAGTCTGCAGTGTGTTTAAGACATTTAGACATTTTCCTCTCCCTTGTACTCTAGTGGAATCAGGCTGAGCTTGTGTTATATAACACCACCGTCCTGCTCTGTAATGAGCAACTTCTAAAGAGGAGGCAGCAGGGGAACAAAGCCACCTGGCCTTTGCCAACCTTTCCAGGCTCTGCCAGTGCACCTGCAGAGAGCTCCGAGAGCTCGGCCTGGAAGAGAGACTGGCTATTATGTTTCATTGCGTGAGATGACACAGTGCCTTTCCAGGACAGGTTGGACTGAAAAAATCTCTGCCTTTATTTCTTGGCCAAATTTTATCCAGGGTCTCCCAAGACTTAGGGAATCATTAAGCAGCTGCTTCATTGAACCCCTGCCTTTCACTCTCACCTCAACTGCTTTGAGAAATTTGATCGACTCAGACAGAAACATGAAATATTCATAAGAAGCTTTCGGTGAGCAGTGTCTCAAGAGCTTGCAGGGCTAAACTGGGGAAATGTCACATGTTGGTTTTACACCTCAGTAGCACTTGTGCATGGTCCGTGTCCGACCCATTGGTGTACTAAATCAGACTGAAGTTTCATCACTATGCTTTGAGTATAAGACAAATATCACTCCCTCTCATGTTGCCTGCTATTGCTAAAGTAGGAGAGGTTATCAATTAGGGCCCTTTCTGTTGGGACAGGAAACCCAATTCAAATTGGTTTAAGTGAAGAATGAACTGTATTGAATCAACAAAAAAGCCCAAGGCTAGCTGGCTTCAGGAGTGGGGCTTCAAGGCTCAAATGAGGTCATCAGGGCTTGGTCTCTCTCCATCTCTAGGCTCTGCCTTCTCTTTGATTGGCTTCATTTTAAGCCTCCATGTTGTGGGCCCCAGTAGTTCCAAACTCCCCCTTGTGGTGGCAAGATGGCAACAACAGTTCCAGCCTCCATAGCATAAAGCAAGGGTCAACACATTTTTTCCGTCAAGGTGCCAGAGAAAAAAGATTTTAGGATTTGTGGACTGTGTGGTTTCTGTTGCAGCTACTCAGCTCTGCTATTATAGTGTGAAAACAGCCATAGATAATACATAAATGAATGAGCATGGCTGTGTTTCAATAAAACTTTATTTACAAAAACAGACACTGGGCTGGATTCAGCCAGCCAGCTATAGCTTGCCTACCCCTGTTAACTACATAGAGTTGTTGTTGGAAAATGGCTGTTCAGCGGGGGATGTACCTTCTGGCTTCTCTTGTAATTGGATATGGCCATATGACTGAGTTCTTGCTAAAAGAACCTAGGTGGAAGTTATGTGGACCCTTTCTAGGTCAAAACTTGTAATAAACAGGTATGCCCCTTCACATTCTTTACCTTCTGCAGCTGAATGCAGATGATGAAGAAGTTTTAGGAGTGGCAGAGCCACAGGGTAAGGCAGTCTGATTCCTGAATCACTGTGTGAAGTGGACCCACTTAATGACCAGGAACAACTGCCTCAGACTGTTACGTGGGAAGGAAATAAATTTCTATTGTGTTTGAGTCATTATACATTTTTGATTTATTTTCAACAGCAGTTTACTTACCTTAAGTAGTAAAGAAGTCAGTGTCAGAAAGAGTGCTAATGTATGAAATAATCATAATATGTAGCACTCAGTAGTTGTGCCATGGGAAGCAAGAAAACAGAATAGGCTGAAGAAATGGTGACCTGTGTTATGCCGTGGCAAAATAGTTCTTAAAACTATTTGGAAGGCCAAGCAAATATCTGCTGTCCCTGTAACTCTAGGGAAAGCCATTATAAAGAGATAGAACATTGTTGTGTGTTACAGTTGAGTTATTTGCTGCTTATTGCACTTTATTACTAGAAAAATACATTCCCTGGCAATAATTGGCCAGTTTATAAGCAGAAACAAAAGAGAATAAACAATCCCCAAATTTGGAAAAACCTATTGATTCTGGACACCCAACTGGAAATAGACTGAATCAGAAAACAAAAAAACAAAGACCAAAAAAAAAAAACCAAAACCAAAAACACAAACCCAATTGCCCTCCTCTAAAAAAAGAAAAAAACTTTGAAAGGAGAAAAGCCCATTAAGAAATCTCAGTTAAATATAGCAACTCGACTCTGCAGCAAAGGGCTCCTTTCCACCCAGACCTATTGTTCAGATGGTCTCAAGGTGGCTGCCATTAAATTGAGAGAAATCTTTGGAGACAAGGAAGAAAATAATTTGGGCTTCAGAACTAGGTCTAGGAAAGAACTCTGGGTGTGGTTATTGGCACTTGGAATTTACTGGAAACAAATAAACGAGAAACTTTCTATTTTTGAGGGAATTGTATTACAAAAAAAAATCACAAGCTTGGATGAAATAATCTTTGATTGGTTAAGCCTTACCCTTCCGTCCTAAATTTGTATGAGCAGAAAGTGAGCTGTGTTAAATAAAATTTACAGGAGGCTGTTGGCTTGAACTGAGCTCCTGCACTGGGCCCAACAGACTAAATCAAAATGGAGTCACTCATGCTTAAGTTCCACATCACCAAACTGAAATTAAGTTGTTTATGTGACCTTCCAAAAAACCAGGAGAGAGAAAGGGATAACAGTTAAATCCCCAAGCAGGCCAGTTTTAGCAGACGTAAGAAAGTCCCCTCTGCACCAGCCTGGGCAACAAAGTGAGACCCTGTCTCTACAAAAAATAAAAAATTAGCCAGGCACGGTGATGTACATTTGTAGTCCCAGCTACTTGGGAGGCTGAGGCGGGTGGATCGCTTGTGCCCAGGAGTTTGAGGTTGCAGTGAGCTGTGATTGCACCAAAGCACTCCAGCTTGGGCAATGGAGCAAAACCCTGTCTCAAAAAAAAAGAAGAAAAGAAAAGAAAAAGAAAAACAAAGCCCCCTTTGCTTTAATCTTTACCCTTTACCAGAAATGTAACTTTGAGACAACCAATCCACATTTTGTTTCCTGTGTCTGCTTTCCTCAGCTCTTTTCTGTCTGTAAAACCAGCCTCCTCTGCTTGGCTCATCAGAACACTCACTCTATTTTATGGGATGAAGTGTTGCCCGATTCTAGAATTGCAAATAAAGCCAATTAAGACTTTTGCATTAAATTTATTTTAATTCTGTATTTTGACAGCTGTATAAAGGGGGTACAGTCTTCAAGGAGGACACTCCAGAAGTGGCTAAAAAAAATAATGGACATGGAAGGATACCCAACAGGGTAGAGTAAGGGGCCCTAAACAAAAATAGACAAAAAATTCTTCCCAGAGAGCAGATTAAGGACTAGGTAAGGAATTTATCTCCCCTGCCAGGCAGAGGGTCTTTACACTGTTGGCCCAGCAGAATTCCATCATGCTATTAAGTAAGTACTGTGTTCTTCTCATTTTTCTTTTTTTTCTGAATGGGAGTCTTTTTGCAGATATCAGGTCTTGGGTCCACCACAGTATAGTGGACATGTGTTAGAGGGACAGGTAACTGGTCTTTGAGTTCATCAATTGCTGGACCAGGAGGAACCGCATATAGACCTGATTAAGAAGACATTGTGTCCTCAAGCATCCTGGACTTTGAGGTGGATGTAGTGGCTGAATGGGACTTTGGGTTTTCTTTCCTGAGGAGGGCATGGGTGTAGTCTCCATGAGGGAAGAAGGATGCAAATGGACAGTTGGCATACAGGAGGGTGGACTGTGATAGACTGATAGCTGTTTACTAAAAATCCATTTCCTTTTCATCCTGAACACAGCTAGACCACACGTTCCTGGCTGTACAAGCAGTTAGGTGTGGCTACATGATTGAGTTCTAGCCAACAGAATGTGAGTGGAAGTGATGTGGGTTGTTTCCAGGCCAAGAAGCCAGTGTGTCCTCTCCTGGCTCTCATTCCCTTCCTGCTAGTTGAATACAGATAATCATGAGGCCCAAGACCCTAAGGAACAGTGCAGCCAGGAGTCGGAAGGAGCCTGGGTTTCTGAATCATCACATGGAGGGGAGCTGTCTTCAGCTGGGAGAGCTGTCTTCAGTTGGATACTGGGTGAGTGAAAAATAAACTCCTATTGTTTTTGAGCAATTATAAGATTTTGTATGCTCGTTACCACAGCTTAGTTTATTTAATTAATATAAGAAGCAACATGATCTCTTTTTCTCTGTGTGTGCTAAACATGTTCTCTCTCTGTAGGCTGGCTTTCGTTTCAATTCTGCATGTAACTCAGTTGTTAGCTGGAGCTTCCCTTTCCCATAAGGTCTAGGTGAAATTGGAATGATCACCTTATCATATGGGTATCTAAAGCTTTCCCAAGATATTTCTGAATTCCCAATGGAGCTTCTGTTTTCTGTTTTTAAAGATTCCTTTCCCTTTTGAAGTCTTCAGCTCAAATGGTCTCTCTCTGTCTCTCTCTCTCTCTCTTTTTTTTTTCCTTCTTCTTTTTTTAGAGATAGAGTCTTTCTTTACTGCCTGGGCTGGAGTGCAGTGGCACAATCACAGCTCACTGCAGCCTGGAACTCCTGGGCTCAAGCAATCCTCCTGTCTTGGCCTCTGAAAATGCTGGGATTACAGGTGTGAGCCACCGTACCTGGCTGGTCTCTGTTCTGTTCCACCCTTTTTCCTTTTTTTTTTTTTCCTTTGAGTTACACATGCATACATATGTACTTCACACTCACACAAATTATTTATGAGAGTAAGAGATTGTAGTGAGAAATTGGTGAGGAATAAGTAGAGGAAGGGCTTACACTCACAGGGGTGCAAACCTCAAATGAAACAGACGTGTCACCACCCTGAAGTCACCTACCACTGGTGAGTATCCCTGGCCCTTCACTTCACCTGGCCCCAACTTGTCTCCTTAGTTTTCATTCTTCTCTCTCCCTCTATTTGTCATTTTCCCCTTTACTTGTACCAAGAGCCATCAAAAGCCCTTGGATATTCTGGGAAGACTAACAAGTTGGTACATTGGGAAATCTAACAATTGGATGCTTTTTCAAATTGCTACTTGGAGGAGAGGCAGAATCCTGCCTGGGGTACAAAGCAAAGTAGAAGGACCACACTCAGCCTCTGTCATCCTGAGCAATTCAGCTCTGGCCCCAATATGCACAACTTACTAAAATAGAAGAAATGCATAGAATAAAATAGAATAAATGGATTTTGCTCAACCCACCCTTTTTAGAGTTTTGTTTGTTTGTTTGTTTGTTTTAAACAACTATCTGTCTTTATGCAATCATGTCCCTGGGGACTCACCCCAACCCCATATGGCTTATCAAAGTGTTCATTAAAAATGTACCCTTCTCTTTCTGAGTTTTGTTAGCCTAAATTTTCCAATTTTCTTTGCATTTTTGGTGACATTTAAATTATCCTAATGAGGTTTCACTACTGCTTATAGATTGGCATTCCAGGCAGGTCTACCAGCTTCCTCCTAATATAGGATTGCTCAACTCTTTCTCTACATTTTAGGAGAAAAACTGAGAAGATTTCTTCTTTATTTCCAGTGGAATGTCTTTTGTCCTTCTCTGATGTCTTGGCATCAACTTATGTTTGTTATTGAAGGATTTCCTGAGCAGCTTATCATGGTACTTTCATATACAAAGATAATTCTTTCCCTAAAATAAATTTAGGTTCTAGCTGGTAATATCATAAAAGCTTTTTTTTTTTTTTAACCTTGTTTCATATGTACTTGATAGAATGCAGTCATTTTAGCCCTGGAACTAAATTAACTTTCAACTCCAGCGGGGTTGTCATGTACAGTTGTATAGGTTGTACACTAAGCCACCCTAGGGAGCACCTTTTACCTATAGTCTATGTCACTGGTAATTTCTTTTTTTTCTTTTTTTGAGATGGAGTCTCACTCTGTCACCCAGGCTGGAGTGCAGTGGTGCAGTTTCGGCTCACTGCAACCTCCGCCTCCCAGGTTCAAGCCATTCTCCTGCCTCAGCCTCCCGAGTAGCTGGGATTACAGGTATGTGCCACCACGCCCGGCTAATTTTATTTTGTATTTTTTTTTTTTTAGTAGAGGTGGGATTTCACCATATTGGCCAGGCTGTTCTCGAACTCCTGACCTTGTGATCCACCCACCTTGACCTCCCAAAGTGCTGGGATTACAGGTGTGAGCCACTGCACCTGGCTGTCACTGGTAATTTCTATAGTTGTGTAGTCCACAACCTGTACAACCATATGTTGTATAGTCCTGTCTCAAGGACCACCCACCATCCAACTAACTATTAATCTCAATGGCCAAATTCCAAATTTCTGGAGGAAAACATTTGGTGGTCCATTTTGGGCCAGTTGTCCTCTCTTCTCCAATCAGATATGCTCAGATTGGAAACATCATGTTGTAGGCACATATGTCCAGAGCCTCAATGCCTTTGGAGAGCCCATCTGGGGGAAATGGGAAACTGTTCTCAGAGAAGGGGTTGTATGAGAAAGGCAGACATTTCAAAACACGGCATTACCAAGGGCCAGTGATTAAAAAAATGAATAGTCCAAAGGTATATCGAATATAATCTAAGCTGATGTTTTTCAAACTATGAGGTATGACCCATTAATGGGCTATGAAATCAATGTAGTGAGTCATATTTCTAAATAACATAGAAATGAAATAAAAGAGATTAGAGATTAGGAAATATTAGCATGCAACCTACCTAGTAAAGGTAAACTAGTATATAAAGTGTGGATTGTGGTGCAACATGATCAAAAACCAAACCAAAGCCCAAACCATTTCACTCCTATCTGCCTGCCCACAGATTTGATGCAGGTGCCCTAGGGACATTTATCTGAGAGGATCTTTCTAGGCCTTGTCTCCCTCACTACTCCTGTGATCTTGCCTTATTTTCCTTGCTGAAACTTTGTTTTGAATCTGATTCCTGCTCCCCATTCATTCAGGTCTCAGACTTTCTTTCTCTCAGCTCCATGTCCAGGCCCAACTCTGGGAAGTTCAGCCTGGTTTGACTCCCCAGCGTCCCAGGAAGTGAAAGTTGAAAAAATTATAGCACTGTGAGTTGCCAAGCCCAGCCTTCCTTTGCCTCACTTGCTAGGAAATCGAACCCTTCCTTGGTTCCTGAGCCCACCCTTATCTTGGCAGATGGTTGGTTGGAGTCTCCAGCCTGCAGAAGTAGGACCTCAATTTAGTTGTGCTCATCTGAGCCCAGTATCCCAATGGCATGGCTTATGTCCCAGAGGCTTGCTTGCTTCCTGAACTACAGCCTATGGCTACCTTTGCCTAATTGAAACAATTGAACTTTTGCTTACATTTTCTGCTCTGTATTCTCTGTGCTATGGTTTTGTAAGCCAAGTTGTCCTGGAGATTGGACAATGTCGTTAACATCTCCCTCTTCCCATTGATAGGCACAGGTTATGTCCCTTGTCTGGATGAACCCATGAGCAGAATCCTGCTGCCTGCCTGTCTTCCAGAACCCCCTCCCACATGTTGCCCATGGAGATCACCTACAAGCTTGCTGGGGACAACAGTTTTGTGCATCAGGCATGTACATGGGACCACCCTCCTCCTACTTCTCACACCCATGGATTCCTTCTCTGGATCTATGGGTTTATTGTCTGTGGCTTCCTATACCTGCTTCCTGTCTCTTGATTTTGATGACTAGTTTGGATGTCCTTCTCTGCATCCATGGCCTTGGTTCTCCTACCTCCTTTCTTTTTTGAACTGGCCAAGCCTTCGAGGGATATCTACAAGTTCTTCTAATAATTCCCCTTATATAGGGTTGCTGGATTTAGCAAATAAGAATACAGGACACCTTGTTAAATTTACATTTCAGCTTAGCAACAAATTTACATTTCAGCTTAGCAATAAATAATATTTGCATGTCCCATGCCATCTATGGGACATACTTCTATTAGGAAATTATTCACTGTTTATCTGAAATTCAGATTTAACTGTGTATCCTGTTTTTTATCTGGCAACCCTACACCTACAGTTCCTTGCTGAGGAAATGGCCTTAAGCTCTTTATGCACAGGTAGGTGGTCATGCTGTGTCCCATAGGACCCCACCCCTACCCCATCCCCAACGTCATAGCTAATTGGATCAGGAGTGAGCACTTGACCCAAGGTCAGCTAGTGCATAGGTTGGCCCATAGTCTAAAAAGTAGCCTGGTGCAAGACCTTTGCACTAGAGGGAAATAGTGTTTAAGTGAACCAAATCAGAGGTTCTCCCTCAGTAGTCAGAGAGTAAGAGAATAATCAGTAAGAGAGAGTGAGAGAATCAGTTGGTAGGAAGAAAAAAGCCAAAAGATACATAGAGAGAAAAAAACAGTAAATACAATTCATGAAGTCGTAGAAGTCCTGAACAAGCTGCTCTATGGGGAGGGAAGAAGGATGGAATCAGGACTTCGTCAGTTGCAACAGGAGCCGCTGAAGTAGAAGGAGAGAGAAAGGAAACAGCGGAGGCATGGTAATGGTAGGATGCCAGGGACCAGTCAGCACCAGACCTGAAAGTCCATGAGATAACCTGCTGATTTGACTACCAGCTTCCAGATCCCAAACCAAGAGCAAAACTCCCTAAGACTCCCAAACTCCCTAGGCTGGGCCGTGGATTTTTTTCTTTCTGTGCGGTCTGGTGGTTTAGCTTGGTTCACACGAGAGGCCTACCAACTTGGCTGAGCTTTCTTATTTCTATTTCTATCATTACAATGAATCTCCATAATTTCTGGTGTGAAGGTAACCTAACCTAGAAGGGAAGCACTCTTAGCTTTGTTTGTGCTGTTCAACACACCATCCAGGCGAAGGGGACCCACCCCACCCCTGTCCATCTCTCACTGCCATGCATATCTCCAGATACTGATACCTGCTGGAACTGACCTGGAACTTCTGACCCTAGGCCTTATAGCACTGCCTGCCCGTATGAAATCTTGGTTCTGGAATCTTCCCATCCTCACTGACCTAGTGCCTAGCACAGTGTCTGACACATGCCTGGAGAACAATGACTATATGCACAAATGCAGTCAAATTCATCTCTTTTGGCTTGAGTGGTTGTGGTGGAGAGGAGATAGAAGCCCTGAATGTGAGTTCTGGCTCTGCAACTTCCTCACTACATAACCATGGGCAAGCTACTCAAATCCTTTAAGCCTCCGTTTCCTCCTCTGTGAAATGAGGATGGCGTTATCTACCTGTTAGAGCTATTGTGAGGTTTAAAATAGCAGACATGTGAAAGCCTATATATAACAGGCCCTCTGAAAAACTTTACTGCATCTAAGTATAAGGAAGCTGCATTTTGTTAGGGTTGCACTTTATGAGACCTCAGATGAGTAGAAAACAAACAAACAAACAAATCTCATGATATAAGAGTCCTCTTGGCAAAGGATGGCAGCCATTTATGTTGGCCAGCTGGCAAGAGAAGAAGCAAAGTTTATAGTTTGCTGGGATTGCAGGTCAAAAATCTTGCAATTTTGGACAAATTTTTATTTTTAGATTATTTGGATTCTTTTCTTTTCTTTTCTTTTCTTTTTTTTTTTGAGATGGAGTCTCGCTCTGTCATCCAGGCTGGAGTGCAGTGGCGCAGTCATGGCTCACCGCAAGCTCTTCCTCCCAGGTTCACGCCATTATCCTGCTTCACCCTCCTGAGTAGCTGGGACTACAGGCGCTCACCACCATGCCTGGCTAATTTTTTTTTTTTTTTTGTATTTTTAATAGAGACGGGGTTTCACCGTGTTAGCCAGGATGGTCTTGATCTCCTGACCTCGTGATCCGCCCGCCTCAGCCTCCCAAAATACTGGGATTACAGGCGTGAGCCACCACGCCCAGCTTGGATTATTTTCAAAATTTCAAAAAGATGAATCTTTATTATTACTTTTGTATTAGTCTCCTTTAAATGTACTTAAATCAAATTTGCTTACAATATCCCTGCCCCCAATTCCATGATTTGAGGGAGAAGAAGATGAAAAATGTACTTTGTGATACAAAATGGATGACTCTTTATGGTCCTGCACAGCTGCATGTTCCAGCATCACATTAACCTCTGGATCTTCTCAGCATTCACTCTGGAATTTTTAAAATGTCATAACAGTGTATTTTCAAAATAATATCCTTGTGCACCCCCTCCTCCCCAATCGTGTAATATTGTCAGGATGTTTTATCTGGTGCCATATATCCTGCACATGACAAATCCATTTCCCCAAACAAACCATCGCATATGTCCACACTGTCCATAAATTTTGAATCCTGACATCAACACTATTACCCTCTGACGTTTGGGTTGGCCTGAGTTGTGCAAAATTGAGGGGGTGATGTTTTTAAGGAATGAGGGGATGTCACTCTTTTCTTTCTGATGGGTCCCCTCTGGAGAAAGTGATGTCGGGAACATGCAAAACTTAACCCTACTGGAGAAAGCCCCAGATACTCTCCCCAGGGTATCCAGAGATTAAACCGGCCAGATCTGTAAGCATCTCCACCTCTGGGGGTGATAACAAGGTCACCCTATACTTAGGTTTGGCTTTATAATAATACATCTGGCATCAATAGAGATTCCTTCTTTTCAGAGTGCTTTCCTATTTATGATCTCATTTTGCCCTTGCAGGAGGAAGAAAGGGAGCTGGTTAGGAAGCAAACTTGAGTTTCCCATGCTCTGTGGCTGAGCAAGTCACTTCACCATTCTCAGGTTCAGTTTCTTCATCTGTGAAGTGGTATTATAAGGGCTGTTGACTGCTTAGGGTTGTCTAAGTGCAAATGTTGCTGTGGGTTGGGCAGGAATGCTTTAGGAAATACAAAAAGCCATAGACAGAACTGCACTGTGATGATAAAAGTCATTTAGACACTCTGGAAGCTATAGAGCTGGAAGGAACTTCAGAAATAATAGTAAAGAGGTTTCAGTCTTTTATCTTGTGAAGATGCACAGATGAATCGTGGGCAGGAGCAGGACACATTACTTTGGTGGCTCAGATTTTTGGTCTCTCACTTTAAGAGGCACCTAAACGGCAAGCAAAATGCCATCGCTGGCATTGGCTCCTTCTCCACTCCACTCTCACTCACTCAAGAAAGCATACCAGAATGTTAGTGAGAGAGGTTATTATAAGGGTAACCTTGATTTCACTCTAATTTATTTTTCAAAAATGCAAACTCAGGATTCTCACATGGAACAAAACCCTGACCCAAACCAACTTAAGCAAGAGTTGATATTTATTGACTCGTGAAATTAAAGAATATCCAGCAGTAGAGGCTTTAGTCCTGGCTAGATCCAGGGGATCAAATGGTTTTGTCAGAACTTAGACTATTTATTCATCTCTAGGTTCTACTTTTCTTTCTATCGACACTGTCAGACAGAGTCTTTTCATGAGTGATAAATGGCTGTTGGCAGGCTTCGGTTTGTATCCCCAAAGCTTAGCACCCTCTGTGAAAAGAGAGCTTTCTTCTCCCAATAGTTTCAGTGTTAAGTTCTAGGATTAAGACTCATTGGACTGACTTGGAATCACTGTCCCCTATCCTTGAATCAGCCACTGTTTTCAGGGCAGTGGGATATGCTGACTGCCTAGGACTACATCTTCTCTTTCTTTCTCTCCAGGATGGAAGTGGGGATGGAGGTGGCATCGGCCTCATTTGAACCACATGGACTAAGAGGGGCTATGGGAGTATTCCCCAAAGGAAGACTGAGGGGCGTTACTAGAAAATGGGAGAATGGAAGCAGAGTGGGCAAAACCAACAGATGTTCCCTATAGTAAATAAAAAATTTGGACAATTATTAGTGAGCAAGTACTTATAACATATATGGCACATGGGATTGTGACTCACCAGTGTGTTAGCACAATATGGTCAAAAACCTCTGATCCAATTCAACCTACTCATCTTAACGATTTTATCAGCATTTAATAAGTTTGTTTTGGCCATCATGTGTTATAGTTTTGTTTGTGGTTTTGACACCTCATTAGAGGTTTCATCAGTGTAAGGAGCCAACCTAAGAGCTCTTCTCACAAGTTTCCCAAGAGAGAAATTGCCCCTCCAAATGTGAGGAGTCTCACTTTATATAGATAGCATCCACACTTCTTGCAGTGGAAAACAAACCTTATAAAATGTAATACGTTTGGTTTCCTAACTTTTTCATGACCCTGGGGTGGTAGAAGGAAGTGCAAGTTTTATCACTTGGATTTAGAGACAAGGAAATTGAAATGGAGAGAGAATTGGGCTCACATGCAGGCAGCATGTCTAGCTGCCTCCATCGTGTGATCTGAGGCACCCCATGAGGCCTATGATTACTGTAAACCTCTAAAATAAATAAAAAATAAAACAATCTCTGCCACTGAAGTGCTTCTTAATGAGATGTGTGTAGTTTAATGGGATCAAGGCATTGGATCACTTGAAGGACAATGTATAATTAATGCGTTTTTACAAGTTGGTTCAATTCAAAAAATACTTATTGAGGATCTACTACTAGTTCTATCACTGAGGATGTTTTGGTTACAAGTACAGGAATACCTTGAATATATTGCAGGTTCAGCTCCAGATCACCGCAATAAAGTGAATATTGCAATAAAGCTAGTCACATGAATTTTTTGGTTTCCCAGTGCATACAAAGGTATGTTTACACTATACTATAGTCTGTTAAATCCACAATAGTATGATATATAAAAATGTACATGCCTTAATTAAAAAATATTTTATTGCTAAAAAATACTGACACAGAGACACAAAGTGACTACATGCTGTTGGAAAAATGGTGCCGATAGACCTGCTTGACGCAGAGTTGTCACAAACCTTCAATTTGTGAAAAATTCAATGTCTGCAAAGTGCAATAAAATGAGGTATGCCTGCAATAGCAAACCCCATTTCAACAGTCTTAACATATAAAAGGAATTTATTGACAACCCCAGTGATAAGGTGACCTTCAGGTGAGGGTTGATCCAGAAGTTAACAATGTCATAATACCAAAGATCTAGTTCTTTCTCCTTTTCTTCTGAGGCTCCCAGGTATTTGCCTCATCCTAAGACTGGCTGCCTGATGATCACAGGGTGGCTGCCAGAATGTTCTGAGAATTACATGCTTCCTTATTTATACTCAGGATGAGAAAGCAGCTGTCCAAGGAGTTTGTAAGTGTGAGACAGTTCCTTCCCAGGCAGCATCTCTTCACATCTCCCTAGTTCAAACTGGGCCACGTGCTGCCTATTCCTAAACCCAACTTGGTGGCTAGGAGGAGGGGATGTGCTGAAAACCAAGGATCATGCCTGACACCACCTTCTCTAGTGGCATATGGGCTGTGGGGAGAGGGGTCTTGCCTGAATGAAAACCTAGGTACTGTTAACAGGAGGAAGGGAAATAAATGCAAAACTGCCCCTCATTAGGAGCTGAATCTTTGTCAAAGAGTAGAATAGTAATGAATATTTGTAAATAGAGCAAAGGAAATCAAGTTTCAAGGGAAGAAAGAGAATAATTTTAATTTTGGACATGTCGAGTTTGAAGTATCTGCAGAATATGTGGACAATGCTATTGAGGAGTAAATTGGAAATAAGGACCCAGGACTCAGCTTTGGGCTGGTGCTGTTGATATGGTGGTTAAAGCCACGACAGGAGAGGCCAGCAGGTGCAGGGCAAGCCCCCCCTGGGTGGTGCAGGGAGGGTGAGTGGAGCCCTGACACCGCATGATCTGGGCTTATGAGGGAAAAGGAAGGGGGCCCCACGGAATTGGAAAAGTGAGGAGAACACTGTATTAAGAAGGCGTAGGGAGAGGCCCGGTGCAGTGGCTCACGCCTGTAATCCCAGCACTTTGGGAAGCTCAGGCGGGCGGATCACGAGGTCAGGAGATCGAGACCATCCTGGCTGACACGGTGAAACCCCGTCTCTACTAAAAATACAAAAAATTAGCTGGGCGTGGTGGCATGTGCCTATAGTCCCAGCTGCTTGGGAGGCTGAGGCAGGAGAATTGCTTGAACCCGGGAGGTGGAGGTTGCAGCAAGCCGAGATCGTGCCACTGCACTCCAGCCTGGGCGATAGAGCGAGACTCCGTCTCACACACACACACACACACACACACACACACACACAAAGACAAAGAAGGCGTACGGAGAAAAGCAGTTCATGAAGTGGGGAGGCATTGTCTCAGAGGTAAGATGAGGCCTTAGCTTTTTCTGTTCAGTTTGGCCACAGGTAGGTCCCTGGTGGTCTCTCTGTGGAGGGATGTGGAGTGGTGGAGGAGGAGTCAGTGAGGGGAGGGTGGGAAGTGATGAGGCTGAGGATCTCACCCAGCAAAGCCTGTCTCTGAAGGCCCAGGGGAAAGGAAGAGAGGGCAAAACTCAGAGAAGAGGGAAGACAGTTTTTGTTCCCCCCAAAACAGCTTTGAAGATGTTAAGGACTTTTTGTGCCAGGCCACCTAAACTGATGATGCTCCTCTCCCTGGACAAGGGAGCAGATGTGGACAGAGAAGGTGGGGCCTGGGATCTGCTACAGATGATGTACTACAGTATATAGACCCCAAATACTTTCTTCCTGTTATAGTTAGGATATTTTCCCCTTCCCAAATCTCATGTTGAAATGTAATCCCCAGTGTTGGAGGTGGGGACTGGTGGGAGGTGTTTGGATCATGGGGACGGATCCCTCATGAGTGGCTTGGGCCATCCCCTTGGTGGGATAAGTGAGCTCTGGGTCTGACTTCACATGAGATCTGGTCATTTAAAAGTGTGTGGCATCCCCACACCCCACACCCTGCGCTCTCTCTCTCTTTTGCTTTTGCCATGTGAAGTGCTTGTTCTTGCTTCACCTTTCTCCATGATTGGAAGTTTCCCCAGGCCTCCCCAGGAGCAGATGCCAGCACTATTTCCTGTACAGCGTGCAGAACCATGAGCCAATTAAACCTCTTTTCTGAGGTTTACCCAGTCTGAAGTATTTCTTTATAGCAATTCAAGAATGGCCTAATACACCCCTCCTAGACTGGATAAGGACGATGTCACCTTGGGGTGCCCATCTGTAATGCAATCAGGTATCCAGGTACCTTCCCACTCTTCTCATTCCAGTGGCCGTTTGGGCATCCTGGGCCAGCCCAAGGACATCTTCCAGTGGCCGTTTGGGCATCCTGGGTGGTAGCAGGTATCTCCATTGCACTCTATTTGCCACCTCACCCTGAAGGAAGGTACGAGGGCCCCTTCAAACGCCATACAAAGACCTTCCGGAGTGCCCAGTGTGCAGATTGCCTGGTACAATGTCCAGCCTCCCCAGACCTTCTATCTTCACTTCTATCTTTCTCTTGCAACTTGACCTTCATCTGTTTTGAAATCCCTAATTGACCTGGGTGGGCATGGGCCTTGGGAGGAACTGATGAACATTCTTTTTATTTTCTCACTCACCCCTGCCACAAACATTCTTTAATAGGCTTTAGCCCCTTTATCTCTTCTTTTGTCTTCTTGTCTCAAGGGCCCCACTGCTTCTTTCTTCCTTCCTTCCCTTTCCTTCCTTCCTTCCCTTTCCTTCCTTCCTTCCCTTTCCTTCCTTCCTTCCTTCCTTCCTTCCTTCCTTCCTTCCTTCCTTCTTCCTTTCTCTCTCTCTATTTCTTTCTTCCTCTCTCTCTCTCTCTCTCTCTCTTTCTTTTGACAGAATCTTGCTCTGTTGCCCAGGCTGGAGTGCAGTGGTGCGATCTCAGCTCACTGCAGCCTCCGCCTCCCTGATTCAAGCAATTCTCCTGCCTCAGCCTCCCAAGTAGCTGGAACTACAGGTGCACGTTGCCATTCCTGGCTAATTTTTGTATCTTTAGTAGAGACAGGGTTTCACCATGTTGGTCAGGCTGGTCTTGATCTCCTGACCTCAGATGATCTGCCTGCCTCAGCCTCCCAAAGTGCTGGGATTACAGGCATAATTAAAGGCCTGCCCCTTTCATTTCAATCTGTTCCTGAGTGTCCCTGATGACCCTGTCCCTCATTGCCTGTCCCAATGGGAAATGCCCAAGACTGGAGGGCAGGGCCTAAGGACAAGCTGCAGGGTCGGGGCATGACAAAGGTTTTTCTGCTCAGCTGCTTCTCTTTCCCACTCTGCTGTTCCTTACTACTTCAGAGAGAAAATCCCAAAGAAGGTGTTTCTGCGGCTTGGCAAAGGGAGGAGAGAGTTCATGGGTTCTCAGGAATGCTACAGTTAATGCCTCTAATTAACACCCCAGGTGCTTCTGCTACGGCTGCACTGCTGCTTTGTAATCATTTCTCTGTACTCTGCCTCAGACATGCGCTCTGGAACCGTGAGCCATTTGGGAGGTGCAAGAGGATTCCAGGAAATGGCAGCAAGGCCTTAGAGGAGTTTAAGTATGTACTTGGCCAGGACAAAAGTCTGTCTTCATCTAGGCTCTAGGTGCTGACTTCTGTAACAGGGGAGCTGTTAACTTCTTCCTGGGAATCCACCTTCTACCCCACACCCAGAAGCAGAGCACCATCCACTCAGGCCTCCAAGTGCTCCAGGCCTTGTATTCCACCTCTGCCTACTTTGAGCCAGCAACTGATTTCAGCAGGAATTCACTGAGACTGACATCCTCTATGCTCAGCACTGTGTGCCAATAGTATGGCCACACAAGTAGATTTTTTCCTATTTCTCTTTTCTTAGGCTAATGGTTCAGCTCTAAAGATAAGACTTATGTAAGTAAAATAAGCAGAATATCTATTAACTTCGTATTCAGTTCCTGAAGGAATATAATCAAAGCAATACAGGGAGTCGGTACAAGGTAAAGTCAAAGTCGTGTGTTCAATATGGTAGCCACTAGCCACAAGCACCTATTTAAATGTAAATTAAAGAAAATTAAATGAAATAAAAAATGTAGTTTCTCAGTCATACTAGGCATAGTAGGTGCTCAACAGCCACATGTACCTAGTGGCCACTATACGGGAAAATGCAAAATTAACCTTCTCACTAGAGAAAGTCCTATTGGACAGTATTGGCTTGCAGTAATAGAGGCCAACTTCAGAGTATAGGTGTGGCTCCACCTGGGCCTGGAAGTATAGCAGAATTAGATAGAAGAGGAGGGAAAGGGAAAGGGTCTTCCAGGTGGGACAAACGGTGTTCAGAGATTGGAATGAACCTGGCATACCGGGCCAACACTCAGTGGGAGAGGACTAGCTGGAGTAGAACATTCCTTTTGAGGAACTGAGAAAGGCATCATCACTGATTATAACAGGCACAGAGAATGCAACAGAAGAGCCCAACCTCCTCCTCTCAATTCTCAATTGAAATTGAGATTGATGGGATTCCCGTAATCCCACCTTTCACTTTTACTCCACCCCATCAAGAGGACAGGGTTCTGATTCAACCTTGGGCTTCTGATCTTGGGGGGTGGGAGCTTGGAGTCATAACTAATTATCTGCTCTATTTGAAAACACTGCTGGGACTGGACTGTGTTGGGGACCTGAACCTGCAACCTGTGACCTTACTCCCCACTCGAGCTGGCCTTTGAACCTGCTTTGTCACTGAGAAATGATGAAAAGCTCAGAAGTCAGACCCACTTGAATTCAATTACTGGCACTTCTACTCACCAACCAAGTGCTCATAGGCAAGTAATTTAACTCCTCCAAACCTCAGTTTACCCATCTACAAAATGGGGATGATAATAGCACTGGCCTCATAGAATAGTTATGATGGTTCAATGGGATAACAGTTGCAAGGGGCTTGGCATAGTTCACAGCAAAATGAAATGAATAATCTATTCATTATGTTATTCCCCTATCACACTGAAGCTGTTTGCAGGTGCACTGCTGTTATTGTATCTGCTTCCTTCTGAATTAAAAAATTTTTAAATATAATTGAATCCATTGGTTTTTTCTCTAATGATTTGTGTTCTTTTTGTCTTATATAAAAAATTTTTCCCTACCTCAAGATCTTAAAGATTGTCACCTATATTTTCTTCTAAAAGTGTTTTTAAGTATATTTTTAATTGTAGAATAATATACTTACAAGGTGCACAGATGATAAAAGTATAGCTCCAGGAATTTTCATAAAGTCCACACATCTATGTAAGCAGACCCAGATTAAGAAAGAGCATAATCAGAAGCCAGGGGGTGTCACTCAGGCCTCCTTTAGTCACAAGCTCCCTAGCCAGGGTAAGTATTAATCTGACTTCTAATGTAACAATTTAGTGTTTCCTGTTTTTGAACTTTATAAAGGCCTACAGACGCAGCATATACTCTTAGATGTCTGAGTCCTATTTGTGTGATTCATTCACACTGTGCATACAGCCATAGCTTTTTCATTCCTACAGTTTTACACTTTTCAACTGTATGGATAGACCAGAATTTATTCATCCATTTCACTGTTTTTAGACATTTGAGTAGTTTCCAATTTTTGACTACAATGAACAGTGCTGCAATTGTACGTGCCTTTTGGTGAACATATGTACATATTTCTGTTGGGTGTGCAGGCCCAGGAGAGGATCATTCCTTAGTTGTTACCATAGTCTCCAAATGTCATAGCAGGAGGAAGGCTTGGGGTACATCCAATCTGCCCTGTTTCAGAGAAGGGGAAGACGGCCCAGTGTGGACAGTGATCTGCTGAGGCCCTGCAGCTCACATGTGGCAGAACTGGGTATCCCAAGAGCCAGAACCCTAATTTGTCCTGCTTTTCTTCCAGTTCTGTACCAGTACACCCCTGCTCACCTCCTCTAACTCCACAACCTAGGAGCTCCAATTAAGAAAACTGTAGCCCCTTAGGGCATTTACAATATTGCTTTCCTTTTTCTTTTCCTTTTTTAGAGACATGGCCTCACTCTGCTGCCCAGGCTGGAGTGCAATGGCACAATCACAGCTCACTGCAGCCTCAAACTCCTGGGCTCAAGTGATCCTCCCACTTCAGCCTCCTGAGTAGTTCGGACTACAGGCATGTGCCACCATGCCTGGCTAATTTTAAAAAAAATAGATATGTGGGCTCGCTATGTTGCCCAGGCTGGTCTTGAACTCTTGGCCTCAAGCAGTTCTTTCATGTGGGCTTCCCAAAGCACTGGGATTACAGGTGTGAGCCATCACACCCAGCTTAACACTGCTTTCTCAACTCAGCTTCAATTTTCCCTCATTTTGGTCAAACGTTCCCTAAAAGCCCAGAATATCTCCATGCCTTTTTGTTTCAAGTCTGCTATAACTATTGTCCTCCATGGTCTTCCCTGAACACCTCCTACTGCCCTGCAACATCTCCTTTTCATTTTCAGCATACCTGGTAGCTTCCTTCCCTAGGGCTCTCTAGCATGTCCGGTATGTGGTATGGACCTGTCTGATAATTCCATTACACTTATAATAAAAGCCCCTGCCCTCACCTGGCTCCTTGGCAGCTGGTGATAATGCATGCATGACCCACCAACCATGGCTCCTTCCATTAGCTATCCTGGACCTCCTTGGATTTATAATGTCCAACTGTATTGCTATAATCCTAGGGTGTGGGAGGCAGCATGGAAAGGGGAGAGATGCTGCAAACCTAGCTGTGGAAATGACCTGCCTAGGCTGGGCTGGGTCCCCTCCGCCAGGCACTGCTCCGGGGCACTGGCACATCCCACCCAGGGCAGCTCTTTCTTCTGTTCAGTGACTTTGTCAACTTTGGTGCTGCTGAGGCATCAAGACATTACTGTGAGGGCCCACCCCTTTACGTCCTTTAAATGTTAGGCTTCCAAAGAGGCCTTTCCTGACACTCCTAGAGAGATTACACCCCACTCCACTTCCAGCAACCCAATTTCCCTTCCCTTCCTTTTTATTTCTCTTTAACACTTATCACTGCCTTACATACTATATTTTTATTTTATTGCTTGTCTTTTCCCACTAGAATGTAAGCTCCACATAGGCCAAGATTTTGGTCGATTTTGTTTTTTGCTCTATTGCTGCCACTTAGGTGCCTGGCATATTGGAGCACTAAAAAAAAATTTGCTAAATATGGGAATACATTCAGAAGTTATCTAGAATTGGTGTCTCGGTCCTGCTCACCATCATTTTTAGGTCTTCAAACTCTAAAGCGTTGATCTTACCCTCTTTCTAAGGCTACATGACATGACCTAGATATTTGCCACATAAAAGACCTGCTTGCAAGTGATTTTTATTTGATGAGGGGGGAAATTTCTCCTTTTTTACTGCAACACAAGGTCTGGCATGTGAGTTGCATGGAAGAGGACAATTCAGCTGAATGGTAGGTCAACTTTGGCTAAGCTGGAACAAAACAGCCCCCAAGTTTGACCTCCACTGAGTGTTCTGCTGCCAGGTCGGGGCAGGGCTCAGTCATCGTTGACTCCCTTGTGTGCCACCGAGCATAGTGCCTGGAACATAACAGGTGCTTAATAAATATTGCCCAATCCAGTCTTTCTCATGTACTTCATTCACTGCTCTTCTCAGTCAGTTGAGTTTTGCAAAGAGATGGTTCTTTCTCCAAGTCGGTACATTTAGACTTGAGGAATCTGAGCTCCTTGGAGAAGGAAAAAGTCGAGTATTGTGGGCTGCATGTGCTATGTACACATTCATTGTCGTATTAAATGAAAGTGAGAATCTCACATGAGCTGGGAATTGTGCTAAGCCCTAAGAATGTAGTGTGGGAACAAGACTGGGATAGGCCCTGCCATCACGGAGCTTGCTGTTGTGGGAGGCTGGCACAGATGACACTCATAAGGTCAGGAGGGCAGGGAGGGCTTCCTTATGGAAGACATTTCACCTGATCCCTGAAGAAGAGTAGAAGATATACAGGTGAACAGTAGGTCAACTTTGGCTGAAGCTGGAACAAAACAGCCCCCAAGTTTGACATCCATGGAGTGTTTTGCTGCCAGGTAGAGGCAAGGCTCAGTCATCTTTGTCTCCTTTGTGGTGCCACTGAGGATAGTGCCTGGAACATAATACGTGCTTAATAAATATTGCCCAATCCAGTCTTTCTCATGTACTTCATTCACTGCTTTTGTCAGTCATTTGAGTTTTGGGAAATTGCATAAAGGAATATTTTTCAGCCTTTAAAAAAAGGAGGTCCTGCTATTTGTATCAACATGGATGAACCTACAGGACATTATGCTAAGTAAAATAAGTCAGATACAGATAGAAAAATACTGCATTATCTCTCATTTTATTTGTGGAACCTAGAAAAAAAAGAAAAAGTCAAATACATAGAAACAGAATTAAATGGTGGTTATGGCAGGGGGCAGGAGGATTAAGATTTTTTAGAAAATAGTTGCCAACTTGCTGGCCGGGCGCAGTGGCTCATGCCTGTAATCCCAGCACTTTGGGAGGCCGAGGCGGGTGGATCACGAGGTCAGGAGATTGAGACCATCCTGGCTAACACGGTGAAACCCCGTCTCTACTAAAAATACAAAAAATTAACCAGGCATGGTGGCAGGCGCCTGTAGTCCCAGCTACTCGGGAGGCTGAGGCAGGAGAATGGCATGAACCCGGGAGATGGAGCTTGCAGTGAGCCGACATCGTGCCACTGCACTCCAGCCTGGGTGACAGAGCGAGACTCCGTCTCAAAAAAAAAAAAAAAAAAAGAAAAGAAAATAGTTGCCAACTCATAAAAATAAAGAGATTTCACACCACCCCCTCCCCCAAATCTGTTAGCATTGGACCTGTGGTTCCTGCTTAAATTTTGCATTATTGGGGCAGAGGTATTGGGGCAGAGGTGGTGTGTAGAGGGGCTCATTTTGAGGATGTGCAATATCCTCAGACTGTGGAACAGGATGTGCGACAGTCCCGAGGCACAAAGGAAGGTGAGAAAGAGGCCCAGAGAAGGTGCATGGATGAAGCGGAGGGTTGGGCAGAGCCTTGCCCAGCACAACAGCTTAAGGTTTTTAGCCTTTGAAAGCCTGTTTGCAGTTTTCTTTTATTGCTTATTTAAGGTGTACAACATGATGTTTTGATATACATAGTGAAAATCTCACCTAGTTACCCTTTTTGTGTGTGTGTGTGGCAAGAGCCCCTAAAATATATTATTTTAGCAAATTTCCAGTGTACAATATTATAATTGTATTCCTCATGTTGTACATTAATCTCTAAATGTATTTATCCTACATATCTGAAACTGTGTACCCTTTGCCCTAAATATCCTCATTTCCTGCCCCCTGCCGTAACCATCATTTAATGCTGTTTCTATGTATTTAACTTTTTCTTTTTTTCCAGGTTCCACAAATAAAATGAGAGATAATGCAGTATTTTTCTTTCTGTATCTGGCTTATTTTACTTAGCATAATGTCCTGCAGGTTCATCCATGTTGATACAAATAGCAGAACCTCCTTTTTTTTTTAAGGCTGACTAATATTCCCTTATGCAATTTCTTTATCCATTTATCTGTCAACAGACAGGAGTTGTTTCCATGTCTTGAGGCTATTTGCAGTTAAAGGGCACTGGAAACTGGTGATTGTGGTGTATAACATGAGATTTTTAATCTATTTCTTTTTTCTTCTTTGCTTTACACCCACATGATTCCAATCCCCTCTAACTTCAAAGGAAGGAAGGAAGGAAGACCTAGTTGGTGACGAGGTCATACAATAGCAGCTTTCTGTTTTGCTCTCTTTCCATTTAAGAGTAGCTCCTCCTTTGTTTGAAGCTGCTGGAAGGTCTCTTTGTGCCAAAGAGCTGAGGGAAGCCATGGGAACAGGTTGTTTTCACAGCTGTGCTGAACTCCAACTTAGAGCTGTCCATCCCACTGCTCACACACTCGGGCAACTCTGGCGAAGAGGGAAAGGATGTAAGTCGTGCCCTCCCACATGTGTTCTGAGCTCATTTGTCTCTGAGCCTCACCCAGGGGCCTCTTAAGCTCTGCCTATTAAGGAGTGAGCCAAGGCTGCAGGAAAGGTGACTCTTTAACATAACAGTAAGGCCTACCCCATGGGCAAATCTACTCTGGTGTCTGCAGGTGCGCCTTGCTTTACACAATAAGGGCATTGACAAAACCCTAGACTGATGGGACCACATGCTGGCCAGGGCCACCACCTCATTTTGTGGAGGAGGAAACTGCTTTCCTCGTAAGTTTAGTGAACTAGATGGTCTCCAAAGACTCTTCCAGTTTTGACCATCTATGGTTTTATGAAGATGTATAGATATCAGATTTGTACAATGCACTGTGGGAGCTCTTCAGGAATAATAGAGCCAACATTTATTGTGCTCTGTCTGTGCTCCAGACAGTGCAGAGTACTTTTCTTGTATTCTTTCTTTCAGTCTTCAGAATAGCCTTCAGAGTCAGGTATCCTTTTTCCCACTTTACAGATGAGGCTTAGAGAGAAAAAAGTGAGTTGCTCAAGATCTTACAGCTACTAAGGTGCAGAACAGGCATTCAAGCCTTGATCTATTTGACACCAAGGCTTGTGGTGTTAAATACTAAGGTAAGGTGAAACTCCTTTCAGTGTCTGTGACCCAACTGCGGATTAAGCTTTGGTCACCTCCAAGAACTGAGAGCTTGCAAAGAGCCAAAAGATGTGCAGCATGCTTTTCACAATCAACACATGAATGAGTCCAGGCATACCAGCTGACAGAGGACTTCAGTATGCAGAGTGCTTTGCTCCACAGGATCTGTTGGCCTGGGATCCAACAGGATCTGTTGGCCTGCAGGTTACCATGGTGCACACTACCAGTTAGCAATTGACTAGGAGAGATGATGTGCTGCACAGCAGCTTAAACTAAACGGCAATTTATGGAAACAAGTTAAGGCCCAGCTCTTCACACTTGGGAAAGTGAAGGGCTTCAGTTCACAAGTCTGCATGCTGTTCGTACACGTACCCTTTGGGGAGACATGTGCTCTGACGCAACATGCTTTTTTTTTTTTTTTAAATCTGCAGAGGCCTTGCTGCATCTGCTGCTTATTTTGTGAACTTAGGCCAAAGGCAGGCCCCACAGAGTCCCCACAGCTTCCTGCTCACCCTGCTGCTTCCCTCACAAGCCCTGCAAGCCTGCAAAGATCTGAGTTGCCAACCAGTATCTGTCTGTCTGGTGTCTATCTCTCTCCCTCTCTCTTTAACCGGGACCAGGTGGGGTGGGGGTACTTCTACAGAGAGCAAATGCATAAACACCTCATATATGTCTCAATTATCTGGAATAAGGGTCCCAAATTAAAATACTTTCAGGAACTAGGCAGGTGACATGATAAGAGAGGTCCACTGGATGGGTACTGGGAGGTACTGTTCAACTCTAGCCTGTTGCTTGCAAAATTTAAGCAGGAACCGCAGGTCCAATGCTAACAGATTTTTGGGGGGGCGGGGTGAAATCTCTTCATTTTTTTTTTTTTTTGAAATGGAGTCTCGCTCTGTCGCCCAGGCTGGAGTGCAGTGGCTTGATCTCTGCTCACTGCAATCTCCACTTCCCGGGTTCACGCCATTCTCCCACCTCAGCCTCCCGAGTAGCTGGGACTACAGGCGCCCGCCACCACGCCCGGTTAATTTTTTGTATTTTTAGTAGAGACGGGGTTTCACCGTGTTAGCCAGGATGGTCTCGATCTCCTGACCTCGTGATCCACCCCCCTCGGCCTCCCAAAGTGCTGGGGTTACAAGCTCGAGCCACCGCGCCTGGCCGAAATTTCTTCATTTTTATGAGTTGGCAACTATTTTCTAAAAAATCTTAAAATACCTTGTAGGGTAAGCTAAATACATCTATGGGCTAGAATCAGCCCATGGTACCCGGAATCACCTAATTCTCCACTCTGTTCTATGTATGAATGCAGCCCTTGCTCTTGGAATTATAATTGCCCCAGTGTTTGCTAAGCACAGCTGGCTGAGAGACTATAGGGTGAACTGATCAGAGGAATAGAGGGGAATCAGAAGACCTGGGTTTCAGTCTTATTCTCTAATAAGCAGCTGTGTGGCCTTGCTCACATGACTCTCGGTTTGGTTAGAGCATCTTTATGTATAAAATGAAGGCATTGATGAAGGAATCCTTAGGGCCCCTTCTAGTTCCAAATTTCCACGTCTATGCCTTTAAATGATTGAATTACTTTATTTTGTTTGTATCTAAAATACCTAGGCTAGATACTTAGAGACTTTGGCTTAAGTAGCACTGTGGTAACAATTCTGATTTACAAGAGTGAAGGGACCCTTGAAGTGTGATTTCTCCAACGGAGTCCTTAACAGGAGAGGCTAAAGAAGGGTTCACTCTAAAATTAAATGCCACTCCACTTCCCCAAGGGCAAAAGCAATTAGGAATTTCATTTGAAATCTGGGGACAGTTGATGGAAAAAAGAAAACAAATATATTAATAAAGAGTAATAAGAATAGGCATTGCTGGTGGGAAAGGTGCAGCCACTTTAAAAAAAACCAGTTCATCAGTTATTCAAAATGTTAGGCATAGAGTTACCCTATGACTCAGAAATTCCATCCTAGGTATTTATCCAAGAAAAATGAAATCTACCTACAAAAAAACTTATGCACAAATGTTCTCGCAGCATTATTCATAACAGCCAAGAAGTAGAAACAACCTAAAAGTCCATTTGAATGGATAAGTAAAATGTGGTACATTCATACAGTGGAATATTATTCTGCAAAAAAGGAATGAAATATTGATGAATGCTACATTACAGATGAATCTTGAGAACACTATGATAAGTGAAAGAGGCCAGTCACAGAGCATGATATGTTGTAGGATTTCATTTATCTGAAATGCTTGGAAGAGGCAACTCTATAGAGATAGAAAGCCCATTAGTGGTTGCCTGTGACTGGGGAGGATGGGAGGAAAGAAGAGTGATGCTAAAGGATATGAGATTTCTTTTTGGGGTGATAAAAATGTCCTAAAATTGGCTGGGCACACTGGCTCATGACTGTAATCCCAGCACTTTGGGAGGCCAAGGCAGGAAGATCACCTGAGGTCAGGAGTTTGAGACTAGCCTGGCCAACATGGTGAAAACCTGTCTCTACTAAAAATACAAAAATTAGCCGGGCATGGTGGCAGACGCTTGTAATCCCAGCTACTTGGGAGGCTGAGGCAGGAGAATCGCTTGAACCCGGGAGGCAGAGGTTGCAGTGAGCCGAGATTGCACCACTGCACTCCAGTCTGGGCAATAGAGTGAGACTCTGTCGCAAAACAAACAAACAAACAAAAAAAACAAAACCCTAAAAGTGCCTGTGGAGATGGTTGTAAAACCCTGAATATAATAAAAGACATGAATTGGACACTTTAAAGAGGCAAATTGAATGGTAATGAGAACTAACATCTCAATAAAGCTGTTTAAAAAAGAAAAAGTAAGGGTAAAAAGGTTATTAAATTGAAGGAGTAGATGAATAAAACATTAAACATAGGTTAATGAGAAACTAAGGAAAAGAATATATATGACTAGGTTATATTACTAAGATATCTTTTAGAACTACTCATTGTATTTTGAGAAGGGGCTGCTTTTAGCAGGCAAATTGTGATCAGGGAAAGGGATGATTAACAATAATAAATAGTGATTTTCATTCTTGGATATGGTCCTAGGCACTAATTGTTTTTCTGAGTATTTTTATGCACTGTTTTGCAGCTCAGGCAGCCTGTTACTCTGTTTTTCAGCTCCAATTGTTTGAGTTTGGCAGATTTGAGTTAGTAATGAGGATGCATTATGGCAAGGGACACTCATGACATCAGTACACACAGGGCTGCCAGAATTCTGGGGGCTCTGCCAAGCCCCAATGAGTTGCCCCATGCCTTGCAAAATCCAAATTGCAAAACAAGAAGAGTGAGGACTTGCTAGCTGGTGTTAAGTTTGGGGGATTCTATGTTTAGGTGCGAAAGGTGAAACCATTCTGACAAGAAGTAGTTACCTTAGCTTAATTGCAAGGGCAATTTCAGTGAAGTTGAAATCCAGGCCATGTTTGTCAGATTCTCCAGGAGGAGGAGTCACAAATTTGGACATCAATAGTGGTCTGGCAGGTAAAGTAGAACAGTGTAAGTGGTTAAATGGAGGGCTCTCTGTCCCATTTCATGGGGCCAGTCCCTGCGCTGTTCATGTTCCTTGTTACTGTATAGAAGGAAAGACTAGTATTGCCAAACCAACCTTCCGATTTTTCAAAAGAGACCGAAGACACAGATTTTTATTTTTATTTTTATTTTTTATTTTATTTTATTTTATTTTGAGACGGAGTTTCACTCTTGTGTCCCAGGCTGGAGTGCAATGGCGCGATCTGCACTCACTGCAACCTCCGCCTCCCGGGTTCAAGCGATTCTTCTGCCTTAGCTTTCCTGAGTAGCTGGGATTACAGGCAGGTGCCACCACACCCGGCTAATTTTGTATTTTTAGTAGAGATGGGGTTTCTTCATGTTGTTCAGGCTGGTCTCGAACTCCTGACCTCAGATGATCCGTCCGCCTCATCCTCCTAAAGTGCTGGGATTACAGGCGTGAGCCACCGCGCCCGTCACGGATTTTTAAATAGTGAAATCTTCCTCTTTGAATGTTTCCATCTAATTAGAATTTTAAAAGAAATGGAATAGCCCATAGATTGGGAGAAAGTATTTGCATATTATATAATTGATAAGGGACTTGCATCTAGAATATATAAAGAATGCTTACAACTCAATAATCAAAAAAACCTAATAACCCAATTTAAAATGGGAAAGGGATCTGACTAAACATTTCTCCAACAAAGACATATAGATGGTAAATAAACACATGAAAAGAGGCTCAACATCGTTAGCATCAGGGAAACGGAAATTGAAACCACAATACTACTTGAAATAACACTTCATATCCACTAGGATGGCTGGAATTGAAAAAAAGATAACAAGTATGGATGAGGATGTGAAGTTGCAACCCCCAAACAGTGCTGCTGGGAATGGTGTAGCCACTTTGGAAAACAGTCCAAAAGTCTCCCACAAGGGGTTAAACAAAAAGTGACCATATGACTCCGTATTTTCTCTCCTAGGTATATACTCAAGATAAATGAAAACACATGTCCACACAAAAGCTTGCTCATGAATTGTCATAGAAACATTCTTCACAATATCCAAAAGTGGAAGCAACCCAAATGTCCATCAACTGATGAATGGATAAACAAAGTAATATTCTGTACGATGGAATTTTAATTGGCATATTTGGTAATAAAAAGGAATCAAGTACTGATACATCCTACAACATGGATACATCTTGAAAATGCTATGCTAAATGAAAGAGGTCAGTCACAAAAGACCAGATATTAAATGATACCATTTTTATGAAATGTCCAGAGAGGCAAATCTATAGAGACAGAAAGTACATTAGCAGTTGCCTAGGGTGGAGAGGACGGGGGGAAATGGGGAGTGACTGCCCTAGGGTATGAGTTTCTTTTTGGAGTGATGAAATGTTCTAAAATTGTGGTGATGCTTGCACAATTCTATGAATATAGTAAAAACCATTGAATTGCACACTTTCAATTGGCTCTGTGTATGGCACTGAATTGTATTCCAATAAAGCTGTTATTAAAAAGAGAATGTAGTGCTGAGCATAGTGTAATCCCAGCACTTTGGAAGGCTGAGGTGGGTGGATCACCTGAAATTAGGAGTTTAAAACCAGCCTGGCCAACATGGCGAAATCCCGTCTCTACTAAAAAATACAAAAATTAGCTTGGCGTGGTGGCACACTCCTGTAGTCCCAACTACTCGGGAGGCTGAGGCAGGAGGATCCCTTGAACCTGGGAGGTGGAGGTTGTGGTGAGCTGAGATCATGCCACTGCACTCCAGCCTGGGCGACATAGTGAGACTCTGTCTCTGACTCTGTCAAAAAAAAAAAAAAAGAAAAGAAAAGAAAAGAAAAGAAAAAAATATATACTCAGGGTCAAAGAAAACATATGGGATTTGATTACTACATAGTCAGACTGGAAGGCATTTGTCAAGCCCAACACCTTAAGAAACCAGAGGAAAGGGTGCTCTGCCAGTTCTATAGTCACACATTTATTTAGCGGCAGAAACAGAGTCAGAATTTGTCTCTTGACCTTGACCTCTAGGCTGTGCTGCCCCTCTCCAAAGCCCAGTTTTGAAGACATAGCTTGGAAGGGATTGTGAGAAGTCAACATCATGAACAGCTGGATATACTCTCTTCCCTTTCCCATATTTTGCAAAGGTCCCCCAAAGGCTTCTTGAGGAGGGGATAAATTACGGTAAAAAGGAATACTCCTTAAAGGAAGAGACTGCCATAGAGCTTCCCTGAGTCTTTTCCCTCATAGGGTGGGAGGGTCTGTGTGTTTCAAAGAACACTTACTCTGTATGTTTCTAATTCATTTGCACTTAGCTCATCAATATGTTGTTTGTGCAAGAACCATTTGATGTTCAAGAAACCCTCTGGGCCTCTTAAAGGGCTTTTTAAAAAATTTGAGCCAGAGAATTGAACTTTGCCAAGAGTAAATGGAACTCAGATATCAAAAGGTCTGAGTTCAGTTTTCATTGAATACAAAGGGTGAGTAGATTCTGAATTGAGCCAAATGCATTCTCCCACCCTTAATTTACAGTACATTGTTTTGGCAGACTCTACAATCCTGAAAGTTGGCTTGTCTTCTCCCATTCCTTTCTAGGGTGCAACCTCAAGCCTATCTTTTAGTTAACTTTACAAAAAATAAGGCCATGTTATAATGATTTATGAGAGCTTCACTCATTACTGTTCTTGTAACTATCAATTTTATTAGAACAAACTGAAATGTTTGAAAAGGTTAAAACTCTCCTCTAAAGCTATAATTTTGTTTGATCTCCTACAGGGATTTCTATTTTTTTTAGTCCTCTCATCTGGGAGTTTATCAAGAGATGTTGCTCCTGTTTCAATAAGTGGTCAGGTCATCAACCAATTATCAAATTGAATACTAGAGGGCTACTATTACTTGTAGTGCTTGGATTTGGAGTACAAAACGAGTTCCTTGGCTCTGCCTTCCAAGGAGTAAGGGCCAGAGAAATTATTAGTACTTTGAGTTTCTTGTTAATAAAAAACAATCTCAAAAAAATGGCAAAATTAAAATCAGCCCAAGTTCTGCCACCTCAAGATATGCACTAAGATTTTGTGGATCACTTTCCTTTTATTCTAAAAAAGTACTTACTCTGGGTGTAATGGCTCGTGCCTATAATCCTAACACTTTGGGAGGCTGAGGCGGGAGGATTGCTTGAGCCCAGGAGTTTGAGACCAAGGCTGGGCAACATAGGGAGACCCTATTTCTACCAAAGGAAAAAAAATTAGCTGGGTGTGGTGGTGTGTGCCTATGGTCCCAGCTATTCAGAAGGTTAAGGTGGGAGGATTGCTTGAGCCTGGGAGGTCGAAGCTGCAGTGAGCTGTGATCACACCACTGCACTCCAGCCTGGGTGACAGAACAAGACCCTGTCTCTCCCTCCCAAAAAACTCTGTATCTATATATCCGTATCAGTATACATAGTTATGGATATGTTATAAAAATGGGATATTGGCCAGGCGCAGTGGCTCACGCCTGTAATCCCAGCATTTTGGGAGGCCGAGGTGGGCAGATCACAAGGTCAGGAGATCGAGACCATCCTGGCTAACACGGTGAAACCCCATCTCTACTACAAATACAAAAAATTAGCCAGGTGTGGTGGCGGGAGCCTGTAGTCCCAGCTACTCGGGAGGCTGAGGCAGGAGATTGGTGTGAACCCAGGAGGCGGAGCTTGCAGTGAGCCGAGACTGTGCCACTGCACTCCAGCCTGAGTGACAGAGCGAGACTCTGTCTCAAAAAACAAAAAACAAAAAACAAAAACAAAAAAAGGGATATTATATTGTTTTATAATTTACTTTTTCCCTTTGTTAGTTCGTGATTGTCTACATTAATAAAATGATATCTACTCATGCATAAAATTCAATGGTACAGATGGTTACTTAAGTAAAGTCCAGTGGGACATCTGGTTTAAGGTGTTGCAGGATGCAGCACTCAAATAACGTTTTGAGGTCTGCTTCTCCCCTTTCTATTTGCTCTGTCTTCTGCTGCCTTGGTGCCATTCACATGTTGCACATAGAGGCAGCAGTTCGAGTATATGCATCCAGGATCTTGGCTGGCAGAAGGAAGCAAGACTCTATTCCCATAGCAATATCTGATCCTATCATTGTAGCCTATGCCTGGGTTACATGATACACTCTTGGAATCCAAGTGTTGCACTTGGATAACATACATAGAGAATGGGGAAAGGAGGGAAGTAGGGAGAGGTGGGCCCCAGAGGGAATTGGTAGGATGGTTATCAGAAGGAGAATGAATGAATGTCGGGTGGCCCAAAACACAGGTCCACAATCTATACACGGACATTTGGAACTTGTTTTACATTGGTTTCCTAGGGCTTTCGTAACAAAGCAACACAAACTGCGTGATTTGAAAACAAATTTGTTGTCTCACTGTTCTGGAGGGCTGGAAGTCCAAGATCAAGATACCCACAGGGTTAGTTCACTCCATGGGCTGTGAGGGAGAATCTGTTCCATGGCTCTGTCCTAGCTTTCGGCAGTTTGTTGGCAGTCCTGGTGTTTGTTGGCTTGTAGATGCATCGTCCTGATCTCTGCTTTCGTGTTCACATGGTGTTCTTCCTGTGTGCACAGTGTGATTTCTTTTTCTGTTTTAAATAAAGACACTTCATATTGGATTAGGGATCCTTCCTACTCTAATATGACTGCATTTTAATTAATTACATCTGCACTGATCCTATTGCCAAATAAGATCACATTCGAAAGTACTAGGGGTTAGAGCTTCAACATATGAATTTTTGAGGTCACAATTCAATCCAACATATTTCTACGCATTTAATATTTCTGGCTACATCTAAGACCCACCCGGTCTGGGTGTGAATGCCAAAACCAGCTGTCTCCCTCTTTCTGCTGTGTGGGCTAGGAGACTGGATGAGGCCACCTCTAGGGTCCCTTCCAGATAACTTCGCGATTAAGTGTCAGGGCTAGGAATCCATCCTGCTGTCTGAATGTATGTTACAGTACCACCACTTACTAGCTCAGGGACTTTGGGCAAGGGGCTTAACCTCTGCAAATTTCAGTCTCCTCAACCAGTAAAATGAGGATAAGAGTCCTTCACCCATTGGTTTGTTGTGGGTTAGACACATAGCCTTCAATGAATGTCAGGCAGTGTGACTGTTCCACTTCTTTGAGGATGCAAGGACTGTAGAGCCAGGAGAAGAACCTATATAACTCCTGGTGTTCTCATTCTCTCATGGTAATTCAGTGCTATAACTTCTCCAGAGGTTCTCTTGTTAGAACTTCAAGAGCGAGGCCGGGCACAGTGGGTCATGCCTGTAATCCCAGCACTTTGGAAGGTCGAGGCCAAGGAGTTCAAGACCAGCCTGACCAACATGGTGAAACTCCGTCTCTACTAAATACAAAAAATTAGCCGGGTGTGGTGGCGCATGCCTGTAATCCCACCTACTTAGGAGGCTGAGGCAGGAGAATTGCTTGAAGCCGGGAGGCAGAGGTTGCAGTGAGCTGAGATTGTGCCATTGTACTCCAGCCTGGGCAAAAAGAGCAAAACTCCATCTCAAAAAACAAACAAACAAAAAAACTTCAAGAGGGGAAAGGGTTCCTTTTTTTATCTTGCAAACAGGAACTCAAATCCAGCTCAGGGAATGCAAGGTATTTCTCTCTCTCCCCTGAAGCTGGATGCCGTAAATTCTGAGCCAACTCCTTTTCTTTTAGGCAATGTGATTATTAAATACCTGTCCCCCTTAAGTTTCACTTATCTCTCTCTCTCTTATCTCGTTTTCTCTTATAACTTGATTTTTCCCACCAGCTTTCAGATGTGGGCTGGAACCAGTATTTTATTTACAATCTCTCTGTTTTTGGCTTCATAAATTTGGGGAAATGCAACAGATGTGTGCTGCTTTCCCAGGAAGCACATCTTTAGTTTTTTCATGCTTTAACTACACAGTCTAATTCGGCTTGCCTAAATGCTTATTCAATAACGACTTTGAGTTCTTGCAGGTAGCAGAACCTAGCTGATACAGGTATATTAGGCCTTACACCAAGGTCAAAGCAGGAGGAGGTGCCATTCACCTTTAAAAAAATGTGGTCACTTTCATTTAGTGCCAGGTGTTGTTCTAAGCACCAGGGAAATAACAATGAACAAGAGAGCCACCATCCCTGCTTTTGAGGAGTGCACATTCTGAAACATTCATTTCTGCAGAAAATATATAATGAGAACTTATGACATGTTAGATATTGTTCATCATTAAACAAAACAGAAACAATCTGCACTGATGGTTTTGTTGTGTGCGTGGGTGGTGGCAGGAGAGGGGGAAGAATACAGTACACATAAGTACATTAAAAGAATCCTGTTAAAAGGTGGTAAGTGCTATGGAAAAAATGAAGTAGGGTAAGGCGGATTAGGAATATTGGAATGATTTACAAATTTAAATAGGATGGTCAGGGTAGGTGATACTTGAACGAAGACTTGAAGGAAAATGAGGAAGGGAGCCTCAATATTTGGGGGATGAGCAAGTCCAAAAGCCCTGGGACATGAGTGTACCCTGCTTTTTCAAGGAGAGCCAGGAGGCCATTTCAGCTGAAGAAGAGTGAGGAAGGTGAGAACAGGAGGAAATGTGGCTGGGGGTAGATCAAATGGAGCTTTTATGCTGCGTGAAACGAGAAATTAATGGAAAGTGCTGAGCAAAGAAGTGACCTGGTGTCACGCTTCAAAGGACTGGTCTGGCGGCTTTGTTCAGGCTGGACTGTGCAGGTGCGGGATGGTGAGGGGATATTTGGGGGGCTGCTGTAACCACACGGGTGGGGTGGTACAACCCTCTGATGCACATCAGAGGGTAGGAGGTGGAGGTGGTGTGACACGGCCAGATTAGGGGTCTATTTTGGAGGCAGGGCCAACAAGATTTTGCTGGCAGATTAGATGTGGGGTGTGAAAGAGAAGAGGCAGGGAGGATTCCTAAATTTTGCCTCTTAAGAATAGAGTAGCCATTGATTGAGATGGCAAAGAAGACTGGTGGAGAACGTTTTTGCTTTGCTTCGGTGCATTGGGAGTTCCAGGAGTTCCGTTTGGACGTTAAGTTTGAAGGGGCTATTTACTATCCAAGCGGAGCGGAGAGCTGGATTTTGAAGCTCTCTGGGAACATACTTTTGGGGACATTTCTAAAGCTTGAGACCCTGTTCCAAAGCCTCGAAGACCCTGTCGAGGTTCTTCCGGAGCCGGCCACGTCCCTCTCTTCTCAGCCCTCCTAAATTAAGCCGGAAAATCCCTGGGACAGTAGCCCCTTTATTCGGCAAAGCCCTTTTTCCTCTTTGAGGAATGACGACAAAAACGAACAAAAATGAAGACACTCAGCAGCACTGCGTCCTTTCCCCGCTCGCTGCAGGGAGAGGCAATGCGGACTGGTGTGGAAGGGCAGGCCCCGCTCTGGGCCGCAGGCGCTGCGGCCGCGAACCCCAGGTCCGGGAGTGTGGGCGGGGCCTGCGTGTGGGCGGGGCCGCGGCGCCAGCGCCCGCCACGGGCGAGGGCGTGGCCGACCCGGCGCTAGCCCGCCCGCCCGCCCGCCGGCTCTCGCGCCTCCTTCGCGCCGGCCCTTCCGCGGGTGATCAGCTGGTCTGCGCTCCCCTGACGTGGGCTGGGGCACGTCACCGCCGAATGGCAGCCTCCAGAAAGCCACCGCGAGTAAGGTGAGGGCACTCCGCCGGCAGCCGGCGTCCGGGCAGCGTGCAGCCCTCGCTGCGCGGCCGCGCGTGTTGCACCTCGGCGGGCAGGGACGCGCGGGTGAGGAGCCCGGCCCGCCGCAGTCTGGCGAGGGCCGCGCTCGCCGGAGCCCCGGAACAGGAGCCGGGGGAAGGGGTCCATGAGGCCGGGCGAGATCCGGTTCGTTTCCGGAGGGTCGGTGGGCACGGGGCGGCCCGAGTCTGGTTCCTGGACGCGTATGCCCGCGGAACTGCTGCACTCGGCCTGAGGGGGCGGCGGCCGTCACAGTTCCTGGCCCGCGGGAAGGCCCCGTTCTTGGAGGAAGTTGGCCCCTCTTCGTGTCCGGGGAGGTGGGCGAGCCTTTGCCCTCGCTTCTGTTACCCAGGAATCTAAACCTCAAGTTACAATCTCGACAATACTGACTCCTGCAATTCACTCTACTGATCTGTCACCGCCACAAGGATAGACGGTCGCGGGCCCCTCCCTACCCAAATGGTTTCAGAGGCTGTGTAAGGGAATATTTTGGTATAATCTCCAGGAAAATCCCCCCAGTAGCCTGCCCTGGGCTCTCCTTGGGCATAGGAGGGTGAGACAGATAATTTCCCGGCCTCAAGTTAAACATGTTTTAGTTTATTCCCCTGCCATAACCAGGATGTACTTATCAGAGCCTCTGACAAAGTGGGAGACGGAGAGAGGTGTTCAGAGTTCATGGAGGCCACAGGCCAGACTCCCTGGCCATCCCCAAGGGGTCACCCACCTGCTAACCACTTGAGACATGAATGCACTCACTTTGCAGCATGGCCAGGCTTTCTTGCTGAACACAGACCATGGCTCCTGCTTGTGTTTGTGAGTAGGGGGGTCCCAAACCTACCTTGACCTGGATTTGCCGTTGCCACAGCTTGTTAAGGGTGAGCAGAAAACCAGACCCACCCTGTGGAAGTATGTGGGAGGGGTGGAGAACTTCCATCTGGAAGGAGCTTCCTGTAAGTGAAGTGCTGGAAATGGAGTCAGGCAAGTGGATAATGATGAGTTAGGCTGTAGGCCTCAGGTGGTCTTTAGGGGGCCAAGGTGATCTGTGCTAGATTTATAGACTCACAGCCTTTTAGGAGCAGAAGAGTCTTTTCTACACCAGCTGGTAGAGTCTTTTTTACCTCAAAGGAAAGTCCAGTGAAAGGCTGAGAGAGGGGAAGCCATTTTCCACAGGCGCCTCCCCTACTGGTAGAATTTGAGTGCCATTCCTTGTAAAAGTGAGCACTTCTTTCAGTTTCGGTAATGGAAACTGAACTCAAATTGATTTACCTAAAATGGGGTTGAGCTGGCTTCTAGTGTGGCTGAATCCGGGAGCACCACCAACATTGGCTTCAGACTTCTCTTTATCATCTCTTGGCTCTGATTTATTCAGTATCCGCTTCATTCTCAGGGAGACTTTCTCCTTATGGCAGGTTATGACAGTTCTAGGCTGACAGCCCCAGCAGAGAAGTTGAGCCCTCCTTCCTAATGGAGCAGAAGTCCCTGATCTGATGCTCACTGGGCTGCCTTAATTCTCATGTTCATCTGTGAACCAATCATTATGGCCAGAGGGAGGGATTGACCTGCTTTGGGTCCCAGAGCCTGTTAGGTGTTTGGATAAGACTGCTTTGAACCCCTTGGGCTGAAATGGAGAGGGTACATTCTCAAAAGGAAAACCAAGGTTCCCATCAAAAGGAGGGATGGATTCTGGGTAGACAAAGACAACATTGCTTACTTCCCAACCTTAGAACTTGTTCCAGTTTACCCTTGTCTCATCCACTAGGTGTGATTGAGCATCTTGTTCCTTGTTTTGCCCCATGCTGAACGCTACACATGTGTGATTCCCATGAACTGGGGGTTGCAGGGGGGTGAGGTATTCAGAACCCTGCCAGAATTTCTTGGAAAAAGAGGGAGAAGGCCTTTTCTAGTGCTACCATAACCATCTTATACAAAGATTGAAAGTGCTCTGCATGCTTCTTGCCCCTTACCCACTTTGTGGCTCATCATGAAGTTGAGAAGGTGTAGGTCGAAGAAGTTCTGGGAAGGGTAGGAGCACTGAGCTGGATGTTGGGAGGCTGGAACGCTGGTTCTAGCTCTGTCAGCAGTTAGCTGTGAGGCCTTGAGCCAGTCATTTGATCTTTGTTTCTTGGTTTCCTGGTCTAGAGGAGGGAATTGAGTTGGATAGTCCCTGAGGTATATTCTTCTAGTTCTTAATATTTAATGATAATTGTGCTTTGACAGAGAACTTAAGAATTTTATCTGTCCAAACAAGTGAAAGGTGGATAGATCTTGGACTCTGCGGAGACCAAGATACGACAAGAACAGAGCAGCTGTAGTATTGAGCTGCTTCGTAGCTCCTGTGATCCTGACAGAAAGGTGGAGGTGTTGATGCTCACACAGAGAGTTTGAGCTCACCTGTCAGACCTAGTTTCTGGTCTTGGCTTTGCGGCTACTGAGTTATATGGCCTATGGTAAGTTATCTTTGTTTTTTTATTCTGTAAAATGAATGAATAGGATTACCTTAAGGTAACCTTGGCTAGGCACGGTGGCTCACACCTATAGTCCCAGCACTTTGGGAGGCTGAGGTGGGAGGATCACTTGAGGCCAGGAGTTTGAGACCAGACTGGGCAATGTGGTGAGATCCTGTCTCTTCAGAAAATTATTAAAAAAAAAAAATCAGGTTGGTGTGATGGCACATACCTGTAGTCCTAGGTCCTTGGGAGATTGAGGCAGGAGAATTGCTTGAGCTTAGGAGTTTGAGGCTGCCATAAGCTAAGATTGTGCCACTGCACTCCAGCCTGAGTGACACAGCAAGACCCTGTCTCTAAAAAAATGATAACCTTCCACCTCTGTAGTCATGTGTCTGAACCAGTCATTGGGATCAGTTACTTACCATCTTAGAAACTTACGTATGAAGTAATGGGAAATTCGGTGAGAATCTGACTTGTATCCCTGTCCACAAGAAAGAGATGTTATAAAATTTATAATGGCTTTATTGAGATATAATTCACTTATATACAATTCATCTGTTAAAATGTACAATTCAAGTTATTAGTATAGTCACAGAGTTGTACAACTATCATCACAATCATTTTAGAACATTTTCTTCATCCCCGAAAGAAATCCTGTTACCTGTAATCAGTCACTCCTCACCTCAGCCCTTGGCAACCACCAACACTGCATGTCTACTTCCTGTCTTTACCGATTTGCCTATTCTGGACATTTTATGTGAATAGAATCATATACTATGTGGTCTTTTGTATTAGGCTTTTTCCCTTAGCATGTTTTCAAGGTTCACCTATGTCATAGGTGTGATTTCTTTCTTTTCTTTCTTTTTTTTTTTTTAAATGAGACGGAGTCTTGCTCTGTTGCCAGGCTGGAGTGCAGTGGCACGATCTTGGCTCACTGCAGCCTCCACCTCCCGGGTTCAAGTGATTCTCCTGCCTCAGCCTCCTGAGTAGCTGGGACTACAGGTGTGCACCACCACACCCAGCTAATTTTTGTATTTTCAGTAGAGATGGGGTTTCACCATGTTGGCCAGGATGGTCTCTATCTCTTGACCTCATGATCTGCCCGTCTCAGCCTCCCAAAGTGCTGGGATTACAGGCGTGAGCTACCGCGCCTGGCGTGATTTCCCTTTATTGGCAAAGAACATTCCATTATATGGATAGACACTTTTATTTATCCATTTATCAGTTGGGCATTTGAGTTGTTCCTACAGTTTGGCTGTTACAAATAATGCAGCTGTGAATATTTGTGTACAACTTTTTATAAGGATATATATTTTCAATTTTCTTGATTGTGTACCTAGGAATGGTTTTCCAAAGCCATTACACCATTTTACATTCTCATCAGGAATGTTTGAGGGTTCTAATTTTTTCTATACCCTCACCCGCACTTGTTACTGTCAATCTTTTTTATTATAACCTTCCTAGTGGGTGTGAAGTGGTATCACATTGTGGTTTCGATTTGTGTTTCCCTAATGACTAATGATGAGCATCTTTTCATGTACTTCTTGGTCATTTGTGTACTTTTGCTGGAGAAATGTCTATTCAGATCCTTAGCCCATTTAAAATTGGGTTATATGTCTTTTTATTGTTGAGTTATAATAGTTCTTTATATATTCTGGATACTAGACTCAACAGATTTACAGATGTTTTCTCCCATTCTGTGGGTTGTCATCCATTTTCTTGATGGTATCCTTTGAAACACAAACATTTTAAATTCTGATGAAGTCCAGTGTATCTCTTTTTTCTTTTGTTGCTGTGCTTTTTGATTTGTGTCTAAAGAAGTCATTGCCTAATCCAAGGTCAGGCAGACTTATGGTTGCGCTATAAGAGTTTTACAGTTTAGCGCCTACGTTCATACCTGTGATCCATTTGGGTTAATTTTTTTTTATTTTCTTTCTTTCTTTTCTTTCCTTCCTTTCCTTCCTTTTCGTTCTTTTTCTTTTTTCTCTCTCTCCTTCCTTCCTTCCTTCCTTCCTTCCTTCCTTCCTTCCTTCCTTCCTTCCTTCCTTCCCTCCTTCCTTCCTTCCTTCCTTCCTCCTTTCCTTTCTTTCCTTTCTTTCCTTTCCTTCCTCTCCTTCCTCTCCTTCCTTCCTGTCTTCCTTTCTTTCTTTCCTTTTCTCTTGCTCTGTCGCCCAGGCTGGAGTGCAGTGGCCCGATCTCAGCTCACTGCAAGCTCCCCCTCCTGGGTTCACACCATTCTCCTGCCTCAGCCTTCCGAGTAGCTGGGACTACATGCGCCCGCCACCATGCCTGGCTAATTTTTTGTATTTTTAGTAGAGACAGGGTTTCACCGTGTTAGCCAGGATGGTCTGGATCTCCTGACCTCGTGATCTGCCCACCTCGGCCTCCCAAAGTGCTGGGATTACAGGCGTGAGCCACCGTGCCCGGCCCATTTGTGTTAATTTTTGAATATGATATGAAGTGGGTTAAACTTCATTTTTCTTTTTTTGAGACAGGGTCTCTCTGTGTCACCAAGGCTAGACTGCAGTGGGGCGATCACAGCTCACTGCTGCCTCAACCTCTCTGGCTTAAGCGATCCTCCTGCCTCAGCCTCCTAAGTAGCTGGGACCACAGGTGTGCACCACCAAACCTGGCTCATTTTTGTAAATTTTGTAGAGATGGGTTTTGCCATGTTGCCCAAGCTAGTCTCGAACCCTGGGACTCAGGCAGTCTGCCTGCCTTGGCCTCCCAAAGTGCTGGGATTACAGATGTGAGTCATTGTGCCTGGGCTTTTTTGTTTTTTTGTTTTTTTTTTTGAGGCAGGGTCTTGCTCTGTAACCCAAGCTGGAGTGCAGTGGTGCTATCATGGCTCACTGCAGCCTTGACCTCCAGGGCTCAAGTGATCCACCCCACCTCAGCCTCCAGAGTAGCTGAGACTACAGGTGCACACCACCATGCCTGACTAATTTTTGTATTTTTTGTAGAAACGGAGTTTTGCCATGTTGGAAACTTTATTCTTTTGCATGTGGATATTCACTTGTCCCAGCACCATTTGTGGAAGAGACTATTCCTTCCCCATTGAATGGTTTTGGCATCCTCAAAAATCAGTTGACAGTTGTGAGGGTTTATTTCTGGACTGTTAATTCTGTTTTACTCATTTGTAAGTCCATTCTTATGCTAGCACCACACTGTCTTGTATTTAGGTTTGAAATTGGGATGGAAGAGTTCTTTTCAAGATTTTGTTCTTTTTCAAGATTGTTTTGGCTATTCTGGGTCCCTTGCATTTCCATATGAATTTTAGAATCTGCTTGTCAGTTTCAACCTCCAAGCTAGCTAGAATTTTGGCAGGGAATGCATTGAGTCCATAGATCAATTTGGGAATTACTGCCATCTTACCAATAGTAAACCTTCCAATCCATGACCATGGAATAGCTTTTGTTTATTTAGGTCTTCTTCAGTTACTTTCAGCAGTCTTTTTTAGTTTTTGTGGTGTACATTTTGCACTTCTTTTGTTAAATTTATTTCTAACTATTTTTTGTTTTTGATATTGTAAATGGACTTTTCTTAATTTTATTTTTGAATTGCTCATTACAAGGATATAGAAGTCAAATTGATTTTTTAAATATTGATTTTTGTATCCTGCATTCTTGATGAACTCAGTTATTAGTTCTAATTTTGTTTGTGGATTCTTTAGGATTTTCTGTATTCAAGATTATGTCAATTGCAAATAGAGATAGTTTTACTTCTTCTTTTCTAAACTGGATGCCTTTTGTTTCATTTTCTTGCCTACTTACCCTAGATAGAACTTCTGGTACAATGTTGAATAGAAATGCCAAGAGTAGACATCCCTGTCTACTCTGCCAAGAGTAGACATTCCCTAGATTATAGGGGAAAGCATTCAGTCTTTCAGCATTAAGAATGATGTTAGCTGTAGGTTTTGTAATAACTTTTGTCAGGTTGAGGAATTTTTCTTCTAGTTTGCTGAGTACTTTTAACTTGAAGGGGCATTGGATTTTGTCGTGCTTTTTCTGCGTTTGTTGAGAAGACCATGTAGATTTTGTTCTTTATTCTATTGATATGGCCTGTTATAATAATTGATTTTTCATATATTGAGCCAACCTTGTATTCCTGGGATAAGACCCACTTGGCGATGATGATCCTTTTTATATTGTTCTAGATTCCGTTTGCTGGTATTTTGTTGAGGATATTTGTATTTATATTTTAGAAGACATATTGGGGTGTCTTACTTTTTTATGAAAGAATAATATGTTTACTCTCGTTAAGAACATCCCATTCTGTCCAGTAAAACTAAAGTCACAGCCATATGAAAGCAGGCCTAGAGTCATTGGTAAAGCTGCCTGGTTATCTGGTTCTTACCGTGTGGTAGACTGAGCTAATGTGTCCCTCTCTGTCTTTACCAACATGTAAAAATGCGGTTAAATTATAACTTAATTGAGTTCATAGCTGAGTAAAATTCAAAACCTTTTCTATGGCCCCACAGTAGGCCCCCTGGTGCCTCAATGATGTTGTCTCTGAACCACTTACCTCCCCATCCCCTGATACAATCACACTGCGCTGACCTTCTTGCTTTTCCTCAGGTAAACTAGACATACTCCTGCCTCATGGCCTTTGCACTTGCTGTTGTCCTGGAACATTGTTCCCCTAGCCGTTCACATGGCTTGCTTCCTCACTCTTTTTAGGTCTGTGTTAAAATGTTGTCTGTTATAATAGAGGCTGTCCCTGGCTACCCCATATGAAATAATCCTTCCCCTTACCTCCTTGATGCTTTCTTCCCCTTGCTGTGCTTTACTTTTTTTCACAAAACACGTTCTTATTACTTGACGTATTGTGTACTTGTTTTGTGTCTGTTGCCTTCTCTTCCCTGTCTTCTGCCCATCCCCCTGCCTTGCCCCATCTTAATTTGTTAAAGTCAGAGATCTTGTCTGTTTTGTTCACTGTTGTGTCCAGAATAGGGCCTGGATTATGGAAGATTTTTCAATAAATATTTGTTGACTGAATGAACTTGAAAGAAAGAGAAATCCTCAAGTGCCAAAAATGTAGAGGGAACCTAACGCCTGAGTGGTATGCTAGTAACCTGAGCCTGGGAAAGTTACCAGATGCAGATATAGACCTTCATGCCTGGTGTCCAGGGCATTAGACTATCCCCATATGGGAACAAGAAGTTTGTGTGTAAATCTTCTAGCTAATAAATTAATGTGAAAGTCTTAGAAGCAAACAATAACAGAACTGCTTGTACAAACCAGGACCCATCACATTCTCATAGATAAATAGCCTCTATTGAAGATAAGCTCTTAATAAAAGATCACAAAACGCAGAAGGAATGAACCACCAAGAGGGAGAGGCAGCAGACCTAGCAAACATGAGGGTTAGTCTCCCAAGATCTATTTGAAAGTATGGGAGAAATTATAAAATAAGGGCCTACAGTAATGAAGGCACAAAGAGAAGGCATAGAAACCAGAGTGCAAGAATAGGACACCATAAAGAAAGAACGGGCAGATGTGAAAAAGAACCAAATAGAACTTGTGTAAGGAAAAAACATTGAAAATAAGTCTTCTTAGTCTAGTTAAATAGGAGGTGTGAGAATTTATGAACTAGAAGCTGCAACTGAGAAGGTTAACCTGCCATGGGGATGTTTTACACCTGCAAGTTTTACATCAAACTTTTATTTATTCTGCCACTGATAATGGGGGTGAAAGTTCTTCTGACTCATGTTAGAGAACTGCTAAGTTAAGCGATGCCTCCTCTAACTGAGCCTTGCCACGTTTATTGTGGTCAAAGTCTGCAACTTCCTGTTCTTTCTCTCCTTAAGGGTGAATCACCAGGATTTTCAACTGAGAAATTTAAGAATAATTGAACCTAACGAGGTGACACACTCAGGAGACACAGGTGTGGAAACAGGTAATAATTTTGTCTGGAAATTAGATGGAACATCTGTAAAGGATTTTAGATCTCCACCCCAACCCCAGGTTGGGTGAGAAGAAGAGGGTAAGGAATTAGTAACAGATCATGACTGGGGGTTAGTATCTGGAAGTTAAAAACCATTTTATTTTTTGGCTTCCTAAGTGGTTGGTTACTGTTTCTATATATTTACCATTTTTTTTTTTTTTTTTTGAGACGGAGTCTCGCCCTTGGTCACCCAGCCTGGAGTGCAATGGCGTGATCTCGGCTCACTGCAACCTCCGTCTCCCGGGTTCAAGCGATTCTCCTGCCTCAGCCTCCGGAGTAGCTGGGATTACAGGCGCCCGACACCACGCCCAGCTAATTTTGTATTTTTAGTAGAGATGGGGTTTCTCCATGTTGGCCAGGCTGGTCTTGAACTCCCGACCTCAGGTGATCTGCCCGCCTTGGCCTCCCAAAGTGCTGGGATTACAGGCATGAGCCACTGCGCCTGGCCATTACCATTTTTTTTTAAGGTAGTAAGTTAGAGAATTACAACTTTTTTTTTGTTGTTTGTTTTTTTCGTTTTCCATTTTTGTCAGAGTGGTGGTGGTGGAGAAGGAGATAGGTTATTATGGAAAATGTTCTCTATTTCTCTAATATAGTCCTTCATTATCTTAGAAATTAGCTTTCAATTTTGATCATAAGATTGCAAAATGAGAAAAGCTTGTAATATATTATTGTCCTTTATAAATTGAGTGTGCATTTAGGAAAGTCTTTTTGGGAAATATTTCTTGGCTGTCCCTTCTCCCCAGAACTGGTTAATTGTCTGATGGGTTGCCAGAAACCTGAATTCTGAAAAGTGGTGTATTACTGTATTTCTATCCCAGTAAGCCAGTACTGCTCTAACGACTACTAAGGAGAACCATGTGTTTTTTTTTTTTTTAGCTGACTGAAAAATTGATCTCTTGAAGTACATAAGAAACCATGCCCGTCTAATCTCTGTTTGGAAGATCAGTGCTATAATTGCATGCAATTTTAGATCCTTTTTCTTTAAAAAATATAGATGTATCCAACACATTTTGGACCATATTAGGAGGTAGCAGAGGAAGGAGGAAAAAGAGAAAGTAAAGAAAGGAAAAAAGTGATGGAATCATTAAACTTAGAGTTGGAAGATAACTTCTTTTTCTTTTTGTAATGTATGAGGAAATAGAGGTTAGGTAGCTTCAGTTGCCTGAGGTTGTAGATCCCAGCTGGAAACTGGAGCTCACTTGTTTTGCTTCTGTTGGTCTTAGAACACTTTAAGGCTCTATTATGTCCCCCAGCTAATATGGTGTAATAGAGCATGGACTTGGGAATTGCATAGACCTTGAGTCCCGGTTCCTGATGAACCAGCTGACTTTGGGCAAGTACTTAACTCCTTTTAACTCCTGTTCCTTTATGTGTAAAATGAGAATAGTGAAACCTCCCTTGGAGGATTGTTGTGAGAATTAGCCACTAATGTATGTAAAGCCCTTAGCGTTCCCTCAGCTGTGCAACAGAGAAACAAACCACTACCTCTAAAGCTATTGATGCTGGAAGAGCATCTGTGCCCGTGTTAAGATGCTGAAATTGGAGTAAACTGGCCCCTTCCATTCTTATAACGAGACTTGGGAATTCCAGCTGGTGCTTCAGATCCAGATTCAAATATTTCTTGAGCTCCTGCAGTGTAATAGATGCTGTGCATGGTGCTTTCACACACATTATCATGTTTAATTTGCCTGGCCACCAGTGAGGTAAGTATGGTGTGCTTTTCATGTACAATCAGTGAAAAATCTTGTTTGTGATAAAGGCTGAAGGTGTGGGAACTTATTTCTAAAAGCAGACCTGTATATGCAAGACTTTTAAGTGAGTCATTCTCTGTAAGGCATAGTTTGAAAATACCTGGCAGTGTATGGGCTAATGTTTCATCGTGGACTAGGCCTGTTGCTCTTGGCTTCCTACTTTGCTGCATACTTTGCTTAGCTCTTGGCTGTTTCTAACATTTCTGAAAAGTCATAGGATGTGGAATGAGCAGATGTCATAATACAGCACCTTGCAAGAGCCTATCTGTCACTGAAGATTCATTACTGTTCATTGAGACTGAAAAGATCATAGATCCAATGTTGTGAATTTGATTTAGCCATCTTTGAGTGAGCATATGTATATGTTAATTGTAGATACATGGATACAGAGATGACATCATCCCTGCCTTCCGGAGAAGTGGTATACACACCTGTTTACACAATTTATCACATTGCATTTATGGTTAGTTGTGTGTCTAACTCTAATAACATTAAACATTTACATGACATTTGTTATGTGCCAGGTACTGTTTCTAAGTGCCATATGTATAGTAACTCATTTACTCCTTATACAAATTATGAGGGTCATTAGCTACAACTTTCACTTCCTCCATCTTGGCTGCCTTTTCAACCAGTGCCACCTCAATGGCTAGGACTTATATAATTGCACCAACTTTGTTCTCTCCTTAGCTCCAGCTGCTCACTCATTCAATCACTTTCCATCACCTGTTTTCCTTGTGGGTACAGCTGCCTCAACCACCAGGGCCCACTGTATTCACTTCAGTGGTAGCTGCCTCACTGCCTCAGCCATTGCCTGTTGCTATCTTCTTCACCTTCACTGTTGCTGCCACTGCCCCTTACCACATCCTAACTATTGGTTATGGTATTGGGACTTCTTTCATCATGTCTAATATTGATGATAAAGAAGTAGCTGCATTGCACCCAGAACATGAATGTGATCGGCCTGAAGGATGAGGAAGTAGGAAGAGGGAAAGTGTTGAGTGTTGATGGGGGTAGGTAGCATTGTGGAGGGGAGTGTCAGTGAGACTGATAAAGCTGATGATTCTGTGGGGGTCTGATATGCCAGTCACCAGGGGAAACGTGATGATGTGATGGTGGTAGTGATGAAGATCAGAATGTGGGAATGAGGAGGCAGGTTGTGATGACCAGGAAGCAGAGGATGTTTTTGAACAGATCCAGTTTGTTTTTGTTGGTTTTTAGTTTGCAGTTGAAGATTTTGTGCTCATGATTGGTTGTGTTAACGTTATTGATGAAGTTAGTGACTGATAATATTGATACTACAATCAGCACTAAACACCCAGTCAGTGCCACCAAAATCCTTACGTCAGAATGTACCTGAATGGAAGGCAGAGTCTATAAAGAAATAAATGATCTTGAAAGAAAGTATATTAGACTCTTATATTTTTGCATTTTAAAACTCCTGAAGCCAAGGCTGTACTCCAGACCAGTTAAGTCAGATGTTTCCCGGATAGTCCTAATGTGCAGCCAGTGTTGAAGTCCTGCTCCTAAAGAAAGCTTCATTTTTGCTTGACTGTTTTTAAGAATGATAACTTGCTCAGAAATATGGTTTGAAAACACAATAAATCTATTCTGAAGCTCCTGAAAGATATCAGAGTAAAATTTTTAGATGCTGGCAAGCTTGGGAGATCACAATGGGCTTTATTTTGAACCCCCAGTGGAGGTGTTGACATATAAACTTGGATCAGACCAGATACTTCCGATCCCTTTTTCTCTGATAGGTGAGAAATTATAGGCCCAGTAGATTAGACGAAAGGATAGCTGGATGTGGTGGTGTGTACCTGTAGTCCCATTTACTTGGGAAGCTGAGGCGGGAGGATCACTTGAACCCAGGAGTCCAGCCTGGACAATGTAGTAAGACCCCGTCTCCCCTCAGAAAAAAAAAGAATGCCCCTCTGAACAATATTCAGAAGCAGGTGTAATGCAAGGAACATGGATATGCTTGAGTTATGAGTAGGACAGTTTCCATTGACTCTTCCTTTGAGTACTTCTCTCTTCTGAGACTCCTGAGGGTGAGCCCTAAGGCCTGCTTTTGAAGTTGCCCTTGCTGCAGATGATAAGTGGGGCACTTTTTCTAGCTCAAGATCAGTATGGTACCCCATAGGGGATTCTATTGGAGATCACCATAACAACTGAGGCATAGAAGCCTAAGGTGCTGGTGATGATGAAAAGGAAGAAGCAAATGAGTATGTTAAAGAAAAAGATCCAAAAAGGACCTATGCCCAGCAGGGTTTAAGCTACAGCAAGTCAGGATGTCAGTCGTTGAAGATCACCTCATGTAATTGTCCTGATTTAACTCTGTGTTACTTACAGAGTTATGTTACAATGTTTTTGACTAAGTAAAATATTTTTGTTAAAAAATGAGTTGGCAAACTCCAAAACACCAAAAACACCAAATGAGTTGGAATCTTACGTCCACCTAAAACCTGCACACAGATGTTTATAGCAGCTTTATTCATGATTACCAGAACCTGGAAACAACCAATATGTCCCTCAGCAGGTGAATGGATAAATGGTGGTACATCCAGACAATGGAGTATTATTCAGGGCTAAAAAAATGAGCTATCAAGCAATCAAAAGACATAGAGGAACCTTAAATGCATATTGTCTTTTTTTTTTTTTTTTGAGACAGAGTTTCGCTTTTGTTGCCCAGGCTGGAGTGCAATGGTGTGATCTCGGCTCACCACAACCTCTGCTTCCTGTGTTCGAGCAATTCTCCTGCCTCAGCCTCCTGAGTAGCTAGGATTACAGACATGTGCCACCATGCCCAGCTAATTTTGTATTTTTAGTAGAGATGGGGTTTCTCTATGTTGGTCAGGCTGGTCTTGAGCTCCCAACCTCAGGTGATCCACTAGCCTTGGCCTCACGAAGTGCTGGGATTACAGGTGTGAGCCACTGTGCCTGGCTTAAATGCATATTCTTAAGTGAAAGAAATCAATCTGGAAAAGCTATGTATTGTATGTTTCTAACTATATGACATTTTAGAACAGGCAAAACTATGGAGACAGTAGAAAAGCTCAGTTATTGTCGGGTTAGAGGAGAGGAGGAAGGAGGAATGAATAGGCTGCATGTGCATATAGAATTTTCAGGGCAGTGAAAGTACTCTGTGTGATACTATAATGGTGGATACATGCCATTACACATTTTTCAAAACCCATAGAATGTACAACACCACGAATGAATGCAGGAGTAAGCTGTGGACCTAGGGTGATGATGATGTGTTAATGTAAGTTAATCCATTTTAACAAATGTACTACTCTGGTTGGGGATGCAGATAGTGGCAGGGGGCTGTGTGTGTGTTGGGGCTGGAGCTACATGGGAACTCTGTATTTTCTGCTCAGTTTTGCTGTGAAACTATAACTGCTGTAAAAAATGAAGTCTATTAAAAATGAGTTGGAAAAACTCATTATTCTACTTTGAATTCTAATAGTATAGTTTTGTGCCAGTATATGGGATATAGTGAAATATGCATGATCACTATTCTGTAATTGGCTCCTTCTGAAGTTGTTTTGTTATGTAGACATAGGACTACAGCTATGATGTTTATCAGAACATTAACTAATATCAGTGATTGTTGAGAAAAGGTCTTTTTGAAGAACCAACTAAAGTGGTTAAGTCAGCTTGTATCATCTGTGCTTCCACTAAGTGAGTACAAGAGACTATTCCTGACTATAGATATAGATGAAACAAGTTTAAGAATTTCTAGTAGGACCAGAGTTAACATCTTTAACATTTCATTTTAATTAGTTTTATATTTCTATTCCTATTTTGTATTTTCTAAAGCTGGTGATTCCAACTCTGGTTTTATTTGAATGGTAGACTCCCCTGGAGCCTTGGGACTTCGTTTGAAAACCTTGGGTCTCATCCACTCCCGCCATACTTTATTTATTTATTTTTTTGAGACAGAGTCTCACTCTGTTGCCCAGGCTGGAGTGTAGTGGTGCAATCCTGGCTCACTGCAAGCTCTGCCTCCCGGGTTCACGCCATTCTCCTGCCTCAGCCTCCTGAGTAGCTGGGACTACAGGCACCCGCCACCACGCCTGGCTAACTTTTTTGTATTTTTAGTAGAGACGGGGCTTCACCATGTTAGCCAGGATGGTCTCGATCTCCTGACCTTGTGGTCCGCCTGCTTTGGCCTCCCAAAGTGCTGGGATTACAGGTGTGAGCCACCGCACCCGGCCACTCCCGCCATACTTTAAAGAGGAGAACACAGAGCATTGAGGCCCTGGTCCCCTTCTCCCTTGCACAGCTGGTTGGTAGCAGGTATTCACTAGAAGATAAGACTTTTGACTCCTAGTGGACGGAACTTTCTTCTCTAAATCTGTAGCTGGATATTTAACAAAAGGTTTATAAAACATACTCTTTTAAAGCAGTCAAATTTAAAAAGCAGAAAAATACAAGAAGACAATAATTACTCCAAATTTACTTACCCAAAGGTAACCACTCTTAACACTTGGGTGACTGTCCTTCTAGAAACTTCTCTTTGCATATATACATACACAATTTTAAATAAATAAGAACAATCTATATTTTTTTCCTTTGTCATCTGTTTGTTTTGTTTTGTTTTTTGAGACGGAGTCTTGGTCTTTTGCCAGGCTGGAGTGCAGTGGTGTGGTCTCAGGTCACTGCAACCTCCACCTCCTGAGTGCAAGTGATTCCCCTGCCTCAGCCTCCGGAGTAGCTGGGACTACAGGCACGTGCCACCACACCTGGCTGATTTTTTATATTTTGTAGAGACGGGGTTTCACCATATTGGCCAGGATGGTCTCGATCTCCCGACCTTGTGATCTGCCTGCTTTGGCCTCCCAAAGTGCTGGAATTAAAGGCGTGAGCCACTGCGCCCAGCCTGTCATCTGTTTTTAATCACCCACAAATGTTGTCTAGGTATCTTTCCAAATCAAATATATAAGTCTATGTAATTCTTTTCTAGGTCTGTGTAATTTTTAATGAGTACACAGTATACTGTTGTACGTATTATAGTTTATTTAACTGACCATACACTTCTCCTGCTTTTTTCTACTATAAACAAAGATAAACACCTAAATTTCTGTGTACTTATCTCCTATTCTTGAATAAAGTCCTAGGAGTGAAAGAGGTAACCAGTCAAGTTGGAAATGGTTAGTAGCTGAACTTTTCTGGCCACAAATGGCTATTTGGAGGTAGTATTTAAGAACTGTGAACATTAGTGTTTCTGGCAGCTTTGGTCTTGGTCTGGTGGTGGAGTGATCAATTTGAAGACCTAACTGGGAGTGGGGCAGAACGTAGAAGGCACTTCTCTCTGTGGCCCACTTCGAACTGGACGTTGAATTGCTGGGGGCAGGCTGGTTTTGAAATTTGCTCTCCTGTTGTTGCAGACGGCAGAATGCCTCCAAAGGTGACTTCAGAGCTGCTTCGGCAGCTGAGACAAGCCATGAGGAACTCTGAGTATGTGACCGAACCGATCCAGGCCTACATCATCCCATCGGGAGATGCTCATCAGGTACTGCATGGCAATGGGCCTCTCCTTTCTTTTCAGTCTTTTTTCCCCAGCCCTAATGTGTTTGTAGGATTCTAATTGTCAACCCACAACCAGGGCCACAACCAAGCCCTTCCAGGGCTTGCTATGGGGATCTGTGTCCAATAGGTCTCACTGAATGCTTGTGGATTGGCCCTAGCTTCCTTGATTCCAGTGACTTAGCCATCTTTCAATGAAGAATTAGTGGGCAAATTAAGGGACAGAAGTTCTGGAACTTTCTGTTGCTGGCATACTCCACATCTCCTCTGCCACACTGTGTTCCTAGCAGAATTGTTTGCCCTGTCTCTCTTTTGCCCAATCCAGGAGAGTTGGAGAGGCAGAGACCTCATGTGATAGGGTTGATGGGCGGTAGGGTAAAAGGATTCTAGGATCCACTGTGAAGTCATTGAGTCAGCAAGTGTTTGAGTGCTTACACTGTGGTTATGGTGCTGTAGGGTGCAAAGATGAACTTAAGGTTGAATGTCTGCTCTCACTAGGCTTATGGTTTAGTGAGAGATGAAATAATATAAGAGTGCTATTCTTCCACAGAATCATCTATAAGTACAGTTTTTCCCAGCCTTTACTTATGTATAAGGCCCTACCCATCTCAGGTATTAGACATGATATAGAGATGAGGATTGTTCCTGGTTTTAAGAAGCATACAGCTTAATAATGGAGTTTAGATGTACATGCACATACCTGTATTGTAAGGTAAAATGTGGTAAGTGTGATCAAGAAAATCTGGACAGAAGGCTGTGGAAGTTTGAGGGTGAGAGGGGAAGATGATGAAGAGCTTCATGGCACAGGGGAGACAGTTGAATTGGACCTTGAAGGATGGGTGGAGTTTGGGTAAATAGAGGGATGGGGTGGAGGAGGAGGAAAGAGGTTCTAGGTAAAAGTATTAGTGGCAGCAAAGGCAAAGAAACAGGGAAGCTTCGGATGCTCTTCAGAAACAGTGGGACAGGTTTCCCTGGCAAGAGACCAGGGAAGTAAAAAGCAGTGGTGGGAAATAAAGCTGTTGTTACAGGATTCTTCAGTTGCAGGTAATAGAAACTGCCTTGAGATACCTTGAGCAATAAAAATGCTTTATAAGGATTCAAGGGCAGAGCCACCATATTGGCACAACTCCAGATTGTGAATGGTGCTCTCAGAGTTATGTGTGTCAGGGCCTCAGATAGGGTGTCTTGTGGAACATGAGGGCAGGAATGTAGCAGGCCCTCAAGAAGAACTGGGACGGGAGGGTTTTCAGGTCTTGCTGCATATCAGTTTCTCTTTTTCAGCCAACTGGTTGGGTCATATAAACCTGACAACACCTACATTTATATCTTTTCCTCTCTTACTTTCAAGATACCAGATTGAACTAGAACCTTAATCCCCCAAATTCAAAGTCCAGGATGAGAACTTGATTGGTATATGTAGCAACTTGGTTCTGCATGGTCCTGGTTACTCTGTGTGTGTGCACGTGTGCGTGTCTGTGTCTGTGTGTGTGTCTGTGTGATGTCAGACATGAGTAATGGGGGTCCACCAGTCCACCATGATGGAGGGGGTGGTAGATAAGGGTATTTCTGTAAGTTGAGCAAAGATCACAAAACATGTCCATTCTGGCTGGCTGACTTCCTGCCTCTCCCCAGAGGTCCTGGTCTACATGGTTGCGACAAGGTCAGGCCTGTATTAACCTGGGAACAACTCAACCTCAAGATTGGATCTCTGCCTGGAGACATGGATTTCCTGGCCTTAGGAGCAAATGAAGGGCTTGAAATGAATAAGCAAAGGGATCGGATATTTGAGGCAACAGTATGAAGTTTAGGATACTTTGATGTTTAGAACAGTGTTCCCCAAACTGTGTGTGTTCTTCAGTATTCCTGTTGTGTCTTGTAAGATGCTCTACAAAAAATATATTTGTTAGTTGAGAAAATAGTGAAATGAGCTGAACAGTGTTTTTTTATTGTGGTGAAAAATGTATAATATGACATTTATTTTAACCATTTAAAAATGTACAATACTGTAGTGTTAACTACATGCACATATTGTTGTGCAACAGATCTCTAGAACTTTTTCGTCTTGCAAAACTGAAACTTTATATCCATTAAACAGCTCCTCCCAGTCTCTCTCCTCCCCTCCTATCCCTGGCAACCACCATTCTACTTTCTCTCTCTAAGATTTTGCTGGGCCAGTCACGGTGGCTCACGCCTGTAATCCCAGCACTTTGGGAGGCCGAGGCAGGCGGATCATGAGGTCAGGAGTTGGAGACCAGCCTGACCAACATGGTGAAACCCCATCTCTACTAAAAATATAAAAATTAGCCAGGCTTGGTAGCACGTGCCTGTAATCCCTCTGCTCAGGAGGCTGAAGCAGGAGAATTTGCTTGATCCTGAGAGGCGGAGGTTACAGTGAGCCGGCCGAGATTGCAGCACTGTACTCCAGCCTGGGTGACAGAGCGAGATTCCGTCTCAAAAAAAAAAGTTTGCCTGCTTTAGATAACGCATGTAATTGGAATCATGCAGTATTTGTCTTTTTGTGACTGGCTTATTTCACTTAGTATAGTGTCCAAGGTTCATCCATGTTGTAACATATGACAGGATTTCTTTCTTTTATAAGGCTGAATAATATTCCATTTTATTTAGAGACTTTTTTTTTTTAACCTGTTCATCTGTGGATGGTCATTTCAGTTTTTTCCACCTCTTGGCTATTGTGAGTAATGTTGCAATGAACATGGGTTTGCAAGTATCTTTTTGAGATCCTGTTTTCCATTCTTTTGGATATATGCCCACAAGTGAGATTGCCAGATCATATGATCCTTCTATTTTTAATTTTTGGGGGAACTTCCATACTGTTTTCTGCAGCACCTGTACTATTTTGCATTCCCACCAATGGTACACAGCATTCCAGTTCTTCCACTTCCTCACCAACACTTGCTATTTTTTGTTTTGTTGTGAGGTGATGGCTCATTGTAGATTTGATTTGCATTACCTGATGGTTAGTGATGTTGAGTATCTTTTCATATGCTTTTTGGTCCCATTTGTATATTTTCTTTGGAGAAAATGTCTATTCAAGTCCTTTGCCCCAATGAGTTTCATAGCTGCAGGACTTCTCAGGGCCTTTAATATGCTGATGTGCACTCTGTACCTCTAAGGAGGGGATAAAGTATTCAGCATTTTTCAGACTTAAATGTCCATGGAATTTTCCCAGTTATTTCAGGGGCGGGGTGGGAGACTCTAGTGTTTCATGGAATACCTTTATATGTTGTTCTGTGATAGTACTTTTCATCCGATGATGGGTCTTGCATGTAGAGGTGGATGAAGGGAGAGGTCAGAGTGAGAGGTGTATTCAGGCACCAGCTCACTGGCTGTTCAGCCTGGCAGAATATAGGAAAAGTAGAATATCAAGCTGGAATCGGGGTGGTGGCATGTGAGGAAGCCATGAGGCTGGGTGCATAACTGTTAGATCTAGTAGGCAGTGGGAAGGTAAGGATAGACTTGGTGAGGTTCGTTTGTGTTCATTAGAATAGACAAATAAGATTGGTCAACTTCAGGCTGGGTGTGGTGGCTCACGCCTGTAATCCGAGCATTTTGGAAGGTTGAGGCAGGTGGATCACCTGAGGTCAGGAGTTCGAAACCAGGCTGGTCAACATGTGAAACCCCATCTCTGCCAAAAAATACAAAAATTAGCTGGGCGTGGTGGCTCATGGCTGTAGTCCTGAGTACTTGGGAGGCTGTGGTGGGAGAATCGCTTGAACCCAGGAGGTGGAGGTTGCAGTGAGCTGAGATTGCGCCACTGCACTCCAGCCTAGGCAACAGAGCAAGACCCTGTCTCAAAAAAAAAAAAAAAAAGATTGACCAACTTCATATGAAGCAAAATATCATCTTGACCAAGGACTGGGTGAGGAAGTAGGCTGGCCACTGTGATTTGAGCCTGAGTTATGGTATGAGTCGTAGGTAGCAGAGGAGCTGGGCACTCCCCCATTTAAGAAGGGCAGACCATTGCCTTGTCTTCAAGGAATTTTGTTTTTTCTTTTCTTTGGGCCCCTCTGATGAGCTCTTCCTTGTTTCCTGTCAGTCCTAGGCCTCAGCCTTTGGATGTGGGCTTCATGTCACCTGGATTCTCTGCTGGATTCACCAGTGGCATTTTTAATTTTCTGCCCTTCAAGCATTGGACAGTTGCCCTAGGCTGATTTGATTGCAGTCACCCTGTTAGTGTTGAGCAGATGGTGGTTCCCGCAACTGGAGCACATGATGATTATGTAGCAGTTGGTTTGGGCAGTTCTGTAAGTCCCCTGGCACAGTTGTCTGAAATTGGGGCCCTCCTCCGAAAGGGTTCTCACAGGTCGTCATGGAGCCTCAGCTGAAGACTCCTAATAGCTCTACTATTTGTGAATCTTTACCTCCAGGGGAGGCCTCAGTGTACAGAAAGATTCGACCTGCTAATGTTACTTGAATTAAGAGTTGAAGGTTTCTGGTTAAGGGTGTGTTGGAAGCTTTGTAGTGTTTGTATTTCAATTTCAGTTTTCTTTTGCCTGGAGTTAGGATATTATCTGTGTGTTTACTAGTAGGAGACACCGACATCTTATAGCTGAGTCAAGTTTATCTTGATGTTCTTGGTCCTGGGTGCTGTTCCTTTGCCAGCTTTTTTTGTTTGTTTGGTCATCATAAAGCTGATTTTTGGACACCCTGACTGATACTTAAAAATGTTCTATCTTTGACAGTAGGTGTGGCCTATTACACCCGAAGCAATTCCTTCTGGGAGTGGCAGTGAGGCCATCTAAGCCACAGGGGATGTTCCAGGCTTTCCCTCAGCTCTTTATCTCCTACTAATGATCCTGCAATATCAGAATTAGATGGCTTTTCCCTCCATGAGGAAACTGAGGCTCTAATCTGAGACAGATGTGTTTTGTAGCAACATCCTGAAAATACAAAATGTATCAAGCTTGCTTGGTGTTAGCTGTTGCTCTTATTGCAGAAGTCACTGTTTAGACTTCACAGACTTACATTTTTGCACTCTTGCTGTCCTTCCATCTTCATCACCCCTCTCCACTCTTTCTTTTATAATCTTAACTGTCATTTCTATTGCTGTAGCTTAGCTGTCTGTCTTACATACGTGGAGAAATTGTGTTTTGTTTGTTTGCATGTTTTCTGACTGCTGCTCAGGGCTAGGTCTGGGGCAAATGCAGAGGGCAGGTAGTTAGCATATAGGTAAGCGTATGAGCTCTAGAGCCTCTCTGGGTTCAGATGCCAGATTTGCTACTTACTAGTTGCTTGACATCAGGCAAGTTACATGAAATTCTGAAGTGTCAATTAAACTTTCTGGGTCTCAGTTTCTGCATTCGCAAAAAGGAGATTGTGACAGTGTGGTATGTACCGCATGGGCTATTGTTAGGATGAAATGGGTTCATACTGTAGATGTGAATGCTTGAAGCACTTGAATGCTTGCTGCTTGAATGCTTGATGTCACTTGAAAAGTCTCGTCATATTAGCTGCCGCTATTGTTGTTATTACTGTTGTGGAGATGAATGAGATTCCCTTTGAAGAGATTAAATAATAGGTAAGCCACAGTCATAAATGAGAACACAAAAAGAAACTGGTGAATGTCATGGGAAAGGACCTCATTAGCACTGTCTAAGTAGAATCTGTGAGATACACATGTAATATTCAATGTTCTCATAGACACATTAAAGTAAAAGAGCAGTGAAATTAATTTTAACAATATATTAATCCAACATATCCAAAATATTATTTTAGCACATCATCATTATAAAAATTATTAAGAAGATACTTTACATTCCTTTTTATGCTGTGGTTTCAAATATGGGAAGTTTTTACATTTACAAAACTTCGCAATTTGAATGTGAAATTTTCATTGGAAATATTTGATCTGTGTTTAGATTTCATAAGACTGACAGTTGAAAAGGTGGACTCACGTACCCAAGTTGTTCTAAACATACTTAGAAGTTTTCCAGTAACTGAATCTTGAATATCAGTTTTTAAATTTGTATTTCAATTTATTAAAGTGAAATAAAATTAAGTATTCTGTTTCTCAGTCACAATAGCCACATTTCAAGTGCTTAGACACATGTGGCTGGTGGCAACTGTAATGTAAGTTTACTTAAAGTGTGAACTGAATTCAAAGGTGACAGAGTATTTTAAGCTGGCAGGATCAGGGAAGTCTTCATGGAGAAAGTAGGATTTAAATTGGAACGTGAACAGGTAGAATTTGGATGCATGGAAAGAGGGAGAGAAGTACAAGAAATACCATGGAAATCTTTTTTTAAATTATACTTTAAGTTCTAGGGTACATGAGCACAACGTGCAGGTTTGTTAACATATGTATACATGTGCCATGTTGGTGTGCTGCACCCATTAACTCATCATTTACATTAGGTATATCTCCTAATGCTATCCCTCCCCCCTCCCCCCACCCCATGACAGGCCCCAGTGTGTGATGTTCCATTGTTCAGTTGCCACCTGTGAGTGAGAACATGCGGTGTTTGGTTTTCTGTCCTTGCGATAGTTTGCTCAGAATGATGGTTTCCAGCTTCATCCATGTCCCTACAAAGGACATAAACTCATCCTTTTTTATGGCTGCATAGAATTCCATGGTGTATATGTGCCACATTTTCTGAATCCAGTCTATCACTGATGGACATTTGGGTTGGTTCCAAGTCTTTGCTATTGTGAATAGTGCCGCAATAAACATATGTGTGCATGTGTCTTTATAGCAGCATGATTTATAATCCTTTGGGTATATACCCAGTAATAGGATGGCTGGATCAAATGGTAAGAAATACCATGGGTATCTATGGAATTAGGAGAACATGCATGACAATAAGCTTGAAGAAGGGAGAACAGTGGCCTGGTTAAGACCATCCATGAATTACCCCTGACTGGTCATGGTTGTCCTTGACCACCAGAATCAGGATTTTAGAGTGACATGATCAGAGGGAGCAGTGTTTAGTATGGGTTGGAGAAAGGAGACTCTGGGAATTGAGAAACCTGTTAGGCCTTGCAGGATCTCAGAGTTGGGGTAAAGAGGGCCTGGACTTGGGTACTGGGGTTAGGAGCGGAGAGGAGGGGTAGGATTTGGAGAAGTAGTACAACCTGGATTAAATGTGGACCTTGCAGGCAGGTGGTAGAGGGGATTGGGAAGGTTTGAAGCCTGGGAGTGTTTGTGGTGCCATCAACAGAAGGAAATGGGTTCCTTGTTTTAGTTCCTGTGGAGAAGAGCCACATAGTTGGGGCGACTCTGTTAAGTGGGACTCTGGATCCTTGCTGTGATTGTGAGAACAAGAAGGAAGGGCTGGCTTCATGTGTGACCTGCCATAGTAGCCTCCTCAGTAATAGAGAGGCTGCTGTTCCCTGTGGCTCTTGTTCCTAATTGTTTCATTTCAGGGTAGATTCTGGGTTGATGGAGTTTCTCCTACGGCTGGGGAGGGGAGGGTGTTGGAGAAGTGAAGGGGAATCTTGAATTCTGTCCTTTGTGTACTTTCCAAAACACAAATATACACACCCACACGCTGTTCCCTGCAAGAGAGAAAACGTACCTCAAATGCATAATTACGCAAGGACTTGGCACTGCAGTGGTCTGCTTCTCTCTGTCCTCTGCAACTCTAAGGGTTTCTTCTTTTTAAACTCAGAGCAAGGGTTGTGGTATTAGGGTTGTTGTATTAATGAGCTTGGGCCCTGGGGGACTTTTATAGCAAGGAATCGTCTGTTCTCTCTGGTAATCTGGATACTTTCATGTACCATCCTAGTCGTATATTGGGATTCGTGGGCACCACTTGCCTCAAAGCAGGAGAATCCTTGGTTGGAGTCAGAGCTGTGCCAGCACTGCCTTTTAGAAATCTTGATTCCTCATCCTCCTCATCCGTAGACCCCATATTATGTTGTTGGGCTTGGCTTAGTCAAAGGGTGATGTTTTGTCAGGGACTGACTCTGCCAATGTGAATTTTTGGCTTTGTTTGTGGTTCCTCCTCCTGGAAGACATGATTCAGATTTTCCTAAACTCTTTGGACCCTACTCCATTCTCCTGGAGTCAGCTTCCTGTTTTGTTTTGTATTTCATAAACAGGCTTTCTCTTGGGGTGGGGTTAATGATTTTTATCCCACAGTGATTTTATCTGTTGTGTTAGAATAATGCTAGCTGTGGTAACACATCTCGAAGTTTCAGTGGCCTGGTATTGTAAAGCCTTATTTCTTATTTCATGTAGCAGTATAGAGTGGGTGTTCCTGGTTGGTGGGGGACTTCCCTCTACCTTGAGGGAAAGTGATTCAGGGATCTAGGCTCTTCCATCCCATAGTACCACCATTTTAGCTGGTGGAAGGGGACAGAGTATGGACAGGGCACACTCATTTGTTAGAGCCCCGACCCAGGTATCACCTCTCACCCACATTTCATTGGTAAGAATAAGTCATGTGACCTCACCTCAATGTAATGAGGCATGGGAATGAAGGCCTGGCTGGGCAGCTACTTTCCAGTGACTCTTCTACACTAAGGAAGGAGCACAAATCTTTGGACAACTGTCAGTTTTTCCCACATACCCTGACTTGGTTTCATTTAGGAGAGAAAAAAATGCCAATAACTTATATTTGGAAACAAGGAGTCCACATCTCCATTCACAGTCTAACTTTTGGTACTTCCTGTGGACCGATGGCCATTTATTCATTCAGTTTCAATTTTCTTGAGAACCTTGTATATTTGAGGCACAGTGCCAAGCTCATGGCTGATGGGAGAAGAGGGTCAGGGAAGGGGAAAGATGTCACGCTAATGTGGACTCTAGTAACTTTAGTCATGCTTATCTTGGCAGTCAGCTGTCAGCTTTACTTGGCAAGTTCCATCGGCATGTGACCAGCCATGTTGATCCCTCTTCTTAAAACCCAGCTCTGGTCATGTCACCACCCTCTCTTCAACTTTTAGTGTCTCTCTAGAACTTGCAGGATAAAGTTCAAGCCTCTTAGTCTGGTGTTTGAGGTCTTTGACTATTTGTCTTCAGACGGCCTTTACAGAAATCTCTGCAGCTGCTCCCTTGAACTTCTTGCCCCTGCCATTAGGCTAATTGGGTGTCGCCTCATGACAGGCCTCTTGCCTCTTGCTTCTGGGCCTTGTCACACCTTTCCCTCTGGACTGTTTTCCTGCTCTCTTCGCCTATCCTTGGTGGCCCAGTCAAACCTCTGAGCTTGGTCTGATGGATCTAAGGCACATCTGAGCATCCTTTAAACTATAGCAAATACCACACTGCATGTTCAGCATCGTTTATATGGCTGTTTATTAGTGTTAATATTTCATGGAATATCTGTCTACTATTGCCGATTGTCCACTTCGAGAAGATAGTTTCTTATGTTTGCTATAGAGTCAAGCTCGGTGCAGTTCATAGCAATAAGTGCTGCAGTTCATCAGATGTTCGGCATGCGCTAATTGCTTTATGTCACACCTCAACCCTTCAAGGTGGGCATTATGTTCATCCCCATTTTACAGATGAGGAAGTTGAGCCCCAGGTTCACCCAGCTAGTAAGTGGGGAACCAGGCTTGAACAGAGTTCTAACTGCTGGTTGTAGGAGATGTCTATTCTGTGGCTGATGAAAGTAGAGGTAAGTGCAGCATACACCTCGTATTCCTTGTTCCCTCAGAATTTATAATCCAATTGTGAGACTAGATGTGTACAACTTCTGTACAAAAGTAGAAGAGGTTGCTTGGCAGCTTGCAAGGGTATGGGCTTTCGAAAGTCAGACCTGAGGCTGGGTGCAGTGGCTCATGTCCATAATCCCAGCACTTTGGGAGGTCGAGGCAGGCGGATCACTTGAGGTCAGGAGTTCGAGACCAGCCTGACCAACATGGCAAAACCCTGTCTCTACTAAAAATACCAAAATTAGCTGGGTGTGGTGGTGGGCGCCTGTAATCCCAGCTACTTGGGAGACTGAGGCATGAGAATCGCGTGAACCTGGGAGGTGGAGGTTGTAGTGAGCCTAGATTGCGCCACTGCACTCCAGCCCAGGCGACAAAGCAAGACCCCATCTTAAAAAAAAAAAAAGTCAGACCTGAGTTCAGATCTTGGTTCTGCCATTTACTGTGGTGTTACCTTGGGGAAGTTAGTTATTTCTCTAAGCTTCATTTTTTTCATCTGTAGATTAGCGAGGGATGATACCTTCCAGGGCTGCTGTGAGGATTAGAATGAGAGGAAATGAATACAGTTATTGACTAGTAGGTGTTGAGACAATAATAAACAATACAGACTAAATAATCTTAGCTAACATTATTTGTCAGCATTATCCAAGGTAGGGTATGGATAAGTGCCAACATGGATGGTCCTGTAAAATTCAGAAATGTGGGAGCCTCTGAAAGCTGAAGTGGGTCAGGAAGCTTCATGGAAAAGGGAGCACTTGAACCAGATTTTTGAGAGATGACTAGCTTTTTTTTTTTTTGTAGTTTACAGATGCTTTATTTGGCTATGTATTGTTTATATTGTTGGAATTAGATGCCAACATTTAAAAATTGGGTAATTTCTCATGAACCCATATTTCTGGCTTCTTCTGAAATATTGAAGGTTAGCAACATGTGGCCTGCATTTCAGAAATCAGAGCTGAGTAGGAGCTGCTGTCTTTAGAAAAGATATCCTTTGTCCTGTACCCTGAGGTATTTGAATTTGAAACCCCATTTATAATCCCTTACGATCTTTTCCCCATTAGATAATGTATTAGTTTCCTATCACTGCTATAACAAATTACCACAGTGACTTAAAACAAATTTATTCTCTTATGGTTCTGGAAGTCTGAAGTCTAAAATGGGTCAGCAGGGCTATGTTACTTCTGCAGGCTCCAGGGAGAGTCCATTTCCTTGCCTTTTCCAGTTTCTGGAGGCCACCTGCATTCCTTGGCTCATGGTCCCTTCGTCCATCTTCGTAGATATGGTTGAGGTTTTAACTGGATGTAGGGAAAAGCTTCATGTCTCTTTCTGCTTGTTCATTTATAATACAAATGTGGGTTGAGGATCTAGTCACCTGTGCTGAGTGCAGGGACAGGACAGATACCCTGATCTCATGGAACTTATATGCTTGGGGTTAAGATGGGGGTTGAGGAACAAGACAATAAACATATAAAAAGTTCATTAAGAAGAGAAACATTGCCCAGCATGGTGGCTCTTGCCTGTAATCCTAGCACTTTGGGAGGCTGAGGCAGGCTGATCACTTGAGCCCAGAAGTTCAAGGCCAGCCTGGCAACGTGGTAAAACCCCGTTTCTACAAAAAAAAAAAAAAAAAAGGTGTGTGCCTGCTGTAGTCCCAGCTATTGAGAAGATTGAGGTGGGAGGATTGCTTGAACCTGACAGGTCAAGGATACAATGAGCCATAATTGTGTCACCACACTCTAGCTAGGGTAACAGAAGGCGATCCTGTCTCCAAAAGAAAAAAAAAAAAAAAAAGACAAATATCTAGAGTATGTGTGTGCTATACAGAGACTTAAAAGTGGCCAGGTGGCTATTATAGCTGGGTAGTACAGGTAGGCCTCTCTGTAGAGGTGATATTTGATCTCAAATGTAATGATGAGAAGGACCTAGCCATACCATGATCAGAAATACTTTTATAGGCACAAGGAAGCACATGTGCCAAGGCCTTGAGGCAGGAATGAGCTCAGGATATGCAAAGAGCAGAAAGGAGGTGGGTGTGTCTGGAGCATGGTGAATGGGAGCAGAGCTGCAAGAGGACTGGCAAAGTCAGATCAGCTGGTACCTTGACTGGGCCAGAGTTTGGATTTTATCTTAAATATAATAGGAAGCCATTGGAGGGTTTTAAGGAGGTTGCTAACATGATCTTAGATATTTGGAAAAGCTCACTCTGAGTGTATGTGCAGAGTGGATTGTAGGGGCGGTAGTCCAGGTAGAGATGATGGAGGCTTGGACTGAGTGCTGCTATTAGAAATGGAGAGAAGTGGGTGGTTTTGAGAAAAAGCCAGCAGCTGTGCTTCTTTGTGCCTTTTTCCTAGCATGCTACAGCTTTGGTTTATTTTAGGCCCTATGCTGTGTTCTAAGGAGACCGCCCCTGGGCGTTGCCAGCTTCATGCCTGGGAGAAGGAGAGTGACAGCCCTGGGCCCAGTGCTTGTCTGGCTTCTGCATAGCCTGTCAGTGTGGAGGTGAGGCTGTGGCCAGCCTTGCTTAGCAATGTCTTTCTGGAATGTTGACCACTTAGGTCATGTCTGGACATTCTTACCCCAGACCTTGTCTCCATCCCAAACTAAACATGTCCATTTGCTGTTAATTCCACCTCCCTTTGGAGGAACTCTTTCCTTGCCTTTGCTGATGGAGAAGTCTAGGTAAACCCTGCGGATCTTCCATCTCTCCCAAGCTTGCCCAGAAAGGGGTGGGGCATCCCTAGAGTACTATGTCCCTGAATGGAAGAGTCCAGCCGGGCTCAGACCTGCACTGCATTCTCTGCCAGTCTTTGCCAGTATCTTCACCCTGTGTCACGGGTGGAAGAGCCCCAAGCCTGTGGCGTCATGTTGGTGGAGAGTGCCCTCACTGTGTATTCCCCATTGTGCGCAGTGATTTTTAGCACAAGAGTTATTTTTAACTTAGTTTTCCCAGCCCCTTAGATGTCTTCTCACTGTTTAGGAAGAAGAGATTAATAATATCTCTTCCATTGCATATGTGCAGCACTTTCAAGTTTCTGGTGAGTTTTGAAAGACATTAACTTACTGTTTCTCACAAGAGTCCTAGGAGATGTGTGGGCCACCCTTCCCCCCGTTGTTACTTTTTAATAAAAAGTCTTGCACACAGTAATTACTCGGTTAATAAACAAGTGAGGATTCTGCAGTTCCTAAACGATGCTGGTGGCCATTTCTTTCTATTTCCTTAGTGCTGTTGACCGAATGTTCTTTATGCTTTAGGAATAAAACGTGCTTGCTGTTGCATTTAGCAATCTGAAATGACCTGTCTTAGAGATGAGGAAATGAGGCTGAGAGAGCTGCCAGGACTTGTTGCAGACTATGCAGCTGGGCCTGGGCTAGTGGGCAGGTGGCCCAGAGCTGCTTTATCCTGCCATTGTGGTTCTCTATGCTGGCCCTTCTAGTATCTCCCTGGAGGCTGGTTTGAGGCTGTGATTGCCGGTGCCTTGGTGAAAGAGGCAGTCCTTTTTTTTTTTTTTTTTAATTTTTGTTTTAATTTTTTGAGACAAGGTCTCACTCTGTTGCCTAGGCTGGAATACAGTGGCACAATCATGCCTCACTGTGCAGCCTCAACCTCCCGGGCTCAGATTATCCTCCCACCTCAGCCTCCTAAATAGCTGGGACTACAGGCACGTGCCACCATGCCTGGCTAATTATTGTATTTTTTGTAGACATGAGGTTTCACCATGCTCCCAGGCTGGTCTCGAGTTCCTGGGCTCAAGCAGTCCTCCCACCTCAGCCGCCCAAAGTGCTAGGATTACAGGCATGAGCCACTGTGCCTGGCTGAAAGGGGTAGTTCTTAACCATATAGCAGGAAAGGAACATGAGGGCCTTTTCCCCCTACATCATGTTGACTGTCCTAAAAATGCCTTGGGTCTGGCCAGCAGCCCCATTCCCCACCCTAAACTTTCTTAACCTTGCCAGGTCCTTTGGCTTGGGAGAATCCTGGTAACTGCAGAAGGAGCAGCAGCTCTGTACTCAGGCAGGCCTGGCTTTGGATCCTGACCTACTATTAACTTGTAAGTGGGCAGCTTACTTAAAGATTCTCTCTTTGAACCTCAGTTTTCTCATTTGCTATTGGTCTTATCCTAGAGAGTGATGAGGGCGAGAGATAAAGTGTCATGCATTGGCAGCCTGGCATAGGGCTTCAGAGTCCAGACTCTGGAGTTGACTGCTTAGGTTCAAATCCTGCCTCTGCTACTTAATTAGCTGTGTGATTTGGGGCAAGTTACTTAAACTCTCTGTGCCTCACTGGCTATTACCAGAAGTTGCACACTTTGACTTGTACCCTTTGCCCACGCGTAAGAATTTCTTACTTTCTTCACTCCCTAACCCCTTCCATACAGAGGCAAGGGGATTATCAGCTGAGAAGACCTTGGTTTTGGACATGACATTTTATTTTGCTGAAGCCTCCTGGATTGGATGAAGCGTTTCCGCTCACTCTGTAGCAGGAAGGGACAGGGTCTGCATGGGAGAGATTGGTGATGCTACCTCAGAGGAGGACCCAAACAGGAAGTTTGGAAACAAGTCAGTATCTACAGAAACTTAAGTTAGGGAATTGTTGGTGCTTAACACAGAAATTCAGCCTTACTTTTCAGAAAAATAACAGATGCCTAAATGTCAGTGGCAAGGAGGGGAGAAGGCTATTATTGGTTTGATTTTTGAGTAAGATCTCAGTGAAGAAAGAGCAGTTTTTATCTGTTTCTCCTGATGTGCTTTGGTTCTCCTAATGAGGAAATAGAGGCTAAAGGGAACAGCTCTCTCTGCCCTTAATTAATTCAATCTTCTGCAGTGTGTGCTAATCTGTTGTTTTCAGCTAGACTGTTGGCTTCTTGAGGGCGGGGGCCAAGGATTCCCCAGTCTTCATAGTCCCCGCTGAGCCTAGCACAAGGCTAAGCAGGCAGAACAGTCTGCTCATGACTGATCGAGGCCCACTTTGTTGTCATCTTTGTTTTCCAGAGTGAGTATATTGCTCCATGTGACTGTCGGCGGGCTTTTGTCTCTGGATTCGATGGCTCTGCGGGTGAGTCACTACTTTTTCTCTGTTCTTGCTGCACCTTTGTTCGCCTCCTAAAAATAACTGAACCGAGTTTCAGCCTGTGATATAGAAGCAAAAAGAAAATGCAAACCAGATGCTCCACATTGACTCTCTGCAGAAAGGTGTGGGTTCCCAGTCTTTCCCTGCTCCCCAAGGTCACCTTTCAGTAACCCTTTTTATTCCTCTCTGTATCTTTGCTTCAAAGTTTTAACAATTTTTATTTTTAAAAAGTTTTTGAACTTTTTATTGAATATAACATACATATAAAAGTTCTATCAATTAAACTGAATATACCTGTGTTACTAGCACCCCAAATAAGAAATGAGACTTTAATATAGTTTCAGAACCTCCTCTCTTAGCTTATTGGTCCCAGATAATTCTCCCAAGTGCTTGGCTTTTGGTTTCTGTTTTCACTCTTGGCTTAAATAACAAAGGTTAACTCTAAGCTGCATTGGTGTTCCTCAAAACCATTATGCCTTTGAGTTTTAGGGTGGACTCCCCACTTCAGGTTTGTTCTCTAAAGCAAGCTGGACAAGGTGGGAGCTCCCCTCCCCTCATGGTTAGCATGCTGCTTCCTTTGGCGTAAGTGCTTGTGTTGGTTGGCGCATTAGGATTGGCTTTGGCTGACACCTCTGCCAAAACCCCAAGTTCTGCCAGGCCTGTGGGAACGGAGGGCAGATAAAGGTAGGAGGCATAAGCTTCCTGCTAGTGACCACAGCAGGAACACTCATAGGGCCCACTTGGTCTTTCTCCAGGAAAGGTGAAACAGCTCCCCTGGGGTGTCTGGTGGAGCAGAGGAGTGGCTGTAATTGCTGAGCAGGAACCATCCCTCCCTGTGTCTTGTTGATTATACGAGACCACTTTGGCCATAGGTCTACAGTTCTCCATTCTCTGTTCTTGACTCATACTGTGCAAGTGGAGTCCTTTTTGTGCAGGGACCAGTGCCAGGTAGCTTGGGTCTCAGGACTGTTCTTTCAGAGCTTGACACACAGCTTGTTTTCAGTAGTGTGGTCTTCTCTTGCCCAGAGGTTTCTTTGGAGTCAAGGACCCATCTGCCCCACTAGGAGCTGATGCCTCTTACTGCTCTTGCCTGTCTACTGTCATTTTGTGCAGCTTCTGAGCAGTTGTTAGAAACCTTTCTTCTTCTTTTTTTTTTCTCCCCTGCTTCAGGCACAGCCATCATCACAGAAGAGCATGCAGCCATGTGGACTGACGGGCGCTACTTTCTCCAGGCTGCCAAGCAAATGGACAGCAACTGGACACTTATGAAGATGGGTGGGTACAGGCATGGCTAGCCCAAACTTAGTTGGCCTGATCTGGGCAGGGATCCTAGAGGTCCTCAGGACTCCTGGATCTTAATCCTTTTATGCAGTCATGGACCCTTTTGAGAATCCAAGGAAAACTGAGAAAAAAAAAAATGGCATGCCTATACATACGTACCAATGTGCATTCAATTTTGGAGGACGCTGGTTCAGGATACTTATTTTACTGAGGGGAAACTGAGGGCTAGAGAGGACAGTTGATTTGCTGCAGATCACATTGCTGTGCATTTCACTCCTGTACTGGGGGCCTTCTACTATTTGCTGCCTCATGATTCAGAGTGAGATAAAGGCAAGGAGTCATTGGCAACAGAAGCCAGAAAGCTTTCCCCTGAGGCTCTCTCTGAGGATCTTGGATTTGCTTCTGGAAGCTTAGCTCTGGAGAAGAGCAGCATTCAGGACAAGCGAACAGGTCTGGAACTTGCTTGGGCTAGTCGCTTCACTTGAGTGCTTTAGTTTCCTCATCTGTAAAATGGGTTAATCACAGTAAGTAACATATAAAGTGGTGAGAATTAAAGCATTACTATGTGGAAAGCATATAGATCAATGTTTATTGAATAATGTGTGTATATACTCTGTGTTTTCATTTAATTTTCTGCCGTGTGTACTTTCCTGTCATTAAAATAGTCTTTAGAAACACGGTTTTAGGGACTGTACAAAGTCTTTGCTTCCTGAATTTTGAACTTGGAGAACAGAAGATAAGGAAGGGCCAAGTGAGAAAGAGAAGATGAAACAAAATACCTGATGCTTCTTGTTTGTTGTAGGAAATAATGAGGAAAGAAAATAGTCCTCAGACTCACAGCAGGAAACAGAGGACTAGACCATGACCTTGAGATCCAGGCAGCCAGCTGACTGAGGGGTGTGTGCACTCAGGTGTATGCCACACACCCTCCACATACACACACATGTGTTCTTTGTCTTAGGGAGGAACAAGGAACATTTTTGTCTTGGCATTGGATTAAGTTTCTATTTCTCAAAAATCATTTCATAAATATAAAAACACCAAAGCTACAGATTGTTGCCTGTTGCTGCAGTTGATTTCTCTTTCCCTTTCTCTCTCTCTCTCTCTCTCTCTCTCTCTCTCACACACACACACACACACACACACACACACACACACACACACAAAGGCAGGCATTTGAAGCTGGCTGTTATAAATGGACAAGCTAGTGGCCTTTAAATTTTTTTGTTTGTGTGCTTCTGTTAATGGGAGTCAAGCACCCGCAACATGTATGTATGTTTGTTTATTTGTTATTTATATGTGCTAGTGTTCCTCTATATTCCAAATATCAAAAACTAACTTTGTAATTTCTTTATAAAAAATAAATACAAATAGAAGCTCTGTTACTTTCTTCTTGCACCCAGTAGATCATTGTGTCCCCCTGGGGAGCAGGCATCTCTCTTTGGGGCCCACGGATTCCAGCTCTTAAGTCTGTTAGCATTTTGGGGGTCAGAGGCGCAAACACTGCCTGCCTGTTCCTTAATGTAGGTATGTGGCAGCAAGGGGGTGGCAGAGGGAGTGAGTCCTCCTCTCCTCCAGGCTCCTTCCTAGTTTCCTCAGTCGAGTCTTCTGTGTAGGGAGATTCTGGTGGGTTTGGTTGGCCAGTGAGTGATTCATCCCTGGGGTTTTGCCGAAGATCTGTCTGCTAGGAAATGACATGACTTCATCCTGTGAAAGTTATATTATGTAGTGTACTAGGGCATTAGGAGAAACTGTATTAATAAGTGGCTTGTTTAGTGGTTTGAAAAAAAATAGGAAAGAATCAAATAGCAGAATGAAACTCAATGTCAGCTTCTAGGCAGTTTTTTAGAATTGGAATTCATGAGCTTCTTTCTTTATAAACCTTTGCACTTCCCTTCTATGGTTATGTGGTTGTATCAGTAGTCAGTAGAGAAAATAGTAAAGATAAGTTTCTACTGTTTTAGAATATGTGAACTTTTACTCTAAATATATGTATATTTTATCAAGATGTTAATTGTTTGGCCAAAACCTCATTGGTTAAAAAAAGTATACATTTCAAAGATAACTGGCTAGATATGGAAGGTGTTGGCTTAGATTAAAGGAAAACTGGACTATAGAAGTAATTTTAGTTCTATTCTGGAGGCTGATATAGTGTCCTATGACTAGCGTCTTAGAAACAGAAAGGGCTGTCTCATCCTGGGAGTTGGGGAACCCAGAGGCTCATGTTAAAGGCAACAGGATGGCCAGCACTTTGGGAGGCTGAGGTGGGAGGATCACTTGAGGCCAGGAGTTCAAGACCAACCTGGCTAACATGGTGAAACCCCGTCTTTACTAAAAATACAGAATTAACTGGGCATGGTAATTTTGAGCCTGTAATCCCAGCTACTTGGGAGGCTGAGGCAGGAGAATTGCTTGAATCCAGGTGGTGGAGGTTGCAGTGAGCTGAGATGGTGCCACCGCACTCTAGCCTGCATAACAGAGTGAGACTCTGTCTTCAGAAGTAAATAAATAAATAAAGACAACCGGACAGGTGCCTGTGTGCCTCTCTTAAAATCTTCGGAAAGATCTCTTTGCTGCCAAGACTTGTGCTTAGCCCTCTATTCAGAGGCTGGTTATGGGGCAGCGGCCTTCTCTTGGCCACCCTGCCCTTGCAGATGAGGGGCGGGCACTGGGAGCATGTTATCACCTTACCTGGTATGTGATATGTGGGAGTCTCCCAGTTCCCAGACTTCACCAAATCACTGCCCAAATTCTCATCAAGTGACCAGTAGTGGGGAAGTGACTGAACGCTGAGGAGACAATCTTTGTGGTGACGCCATGTGTGTACGTGGCAGTGATCCCCAAGATATTTTTACAAGGGGTCAAGTGAAAAATCATACTTTTTTCCCTTCTGTCTCACCCTTGTCTTATGTTTTTCATACACAAAAACTTACACTTCTCCCTCTCTGTAGCCTTCCAGGATTAAGGGAGGTTCAGATTTTCTAAGTCCTGTCAATCCACTTTAAAGAAGCTGCTTAATAAAGACCCTGCTATCATGATGTTAGAGAATTGTATCTTTCTGGTGGGATAATGAGCGTGGGCCCACTGGGAATTGTTTCTTATCATTTCTTCCCCCTGTAGGTCTGAAGGACACACCAACTCAGGAAGACTGGCTGGTGAGTGTGCTTCCTGAAGGATCCAGGGTTGGTGTGGACCCCTTGATCATTCCTACAGGTAAGTGAGCTTGGTCCCTTTCTGCTTGGGTAAGGAAGTGGCTTCTAGATTCCCCTCCATTCTCCTCATTTGCTTGTGGGGTGTGGAGCACTGGGGGGCTCAGCATGACTGATTTTATAGTAGAGGTCAGGGTGAAGAGAAGAGTTCCACTGGTGGTGAAGATGTGCTTTTACAGTTCCTCATCCTGCACACCCAGCTCTGGGCCATGGCAGGACCACCTTTCTGAAGGTTCTGGACTTTCAAGGCCCTGCTCCCTGCCCTGCTGCAATGGGCGTTCGGCTCATGGCTGGGCCACAATGTGTCTCCTCAGATTATTGGAAGAAAATGGCCAAAGTTCTGAGAAGTGCCGGCCATCACCTCATTCCTGTCAAGGAGAACCTCGTTGACAAAATCTGGACAGACCGTCCTGAGCGCCCTTGCAAGCCTCTCCTCACACTGGGCCTGGATTACACAGGTCAGAATCAATGGTTCTGCCCAGCAGGGCCCCTGCCATTGTCCCCCCACCTCTTGCTATTGTCTCCAGCCTCGTCCTCCGAATCCAAGTCGAGTTGGAGCTGACAGGAGGATTTTGCCCTACTCTGCCCCAGTGGGATATTTGAAGAAGCAGGAGCTTTGTTTGTTTCCACTGTTGCCACCTACTTGCCACTTAGTTTGGCTTTGGTTATTTTCGCAAAGCTCGTTTGGGTGGCTTTTTGGGTGCTGCTGAAAAGACTGAGTTTTTTTTATCCACTCAGCTGCTAACTGCCACTCGAACGTATTTGATATTGGAAATAGAGCATAGAGGTTTCTAGGTTCCATTTCCCTTCTTATGTCAGCATTTGTAGATTTACCTTCCTAGGCCTTTGTCCTCCATCTTGTACCTTCTGCTTTAGAGGCTTTGGGGTGTGGGTGTGTTTCCTTGGCCTGTGCGATAGTGATGGGTAAGCAGCATGTTCTCTGAACCATTGTGTGGATTTATGAAGCAGTGAGGGGGCAGAGAGAGAGGCCTGGAGGTGGGGCTGCAGGGGAGGGCGTCTTGCTGTAGAAACAGAGGTAGATGGGGGATGGCTGTGGAATGTAGGCAGATTGCCCAGAGGGGTCCTGGGAAGAAAGCGTGACAGCCTAGATTCTGGGCCAAGTTTTAAACAGCATTCCCGAACTGATCTTCAGTGCAGCCCTGGGTGTGGGGGCAGCCCCAGCCTGCTTTCTTGTGTGACATCCTCACCAGAGGGGTATTGCGGAATGGGGAGGATGGGTCCAGTGAGTGGCCCAGGGTCAGCTAAATATTTTCCATCAGCGTGGTTTGAAGTTTTTTTCACTAGAGCAGAAGCTCTGACTTGTTGCTTATAGGAGAGGGGAGAGCAAATGTTGCTGTTCAGTACACATTTGGGTGCCTACTATCTGCAGGATGCTGTGCGAGGTGCTGAGTGAATAAGACAGATGCCCACCCTGCTCACAGGTGGCTGTTCCCTGAGTTATGAATGCTGCCCTGGTAGGGTGGTTGTGGTGGCAATGGGGTGAGCTCCTCTAGCACCACGATTTCATCTTGCAGAGCAACAGAGAGGCCTTGGCAGTGTCTGAAAGGGCAAGTGTGATTTGGAAGTGGTAATCACAGTGAGTCAGACTACAGGGAATTCCTAGGTCTTAGCACTGAAAGGCAAGTCTTGCAGCCCCCAGGAACATCAAGTGGTGGGTGCTGTTCCCCTGACCCCTGAGACTGGGTGAGTTCCCTTTGCTGGGTAGTGTGTTGATATAGGTCCCTGTGTGTCCCCTGTTGCATCAGTATTTACAGTAGTGTGTTAATTGCTGGTTTAATTATCTGTCTTCCCTTCTATATTGTAAGCCCCATGAAGACAGGGACTGGGTCTGGCTCAGATCTGTAACCACAGTGACCAGCAGAGTGCCTGGCACGTATCTATGCCTGGCAGATCTAGATGTTACACAGGCATTTGTGGGATGCGTAAATGAATGAATTTTACTGGTGAGGCAATCAAGGCTCACGACAGTCAAGTGGCTTGGACACTTCTTGTATAGGGCTTGAATCCAGGCCTCCTGCCTGTTTAAGTAGCGTGCTCCTGTAAGAAATGGTGCTGATTAAAGATGTTTAGGGTAGGTTCTTTCACTGGGTTCCTACTGCTTTCTGGGACCAGGGCTGGAGTTAAAGCACATTTGTTTCTTGCAGGCATCTCCTGGAAGGACAAGGTTGCAGACCTTCGGTTGAAAATGGCTGAGAGGAACGTCATGTGGTTTGTGGTCACTGCCTTGGATGAGATTGCGTGTGAGTGCTCTGGTTTCGCTGTTTGGGCATGTTACCCGATCTCTCCTTTGGGTCTCTGGGTATCTGTGTGTTCATGCCATTCAACTTTCTGAGTGGCCAGGGAATAAGAAGAAGACTACGTCACCAAATGGGTATAGGAGATGCCAACTAGGATGAAGGAGAAAGAATTACAGGGAGCTGGGGAGGGGAGTGAGGCTTGTCCAGAGCAGTATTACAGCTGGGTGATGCCCACCTCTGGCCAGTCCCTCAGGACCATGGCACCTCTGAGGAAGGGCATTTCCTACAAATATTTTATGTCTGTCAGCCTCTGTAGGTGTAGAAGTGGGCTCATAGGAGAGGCCTTCTTTCTTTACACTTGTCCTGTGGTTTCCTAAGGTCTTTATAGTGAGAATGTTCTGGGAGCATTTCTACCTCAGAAAACTAGGAACTAAAAGTTCCTCCCCAAGCCCTTTGATGTAATAGTAGTTTCTCAGTCTTTGGACCTTAACCCACCTTCATGCAGTTGTTCAGCACCTTCTTTCATCTAAAACCTGACGGAATCTGGTTGAACCTTCCTGTCCTGTCTTCTGGTTTCTGAGTGGATTTGACCCAGGGCAACTGAGAAGAGGCACTGCTTTATCTTTTTGCCTTCTCACTAGAGAATGAGACCCTACTGCAGTGTCCTCTCTCTTCAGTCCCTGCATCTTCCATCCACAAAACATTGTCAAGTGTGTCAGTGACTTACATCCCTAATTAACTTAATGATCTCAACGTCAGAGAAAAACACCTGTAAAACTTTTCTCTCTCCCTGATTGTAACAAAAACACAATCCCATGATAGAAAACTTGGAAAATGCAGAGGAAGTAAAAAGAAGAAAAAAAAAATCACGTATAAATTCTGTTACTTAGAGATAATCAGTGTCAATATTCTATGCATATATCATTTTATAGCCTGATTTTTTCACTGTATCAGTACACTATAAGCATATACAAGCATAATTTTAAGTGAGTATTAAATACTCCATCATGTGGTTATACCATAATTTATTTAACTGTTTCCCTAAGGATGACCTTTGGGTTATTTGCAGTAATCCTGTAATTTATTATGATGCTACCATCAAAATCTTGGTTCATGAATCCATGTCTTAGTGTTTGATAATTTTCTTCCTATTTCTGGTTGGCTTTTAGGGCTTTTGACTCATCTTGCCCTTTGTCTGCCAGAAAGTTTGCACCTTTGTATTTGAATTTGTCTGTCTTGCCACACCTGAACACCAGGTACTGTCATTTTTAAAGAAGTGCTAGTATGATAGGTAAAAAATGGTGCCTCATCACTTTAAGAAGCCATTATTTTAAAATAGAGGTTATACTTTTAATGCCCAGGCGTTTTTTTGCTCTGATCCTCATGAGAACAAGTGACGGAAGCTGGAAGTCCTGGGACCAGAACTGTGCTCTCTCCTGGTCTGTCTAGTTCTCAGACGTTCAGCAACATCACTGTTACTGGCTGTCCGCAGGTCCCCCACCCAGTCGTGGTGCCAGAGCAGACCCATGGGTGGGCTGCAGGCTCTGATTTCATTGGTGAGCTGCAGCCTTGCTGACTCACTGCTTTTCTTTCCACCTCTGACAGGAAGCTCCGTCTCCATGGGGCTCACTGACCCTTACAGAGGAGGCTTGCCTGGCTTCCCTTGTGGGAGGGTCTCAGTTTTTCTACCCTAGGTCATCTGCCTCAGAAGGGAGAGAGTGCTCGTCTCCTTCCTTTTTATTTGGGAGCGCCAGAGGTTTGTCGGCTTCAAGGCCAGGCCTGGCAGGTCACCACTAGGCGGATCATTTCAACTCCTTGTGGGGGCAGTTCTCAGGATTTCAACTAATAGCTTTTATTCCCTTCTCCGGGCAGTGATGTGGAAGCCTGAGAAACAGCTCTGGTGCCATCACGTGGTGGACATGAGCAATTGCAGCTCAGAGGTGGAACCAGACGGGAGTCAGGCTTCCAGCCTTTCTGTGCGATTCCACTGAATCCTTGCGCAGCAGCTGGACTCCAAGCTGAAGCTCTTCCCTCCCGCTACAAGCGACCCCTTAACATCTTAAGTCAGACAGGTGACAGGGATTTTGATTTCTTTTCTAGGGCTATTTAATCTCCGAGGATCAGATGTGGAGCACAATCCAGTATTTTTCTCCTACGCAATCATAGGACTAGAGACGATCATGTGAGTGTTTGCCCTGCATCTGGAACTCCCTTCCAGAGCTCCTCAGAGCCCTAGTGTGCCCTTTCTGGTCCTGGCCCACCCATCACTGCCTGATATTTCACTGATGTGCTTCTTTTTTCTTGCCCTTTTAACATTTTCCCTTCTTGTTTTCCTTAGCAGTAGGTGTTTATTTATATCCTGCCTCTCTTTGAGCCCCCAAAATGGTTTGAAACGCATGAAAGTGTCTATAGTTCGGGCCACCCATTTGATGTCAAGTTTTCTAGCAGCCAGTGTTAAGGGGTATATATGCTCAATTATACAATTCTGGGTCCACAATGCAAATAAACCCAGTCATTTTGAAGGTCAAAAATAATATGGGAAAACCCCTCCAACTACGCTTTGTTGAATTGTCAGTTTATTTTTTCAAAGCATTTCGTGTGGCCTTCTTTTCATTACTGTTCTATTTCAATAGCTTTTTGCATTAAGACAACACATTTATTAAGTGCTGGTGATGTGCTAAGGGTCTCTGTTAGGTGCTAGGGTGACTGAAACAGGACGGGGTCCTTGGCTGGAGTTGGGGAGATGAGCATGTCCTCTTTCTAAAGTATTTGGGCACATAAGTGGGCACCAGTCTGCTTGTGGGACAGATACAGGTGTTACGAGAGGGGCCTGACCTAGACTTGGAGATCAGAGCAGACTCTTGGGGAAAGTAATATTTTGAAGCAGAGAGTAAGGATAAATGTGGGTGAGTTAGGTGAATGGCAGGGTGAGGAGGGGCGGGGAACCATGATCCAAGCAGAGGGAACAGCATTTTCAGAGACTCTGGACAGTAGAGAGCACAGTGCATGTGGAGGACCTGAAGTGGTTCAGTGAGGTCAGAACATAGTGAGGCCAGAATGTGAGCAGGGGCCACAGAAAAGAGAGGCCTTGTGGGCCACATTCAGGAGCTTGGGTTCTTTTTCTGAACAAGAATAGTGGGAAGCTATTGAACGAATTTTTCAGAGGGAACCACATGTTAGATGTACAAGTTGTAAAGAATATTATGACTGAAACATCGGTAGATGGGGAAAGACTTAGAGGCTGTGGCACTAACCCAAGTGAGAGATGGTGGGACCTGAACCTGAGTGGTGACTGGGCGAGGCTGTAGATGAGCTGGACAGATTAGATGGAGATTTAGGCTGTGGGTCCCAAGGTCTTAATGAAGGACGGGAAGAGGGTCATCAGTGAAGGAGGACACTGCCCAGATTTCTGGCTTGGCAGATTGGGTGGATGGGGGCAGGGAATGCACCTTGGAGGGCAGGATTTGGGAAAGGAGTGGGGAGGAGAGAAAAGGGGCTTGGTTTTGGTTGCCAGGAAACAGAGCCTGATGTGTATGTGTGTCTGTGTTGCCACCTCTCACTCATGTTCCCTCCTTTTTCTGCCACCCACCTCTCCTCCATCTGCAGGCTCTTCATTGATGGTGACCGCATAGACGCCCCCAGTGTGAAGGAGCACCTGCTTCTTGACTTGGGTCTGGAAGCCGAATACAGGATCCAGGTGCATCCCTACAAGTCCATCCTGAGCGAGCTCAAGGCCCTGTGTGCTGACCTCTCCCCAAGGGAGAAGGTGTGGGTCAGTGACAAGGCCAGCTATGCTGTGAGCGAGACCATCCCCAAGGTTGGTGACCCCACTTTGGCCCATCTAAACTCTGCCACCCCCTTCCCAGTTCTGGTATTGTCTTTGGAGCACAGGCAGATTTCTGAGGCTGCCTGTTGGATCAGAACTGTGGTCTCCATGGATGAGGCCTTAAAGCTGGAGCCATAGCAAGAGCCTGAGGGCCCTTATTGCTTGTTGAGTCTTGTGTTTTCCAGAGTGTGGCATGAGAGATTATTTTAGGTGGTACACATTATTATTTAGGTTTGCTTAAATATATCTGTTTTAACAGCATTTAGCATATAATAGAAAAAACATAACTAGCATGAGTTCATGATATAATTATTTAAAATAAAGTTGAATTTAATAAAGCTGATTTAAAGATGGTCTAAAGTAAAGTACTAAGTGAATAAGGGTACAGCAGTTAAGAAGCTAGGGTAAAAGCTGTGCAGGTGGTATAAGAATGCTTGAAGCTTGGGAAATGCTTCTCTACCCCCTCCTTCTGCCGCACCACATTTTATAGCTAAGGACACTTGAGGCTCAGAGAGGATTGGGGAGTTGGGGATTTGGGGATTTGTCAAATTCAAGTGATAGTGATAGCCTTGCCCTTTACTGAGCCCTTGCTGGGCAGTGCTAAGCAGCTGACACTTGTTGCCTCATTTTCATTAGGGTCTGGGATGGGACTGGAATCCAGGCCTCTTTAGAGGTAGGCTTTTCTACTGTCCTCCCCTGGGCCTCTGGCTGCCAAGTGGCCTTTGGCAAGCCCAGTGATGTCCTTTCTTCTCCACTGAGCAGTGGGGCATCCTGGGAAGAATCCAGGCCTGGCTCTCTAGATCTGGCTTGCCATTGTACCCCTGCCATCATCACACACAGTGTGACTCCTCCTCTCTCTCTCTCCTCTCTCTCTGGAGAGAAAGAGAAAAGGAGATAAGATCACAAAAGCAATTTTAGAAGCTTTGTGCAAGTGCCAGGTGTGCTGAGGCCCCTCTGCTGGATTCTAACTTGTTCTCAAATTGGAAAGGGTCTTCTCCAGCCCTTCAAGATCAGATTATTATCAGTAGCTGAGATAGGACCACTGGGCGGGAAGGGAGGGAGCAGGAGACCTCACTCATCAGGTCATGTGCATGGCTAGACAGGGAGAAAAAGCCCCCTTTGTACAGCAAGAGAAGGGTGATTTCGGTCAAGCTTTCAGTGTTAGTGAACTCTAACCACAACCACAGTGGCTTGGAAAGCAATGTCTTGCTGACGGCAGGCAGCCAGCAGTCTCAAAGAGCTAAGGGAGTGAGGGATGGAAGAGAGACACCTTGTTTGATGTACTTACTCTTTTTGGTTGAGCTTAAGCTCAGGGTCATCAATCAAAAGGGACAGGTCGTTGGGGCCCCAGGGGATAGCTATATGGGTCGCCAGTGGGAGCTCTTCAAATGATTTGTCTAAAGTAAGTTTTGCTGAGCAAAAAGGTTGTTGCCTTGGTCTTGGGTGGGTGGAGCCGGTTTGATTTCCCACCCTACTGCCCTTTGCCTCTAGGACCACCGCTGCTGTATGCCTTACACCCCCATCTGCATCGCCAAAGCTGTGAAGAATTCAGCTGAGTCAGAAGGCATGAGGCGGGCTCACGTGAGTAGAGGAGCTGGTGCAGAAGATGGGATGTGAGGTGGTCAGAAGGCCCGGCTCCTTCACCTCCTCTGTGGCATTGAGCCTGGCACAAGGTTAGAATCTCTCTGAGCCTCAGCCTCCTGGCCTTCCAGGAGGAGTTATTGAGGGAATGAAATAAAATACTTGATGGATTAGATCTTTACAAAGTATAATACACAATACAAAAGGAGATATTGATGTTCACAGTGTAGATGATGGTGATGACGTGATGCTGATGAAGAAAGATTTTGGGCCCAGAGGTGGCTTTTGATAGTGGCCTGTTTTTTCCTGGCCCCTGTAGGGTTCTTAACCTTTAAGTTAACCTTTTGGAGGAGCTCCCTGTGCTCTGAGGTGGGGCCCTTCCTGATTGTACCTGAACTACTGAATAGCAGAGGAGCCTTTCCCTGATAATGGGAGTTGCTGCACACACCAGCTTCCCAGAAATGTCCACATGTAAAGCTCTGGTTGCTGATGATGTGTGGCCCTGCAGGTACAGCCTTCTCAGTATTGCATTAGGGCTAGGCTCTGAATCTGGTCACGTGATTTTCAGTGATAACTTAAAAAATGTCTCCATTGTTTGCACAGATTAAAGATGCTGTTGCTCTCTGTGAACTCTTTAACTGGCTGGAGAAAGAGGTTGGTTCTTAGTCTTTGTTTAATATGTGGATATACATTATTCAGACCTACCTATATGTGATTCTAACTCTAGCATCTCCCATGCTCTGCTGACCATGAGATCTGAGATCTTCATCAAATTTTTGGGCTCTATTTTAATAATTCTCTCTGGAAATTTGGTGTGTGTAGATTTCAAAATTCCTTAATTATGAAAATAGTAACAAGAATGAAGAAAAGTTCCATAATAGAGTGGATGCTTTTTGGGTTAGGGAATCATAACTAAGTGGAATTTCATTATAAGGAAAAATGAGTCTTATAATATTATTATAGGCAAGCTGATTGTATTAGGAGAAAAAGATCTTTGTGTACATTTTGAACTTCAGTTTAAGCCTTGAGCCTTTTTATATTAAATTGACTCTTGGCCATTAATTTCTTGCTCTAGTTGACAAGAGGGTGGTTTCTCTGTGGTGTTATTAAACAATATCATGTTCCCTTTAAGTATTGTATAAACAACTCTTTAATTGGGAAAAGAAAATATTGTCTTTATTCCCACTAGTGTAACTTTTTCCCTCATGTTTCCTTCTGGTGATTGTTCATCTATGTAAATTATTATTATTATTTTATTTTATTTTATTTTTTGAGACGGAGTCTCACTCTGTCACCCAGGCTGGAGTGCAGTGGTGTGATCTCGGCTCACTGCAACCTCTGCTGCCCAGGTTCAAGAGATTCTCCTGCCTTAGCCTCCCAAGTAGCTGGGATTATAGGCGCCTGCCACTGCGCCTGGCTAATTTTCGTAGTTGTAGTAGAGATGGGGTTTCACCATCTTGGCCAGGCTGGTCTTGAACTCCTGACCTTGTGATCCACCCACCTCGGCCTCCCAAAGTGCTGGGATTACAGGCATGAGCCACCATGCCTGGACTTTATGTAAATTATTATTATTACATTTTTATTATTTTTTTTTATTTTTGAGACAGAGCCTTGCTCCATCGCCCAGGCTGGAGTGCAGTGGAGCGATCTCGGCTCACTGCAAGCTCCGTCTCCTGGGTTCACGCCATTCTCCTGCCTCAGCCTCCCGACTAGCTGGGACTACAGGCGCCCGCCACCATGCTTGGCTAATTTTTTGTATTTTTAGTAGAGACGGGGTTTCACTGTGTTAGCCAGGATGGTCTCGATCTCCTGACCTTGTGATCCGCCCGCCTCGGCCTCCCAAAGTGCTGGGATTACAGGCGTGAGCCACCGTGCCTGGCCGTAAATTATTTTTAAAAATATAAATTATTTTTACATGTCTCTTAGTGTGCAGATAAATTTTTTTTCTTTTTTTTTTTCTTATTTTGAGATGGGGTCTCATCTGTTGCACAGGCTGGAGAGTAGTGGTGTGATCACAGCTCACTGCAGCCTCAGCCTCCCCAAGCTCAGGTGATCCTCCCACCTCAGCCTCCCGATTAGTTGGGACTACAGCCCACCTGATTTTTTCTGATTTTTTTGTAGAGATAAGGTTTTGCCATGTTGCCCAGGCTGATCTGAAACTCCTGGGCTCAAGCGATCCACCTATCTTGGCCTCCCAAAGTGCTAGGATTATAGGTGTGAGCCATCACACCTGGCTTAGATATGATTTTGTGTTTTATTTTATTCTCTTAGAATCATAGTGTGAACATTTTCCATGTACATTGAGGCCTTAAAAAAGGATCCAAATGAAAACTGCATCTAGTGGCTCTTCTGATTTACTAACCCAGTCCTCCTATTTTTAAATGTTTGGGTTGTTTTTAATTTTTTGCTGTTATCAGTAATCCTGCAATAATCTCTCCGCATTTATCTTTTTTATTTCTCTAGAATGATTTTCTTACGATGATTTCTTAGGAGGGGATGCTTTTGAATTTTTAAACTTAGATATGTTGTTTTGGGAGGTTTTAGGATAAAATACTGAAGCACAATAGTTGAGTGAAAAATTAAATGAATAGAAACTATTGGATTTTAGATAGCTTTGGTGAGAGCCTTTGGGAGTTCTCCCTTGCTAAAGATGTGTCCTGTAGATTGGTCAGTTGGGATGAAGCAATTGAGGAAAAAGTGAGCTTTTAATGTACCTCCTCTAATTTGTAAGAGGCACACATGAATTTATCTCACCAGATGATTTATAAGCAATTTTCTCATAGGTTCCCAAAGGTGGTGTGACAGAGATCTCAGCTGCTGACAAAGCTGAGGAGTTTCGCAGGTAAGGATCCATTTGGGGGGACCCAGGAGCCTCGTGCTGATTTTCTTGCTAGTTGAATGAGGCTGGAAGGGCCCTGAATCTTAGCACAGTAAAAACCTTTAAGCCACTCTGCTTTCTGTCTTTCTGTTACAGGCAACAGGCAGACTTTGTGGACCTGAGCTTCCCAACAATTTCCAGTACGGGACCCAACGGCGCCATCATTCACTACGCGTAAGGCATGCGGAGGAGCATGCTGCCTGGCCTTGCTGCTTCTGCACAGGAGCCTGAGCAGGGGAGAGACATTATTTTACCAGAGGCCTCTGTGCCCACCTTCATCTGTCTGTTGAGACTGTAAAATGAAGGGAAATAAGACTTCTAAGATTTTATTTTCTCCCAATCCCCAAGCCTCTGCCTTTTGGGAGCCTCTTCTTAGGCTCAGTATGGCACTGGCATTCTCTGCAGGGTAGTCAGATGGGTGTCCCTCTTTCCTTTTTGAAGCTGCAGGAACTGTATGCATAGCCCTTGCATCTTGATGACTAAGTTTTTTTTTTTTTGGAGACAAGGTCTTGCTCTGCTGCCCAGGCTGGAGCGCAGTGGTGCCATCACAACTCACTGCAACTTTGAACTCCTAGACTCAAGCAATCCTCCTGCCTCAGCCTCCTGAGTAGCTGGGACTATAGGCATGTGCTACCACTCCTGGCTAATTTTTAGATTTTTTTGTAGAGATGAGGATCTTGATGTGTTGCCCAGGCTTGTCTCGAATTTCTGGACTCAAGCAATCCTCCTGCCTCAGCCTCCTAAAGTGCTGGAATTACAGGTGTGAGCCACTGTGCTTGGCCCATGACTGGAATTTTTGAGTAGTTTTCTTTCTTGGTAACAGCAGCTGTTTTGTACTAGTCCATACATCTTGTGAGCTCCATCAGTTCCATACCAAAAAAAAACTTAGTAGTAGGTTGTGAGGCAACCTGTTTTGGGTGGAGAGATAATCAGTACCCTCTCTTCCTGTCCCCCTGAGCCTGAAGCCTGGCATCCCAGTATGTGGTTTTTTTACCACGTGGTCTACAAGAACCCATGGACCCACAGGGCCGAGCCTCCCTTCCTTGTGAGACAGAGGGGCACTGATATGTCTAGGACTGACAGATCTTCCTGTGGAGATGGGGGGAAATGTCATTAGGTGTGGCCATTGGGCTTCAGCCTCAGCTCTGCCTGGTTCAAACCGCTTTGCTTTGCACTGGGTATTTTGAGTTCTGTGCATCCCCATCTGTTACATGCACAGCCAACAAAAGAACACTGTGCTTGGGCACACACTTTTTTCCCCCTTTTAATAATTGTTTTTAGAGCTTTTAGTCTTGGGGCAGATTTTGAAGCTGTGTGTGGGAGACAGTCACAGATGGGACAGTACAGTTTCCTCACTTAATGCTTCTGTTCCAGCATAAAAATATCAGAGGGACTTCAGTTTTTGTTTAACTCAGGATGAATTTCCTGGCTGGATACTATCCTAGAATTTTCCGTATAATTAAAACATTAAACAGTTTCATGCCAGTGGAAGAAATTTGCCTCTGCGTTGGCATTTCTTCATTGTGGGTGGTTGGAAGCCTGTTTAGAGGCGGGGTTCTGGAGGTACTGGTTGTCTTTTTTAGTTGTTCAGCTTGTGTGTGGACTGGTGCCCTTATTGCTGAAGAGGGGGTGGTACCTGGAAATGGAGGACAACCTCACTTCAGCTGCAGGGCAGAGACTTGGAGTGCTCTCATCCCTTTGGGTGTTTCCCAGTGCAGTGATATTGTTTTGAAAACGGTGTGGGGAAAGAGATCACTTTTTGAAAATACCTCATGTTTGTTTGAAGCAGAAGAATATCGTGATCCATTCCTTTTCCCAGCAAAATTCCTTTAGTTTTTCTCCCAAGTTGAGACATCCACTCCTGCCTGTCTAGCAGTCTGGGGAGCGAGTGGGGAGGTACCTGCTGGGGTCAGGGCTGAAGGAGGGGCCTGGAGGCTGAGGCAGGGGCCTGGGGCTCCCAGAGACAAGCAAGGCTGCAGTGACTCCAGGCTGCTCCTGTCCCAGTTCCCAGGACTCTAGCTAGGTCCTGTTGCATCTAATCGTTCTCATTTTTTTAGCTTTTAGAATTATCTCTTGAACACCTATTTTGTTTCAGACACAAACAGAGGTAGACATAAAGAAATGTGTTACTTTTCCTTTGTTGAGCTCTTTATCTCAGCTGGGGAGATAGGTTGATTGGATCTTTGAAAAGTAGAAGTTTAATATTAGTTGAAATAATTCATTATTGCATAACTTTCTATTTTGATATAATTTCAGGCTTATGTAAGTTGCAAGAATAGTACAAAGAGCTCTTGTGTGTCCTCCTCCCAGATTCACTAAGTGTTTACATTTGTGGAATAATTAATTTTTAATTAACTTTGTTAGGCCAGTCCCTGAGACGAATAGGACCTTGTCCCTGGATGAGGTGTACCTTATTGACTCGGGTGCTCAATACAAGTAAGTAAACCAGGACTGCTGTGGAACTTGACTATGGATTCGAGGCAGTGGAGAAGGTGGACAGCTGAGCTCCAGCTGAGAGCACTCAGCTGGTCATCGCCCTCTGTGCTGGCCACTAATGGAATCGTTCCTGTGTCTTGTCATTTTTTTCACCCCTATTTGAAATAGCCCAGTTGTGACTCTGTTCTCACAAAAGACTGTTTGATAGAAATGTTACAGTCCTTGGCTGGAAGTTTTAAAAATATAAGTAAACAACTGTGAAGTAAAGCAAGCTTTTGGAACCGTTGAAAGTTTTCCACCCCAGCCCATGAACCGCCTGCCGGTTCCCTGTACTCTCAGCTGCCCCAGGGCCTTATGAAGTAAGGGATTAATTTTGAATGAATAAATGAGAAATGAGGGCTGCCCCCACATTTCTGAATTTCTTTCTCCATGTTTTGCTGCTTTCACGGCTATCATCTCTGGAACAAAGTTTCTCAGAGAAGAACCCAAGATTTGGTTGGGTCTTGATACGGAACCCAAAAGAAGGAGTAAGAATAGACCCTGTCTGCATTAAGAGGGCACGAGCAAGGCCTTTTTTTTGAGACAGAGTCTCACTCTGTAGCCCAGGCAGGAGTGCAGTGGCGTGATCTCGGCTCACTGCAAGCTCTGCCTCCTGGGTTGCAGCCATTCTCCTGCCTCAGCCTCCCAAGTAGCTGGGACTACAGGTGCCCGCCACCACGCCCGGCTAATTTTTTGTATTTTTAGTGGAGACGGGGTTTCACCATGTTAGCCAGGATGGTCTCGATCTCCTGACCTCGTGATCCGCCGGTCTCGGCCTCCCAAAGTGCTGGGATTACAGGCGTGAGCCACTGTGCCCAGCCGAGCAAGACCTTTTAGTGCTGCTCCATTCCCCACTGAAGTTGGGACTATGGCTAAGGGAGGACCTAATTATTGAATGAGCTCAGCCAATTACGTGGCAACCATGCCTGGCCTTGGGACACAGGGGTGTTAATAATATCAGCCTAGAGCTAAGGATTGCTTGATAATGGTGTAAACTTTTCTTCACTTCTAAATTTTTAGCAGGATTCTAGAAGTTATCCTTTCTATGTCAGGGATATAGTCTAGTGTGTGTTAAGATATGTACTTGGATATTTTTAGGGTCTCTGTCCAGGAAACCCCCTGCTGTTCTAACAGGAGAAGTTGGGTTTTGGCCCTCTTTTGCTAGAGATGGGCTCCTGTTTTCTTTGCCTTCTTCTGTCTTGTTCATAACCCCAGTGATAGTGTCTCTCGTGAAACAGCCCTTATGCTGTAGACCAAGAATGCGTGTGTCAGGGGCTGACGTCACTCCCAGTTTATTTAGCCATCCCTGCATTCACACTTTGTTTCATTTTTTAAAATAACTTCATTGGGGTAAAATTTATGTACCATGTAATTCACCCACTTAAAATATACAATTAATTTTTTTTATATATTCACAGAGTTTTGCAGCCATCAGCACAATCAATTTTAGAACATTTTCATTACCCCAAAAAGAAACCTCATACCCAATAGCGGTCACTACCCCCTTTTCCACTACCCTGGAGAACCACTACTCTCCTTTCTGTATCTATGGATTTGCCTATTTTGGACCCTTCATAGAAATAGAATTGTATTATGTATGGCTTTCTGTGTCTGGCTTCTGTCATTTAGCACAATGTCTTCCAGGTTCATCCATGTTGCAGCATGTATCAGTATTCCATTTCTTTTTAATTACTGAATGGTATTGCACTGTGTGGATAATCCCCCATTTTGTTTATCCATTCATCAGTTGATGGACATTTCAGCTGTTTCCATCTTCTGGCTATTATGAATAATGTGGCTGTGAACCTTCATGTACAAGTTTTTGTGTGGATGTATGTTTTCAGTTCTCTTGGATATATAACTAGGAGTGGAATTACTGGGTCATATGGTGACTATATTTAACCTTTTAAGGAACTGCGAACTATTTGCAAAGATGGCTGTGCTATTTTACATGCCCACCAGCATTGTATGGGGCTTCTCACTTGTCCACATGCTTGCCTGTGTCATATTTGACTTAAAGCTTATTTTGACGGGAAACCAATTTGTCCTTTTTTTGGAAAGGGATGGCACCACAGATGTGACGCGGACAATGCATTTTGGGACCCCTACAGCCTACGAGAAGGTAAGGTGGAGGTAAAAAACTCAAGAGGTCCTCTCTGCTTTCTTAAGAAGAGCATTGCTTTTATGAAAAGGGATTGTATAAAGAAGTAAAAATTACATGTGGGGTAGTAAAATTGCTCCTTGCTGTGGAGTCAGGCTTATCTGCTTTACGAGGTTCATTTAACTAATTATTGGAATAAGACATTTGGAGAAATTTTTAAAGCATTCTGCTAAGGTTAGGGCAGCTCAGGTGTAAGTTTAAATATAATAGCTTTGGCCTTCTCTTGAGTCAGGAAATGCCTTTGAGGCTGGGGATGAGAGAGTGAAATACATGCTTTATAAGCAGTGCCTAGATTTGATTTTGAAGGCCACCCCCTTCTTTTTTTGAGATTCTTATTTACAGGCTTAACTCTCTGGAAACTTTCTGAAATGACAGACTCTATTAAGTTTCTGGTATGATTGGCATGGAAAGGGGAAAGAGAGCTGTGAGGCAGAGAGATGTGTACTAGGGGTCTGGAGACCTGGCTTCAGAGCTTCTGTGCCATTTACTAGCTCTGTGACGTTGAACAAAGCAGTCACCATCCATAAAAATGAGGATAAAAGGACCCACCTTCCCGGGTGGCTGTGAATTCCCATGAGCCCAGCAAGTTCCTGGATCATAGTCACTGCTCAGCAAATGCTGATTGAGCACCTAAGTGAATCTGTTTGTCCAAGAGAGCTCCTTCAGGAAGATTATCCAAGGAAAAGGGTTTTATGCAATGTAGTGGGGCAGGTTTCATTGTCTTGGTCCCTTGCCTTTTCCATTTGTATTCACCAGTGCCTTAGAAGAATTTGGACCTTGCGTCTAGGATTCTTTTGGTGTGACTCTTTTTGTGCTTTTCAAAGAGCTCAACCAGGCTGAGGAGCATGGAGTTTTAGTCCTGACTCTGCACCTTACTGGCAAGCTGCTACACTTCTGAGTAGCACTTCTCTTGTCCGGACAGTGGGGATAACCCCTGAAGATAGGATGGTGGTAGGGAGCACAGCTGTTGAAGCAAGAGTGCCTGGCTCCAAGGCCAGATGCTGCCACTTAGGCACTGTGTGATCTGGGCATGCTACTGAATCTCTCTGTGAAGCGAGGATAACAGTAGTGCCTCCATCGTGAAGTGTGGGATCAAACATACAGTGCTTAGAATAGTGCGTGGCACAGAGGATAGCTCAGTAATGTTAGCTAGGGTCATCAGTACTTTTTATTACTTTTCCATTCTTTCTAAGGCTCACATGATGGAGTATGTCAGAGTGTTCATTATAAAGTCATGTGGGGTCATCTCTCTGACAGTGCTCTTCTACTAAATTGAATTTCAAGATTTTCTGGGAAATTGGTCCCGTGGCCAGGCTTTTTTTCCACCAGATTTTTTTCTTTTTACTTACATTTTCTCTATGATATTGCTAAAAACTTTAGCAGGCAGGATTTTCTGAACTACCAGAAAACTACAGGATTAGACATCTGTCCCCATTCTGCAACATGCCCCTGGGTTTTCTTTGCAGGAATGCTTCACATATGTCCTCAAGGGCCACATAGCTGTGAGTGCAGCCGTTTTCCCGACTGGAACCAAAGGTAGGTGGTGCATTCTGTCACATGGCAGGCTCTTTTTCTTGTTTGAGAATCAAATATGTCTATGTTTGAGTGAAAGAACATGTCGTTCCTTCACTGTGAGGTCCCCATCCCACTTCAGGCCCAGCCAGGTGCTCATGGGGTGAGTCTCCATAACCCACTGACTGAGCCCAGAGGCCTCAGGGAGCCGGGTTAGGATTGGGCCCAGTACCCCCTGTGCACCATTCTCCTGACCACTTATGGTATTGGATGACACATGTGGATGGCTCCCAGGAGAGGACAAACCAGATATGAAGGTCACAGGGCCTGAGTGGAAGTTGGTGCAGCCTCCTGTCTGCCCTTTAGTACTGGGCCAGTGCTTCCTTTCGGGATTCTTAGGATTTATTTTACTGGGACCCTGACTTCAGCTATGTACTACTTTGCTTGAGGCCTGGTGGGTGGAGCATTGGACTGGGCATTGACAAGACCTGGGCTGCCTTGCTTTTGGGTAGATTAGACATGTACTCATCTCCCTAGGCCTCAGTTTCCTCATCTGTCATGCCTGCCTGTCTGCTTGCAGTCTGGTTAGAGTCTCATCTTTGTAATTCTGAAACCTTAGGGTCGCAGAGCTGGCAAGGGAACGTCCATGTCTGATACGGCCTCTGTGTGCTGTAGGTGTCTATCCCCGCTCACCAGCATCCTGAATGGATGATCGCCTAGCTTCAGACTGAGCTCTGATGGTTTCTCAGGAGCTCTGATTGTTAGAAAGTTCTTCCTTGTGCTGTGCTGAAATCTGAACCCTCCAGTAACTTACCTATTGGTTTCTGTTTCACGTTCTGGAGCCACACATAATAAATTTAATCTCTAAAGCGCTGTACAAATACAATTAAGTGGCTCTTTATGTCTTTCAGGTCACCTTCTTGACTCCTTTGCCCGTTCAGCTTTATGGGATTCAGGCCTAGATTACTTGCACGGGACTGGACATGGTGTTGGGTCTTTTTTGAATGTCCATGAGGGTCCTTGCGGCATCAGTTACAAAACATTCTCTGATGAGCCCTTGGAGGCAGGCATGATTGTCACTGATGGTAAGTGTCCCTCACATAGAGGGCATGCGTGGATCCTTGAGCCTTTTTGAAAGCTATTCGTTGTTTTGTATTTTTTAATTAGTTTAAAGTAAATTGGCAATACTTTTCCCTTCCAACAAACTTTTCTGATTATAGAACTGATACATGTTCATTTTAGAAAAAATGAGATGGGAACTGTGTAAAAAGAAAATGAAAATCATTTGCAATCTAACCACTCAGGGGAAACATGACTTAGTGTTTTACTGTATTAGCTTTTGGTCTTTCAGGTATGTAGATAGCATTTTTTTTTTAAATCATTGAGATCTTACTGGGCATCTTGTCTTATGTTCTGCTTTCTTACTTGATACATTGCCTTTTCTCAGGTCATTGCCAAGTCTTTGTAAATATATTTTAATGCCTTCATTATTGTGTCTTACGGATGTGAACCATGATTTATTTAGTGGATCCACTGTTACTTTACTCCTTACCCTGTAGCCAGTGTGCAGGGACTTCAGAGTCTAGCTTTCTGCACCTCAAGTGCCTATAAAAAAGTGGCCATATGAGAGAAGGTGGCATCTCTAGGCTCTTACACCAGATAGAGTGGGCTCTTCACCCGTTTCTTCTCCTTTGGAGTAGGGCAGTCATCCAAGGAGTGAAAGTTTCTCTCTGTAGACATCTTCATCGTGGGCTGCTTCTCATTTTTGGGATTTGGTTTGTTTTAGAGCCCGGGTACTATGAAGATGGGGCTTTTGGAATTCGCATTGAGAATGTTGTCCTTGTGGTTCCTGTGAAGACCAAGGTGAGGATTTATTAAAAAAATTTTCCTGTTTCTATTAGCAATAATCACGCCTCGGATAGACCTCATTGGCTACAATACTGCCACTGCGCAAAGCTTAAAAATTTTCCTGTTTCTTAGTGTGGGAAGATGAAGACTTAATGTCTTTGGAGCCAAGAGTATGCCATTCTGGGGCCAACATGGAGCCTTCTTCTCCAGATATCAGGGACTTTCCTGGAAACCACACTCCTTCCCTGCAAAGCCAGAAAGAAAATCCTTAATGAACTGGGATCTAGAACTGGGATTCACAGACCCTCAGGCTGATGCTTGCTTCACATGATTTGGGGCTCTGAGTTTACTATAGGCGGCCTGTTGTCTCTTCTGCTAGGGGTGCCTATTCAAGGCGCTAATTTCCAGGGCCCCTCCCAGACCCTAGAATTTCCAGGGTGGGGGGCCTGGAAGCTGTAATTTTGTCACACTCCCCAGGTGACTTTTATTAGGTAAAGTTGAGGAACCCTGAGTTATCCATGGGTCAGCCTCAAAGGCAATACAAGACAGGTGTTTCACCCTCTTCCCCCATCAGTGTTACCAAGGTTGCAGGGTTTTAGGCTCTAGGCTTTACCTAAAAGACCTGTTTGTGCCTCCTCCATTGGTGGAATTGAACAATTGGAGGGAAGTAGCTTCCTGTGTCTACAAGGAGGTTAACTGCGGGGATCTGCTCTCTGCTTTGGCATGGAAGTCACTATTCTTGGAAGTGACCTCCCATCTTATTCCCAAAAGCTGCCATGAACAGAAACCCGACATGTTCTTGTGTGCTCCAGTGGATAGATGTGTTGTCGCCTGATGGGCCTGGCTGGGTCAAGGCAGACCACACAGTTGACTGTTATAAAAATGATTTTGAGGACTTACACCCCTGCATCCTGGAGAACCAAAACCAGAGATGCCCCTAAGCCCAGATACCCCCATATCCTGCCCCTGTTTCCTATCACAGTAGACATTAGCCTTGGGACCTGTTGCTGGGAGCCCCTCAGCACCCTTTGTTTGGCCTTTCCTGATGGCACAGGCCATTGTTTGCCCAGTGGAGGAGCTCTTGGAAAATGGCATCAGGTTCCTTGTGTGTCTGTGAAAAGTGGTGACCAGCTCACCACTTCTTGGCTCCCAGTTACCCCTGGCTCTGAGGGATGGCATGCTGGTGGAATGACCTCATGGTGCTTCAGCATAGTAAAGAGGAGTAAAAGCATCTGTTTTCTTCTTTCTCCCGCAGTATAATTTTAATAACCGGGGAAGCCTGACCTTTGAACCTCTAACATTGGTTCCAATTCAGACCAAAATGATAGATGTGGATTCTCTTACAGACAAAGAGGTAATGGGGAAGTCTTGGTGGGCAGGCATGTTACTAGGGGAGGTGGAGACTACCTTAAATAGTTCTAATCCATCCTCTAAATCCTAAATTCTCTAATCCAGTCTCACTTTGTAATTTTTAAATTTAGAGGTCTAGGCCAGTTGAGTCTGAAAGCCCTAGGTTTTCTGAGGACTCCTGAGCTTTTCCTGTATTTGTTGGGCCTCCAGGTGGAGATAGTCCTGTTTCCCGCAGCCATTCTGGGGCTGTAGGGTTTGTGGGTGGAACTCGTATGCCATTGTTTGGCTGTACTATTCCTCCATAGCTGCAGTGAGGCGTGTTTAGCAAATATGAGCCTATGTGTGTCCCTACAAAAAGCCAGATGGATGGTGGGGCCTCTTGGCCACTGTACATACCAGATTGTTTTCTTGTGTTACATGAAACATTAAGGAAATGGAAAGCAAAATCTATTATCGTATGTCCTGTTTTCACACAGACAAGGAGAAAGATAGTACCAGCCCTTCTCGGTTACTACTGTGGTCACTCTGGGGCAGTGAAACCCTTCACAAAGCCTGGGGCACAACAGTGCTTACTTGCCCAGCTCAGAGGGTTATGGGTCTTAACTCCTTCAGACCCTGGACTGGTAAGGCCAGGTCAGATGGCAGTCCTGGGGACATGAGAAAGGCCTGAAGAATCACACAGATGTTCAAGGTCAGAGCAGAAACAAGGGTCAGAAATGGGGTAGGAACTGTTAGCACTAGACAGACAAAACAGTTCCCAAACCAGGAAGCTGGAAGCCAGGAGGACACAAATTCCAGAGCAAGGCAGGGGTCAGAAGTTCCAATGAAAAGCAAATGACTGGTGGGAGCCGAAGGCAGGGTAAGCACGGTGGGTTACTCTCGGAATAAGAATATTTTGTTATCTGAGGCAGCCAATGGCCTTTGAGTGCCTCTCAAGGCAGGAACATTTCCTCACTGGCGCCCACTTGGGCCTCGTTCTTGACACTGTAAAGGAAAGGGTCTTTGGGGGTTAAGGACCTTCCCTTCCACAGGAGCTGTGGAATGGGATTCTCCCAGCTAGAAGCCTCTTCTGCCTGTTCCAGTTCACAGGTGGGTGATGAGAAAGTCCATCCACTTCCTGCTTAGCTTTCCTCTGTGCTTGAGCGCCTCTGCTTAACCATCCGTGCCCTTGGTTCAGCTAAACATTCCCACTCACAGGACCCACATGGGCCTTGCTGATACCGGGTGGGTTATGCAGCTTGTAGATGGATATGGAAAAGGAAACTCAGCCTATCAGCACAATGTCTGGTGTGTCTCTTCAGCAGGAAGAGTCCTTCCAGTGTCCAGGGGCTCTTGTCCAGCCCCTGTAAGTGTTGCCTTAGCTGAGAGGAAATGAAAACACATAGGTGGGCATGGGACCCACCCTGCTTAGAATCCCTCTGCCCCATAGGAACCAGTGTCTCTTGTAATGGCCCTTGGGCACAGCTTCCAGGGACTTAGCAAGGGGCTTTCCAGTAATAAGTCATTTCGCACTCTTGGAAGTCCAAGGCTATGGATTCCTGCCAAGTAATTCTAGGTCATGCAGTCCTTCCTGTCCACATAAAGTGTACCCATCAGGAGGCATTTCTCCCATATGACATTCCCCTTTATCCAGGGAAGTAGTATATGAGGAAGTTTAAGCCAGGCCATTTTTCCTCGAAGGAGAATCAGTCTACTCCCGTGACATTGGACATAGACCAGGGATCTGTGTTACCCAGTGTTTCATTGCTGCACCTTGCATGCCCACATGATTGAACTATTCTTTCGGCCAGTTACTCTTTGTAGGGCAGATAATGTCTTCTTAAAATATCTGGCTTTTAAAATATCTGGTCATTTGCCCTTTACTATTTAGCCTTTATTTTGGAGTCACTTTAGGGAGTTTTTGGTTTGGGTCTGCATCGTCATCACTTATCACCAGATGGCAGCAAAGGACCTTGGTCAGATATGAATATGGCCAGCTGCAGACTGTCAGGGCCTTGTGCTGCTCCTCAGGCTCCACCGAGGCTGTCCACACTCCCACTTTTCCCTCCCTACTTCCAACCAAAAGGGCCATGGGCGTTTGGCTGTGGCCCCAGGCTTACACCAGGATGCTGCCGTTGCCTTACTGTTGAGCTGCTTTGGACAGTAGGCTGCTTTGTAGCCCTGCTGGCCTTGCTGTGGACACATAGCAGTTTGCCTGCTTTTGACATCCTCCCCTGCCCCCATCACTTCCCTGACTCCCAGAAGGGGCTACTAGGCTCTTCTCAGTAGGGATTGGAACCCTGGCTGGGTCACAGCCAGTTGGTAACACCACCCTATCTGTCTGCCCTCAGTCCCTTGTAATTAATGGGTTTGTGTGCCCATCCTGACCCCAGCTGGGCTTTGGTACCTGGCTGGATTGTAGTCCCTGAAAGCAGTACTTCTGTAACATCGCTGCCCTCCAAAATGGCCTTTGACTCATTTATGACAAGCACAGCCATGGCACTATCAGTCTCATCAGCTTCCAGACAGCTACCCCCATAGACAGTGATGAGAGTGGCTTGTTGTCCTCTTGGTAAAACCTGCTTCACTCCAGACTTCACCTTTTCCCGTATACAACCAAGGAGGAGAGTTCACCCTTTTTCCTGCCTCAGAGCTTTTGCCATCATGTCTAGTGGATCAGCCCCTGCCCAGGCACCAAGTCCTGCCAGCAGGTCCTTCCTTTCACTCTCTTTTTTGTCTCCTGCTCTTGTGGCATGTTGAGTTGAGAGTCTGAAAACTAAGTTTACTCCCAGCGCCATTCTGCTGCACCACAGTCTTTAACCACCGCAGGTTTTGGGTTCATCTAGGCAGCTACACTCAAAAGACACCCATGGGCTTGGCTGATCCTAGTTTTTTATTCAGCTTTTTCAGTGGATATAGGATATGTAGCCCAGTGTGTTGGCAGGACAGCTTCGAGTGTCTCTCTCAGCAGGAGTTCTCACAGAGTCCGGGGCTATTCCCCCACTTACCACCTCCCAGGATGGCTCAGGTTTAAGGGAATGAAGCCACACAGGTGGGAGCAGGAGCTACTGGCTTAGAGACTGCTGTCTATAATAGTAAACTGTTCTGGGAGCCTTTTCACCAGAAGCCATGAAGTCTGGTCCTATGTATTTCCGGGGAAACAGAACACAAGGAAAATACTTACCTGTGAGTAAGGAGAAAGGGTGTTGCACACCTTTTCTCTCAGCTTGTGATCTTAGCACATGGGGGCCTTTGCTGTTGACCTGTGTAGCCAGTTGTTAAAGATGTAGTGGTGAATACCGTGTCTGTCCTTCTCTTCCCTGCAGTGCGACTGGCTCAACAATTACCACCTGACCTGCAGGGATGTGATTGGGAAGGAATTGCAGAAACAGGGCCGCCAGGAAGCTCTCGAGTGGCTCATCAGAGAGACGCAACCCATCTCCAAACAGCATTAATAAATACCTCCCCGGTTTTGTTTTTGTAAAATGCTCTGGAGGAAGGAAGAAACGTGGCAGATCCCTGACATCTTTCCCCTTTCCTTTCCTTCTTCCCTACCTCCCCTTTTTACTTTAGACTTTAAGAAGAACAGAAAATCTTCTTATCCTCTTTGATATTTTATTGCAAACACTCAGTCTTTTATGATTTTTTAATTGTTGAGAACAAGCCAAGAATAAAATTGCTGCACCAGAAGGAGGGTCCCTCCAAAGTTGAACACTTGGTGAAAGGAAGATGCCCCGACTTCTTTGGCCAGTGATGGGGAATCAGTGAGTGCTCCATGATGGTCATGTTCCAGGTGCTAGTACATCATTCATGATCACCTTAATGCTCATGAGACTATATTTATGATCAGTGAATAAAAATGTCAGAACTGTGCTTTGTCTTAGCTGTCTCTTTCTTCATGGTGCTGTCCCCCGGCATGTCGGGTGAGCTGATCTCCAGGGCTGCTGGCTCTGTGGCAGACATTTCCTAGGTGGAAGGGCCCCTTTGAGAAGAGACCCCTGGCCTCCCCGCACATTTGGGGGCTTAGTTGTAAGCTTTTTCTTTTCTCTAGAAAACCTAATATTATGGTGTTTTTATCTCAGTTTTTTTTCCTGATTTTAAAATATGTCATTCCTATGCAAAAAACAATAAAAATTATGTCAAAAGTCAGTTTTCCATAACTCACCCTATAGCAGATGCCACAAGTGTCTTACCTACATGGCCACAGCTCTCATTGTTCCGTTACTTGTAGGCAGGATTCTGTGACAAGTGCCTGCGACTCCCATTCTGCAGGATTTCTTTTGACTTGTATATGTGGGGCAAGCTCCAAGGGTTGGAGAGTTAATGTCCCTGAGATCTCAGACCATCACGTTTGGGGATGGGATGGGCAAATAGACTTCCTCATCCTTTGGCTAAGATATCAGAGGTATGTCTTACATTGTCACTCAGGGTTTCCCAGTGGGATTGAGCCCCACTTGCCCACCATGGTAACTTGCTCAATAACCAACCCTTTGTTTTCTTTCTTCTCTTCCATGTCCTACTTTCTTCCTGTCCCATTAGTGTTTCCTGGTACCATCCTGAATGAACCATTTACATGCAAATCCTTGTTTTAGGGTCTGCTTTTTTATTAATCCAACCTGACATACTCCTTAGATATAACCACTATTATCTGCTTTATATTTTTTGCTGACTCCTTTTTTTTTTGTATTCAAAATTTACTAAAATACTGATTATTTGTGTATGTATGAAAGAATATGCCATATATGAACATATCACATTTACAAACAGTGAATTATTCTGTACGTATACAATTTTATCTTTTAACTTGGCAATATTTTAGATTGAATTATTTTTAATGACTTAATTCCATCGTATGGTTATATTGTTTTAAAACTAGCCTCATTAACTTTTTAAAAACAGTAATACTAGCATTTAGACATAATTTTTTAAAAAATGTATTAGTCTTAAATCATATAGAAAACAAAAACTGGAATCACAAGCTATCAGTACACTAATACTGGTTTTTATAATTGCCCAATGTATTTATTTTTCTTGAGATCTTTATTTCTTCATACTGCTTTGGGTTACTGTCTAGTGTCCTTTCATTGTACTTTGCAGAACTCCTATAAGCATTTCTTGCAGGGTGGGTCTAGTGGTACTGAACTCCCTCAGCTTATGTTTACCTGGGAACCTCTTAATTTCTCCCTCACTTTTGAAGGGCAGTTTTGCTGGATATAGGATTCTTTGGTTGTCAGTTTTTTTTTTTTTTCTTTTAACATTTTGAATATTGGCCCACTGCCTTCTGGCCTCCAGAATTTCTGATGAGAAATCTGCAGGTAATCTCACTGAAGATCCCTTTTACGTGGTAAGTAGCTTTTCTCTCACTGCTTTCAAGATTCTCTCTGTTTTTGACTTTTGGAAGCTCGACTATAATGTATTTTTGTGTGTATCTCTTGGAGTTAATCTTACTTGTGGTTTATTGGGTTTCTTGGATGTTTACATTCATGTCTTTTACCAGATTTGGGAATTATACAGCCATTATTTCTTCAGATATTCTCTCTGCTGCTTTCTGCCTTCTCCTGGGACTCTAACAATGTATATTTTGGTCAGCTTGATGGTGTCCCACAGGTCTTCTAGGCTCTGTTCCCTTTAATATTTTTTCTGTTTTTCAGACTCAAAATTTCTGTTATCCTATCTTCAAGTTCACTGATTTTCTCTTTTGCCTGCTCATATGTGCTTTGAATCCCTCTGGTGAATTTTTCATTTCAGTTACTGTACTTTTCAGCTCCAGAATTTCATTTTGGTTTCTTTTTATGTTGTCTGTCTCTATTGATATTTCCTTTTTTTCTGTGGATTTTTCTTTTCCTCTGAATGGGCCATACTTTCCTGTTTCTTTGTATGCCTTGTGAGTTTTGGTTGACAATTGGACATTTGAATCTAATAATGTGGCAACTCTGGAAATCAGATTTTCCTCTTTCCCTAGGGTTTGCCCTTTTTTGTTAATGTGTGTTATTATTATTATTATTTATTGTTGTAGATAGTCTGTGGGCCAAGTATCAGCCTGAGGTATCAACTTAAGGTCTTCTCAGGTTTTTTTCTGAGCTTGAGCCTTTCCCTGGATATGTGCAGTCAGTCTCTAATTTCCCCTATATGTGCAGTTGTTTTTGAATGTCCTATTACTTAATGTCTGGCTCCCAACGAGGGAAAAAGAAAAATGAAGGGCAGGAAAAGGGTACTGGTCCTTTAAATCCTCTGGAAGTCACTTCAGCCAGAAGGGGAGAAGGGACTTCTAACAGTCGGGGGATGGGATGTACAGCAACAGTGGCTGCCCACGTCTTTGTCTGCGTCTCTGTGTTCAGAAGCAGTTACCAGAACACAGGTCTGCAGTATTTGGAGGGCAAGTTTCCTTTTGTTCATTTTGGCTCCCACAAGCTGTATGCCAGTTGCTCTGGGAACGTGTGCATAAGTTCCTGCCAAGGGGTTAGGAGTAGACATTGGTAGCTGCTACTGTGCTAAGAGCTGAAATGGATTGAAATTAACGTTCATTTACCATCCAAGTTGTCCTCTGGAAGTTGCAAGCGTTCAGTAGACTCCAGAGTTCTAAAGTAGTTACATCAGGCAGATTCTGCCAGTGCAATTGTTGTCTAGGTGGAGAGACACTTTCCGAGTGCTTCCTACCATCTTCCCAGAATCCTCTCCTTAAATCCTAAACCATATATTTAATTCGAATGGCTTTGACAAATGAATAAATATAAGCATACTTTGGCCATTTACCAAAGCATGGCTGTAAGTGCCCATTACTTTCTCCACCTGGCGGAGCAGAAAATGAAATGAAACAATCTATATTTACCATTCAGAACCAGGGTGGTCCTACATAGAGTGCCTAAAAACAAATGAACCAGCATTTGTTTGCTTTTCGTCTCCCACCCTCCTCTTTTTTTTTTTTTTTTTCTCTCAAGGATCATTGATTTCAATGTGCTATGTGGGAGGAAGCAAGATTCACTGCTGCCTCTCGGTATATTTCTAACGAGGTCAGGAAAGCATAGAAGCAGTGCCTCCCAATAATAGGACATATTTTGATCCATCAAAGATCAATTCTTGAATGCCTTTTGTCCATGCTTGGTCATATTTCTAATATGTACCATAACATTGGACTTAAAAGAGAAATTTCTCCCCAAATGATAGAATGTATTAAGCATGTTTCTCATCTGTCATTCCTCTGGAAGTTAGAAGATTTCCCTTAGGACTCAGGCTGTTGTCTTCTCTGATATCCCAAAGTCTTCTCTTGCTGAGGAAATGGGAGGCATGAATCGCAGTTGATTTGGAGTTGAAATAGTCGTAACTCAAGTGTGACGGCAACTCCACTGTCTGTTCATCAGGCTGTTAAACCTGTTCTTCCCCAAGGCAGCCTCAGAGCAAAGTTTGATTTAATTGGCTGTAGCCCGAGAAGCAAAGGTAACAGGTGCTGGGTGCTTGGAGCTTCCTGCCTGGACCTGCTTTGTCTTGGCATTAAGTCCAAGAGACATAAACTAGGCAAGATGGCCCCATAAGGATTGAGGACCAGAATAAAACTCTAATGTGCCAGAGCTCAGAGGGAAGATGAGGAGATAAAAATGTAGATAAAAAAAAAAAAATCACTCTTCCTCACTTTTAAATAAATGATAAAATAAATGTTGGGTAGGAAAATGGGCATTGTGTTGAATTTAAAGAAGGAAGCTGATCTCGTTTCTTTGTCTTGCTCACTGTATTCCCTGGTGAAGTTTTATGTATAAGGTAGGAGGATTCAAGGAAGGGGACAGATGTGGGGCCCCTGCTGTGAACACTCCAGGGACTGACTTGTGGGACGCTTGTTCGCCTTCTGGAAAGAGTCCATCTGTGCCTCCTGCCAGTGAGGGGGCTGCCCCCACCACCCCAGCTCTCACCACTTCTTTAGCTTGAGGGCTGTGCCTGGCATCTGGCTGCCTGACAGTAACCATCAGTTGTTCCTCATCAGGCTCATTCCCGGTTAGGGGTGGGCAATTGTGAAAGGAACCAAGGTTGAACTAACAAGCCATGAGGGAGGTGTTGCCCTCGTGTTTCCCAGCAACTGGGGGTTTATACCAGTAATGATATGAAGACAAAGTAGAGTGCTTTGGGGCATCTTTCAAGCACCGTTGGCCTCTAGCAAGAGACAAGATGGGGGACTGGGAGGGCTGCGAGAGGGGAGGAAGGATACTGTGCTTGCTAGTTCCTGCAGGTAGCTGGTGCAGCAGTTAAGAAATTCATAGAATCATGGATTAAGAACAACGATGCAGATCCTGGCAAGGTGGCAGCAGTTGTGCCATAGTGTTTGAATCTCTCCAAATAACTTCATAAAAACACGGATAAACTGGGGTAGCAAAACTAAAATTCAGGGATGAGCTTTGCACCAAATATACAGGTGTCAAGCATCTCCACAAACCCTTAATAAGAGCACGTGAAGACTAACCAGCGTATTATCAGCATCTGTGCAGGAGGAAGCTGAAGGAAGTGATGGGGTATCTGATGGACCTGAGAACAGAACCCCACAATAGCCATCAGGAGCTCAGAATCTCACGGAGCCAATCTGAGAACAGCCACTAACACTGGGAGCAGTTTGCACCTCCAGTGGGTGAGTATGAGAGGTTTTTGGTAAGGCCTGCAGGGGCTGGAGCAGTCAGCGTCCCAGGAACTCCCACGACCAAGCCCCACGCTGAGGGATAGGAGCCAAAGAGGAGCAGGACAGGTACAGCGGAGGCAAAGGAGAAAGAAGGTTCTTTTGGAGGGGAACAGAGCCAGGAGATCTCCAAAAGTAAGTGCTATATTTTTGAATACTTCAGGAAATCAACAGAAAAGGGAGCTCTAGAGCCCTAAATAAGAAAAAAACTATTCTAAAGTCTCCCAGAAGTTCAGAAAAATTTCACATAAAAATAAGAAACAGAAAAAAAGGTTGAGGTAAAATGCTATGTAAACTTAGAAAGGAAAATAAGGTGCAGAATGACGTGCCTACAATGAAACACATCACAGAGACATGCCCATAAACAGATGAAAATCTGTAATGTTCAAAGCACATTTACAGGTTTAAAAACAGTGTATGCAAAAACAATATACAACAGAGAATTAGAGAAGCTGAGGAATTAAGTGAGAGAACTCAGGAAAGAATGAGAAAAAAATCAATTGAAATAATGAAGACTAAAGTAGGAGGAACACAGGAATGAATAAACACCACAGATAATGTCTTAAGATAAACAGGAGATGACTAAAAGGAGAATTGAAACCAAAATGAATAAAAATTATTTAAGTGAAAGAAATATAGAAGATAGGCAACAACATTCAACATTTACATAATAGGTTTCAACAAAGAAGAAAGCTAAAGGGAACAGAACAAATATAAAAAACTATAAGAAAACACTCCTGAGATAAAAAAAAGTTCGAAACTACACTTTGAAGAGGCATGCCGTATAACTCAATAAATAAACCTAGAATAGCCAACAGGGCATACTTATGGTAGAATTACTGTACCTAAAAAAAATTTCCTGGTTAATCAGACAAAAGACCAAGTAACTTATGGTGAAAAAAAAATTATATTGCCATCAGAAATTTTCAAAGCAACAGTTTAGGCCAGAAGAAAATAAAATGACATTAGTTGTAGTGACAAGGGTGCTCATTATGTAATTCAATAAGCCCCATGTTTGCTTTACATGGTGTTTTGCATCTGTGTTAAGTTTAATAACAAAGTTTAACCCAGCAATCCCATTACTGGGTATATACCCAAAGGATTACAAATCATTCTATAAAGACACATGCACACGTATGTTTATTGTGGCACTATTTACAATAGCAAAGACTTGGAACCAACCCAAATGCCGATCAATGATAGAGTGGATAAAGAAAATGTGGCACATATACACCATGGAATACTATGCAGCCATTAAAAAGAATGAGTTCATGTCCTTTGCAGGGACATGGATGAAGCTGGAAACCATCATTCTCAGCAAACTAACACAGGAACAGAAAACCAAACATCTCGTGTTCTCACTCACAAGTAGGAGTTGAACAATGAGAACACATGGACACAGGGAGGGGAACATCACACACTGGGGCCTGTCGGGGGGTGGGGGGCAAGGGGAGGGAAACCATAAGGACAAATCCCTAATGCATGCGGGGCTCAAGACCTGGATGATGGGTTGATGAGTGCAGCAAACCACCATGGCACATGTGTACTTATGTAACAAACCTGCATGTTCTGCACATGCATACCAGAACTTAAAGTACAATAATAAACAAACCCCAAAATTTAAAAAGAAACAGTGCCAACAGTGGCCAGGTGGGCAAGGGAATGAGTTAGAGCTGGTAGGATTAGCCTATGATGGATGGGAGAGCAGTACTCTATGTAAAGGTGGCAGGAAGTCCCATCTCCAGCCTGTCTGCCTTGGGATAAAGAGAGCTCACAGGGGCAGAGTGAAGATGTGATTTTACTATTTTTATGTCTTTTTTACTTTTTGTGGAGAACATGGTCTTGCTATGCTGCCCAGGCAGGTGTCTAACTCCTGGGCTCAAGGTAGTATCCTACCGCCTCTGTCTCCCTAAGTGCTGGCATTATAGGCGTGAGCCATCACATCTGGCCTGAAACAGGATTTTAAAGAGGAGCTGAAACTGTGTATGTGGGCATATCCTAGTTTTTAAACATTTACAACCAATGTAACATTTTACAAACTAAAACAAAATCTCATGTAGGTCTAACAAAACACATGTGTGATCTAAAATTGGTTCTCGGGCAGAAGCTGTGGCTTCTTACTGCACTGCAAGCTCTGTAAGGACAGGTACCCAGCCAGGATCCCCTTCCTGGCAGCCTGGAGGCCAGGGAAAGGTTGGCGGCTGAGCAGCATCACAGACACCTGAGGCTTAAGCGTTCCCCGCTGCACACTCTGAAAGTAGAAGCTGCAAAAGACAAGCTAGGTCATTTGGTTGGGGATCTCTTTCTTACTTATTTACAGAGAGGGTCTCACTCTGTTGTCCAGGTTGGAGTGCAGTGGCACAATCATAGCTCACTGTAACCTCAAACTCCTGGGCTCACGCAATCCTTCCTCTTCAGCCTCCCAAGTAGCTGGGATTACAGGTGTGCACCTAGCTAATGTTCTTATCTCTTTCTCAGTCCAGAATGCTCTGTATTCTAATTGTTAGGGTGGATTCTAAACATCCTTTTTTTCTTCTTTTTTTTTTTAAAGAGTGTTGGAAGGGCCGGGTATGGTGGCTCATGATTGTAATCCCAGCACTTTGGGAGGCTGAGGTAGGCAGATCACAAGGTCAGGAGTTTGAAACTAGACTGGCCAACATGGCGAAACCCAGTCTCTACTAAAAAAAATTACAAAAATCAGCTGGGCATGGTGGCACAAGCCTGTAATCCCAGCTACTCGGGAGGCTGAGGCAGGAGAATTGCTTGAACCTGGGAGGTGGAGGTTGCAGTGAGCCCAGATCTCGCCACTGTACTCCAGCCTGGGTGATAGAGCAAGACTCCATCTCGACAAACAACAACAACAACAATAACAAAAAAAGAGTGAACCATATGAGGTCCAGATTGAAGGCTAAGACCAACTTCACATCAATTTCTGGTCTCCTGGCTCTCAGGCCAGGGCTGTTTGCACCAGGTGGATTGCGCTACTTCCTTAACACCTATTCTGCAGGCAGATAGGTACAGTCATTGGCTCCAGCCTTTCTTCCTGGAGGGCTTCCTCCTGTCCTTCAACTTTGAATTCCTTCCCATCTTTAGAATCTAGTGCAATTCCCACATAGCTTCTTCATGAAGTGTTTCCCAATTATTCCAGCTACAAGTCCTTGCTCTAAGTTTTGCTGGCATTCATTTTCTTCACAAACTGTAATTGACTTTCTCTTTATGAAATTTAACCTTTCCCATGTCTCTCCAACTAGACTTGTAGTTCCTTGGGGCCCAGCCCCAGCTATTGCTCAGGACCAGGCACATAAGAGCTACTCAATAAATATTTATTGATGGATACATTTAAGAATTGATGAAGACATTCCAAACAAGTTTACAACAGAATGGATGATGGGAGCAGAATTGAATTCAGTCCCATTACTTCCTAGCTGGTGACCTTGGTTGGGTAAATTATGTATCTTCTCTGACCTCCAGTTTCATCCTTTACAAAATGAGGGTGATGGTATATTCTGACAGCATATTTGTGAGGATTAAAAGAAATAATATGCACAAATCACTTAGCATGCTGTCAGGCATGTAATCAGCTCTCAGTAAATGTTAGTTGTTTATCGTGACAGGGCACCTATATTTTTAAACAAGAAGGAGATGTGCAATTCTGTTTTGAATTCTCTATTTATTGTCCCTTATTTCTTCCTTCCCAAATACCTCCCAAATTTCCTATATCATTATTTTTAAAAACAAACTTTATTATTTAGAACAGTTTTAGATTTACTGCGAAGAAAGTACAGAGAGTTTCTTTATGCTCCACACCTAGTTTTCACTATTATTCAGATCTTAGTATAGTACATCTGTCACAATTAACGAACCAATGTTATCGCAGTATTAGTAACTAAAGGCTGCACTTTATTCAGATTTCCCTAGTTTTTAGCTAATGTCCTTTTTCTCTTCCAGAATCCCATCCGGAGTCCCTCATTATATTTAGTTGTCCTGTCTTCTTAGGCTGTGACAGTTTCTTAGATTTTCTTCATTTTTGATGACCTGGACAGTTTTGAGGAATACTGGTCAAATATTTTGTGGAATATCCTTATATTGGGATTTTAAATATTTTTCTCATGATTAGACTGTGGTTTTAGTTTTATAGGCGGAAGTCGATGGAGGTAAAGTGCCATTTTTGTCACATCATGTCAAGGGTACATACTATCAACATGGCTTTTGACTGATGAGGTTAACCTTGATCATCTGGCTGAGGCAGTGTTTGTCATATTTCTCCATAGGAAAGTGACTCTTTCAACCCCCTGCTTATCCTGTATTCTTGGAAAGTCACTACGTGTAGCCCATACTTAAGGAGTGGAAGTTATGTTCAACTTTCTTGAGGGCACAGAATATATGTAAATTATTTAGAATGCTTCTGCACAGATTTGTCTCTTTTTCCACATTCTTTTATTTTTTCATATTTGTATAGGCTTGCAGATATTTATTTTATACTTTGGATTATAATCAATACTGCTTTCTTTAAATTGTTCCAGCTTTGGCCACTGAGGGCTCTTTCAGCTGTCTCCTGTGTTCCTTTGATATATCCCATCGTGTGTGTGTGTGTGTGTGTGTGTGTGTGTGTGTGTGTTGTAAGCACTTCTTTACTTTCTGGCACTACAAATTGCTCCAGGCTCATCTTGTGTATTTCCTGCTCCAATTCTAGAATCAATCATTTCTTTAAGAAGCTCTAGTGCCTTTTACCGGAGAAAGGTATTTAAAACCAAGATCCAGGCTGGGCATGGTGGCTCACAACTGTAATCCCAGCAGTTTAGGAGGCCGAGGCGGGCAGATCACCTGGGGTCAGGAGTTCGAGACCAGCCTGGCCAACATGGCAAAACCCTGTCTGTACTAAAAATACAAAAATTACACCTTGTCTCTACTAAAAATACAAAAATTAGCTGGGCCTGGTGGTGGGCACCTGTAATCCCAGCTACTCGGGAGGCTGAGGCTGGAGAATCACTTGAACCCAGGAAGTGGAGGTTGCAGTGAACCAAGATCATGCCACTGCACTTCAGCCTGGATGACAAGAGTGAAACTCCATCTCATAAATAAATAAATAAATAAATAAAACCAAGATCTGAGCACTAGATAGGTTCTCTTACTGGCTTGTCCTTGCTGCTAGGCCGTCTCAGCTGAGAGCAAGGACAAAGAGGTATGCATATGTATATGTATATATATATATACACACACAACTATCTTTCAGTGTTTCTATATGTAACCATCTGTTTCTATATTAAACTAAACATGAGTTCACACTGATGTCTCCAACTCTAATTCATGATCATCTCCCCTTGCTTCTCTGTGACTTCCTACTTCATCAGTGAGAACTTGGCTCCCACCATCCGCCATCCATTTCACTTATATTTCACTTAATTGCTTAATTCTAGTGTACATGTGTAGCAGTGTTAAGATTGCTAACCTGTATACTGTGGGGAACAGCTTTATCAACTTGAGTACGGTGGTTTTTTTTTTTTTTTAGACGGAATCTTGCTCTGTCGCCCAGGCTGGAGTGCAGTGGCGCCATCTCCGCTCACTGCAAGCTCCGCCTCCCGGGTTCACGCCGTTCTCCTGCCTCAGCCTCCCGAGTAGCTGGTACTACAGGTGCCAGCCACCACGCCTGGCTAATTTTTTGTATTTTTTAGTAGAGATGGGGTTTCACCCTGTTAGCCAGGATGGTCTCGTTCTGCTGACCTCGTGATCCGCCTGCCTCGGCCTCCCAAAATGCTGGGATTACAGGCATGAGCCACCACACCCGGCCGAGTATAGTGTTTATATGCAATTATTTTTGCTTCGGTTTTACAGACTCCACTCATTTATTTCCAAAGTTGCTTAGGTCAGCACCTTCCTTCTCACCCCCTCCCCTTCTTTCAGTAAGGTATTACAGTTTCATACATTTTAATATAGTTAGATCATTTTATCACATACTGCATTCCATCCTGGGATTCCTTTGACCTCCTAAATGGTTTTTTTTTTTCAATTTGCATACATTATGGTTCACTCTGTGTGCTGTAAGGTTCAGTATGTTTTGATAAATGCATAGTGTCATGTATCCACAATTACACAATCATACAGAATAGTTTCACCACCTGAAAAAAATATCCCCTGGGCTTCCCTGATTTCAACCTCCTATTTCCCCGTAAGGTCCTGGCAACCAGTGATTTTTTTTTTTTTTTTTTTTTTTTACTGTCTCTATAGTTTTGCTTTTTCCAGATACCATATAATAGGAATCAAACAGCATGTAGAATTTTTCATGCTGGCTTCTGTCACTTAGCAATATGTATTTCAGGTTCATCCATGTCCTTTCATGGCTTGTTAGCTTATTTCTTTTTATCATGGAATAATGTTCTTGTTACAGATACACAAGGTTTGTTTATACATTCACCTATTGGAGGACATCTTGGATACTTCCTACCATAACTTTTTTTTTTTTAAATCAAAAAAGAAAGTTTGTTGTCTTACAACAGAAATTTTTCTTTTATTTTTCCTTTATAGAAGTAACATGTGAAAGAAGAGTATATAGTGGTTTAGAACATGGGTTCTAAAGCAGATGGCACTGTGTACCAGCTGTGAGTCCCTGGGCAAGAGCACAGCCTCTCTGAGCCCCCATTTCCTGCTCTGTAATGTGAGGTTAGCGGCGATGTCTCCTCATTAGGCTATGAGGATGGAAAGAGAAAGCTCCTGTAGAGTGTATCCTTGAATGTTAGCTTTGTGTATACATCCATGTTCCCCAACCCAACCTGAGACAGCTTTAAACAAAACTAAGTGTAGCCTTATTGAGATATAATTCACACATCATGCACTTCACCTATTTAAAGTGAGACACGTTAATGCTCGTGCTTCTTGATCTCTCCAGAAGGTGTCAAAGTTTTCACACGAGACCTCATGACTCTAAGATGCATCCTCATTTCTGAGTTGTTGAAATGTGAAACAAACAAATCACAGATCTCACTATAGAAAATCTAACCAAGCCTGCTCGGGCATCATGATCTGTAGTGAAGTGCCTTAGAGAAGGGCTGAGCTGCGAAGTGGAAGGTGTCTGGCTCTCTTCTGTGCTCTCTTTTCTCTAACCCAGGGTCAAAGGAGTCTGCAGTATGCCCAGGTGGGATGGTGGAGGAAGACACGTTTCTGAACTAGAGAACAATTTGTGAAGAAAGGGAGGATGAGTACAGGGAGATGCTTGGGAAGTCACAAGGAACAGAGCCTGAAGTTTCTACGGCTGACACTGTCACATGCCAAGGGTTAGGAGGGCATTACTCTGGGCATCAGGCATTGGGAATTGCTGCACGCCCTGCAAGGCGGGCACAGCGGCGTTGAGATGCTCCTGTGCCTTCTGCCAGCAGATGGCAGTGTGGATCTGTGGAGAGAGTGGAGACGGCCAGCCAGCTGAGGAAGCGGATGGATTATTATAGAGAAGGATGACACGGGGAGGACCCTCTCGAGGTTTCCTACTGACCTGGAGGCGCTCATGTGGCTGCCACTCAGTGTCCTCTCAGAGGCCATTGTACCCAGCTCATGACTGTAGGCAGGAATGTAGGGAGAGTTCATTTAATAAAGATGGGCTGAGTGCCAGCTCTGATGGGACCCTCAGCTGGGTGTGATGGGAACAGAAAGATACATCCTACGGTGCCCCTCACAGAGCCTGTGCTTTGACGGAGACTTGACATGCCCAAATGTGACTACAGTACAGAGGAGGTTATGGTTATGATGCAATGGAACAGGTGTAAGGCATCTACAGAACCTCTCTAGGGTGTCCCCTGGCTGGGTCCCAGTACTCTGTCCCATTGGCACAGCCTGTATCTGGCTCAGACTTCCCCAGTTATGTGCGAATCCATTTCATCAGAACAGCCTACCTCTGGCCTCTGTGTAAGGCGGCTCACCATGCCAGCAAGTCGCCCCAGCCTTTTTGTCTTCAGTGTCAACGATCTCACCTCCTTTCCCTTTCCCTTTCCCTCTGGGACTCTTCCGATGGATCCCTCTGTGACTTTCCTCTGACTTTGTCCTAAACAGGAAACCTAATGAGGATTCTATTCTCTGCAATAGCAAGAGGAGGGCTAAGGGCTGCCTTCTATCGTGCCATTTCCTATTTAAACAAAGGCTTTGTGCTGTGATACCACTAGGCGTTTATGTTCACTCTGACCCCAGAATCCTTTCTTCTCTCTTCATGTGTTGTGCTTTGTAGTCTGTAGCCTCAGGTAGTCTGGTTAGTTCAGTGGTTTGGAGCTCAGCACCGATAAGATCAAAATCCTTTGCTGAAACTGTTAAAGAAACATTTTTTCAATGATACTTGTCAAAGCACTGTAAGGCAGAGTTTATTCAGGACCATTGTGATAGCTAGAGGGACCCCTGCAATGGTGTCTTGCAGCTGGGGAGAGAGATTTGGCTCAACTTTGAATACATCATAGCATGGGCGAGCAGCAATTTATAGCCAAGGAGCAGGGTGGGGTCAGTGGATGGAAAATTACTTAGAAGAAACATCAGGGGCTAGGAGGTTCTGGCTAAACTGACCTAAAAGGAATCTTTCTGAAGAAAGGCCAGGGGGATCAGTTATCATTTGGGGGATGGTGGAGGATGAGAAACCTGATCAGATTTTGAGGATGGTCTGATATCAAGGGTGGGAGTGGGAGTTCTTGCTAAACTGACTTAGGATTCTTTGCTAAAAGTGGACTTTACAAGAGAGTACATAGCTGGGCCTAGGAGAAGTTTCCAAAAGTGGACTAAAGTTTGGCCAAGCAAAGAATCTTTGTCAAGACCTCAGGTGATCTAGTAGATTTCATTTGTTCCATGATCACAGCCAATACCTTTCACCTTGGCCCTGTTGACATGATGTCCTGGCTTTACTTCCTGCATCCCCATCTCTCCAGCCCCAAAATGATCTCCTTTCATCCCCATCTTCAGAACCAACCCTGCCCAGACTCTAGGACCAGGGCCGTCTCTGTGAAGCTGAATGCTGAGCAGATTCGGAGTCTTCTTTTTGCAGGCCTGTTTCCCCCTTGTGCCCATTTTTTTTTTTTTTTTTTTTTTTTTTTGAGATAGAGTATTGCTCTGTTGCCCATGCTGGAGTGCAGTGGTGTGATCTTGGCTCACCGCAACCTCCGCAACCTCCGCCTCCCGGGTTCAAGTGATTCCCCTGTCTCACCCTCCTGAGTAGCTGGGATTACAGATGTGTGCCATTATACCTAACTAATTTTTGTTTTTTAGAAGAGTCAAACGGGGTTTCACCATATTGGCCTGGCTGGTCTCAAATGCCCAATCTCAAGTGATCCGTCTGCTTCGGCCTCCCAAAGCGCTGGGATTACAAGCTTGAGCCACCGCACCCAGCCCCCTTGTGCCCGCTTCTAAGAAAGGGCCTGGGCTTCTGAATTACCTTCCTTGCCTGAAATTCAGCTTTGGTTTCTTGCTCAGCCCTCTGGTAGCTTCTGGACTCTGAGAGGGCAGAGGTACTAGCTTGGTGGGGTGGAGCTTACCTACCAGTTTCCCACCATGTGCCTTGACTTTGTTTCCTGGCTTCTCCGAAACACACTTTCTTCCTTTCTTAAAAATACAAAAAATTAGCCAGGTGTGGTGGCGCATGCCTGTAATCCCAGCCACTCGGGAGGCTGAGGCAGGAGAATCGCTTGAATCCAGGAGGCGGAGGTTGCAGTGAGCCGACATCGCGCCATTGCACTTCAGCCTGGGCAACAAGAGCGAAACTCCATTTCAAAAACAAGCAAACAACAACAACAAAAAAGGGATGGGAGTGGCTCATACTGTGGCCTTCTTCGAATCCGAGCAAAATGGACATCAGTTAATGCTAATTCCAACTCTCCCACTTCCCCCATCTTTACATTCCTAGGACCTGGAAGCTTAAGCTTGATTGATGCCAAATATTTCTTGAAAGTCTATGCTCTACTCATCCCCCGACTACAGAGTCGCATGTTCCTTTATATCTGGTGGAACATGCCCCTTTTTGCTGGACTCCTCAGAGGAGGTGCCACTAGCCTAGACCACCCACTGCCTCTCACCCCCTCTCTAACACCACTTCCCTGTCACTGTGTGTTGTGTTGCTGCCTGCCCCAGGGATCAGATCCCTGATCTTGCCTGTCTATTCCCTACCCTTCTTTTCCTAGGGGAGTCATAGGACATGTTGCTTACATCTCTGTAGCACCGGATTAGGTGGCAGCCAGGTGAGGGAGAATGTGAATGAATTAGAGCAGCCCATTACCATCCTGGGCACCTGGTTCATGGAGCATTTGGCAAGGCAAGTGGGTGGCCTGCAAAAAAAACAAAACCAAACAAAGCAAAGCCAAAAAGTCCCCCAAACATTAGGAACCTTTGGGTCTATGGGATTGTTGTAAAGATGGATAGAAAGGTCTCCACAAAGTGTACAAAGTTGAAGGCACAAAGTTGAACTTCACAAAGTTGAAGGCAGAGCAATAGCAAACGCTTATTAAGCATTTCCTAAGTGCTGGGTTATTTTCTAAGTGCAACACATGCTGTTTCATTTAGTCCTCCCAACACCCCTGTAAGGTGGCTACTATTAATAGTCCAATTTTCCATGTAAAGAAGCTAAACCTAAGAGGAGTGAAAGGACTTGTTAAGGTTGCACAGCTAGTAAATGCTGGAATTTACAGCTAGTAAAACCAGGAATTTCACCTGGCAGGCTGATGCTGGAGCCTGCGCTGGCATCTAAGAGGCAGTGTTGCCCCCCGCCCTGTTCTGATCTCATGGAGGCAGCTACCATTTGCAGACTTGGACACATCCTTGCATAACCTGGTTGTAGGGGAAAGGCTTGGGGACCTGGGGTTGCGGGGGCACTCTTGATGGTTTTGTTATGAGGGAAATTGGATTTGCCATGATTATACATCAAGGAATGGCATCCACAGATGCAGCTGTAGATATTCCAGATGTCCTTTGGCAGGGAGGTGACAAAAAGTGAGCCACTAGTGGGTGGAAAAACCCATATACATAAAGTGAAAGAGAGGTCATTAATTTCCCCTGGGCCATTCCGGAGTGCAAGTGAGGAATTAGAGGACATATGTATGAAAGATAGATCTGACGCTAATTGGCAGAAATGCTCCTCATTGCCTTGTGAAGCAAGGTTCGTTAATTAAAACATAATGTTCAGCGTGACTTTAAAATTAAATACCTAAGACATAATGTCTGCTCATGAGGCAGACATGAAGTGTAGTTATTTATATTCTTGTACTTTAGTATATGAACTTGTTGTATTATTTACAACCCAATCTACTCTAGAAGACTTTAAGATGCTTCTATTTGGCCTCTTCTCGGTTAACTTCATGCTAAGTTTCAATATGGACTTTGGAGTCCATATTGGTTAGTGTCCCCCAGCTCTTTTGTTGGTCTGTTTCATCGGTGGAATGGGAAGAGATAACAGAAAATGTGGTCTCTACTATTGAAGGACCTGCAATGTATTAGGTGTAGAGTCTGTTGGGAAGGCCTGTGGCCCTTTTATATGTGGGCTAGAAACAGTGTTTTTCAGTTTCCCAGATGTATTCTCATTTGCAAGAATCAGAAACCAACTCTGTCCATATTTAGGGAGAAAAGGTGGAAGGGGGAGGGATTTAGGAAAAGTTATTGGTGGGATTGGTGTTGGGATATCAGGAACAGTTGGTGTCAAAAGGCTTCAGTCACCGTGGTGAATGTGTCCCTTCAAATATTCCCTCTGACTTGACATCACTTGGCCAAATCTCAAAGTCCCAGGAATGAACATCTGACTGGTCAAGCCTGGCATAGTGTGGTGGAGAAACAGTGTGGCCTCCTTGACTTCCGCTAGTAGAGCAGGTGGTGCAAGGTGGCAGGGGCTGGGACTTACCTTCTGCCGAGATCTTAAAACTGGGGAATTTTCCCCAACAGGAGATGGAGGTGCTAGCAGAAATGGGCGGTGGGGTGGGTGTGGGGGGTGTTGTTGAATGCTGAACAGCCAAAAAACACAAAAAACAAAAAAACCCCAAAACAACAGCAAAACAAAACCCAGAACTGCCCCCTATGGAAACAATGGCAAAACAACCAACTATGGAGAGATGCTGGTATGTATCTTGCTTTATGCAATATATAAGCCTTCTAAAAAGTTGTATTCACAAGGAATCCTATGTTGAATGGAGCAGGACACCATCTATTAAAAGAAACTCTTGGTACATCCTTTTGCAAACTAATGATGCAAACATAGCCTGAGAATAATTTTGTTTTATGTGGAGTTGTCCTATAATGGATTGCTCCAAAGAAGATCCAGCTGCATATATAATTGTGCACTCCTGAGGAACAGAGATCTTTTTCCTTGAAGGCACATCTCCTTGAATAGATTTTGATGGAAGATTCCATCACAGACTCTGTATAATCACACCAGACAATTATTCCTTAAGAACTGGGCATGCCAGGGTTCCCTTTTTAAAAATTTCATGTTTATTCTGTCTCCTGTATGGCTTCTTGAGAACAGGGAATAAGCCAGGGTCATTTTTGTTAAGGTTTCCTGTGGGGTGCTCACGTTAAATGGATGCTGTTGCAGATAGACCGAACCCTCATCACAACTGGTGTTGTTTGCAACAGCACAGGTGATTTTTGCTTCTTTCTCAGACTTTCTTTACCTTTTGCCCCTCTGCCGGAGAAGTCAATGCAGCAAGCTTTTCTTTTCTTTTTTCTTTCCTTCTTTTTAAAACAGAGGCCCTGCATTCTCCTCAAGGTCCTGCTTCTGGTTCTGAGGCCTCCTGAGGATATAGCCCACACACCATCCTCCTCTCCCCAGCATTCCATAGGGACCCTGAGTTGAGGAGACTCTGACTTGAGTTTGTGCTGCCTTGCTCCATCCTCTGGTCCTGTCCCACAAGTGAGTTACACGTTTCCCTCTGCCCACCTCCTCCCTCCCCCGACTCCCAGCCCAGACTTCTTTGCTGCCTGATAAAACCTCATCTGGTCTGTTTTAATGGGGAGATAAAACTGCTGTTTATGTCACTGTGTGGATAGTGTGTGGAGGTTTCAAGCCTCCCCTCCCCTCTCCTCTCTTCTCCTCTCCTCTCTCCTCTTCAGAAAAGTCGAGTCTTATGTCTGTGGCTTCTGCAGACACTGCTGAGAACCTGTGGCATCTCTTCTTTCACATTCTGCCATCAGAGAGGGCTCTAACCAGGAAGCTCAGAGTCTTAAAGCTTGGCCCAGTAAATTACAGTGTCCAGAACCCTACAGCCCAGTTACACCAGCAGGGCCCACGTCTGGGGGTGGCCTAGCCCAGCCAAATTCCTGGACAATATAATTTAGAGGTTGAATTTTCTAAATGGGAACAAAAACATTTATCTCAACAACAAAAGAAAACAAAATACCAACCAAAGTTCCAATGCTATGGGGGAAATTTTTCAAAAGGACTGTTTATACAAAGTAGATGAAAGAATATTATCTCAGAATAAAGGACAGTCATTTAACTGAAACATATTTAGCTTGATAACAGAATGTACAGTATTGTCTTTATTTTTCACATATGTAGGAATGTATTGTAGCAAACTTCATGAATGATCCTGAGTGGAGGAAATTAGACATAAACTAGCACGTATTCTAGGAGTATACTTGGAGATGGGACAAACACAGGTGAAACTAATCCATGCTGTTAGTGATAAGGGTATAGTTACTCTGAGTGAGCGGTTAGTGAGCACCATGGGGCTTCTGAGCTACTAGTTATGTTCTGTTTCTTATCTGAGTGTTGATTTCATAGCATGTTCAGTTTGTGAAAATGCAGAGAACTGAAAATGTATGAAACATGCATTTTTCTGTCCTTACTACATTTGAATTGTTAAAAACACACAGTTCATCATTGTCTAACCTGGGTCTCTAGTTCTCTGGGACCCAATGATCAAGTTCAACCTCCACATTTGATAGTGGAGAAAACTGATCCCCTGAGAGGGGAAGTGACTTGTTCCAGGTCACAAAGCAAATCAGTGGCCAAATTAGAAATTGGTCCCTGGCCCCTGGACTCTCTGCTTCCAGCTTCCTAGTCCTGGGGTCACCATGCAGCTGCAGGCTACTCTAAAAAAAGGGTCCTGGCTGCCTCAGGGAACGTGTTCACGGGAAGACACTCAGTACATACTTGTTGGGTGAAATGTGGAGTGGACGCTGCCGATATCCTGTCCTCGCCCCAAGGCTTTTCAATTTCGTCTCCTGAGTAGCTGTCTACTTCCTCCCTGCACGTCCTTTGCTTATGATCCCTGCCTTTTATATATTTTCCAGAAGAAAGCTCCTCTGCTCCTTTTTAAGGCAAACTATTCTCCCACTTACTTCCTTGAGGCTCTCTTTATTTTATTAATTTCTCTTGCATTTGCATTTTTTATACTCCTCCGCCAAAGGATCATCTCTTTCTGATTACAAATATACTCAGTATTTTTCTTTCCTAAAAAAGAATTCTTTCCCTGCCCCCAATTAATGAGTCAACAGGCATTTCTGAAGTGCTTGTACTGGGCACTGTGCAAGGTGCTGTTCCTGCTCATGGTTGAGCAGGTCTTACCTGCCGCCCTCCACAAGTTATTTTTAAAGTTTTCAGACTTTTTGAGGTCGCCAAGTTCGTCTTCATTTTCTCCAGCTCCTCATGTCCTATTTCTCTTCGCTTGCTGTTATTGGCTTCCATGCTCACTGCCATTGCATTTATTTTATTTCATTTTGTTTTAGTGGCCAATGCCCTTTTAGTAGGATGAACACACATCTTAGGTTGCTTGGGAAAGTCCTATCTGACACCACTTCTCCTGGCATAATTATTGATAGCATCCATTTCACTCTCTAAAATGCTCTGGTTTGGATTTTAAGCTATACAGTAACCTCCCCAGCAGCCCCTGCTTACTAGCCATATACAGTGGCCTTTTCTTTTTTTCATTTGTACTGATTCTTGGGTCTGTTTTGACAAAGTATTGGTTAAAAGCTCAGACTTTAGGACAAACAGAGACCTGAGTTAATTTCCCACACCTCATCTGTGCACAAGCTCTGAGCTTCAGTTTCTTTACCTGTAAACACAGGAATGAAAGGAAAGTGCTTGCTTCATAGGGTGGCTGCTGGTTCTGGGAGGGAAGCAAGTGCAGTGCTTGCAAGCTCCGTTGGAGGGGGTGCCCAGGAAGCAGGACCCTCCCACCCTTGCTCCCTTCTCGAAGCTCCCTTCTCCCTTGACTCCTGGACTTTCCACAGTCTCCTCCTGGCTCTCTAGACTCCTTTTCTGTCTCTTCAGCCTTGGCCCATCCTAACCTGCTGGAATTCTTGGATTCCTGGTTTCTGCAACTCAGCCTAGCTTTGCGATGAAGAGGATGGGCTGTGGAGACAGGATCCCCTAGTTCAAACCCCAGTGCTGTCACTTACCAGCTGAGAGCACCTGGGCAAGTTATTTAACCTCTCAATGCCTCAGTGATCACACTTGTTAAATGAGTTTGCTTACTTCATAGGTGCTTCTGAGGATTCCATGGGCTGGGACCTGTATCAAGTCCTCCACATAATGCCTGGCACTCAGTAAGCATCCAGTATCTGCTGTTCCTGTCTCAGCTTCCCAGGTGTCCTGCGTTGACTCCTTCCTCTCCCACACTCCCTTGGTGGAATCTTGTCCATTCTCTCCCTTCCTCTTCCCCTTTGTGGAATCTTGTCCATTCTGTCTCTGTGGGCACTCAGAACCCTTTCCTTTCCTTTGTGTCTGCTGCTGCCCTAGTTGTTTCAGGTCGTCTTCTTTCTTTGTAATCTTCTGAAATAATCTCACACAAGTATCCTTGCTACAGACCTCTTCCCTTTCCAATCCAATTTCCATGTTAATAGCAGGTATATTTTTCTGAAGCACATTTTAGATTATGCTACTCCCCTACTCTAAAACCTCAAGTGGCTCCTTATTGTCCTCAGACTAGAGATCAAATCCTCGGTCCTGCCACTCAAGCTCCCCGCATCTGGACCCCACCTGCATAACCAACTTAATTCCCCCGCTGCACCCTTTTGCACCCAGCGATCCAGCTAGATGGACATGTTCTTTGCCCCTCATGTTCTTCCTGTGATTACCTGCCTCGGGACTTTTGTCTTTGCTGTTTATTTGGAACACCCATTCCCTCTCATGTACTCAACTTCTTCCATCCTTCAGCGCCCAGAGGAAATGTCATCTTCTCTTTGGAGCCTGCTCTGATTTTTCATATACTCCACATTGGAAAGATTCTCTGGAACTCTGTGTGAACCTTTCCAATGACTGTTCTGCTTTCTACCCTGCATTTTATCTGAAGATCATTTATTCACAAACAGGTCACCTGTCACTGGTTTCATGTTGGCCTGTCTCCTGCCCACTGTTATTAGTGATGGTAGTCTTTCTCGGCATTTCCAGGACAGGAGCTATTTCTTGCCACTGTGTGCAAGAACCACACAGCCATAGGACAACCTTCTTTTTCTCTGCGACGAGGGAGCATAAAGCTGAGTTGAGGAAAGTGTGTGTGTGTGTGTGTGTGTGTGTGTGTGCGCGTGCACTTAGGAACATTCTCAGAGCAGCACAGCTCATAAATGAGTGCAGATTAAAGACAGGGCCCCAGAGAATTGGCAAGTGCTAAGAGGTTGCAGAGCAGGGAGGACTCAACCTTGCATATAATGGGACATGGCTCAGTGGAACAGGGAGTTCTGTACAGTGACCTGAAGGCAGGAGACACAAGGATTGGCTGGCAGTAGATGGGAATCCTGGGAGGGGGCAGTCATGTCTGTTTCCTGACGTATTCATTGGCCTGAGGGACAATTTCTCTCCCAGTCATGGGACCGCTCTAAGTCTCTGTTTCCTCATCTTCTTTCAGCATGGTCTAGTGACTAACATCACAGGCTTTGGCATCAGAGTGACTTGGTTGTAAATCCTGGATCTCCTAATTGCTGACTGAGTGACTTTGGGAAGGTCATCTGAGCTTCAGTGTTCTCATCCTCACAAGACTGTAGGAGGTAGAGTGACATAGCAAGCTGAAGTGCCAGGCAGATCATAAGCTCAACATGTTTAGGATGTGATTAGAGTCTCAAGCTCTTCACCTTTAAGATGGAGACAACTAACAACCTTCTCCGAGGGTTGTTGTAAGCTAGGCTCTCTAAGGGCCGGACACACAGCACTCAGTGAAATCGCAAGTTATATCCCAAAGCAAGATGTATCTGGGGTTATTTAAAAACACTCAATACCACTCTATGTATTATAATTAATTGTCTTTCTATCCTTCTGAAAAGTGTTAAAAGATATTTTTTAAAGTTAAAATAATGACATTCATACATATAAAATGAGTGTGTGTCAAAGATTTCACTTAAGTCATTATGAATGAGGTGGCCCCTGCTCCTGTCCCCACAGTCTCCACTTCGGTCTTATTGCTCATTCTGATTTCTCCCCATGTTTCTTAATTCCTACTGGACAGGTAGAAAAAATATGAGTGTGTGTGTATGTGTGTGTGTGGGCATGTGCGTGTGTTTGTAGGTGGGGCGTGTGTGTGTGAACAACCTTGGTTTTAGGAATATACTTTCCATTTTGTAGTTATAGTGTGTTTTGTTGTTGCTTTGCCTAATTACTTATAGATTGGATTAATTATAACTCCTCTAATTAGATTGGAGGAGGAAGGAGTTCCCTGACAGTGAATGCTCTGGAGAAAAGAGACAAAACAGAAAGAAACAAAGGAGAAGAGATCTTGCTATGGAAATCTAGCTCAGCCAGGCTGGAGCTTAAACAGGGGCTAAGGGCTTTATTCATCAACACTTACTAAGCACTTACTTCATGCCATGATGCCATGTGCAGTCCCAGACAATGTGAGGATTATAGAAATGGTCATGACCATGACCCCTGGTCTCATAGGCTACAACCATTGCTTGTCACCTGGTTGGGGGGATAAAATCACCTGAAGCCAACCTGTTGAGAACCTTGACTTAGTAGTCAGAGAAGAAAGACCAGCATGGAGAAGCAGCTTGGAAACTTGTCCTAGGAGAGAAGTTTTAGCAGGAAGCTCAGGTAAACATGTACGGATACATCGTGTAATGATTATGCATCAGAATCTGAAAGGGTGGTATGTGGAAGGAGGTCAGACTTATTCTGTATAGCTCTGAGAGGCCGAGCTAAGACTCATTTATTCATTCATTCAGCTGATACATATTGTATGCTACTCTGTGTCAGATTGTATTCTAGACATTGGGGTTACAAGCAGTGAAACATTTAAAAAAGGACAAAAATCCCTGTGATCAGGGTGCTGACTTTTATTCCCCCCTCAACAGGAGGAAATTTCAGGGAACAAAGGCTCAATGTCAGGATGAACTTTCTATAGCCAGACCTGTGCAAAGACGGACTTTGAATTCCTTGAGGGGATAAAGAGGGCATTCAGGTTCGCTGGTTTGACAATCTTGGTGATGTTGTGGTTATTTGCACATGACAGAACCAAATGTTTTTTTTTAATTTCTATTCATCCTCTTTTTTTCTGCCCTGTTTTGGCTCTTTTGGAAGACTTGGACAGACCTTCTTTCTGCCTGGGTGAGAGTATTTTGGCATAGGGTAGCCTGGCATTTGATGGAGTCCATTTCTGGTGCTGGGCTTGGCAGCGGTAACAGAGTGCTGCTGTCTGCCATCAGCTGTTGAGATTGTGCCTATAATAATATACAAAATCTTTTTTTGAGTCTCACTATGTCACCCAGGCTGGAGTGCATTGATGCGATCTCAGCCTACAGCAACTTCTGCCTCACGGGTTCAAGTGATTCTCCTGCTTCAACCTCCTGAGTAGCTGGGATTACAGGTGTGCACCACCATGCCTGGCTAATTTTTGTATTTTTAGTAAAGATGGGGTTTCACCATGTTGGCCAGGCTGGTCTTGAACTCCTGACCTTGTGATTCACCCACCTCGGCCTCCCGAAGTGCTGGTATTACAGGCGTGAGCCACTGTGCCTGGCCTAGAAAATCTTTTATTTTTTTTCTCTCTGTGTGCTCACTTCTGTGTCAGGTGGCCGAGGAATACTGGCAAGACCCAGCCCCTGCCCTTGGAGAGCTCAAAATAGAGCTGGGAGAACAGAATACCTTCTGAGAGGGGGATGGGCCATCTTATATCTGTGGTTTGAAGAAGCCCAAGCAGTCAACTTTATCAAAGATCTAGGTTAGGCTTTATCATCTGCAGTTATCCTTTTAAAAACAAGGATATCTGGGAAGTGGTAGCACATTGTTAGTAACATAGTTTACTCTGATCATGATGGCAAGGCACACCAGAAATCAGTTTCCACATGTATTTATGGGGCTTCTGCTGCCAACCAGGCATAGTTCTACTACCAACCAGAGTACTATGGATATAAAGATAAAAGCAGCCTCAATTCCTTAACAGTATAAGTTTCTGTAAGGAAAGCAAGCAACTGCTTATATAAATAATTTATGAATACACTTGTAAACCCCGTATACATAGTAACTGACATGCATTCATTCCTCTCTTTAGCAATTTTCACCCATTTATACACTTAGGATTTCAATTCTTTCAGCTACAAAGCTTCTCTCATTTGTAAGTTTGGAATTATGTTTATTATTACCTTGGCAGCAAGAAGGCCCAGCCCAGCTGATGGAAAGAGCAGCTTGAACATGAGAAGCATATTTTCCTGCATTGTTGAGACAGCCGTGGGAGGGCTAATAATTAAGTTGGGGTTCTCAGGGATCTTCTGGAGGATACAATCAACTTGTCGAGCATCCCCGGAAGACTGTAGCACGTACTACTAGGTACTCATTGTAAAGCCCCTGCCTTCAAACAACTTACGGCCTAGGGAAGGTGTGTGTGGTATTGGCATAAAAGGAAAAATTGTGATATAAAAGCTTTGGAAGATTTAGAGAAGAAAGATATCATGGCCTTTTAAGGGATAGTAATCAGGAAAACTCAACAAGGGAGATATTATCATAATATGGACCATGAAGATTGGTATAATCTTTCTTTCTTTCTTTCTTTCTTTCTTTCTTTCTTTCTTTCTTTCTTTCTTTCTTTCTTTCTTTCTTTCTCTCTCTCTCTTTCTTTCCTTTCTTTTCTTTCTTTCTCTTCTTCTTCTTCCTCTTCTTCTTCTTCCTTTTTTTTTTTTGAGATGGAGTTTCACTCTTGCTGCCCAGGCTGGAGTGCAATGGCATGATTTAAGCTCACCACAACCTCTGCCTTCTGGGTTCAAGCGATTCTCCTGCCTCAGCCTCCCAAGTAGCTGAGATTACAGGCATGTGCCACCACACCTGGCTAATTTTGTATTTTTAGTAGGGGCGGAGTTTCTCCATGTTGGTCAAGCTGATCTCAAACTCCCAACCTCAGGTGATCCACCCGTTTCGGCCTCCCAAAGTGCTGACATTACAGGCGTGAGCCACCACGCCTAGCCAGAGTGGTGTAATTTCAACTGAGAAAGAGCAAAAGGTGGCCCTTTGGAATTGTGTTTGGATTCACAAACATGGTAGATTTGAAATCAGTGAGGCGGACTATTCAGTCTCATTAGGAAGACGGACTATTCAGTTTAATTAGGACGAGAGAATTAAGAATAAAGTCTCATATTTTTAGTTAGAATGTCTTTGTACTTAGGGAGCTTATAAGGACTCCCTCATAAATAAACAATATCCTAAAATGCATCCTGTAATCCATAAAAAGATGATTAAGTGCCCAAGTGGCTAACATTCCCACTTAAAAAGCTTCCTCAGTTATAGAACTATCCTGTAGCATGTACTAGAAGCTCAAGGTTACAGTGAGGAATCAGATGTCATTTAAACACCATAGAGGAAAAGTAAATAGGACATTGATTCATATGCAAAATTGATGTGATGAACCTATGGCCCTAAGTCGTAGCTAGGATATTTTGTAGGAGTGAGGTGGCACGTGACAGGGGCTGTTATTCCGTAATGGTCATCCTGGGTCAGGAGAGCAGTCTGCAGTCTGTGCTTTCTGGTGGCCATGGTGGCCTGCGAGTTCGTGTCCAGTAGAAGCTGAGTGAGCTAATGACCACCAGGAGGTGCAGCATACTTCCGAAGGTCAGGCCACAGACTAATGATCTTTCCCTCACTGTTTTCATCACAAAGGTAGTATCTCTGCAGGCCAAAAGGCTACTACTACAGGAGACTGGGTTTCCAAGGATCTACTTGGAGATGATTTCAAACAGATGATTCCTCTAGAAACACATGTGTTGATGTAGCAACAGGAGTGGGGAACAATAATAGCTCAATAATGAAAGCGTATTGTTATTATTAACCTTGCAGTTAATATTTGTCTGCTACCATAAGGCAGTTCTACTTCTGCTTTCTCCTTTTGTATTAATGATTTCACTCTGGTTTTGAAACCCAAATCCAGATCTGCCACCCTCTGCTTAGCATCCTCCAACACTTCTGTGGCTCTTAGAATAGAGACCCTGGAACATGGACCTAGGAGTCTGTGTGACCTGATGTTGCCCATTCTCTCTGGATTTTTCTCTCACCACACTCCCTAACTCTCTCTTTTTTTTTTTGAGACGGAGTTTCACTCTTTCGCCCAGGCTGGAGTGCAATGGCTCAACCTCGGCTCACTGCAACCTCTGCCTCCTGGGTTCAAGTGATTCTCCTGCCTCAGCCTCCTGAGTAGCTGGGATTACAGGCGCTGGCCACCACGCCTGGCTAATTTTTGTATTTTTAGTAGAGATGGGGTTTCACCAGGTTGTCCGGGCTGGTCTCAAACTCCTGACCTCAGGTGATCTGCCCGCTTTGGCCTCCCAAAGTGCTGGGATTACAGGTGTGAGCCACCACGCCTGGCCCATACTTCCTAACTCTCTGCTTCAGACCTTCAGGCTTCTTTCAGCCCTTGGTAACTTCCAGATTCCTTTCCACGGAACTTTGCACTTGCCACTGCCTCTACCGGGGACGTCTCCTCTCTCTCCACTTGTCACCTCCCACTCACAATTGAGATCTCAGTTAAAGCTTCGGTTTCTCGGGGAAGCACTCCCTGACCTTGCTGACCAGCTCAGAGCCCCCTACCCTAACCCCTCTTAGAACCACGCATGCTGCTCTGTGTTAGCACTTAACGCATGTATAAGTCAGCATTTATTTTGTGATGATTTGACTGGTGGTCTGTCTTCCCCACTAGACTTTTAACTTTGTAGTGTGAGAGGCCATATTTATTTTTTCACAGTTTCATCTCTGGCACCTAGCACAATACTTGGCATGTGGTAACCAAGTATCATAAATAATTTTGTATTCATTCAACCAATATTTGTTAAGTATTCGCTAACTGACTCTAGTGACTATTGCACAAAGTGAGCAAGGAAAACAAAACAAAAGGTTAATGGTGGAATCACTGTAGAAAAGGAAGTTGCAGAGTAACTCGATTTAAAGAGGCAAATGAATAAAATGTAGAAGTTAGTAAAACAGTTCCAGTCTTTGACCAAGAAAGGCTCTTGGCCTGTCCCACTTTCATGCACCTACTACTACTAAGTCCTTGTGGTTTCTCAGGATTACAAACTCAGTGATGTGCCAGCGCTTCCTATGAGACATCAAAACAGCAGTGGGGAGTCGCTCAGAGCTCTGGGAAATTCAACTGAGAATTTTTATTTCATTTAGCAAATATGTACTTAGACGTAGCCTTTTATGGGGTAACTCTAAAATGTTAGGAGCAGCAGGAACAGCCTCACCTGTTCAGAAGTGATTCAGCCACAGGCAGAATGTACTTTGATGGCTGTATGAAAGAGTTATAGCCTAGATTTATTTATGTCATCTAAGGCATATCTACAGACAGCATCTTTCAGAATGGAAATCAAATTCTGGAGATGAAGAACTGTTTTTGAAAGAAATTGTGTTTGTACTAACACGGTAACTTGAGAGCATCAATTTGAGCCTTTGTATCCAGAATTTACTGAACTGTAGAATAAATATACGATACATCATATCTCTTATGCATTGCACTGTGAATATTTCGTGGTTTTAAATATGTGCCATGATTAGGTATGTGCTTTAGTAATCAACTGAATAAGGGTTTAAATCAATGAAATCAAAGTATCTCCTTTCAATTCGGCATGTTTCCTTCTGGGAGGTTTAAAAATATATCACAAAGAAAATTCTATTGCCAAGGCTAAAGCTCTTCTGGTGATATCAGAATTGAGCAATGGGATCCCAAGTCTTGGTCTTTAGTGCTCCATTTTTTAAAGAAGAAAATCCCTTAAAGTGCTCATGGAAGTCTTCAGCTTTTCCACAGATTTGTGTTGCAGTTAGATAATATTACTCCAAAAGTGAATAAAGAGTGAGAGTTTTAGCATAAAATGGCCTTGAAATGAAATGAACCAATAAACAAATAACATTCAACAAATATTACTATATATTTATATACTTATAGTGAGCTGTTTAATATCCAATTTGAGATGCCAACTAGGGGCTCCTGGCACCATAGAGATCAAGATAAGATTGGTTCAAATCCCTAAAGCCATGTCCTGTGAAAGTCCATATTTTTTAGCCTTAATGGAATGTACCATTTAAGAGGGGAGATAAGGCAAGTTCAGCAATGATGATAATATAGGAGTGAAGTAAAGTACACAGAGGAGAAAGAAGAAAATGTTTAGAAGAGAAAGGGAGAGGAGCACTTCCAGCCGGAATGTTTCTTGGAATTTTGGAGATGTGTGGAGATAAGCAAGAGAATACAATCACGGACTGAGGAAATAGTATGTTGGCAGGAAAGTGTGAGGCAGGCACAGGAAAGGGCTATTCTTTGTTCTGACTGAAGTGGAGTGGTGAGGATTACATGGGAAGTGGAGGAGAAGAAGGCCAGTTTACTGGGGGCTTTGGAAGTGAAGTTAGGGATTTTGCTGTTTATTCTGTAGTCCGTGGAGAAATGATCTGGATGTCAAGCAATATAAAGGCTGTTCTTATCCCCTGCCACTGATGACATTCATGCACCACGGTTTGTTTGAGTACCTGTTTTCAGTTCTCTTGGGTATATACTTTGGAGTGGGCAAATGTCATTCTAAATCTTCACTTTATGGAAAAAACCCATGAAGCTTTTACAGTTTGGTTCCAGATCCAAATCCTCCCTGTGGAACTCCAAAGCACCATTTCCCCGTTTTGCTTCAATATTAGAAGCAGGATTAGAAGCCAGAAGACCCATAGAGTAGGACTAGCTCTATTGTTTGGTTAGCTCATCATATGTACTTCAGCTTAGTGAAAACTCAGTTTACTCAACTGTTCCCTTTTTTCCTCTTAAGGTCATAGGCATCAAGACAATTGGTCTTTTGGAAGGCATTTTCCAAATCTTTCTGATTATTTCATAATAGGCTTGTACTTGGTCTTTAAAATTTCAAGCCAGGAAGGACTTTTACAGATTAACTGCTGCAAAATCCTGTCATTTCACAGAATAGTGGATGCCCAGAGGGGTTGGCTAGTTATGGGCTGAATTAGGGGTAAACACCAAGTCTTCTGACTCTGAAGTCTGGGCCCTTTCAACCTCACCCTGGCCAGCCCTTGTCCTGAGGCTCAATCAAATTTTTTGTCTTTTCTTCCTCTAGTTTGAAACAAACAACAGCAAAAATATACTTCTGAGTCATTCACTGAGTTAGTGGAGCTCAGATTTATCTCCAGGTCTGGCTGCTTTGTGACCTTTCCTGTGTTTTGTTCTCTAGGCGTGGGAGGGAAGCCAGCCTTTCCTCAGCCCCACTCATTAATATCATTGGGAATTCTCTTATTTGTATTCCTGTTAGTGTCACATTTAATGCAGCAAAGCTTGCATTTAAAGCAATAATCAGCCTGAAGTATATGAAATAAAAGATTGATATCAGCTTCATTAACTCATGCAAAAGCAATATCTTTACTTTATCTTGTTATGTCCTTAACTCCAGGAACCTTCAGACTTGGCAGCCATTGAAAAGTGAAATAACAACAATAATGATAATAACAAACAAGGAGATACCTTCCAAGAACTGCAGATTTTCAGTAATGTTGAGTAATTTCTTTATTGATTTAATGACAAGGGAAGATTATACTTACTACTTCCCTCAGTTTCCAAGTGTATTTTCACTTTTAAAAGAAAGATTCATAGTATGTAGTATGTAGCTTGAAGGTTAATGTTTTTTCACCTGGCTTATTTACGCATTAGGGACCTGGGCAGCTGAAATGTATGGCCATGGCCACTCTGTTATGAAGAAGGTAACAATCAGGAGATGGGAGAAAGGTTTGCTTTCCGTATGAAATAAAACATCCCGAAAAGGAAGCTTTATACCTGTTCTTTCAGCGGCTCATGCCATTTCATAGGCTTGACTACTAATTTGCACACAGAAGGCACAAGTGCCTGTAATAAGTATAGGACTTGACATCCATGACCCAACATAGATTGGCTTCAGTCAAACTTTCTGGCCTATCTCCCATTACTTAACTTTCCAAACCTGACTAGTTGGTCAGACTGGACACTTGCTATTTTCCAAGTGATTATTTTCAATTTTATTTCTAGCCAGACAACCTCCCCACTTTAATTGGCATGTTTATTCCATTTACATTTAGTTGGGATTTAGTCTACCATTTTGCTATTTCTTTTCTACTTGGGTCATATGTTCTTTGTTCCTTTTCCCCTTCTTTCCTGCATTTTTTTAGGAGTAACTGGGTTTTTTTTTTTTTTAGCATCCTATTTTATCTCCACTAATGACTGTATTAAAGTTCTTTCTGCTAATTCCATCATTCCTTTTCTTTTCTGTATCTGTTTCTATTGGCTCATTTCTCTGTTGGTTAGGAATCACATTCTCATGCTTTTTTACATAACTAGTAAATTTTAATTGTATGTTGGATGCTATAGTGTTGACTATCTGGATTTCATTATCTTTCTTAATAAGAGTGTTTTATTCTGGTAGGGTTTACTTGTGGATCAGGCTGGTTCTTTTAAGACTAGTTTTATGTACATGGTGAAAAAGGAAAGTGATTCAAGGCTAGAAAAATATTTAGGAGCCAAATCATCTAGAATGTTGTATATCCCCATGAGGACTTTAGATTTTATTGTAAGTAATCAAGAAACCATGAGATGAGTTTCAGCTAAAGAATGATATCAATCTGATTTATCTTTTTTAAAAGACTATTTTCTTTTAAATAATGTTTAAAGTTATCTTTAATTAATATAATAAATTAAATTAAAATATAATTATATTATATTTTAACCAACAGAGAAATTAGCCAATAGAAACAGATACAGAAAAGGAATGATGGAATTATCAGAAAGAACGTTAATACAGCCATTAGTGGAGATATAATTCTATATAATAAATTAAGCAAAATGATTTAATTATTATTAAATTTTCTTTTAAATAATGTTTAAAATGTTCAGTTAAGTAAATATTATTGAAGACCCATTAGAGCAAGGGGCATGTGATGGGCACTGGAGACAAGCGCATGAATGAATATAGATGATGTTCCTGCCCTTGAAGAGCTCACAGCATAATTGGGGCTATTGTGTGTAAGTGTGTTGATGGAAGCAAGCATAGGAAACTGTTGGGAGACTGACAGGGGCCTCAGAGATGGTTTCCTAGAGGAGACTAATCTCAGCTGACTCTTAAAAAAAAAAAATGACAGGACTTGTCCAGGTGAAAAGAAGGAAGGTATCACAGGCAGGCAGAATGTCTTGATTAAAGGTACAGAGATGTGGAAGAGCATGGAGTGTGTGGAACAACACAGTTCAGTTTTGTTAAGTGTGAAGTGCAAAGCTTTGTTTACCAACTTTCTCCTCCCTTGACTTTGCCTTCTGCCCTGACCTGAGTTTCACCTGGTCAGGTGCATCCATGCAGTCTTCAAGGTTCAATTCAAACACCACCTCCTTCCTGAAGCATATCCTGGTGCTCACAGAGAAGTGATTAGTGCCTATACTGATGGTGTTTCTATTATGCTCATATCTAATTGGCCATGTCCAATATACTGTGTTTCAACCTCAGAGTCCAAGAGGTATTGGCCCACAGTCAGTGCTCAATAAATATTTATTGATAAATAAATTCAATAAATCTCCCACGTTGGTGATCTCTAAGTTTATTACCAATTGTGCCTTATTTCTCCAGACTCATACATCTTTTCACCACCTTGGGCTCAGCCTTTCAAAATTTCCCCAAATCATGAGGCAGCCATACCTTCTATTTACAACACACCCCATCCACACACCCTGTTTGGCCCAAACAATGGGGTATTTATATTTTCTTGATTTTGTTGTATCAAGTATGCGGTACTTTGAATCTTAATCCCGGAACAGCTCTTAAGAATCATCAAGTTCATGGGGTTTCAAATTTGGCTGCTCATTAAAATTAGCTGGAGGAGCTTTTAAAAAAAATCTATGCCTGGTTATATGGTTTGGCCGTGTCCCCACTCAAATCCCATCTTGAATTGCAGTTCCCATAATCCACATGTATTGTGGGAGGGACCTAGTGGGAGGCAATTGAATCATGGCGGTGGTTACTCTCATGCTGTTCTCATGATAGTGAGTTCTCACAAGATCTGATGGTTTTATAAGGGGCTTTACCCCTTTTGTTCATTCTTCTCCTTGCTGCCACCATGTGAAGAAGGACATGTTTACTTCCCCTTTCACCATGATTGTAAGTTTCTTAAGGCCTCTCTAGCCGTGCTGACCTGTGAGTCAATTAAACCCCTTTCCTTTATAAATTACCCAGTCTTGGGTATGTCTTTGTTAGCAGGGTGAGAACAGACTAATAAACCTGGGATCCATACTCTAGAAATTCTGATTTAATTGGGTTGGGCTGGGGCTTCGACATCCTATTAAAAAATGTGTCTTCCCAGGTGATTCTGGTGTGTAACCAGGACTTAGAACCACCGATCTACGTTCCTCATATGACACAGGACGAAACTGCTGCCCCCGGCAGTGCTTGCACATGTAAACTTGTTCCTAGAGTAGGAAACTCTGTTTCATCTTCCCAGGAGGTAGCTTCCCATACCTCCTGGCTCCTGGCACAGACCTCGGCATAGTATGTCCACTTCCAATGTTCACTCGCATGCCCTGATTCCAAGTGAATCTTATGCCTCTGCTTTGTTCAGCTCCAGTGAACTGTGACTAAGGGCTAGGATCACACAAGAGGAGGAGGGCCCTGGCTGGAGAGGCCAAAGTGTGTCACGGTGCGAAATCTTCCTTCTGTATGAAGGACATGTCCAGCTTCATCAGGCAAGCGTAAGGTAACATTTTCTCCTTATTTTTTTTATCTTTTTTTAAAAATTGTATTATTATACTTGAAGTTTTAGGGTACATGTGCACAATGTGCAGGTTAGTTACATATGTATACATGTGCCACGCTGGTGTGCTGCACCCACTAACTCGTCATCTAGCATTAGGTATATCTCCCAATGCTATCCCTCCCCCTTCCCCCCACTCCACCACAGTCCCCAGAGTGTGATGTTCCCCTTCCTGTGTCCATGTGATCTCATTGTTCAATTCCCACCTATGAGTGAGAATATGCGGTGTTTGGTTTTTTGTTCTTGTGATAGTTTACTGAGAATGATGATTTTCAATTTCATCCATGTCCCTACAAAGGACGTGAACTCATCATTTTTTATGGCTGCATAGTATTCCATGGTGTATATGTGCCACATTTTCTTAATCCATCTATCATTGTTGGACATTTGGGTTGGTTCCAAGTCTTTGCTATTGTGAATAGTGCTGCAATAAACATACATGTGCATGTGTCTTTTTAGCAGCATGATTTATAGTCCTTTGGGTATATATCCAGTAATGGGATGGCTGGGTCAAATGGTATTTCTAGTTCTAGATCCCTGAGGAATCGCCACACTGACTTCCACAATGGTTGAACTAGTTTACAGTCCCACCAACAGTGTAAAAGTGTTCCTATTTCTCCACGTCCTCTCCAGCACCTGTTGTTTCCTGACTTTTTAATGATTGCCATTCTAACTGGTGTGAGATTGTATCTCACTGTGGTTTTGATTTGCATTTCTCTGATGGCCAGTGATGATGAGCATTTTTTCTTGTGTTTTTTGGCTGCATAAATGTCTTCTTTTGAGAAGTGTCTGTTCATGTCCTTTGCCCACTTTTTGATGGGGTTGTTTATTTTTTTCTTGTAAATTTGTTTGAGTTGATTGTAGATTCTGGATATTAGCCCTTTGTCAGATGAGTAGGTTGCAAAAATTTTCTCCCATTTTGTAGGTTGCCTGTTCACTCTGATGGTAGTTTCTTTTGCTGTGCAGAAGCTCTTTAGTTTAATTAGATCCCATTTGTCAATTTTGGCTTTTGTTGCCATTGCTTTTGGTGTTTTAGACATGAAGTCCTTGCCCATGCCTATGTCCTGAATGGTATTGCCTAGGTTTTCTTCTAGGGTTTTTATGGTTTTAGGTCTAACGTTTAAGTCTTTAATCCATCTTGAATTGATTTTTGTATAAGGTGTAAGGAAGGGATCCAGTTTCAGCTTTCTACATATGGCTAGCCAGTTTTCCCAGCACCATTTATTAAATAGGGAATCCTTTCCCCATTGCTTGTTTTTCTCAGGTTTGTCAAAGATCAGATAGTTGTAGATATGCGGCGTTATTTCTGAGGGCTCTGTTCTGTTCCATTGATCTATATCTCTGTTTTGGTACCAGTACCATGCTGTTTTGGTTACTGTAGCCTTGTAGTATAGTTTGAAGTCAGGTAGTGTGATGCCTCCAGCTTTGTTCTTTTGGCTTAGGATTGACTTGGCGATGCGGGCTCTTTTTTGGTTCCATATGAATTTTAAAGTAGTTTTTTCCAATTCTGTGAAGAAAGTCATTGGTAGCTTGATGGGGATGGCATTGAATCTGTAAATTACCTTGGGCAGTATGGCCATTTTCACGATATTGATTCTTCCTACCCATGAGCATAGAATGTTCTTCCATTTGTTTGTACCCTCTTTTATTTCCTTGAGCAGTGGTTTGTAGTTCTCCTTGAAGAGGTCCTTCACATCCCTTGTAAGTTGGATTCCTAGGTATTTTATTCTCTTTGAAGCAATTGTGAATGGGAGTTCACTCATGATTTGGCTCTCTGTTTGTCTGTTGTTGGTGTATAAGAATGCTTGTGATTTTTGTACATTGATTTTGTATCCTGAGACTTTGCTGAAGTTGCTTATCAGCTTAAGGAGAGTTTGGGCTGAGACAATGGGGTTTTCTAGATATACAATCATGTCGTCTGCAAACAGGGACAATTTGACTTCCTCCTTTCCTAATTGAATACCCTTTATTTCCTTCTCCTGCCTAATTGCCCTGGCCAGAACTTCCAACACTATGTTGAATAGGAGTGGTGACAGAGAGCATTCCTGTCTTGTGCCACTTTTCAAAGGGAATGCTTCCAGTTTTTGCCCATTCAGTATGATATTGGCTGTGGGTTTGTCATAGATAGCTCTTATTATTTTGAAATACGTCCCATCAATACCTAATTTATTGAGAGTTTTTAGCATGAAGTGTTGTTGAATTTTGTCAAAGGCCTTTGCTGCATCTATTGAGATAATCATGTGGTTTTTGTCTTTGGCTCTGTTTATATGCTGGATTACATTTATTGATTTGCGTATATTGAACCAGCCTGGCATCCCAGGGATGAAGCCCACTTGATCATGGTGGATAAGCTTTTTGATGTGCTGCTGGATTCGTTTTGCCAGCATTTTATTGAGGATTTTTGCATCAATGTTCATGAAGGATATTGGTCTAAAATTCTCTTTTTTGGTTGTGTCTCTGCCAGGCTTTGGTATCAGAATGATGCTGGCCTCATAAAATGAGTTAGGGAGGATTCCCTCTTTTTCTATTGATTGGAATAGTTTCAGAAGGAATGGTACCAGTTCCTCCTTGTACCTCTGGTAGAATTCGGCTGTGAATCCATCTGGTCCTGGACTCTTTTTGGTTGGTAAGCTATTGATTATTGCCACAATTTCAGATCCTGTTATTGGTCTATTCAGAGATTCAACTTCTTCCTGGTTTAGTCTTGGGAGAGTGTATGTGTTGAGGAATTTATCCATTTCTTCTAGATTTTCTAGTTTATTTGCATAGAGGTGTTTGTAGTATTCTCTGATGGTAGTTTGTATTTCTGTGGGATCAGTGGTGATATCCCCTTTATCATTTTTTACTGTGTCTATTTGATTCTTCTCTCTTTTCTTCTTTATTAGTCTTGCTAGCGGTCTATCTATTTTGTTGATCCTTTCAAAAAACCAGCTCCTGGATTCATTAATTTTTTGAAGGGTTTTTTGTGTCTCTATTTCCTTCAGTTCTGCACTGATTTTAGTTATTTCTTGCCTTCTGCTAGCTTTTGAATGTGTTTGCTCTTGCTTTTCTAGTTCTTTTCATTGTGATGTTAGGGTGTCAATTTTGGATCTTTCCTGCTTTCACTTGTGGGCATTTAGTGCTATAAATTTCCCTCTACACACTGCTTTGAATGCGTCCCAGAGATTCTGGTATGTTGTGTCTTTGTTCCCGTTGGTTTCAAAGAACATCTTTATTTCTGCCTTCATTTCATTATGTACCCAGTAGTCATTCGGGAGCAGGTTTTTCAGTTTCCATGTAGTTGAGCGGTTTTGAGTGAGATTCTTAATCCTGAGTTCTAGTTTGATTGCACTGTGGTCTGAGAGATAGTTTGTTATAATTTCTGTTCTTTTACATTTGCTGAGGAGAGCTTTACTTCCAAGTATGTGGTCAATTTTGGAATAGGTGTGGTGTGTTGCTGAAAAAAATGTATTCTGTTGATTTGGGGTGGAGAGTTCTGTAGATGTCTATTAGGTCTGCTTGGTGCAGAGCTGAGTTCAATTCCTGGGTATCCTTGTTGACTTTCTGTCTCGTTGATCTGTCTAATGTTGACAGTGGGGTGTTAAAGTCTCCCATTATTCATGTGTGGGAGTCTAAGTCTCTTTGTAAGTCACTCAGGACTTGCTTTATGAATCTGGGTGCTCCTGTATTGGGTGCATATATATTTAGGATAGTTAGCTCTTCTTGTTGAATTGATCCCTTTACCATTATGTAATGGCCTTCTTTGTCTCTTTTGATCTTTGTTGGTTTAAAGTCTGTTTTATCAGAGACTAGGATTGCAACCCCTGCCTTTTTTTGTTTTCCATTTGCTTGGCAGATCTTCCTCCATCCTTTTATTTTGAGCCAATGTGTGTCTCTGCACATGAGATGGGTTTCCTGAATACAGCACACTGATGGGTCTTGACTCTTTATCCAATTTGCCAGTCTGTGTCTTTTAATTGGAGCATTTAGTCCATTTACATTTAAAGTTAATATTGTTATGTGTGAATTTGATCCTGTCATGATGATGTTAGCTGGTGATTTTGCTCGTTAGTTGATGCAGTTTCTTCCTAGTCTCGATGGTCTTTATATTTTGGCATGATTTTGTAGTGGCTGGTACCGGTTGTTCCTTTCCATGTTTAGTGCTTCCTTCAGGAGCTCTTTTAGGGCAGGCCTGGTGGTGACAAAATCTCTCAGCATTTGCTTGTCTGTAAAGTATTTTATTTCTCCTTCACTTATGAAGCTTAGTTTGGCTGGATATGAAATTCTGGGTTGAAAATTCTTTTCTTTAAGAATGTTGAATATTGGCCCCCACTCTCTTCTGGCTTGTAGGGTTTCTGCCGAGAGATCCGCTGTTAGTCTGATGGGCTTCCCTTTGAGGGTAACCCGACCTTTCTCTCTGGCTGCCCTTAACATTTTTTCCTTCATTTCAACTTTGGTGAATCTGACAATTATGTGTCTTGGAGTTGCTCTTCTCGAGGAGTATCTTTGTGGCGTTCTCTGTATTTCCTGAATCTGAACGTTGGCCTGCCTTGCTAGATTGGGGAAGTTCTCCTGGATAATATCCTGCAGAGTGTTTTCCAGCTTGGTTCCATTCTCCCCGTCACTTTCAGGTACACCAATCAGATGTAGATTTGGTCTTTGCACATAGTCCCATATTTCTTGGAGGCTTTGCTCATTTCTTTTTATTCTTTTTTCTCTAAACTTCCCTTCTCACTTCATTTCATTCATTTCATCTTCCATTGCTGATACTCTTTCTTCCAGTTGATCGCATCGGCTCCTGAGGCTTCTGCATTCTTCACGTAGTTCTCGAGCCTTGGTTTACAGCTCCATCAGCTCCTTTAAGCACTTCTCTGTATTGGTTATTCTAGTTATACATTCTTCTAAATTTTTTTCAAAGTTTTCAACTTCTTTGCCTTTGGTTTGAATGTCCTCCCGTAGCTCAGAGTAATTTGATCGTCTGAAGCCTTCTTCTCTCAGCTCATCAAAGTCGTTCTCCATCCAGCTTTTTTCCGTTGCTGGTGAGGAACTGCGTTCCTTTGGAGGAGGAGAGGCACTGTGCTTTTTAGAGTTTCCAGTTTTTCTGTTTTGTTTTTTCCCCATCTTTGTGGTTTTATCTACTTTTGGTCTTTGATGATGGTGATGTACAGATGGGTTTTTGGTGTGGATGTCCTTTCTGTTTGTTAGTTTTCCTTCTAACAGACAGGACCCTCAGCTGCAGGTCTGTTGGAGTACCCAGCCGTGTGAGGTGTCAGTGTGCCCCTGCTGGGGGGGTGCCTCCCAGTTAGGCTGCTCAGGGGTCAGGGGTCAGGGACCCACTTGAGGAGGCAGTCTGCCCATTCTCAGATCTCCAGCTGCGTACTTGGAGAACAACTGCTCTCTTCAAAGCTGTCAGACAGGGACATTTAAGTCTGCAGAGGTTACTGCTGTCTTTTTGTTTGTCTGTGCCCTGCCCCCAGAGGTGGAGCCTACAGAGGCAGGCAGGCCTCCTTGAGCTGTGGTGGGCTCCACCCAGTTGGAGCTTTCCAGCTGCTTTGTTTACCTAAGCAAGCCTGGGCAATGGCGGGCGCCCCTCCCACAGCCTCGCTGCCACCTTACAGTTTGATCTCAGACTGCTGTGCTAGCAATCAGTGAGACTCCTTGGGTGTAGGACCCTTCGAGCCAGGTGCGGGATATAATCTCGTGGTGCGCCATTTTTTAAGCCCGTCAGAAAAGCGCAGTATTCGGGTAGGAGTGACCAGATTTTCCAGGTGCCGTCCGTCACCCCTTTCTTTGACTAGGAAAGGGAACTCCCTGACCCCTTGCACTTCCCGAGTGAGGCAATGCCTCACCCTGCGTCGGCTTGCACACGGTGTGCGCACCCACTGACCTGCGCCCACTGTCTGGCACTCCCTAATGAGATGAACCCGGTACCTCAGATGGAAATGCAGAAATCACTCGTCTTCTGTCTTGTGCGTCGCTCACGCTGGGAGCTGTAGACCAGAGCTGTTCCTATTCGGCCATCTTGGCTCCTCCCCCTCTGCCACATTTCTTACTTTTGACCAAGAATTGGCACTGCCTGGGCATCCACCTTGCTACCTTTGGGCAAGTTTGGCCTGTATCCCCCGTACCTGCAGATAAAGTCTTTCACCAGCTACACTGATGACAAAAATGGCTTCTGAAAAAATATCAAGACCAGATTAATCAGGGTGGCCAATTCAAGCCTAGTCTGTTTTTGTTTTGACAAGCCACATAAGAATGTTGGGAGGTACAGCTGTGTCCTCTTATGAGAGGAGAAAGATAAATACCATTAAAAGGCAATTAATACATTCAGTCAATCAACTAATCACTGTTTATTGAGCACCTACTATGTGCCAAAGATTCTACTAGGTAATGGGGTATTTGAATAAAACATGTCATCTCATCAAATACAACAGCAAAGGATTTCTTTACATGCAGGCTTATCTTTTTTTAATGTTTTTAATAATGATTCCCAGAACTGCTCATCTACTGTTTGTTAGGGATAAACAAACCAGTTAAAAATAAAAGGGGAGAGCCAACTAGAATTTCTGCCCAGATTTTGAGCCAAAGCTTGTTTTTCAAAGAGCTTCCTCACCTTACAAGTCTCGTCCAAATCTCCTAATTCTCCTTTCTTCACTCCAGTCTAGAAACATACACAAAAACTCTATGTTATGAAAAAGAAATGTGTAGGGAGAAAGAAAATTCAACTCATGAGCAGGCTAGACTTGCAAAAGTATCCCTGACTCAGTGAACCATAGTATAGGTTGGTGGTTGCTGAAACAACCTGGATATGGGATTCAGCTCCACAAAACTCTAGATGTGGTGAATAAGGGGTCACTGCAGAGTAAACCAGGATTGAACCAACCAAATCTTTATAATTTCCCTGACTCTAGCTCTTCAGAGAACAGCCCCTTTGACCAGTCTCTTCACCCAATACACTCACAGAAACACTTTATTTTCATTGCTTCTCACATCTTCAATTCTAGTGGAAAAATTACCAGTGTGATATTTATACTGAAAGTTATTGAAGTCCAATAATCTTAAAGGCAATTCTTTCTTTTGGAACTTTCTGCCTTCTCTTTCTAGTTCTCTATTTGAATGGGTCACAAATGGGGGGGGGGGGGGAGAGAGAGAGAGAGAGAGAGAGAACGTGAATAATCTTTCTTTGAGCAGACTATTGGCCAATATAGATTAATATATATAGAAAGAAGGTCAGTGAGAGAGGGTGAAGAATACAGCACAGTTGCTTTCATTCAGTGTGATGAGCTTGACTTTACCTGAGCCCTGTGCTCCTGGAGAGCAAGAGTGATGGTTGAGAAATCTCCCCAGCCTTTTGTGTTCCAGTAAAGAACACCCTTCCTTATATGATTTGGATAAAACTCAGAATCCATTCTTTCCCATGACTCTCATAAGACTCGTGGGTGGCTCCCTTGTTTACCCTGTGACAAGGCCAAACACAGACCTTTCCTCTTTGGTCTGAACCTGCTGACAAGGCTGGACACAGCCCCTCCAACTCCTGTTCTTTTTTTCTCATATTTGATTAACTGGATTGGAATGGCTTGTATCCCTGAAATTAGTTAACCATAGAGAAAAATATTCCAGGCCTGATAACTAACATAGACTTGTCCTGCTTGCAAAACAACTCCAACTGTAAATTACCTCCTTTGTAAGCTATTTACCCTCCATCCCCTTCCCTAAAAGTTTAAGGCAAAGCCACCTTGTTGAGACATTCTGGTCTTCAGATCTTTTCATCTTATTGCAATTACCTGAATAAAATCAATCTCTTTACTCATCTGATTTTTGTCTTTGACAAGCTCCCGTAGGTTTTATTGAACCTCTAACATACATGCGGAAAGCAGAGAGAATTATGGCACTCTGTCCTCTAAGAGCTCATCTCATAATGGAGAAAATACATGAAACTCAAGCAGTCCTAGTACCTGGCTGTCTATAAAAAGTGCTCAGATACAGGTGAAGAGTGCCAAGGTAGCTGTAGAGATGGAGAGAGGAATTCTGCCTGGGAATATGGGATTTAAAATGGGGAGGGAACAACAAAGCAGTCTTCTCAAGTGAGTGTTCTCCTACTAGTAGTGAGGCAGGATAGGTAGTCAAGAAAATGACCATATCTTCAGGACACAGCAACCATGGTGATGGTATAGTCAACATAATAAGCCCAGCATTGCATTGTAATTGAGCTCATTAAAGTAAAGATATCTTCAGTAGGGAATTTCTCCTGTAGATATCATGTGTACTTTGATTTTATGTGTTCTCAAACTGACCCCTTACTCATTATAATAGTAAAAATCACACCCCGGGTGGAGATTTAAGATGCTAATGAGACAGGCGATGTATGAACAAGCATGGACAGCTACTGTGCATGTGTGCCCAGAGGACCACCCAGGACATGCTTACTAATAACACCTCATCCTACCCCTTTATGAATAATCAGATAAGACTCCCATAAAGGGAGTGTCCCTAGCGCCAGTCTTTGCTGTCTGTTCCTTCTGAGTCACCCTCTCTGAATTCTCTCTCTCAGGGTGTACTGTCTATTCTGCATCTAACTTTCAAAATATTCTTTTACTTTTGCAATAAATTATTCTACAGAATAAATTCTAGAATAATATTCTAGAATAGAGTAAATTCTAGAATAATATTCTAGAATAGAGTAAATGCTAGAATATTATTCTAGACTAGAGTAAATGCTAGAATATTATTCTAGACTAGAGTAAATGCTAGAATATTATTCTAGACTAGAGTAAATGCTAGAATATTATTCTAGACTAGAGTAAATGCTAGAATATTATTCTAGACTAGAGTAAATGCTAGAATATTATTCTAGAATAGAGTAAATGCTAGAATATTATTCTAGAATAGAGTAAATGCTAGAATATTCTAGAATAGAGTAAATGCTAGAATATTATTCTAGAATAGAATAAATCTATTCTATTCTAGATATATATCCTTTGCTGTGTGTCTCTTGCTTAAATTCTTTTAAACTAAGAAGACAAGTAGCGAGGTATCACAACAGCTGTCAACAGTAGTACTGAGGGGTCATCTGGGAGAGTTCTCATTACACTGTGCCATCAGCTCTCTCCACGCCATCTCAAATAAACACATAATTGAATAAGCCCAATGTCCTTGCCATGCAAATATAATAGCTTCAAAAAAGTCTCTGGCCCTGACTTGCAACCAGATTGCTCCTTTCTGTAGAGAAAATTGGTGGCAGACACTGTGTTCTTTCGAGTCTGAAAGTTACCAGAGCAGCCTGCATGAGACCAACTGACATAGGGCAGGGGAATGTAGATCATGGGCAGCCTCAGGAAAGTGTCAGGGACTGAGTTGCTGAACTGATTTCTGTTGGAAGCTTATTTACAGAAGCCCGATCTGGTCCTGCCAGTGAAAAGAAGACTGAATGGAATTATCAACTAGTAGTTTATCATGACTTCAGCCTGTCCTAGTTTGCATAGGCTCAGATTACAGCAGATGGGTTGGTTTCCCTCTCTTTCAAAATTGAGGATGGATGAAGGGGAGATAAATTTGCCAAACAAAACCAGATTATAGAGGGCAGTCTATCACAGCTTCTAGGGGAATCATGAAGGCCATCATCTTTACAATAAATCATAACTATGCACACATTTAAATGCACATTACAGTAGCTGAAGCCTAGCCTAAATTGGTACATTTTGTTTCAACAGCATTTGATTATTCTTGTGATGTTATGACTATGATCATAACGATTGCAATTTGCTAGTGTATAGAGATGGCTTGTCCAAAGAGATGCAGCTTGAAATCAAGAATCACAGAGATGATTTGCTGTGAGCACCCATTTGGAGGGCAAATGGTCAGGCAGCATTACACTCAGGAAGCTCAGTGTGTTAGGGAGGGTCTGGCCACTTACAGCCGGGGAGAAGGATGCTCTGGAAACCATCCTTGACCACAAGACTTGCGGTTAAACAGCTGCAGGACCTTGGACAAGTACTTCATCCAGGCCCCCTACTATGAAGTGTCCTAAACACACTATACTGCAAACGAATCATCCAGATCTTTGCATAACATCTTCTCACTTTCGAGAATGCCCTCTTCCCTGTTCCTCTAAGGTCCATTTAGTAAATTGTCTTTCTTCAGTTTCTTTTAGAGCGTCACCTTAGATCTTTTCCTGGTCTCATCATGGAGGGCAGACAGTAAAATTTCCTCATTAAGAATAAGGACAAGCATTAACATTTATTAATACTATGTATATAAGATGGAATGGTGGTAGTGGGCTTCATTTGCCACATGGTATTATAATTGTCTGTCTACTTGCTGCCTGCCCTTTCAGACTGTAAGTGTCTTAAAAACAGGATGTCTGCCTGGCTCATCTTTCTGCCCACAGCCTGGTGATGGCACTTGGCAAACATTCAGTCTACGTTGGTTGAATAAGTTTCTTCCCCAGTATAAGAAGGAAAATGCTCACAGAATTGTGGCAAAGATTAAGTGAAATGGTAAGTATTAAAGTACCTAGTAATGAACTGTCTGTACACATACCACATGTTTTCATAATCTCTCAAGCAGACAAGGAGAATCTGGGTGAGAAATCACACAGCAGGTGCGCTCAGAAACACAGCAGGTGTGTGCCGATCCAGGTCTCTGAGAATGCAAGGCTCCTGTCAGCTGCTGACCTGGAAAAGAAAATCCCATCTTATTGCGAGTCAGAAAGGGGAAGCTGCTGCCATGCTTTAAAAGAGTAAGGAGAGGTGTAATGAATGGCAAGAGAGAGGGATGCTTTGAAACAAAATCTACTTCTCATGAATTGTATTTATACACAATGATTCTGCCATAGTCTCATACTTCACATAGCAGGTCGGCCTCTGAAATCCCCCTTATTAGGAAGGCTGGGGAAGAGCAGGGTTGCTGTGTGGTGGTGCCTGCCCCTTCCACAGGGTACAGGGAGACATGAGGCATGGGAGGCCAGAGAAAGGGGTTTGGCTCATGGAGGAGCCAGAAGGGGAAGCCACTTGGCTATGCCACCCCTGAGCCACCTCTGTTACTGCTGGGCAGGATGGTCACTCAGGCGTGGATGGCCTTAATCTCCATCCTGCCCCCCACACCCATGGACACAGGTGGGAGGCCGATGACAGGAGACACTACCAAGAAACAAGGGGAAAAAGTCCTCAGGACACACAAAGGCCCATGAGTCTTGGTCTTAGCACCAAGATTTGTTCTCCTGAAGTTAACCCGAGGCTTCACCATCGACAGGCAAATATTTACCAAAATAACTCAGTTTTAGAATTTCAGTTCCATTATTTGCTGTGGATATATTTTATGGGAGTAGGTCAGGACCAGGAAGGGGTGGTTCCTTTCTTTGGCCAGGGAACCAGGGCAGAGCAACCCCAGCTGATGGCTGTGGGAAAACCAAACTGCTTTCTTTGTCATGAAGACTCCTGCTGGGAGCTAGCTGCAGTGGCATACACCTTACTCCCAGCTACTTGGGAGGCTGAGGTGGGAAGAGCCAAGGAGTTTGAGGCCAGTCTTGGCAATATAGTGAGACCTCAACAAAAAAACAAAAGCCTCTTGGTGGGTGAAGGTGAAGAGAGGAAGGAGGATGTACTCCCTGTGTGAGGTGAATATATATTAATTAAGGCTGTCTTCCTGCTAGAATAGACTGTAAGCGTCCTGAGGGAATAGGTGATGGCTGACTTACTTAGCTCTGTATTTCCATCAACATGCACAAAATATAAGTGAACGAATGATGAATGAATGAGAGAAGTGATGAATGATCTCTCTTAAAAAACCATCCCTGCAGAGAGAAGGGAAGCTGGCTCTATTAGAGTGGGAGAGTGCTGCAGGAGGGTGGAGAGAAGCTGCAGGAGGGTGGAGAGGAGATAAGGCTTGACTCCTGGATGAGGACCCAGCACCATTAGCCCAGGGGCTGATGATTCCTCCTCAGAAAGAGCAGCCAGCCATTTGGTTTCTACCCCAAAGGGCCTGGCTGGAGCAAGGAAGATCGAGCAGGTTCACCTCTCCAGGTTCTATACAACAATTCCTGGTGCAGCCTCTTGCCGTGTTGAGGGTCAGAGGAAGGGCCCTGAAGGAGGAGAAAGTGGAACCTAGTTCCAGCTCTGCCTATAGACATAGGATGGCCTGGACAAGACCTTGTTTTTTCCTGGACCCCCTTTCATCATGACAGCACTGGCAAGGAGGCAATTCACTCTATGCTGCACTGACATTTCCACTGAGGTATGCCTGGTGGCAGAGAGAGATGGCCTGTGGGTTTGGAGCACAGCTGAAAGCAGCTACCTCAATCACTAAAGTTCTTTTATAGTGCCATTTTTCAAGTTCAGGCACATTTTTCATTTTACTTGATTGTATACCTGTGTTTGCTTTAACATATAGTAATGCTATATATGGATAGAATTGTCCTGGAAGCTGAGCCACGTTTGCCTTTGATTTCTACCCTCACTGGCATTAGCACCTCATTCCTTCAGTGTTGGGAAGCTCAGAGCTAGATGACTCCAGGGTCCCTTCCAGTTCCCAAACCTCATGATTTTTAAACAAAGGTGAAGCAGATGGCTCCTCTTACTTTCCCTGCAAACAAACCCACACTCCCATTCTTTGTTCCACAATATTTGGATCTGAATGTTGTTCTTTGATGAGAAAGGGCATAGCAAGCCTCAGTGAAGTTATTTAGTAAATCCTTGAATTCAGCAAAGTATCCTTTGTTTCACTTATTCCTGACCGATTGCCCTGCTTGTCAATATCCCTCATAAATTTAGGTGTAAAACATTCAGAAAAAATTCATTTCCAGATATATCTCTTCTCTAAAATCATGCCATAACCCTTGTGGTGAATGCCAGCTAAGCTATTTGCTTTTTGATAACAAGTTGGTGAAAAAATTGCAGGGAAAATGCTTATTCATTTTTTTCTTTTTGGTCTTCGTGATTCATTTTATAGTTCCTAGACTATGATGGCACAGGTAAAAAACTGTTTGCCATTTTAGAAGCATGCCTGAGTTCTAGATGATGATGAATGATAGGATTCTGTGGCAACAATAATACATGATGCCGCTGGTGTTGCTGTGTTGAATTTGCCAGCTTTCCCTGTACAGTCCTAACAAACTCAATGAAGACCTGCCTCACTGTGAGGGACCAAAGAGCAAGTCTCCCTGGTTGCCTCCATTAGCAGAAAACACTGGTTCTGCTGACAAGGAAATTACTTAGTCCTTTAAATCATAATGTCATCTTCATTTCTGAGACAAGAAGGCCAGAGCTGCATCCTCCCAACCTTCATAGCCACAAGGACTTATGACCCATTTGAAGGAACATCTCAAGGACATCTCTCAGGCATTGCTTCTGACAGTTGCATGTCACTAACAGGAAATTGCCAGCTCAGAACATGGCTTTAAGGAGGAGGAGCCAAGATGGCCGAATAGGAACAGCTCCGGTCTACAGCTCCCAGCGTGAGCAACGCAGAAGACGGGTGATTTCTGCATTTCCATCTGAGGTACCGGGTTCATCTCACTAGGGAGTGCCAGACAGTGGGCGCAGGCCAGTGTGTGTGCGCACCGTGCGCGAGCCGAAGCAGGGCGAGGCATTGCCTCACCTGGGAAGTGCAAGGGGTCAGGGAGTTCCCTTTCCGAGTCAAAGAAAGGGGTGACGGACGCACCTGGAAAATCGGGTCACTCCCACCCGAATATTGCGCTTTTCAGACCGGCTTAAGAAACGGCGCACCACGAGACTATATCCCACACCTGGCTCAGAGGGTCCTACGCCCACGGAATCTCGCTGATTGCTAGCACAGCAGTCTGAGATCAAACTGCAAGGCGGCAACGAGGCTGGGGGAGGGGCGCCCGCCATTGCCCAGGCTTGCTTAGGTAAACAAAGCAGCCGGGAAGCTCGAACTGGGTGGAGCCCACCACAGCTCAAGGAGGCCTGCCTGCCTCTGTAGGCTCCACCTCTGGGGGCAGGGCACAGACAAACAAAAAGACAGCAGTAACCTCTGCAGACTTAAGTGTCCCTGTCTGACAGCTTTGAAGAGAGCAGTGGTTCTCCCAGCACACAGCTGGAGATCTGAGAACTGGCAGACTGCCTCCTCAAGTGGGTCCCTGACCCCTGACCCCCGAGCAGCCTAACTGGGAGGCACCCCCCACCAGGGGCACACTGACACCTCACACGGCAGGGTATTCCAGCAGACCTGCAGCTGAGGGTTCTGTCTGTTAGAAGGAAAACTAACAACCAGAAAGGACATCTACACCGAAAACCCATCTGTACATCACCATCATCAAAGACCAAAAGTAGATAAAACCACAAAGATGGGGAAAAAACAGAACAGAAAAACTGGAAACTCTAAAACGCAGAGCGTCTCTCCTCCTCCAAAGGAACGCAGTTCCTCACCAGCAACAGAACAAAGCTGGATGGAGAATGATTTTGACGAGCTGAGAGAAGAAGGCTTCAGACGATCAAATTACTCTGAGCTACGGGAGGACATTCAAACCAAAGGCAAAGAAGTTGAAAACTTTGAAAAAAATTTAGAAGAATGTATAACTAGAATAACCAATACAGAGAAGTGCTTAAAGGAGCTGATGGAGCTGAAAACCAAGGCTCGAGAACTACGTGAAGAATGCAGAAGCCTCAGGAGCCGATGCGATCAACTGGAAGAAAGGGTATCAGCAATGGAAGATGAAATGAATGAAATGAATCGAGAAGGGAAGTTTAGAGAAAAAAGAATAAAAAGAAATGAGCAAAGCCTCCAAGAAATATGGGACTATGTGAAAAGACCAAATCTACGTCTGATTGGTGTACCTGAAAGTGATGTGGAGAATGGAACCAAGTTGGAAAACACTCTGCAGGATATTATCCAGGAGAACTTCCCCAATCTAGCAAGGCAGGCCAACGTTCAGATTCAGGAAATACAGAGAACGCCACAAAGATACTCCTCGAGAAGAGCAACTCCAAGACACATAATTGTCAGATTCACCAAAGTTGAAATGAAGGAAAAAATGTTAAGGGCAGCCAGAGAGAAAGGTCGGGTTACCCTCAAAGGAAAGCCCATCAGACTAACAGCGGATCTCTCGGCAGAAACCCTACAAGCCAGAAGAGAGTGGGGGCCAATATTCAACATTCTTAAAGAAAAGAATTTTCAACCCAGAATTTCATATCCAGCCAAACTAAGCTTCATAAGTGAAGGAGAAATAAAATACTTTATAGACAAGCAAATGCTGAGAGATTTTGTCACCACCAGGCCTGCCCTAAAAGAGCTCCTGAAGGAAGTGCTAAACATGGAAAGGAACAACCGGTACCAGCCGCTGCAAAATCATGCCAAAATGTAAAGAACATCGAGACTAGGAAGAAACTGCATCAACTAATGAGCAAAATCACCAGCTAACATCATAATGACAGGATCAAATTCACACATAACAATATTAACTTTAAATATAAATGGACTAAATTCTGCAATTAAAAGACACAGACTGGCAAGTTGGATAAAGAGTCAAGACCCATCAGTGTGCTGTATTCAGGAAACCCATCTCACGTGCAGAGACACACATAGGCTCAAAATAACAGGATGGAGGAAGATCTACCAAGCAAATGGAAAACAAAAAAAGGCAGGGGTTGCAATCCTAGTCTCTGATAAAACAGACTTTAAACCAACAAAGATCAAAAGAGACAAAGAAGGCCATTACATAATGGTAAAGGGATCAATTCAACAAGAGGAGCTAACTATCCTAAATATTTATGCACCCAATACAGGAGCACCCAGATTCATAAAGCAAGTCCTCAGTGACCTACAAAGAGACTTAGACTCCCACACATTAATAATGGGAGACTTTAACACCCCACTGTCAACATTAGACAGATCAACGAGACAGAAAGTCAACAAGGATACCCAGGAATTGAACTCAGCTCTGCACCAAGCAGACCTAATAGACATCTACAGAACTCTCCACCCCAAATCAACAGAATATACATTTTTTTCAGCACCACACCACACCTATTCCAAAATTGACCACATAGTTGGAAGTAAAGCTCTCCTCAGCAAATGTAAAAGAACAGAAATTATAACAAACTATCTCTCAGACCACAGTGCAATCAAACTAGAAATCAGGATTAAGAATCTCACTCAAAGCCACTCAACTACATGGAAACTGAACAACCTGCTCCTGAATGACTACTGGGTACATAACGAAATGAAGGCAGAAATAAAGATGTTCTTTGAAACCAACGAGAACAAAGACACCACATACCAGAATCTCTGGGACGCATTCAAAGCAGTGTGTAGAGGGAAATTTATAGCACTAAATGCCTACAAGAGAAAGCAGGAAAGATCCAAAATTGACAGCCTAACATCACAATTAAAAGAACTAGAAAAGCAAGAGCAAACACATTCAAAAGCTAGCAGAAGGCAAGAAATAACTAAAATCAGAGCAGAACTGAAGGAAATAGAGACACAAAAAACCCTTCAAAAAATCAATGAATCCAGGAGCTGGTTTTTTGAAAGGATCAACAAAATTGATAGACCACTAGCAAGACTAATAAAGAAAAAAAGAGAGAAGAATCAAATAGACACAATAAAAAATGATAAAGGGGATATCACCACCGATCCCACAGAAATACAAACTACCATCAGAGAATACTACAAACACCTCTACGCAAATAAACTAGAAAATCTAGAAGAAATGGATACATTCCTCGACACATACACTCTCCCAAGACTAAACCAGGAAGAAGTTGAATCTCTGAATAGACCAATAACAGGCTCTGAAATTGTGGCAATAATCAATAGTTTACCAACCAAAAAGAGTCCAGGACCAGATGGATTCACAGCCGAATTCTACCAGAGGTACAAGGAGGAACTGGTACCATTCCTTCTGAAACTATTCCAATCAATAGAAAAAGAGGGAATCCTCCCTAACTCATTTTATGAGGCCAGCATCATTCTGATACCAAAGCCGGGCAGAGACACAACCAAAAAAGAGAATTTTAGACCAATATCCTTGATGAACATTGATGCAAAAATCCTCAATAAAATACTGGCAAACCGAATCCAGCAGCACATCAAAAAGCTTATCCACCATGATCAAGTGGGCTTCATCCCTGGGATGCAAGGCTGGTTCAATATACGCAAATCAATAAATGTAATCCAGCATATAAACAGAGCCAAAGACAAAAACCACATGATTATCTCAATAGATGCAGAAAAAGCCTTTGACAAAATTCAACAACCCTTCATGCTAAAAACTCTCAATAAATTAGGTATTGATGGGACGTATTTCAAAATAATAAGAGCTATCTATGACAAACCCACAGCCAATATCATACTGAATGGGCAAAAACTGGAAGCATTCCCTTTGAAAACTGGCACAAGACAGGGATGCCCTCTCTCACCGCTCCTATTCAACATAGTGTTGGAAGTTCTGGCCAGGGCAATCAGGCAGGAGAAGGAAATAAAGGGTATTCAATTAGGAAAAGAGGAAGTCAAATTGTCCCTGTTTGCAGACGACATGATTGTTTATCTAGAAAACCCCATCGTCTCAGCCCAAAATCTCCTTAAGCTGATAAGCAACTTCAGCAAAGTCTCAGGATACAAAATCAATGTACAAAAATCACAAGCATTCTTATACACCAACAACAGACAAACAGAGAGCCAAATCATGGGTGAACTCCCATTCACAATTGCTTCAAAGAGAATAAAATACCTAGGAATCCAACTTACAAGGGATGTGAAGGACCTCTTCAAGGAGAACTACAAACCACTGCTCAAGGAAATAAAAGAGGACACAAACAAATGGAAGAACATTCCATGCTCATGGGTAGGAAGAATCAATATCGTGAAAATGGCCATACTGCCCAAGGTAATTTACAGATTCAATGCCATCCCCATCAAGCTACCAATGACTTTCTTCACAGAATTGGAAAAAACTACTTTAAAGTTCATATGGAACCAAAAAAGAGCCCGCATCGCCAAGTCAATCCTAAGCCAAAAGAACAAAGCTGGAGGCATCACACTACCTGACTTCAAACTATACTACAAGGCTACAGTAACCAAAACAGCATGGTACTGGTACCAAAACAGAGATATAGATCAATGGAACAGAACAGAGCCCTCAGAAATAATGCCACATATCTACAACTATCTGATCTTTGACAAACCTGAGAAAAACAAGCAATGGGGAAAGGATTCCCTATTTAATAAATGGTGCTGGGAAAACTGGCTAGCCATATGTAGAAAGCTGAAACTGGATCCCTTCCTTACACCTTATACAAAAATCAATTCAAGATGGATTAAAGATTTAAACGTTAGACCTAAAACCATAAAAACCCTAGAAGAAAACCTAGGCATTACCATTCAGGACATAGGCGTGGGCAAGGACTTCATGTCCAAAACACCAAAAGCAATGGCAACAAAAGCCAAAATTGACAAATGGGATCTAATTAAACTAAAGAGCTTCTGCACAGCAAAAGAAACTACCATCAGAGTGAACAGGCAACCTACAACATGGGAGAAAATTTTCGCAACCTACTCATCTGACAAAGGGCTAATATCCAGAATCTACAATGAACTCAAACAAATTTACAAGAAAAAAACAAACAACCCCATCAAAAAGTGGGCGAAGGACATGAACAGACACTTCTCAAAAGAAGACATTTATGCAGCCAAAAAACACATGAAGAAATGCTCATCATCACTGGCCATCAGAGAAATGCAAATCAAAACCACTATGAGATATCATCTCACACCAGTTAGAATGGCAATCATTAAAAAGTCAGGAAACAACAGGTGCTGGAGAGGATGTGGAGAAATAGGAACACTTTTACACTGTTGGTGGGACTGTAAACTAGTTCAACCATTGTGGAAGTCAGTGTGGCGATTCCTCAGGGATCTAGAACTAGAAATACCATTTGACCCAGCCATCCCATTACTGGGTATATACCCAAAGGACTATAAATCATGCTGCTATAAAGACACATGCACACGTATGTTTATTGCGGCACTATTCACAATAGCAAAGACTTGGAACCAACCCAAATGTCCAACAATGATAGACTGGATTAAGAAAATGTGGCACATATACACCATGGAATACTATGCAGCCATAAAAAATGATGAGTTCATATCCTTTGTAGGGACATGGATGAAATTGGAAACCATCATTCTCAGTAAACTATCGCAAGAACAAAAAACCAAACACCGCATAATCTCACTCATAGGTGGGAATTGAACAATGAGATCACATGGACACAGGAAGGGGAATATCACACTCTGGGGACTGTGGTGGGGTCGGGGGGAGGGGGGAGGGATAGCATTGGGAGATATACCTAATGCTAGATGACACATTAGTGGGTGCAGTGCACCAGCATGGCACATGTATACATATGTAACTAACCTGCACAATGTGCACATGTACCCTAAAACTTAGAGTATAATAAAAAAAAAAAAGAAAGGAAAAAAAAAAAAAAAAAAAAAAAAGAAAAAAAAAAAAAAAAAAAAAAAAAAAAAGAACATGGCTTTATTTGTCTTCTGGGAGGACAAATACCACATGTTAAATGGGAATTAATCTGAAGGGGAAAAAGTATTGTTGCCCTTGCAGCTGACTCTCATTTATGTTTTGTTAAAAAAATCACCGTACTGAGATTTAATTTACAATACAATAAAATGATTCATTTTAAATGTACAGTTTAATTTTTTTTTTTTTTTGAGACAAAGTCTCACTGCTCTGTTGCCCAGGCTGGAGTGCAGTGGTATGATCTGGGCTCACTGCAACCTCCACCTCCTGAGTTCAAGCAATTCTCGTGTTTTAGCCTCCCATGTAGCTGAGATTACAGGTGTGTGCCACTACACCTGGCTAATTTTTTGTATTTTTAGTAGAGATGGGCTTCACCATGTTGATTAGGCTGGTCTTGAACTCCTGACCTCAAATGATCTGCCCACCTCAGCCTCTCAAAGTGCTAATGTTTTGACAGATATAGACACCCATGTAACTATCAGCACAATAAGATATTGAACATTTTTATCCCCCAAAACCCTTTCCTGTCCCTTTGCACTCAATCCTCCAACCTCCAGCTCCAGGCAACCACTGCTTTTCACCACTGTAGATTAGTTTTGCCTATCCAGGAATTTTTAATGAATGAACAGCATGGCAGATACTCTTCTGTTTCTGGCTCCCTTTGTTCAACATATGGTTTCTGAGATTCATTCATGTTGCTATACATACCAGTAGTTTTTTTGGTTTTGTTTCCAAGTAGTATTCTATTGTATAAACATATCACAATTTGTTTATGCATTTACTTGTTAATGGACATTTGAATTGTTTTCAAGTTTTGGCTACTATTATGAATAATGTTTCTGTGATAAAAGACTTAGTTTGTAGACCTATGTTTTCATTTCTTCTAGATAAATACTGACATGGTTTGGCTGTGTCCTCACCCAAATCTCATCTTGAATTGTAACTCCCACAATTCCCCCATGTTGTGGAGGAACCCAGTGTGAAGTAATTGAATCATGGGGGTGGGTCTTTCTCATGCTGTTCTTGTGATAGTGAGTAAGTCTCACGATATCTGATGGTTTTATAAAGAGGAGTTCCCCTGCACAAGTTCTCTATTTTTGCCTCCGGCCATCCATATAAGACATGACTTGTTCCTCCTTGCCTTTCACCATGATTGTGAGGCCTCCTCAGCCATGTGGAACTGTAAGTCTATTAAACCTCTTTTTCTTCCCAGTCTCCAGTATGTCTTTACCAGCAGCATGAAAATAAACTAATACAGTAAATTGGTACCAGAAGAGTGGGGTGCTGCTGAAAAGATACCTGAAAATGTGGAAGTGACTTTGGAACTGGGTAACAGGTAGAGATTGGAACAGTTTGGAGGGCTCAGAAGTCAGGATAATGTGGGAAAGTTTGGAATTCCCTAGAGACTTTTTGAATGGCTTTGACCAAAATGCTGATAATGATATGGACAATGAAATCTAGGCTGAGGTGGTCTCAGATGGAGATGAGGGACTTGTTGGGAACTCGAGAGAAGGTGACTCTTGTTATGTGTTAGCAAAGAGACTGGTGACATTTTGCCCCTGCCCTAGAGATTTGTAGAACTTTGAACTTGAGAGAAATATTTAGGGTATCTGGCAGAAGAAATTTATAAGCAGCAAAGCATTGAAGAGGTGACTTGGGTGCTGTTAAAGGCATACAGTTTTTTTTTTTCTGAGATGGAATTTCACTCTTGTTGCTCAGGCTGGAGTGCAATGACATGATCTCGGCTCACCACAACCTCTGCCTCCCAGGTTCAAGTGATCCTCCTGCCTCAGCCTCCCGAGTAGCTGGGATTACAGGCGTGCACCACCATGCCTGATTAATTTTGTATTTTTGGTAGAGATAGGGTTTCTCCATGTTGGTCAGACTGGTCTCAAACTCCTGACTTCAGGTGATCCACCCTCCTCAGCCTCCCAATGCTGGAATTACAGGCGTGAGCCACTGTGCCTGGCTGAGTTTTATAAGGGAAGCAGAACATAAAAGTGTGGAATATTTGCAGCCTGACAATGTGATAGAAAAGAAAATCCCATTTTCTGAGCAGAAATTCAAGCTGGCTGCAGAAATTTGCATATGTAATGAGGAGCAGAATGTTAATCCCCAAGACAATGGGGAAAATGTCTCCAGGGCATGTTGGAGGTCTTTATGGCAACCCCTCCCATCACAGGCCTGGAGGTCAAGGAGGAAAAAATGGTTTCGTGAACCAGGCTCAGGGTCCCTGTGCTGTGTGCAGTCTAGGGGCTTGGTGGTACCCTGTGTCCCAGCCACTCCAGCCATGACTAAAAGGGGCCAAGGTACAGCTCAGGCCATGGTTTCAGAGAGGGCAAACTCCAAGCCCTGGCAGCTTTCATGTGGTGTTGAGCCTGTGGGTGCAGAAAGGTTAAGAATTGAGGTTTGGGAACCTCCACCTAGATTTCAGAGGATGTATGGAAATGCCTGGATGTCCAGGCAGAAGTTTGCTGCAGGGGCAGGGCTCTCATGGAGAACTTCTCCTAGGTCAGTATAGAAGGGAAATGTGGGGTCAGAGCCCCCACACAGAGTCTCTACTGGGGTGCTGGCTAGTGGAGCTGTGAGAAGAGGTCCACTGTCCTCCAGATCCCAGAATGGTAGATCCACTGACAGCTTCCACTGTGCCTGGAAAAGTGGCAGACACTCAGTGCTAGCCCATGAAAGCAGCCAGGAAGGAGGCTAGGCTATATCTTGCAAAGCCACAGGGGCAGAGCTTCCCAAGACCATGGGAACCCACCTCTTGCATCAGTATGACCTGGAGGTAAGGCCTGGAGTCAAAGGAGATCATTTTGGTGCTTTAAAATTTGACTGCCCCACTGGATATTGGACTTGCATGGGGCCTCTAGCCCCTTTGTTTTGACCAATTTCTTCCATTTGGAATGGCTCTGTTTACCCAATGTCTGTACCCCCATTTTATCTTGGAAGTAACTGACTTGCTTTAGATTTTACAGTCTCATAGGTGGTAGGGACTTGCCTTGTCTTGGATGAGACTTTGGACTGTGAACTTTTGAGTTCATGCTGAAATGAGTTAAGACTTTGGGGGACTGTTGGGAAGGCATGATTGGTTTTAAAATGTGAGAACATGAGATTTGGGAGGGGCCAGGGCTTGGCTCTCTCCCCACCTAAATCTCATCTTGAATTGTAACTCTCACAATTCCACCATGTTGTGGGAGGAACTCAGTGGGAAGTAATTCAGTTATGGGGGCAGGTCTTTCTCATGCTGTTTTTGTGATAGTGACTAAGTCTCACAATATCTGATGGTTTTATAAAGAGGAGTTCCCCTGCATAAGTTCTTTCTTTTTGCCTGCCACCATCCATGTAAGATGTAACTTGTTCCTCCTTGCCTTCCTCCATGATTGTGAGGCCTCCCCAGCCATGTGGAACTGTAAGTCCATTAAACTTCTTTTTCTTCCGAGTCTCGAGTATGTCTTTATCAGCAGCATACAAATAGACAAATACAAATACCTAAAGGTGAAACTGCTGGATCATATGGTAAGTATAGATTTAAATTTTCAACAAACTGCCAAATGATCTTAAAAATGATGGTACTGTTTTACATTCCTACTAGCAATCATGAGAGTTGCTTCATGTCCTCACCAACACATGGTATTTTTGGTCTTTTTAATTTTAGTCACTGTAGTGTGTATTTACTGGTATCTCATTGCAGTTTTAATTTGCATTTTTCTAGCAACTAATAATGTTGAGCATCTTTTCATGTGCTTATTGGCCATTTGCATATTTTCTTTTATGAAGTGTCTGTTAAATATTTGGCCATTTTTAATTTTTTTGTCTTAGTATTGTTTTGTAAGTTAAAAAAATTTTGAATACAAGTTCTTTGTCAGATGTATGCAGTGTACATATTTTCTTCCAGTCTGTTACTTGCAGGTTTTTATTTATTTTTTTCTAAATTATTTTATTTCTTCCATGATGATTTAGAGGGACTATCTTCAAAGCAGTACAAATATTTCATAAATACAATCTGGCCATTTTCCAACCAATTGAGTAATTTGTTGCACAATAAGCTACCTTACATCTTTCAGCAAGAAATACATTAAATTTGAATAGTAAAGACATTACACAAATGAATTAGGACACAATTAAGATTTGCTTTAAATATTTCTTTGGGAGAGGACCATACTTCTACTCAATGAAGAGAAACATTTCTACAGTCCAGAGGTCTTTTATTTTATTTTTTAACACCTACTATACATGAATCATAAGGAAGAGTTTCCAGCAGCCCAGGCTCCTTCTCATTGGTTCTTACAAAGTGTGCTTCCCTGGGTGGAGCAGGCTGGCATTTCAGTTGAACCCTGGTACCTTTCGCTTTGGCTTCCTTCTTTTTCTGATCATTTTCCTTCATGTGTTTCAGGAAGCTATCTTGGCTCTTAGAGTGCTTAATATGCTCAATATGAACATTAATTCACTTGGCAAGAATCTTGCCCTTAACTTGTTTTTTTACAACCATGCCAACAGCATGCTGGGTCACATTGTAGACTCTTCCAGTTTTGCCATGTTAACACTTGTGGGACATTTTGTTTTGAACAGTGCTCATTCCCTTGATGTCTACAATATTACCTTTCTTACAGATTTGCATATACATGGCTAAAGGAATAACTCTGTGTTTTCTGAAAGACCTAGAGAACATCTGTCGGGTGCCTCTCCTGTTTCCCTTTGTGTTTGTCATTTTGGTAAATTACTGGAAGTTGGCAGTTCTGGCTGAAAGGCTGCAGTTTTATTTTTACTAATGTCTTCCAATGAGCAAAAATTTTAAATTTTGATTAGGTCCAGTTTTTCTTTTCTTTTTAAAAATCATTTATGCTTTTTGTATCCTAGTTGAAAAATCATTTTCCATCCAAAGTTACAAAGATCTTTTCTTAAGTTTTATTTTTCTAGAAGTTTTTGAGTATTAACTTTGCCATAGAACCCTATGATCCATTTCAAGTTAATGTTTTATATATGGTGTGAGGTAAGAGTGAAGATACTTTCCCTCATATTTATATCTAGTTGTTCCAGCAACAATGTTGAAAGCAGTATCATTTCCCCATTTTACCTCAGCAAAATACCCCAAGTCAACTGACTATAAATGTATGGATCTATTTTTGAACTTTCTGTTCTGTTCCATTAATTTATATATTTATGTTTATGCCACTACATACTTTACTTACTGTAACTTTGGAGTAAGTATTGAAATTGGGTAGAGTAGGTCGTCTGTATTTATTATTTCTTTTTCCTAATTGTTGAGACTCTTCCAGTCTTTTGCTTTCCATATAAATTTTGAAATTGGCTTTTTTTTCTGAATACAAAAATAGCCTGTCTGGAATTAAAGATTACATTGAATCTATAGATTAGTATAGGTGTCTCTTCCATTTATTTATGGCTCCTTTACTTTTTCCAGCAATGTTTTATGGTTTTCATTTGACAAGTCTTGCACTCATTTTGATAAATTTATCTCTAAGTGTTTCATTGTTTTTGATGCTATCGTAGGTAGTACTGTTTTGTTCATTACTCGTGTATAGACATAAAATTGTAGGTATATCAACCTTGTATTCTACAAACTTGTTAGTCTCACTGCTCAGTTCTAGTAGCTTTTTGGGGGGATTCCTTAGGGTTTTCTACATACACAATTATGTCATTTGTGCATAAACACATTTTCCTATCTATATGCCCTTTGTTTTTCTTGGCTTATTTCATTGGCTAGGACCTCTACCACAATGTTGAATAGCAGTGGTGAGGGTGGACATCCTTGTGTTGTCCCCAGTTTTATGGATGAAGCATTCAGCCTTTCATCATTTAGTATAATGTTAGCAGTAGGATTTTCATAGATGCCTTGTCATCAGGTTGAGGAAATTCTCCTCTATTTCTAGTTTGTTGAGAATTGTTATAATGAATGGGTGTTGAATTTGGTCAAACACTTCTTATGCATCTAAGAAAATGATAATATACATTTTCTATTTTATTCTGCTAACATCAATAGTATGTAAAAATAAATATATATTATTAATAATAAATTATATTGATTGATCTTTGAATGTTTTTAAAATTTTCTTTTCCCACTTTTATTTTTGGTTTGGAGGTACATGTGGAGGTACATAAATGGATAAATTGCATGTCACTAGTTGTAGAAATGGTTTAGTCACACAGGTACTGAGCATAGTACCTGATAGGTAGGTAGTTTTTCAACCCTCACCCTCCTCCTACTCTCCACTCTCAAGTATGCCCTGGTGTTTATTGTTTCCCTCTTTGTGTCTATGTGTACTCAGTGTTTAGCTTTCATGTATAAGTGAGAACATGTGGTATTTGATTTTCTGTTCCTGTGCTAATTTGCTTAGGATAATGGCCTCCAGCTGCATCCACGTTCCTGCAAAAGATATGATTTTGCTTTTTATGGCCAAGTAATATTCCATGGTGTATATGTGTCATATGTTCATTATCCAGTCAACCACTGATGGGCATCTAGGTTGATTCCATGTCTTTGCTATTGTGACTAATGCTGTGATGAACATATGAGTGCATGTTTATTTTGGTAGAATAATTTATATTCTTTTGGTTACGTATCCAGTAATGGGGTTGCTTGGTTAAATATTATATTTTAAGTTCTTTGAGAAATCTCCAAACTGTTTTGTACAGTAGCTGAGCTCATTTACATTCCCACCAGCAGTGTATAAGTGTTCTCTTTTCTCTGCAACCTTGTAAACATTTGTTATTTTCTAACGTTTTAATAATAGCCATTCTGAGTAGTGTCAGATGGCATCTCATTGTGGTTTTGATTTCCATTTCTCTGATGATTAGTGATGTTGAGCATTTTTTCATATGCTTGTTGGTTGCATGTATGTCTTCTTTTCAGAAGTGTCCATTCATATCTTTTGCCCATTTTTTAATGAAGTTGATTGATTTTGCTTGTCGATTTAAGTTCCTTACAGATTCTGGATGTTAAACTTTTGTAGGATGCATAGTTTGCAAATAGTTTCTCCCATTCTGTAGGTTGTATTTTATTCTGTTGAAAGTGTTTTTTTTTTTTCTACACAGAAGCTCTTTAGTAGGTGTCACTTATCTATTTTTGTTTTTGTAGCAATTGCTTTTGGAAACTTTGTCATGAAATTTTTGCCAAGGCTTTTGTCCAAAATGGTATTTCCTAGGTTTTCTTCTAGGGTTTTTTATGGTTTTAGGTCTTACGTATAAGTCTTTAATCCATCTTGAGTTGATTTTTGTATATAGTGAAAGGAAGGGGTCCAGTTTGAATCTTCTGCGTTGCTTGTTATTGTTGACTTTGTTGAAGATCAGATGGTTGTAGGTGTACAGCTTTATTTCTGTGTTCTCTAACCTGTTCCATTGGCCCGTGTGTCTGTATTTGTACCAGTGTCATGCTGGTTTGGTTACTGTAGCCTTGAAGTATAACTTGAAGTTAGGCAGTGTGATGCCTCCAGCTTTGTACTTATTGCTTAGGATAGCTTTGGCTATTTGGGCTATTCTTTGGTTCCATATAAATTTTAAAACAGCTTTTTCTAATTCCGTGAGAAATTGTATTGGTAGTTTGATAGGAATAGCATTGAATCTGTAAATTGCTTAGGGCAATATGGCCATTTTAGCAATACTGATTCTTCCTATCCATGAGCATGAAATGTTTTTCTATTTGTTTGTATTGTCTTTGGTTTCTTTCAGCAGTGTTTTGTAATTCTTGTTGTAGAGATCTTTCACCTCCCTGGTTAGCTGTATTCCTAGGTATTTTATTCTTTTTGTGGCAATTGTGAATAGAATTGCACTCTTGATTTGGCTCTCAGCTTGGATGTTATTGGTGTAGAGAAATGCTAGTGATTTTTGTACATTCATTTTGTATCCTGAAACTTTATTGAAGTTGTTTTAAGGGCCTGTGGGCAGATACTATGGGGTTTTCTAGGTATAGATTCATATCTTCTACAAAAGAGATAGTTTGTTTTTCTGTCTTCCTATTTGGTTGCCTTTTATTTCTTTCTCTTGCCTGATTGCTCTGGCTAGGACTTCTGGTACCATGTTGAATAGGGAGTGGTAAGAGTGAGCATCCTTGTCTTGTTCTGGTTCTCCAGGGAATGCTTTCAGCTTTTTCCCATTCATTGTGATGTTGGCTGTGGGTTTGTCATATATGGCTCTTATCATTTTGAAGTATGTTCCTTCAGTACCTGGTTTGTTGATGGTTAACATGAAGGGATGTTGAATTTTATTGAAAGGCTTTTCTTCATCTGTAGAAATGATAATATGGTTTTTGCTTTTAGTTCTCTTTATGTGATGAATCACATTGATTGATTTGCATATGTTGAGCCAACTTTGCAACCCAGGAATAAAACCTACTTGGTATTGGTGAGTTAACTTTTTGATGTGCTGCTGGATTTGATTTGCTAGTGTTTTGTTGACAATTTTTGTGTCTATGTTCACCAGGGATATTGGACTGAAATTTTCTTTTTTGTATGTGTATCTGCCAGGTTTTGGTATCAAAATAATACTGGCCTCATAGAATGAGTTAGAGAGGAGTCCCTCCTCCTTCATACTTTGAAATAATTTCAGAAGGATTGGTGCCAGCTCTTTATACATGTGACAGAATTTGGCTGTGAATCCATGTGGTCCAGGGCTTTTTCTAGTTCATATGTTTTTTGTTACCAATTCAATTTTGGAGCTCATTTTTGTTCTGTTCAGGATTTCAGTTCCTTCCTTGTTCAATCTTGGGAGAGTGTATGTTTCCCAGAATGTATTGATTTTTTGTAGGCTTTCTAGTTTGTGTGTATAGAGGTGTTCATAATAGTCTCTGAGGATTTTTTTGGTGTTTCTATGGGGTCAGTGGTAATGTCACCTTTGTCATTCTAATTGTGTTTATTGGCATCTTCTCTCTTTTTTTCTTTATTAATCTAGCTAGTGGTCTATCAACCTTATTTATTCTTTCAAAAAACAACTTTTGGTTGCATCATTCTTTTTAGTGGATTTTCACGTCTCAATTTTGTTCAGTTCACTTCTAATTTTGGTTACTTTTCTTCTGCTAGCTTTGGGGTTGTTTTGGTCTTGTTTTTCTAGTTTCTTTACGTGTGATGTTAGGTTGTTAATTTGAGATCTTTCTAACTTCTTCTTGTGGACATTTAGTGCTATAAGCTTCCTCTTAACACTGCTTTAGCTGTATCTCAGAAATTCTGGTATGTTTTAATTTTGTTTTCATTAGCTTCAAAGAATTTTTTTTGTTTCTGCCTTAATTTTATTTTTTTTAATCCAAAAGTCATTCAGGAGCAGGTTGTTTAATTTCCATGTAATTTTATGATTTTGAGAGATCTTGGTAGTGATTTCTATTTTTATTGTGCTGTGGTCCAAGAGTGTGTTTGGTATGATTTCAGCTTTTTTGAATTTGTTTAGAATTGCTTTATGGCTGAGCATGTGGTCAGTTTTAGAGTATGCGCTGTGTGCAGATGAGAAGGATGTATATTTTTTGGGGTGCTGTATTCTGTAGATGTCTTTTAGTTCCGTTTAGGCAAGTGTCAAGTTTAGTTGCTGAATATCTTCATTAGTTTTCTACCTTGATGCTCTAACACTGTCAGGTGGGGTGTTGAAGTCTTCCACTATCATTGTGTGGTTATCTAAGTTTCTTTGTAAGGTCTCTAAGAACTTGTTTTATGGATCTGGGTGCTCCAGTGTTAGGTGCATGTATATTTAGGAAAGTTAAGTCTTCTTATTGAATTAACCCTTTATCATTATGTAATATCCTTCTTTGTCCTTTTTTTATTATTGTTGGTTTAAAGTCTGTTTTGTCAGAAATAAGAATAGCAAGTCCTGTTTTTTTTTCCATTTGCTTGACTGATCTTTCTCTATCCCTTTGCTTTGAGCCTATGTGTGTCATTGTATGTCAGATAGGTCTCTTGAAGACAGCATATAGTTGGGTCTTGCTCCTTTATCTGACTTGCCAATCTGTGTCTTTTAAGTGAGACATTTGGTCCATTTACATTCAAGGTTAATATTGATATGGGAGGATTTGATTCTGTCATTGGATTGTTAGCTGGATGTTATGTAGACTTGATTGTGTAGTTGCTTTATAGTGTCAGTGAACGGTGTACTTAAGTGTGTTTTTTCATGGCAGGTAACAGTCTTTTGTTTCCTTGTTAAGCACTCCCTTAAGGATCTCTTGTAGGGAAGGTCTGATGGTAACAAATTCTTTTAGCGTTTGCTTATCTGAAAATTATTTATTTATTTATTTATTTTTGCATATGAAGCTTCGTTTGGCTGGATGTAAAATTCTTTTACATCAATTCCATTGTATCTATATGCCTATTTTTTTCTTAATTTTACCTTGGGGTTAATTTGCTTTATTTTTTTCTACTTTCTTTAGATGGAAATTTAGATAATTGATTTTTATACCTTTATTCTTTTTTAATGTAAGCATTTAAGGTTCTAATATGTTCTATAAACACTTCTTTAAATGCATCATACATATTTTGATATGCTGTTTTAATTTTCATTAAAGACTAACCTAACACTAACCCATATTTAGAGATCACTGCAAATCCAGTGCTTTCAACTGGTTCTTTGCTAAAAAGAATTGCTTCTTGGTATCAACATTTTTCATTTTTAAGTATTTGTCCACTGAAAGCAGTTAAAAGAAGAGGTCCAGATTACTTGCCTTTGGCTCTAATATTATGTAGAACTGTATGTTTAAAAATGACCAGAGAAAAACCTACAACTTCTAGATAATGTTACCTTTGTGGACAGATAATTTAATTTTATCCATGGTTAAAATTTAGAAATGATTTATTATGTCATAAAGAAATTTGAAAATTATGGTCAAGAAGATGGCTGAATAGGAACAGCTCCGGTCTACAGCTCCAGCGTGAGCGACATAGAAGATGGGTGATTTCTGCATTTCCATCTGAGGTACCAGGTTCATCTCACTAGGGAGTGCCAGACAGTGGGAGCAGGTCAGTGGGTGCGCGCACCATGCGCGAGCCAAAGCAGGGTGAGGCATTGCCTCACTTGGGAAGTGCAAGGGGCCAGGGAGTTCCCTTTCCTAGTCAAAGAAAGGGGTGACAGACAGCACCTGGAAAATCGGGTCACTCCCACCCAAATATTGCGCTTTTCTGACGGGCTTAAGAAACGGCACACCACGAGATTATATCCCGCACCTGGCTCGGAGGGTCCTATGCCCACGGAGTCTCGCTGATTGCTAGCACAGCAGTCTGAGATCAAACTGCAAGGCGGCAGCGAGGCTGGGGGAGGGGCGCCCGCCATTGCCCAGGCTTGCTTAGGTAAACAAAGCAGCCGGGAAGCTCCAACTGGGTGGATCCCACCACAGCTCAAGGAGGCCTGCCTGTCTCTGTAGGCTCCACCTCTGGGGGCAGGGCACAGACAAACAAAAAGACAGCAGTAACCTCTGCAGACTTAAATGTCCCTGTCTGACAGCTTTGAAGAGAGCAGTGGTTCTCCCAGTATGCAGCTGGAGATCTGAGAACAGGCAGACTGCCTCCTCAAGTGGGTCCCTGACCCCTGACCCCTGAGCAGCCTAGCTGGGAGGCACCCTCCAGCAGGAGCAGACTGACACCTCACATGGCAGGGTACTCCAACAGACCTGCAGCTGAGGGTCCTGTCTGTTAGAAGGGAAACTAACAAACAGAAAGGACATCCACACCAAAAACCCATCTGTACATCACCATCATCAAAGACCAAAAGTAGATAAAACCACAAAGATGGGGAAAAAACAGAACAGAAAAACTGGAAACTCTAAAAAGCACAGTGCCTCTCCTCCTCCAAGGGAATGCAGTTCCTCACCAGCAACGGAACAAAGCTGGATGGAGAATGACTTTGATGAGCTGAGAGAAGAAGGCTTCAGATGATCAAATTACTCTGAGCTACGGGAGGACATTAAAACCAAAGGCAAAGAAGTTGAAAACTTTGAAAAAAATTTTAGAGAATGTATAACTAGAATAATCAATACAGAGAAGTGCTTAAAGGAGCTGATGGAGCTGAAAATCAAGGCTTGAGAACTACGTGAAGAATGCAGAAGCCTCAGGAGCTGATGCGATCAACTGGAAGAAAGGGTATCAGCAATGGAAGATGAAATAAATGAAATGAAGTGAGAAGGGAAGTTTAGAGAAAAAAGAATAAAAAGAAATGAGCAAAGCCTCCAAGAAATATGGGACTATGTGAAAAGACCAAATCAACGTTTGATTGGTGTACCTGAAAGCGACAGGGAGAATGGAACCAAGTTGGAAAACACTCTGCAGGATATTATCCAGGAGAACTTCCCCAATCTAGCAATGCAGGCCAACATTCAGATTCAGGAAATACAGAGAACACCACAAAGATACTCCTCGAGAAGAGCAACTCCAAGACACATAATTGTCAGATTCACCAAAGTTAAAATGAAGGAAAAAATGTTAAGGGCAGCCAGAGAGAAAGGTCGGGTTACCCTCAAAGGGAAGCCCATCAGACTAACAGCGGATCTCTCGGCAGAAACTCTATAAGCCAGAAGAGAATGGGGGCCAATATTCAACATTCTTAAAGAAAAGAATTTTCAACCCAGAATTTCATATCCAGCCAAACTAAGCTTCATAAGTGAAGGAGAAATAAAATACTTTACAGACAAGCAAATGCTGAGAGATTTTGTCACCACCAGGCCTGCCCTAAAAGAGCTCCTGAAGGAAGCGCTAAACATGGAAAGGAACAACTGGTACCAGCCACTGCAAAATCATGCCAAAATGTAAAGACCATCGAGACTAGGAAGAAACTGCATCAACTAATGAGCAAAATTACCAGCTAACATCATAATGACAGGGTTGAATTCACACATAACAATATTAACTTTAAATGTAAATGGACTAAATGCTCCAATTAAAGACACAGAATGGCAAATTGGATAAAGAGTCAAGACCCATCAGTGTGCTGTATTCAGGAAACCCATCTCATGTGCAGAGACACACATAGGCTCAAAATAAAAGGATGGAGGAAGATCTACCAAGCAAATGGAAAACAAAAAAAGGCAGGGGTTGCAATCCTAGTCTTTGATAAAACAGACTTTAAACCAACAAAGATCAAAAGAGACAAAGAAGGCCATTACATAATGGTAAAGGGATCAATTCAACAAGAAGAGCTAACTATCCTAAATATATATGCACCCAATACAGGAGCACCCAGATTCATAAAGCAAGTCCTGAGTGACTTACAAAGAGACTTAGACTCCCACACATGAATAATGGGAGACTTTAACACCCCACTGTCAACATTAGACAGATCAATGAGACAGAAAGTCAACAAGGATACCCAGGAATTGAACTCAGCTCTGCACCAAGCAGACCTAATAGACATCTGCAGTACTCTCCACCCCAAATCAACAGAACATACATTTTTTTCAGCACCACACCACACCTATTCCGAAATTGACCACATACTTGGAAGTAAAGCTCTCCTCAGCAAATGTAAAAGAACAGAAATTATAACAAACTGTCTCTCAGACCACAGTGCAATCAAACTAGAACTCAGGATTAAGAATCTCACTCAAAACCACTCAACTACATGGAAACTGAACAACCTGCTCCTGAATGACTACTGGGTACATAATGAAATGAAGGCAGAAATAAAGATGTTCTTTGAAACCAACGGGATCAAAGACACAACATACCAGAATCTCTGGGACGCATTCAAAGCAGTGTGTAGAGGGAAATTTATAGCACTAAATGCCCACAAGTGAAAGCAGGAAAGATCCAAAATTGACACCCTAACATCACAATGAAAAGAACTAGAAAAGCAAGAGCAAACACATTCAAAAGCTAGCAGAAGGCAAGAAATAACTAAAATCAGTGCAGAACTGAAGGAAATAGAGACACAAAAAACCCTTCAAAAAATTAATGAATCCAGGAGCTGGTTTTTTGAAAGGATCAACAAAATTGATAGACCGCTAGCAAGACTAATAAAGAAAAAAAGAGAGAAGAATCAAATAGACGCAATAAAAAATGATAAAGGGGATATCACCACCGATCTCACAGAAATACAAACTACCATCAGAGAATACTACAAACAACTCTACACAAATAAACTAGAAAATCTAGAAGAAATGGATAAATTCCTCAACACATACACTCTCCCAAGACTAAACCAGGAAGAAGTTGAATCTCTGAATAGACCAATAACAGGATCTGAAATTGTGGCAATAATCAATAGCTTACCAACCAAAAAGAGTCCAGGACCAGATGGATTCACAGCCGAATTCTACCAGAGGTACAAGGAGGAACTGGTACCATTCCTTCTGAAACTATTCCAATCAATAGAAAAAGAGGGAATCCTCCCTAACTCATTTTATGAGGCCAGCATCATCCTGATACCAAAGCCGGGCAGAGACACAACAACAAAAGATAATTTTAGACCAATATCCTTGATGAACATTGATGCAAAAATCCTCAATACAATACTGGCAAAACGAATCCAGCAGCACATCAAAAAGCTTATCCACCATGATCAAGTGGGCTTCATCCCTGGGATGCAAGGCTGGTTCAATATATGCAAATCAATAAATGTAATCCAGCATATAAACAGAACCAAAGACAAATACCACATGATTATCTCAATAGATGCAGCAAAGGCCTTTGATAAAATTCAACAACCCTTCATGCTAAAAACTCTCAATAAATTAGGAATTGATGGGATATATTTCAAAATAATAAGAACTATCTATGACAAACCCACAGCCAATATCATACTGAATGGGCAAAAACTGGAAGCATTCCCTTTGAAAACTGGCACAAGACAGGGATGCTCTCTGTCACCACTCCTATTCAACATAGTGTTGGAAGTTCTGGTCAGGGCAATTAGGCAGGAGAAGGAAATAAAGGGTATTCAATTAGGAAAGGAGGAAGTCAAATTGTCCCTGTTTGCAGACGACATGATTGTATATCTAGAAAACCCCATTGTCTCAGCCCAAAATTTCCTTAAGCTGATAAGCAACTTCAGCAAAGTCTCAGGATACAAAATCAATGTACAAAAATCACAAGCATTCTTATATACCAACAATAGACAAACAGAGAGCCAAATCATGAGTAGACTCCCATTCACAATTGCTTCAAAGAGAATAAAATACCTAGGAATCCAACTTACAAGGGATGTGAAGGACCTCTTCAAGGAGAACTATAAACCACTGCTCCAGGAAATAAAAGAGGATACAAACAAATGGAAGAACATTCCATGCTCATGGGTAGGAAGAATCAATATTGTGAAAATGGCCATACTGCCCAAGGTAATTTACAGATTCAATGCCATCCTCATCAAACTACCAATGAATTTCTTCACAGAATTGGAAAAAACTACTTTAAAGTTCATATGGAACCAAAAAAGAGCCCGCATCACCAAGTCAATCCTAAGCCAAAAGAACAAAGCTGGAGGCATCACACTACCTGACTTCAAACTATACTACAAGGCTACAGTAACCAAAACAGCATGGTACTGGTACCAAAGCAGAGATATAGATCAATGGAACAGAGCAGAGCTCTCAGAAATAACACCATATATCTACAACTATCAGATCTTTGACAAATCTGAGAAAAACAAGCAATGGGGAAAGGATTCCCTATTTAATAAATGGTGCTGGGAAAACTGGCTAGCCATATGTAGAAAGCTGAAACTGGATCCCTTCCTTACACCTTATACAAAAATCAACTCAAGATGGATTAAAGACTTAAACGTTAGACCTAAAACCATAAAAACCCTAGAAGAAAACCTAGGCAATACCATTCAGGACATAGGCATGGGCAAGGACTTCATGTCTAAAACACCAAAAGCAATGGCAACAAAAGCCAAACTTGACAAATGGGATCCAATTAAACTAAAGAGCTTCTGCACAGCAAAAGAAATTACCATCAGAGTGAACAGGCAACCTACAAAATGGGAGAAAATTTTCACAACCTACTCATCTGACAAAGGGCTAATATCCAGAATCTACAATGAACTCAAACAAATTTACAAGAAAAAAATCAAACAACCCCATCAAAAAGTGGGCGAAGGACATGAACAGACACTTCTCAAAAGAAGACATTTATGCAGCCAAAAACACATGAAAAAATGCTCATCATCACTGGTCATCAGAGAAATGCAAATCAAAACCACAGTGAGATACCATCTCACACCAGTTAGAATGGCAATCATTAAAAAGTCAGGAAACAACAGGTGCTGTAGAGGATGTGGAGAAATAAGAACAATTTTACACTGTTGGTGGGACTGTAAACTAGTTCAAACATTGTGGAAGTCAGTGTGGCGATTCCTCAGGGATCTAGAACTAGAAATACCATTTGACCCAGCCATCCCATTACTGGGTATATACCCATAGGACTATAAATCATGCTGCTATAAAGACACATGCACACGTATGTTTATTGCGGCATTATTCACAATAGCAAAGACTTGGAACCAACCCAAATGTTCAACAATGATAGACTGGATTAAGAAAATGTGGCACATATGCACCATGGAATTCTATGCAGCCATAAAAAATGATGAGTTCACGTCCTTTGTAGGGACATGGATGAAATTGGAAATCATTTCTCAGTAAACTATCACAAGAACAAAAAACCAAACACCGCATATTCTCACTCATAGGTGGGAATTGAACAATGAGAAGAACACATGGACACAGGAAGGGGAACATCACCCTCTGGGGACTGTTGTGGGGTGGGGGAGGGGGGAGGAATAGCATTGGGAGATATACCTAATGCTAGATGACGAGTTAGTGGGTGCAGCGCACCAGCGTGGCACGTGTATACGTATGTAACTAACCTGCACATTGTGCACATGTACCCTAAAACTTAAAGTATAATAATAATAAATAAATAAAGAAAGAAAGAAGAAAAAAGAAAATTATGGTCAAGATAGGTAGTTGCTTACTTTAATCCATAGTTTATAATCTTACTCAAAGTAATTGTTGAAATATATTATATTTTAGAATCCTGTCAATTAAATTTGATCTGTGAAAAGTTAATTGACTAGGTAAAAAATATTCTGTATTAAATGACAAAGGTGGTAATGGTGGCTGAGAAAAAGGAAGGAAGAAGAGAAGTAAGAGAACATGAAAAACAATTCAGTCTCTCAAAGGGGGAGCAGAAATAAATGACTATGGGCAGCATCTTGTGACTGTCCCATATAAATAGCTTATATAACTTTTAAAAATTAAACTTATAAAGTTTTATATATAAATAGATATAAAAAACGTGCACCTTACTGTCAGATCAATAAATCTTCATACACTGACACCTCTATGTAACAACAACTCAACATTTTTCTCATTTCTTTTGTGATTTCTTCTTTGACACATAGGTAATTTAGAAGTGTGTTATTTACATTTTAAATATTTGGAGATTTTAAAGATTTTAAAAATTATTTTCTAATTTAATTCTATTATGATCAGAGAACATACTTCAACTTCAATTTAAAAAAATTTATTGATACTTGTTTTATGGCTTAGCATCTAGTCTATTGTGCTGAATATTACATGTGAAATTGAAATAAGAGCATTGTCGCACCCCAGGAATCCTCTTGTGCACCTTTCCGAGTATCAGTGCTCAGGGAAAAACCACTATCCTGACTTCTGACAGCATACATGAGTTTATTTTTGTGCTCTATATTAAGAGAAGAATATAGTGTATACTCTTTTGCATTTGGCTCTCTTAACGTTATGTTTCTGTGGAATTTATCCATAGTTCATTATTTCATTCTCATTGTGTATATGAATACCATATTATATGAATGTAATATGTATATAATATTTATAGATATATAATATAATAATATGAATATAATATATTATATTATAATTGTAGTGATATGGTTTGGCTGTGGCCCCACCCAAATCCTAAGTTGAAGTGTATCTCCTGGAATTCCTATGTGTTGTAAGAGGAACCCAGGGGAGGTAACTGAATCATGGGGGCTGGTCTTTCCTGTGCTATTCTTGTGATAGTTAATAAGTCTCAAGAGATCTGATGGGTTCATCAAGGGTTTCTGCTTTTGCTTCCTCCTCATTTTCTCTTGCCACCGCCATGTGTCGAGTGCCTTTCACCTCCTGCCATGATTCTGAGGCCTCCCCAGCCATGTGGAACTGTAAGTCCATTAAACATCTTTTTCTTCCCATTTTTGGGCATGTTGTTATCAGCAGCATGAAAGCAAACTAATACAGTAAATTGGTACCAGTAGAGTGGGGCACTGCTGAAAAGATACCCAAAAATGTGGAAGTGACTATGGAACTGGGTTACAGGCAGAGGCTGGAACAGTTTGGAGGGCTCAGAAGAAGACAGGGAAATGTGGGAAAGTTCAAAACTTACTAGAAACTTGTTGAATGGCTTTGACAAAAATGCTGATAGTGATATGAACAGTGTGGTTCCGGCTGAGGTGCTCTCAGATGGAGATGAGGAACTTGTTGGGAACTGAAGCAAAGGTGACTCTTGTTATGTTTTAGGAAAGAGACTGGTGGCATTTTGCCCTTGCCATAGATATTTGTGGAACTTTGAACTTGAGAAAGATTATTTAGGGTATCTGGCAGAAGAAATTTCTAAGCATTTAAGCATTCAAGAGGTGCCTTGGGTACTGCTAAAGGCATTCAGTTTTAAAAGGGAAACAGAGCATAAGAATTTGGAAAATTTGCAGCCTGACTATGTGATAGAAAAGAAAAACTAGTTTTCTGGGGGGAAATTCAAGCCAGCTGCAGAAATTTGCATAAGTAGCAAGGAGTCTAATGTTAATCCCCAAGACCATGGGGAAATGTCTCCAGGACATGTTGGAGGTCTTCACAGCAGCCCCTCCCATCACAGGCCTGGAGGCCCAGGAGGAAAAAGTGGTTTCGTGGGCTGGGCCCAGGGTCCTCATGCTGTGTCCAGCCTAAAGACATGGTACCCTGTGTCCTAGCTGCTCTAGCCATGGCTGAGAGGGGCCAACATGCAGCTTGGGCTGTGGCTTAAGAGGGTAGAAGCCCTAAGCCTTGGCAACTGCCATCTGGTGTTGAGCCTGTGGGTACACAGAAGTCAAGAATTGAGGTTTGGGAACCTCCACCTAGATTTCAGAAGATGTATGGAAACACCTGGATGCCCAGGAAAAGTTTGCTGCAGTCATGGGACCCTCACGGAGAACCTCTGCTAGGGCAGTGTGGAAGGGAAATGTGGGGTTGGAGCCCCCACACAGAGTCCCTACTGGGGCACTGCCCAGGGTAGCTGTGAGAAGAGGGCCACTGTCCTCAAGACCCCAGAATGGTAGATCCACCTACGGCTTGCACTGTATGCCTGGAAAAGCTGCAGACACTCAATGCTAGCCCATGAAACAGCCAGGAGGGGGGCTGTACCCTGCATAGCCACAGGGGCAGAGCTGCCCAACACCATGGGAACCCACCTCTTGTATCAGTGTGACCTGGATATGAGGCCTGGGGTCAAAGGAGATAATTTTGGAGTTTTAAAATTTGACTGCCCCACTGGATTTCAGACTTGCATGGGCCCTGTAAGCCGTTTGTTTTGGCCAATTTCTCCCATTTGGAACAAGTGTATTTACCCAATACCCATACTCCCATTGTATCTGGGAAGTAACTAGCTTGCTTTTGATTTTACAGCCTGCTAGGTGGAAGGGACTTGCCTTGTCTCAGATGAGACTTTGGACTGTGGACTTTTGGGTTAATGCTGAAATGAGTTAAGACTTTGGGGGACTGTTGGGAAGGCATGATTGGTTTTGAAATGTGAGGACATGAGATTCAGAGGGGCCAGGGGAGGAATTACATGGTTTGGCTCTGTCCCCACCCAAATCTCAATTTGAATTGTGTCTCCCAGAATTCCCATCAATTGTGGGAGAAACCCAGGGGAGGGCAATTGAATCATGGGGGCCAGTCTTTCCTGTGCTATTCTTGTGATAGTGAATACGTCTCAAGAGATCTTACAGGTTTATCAGGGGTTTCCACTTTTCCTTCCTCCTCTTTTTGTCTTGCTGCCGCCATGTGAGAAGTGCTTTTGCCTCCTACCATGATTCTGAGGCCTCCCCAGCCATGTGGAAGTGTAAGTCCAATTAAACCTCTTTTTCTTCTCATTTTCGAGTACGTTGTTATCAGCAGCATGAAAGTGAACTAATACATGTAGTATATTAATTATATATGATAATATATGATCATGATATACACCGTATCTTATGAACTTTCTCTTCTTATGAACACACAGGTTCTTTAAAATAGATTCCAGTAATCCCTTGCTGTCTTCCCAAAATACTGGTGCAGATAGGGTTACCAAGTATTCTTTGGGAGAAAATTTTCTACAGCCAAATATAATTGAGAAATATACATATATACATACATAATATAATACATAATATAATATATAATATATGAATATAATATATACATATATAATACATAATATATAATATATAGTGCAGCCTAGAGACTGTACAAATTATATTTGAGGTTCCCAAACCTCAAATATAATGTAATACATAATATAATATATAGTATACATAATTATATGCATACAATATATAAATATATACATAATATAATATATGAATATAATATATATTAGATGAATATAAATATATTATATGTAATATATTATATAATACATATATGAATATAATATATATAATAATACATATTATATAAATATATATAATAATACACATTATATGAATATAATATATATTATACATAATAATACATATATGTATAATAATATTATATATGTATAATACACATATACAATACACATATTATATATAATATAATATAATTATATAATAATACATATTATATAAATATAATATGTATTATATAATATATATTATATGAATATAATATATATTATATATAGTAATACTATATTATATGAACATAACAAATCAATTTTTCCATTCTGCTTTTGATGGGCATTTGGATAGTTTGAATAAATTAAAAATATGTTTTATAGAATCTTTTTACATCTGTGGTTAAAAATTCATGTTACACAGAAATACATGTATATATTTATCTATACAGGTATACATACATATATACTGTGTGTGTATACATACCTGCTACATATTCTTTGGAAAAAAGATTGTAAGAAATATATCAACATATTAGCCCTTAGTACTACCTCTAATTGATTTTTTCAGTTGTCTTTCTTCTACCTGTTCTTTTCAATTTTCTCTAATTAATAGCTATTCATTCAGCACTCAAAATAAAAAATCAGCTCATAAAAGACTTATGCCCTGCCAGATTAACCCAGCTGTAAATTATTGGCACTTACTAAAATTTGCCAAGCCCATGGCACAGAGCAGAGCTTCTCTGAGTGACAGAAGCCAGTAACCAAATGATTTGTCTGCCGGCCCACACAACTGGAAGTTTACTGATCAATCTGAGTTCAGTTTGTGAAATAAAAGTAGACCACTAGTCCCTAAATTCTCCAGTCTGTTTATCGCAAAAAGGAAAATCTGTTATTCGCTTGTCATAATGTGGCATATGGAGAAAGAGCAAAGACACACGAAACAGCAGATCAACACTGAGGTTCTATGCCAGGGCTGGCAGTGATTTTTGCTTTCTCTAGTGTTATTCTCTTGAAGTTGCTTCTCTTCAAGGAATGGTTGCAAAATTTTACTTGGCTTAATTCCCCAAGCCCTCTTTTTAAAACTAGAGACCAGAATATATTCCTTTGTCTTCTATCTTTCATATATTCAGTTTCCCCAACCTCTCTTCATTCCCAGATTGTCTATAAGCTTTACCCTGAAAACCTCGTTTAGAGAATAGGTCTATGCAATGGACAGAGATTGTGATATACACCACATCTCATGAACCTCCTTTTCTTATGAACACACATAAGTTTTAAAGAATCCTTTAAAACTTATTCTAATAATTCCTGGCTGTCTTCCAAAAAACACTGGTGCAGATAGGGTTACCAAGTCTTCTTTGGGAGAACATTTTCTACAGTGAAATATATTTGGGAAATATTAGGTTAAAACAATTAGACAGATTTATTCCTTGAAATGTTTCTAGAACCATAAGTGAGTTGTGAGGCCTCAGGTGGCTGAGGAGTTATTATGAAGCATTTTCCAATAAATGTGACCAAGGAGACTGTGTGTGCATGTGTGTGTGTGTGTGAAAAAATGTGTTAGCATAGAGTGGATGTAGGGATTCTAGGAATATCTTTGTTAAGTGATGATTTGAGTTCCAAAACTCTAAAGCCTACAAGGGCTGGACAGAAAATACAAATAAGTAGGGTCTGCAACACAGGTTTAAGGTGGGTCCTTCTGAACCAGGCAGACACTTCTCAGCTCTAGCTAATTGTTGCCATGCTGAAGTCTAGCCCCAGGACTGTCAGATCTTCTGAGTTGTCAGGAGAGAAGAAAAATCTAGATTTTTATATAAAATACCTGAGTTTTAGGTGTTGAGAAACAATTTGAATGTTTTAAAAAGCCCTGAGTGGATCATACAAAACATGGTTGCCAACTGGATTCAGCCCACAAGCTGACAGTTTGCAAACTCTGAAGGCTGTACATCCATCACTTACCACAGAGTGCTTTGTGTTGTCTCATATAGTTCAGGGTACTATGTATGATATTTAAACCATGGATTATATTATGTAGTTTGCCATATGCATAATGATAACAAATTAGTTCATTCACTGACTAATACTAATCAAACACAGTGTTAAGAATTCAACTGTACGGCATTTAACTGAATCTTTGCCATGTGAAGGCGCATATTAACTAAATTTTAAGGTGAAGAGATGGAGAAATTAAAGAAATTAAGTCAGTCATTCAAGGTTAAAAGTTAGTACATGGTAATAGGTGAAAGAAGCAGGATTTAAATCCGAGGTTGTGCTTTACTCCAAGTTTGTAAGGTTTACCACAAATCTTATGGTCGTATCTTCTGTCTTCAACTAGGTTGGAGAATGCATAACAGATATTCAGTAGCTATCTCTTGCATTTATGGTATTAAATATAAGCTCTTTGAAAATGAGAATCATGCCTACTACTTCTATAATGTAGTTTCTTCCACATAGAAGGTTCTTAGAAATATTGGTTAGGTAAATGAATAATTGGAAAGCTGACTTATTTATTTATTAATTCATTCACTCATTCATTCATTCTTTGATTTACAGTAAAGAACCCCTAGGACTGAGCACATAGTTGGTTCTCAAAAATCACTAATTAGGCTGGACAAAGATTTTTAAAATAAGACCTCTAAAGCATAGATAACAGAAGCAAAAATAAACAAATGGGATTATGTCAAACTGAAAAGCTTTTCCACAATAAAGGAAACTATTAACAGAGTGAAGAGACAGCCTGTGGAATGGGAGAAAATAATTGCAAACTACACATCTGACAAGAGGTTAATATCCAGACTATATTAGAAACTTAAAAACTCAACAGCAAAAAACCAAATAACTTGATTAAAAAATGGACAAAAGATCTTAATAGGCATCTCTCAGAAAAAGACGTACAAATGACCAATAGGTACATGAAAAAATGCTCAACATAACTAATCTTCAGGGAAATGCACATTAAAACCATAATGAGATACCACTTCACTTCAGTTAGAATGGACGTTATCAAAAAGACAAAAGAAAACAAGTGTTGGTGAGGATATGGAGAAAAGCTAACTGCTTACACACCGTTGGTGGGAATAGAAATTGGTACAGCCATTGTGGAAAACAGTATGGAGGTTCCTCAAAAAATAAAAAATAGAAATACCATATGATCTACCATATGATTCCAATACTGGGTATATGTCCAAAGGAAATGAAATCAGTATGTTGAAGCGATACTAGCCCTCCCATGTTTATTGCAGCACTTTTCAAAAATAGCCAAGGTATGGAATCAACCTAAGTGTCCAACAATGAATGAATGGATAAAGAAAATGTGTTATACATACATAATGGAATACCATTCACCCATAAAAAAGAATAAAATGTGATCATTTGTAACATCATGGATGAACCTGGAGAACCTGAAATAAGCCAGACACAGAAAGACAAATACCATATATCTCACTTATACATGGAACCTAAAAAAAGTTGCTATCACAGAAGCAGAGAGTAGAACAGTGCTTACTAGAGACTGGGGAGAAGAGTAAGGGGAGAGGTTGTTTAATGGGAACAAAGTTACAATTAGGAGAAATAAATTCTGGTGTTCTATTGCATAGTAGGGTGACTATAATTTACAGTAAAATATTGTTTATTACAAAATAGGTAGAAGAGAGTGTTTTAAATGTTCTTACCACAAATGAATGATGAATACATGAGGTAATGAATATACCAACTACCCTGATTGGATCATTATACAACATAGATATGTATTGAAACATCAAATCATACCCCACAAATGTGTACAATTACAGTATGTCAATTAAAAATATTAAAAATGAAAAAAATGACTGCCAAATACATTCTTAATATATTATTAAAGAAGTATATAGTAGTGGAATAAAGTCATTTGACTTCAAGTCAAGAAATTGGATCCTGATATATAACTTGTCACCTACTAGTGGGCCTTTTTCTAAAACACTGTAGACTTTAAGTCTTCCAATCTGTAAAATAAGTGTTTTATACTAGAAACTTGATGAGTTCTATTCTAGCCCTAAAAAAATCCATAACTCTGACTGATCTATGTTTCTGTGGAGACCAGCCTGGGAAACTAGATTTTTGGTATGAATTTGCCAGTGGCAGTGTTTTGGTTAGGACAGTTCCTGCTGCCAAGTAACAAAAAACAAAAGACAGCCCTCTTCCCATCCCAATCATCTGAAGCCAAAAAAAGAATGTACTGGCTCAGAGAGCTTCGAAGTCCAGAATTGATGTTGGCTTCACGTATAGTTTAAAACATTTTCACCAGAACCCATCTTTTTGCCTCTCTCTGCACAGGCTGTGCACCTCTCATGCTCCTCGGGGTTACAGAATCTCCAAACTTTACATCTTTTTAGTTTCACATCTAGCCAGAAAAAGAGAACTTTGTCTTCCTTTCCTCCTCTTCCAAATAGACAAAAGTTTGGGGTCCAGGTTTCCCTCTGTTAGGTAATGTTGAATTCCTATTTCTGAAGCAATCACTAGAGCCAGGAGGATAGGATGCACTGAGGAGGTAAACCAGTGGTTCTGTATTCTGGCTTCACATTATAGTTACCTAGAGTAGTTAAAAAACATTTAATGACTGTGACAGAATTATGACAGAATATCTGGGGATGGGATACAAGCATTAGCGTTTTCTAAAAGCTACTCAGTTGACTGTCGTGCTTCCATGTTTGAGAACCATTGATTTAGGCTATTCAGTACCCAACCCTGGAAGGGTGATTAAGGCCACTGCTATATGAAACTCATAGACTGAGAGTATGGGAGGGGTAATCTAGCAAAGGAAATTTAGATCATGATTTATCCAAAGAAGGGTGAAATGATCCTGGATGGTATAAAATAATAATGTCCTCTACTTTGAAATAAACATAATTTGACTCCTCTTCTTCCCTGTTTGTCTCCATGTTTTTCCCTAGGTAGGTAGAAGCTGAGATTCTTATAGGATTCTGTGGCCTGATGATTCAGCATCAAATAACCTGAGAGTTAGAAGTGCAAACCCAGTTGGGTTTCAATTGGACAGTCACATATTCCTCTCTCCAGAAAAGTGACAGGTCATCAGAGGATGGAGAATGGTCTTTTCCCTGGGGTGGTATGGGGGTCAGGCAAAGAGAGAGGAAGTCAGTGAGACCTTGCCTTCTCCTAGAGATGTTTCTGCCTGTGGATTGCATCCCAAGAATCATACTATTTCCATTTTACCTTGAAATATAATACCTTTATGGTAAGCCAACCTGTTTTCCCTAAGAAAAATGCATTCCCAGCTTCATGAAAATATAGAACATTAACTCCTGGATTCATAAGCCAGCCCTATTCCCAGGCAGTAAAGCCTCTGAAAAAGACGAAAAGCACCAAGAAAAATAAGATGAGTCTTACAATTTCCCGCAGAGCCAGGACTGCATCTTTCAGGATACAGAGACTCTTGCCAAGGCCCATGCTGAACTCACTCAAGGTCTCAGAAGGTCTCCAGTTGTCATTAGTTCTAGAGTCTTGCAGTGATATCTGGTGAGGTTGAATTTGTTGGTCCTCAGTCCTCCTTTCATTGTTCCAGCCAAACAAATTCTTGCACAGCCCTGAATGCTACATGTCTTATACTGAGATCCACACCTAGGTCTGGCCTCGCAGGTCCCCACCATCTCTAATTATACCCATCCTAGATTCTGTCCTCTCATTGGCCTGCTCTCTACAAGAATCTTCAGAAATAAAAGCCATGTGACTGGGAAGGGAAAATAAAGTTTCCTATGCTAGGCTCTGTGTCAGATGCTTTACATACCTTATCTTCATAACATTCCAAGAAAGTGGGTACTATTATTGCCCAGCTAGTAATTAAGGAGACTTAGTAAATCTACTTAATTATTACCTGTATGTTATACATAACATGCCCATTTTATTTTATTTATTTTTTTGGAGACAGGGTTACTCTGATACCCAGGCTGGAATGCAGTGGTGCGATCTTGGCTCACTGCAACCACCACATCCCAGTTTCAAGCAATTCTCCTGCCTCAGCCTCCCAAGTAGCTGGGATTACAGGTGTGTACCACCACACCCGGCTAATTTTTGTATTTTTAGTAGAGATGGGGTTTCACCATGTTGGCCAGGCAGGTCTTGAACTCCTGACCTCAAGTTATCTTGAGGTTATACAGCTGGTAAATCACTGAGTTCAGATTTGGTGCCATATTTTTCCAATATATAAAGTTCAACATATTAACCTTTCTGGTAATTATAGTTTTCTTTGCCCTGAGGATCACCAGGGTCATTGAAAGTAATGCCTGTGTCTAGTACACTGTAGAAATCCCTCCTGGCCCAGAGTGCCTACTCAGGACATATGTGTTGCATAAAAGATATGGTGGGTGGTGAAGATATTTTTGACCTGGGAAGGAAGTTTCAGATTCCCCTTAACTAATACTTAACTCTTCCAGTTCACTGACCAGTTTTGTTTGTCAAAATTAAGACTGTAGATGTGTCTATATTCCTTCTGGCAGCTCAGGCATGCCCCAGTACACCCTAGCACTTACGCTCAGAGTTAAGAAGGTGCTGAGGAACTTTCCAGACTCACAGAATCCCTTCTGCTTTTGCCCTTCTCCCAGACTGCCTATGCAAGGGCCTCATTCTTAGAGCCCCTCCTCAGGGCAAGAGAACCTCACCAGAGTATCTTTAAACCAGGGACATGTACTTCCTATAAAAACCCATGAAAAAGACTTACGGTGGGTCCTCAAAAATATTTGGAATTTTGAAATCAAAGCATATTAGAGGGTGAATTACAGCAAACTTGATTTAGTTCATCTCCCTTATTTTATTACCTTTCCAAATTATAAAAGCATCAAATACTGTGTACACTATTGACTGGTTTTGTATAGAGGACAGGTTGTATTAGACTCTGTATTAGATAGGTTGAGAATTATATAACACTGGAGGTATGTCTAGAACACTTAGTTATTTAATCCCAAGGGGTTCAATATAAAAGTGAAAGTGAGGAAAGAATCTCTAGAGTCCCATCGTCAGTCTTGATCCCCTGACCCTATAAGCACTGATCAGTGTCTATGTTCAGGACTGGAGAAGACAGATATTCTGGCAAAAAGGGCTGTGGAAAAAGCATTCTCATAGCAAAAATTAAGGGATTTTTGAAAATGTAATTAATACCTGAAATCTGTTCATTTTGAGTTAATCAAAAAGGAGATTATTCTAAGTAGACCTGAATTAACCTGGTGGAAGCCCTTAAGAGAGGGACTGGGGTCTCTCCCTGAGATCAGAGACTGTCCCCAACTCGCCTTGAAGAAGCAAGTCCCCACGATTCCACACTGCAGGAAAATGAACTCTTTCAACAGCCTGAAGGAGCTTGGAAGCTCTTTTACCAGTGTGGCCAGTACCTTGATTGCAGTCTTGTGAGTCACTAAGCAGAGAACCCAATTAAGCTATGCCTGGATTTCTGCCCCACAGGAATGTTAAGATAGTAAATGGGTGTCGTTTTTAAGCCTCTAAATTGGTGTAGTGTGTTACAAAGCAACAGAAAACTAATATACTGCCTCTCCCCCCAAGACTTTGTGAAGGGTAATGGTGGGTTATTTTAGTTTGGATTTTGGGTGGGGGTGGGAATAGTGCTGGTGCTTTCCACGATTTTTATACCTCTGATGTCTAAGACAAATCGAGTCGGGGACTATTCAGCATAAGCTTAGTTAATGAAGATATTACTTGCAAATACGATCATTACTGACCTTTGGGGGCATAGCTGCTTTGAAAACCCCCCCAAAACAGAAAATAAACCTAGGTTGTGGGGGAAAACATACATGATTTATACATACTATGTCATCCAAATCCTCCAGCAACTCTGTGAGGTAGTATTAACCCCACTTAAGGATGCAGTAACCAAGATGTAGAGAGGAAAATCCACCTAACGAGGGTCATTTAGCTCTTAAGAAAAATTGTTGAAAACACAGCTGTGTACCCATTTGATGTCTAACTCACCCACTCAGGTATTATTAATTCTTTATGTGAATGTACCTTTGTATGATGTATTAGTTTTCCATTGTTCTGTTGATGAAATCCATTTTCTTATGGTTGTAGGACTGAGGGCCCCAGTTTCTTTCTGGCTGTTATTTGGAGATTGCTGTCAGCTGCTGGAGGCTGCCCGCAGTGCCTAAAGGCCACTCACAGTTCCTACAGGCTACTTGCAGTTTCTTTCCACATGGACATTTGCAACATGGCTGTTCCTTTCTTTGAGCCAGCCAGGAGTATCTGCTAGAAAGACGAGTATTCTATGATGCAACCTAATCATAGGAGTGGCGTCTCATTACCTTAGCTATATTCTATTGATTAGAAGCAAGTGTCAGGTCCTGCCTACCCTCAAGGGGCAGTGATGAGTTTTAAGTTCTTTACTGAGGTCCCCGTTTGTAGGGTATTAATTCTATGTTTGCAAGGTTATTTCCTTTACTCTTTGTCATCCTTAAGGTCAATTTTTTTGCAGGTTTTGATGGTTTCTTGTAATTGGCAAAGAGAAACAGTCAGCTGCAGAAGACAGAGAGCGCCTGCTCAAGACATTGTGAGGATTTATAGTGCTCGATCTTCTCTAATCAACAGTAAGTTATTAATACTCCAACACTCTATTTTCACAAAGCCCAGGGAAACACCCTTAAGCACTCTAGCCTAGTGAGGTAAGGAAGCTAGGGGGAAGACGGCTCTGCAGAAAGAACAGGAAGAATGGACCCAGTTTTCGAGTAATCAGATGAAGCCTTAATTCCTTCAACTGGGAGACAAAGTCCAAATTAATTTGCATGATTTTTTTCCCTATGCATGAAAAATGCTTGAAAGTAGACAAGAAACTTTTTCATCTGGGCCACTGACTAAAATAATGTTTTTATTAATACTTTGTCTCTATTTGAACGTGTGGCTTTTTGGCCTGGCATGTGTAGAGGATGTATTCACCGTATAAAACTCTTCATCTACATGTTTCTAGAGGCTCCCAAAAGCCCTGAGGAGTACGGGTTAGTAGAACAGGAAGAATCCAGGGTTTTGGAGTCAGATCCCAGATTGTGTTTTAGCCTGCCCCTTGGTAACTCTGTGCCACTGAGCAAATTATTTCTTCTTTTGTGAGCTTTAGATCTTTCATTTGTAAAATGAACTTAATAATACCCAAATTGAAGATCAAAAGAATGGATACTTGTGAAAGAGCTTATAAAGTAGAAGTGCTCTATATGTGAAGTACCATTGGATTATTAAACCATGGTAGTTTTTTTCAATGAAGTTTTGAGTAAAGTCAAGGGATATTTTTATCTGACAATGTCAGTATAGAAAACCACAATGTTTTTCCTTAGACTCTAGAGTGCTACGTATTAAGGACATTGATTTGCCTCAATGTAATAATGCTTATATTTCACATATTTTGAACTTGATAAGATTTCTACAATGTTCTACAAGGATTTATATAAAAAAAAAATGGACTTCAGAGAAATTGCCATAAACACATAATGGGAAAACAGGTGCTGTTTAGGGGAAAGAGCTTTACTTGGTGGACAAAATTTATATGCAGGAAGCTTGTAGAACATGGCAATTTTTCCTGTTTCCAGAAAATTTATCCTTTGATCACAGAATAAAGAGCAGGACTAGGATAAAAGCTGAGAGTCCTACACTGATTTTTCTCCCATGGAACTTCCTTCTTGATAGTTGAAGGAAGGATTCTTTAATATCCCCTCCCCTGCTTTTGTTCTAGTTTCTGATGAATTTGGCCACAGGAAAGCAGTGAGTCTTGCTGTCTATGGATATAGCTGATTTCAGCATGAGTTAAAGAATTCAGCCTAAAGAAAAAGTGAGATGAGGAGATAAAAGTTCTATTAGTACATTTTCTTCATTCCAATGCAGTTGAGACTAGGGCCTTTTTGCCAGCACATCCTTGGAGACTTTGTCCAGTTGATTCTCAAATAATTTAGGTAATTGTCCTCTTCTTAATTCTCTTGGGCGTTCATTCTACCATGCGATGGAGCTGACTCTTAGGATGTTCTTGAGATCATATTATTGTATACAATTTCTTAATACATTTTCCTCTATTTAATTTCACGTCTATAAATAAATCAGTAAGAATAAAAAAAGGGAGAAGAAAGTAGTTAGGAGATGGACTGGGCAGGTAGGAGCAGTTGTTGGTTGGTGGGAGGAGGCGGAGGAGGCAGGACCTGTGATAGTAAAGGGCTAGTTGGGGGAAAATGGCTCTCAGAGTGGGTCTGAAGAGGCAGCAGCAGCCCAGGATTAACAGCGAATCTCCTTCCTAATTTTGAGCTCCCTCTAAGCTGAAGTGTGCCTCAGGATGCTTACTTCATTAATCTGTATGGATTTGATCAATTTTCCAGTTGCTAACTTCAAATTGATATTTACTCCATTTCAAAATTCCATAGCTATCCATGTTAGCCTGCACAACCCAAGTTTTTAACATCAGTCATGGGAGGACTGGGGAGTGAGGGTGAGGAAGATAGCCTAACTCTCTGCTTCATTTTGACTTAGCCAGTGCTTTTCCCATGGACTCAACCTATCCCCTCCTCTAGTTGACATTCCTGTGTTGCTCTGCTGTTGAATGCTGGCTTACAAAGTAATAGATTTCTGAAGGAAACACAAGAGGGCAGGCCCACAGCATACAAGAGGGCTCCAGAGCCCAAACAGAACCAGTGTCATCTCCATTGTACCTCTGAGGGCAGTCAAGAGTAGAGATTCCAGATAGATGCTGGAAAGACAAGGGAAGTAACACATGGCATTCTTAGGGTTCCCTTACAAAAAGATACCCACAAAGAGGAGAGATATTCAAAGAATTGTTGATATCAGCCAAAGGTAAGCATGCTTTAAACATTTGAGCTCTGCTCTGCTTTCTATTGTTACTGGACCCCAAAGCCAACTGTTTAACTGCTTTCAATGACTTGCCTTTGCTCTTGGAATAAAATTCACAATCGTCCACGTGAACCATAGGATGCTGCCTGACTGGGTCCTTGTACTCTCTGGCCCCACATCTGGCCAGTCTTGCTTGCATTCTGGCCACACTGACCAACATCCATTTCCTTGAAAATGTCAGCCTCTTTACGCTTCAGGGCCCCCCGTATGCTGCTGGCTTCTCACCCCCTGCTATTTCCCTGATTAATCCCCACTTACCTCTCATACCATCTTAATTATCCCATCTTCAGGGAAAGCTTCTCTGACCACCTTGCTCCCAGACTAGGTCAGGCCACTGTTGCGAGCTCTCACAGGACGTGGCCTCTAGAGAAGGTGTAATTAAACACATAATCTCATGGTACACAGGTAAGGGTATCCACTTCCCTGGACTGTAAACTCTGGGAGGACAGATACCTGGTCTGCTTTGCTTGTCTGTATCCCCAGAGCCTGTTAGTGTTTGGTGCATACTGGAAACTTATGCCTTTCTGTAGGAAAAAAAGGCAGTGTAGCTTACTGCACATGCTCAGAAAAAGGTCTGTTTATAGCAGGGTGCAACCCCTCCAGGAATAGCCAGGGAATGACAGGACGCAGTGTGGTGGTAGTTGTTCAAAGTGATTTGAACAATTAACATCTCTTGTTTAAATGGATTAAAGGAAGCCTTTTCAAATGGGAAACTAGTTCTTTGCCAGTTTAAGTCATCAAAGCAATACTCTAAGGGTGTCACAGGTATCTTCTGGTGGATTCCTGGGTTTATTAAACACATAATTAGAAATATACACCCCTTCATGCTGTTAAAACATCTTTACAAATGAATTCTCAATCTCCTGGGTATTTTGTGTGCTTTCCCTGACTTCATAGTATATATCCATATATTTACATAAGTTTTTTTTTTCTCATTGAAATTGTTAACCCACTGAGAAGTAAAGACATCTTTGTTTCTCTTTGTTTCTTCACAGCAGCTGGTGCATTGTTAAATAATGTTTACAATAATACTTAAGGATAACAATGGTAGCATATGTCTTGGGAAAATTAAAAGGCTCTTAGAATATCTTTTTTAAATTTTTCTTATATAGTGGATAGCTCACTGGGATATTTAGGTCCAGTTAAATGTGGATAAGGAGGGTGAAGACACTCAGTGGTGTTCCATGGATAAGCACAAATTAGCCATTATCCAGAAACCGTATCATCCAAAGGTACCAGTTCCTTTTACTGGTGAACAGGAAGCCTGGTGGTTTCAAAGTCACTAAGACACACTAATACACTAGTAATTTTGGAAGAAAGGAGACTCTTCAGAAGCCTTGTTAGGGAAAGGAGCCATGAAGATTTGGAGAAATGGGAGTCAATAGTATTAAGGGCCCTGAGAGGAAGACATGGGGCATGAAAAGTGTCCAAGCAGGACCATGACACCATCATCATCGTGTTATGTTAAGGTTGAGTTGGTGAGGAGCTTCCCACACAGCCTTGGCTGGTGTTGGGGACACAAGAAGGCAGCACAGATGCAGGAGTTCAGCCTCCCAACTTTTCTGTAAGTCCTGTGTAGGAATGAAGAGGTCAGTAGCAGCTGATACTGTAATGGCCCAAACTGAACCACTACCAATATTAAGACACATCGGCCCAAGAGGAGGTGATTAGGGAGGGAGAGAGATTCAGGATATTACCTTTAAAGTCCTTCACTCCCATCCCGGGGTGGCGGCGGGGGCAGGGGCTCAGTAGGATTCCTCCTGCTCTTGCTGCCTGTTTGCTAGCAGCTCTTGCTGTCTCACCTGGCAGTGATGTTTCACTGCTTCTGGTGGTCAGTATCATGAGTGTGTCTTTGCAGTTAGATTAGGGAGACTGTGGTCCATCCTCTGGCACTGTCTTGGCCACCTCAGTGCATGGTACAGATATGGTTTCTGTACAAATCTTACATTTGAAAATAGTCTTGCTCTTTATTCAAGTCACACATGTAGAAGTCATCAGGTCCACCCTACCAATCCCTCCTGATATCGTCTGGTCCTAATGCTAACCTCCTAACTGAATAGCTCTGCATTTTCACACCTGGCTACTTGTTGCAGACATCAGAAACCATAGCGTGCTTTTCTTGGAATCAACTACAATTGTAGAATTTTCCTTACTTTTTCTTCTTCTCTCAATGTTCAAACAATGCTACAATTGTTTGAGTGAACATTGGTTATTGATGATGCAGGTGGTCCAGCTTCATTTCCTACTGTGTACTTTCATTGGCCTCCTTTCTGGGTCATGCTGTTGGCCTCCTGCTGGGTGTTCCTGGATGTTGGGCCATATGGGTGGTCTGAGATAGTGCCTGTATTTCCTTACTGAACTCTGCAAAGCTTTTTAAAGATTTTTGGCTTCCATGGAATTACTTTGTTCTTGCTCCTTCCTGAAATAATCCATAATCATGCCTGTTCCATTATCCTCTGATTTAAAGACTTAAGTGCATAGTCTAGAGCCAAGATGAAGTGGGAGAAGGAATTAAACTAAAACCCAACTAAAATTTTTAAACTAAAAATTTAGCAGGAAGCCAACCATGAGAAAATTGTGGTATCTTCAATTTCAGCTGTTATGTAGAATAACAAATTAGAAGAAGGACTGAAATAGATGTTAATCTGTGCTTTGCTACTACCTGGCCAAATGACCTTGAACGAGTCATCTTAACTTTTGTGATCACTGTTTCTTCATCTATAAAATGAAAAGATTACAATAAATGGACCAACTTGAAGGCCCTTATTGGCTCTAACATTCTAGGGAGACATAACACACAAACCTCAAATGCTAACAGAAGAATGGAACTTTTCTAGTCCAATGGGGAATTTGGACATGACTAATGTAAAGATCATTAGAAGTTGGAATAATTATGACATGATCCCCTTCATGAAAAGAAGTCTCATGCATGGGGTTACTGTGTGCAAAGCTATTACACAAGGCAAGAAGAAGGGAAAACAGCAGGAAAGCAAAAAAAAAAAAAAAAGGACTTAATCTATACAGTAAGCATAGAGTAGTGCTAAGCACTTGGTAGACATTATCTTATGATTTTCACAACTCCAAGGTAGATATTATAATCTTCACTTGGTAGATGAGAAAAATGAGGACTAGGAAGGTTAAATAAATTGCCTAAGGTGGCCAGGCATGGCAGCTCACGCCTGTAATCCCAGTACTTTGGGAGGCCGAGGTGGGTGTATCGTGAGGTCAGGAGCTCCAGGCCAGCCTGGCCAACCCCGTCTCTACTAAAAATACAAAACCCGTTTCTACTAAAAATACAAAAATTAGCCAGGCATGGTGGTGGGCACCTGTAATCCCAGCTACTCAGGAGGCTGAGGCAGGAGAATCGCCTGAACTCAGGAGGCGGAGGTTGCGGTGAGCTGAGATCATGCCATTGCACTCCAGCCTGGGCGACAAGAGCAAGACTCCATCTAAAAAAAAAAAAAAATGCCTAAGGTTGAGTACATTGCCTAAAATTATAAGATACACCAAAAGCAAGTTGTTTATATCAGATTCAAATTCAAATCTTTCTGATTCCAAAGTTTCTACTCCTGAACTCTATTAAAAACAACAACAACAACAACAAAGCTGTATTTAAAACATGACAAAAAATCAAGAAGAAATTCCACTCCCCCATACTTGGATTTACTGCGGATGTTAATGCAAGTGATTCTACAAAGGATTCAGACTGATAGTCAATAGGAGAGAAATGCTGCCTCATTTTTTAGAGTATGGGAGGCTCCTGAAGGAGATGGTCTTCTGAGAGCCTTTTCAAGTTTCCATTATTATTGCTGAAGTTGAGATGGAAGGAGCTGGAACCCTTCCAGAAAAGGGAAAATTGTCAGGTACCAAGAATCCAGGGAAGCCTCTCTGTGCCTCTCACATGTCTGCTTTGTTCTGTTCACCTGCTTTATTTCTCTATGTCTACAGATGGGCTCTCTTTGCCGGTAGTCACATGGTAGAAGGGGCTATGCCACAGCTATCCAGATCACATCCACAGAGGTAACTTCTGATGTCTATCCCCATCAAAAGAATTCCCATTTGTCCAGCTTGGGCAATAGACTGTGGTAATTACTACTGTTGGTCCCAAAGAATTATATATCCATAGTATTTGCATTGCCTCTTGGTGGATAGATGGCAGTGAAGAGACTGTTATAGGATGTTGGGAGAATGGTAATTCATGTGCTGGCAAACATTTTGTGAAACTATTGCCTGTGGAATATGGAAAACAGAAAGTGTTCTAAATGAACTTGAGCATCAGGTTAGTCAGTTGGAAGCAGAATTTGAAAGTATGAGCCAGTCGCTACATGTACATTTGATAAAGTAGTACAAGAAAGGGATTAGCTCCAGGAAAGAAGGTTTATGAACAGTTTCAGATGAATATAGAGATTCCAGAGATTCTGGACTTTCGTGGTTGGAAAATGAAACTGCTACTGTCTCAAAGGCATGGCCATTAGACCACAGCCTTAGGACTGAGACCCCATTCAGAGCACTGCCATCAAGAAACAGTATCAGAGCAAATAAAAGTCACAGGCTTTGTTAACACTTCTGAAAAGATCGTGGGGTTACTGAGTAGAGAAAAGGCATTGTGAGAAATATTAGGGATGTTGTCCCATCCAAGCCCCACAGAGCAGATGCTTCCCGTACCCCACCCAGATTCCCTCGACCAGGCTGATACACTTAGGCCTCAGCTGCTGCAGGTGCTGGCTGCTAATGGCTCACACCTGTGCTCTTACATACATCCTTGCCCTTAGCAGACTCAACGGGTCCTGACCTCCCTTTGGCCTAATGCCTCACCATCCACTGGCCTTTCCACAAATAATTCCCAATGATTTCAAACTTAGATTAAGAATCAGAATTTTAAATGGAAGCCTAAAGCAGCGCTAGAAGTAAAATGGTCACTAAAGTATAGAAAAGTGGTCCTGCTTTATGTACATATTGAATATATGAAATCCCAGAACTATGTCATAGTTCTACAGCGTTTAAGCAACTTCACTCCATGTGATGTAGATAAAAATAATACTCAAGTTGCAGGCATCATCCTTTCCCCCATTTTCCCTGATATTTTTGCTGAAGTTTGAATGAGAATAGGAAAAGTGCCGAATACTACATTATACAGAAGACTTATGAGAAAGCTAGCTCACAAAGCCCCAGTGACTATAACAAAAGGCAACTGATAAGAATAGCAAGAAAGGGGAGTCATTACTGCCCAAAATATCTTGACAGGTGAATGTGGCTGACCTTCTGATGTAGAGCTCTGAAAATTGTAAAAATTGTGAAAATTGTAAAAATGTGCAGCTCTATTCAATCTGAAGTAGCAGCTTTTTTAAGTTCTGATTATGACACAGGCTCCGTGGCTCTATCTCTGCATTTCTTCCAGTAGCAACTGATGTGGAGGAAGGCCATTGCTCCCAGGAATGCCTTAAGAAAGGACTGCCCAGGGCCATCTCAATCTGGCCCTGAGTATCCATGTTCTCCAGCCTCCTATCTCATGACTTTCCCCCCAGGTACCATCTTCACTCCTGTCTTGGTTCACTTCCTAGTGGGCCATGAGTGCACTATACCACGCCATTTGCCCATCTTGTCTGTGGTCAAATCATTCTTTAGTTCCAGAGATATGTAATTTAATTATTATTATTTTTGAGACAGTCTTGTTGTGTCACCCAGGCTGGAGTGCAGTGGCGTGATCTCGGCTTACTGCAACCTCCACCTCCTGGGTTCAAGCAATTCTGGTGCCTCAGCCTCCCAAGTAGCTGGGATTACAGGCGTGTACCACCACGCCCAGCTAATTTTTGTATTTGTAGTAGAGACGAGGTTTTGCCATGTTCGCCAGGCTCTTCTTAAACTGCTGACCTCGAGGCCTGCCTCAGCCTCCCAAAGTTCTGGGATTATAGGCCTAATTTAGTTCTTTAAGTGAAGCAAAGTGATCCCTCTTCTGAGCTCTCTTGAAATATTGCATGCACATTACAGCTTTTCTGATGGCTTTGCATTGCATGTAAGATAAAATAATCCTGTCCCTGGCTTGCAGTGTCCTGAATTATCTGCTTTGGCTTCCTTTTCATGCATCCTTTCATGATTTGCTCCCATGTCTCACAAAGCTGTAGCTGGCTTTTTTCCATTTCTCTAAAGCACAGAAGCCCCAGGGCCTTTGTCTATCCCTTTCTCTTAACCTAGAACTGGTCTATTTCTATTTTTCATTTGTTTAATTTCTACTTATTCTTCTGACAGCTAATGACACTTAGATGCAGCCTTGCAGAGTGGTTAGTAGTATGGACTTCATAGGCAAAATGACTGGATTTATATCTGACGTCTACCACTTACAATGTTTGAGAAATTTAATTTCTCCAAGTACCATCATAAAATTAAACAGAGCAATTAGATAGAAAAATCCCAAGCCCCCCAAATCTATGATAAACATTTACAATAATTGATAAGGTATCTCCATGAAAGCTAAATATGAGTAGGTAGGGACAAACCACTGATCCTTCAAGACCTGAATGGTATCAAAGCTGTACTGGTGAAAGCAAAGGAAAACAATGGGGTATCTAATGTATGTCACAGTCCCCCAGTCAATCAGACAGGTTTTCACTGGAAACCTCAGAGGGCCAACCTGAGAGCAACTGCCAAACTCAGAATTTTGCAGACTCTGCTAGCAGTGTGTGCAAGTGGTCAGATCTGAAGGGGCCTGAGAGTCTGGACCTTGCGAATGCTTTAAACTAACCAGACAAAACTCCCTTTTAAGACAAAGCTCCACAGTGAGTAGGAACTGCTTGGAGTAAGATTCAAAGTGAGCAGTACGGGGTCAATAGAGATAAAGAAAAAACAAAGTTTACATGAAAGGAGGGGAGGAGTCCAGAGCTAGGAGATTGTCAGGAAGGAAAACATATCATGAACACTTCACAAGAAGAGCAGAAGAGGGAGCTCTAGAGCCATGAAGATAGGAAGGAAAATAACCAAATTTCATATAAAAATGAGCAACAAAAAGGATATAAAATTCCATAAAAACATGTCAAAAATTAAAAAACAGAAATAAGGAGTGCAACAACATTCCAACAAACAATTAAAATGTGCCAGAAGAAACGTGTTTACAAAACTGATGGGAACACATTCTCAAGTGTAGAAAGAAAACGGGAGGAGGAGCTTGCCAGCATGGAGATGCGTCTGCTAGAGAAGGCGTTCTGGGAAGGGGATCACGAAGGAAGCTGTGGGTCTTTTCTAATCCTTTCCCTCATGGAGAAGCAGGCAGACCAAGCTGGGTCCCATGTTGGCCAGAGGTTTAGTTCCAAGAAAGTAACTGGCAGCCATCACCATGCAAGAGAATGCAGAGCAGGGAGCATGATCTTGCATGGATGATGGAGCCAAGACTCTAGACTAGAGCAAAGAGCATAAGAGCTGAGCAGAGTTCAACCAGGTCATAAACCAAGCAGCGCAACAGCCAACAGGAAGTGATTCAGGAAGGTGTCCACAAATGGCTTTGAAACCGTTTCAACCTCCATTGAGTGGTCAACCTATGTGCAGCCTTCAGACACATCAAGCTGGTTTAAAGTTACAGAGTGTGTGACAACATCCATGGATAGATTAATACCTAAAAAGGAGGGAGGGTATTTTGGAGCAGAGCAAGGATGCCAGCATAGCGAAGTTTTAGGATTTGGAATGGGTAAACTAGCCTAATGAGGTTGGTCTATAGCAGAGGTCTCTGCTCTGAGCACCACCTCATATCCTTCCATCTCACTCACTCTAGATCTCCCACTTTAGAAATTACACAGCCTCGTTGTGACTTTCAATCCTCTACCCTATTACTTTTCTGTATTCTCACTATGCTCAGGTCTTTCTTTTTCTTCTCACCCATGTAGGTTCCTTGGTTCTTTCTGTTCACTCACTTGCAAACCTCATGGATGTCAGCCCCTCATTCCATTGTACTCAAAGAGCAACACTGACTCTGGCAAACCTCTCCATAGGTCTATCATTGCCCAATATCTTTTTCCAGCCCTAACGTTTCCTAGCAATTCCATCTGCTTTCCTGACATTTCCACTTGGATATTTAAAAGACATCTCAATTCTAACTTATCAAAACAACATTGACTTCTCCCCCTCGGCTACTTTTTCCAATCTTTTTCATGTCAATAAACAACACTGCATTTACTAATTAGCCAAGCCCAATCCTAGTTCTTCTCTGTCCCTCAAGAACCACATTTAATCTATCAGTATATTGTGTGGTGTCATTTGCTGAGTCCATTTAATCTATCAGTGTATTGTGTGGAACATACACTGAATCCATTGACCCCTCTGTACCTCCACAAAACATCCCTGGCACAACAGTAGCCTTCCAACATCTTCTAAAGTTGCCTTCTACCTATGTCCATTTGCAAACAGTAGCTGGAGTACTCAATTAGAGTATAGATCAATATAGATCATGTCACTCCCCTGTGTAAAATCCTCCTGTGTTTTCTGATTGTGCTCAGAATAAAATCCTGAATGAAGCTTTCATGCACCTGACTAATCTGGCCAGTTTGCCTCTCTGGCCTACTTATCCCTCCTCCCATTATAGCCTGGTCATACCGGTCCTCTTGGGACAGCTGGAAACTGTCATATGTGTTCTGACATGAGGACCTTTAGGACAAAGAAGGAATGAATCATACTTGCTGTGAAGGAGTAGCGTATGGTGCTGGGGAACCTCTAGTAGGGAGGCCTGACCTCATCTGAGGAGGCAGGGAGGCTGAGATGTGAAGACTAAGCTGGACTGGTGACTATGTGCAGAGCTGCAGAAGAAAGTACCAGATGGAAGGAAGAGTGTGTGCAAAAGCCCTGTGTCTGATGGGATGGTAGTATGTTTGAGCAGGGAGATGAGTGTCACAAGTAGTAGAATATGTCAGAGATCTGGGCAGAGGCCACATCCTTTAGGGTGTTAAAGGCCGTATCAAGGATGCTTTCACTGGGTCCAGCCTACTCATAAGACTGGCTGTCACTAATATTCCACTCTTAGCAATTCATTCTTTAGACTTAGGGCTTGATCCTAACTGAAATGTAAAAATACAGAGAGGAGGACATTCCAATGATATCTGGGTATAAATGATGTCTTTGTGAGTAGATCGAAAGTGGGGTGGCAGGAGGAAAGATGCTTTCTCTTTTGAGAGCCCTGAGGGAAAGACACAAAAATTCTTGGGGCTACTTCTCAATTTCATCCACAGAAGCCCTTGTAGGAATGCCTCAGTGGGAGCAGGAGAACTAAATGTCTTCCAGTTGCTCCAGAGGGCAAGGAACTCACAGATAGAACCTGTGGGTCAGGAAACAGTGGACTCAGAGCTGCCTCTGTGTGGTAAGAAGAACTAGCAGGAGCTCAAACCAGTGTGACATGAAATGTCTGGGCGTTTCTATTTTCAGAACTCACAGGAGAGAGGAAACAGGTATCCCTTAGAGCTCATGAGCATTTGAAAATAAGAATGACATTAGATTTGGGCCAAGTTAGCTGATCTGATGAGCAATTACAGACACATTATGATTCTAGGCAACTTCCTCTCACTCCCTTTGCTTCTTTGATTAGTAAATATTTGCCTTCTTTTTTCTTCTTTGGTTGCATCTGTCTTTCACTTGCTCTCCTGTTTTTGCTTCACTCTCGATCCTGCCTTTCCTCTTATTTTGCAAGTGGAATAGCTAAGCAGCTGCTCACTCTATGTTTCCAAAACCCCAGCTTGACCACCAGCCTTTAATCTCCAAATCTTATTTCTGGCCACAGATAGAAGACTCATGGATTCATGCGTGCACCCCCATCTACTGCAGGAATAGTTGAAAGCTTCTCCCTTTAAGACAGATCTCTCTTGTCCTCCTATTTTCCCCTATGTGAATCTATTTTCCAAAACTCAGCTCCTTTTTAGGCCTTAGAGCTTTTGAGTCAATGACAAAATTTCTTTCTGTTCCCTGAAAACCAATGCCAGAAAGAGGCTGTCCCAAGTGCCCTTGGCTCAGACTCTCCAGTCCAGTGAGATGGGCTGGCAGGAGGCTGACAGCTTCCTTTAATGGGCAGGATGTATTTTCTAGTGATTGATCACTTCCTCCATAAATTATGGATATCTCTGCTGAGGCCAATGAGTTATCAAGAAGCCGTTTGAGCAATAAATCCCTTCTCTACCATTCTATGGGCAGTATAGTACTGGCATTGTTCAAGTCACACAGAAATACAAGGCTTTGCAGGAATGATACTTTCCTAAAAAGCAAATTTTCACTTGTTAAAGCCTTGCAGGGAAGGCTTTGAGGGGACATGCAACTTTAGTCTGGGCAGCCTTGCTTCCCTCAACTCATTTAGGAGGGAGGCCTGGCTGGGATCATAGCAGGCTTGATTTGAACGAAGTGTATGATTTGAAATGAATGACTTTTGGTTCGTTGTTATTTTTTGGCAAAAGGGTATTTATTTGTGGGCTGATGCAGGAGGGATGGGAAAGAGAGAGACTAGGTAGCAGAGGGTTAGGGGAGATCACAAGGGAGTTATTGTAATGGGGACTCTGTAAGACTACAGCCTCAAGCAATTTCCCTTTGGGACCTAGGAGAACAAATGTGGCATGGAATTGAAAATAGATCATTTTCTCCATTTTTGCAGAACCCTTTCGGCACCTTCAGTACTGGCATCTTTGGGAATGATATCTTAGTCACAGACACTGGTGTTTTCATGAGCATAAGACATGAGAAATATTAGAACAGATGTGTGAGTCAACAGCCCAGGATATGTTCAGTCTCATTCTTTTGCAGCCAACACAGCACTGAGGACTTGGGTGGTGATTGGCAGTTGCAGAGACCCTATAAGCCGAGAGATCAGAGGTCTGAGTCTTGGCTCTGCTGCTTCTCTTAACCTCATGGGTAACTTTGAACAATTTCTCCTTTCTGTGTTTCCAATTTCTTATCCTTAAAATGAGGCATTTAGGGATAAGGGATCTTTTAGTTTCCTTCCAAATCTAGTATTTAATGTCATTGCCATTAGTCAACAGGGATTATTTTAAAATGTTAAAATAATGATTTCAGATTAGGCCAAGTCCTTGCTTAAAACTTCTCTACAGCTTCCCACTGAATGTGGGTAAACGCTGACGCCTCCACGCCCCACAAATCCTCACAGTCTTGCCCTTGCGCAGCCCCTGACCTCCCCTCCAGCCAGCCATCCCCGAGGTGCTTATGCTCCAGCTCCTTTCATCTGCCAAGTTCATTCTCACCTTAGGGCCTTTGAACATGCTGATCCCTCAGCCTGGAAAGAACCTCCCAAGCTTTCCACACAGATAGATTCTTATCACCTAGCCTCAGCCTCAGCCCTGATGCTGCCTTCTCAGAGACCCTCCCTTACCACAGCATAGATGATGCCAGCCCCACCCAGACATTCTGTATCCCATTCCCTTACTTTATCATCCTCATAACCTTTCTAACTATCTGCAGCAAACTCATTTATTTTATATTTATTTATTTGGTCTCTATGACAGCAGGGCCGTTGGTTGTCTTACTTACCACTATAGTCCCAGTGTCTGGCTTACCTCAGTTGTATACAAACCTTTATTGATGGGGACAGCACAGACATTTCACTAGCAGTAGAATCAGCTAAGTCCAAAGTTTTTGACTAGATCTTTAAAAAGGAGCCTTTTAAACTTTGATCAGCTTTAGGAACATTTACTTTTTCTTAGTCTGAGTTACGAGGTCGGAAAGAGGTTCCCCCATCCCAATTCCTGCTAAAACTGAATAAGAATCAACATAATACTTAGTTTAAAATTGGGAGAAAGGAAGTAACACATATTGTGTACCTATGATGTACCAGGCATTGTGCTAGGTGCTTTAGTTGCAAACTTATTTACTTCATGCAACTCTATGATACAGGTATTATCACCTTGGTCGCACATGAGGAAACTGGAATTCAATGGCATTCAGTCACTTTTCTATGGTTGTACTTCTAAAAATTGTAGGACTGGAGTTTAAAATTAGAAATACATGGTTGGAGGTTCATGACAATTTCTCTCTATGTCACTGTCTTTTTATTGGTTGTCCCCAGGGTTACTCTCAGATTTGATGACTCACTAGAAGACTCAAAGAACCTAGGCAAGTTGTTACACTCATGTTGCAGTTTATTACAGCAAAAACATACAATTTAAAATCAGCAAAGGCAAAAAGTGAATAAGACTGAGGCCATGAGAGAAGAGTTGTTCTCTCCCAGTGGAGTTGCTGGACAGCCTTTAATTTTCCCAGCAACGATATGTGACAACTTGTGCAAAGTTTTGCCAATCAGGAAATCTCACTCGAGCGTTGGTGTCCAGAGTTTTTATTGGGGGTCAGCTGCATAGGCATGTGGAACCTCTGCCATTCAGTCTCCAGCCAAGAATGGGCACAAAATTGGAATAAGGTTCTATCAGCCTAGAAATTGGGAGACTTCATACATAGCCACCACTTGGGGAGGCCAGGCCTGGGTATTGATCTGACTTGGGTATCTGAGACCCAGTTTGAAGGGGCTTGACTTGATCTCCATAAGCCATGACATGGAGATAGAAAGCACCAAAAGTGGAATTGGGGGAAGCTGAAGTCAGCTTTTTCTTTTATACATTTTTGTCCTGGTGTCACTCAACCATGGGATGAAAAGTACATTGGAAAGAGCACATGATTTTATGAATAATAACACCTCTGCTGTCATATTTATTGGTCTCAGGAACAACCACCATTTGGTTATTACTGTGTATGGAAACTAAAGACACCTGTCATAGCATGACACGAACGGTGAATCAGACCATTCATAATTTTGAAGCCATTTATCATAATATTGTTAATATATTGGCTCCATTTGGTGGCAGGATACCTAGATGTGATATGTTGCTCTCTAGATTTCCAGTACCATTTTGTGTTAATTAGTAGCAACTTAGTCAAAGCTTAAGATGAAATATTATTTTAAGTTTGCTTGCATGAATTTAAATCACAATAAGCTAAAGTCCATATTGTACATTTTATAAAATTTTACTAAGCCAGAGAGGGGGAATTGTCATGCTGGTAGGAAATCTGATTCACTTTTTTGAATGAGGATTGAGCTTCCCTTTACGGGGAAGGAAGATTTTTCAGTTTCAAGTGGCAAACCCTGTAGTCATTTAATATTTTTGGAGAACCAGATGGGTGTTCAGAGATTTGAGTGGGAGAAGTTTGTATTGATTGCTTAGTTTGAAATCATAAAGGCAGGTAAGGGAAACAGGTGCCTTTCTTTCAACATAACATGTGTCTCTCTAACATTAGTATTCCAACTTTACTGAATTATTGAGCAGGAATAATAATTTTACATGACAATATATGGGCTGACCAATGTCATTCTCCCTAGGAATTAATAAATTGTGTCTCTGTGTTTATCAACTAACATACTCTGAATAGTAGTTGGATTTATTTTTCCTTGCTCCTTTTGGGCATATCAATTAACCCACAGCTGACATCTCATATAATGGCCATAAATACTTCAGCTGCCCAATTCCATAGAAGGGAGAGATGGGGGTATGTGGCATTTTCTGATTTTTCAATATGTGGATGCTGGAAGCTCATTTATTTTTGTAGTCAAAATTCAATGCTTATAATTATTATTATTTGTTTGGGTTTTGTTTGTTTGCTTTTGCTTTTTGAGACAGGGTCTCATCCTGTCACCTGAGCTGGAGTGCAGTGGTGCAATCATAACTCAATGTAGCCTCAACCTCCCGAGCTTAAGTGATCCTCCCACCTCAGCCTCCCGAGTAGCTGGGACTACAGGTGTATGCTACCGTACCTGGCTAATTTTTAAATTTTTTCATAGAAACAGGGTCTCATTATGTTATCCAGGCTGGTCTTGAACTCCTGGGTTCAAGCAATTGTTTATTAGTGAGCTTTGCCTCTTTTGTTTATTCATGTGCTCTGACATAGCCTCATTAGCAAGTTGGGAGACTTAGCGCCATAGAGGGTCAGATTTTCTTTTTTCTTTTTTTTCATTATTATTATACTTTAAGTTTTAGGGTACATGTGCACAATGTGCAGGTTAGTTATATATGTATACATGTGCCATGCTGCTGCGCTGCACCCACTAACTCGTCATCTAGCATTAGGTATATCTCCCAATGCTATTCCTCCCCCCTCCCCCCACCCCACAACAGTCCCCAGAGTGTGATGTTCCCCTTCCTGTGTCCATGTGTTCTCATTGTTCAATTCCCACCTATGAGTGAGAATATGCGGTGTTTGGTTTTTTGTTCTTGCGATAGTTTACTGAGAATGATGATTTCCAGTTTCATCCATGTCCCTACAAAGGACATGAACTCATCATTTTTTATGGCTGCATAGTATTCCATGGTGTATATGTGCCACATTTTCTTAATCCAGTCTATCAGTGTTGGACATTTGGGTTGGTTCCAAGTCTTTGCTATTGTGAATAATGCCTCAATAAACATACATGTGCATGTGTCTTTATAGCAGCATGATTTATAGTCCTTTGGGTATATACCCAGTAATGGGATGGCTGGGTCAAATGGTATTTCTAGTTCTAGATCCCTGAGGAATCGCCACACTGACTTCCACAATGGTTGAACTAGTTTACAGTCCCACCAACAGTGTAAAAGTGTTCCTATTTCTCCACATCCTCTCCAGCACCTGTTATTTCCTGACTTTTTAATGATTGCCATTCTAATGAGGGTCAGATTTTCAAGGACCTTGGAGGTCTCAACACTTCCATTCTACAGGTTGAAAACCTCTATTTTAGAGTTGTTTAAGGAAGGGATTGGCAAACCATTGTCCTCAAGCCAAATCTAGCCTACCACCTGTTTTTATAAATAAAGTTTAATGGAACACAGTCATAATTCCTTTTTGTTTTGCGTATGGCTGCTTTCACACTACAGCAGCAGAGTTGAGTAGTTGTATGTTTGCACAGCTGTTACAGAAACCATATGTTCCCCAAAGGTGCTGACCCCTGGGATAGGCAATGTGATAACCTCTACTGATAAAGATACTGAACTTGTATTTAAAGTGTGCACCAGATGGGAGTAGTATTAAAGTGGGAAATATTTAGATTGTATTGGTTGTAAAAGCATGTGTTCGAAGTGAATATTCTGTACTTGCTCCCTGCTCAACCATGGAAGTCACCACCCAAGGATGGCAGAGAAGTCTCCAGAGACTCCTCTCTGAGTCCCTCACAAAATTATACTTGTTCTAAGCAGAATGAGAGGGTCATGTGAGCCTATTTCTGAAGAAAGTCTCTTGTCTACTCTACACACAATAGGAGGGCCATCCGAGTGCCACCCGAACCCTGTAACGGCTTAGACTTATTGCCTGATCTACATCATCTACTTGCTTAGAGGGCTCCACTATCAAAGTAAAGTTCATACCATCCTTGCCTTCTTGGAGGTTTTATATGGGTCTTGGAGCTGGGACTGGTTGGCAATCAGTTGTAATACGTACATTGATTTCAGACTAATTTAATATATTTTGGATGCATTCAGTTTTCATCAGGGCACTTAGTGATTTTTCTTTTAAATCAGGAACATAGAAAAACAATCACTGGCTTGGAAAAGGGGTTTTAAGCCCCCTGCTACCAAAATCTAGAAGTCCATAATTTCAAGGACATTGGTTTAGACTTTAGTGATACAAAACATGACTCCATGCCTAGTTTGCAGCCTAGTTAGTAAAATAGGACACAAACAGGAAATATGTAAATAATAGGATTTGAGAGCTGTCCGAGTGCAGGAAGAGAGAGGTGACTAAAGGGCTCAGAAAATCAGAGCAGGCACCTTTGGGAATATTTTGACCCAGACAGGTTGGGCTGTCTGTGCGCTTGACTTCTTTCCACAGACTATACACTTCACTCATGTTCCTTCCTCATCTTGAAAATTTTCTCTCCACTCCTCTTCATCTGGCCTAATCCTTCCCTTCTTTCAGGGCCTGCCTCCCAACTTATGCCTTCTTCATTGTTCTGAGCAGTGCTGGTCTAGCAGAAGTTCTGTTCTATACCTACACTTCAGATGAATTGCATTCTGTCACTGCTTCAAGTATTTAAACATTTACTATAAGATTCATGAGGACAGATCATAGCTTAACTTTTCCTCTGCTTCTCAGAAACAGCCCATTTTGAGCACAGAGTAAGCATAAAATGAGTGCTCAGTGTATAGGTTGATCTAAATTGCAGAACAGGAAAGATGATGCCAGATCTAGGCTAGGACTCAGTCTGGAAAGAGAATGGAGTATGGCAGAAAATGGCCAAGGAGGTCCTCATCCCATTGACTAGAGCAATCTGTCTATTTTCCCTCAATGATCCATAGGACTGACCCCATTCATTTCCCTCATCAAATCAACCTCTCCCTTCTAGCACAGTCCAGATTTTAGACAAACATTGTCCAAACCTAGTAATTTGATTTCACCCCTCCCAGGAATGGATGACCAGACCTTACACTTGTGCACACCTTCTCTAACCCTTTCCAGTGCATGTTCCTTGCAGCCCATCAGTTCCTCTCTCACTATTCCAATCCTCATCCTCACTGAGACCACCTTCTCTTTTCTTTTACTATTGGCCTTCTCTGTGTTCTTTCTTTCTCTGTGTTCTCATTTCCTTTATTCAGCTGCACACACCTTAAAAGAGATGCATTCTCTGTGGACCTTATTTTTTTCCTGTTTTTTTTTTTCATCTCTCTACATTTTCCTTTACTTTCTTATTGGTTTTGTCATACAGGCAAATGAGATTTTTCTACACAGGGCTATGCAGATACCACTCCAACTAGAGTTAGGATATTGATGAAGAAATTATCCTAGAGATAAAAAAAGTAATTCAAAACCATGGGCTCTATTGGAGTATGACTCTTTACTAAGAAAAGAGGCCAACCAGAATCTTGAAGGAGATGTTCTCAGAATTTAATATACAAAGCAAGTGAATCCTGTTAGCTCAGAGGGGTGGACTATAGTGGATGATGTGTGTCCCGCCTGCCCCTCCGCGCTTTAGGACTAAGGCATTCATTCTCCCAGTTGCTGGGATTGTTGGCAGCGGATGGCTCTCAGTTGAGCCGCTGATTGCCCTCAGCTGAGGAGGGCCATCGCACCCATGCTCACACTCCCTACAGTGGGAATCAACTGAGGACTCTGTGGTGTCTCCATCACAGTTCAGTTCCTACTTCACAATTCTATTTTCTTTTTGCCTCACAGTTGCCAGTTATGAGAACATTCTCCAATAAATTTCCTGCACACTAATCTCCATCTTAGAGTCAATTTCCTGGGGAAACCCAGCCTGTGACACATAGTATCTGTGAAAGAACCCCACAATTTTTATAACATCGCTTGATCAACTTTATGTACTCTGTTACTTCTCAGTGAGAACTGCTTGTTTCTCTGACAACCTTCTCGTATATTATCAAAGGGAAACATTCTTCCAAGATCCAATTTTTAAATTTATTTGGCTTCAGTGTGATGGTTGAGATAATGTTTTACTTTCTACTCATGGCAGGCTGTACACTGCTAAGTTTTCATGATTGCACAGTGCATCTAACAGTCATCCTAATAATGTGTGCAGTTGTTGCAAAAATAAATTACACACATTGATTCTACTTTGGTTGCACATCTGGGAAATATGCTTCAGCACCTTTGCTGGAAACTACTGTGGACTATACATTGGTGCAAATGAATGTTACTTTGTTCTAATTGGCTCAATATGCAAGTAATGAGCTTATTGTCACTGGACATATTAAAGCAAAGAAAAAAAGTGAAGGAAGGGAAAATAACTAATATTTATTGATCATCTGTTATGTGCTCACTAGGCTAGGACTTTATATATGTTATCTCATTTTATCCCTCAAATGACCTTATTTGCAAAGAGCTATTAGGCCCATTTTATAAGTGAAGATTTAGTGGCCCAGGGAAGTTAAGAAATTCCTAGGTAAAATATTGAGAAAATGGATGACTGGGGAGAAGGGCAGAGCAAGATGGCCTAATAGAAGGCTCCACCAATTATCCCGCCTCCAAGGACACCAATTTAACAACTGTCTACACAAAAAATCATCTTCATAGAACCAAAGTCAGGTGAGCACTCACAGTACCTGATTTTAACTTCAAATAGCTGAAAGAGGCACTGAGGAGGATAGAAGACAGTTTTGAATCATTGACCATTCCTCTCTCATTCCCTGGCAGTGGCCATATGGTGCAGAAAGATAATCTGTGCTCTTGGGAGAGGGAGATTACAGCAATGGTGAGACAATGCATTGAGCTCAGTGGTGCTCTGTCATAGCAGGAAGCAAAACCAGGCTGAACTCAGCTGATGCCTGCCAATGCATTAAACTAGCCCTAGCAAGATGGGAATTGTCCATCCCAGTGGTCTGAACTTGAATTCTGGCAAGCCTCACCACTGTGGGCTAAAGTGTCTTCAGGCAGTAAATAAACTTGAAAGGTGGTCTAGGTCACAAGGAATGCAACTCCTAGGCAATTCCTAGTGCTGAACTGCACTCAGAGCCAGTGGAATGGGAGGACACGTGACCTAGTGAGACACCAGCTGGGGTTACTAAGGGAGTGCTTGCACCACCCCTTCCTCAACCCCAGGCTGCACAGCTTGCAGCTCCAAAAGAGACATCTTCCTTCCTCTTGAGACGAGGAGAGAAAAGAGTAAAGAGGACTTTGTTTTGCATTTTGGATACCAGCTCAGACACCATAGGCACTAGTCAGAGTGGCACTAGTCAGAGTTGTAAGACCCCCATTCTAGGCCCTAGTTCCTAGATGACATTTCTAGACACATCATGGGCCAGAAGGGAAACTGATGCCTTGAAAAGGACCCAGTCCTGGCCTGGCAGGACCCAGCATTTGCTGACTAAAGAGCTCTTGGGCCCTGAATAACCAGTAGCAATACCCAGTTAGCACACCATGGGCCTTTGGTGAGACTCTGAGACTTGCTGGCTTCAGGTGAGACTCAGCACATTTCCTGCTATGGTGGCTATGGAGAGAGATTTCTGCTTGAGAAAAGTAGAGGAAAAAGTAAAGGGGACTCTGTCTTGCATCTCAGTTACCAGGTTGGCCACAATGCGGGGTAGAGCATCAAGTGGGTTTTTGGGATCCCTGATACCAGGAATTGACTCTTGGATGGCATTTCTGAACCTGCCCTAGGCCAGAGGGGAGCTCATTGCCCTGAAGAGTGAGTCCCAGGCCAGGCAGCATTCACCAGAAGCTTACTAAAGAGCCCTTGGGCCTTAAGGGAACATTGGTGGTGGCCTGGCAGTGCTCAGTGTGGGCCTGTGGTGGTGGTCATGGGATAAGGCTCCTCTGCCAGTGGAAAGGGGAAGAGTGAGTGAGAATAACTACATCTTGCGGTTTGAGTGTCAGCTCAGCTGGAGTACATTAGAACACCAGATAAATTTCTAAGGTTTTTGACTCCAGTCCCTGGCTCCCAGATGGCCCCTCTTGACCCACCTAGGGCCTAGGTGAACTCACCTCCCTGAAGGGAAGGACACAAGCCTGGCTGCACTCACCACCTGCTGATTGTGGAGCCCCAGGCCTTGAGTGAACATAGGCTGTAGCCAGGTAGTGGTTATAGTGGGCCTTGGGTGAGACTCAGTACTGTGTTGGCTTCAGGTCCAACCCAGCACAGTCATAGTGGTGGTGGCCATAGGGGTGGTTATGCCACTCCACCCCCATCTCTATGCATCTCATCACAGAGGGAGACACTCCATTTTTTAGGAAGAAAGTAAGGGAAGAGAACAAGAGTCTCAGCTTGGCATTCCAGCGAAATTCTTCTGTATCTTATCCAAGACTATCAAGGTGGTAACTCGGAGTTTGCAAGACCCACAGCATTACTGGGCTTGGGGTGACCCCCTAAAGCAGATATACCTTAGATAACAACACCCAACTCATTTCATATATCTCGAAAGGCTTCCCAGGAAAGACAGGCACAAACAAACTCAGATTGCAATGAGTACAATAAATACCTAACTCTTCAATGCCCACACACAGATGAATATCCACAAGCATCAAGTCCATCCAGGAAAACATCTAATAAAAAATGGGCAAAAGATCTGAACAGACATTTCTCAAAAGAAAACATACAAATGGCAAACAGGCAAGTGAAAAAGTGCTCAACATCATTGATCGTCAAAGAAATGCAAATCAAAACTACAATGAGATACCATCTCACCCTGTTAGAATCAATCTTATCCAAAGTCAGTCAGTAACAAATGCTGGTAAGAATGTGGAGAAAAGGGAACCCTCATACACTGTTGGTGGGAATGTAAATTAGTACAACCACTATGGAGAACAGTTTGGAGCTTTCTCAAAAAACTAATAATAAAGCTACCATATGATCTAGCAATCTCACTCCTAGGTATATACCCAAAGGAAAGGAAGTAAGTATATCAGAGATACCTGCATTTCGATGTGCATTGTAGCACTATTTACAGTAGCCAAGAAGCAACCTAAATGTCCAGCAACAGATGAATGGATACAGACAATGTGGTACCTATACACAATGGAGTACTATTCAGTCATAAAAAAAAATGAGATCCTGTCACTTGTAACTACATGGATGGAGTGGAAGGTTACTACATTAAATAAAATAAACCAAACATAGAAAGACAAACTTCATATATTCTCACTTATTTGTGGGAGCTAAAAATTAAAATAATTGAACTAATGGAGATACAGAGCAGAAGGATGATTACCAGAGGATGGGAAGGGTAGTGGAGGTGTTGGGGTGAAGTGGGGATGGTTAATATGTACACAAAATAGAAAGAATAAATAAGATCTAGTATTTGATAACACAACAGGGGGACTATAGTCAAAAATAATTTAATTGCACATTTAAAAATAACTAAAAGTAAAATTGGATTGTTTATAACACAAAGGATATATGCTTGAGGGGTTGAATACCCCATTTACCCTGATGTAATTACTGTGCCTTGTATGCCTGTATCAAAATATCTCATGTACCCCATTAGTAAATACACCTACTATGTACCCACAAAAATTAAAAATAAAATAAAAAAGGACAAAAGAAGAATATGGAGGATTTAAAATTCCAACCAGCTTTTACCTGACTCTAAGTCTCACGATTTTTCTCTTAATACCTGCTTTTGCCCAGAAGTAAGAGATGAATAGGGGTGTATGTATATGCCTTTTACAAGAAATTCATGCCTCAGTAGGTGGCCTATGCATAAAGGTGGCGGAGTGGTTGTGTGAACTAATGATTAAGAATGAAGATTCTAGGAGAATCGCTTGAACCTGGGAGGCAGAGGTTGCAGTGAGCCAAGATTGTGCCACTGCACTCCAGTCTGGGCAACAAGAGCGAAACTCCGTCTCAAAAAAAAAAAAAAAAAAAGAATGAAGACTCTGAATTCAGATTAATGGGACTCATTGGGTATCACTGGACTAACTCCTTACTGCCTAGGTTTCCCATTCTGTTAAAAAAAGGAATAATAGTGGTATATAACTCACAGAGTTACTGTAAGAAATCCATGAGATAAAGAACTAAGATAGGGCCTGGCACATCATTAGCATTCAATAGATGTAAGCTGTTTTAAAAGTTATTAATAAAGATTGGACTTAATGAATGGTTCAAAATACAGTGTGTGCACTGAAATCACTTGGCATTAAAAAAATTACCTAGGCCTCAACTACAGAGGGTGTCATTAATATATCATGGGTATAGCCCCCATATTTGTATTTTGAAAGAAGGCCTTTTCCCAAATAAGGCTACTACAAACCAGTGGGTAAAAACAATTCGATTAGCAGAACCATACATTCTCTTATATTTCGGAGATTCTGTGATTCTAAAGGGGAGTGCATATTGGCTGTTCAGAGAAAAGCAGGATCTCATTTTTTTTATGACTGAATAGTACTCCATTGTGTATAGGTACCACATTGTCTGTATCCATTCATCTGTTGCTGGACACTTAGATTGCTTCCAAATCTTGGTTACTGTAAATAGTGCTACAATGCACATGGAAATGTAGATATCTCTGATATACTTATTTCCTTTCCTTTGGGCATATACCTAGGAGTGGTTGTACTAATTTACATTCCCACCAACAGAGTATGAGGGTTCCCTTTTCTCCATTGTAGATCATTCATTCTAAACAGGGGTAATATTGCCATCAAGGGTCAAAAATTGGTTCTTTTGGGAGGGGGATGGTGAAAAAAATGTTAGTCTTTCAATATGTAGCTATACATACAGTACATACACAAATATATGATATATCTGTAGTATTACAGTTTTATTGGAGGGAGCAATTAGGAGAAAAAAATGTCTAAAAGGGCTCCTAAGAGAGATGATAATGTAGAAAAGGTTGAAAAACACTGTTGTGAAAGAGCAGGTTTGACTTTAACCTTAAAGTAAAGATGCAAATTTCCTACTTGCCTTTCTGCTTGACTAACTCATACTAATGCTACTCTTGAGTTGTAAGTACTGGGTACGAGAAGAGAATCTTCAAGAGGTTTGAAGATAGCTGTGGGCTGTGATTTAAAGTAGACCTTTCATATTTGAGAGTAGTTTGTTTTTTCTTTGTCTGGTTTGTTTTTTATATCTGATAATTCTTTACTCTTTTTGCCTACCCAGCTGCTGTGTGAGTGGCTTAGAAAACAATATTGGACATAAGAGGCAATGAGCTCTCACAAACAGAGAAAATGGTTTTTCCTCTGGGACCATGTGTTAGAGTTTTCACAAGTAAGCTGCAGACAGGTTAGGCATAAGTGATGTGGGAAATGCACATTAATCGAGGCTTGATTGCTTATTTATCAAACAGCTTAGTGACAATATAGTTGGAATTTTCTATTTCCACCAAAGGCTCTCACACTAAATATCTTGAACGAGACTTTATGGGCATCTCTCTGGTAGATTTAGTGCATTATCCACAGGAACATCTGCCTCCTTAAAAGCTGGGCAGAGGAAACTTAGCTGGTGAAACAGGTGTGTCTGCTTGTTAAGAATCATGGCGTGTAAGTCTGTTCTCACGCTGCTATAAGGACATACCCGAGACTGGGTAATTTATAAAGGAAAGAGGTTTAATTGACTCATAGTTCCACATGGCTGGGGAGGCCTCAGGAAACTTACAATCATGGTGGAAGGGGAGGCAAACACGTCCTTCTTCACTAGGTGGCAGGAGAGAGAAGAATGAGAACCCAGTGAAGGGGGAAGCTCCTTACAAAACCATCACATATTGTGAGAACTTACTATCACGAGAATAGCATGGGGGAAGCCGTCCCCATGATCCAGTTACCTCCCACCAGGTCCCTTCCATGACATGTGGGGATAATGGGAACTACAATTCAAGATGAGATTTGGATGGGGACATAGCCAAACCATATCACATGGCAAAGACAAAGAATCAAATGTCAGGTGTTATTAGAAATAAAAACATAGTTCTTCCAGGGCATTTTTTTCTATTCCATATTTCCCAATCTCTGTCTTTCCAAAGTGAAGGGCACAGTCAGGGTTTAGTTAGAGATAAACAGGGATTTGCAAAAGCTTTTGAGGATGCTGTTGGTCTAACAATGGCTGTTCTCGATAGAGGGAAATGTGACTCTTCTAAGGTTCCTGTCTGGAAAGCAGGATGGTTCAGAGGACACACTGCTGCCTTGGGCACTGGAAACCTTCACTTCCTCTGATTCTACCAGTGACTCAAGAGGGACCCTGGGAGGCTGGGCGCGCTGGCTCACACCTGTAATCCCAGCACTTTGGGAGGCCGAGGCGGGCGGATTACGAGGTCAGGAGATCGAGACCTTCCTGGCTAACACAGTGAAACCCCGACTCTGCTAAAAATACAAAAAAACAAAATTAGAAGGGCGTGGTGGCGGGCACCTGTAGTCCCAGCTACCTGGGAGGCTGAGGCGGGAGAATGGGGTGAACTTGGGAAGCAGAGCTTGCAGTGAGCCGAGATCACGCCACTGCACTCCAGCCTGGGCAACAGAGCGAGGCTCCATCTTAAAAAAAAAAAAAAAAAAAAGAGGGACCCTGGGCAAGTCACCTCACAATTTGGGACCTTATGGTTCTCATTATAAAATAAACTTGGGTCTGCTTATTTTCAAGGCCTTGATATTCCAACCTGCTTATGTAAAGTAGAGCTTAATCTTAAGCTGGACACAAGCCTCCCATGATGCAAGATAATGTTGTTGCAAAGTAATCAAGTAGGAGCCCTTGAAAATGAGGAGGCCCAAGTTTATTTTATAATGAGAACCATGAGGTCCCTTGTTATTATATGTTTATAATATATGTTATATCATTAAATCCTATTCACCTCTATTTCCTGTAGTGTACCTTCAAGTATCCATGATACTGAATAAACCATATTCTGCCTATATCATCTTTCAAGACCTCAATAATCAGTGCTAGCCTGAGGCTTACTTAGGAGACTGTATATGTATTTGTGTGTGAACATGTATATAGATATTCTACAATATGCCTAGGTGTTTAAGAGACTAGCAGCACCATTCATGAACACTGATGAACAGGGCATCTCTGCTATCAGGTTTCTCCCTCCTTGGTCTCTGCTAAATTCTGTTTCTCCTTTTCCAATATTCATTATGTCCCTCCCAGTCAGTATGATTTGGTACCTTGGTTCCTTAAAGGCAGACTGTAACATAAAGTACTTTGTAGTTTTTATTTTACTTTTAAAAATAAAATCCATTCCCAACCTATCAAACAGATATATTAATTATAGCTATTCTGGCATATTATTTCCAAACTTTTTTTGTATGTTTATGTGTCCACATATGCACTAATTTTGGTAGAAGAGGAAATAACTTATTTTTTTTCTGTTGTTTCTGTATTATTTCCCACCCCCTGCTATAACAACACTACATTTCTTTTAAAAGAAAACAACCTATATATCCCCAAAGGACATAGGTAAATAATGGCACATGTCTACCATGGAATACCAAGCCACTATTAAAATTATTTATAGGAATATTTAAAGGTACAGGAAAAATTTCTCAATATGTCACTTAGTAAACAAATTTGCCTGAAATTACATAACTAGAATAAGCTTCTTCTTTTTTTGTTAAAAATAGGCATTTATCTAAAAGTGTATTTATGATTCCAGAGAAGCAGATCTGGTCAGCCATTTAGGAAGAGAAACACTAGAGATTAGCACCACAGAAAAGAAAACAGAGGAGTGTTTTAGAGGATTTTGACCACATAAGAAAGGGTCAAAATCTCAAATGTGACTAGAATGTTAAATATGAAGAGGACAAGGATCTATCAATTGGTTTTGGCAACAAGGGAATGAGTCAAGTCATATTCTTCTATTAATTTATTTAAATTATTTAAATTATCCTCTTTTTAAAATTATGACACTCAGCCATCTTCTGGGAATAAGGGAATTTTTTTTCTCTTGAGCAGGAAGACTTTTCATGATTCAGAACCCCAGATTCCTGAGACATGGCTTCAAATATGTACAACATATTTATCAATTAACTCTACAATAAATAAATCTGGCAGGCACCACATTAAACGATAAAGTTAACATCTCCCATTATGGGGCTCGTTGATATCATGTGCCTTCTGATGTGGTGCACTCAGAAAGCATGACATCACTGCAGTGAGATTCCTGGAAAAAATGCAAAAAGCATGACACAACAATCTAAAAACCTAAAACAAGGAATATCTGTAAAGTAACTGGCTTGTACTTTTAAGAAGTGTTAGGGTCAGCCAGGCTCAGTGGCTCACGCCTGTAATCCCAGCACTTTGGGAGGCCGAGGCAGGCAGATCACAAGGTCAGGAGATCGAGACCATCCTGGCTAACACGGTGAAACCCCGTCTCTACTAAAAATACAAAAAATTAGCCAGGCGTGGTGGTGGGCGCCTGTAGTCCCAGCTACTTGGGAAGCTGAGGCAGGAGAATGGCGTGAACCCAGGAGGTGGAGCTTGCAGTGAGCCGAGATCACACCATTGCACTCCAGCCTGGACGACAGAGTAAGACTGTCTCAAAAAGAAAAAAAAAAGAAAAAAGAGTGTTAGGGTCATGAAACACAAGGTAAGACTGAGGACCTATCAATACAATGAAAGAGACTGAAGCGACATGAGATCTAAATGCAATACATGATCCTAGTTTGTATAGCCGTCCTCTAAAAGATATTAAAGTAGTAACTTATAAATCTTGGAATAGGCCCAGATAGTTACTTTCTGATATAAAGAGAAAATATAAGAAATGTCTACTACTTTCCATTTTGAAATTTTGCCCACTCTAATGCTGTAGACAGACCTAACAGATCCCAGCACTGCTATACTGAGTAACGTTGGTTTATCCTCTATAAACATGATTTGGGAAAAGTGGTCTGCCTGGAAAAGCTTTGATTATTATATAATCATACGAGTTAGAATTTTGAGAATACTTTATACTTTTTCCCCTTTATTTGTACATTGGGGAGAGAAATTGCTTTTAAGAATGAATTATTAAGTCTGTAGAAAGAAATATAATATGAATGTAATGACAACCCTTTACTTGGTTAATAGAAACTAGGCACTAGTGTAAGTGCTTTGCCCACATTATTGAGTTTAGCTCTCAAAATTCTATTAGTTAGTTTTTATGTCCTCAAATTTACATGTGAAGACTATAAAGCACAGAGTGGTTGAACGATTTACTCAAAATAGTAAAACTGCTAAGTTGACAGAGCTGAGACTGGACTCCCAGGGCCTTTTTGTCAAAGGTAAATCAAGGGAAAACTGTGAAGCAAATACCATGATTCCCTGAGGATCAATATGTAGTTGAGTCTCCCTGTAACTTCTAATGTGTGCAAGCCATAAAATCAGAGTTCTGATGGTAGCCCAAAGAATGGGCAAGCCAACCCTAATCTTTTCCTTCTGTTACTATTGTTTGGCTCCACTCACTCTTGACTTTTCCATATCTGTTTAAGTAGTTTATGGAGATATTTCAGACTATATTCTATCCTCAAGAAAGATTTGAATGGCTCAGTTGGTGCTGGGTAGTAAGAAATATAATATGAACAAAATATAAGATTCTGAACATAGAAAGAAGCAGCTTGCCACTGCAGATGCCACGAGACAACGAAAAAACTCCAAAGACAAAAGACATAAACTTTTGGGAGCTCTATGGCCCGGCCCATCACCTGAGAAACCCGAATACTCATCCTGGCCAATGTAGGGCAAGACTGTATCTCCCTTCTACTTCTGCAGCTGATGCTCTCTTAAAAGCACCACCTCCTGGCTGGAGGTCAACCAACTCAAGCCATTACAGCAACTCATAACAGAAAAACCCTGCTCCAAAGAAGGAGAAAACAATAGGTAATTCCACCACCTGCAACACCCTGGCTAACCAGAGGTCCTGACTCTGTCCACGTGACAACTTCACTGTTAGCATAACCAGCATTCAAGACTACCAGCGCACTAAACAAAGCTACAACCAAGAACTGCCCCAGAGTCCACTCCACTCCCCTGCCACCTCCACTGGGGGAGATATTGATATCCATGACTGAGATACCTGAAGATGGATCACATCAGAGCTCTTTGCAGACATTCCTCAGCACCAGCCTGGAGCCTGGTAGCCCCACTAGGTGGCTAGACCCAGAAGGGCAATAAAAATCACTGCAGTCTGGCTTTCAGGAAGCCCCATCTCTAGGGAAAGGGGGAGAGCACCACATCAAGGGATTACCCCATGGGACAAAAGAATCTGAATAGCAGCTCTTGAGTTTCAGATCTTTCCGATGAAATAGTCTACCCAAATGAGAAGGGACCAGAAAAGTAATTCTGGTAATATGACAAAACAAGGCTCTATAGCACCCCACCCCCCGCCAAAAGATCACACTAGCTCTCCAGCAATGGATCCAAGCCAAGAAGAAATCTCTGATTTACCAGATAAAGAATTCAGAAGGTTGATTATTCAGCTACTCAAGGAAGCACCAGAGACAGTCGAAACCCAATGTAAAGAAATTAAAAAAAATACAGGATATGGATGAAAAAGTCTCCAGAGAAATAGATATCATAAAGAAAAGACAATCACAACTTCTGCAAATGAAAGACACACTTAGAGAAATGCAAAATACACTGGAAAGTTTGAACAATAGAATTGAGCAAGTAGAAGAAAGAATTTCAGAGCTTGAAGACAAGGCTTTCAAATTAACCCAACCTGACAAAGACAAAGAAAAAAGAATAAACAAAGCCTCCAAGAAATTTAGGATTATGTCAAATGACCAAAGGGGTTCCTGAGGAAGAAGATAAATCTAAAAGTTTGGAAAACTTACTTGAGGGAATAATTGAGAAAAATTTCTCTGGTCTTGCTAGAGGTCTAGACATTGAAATACAAGAAGCTCAAGGACACCCATGAAATTCTTTGTAAAAAGATAATCACCTAGGCACATAGTCACAAGGTTATCTGAAGTCAAGAGGAAGGATAGAATATTAAGAACTGTGAGGCAAAAGTATCAGGTAACCTATAAAGGAAAATCTACTGGATGAACAGCAGATTTCTCAGCAGAAACCCTGCAAGTCAGAAGGGATTGGGGTCCTATCTTTAGCCTCCTTAAACAAAATAATTATCAGGCCAAAATTTTGTATCTAGTGAAACTAAGCTTCATAAATGAAAAAGAGATAAAGTCTTTTTCAGACAAACAAATGCTGAGATAATTCACCACTACCAAGCCAGCACTGCGAGAAATGCTAAAATGAGTTCTAGATCTTGAAACAAAACATTGAAATACACCAAAATAGAACCTCCTTAAAGCATAAATCTCACAGGACCTATAAAACAATAGCCTAATGAAAAAACCCCACAAGGTATTCAGGCAACAACTAGCAGGATGAATAGAACAGTACCTCACATGTGAGTACTAATGTTGAATGTAAATGGCATAAATGCTTCATTGAAAAGATACACAATGTCAGAATGGAAAAAAATCCACCAGCCAAGTATCTGGTGTCTTCAAGAGACTCACCTAACACATAAGGACTCACATAAACTTAAGGTAAAGGAGTGGAAAGAGATATTCCATGCAAATGGAAACCAAAAGCAAGCAGGAGTAGCTATTCTTATATCAGACAAAACAGACTTTAAAGCAACAACAGTCAAAAAAGAAAAGAAGGACCTTACACAATGATAAAAGGATTAGCCCAACAGGAAAATATCACAATCCTCAATATATATGCACCTAACACTGGAGGTCCCAAATTTATAAAACAATTACTGCTAGACTTTAGAGATAGACAACAAAACAATAATAGTAGGGGACTGCCTGGCCGACATGGTGAAACCCGGTTTCTATAAAAATACAAAAATTAGCTGGGCATGATGGTGGGTGCCTGCAATCCCAGCTACATGGGAGGCTGAGGCAGGAGAATCACTTGAACCCAGGAGGCAGAGGTTTTAGTGAGCCGAGATCGCGTCATTGCACTCCAGCCTGGGTGACTGAGTGAGACTCTGTCTCAAAATAGTGGGGGACTTCAATACTCCACTGACAGCACTTAGGTCATCAAAATAAAAAGTCAACAAAGAAACAATGGACTTAAACTATACCCTAGAACAAATGAACTTAACAGATATTTACAGGACATTCTACTCAACAACTGCAGAATATACATTCTATTCATCATCACATGGACCATTCTTCAAGACAAACCATATGATAGGCCACAGAACAAGTCTCAACAAATTTAAGAAAATCAAAATTATATCAAGTACTCTCTCAGACCACAGTGCAATGAAACTGGAAATCAATTCCAGAAGGAACCCTCAAAACCATGCAAATACATGGAAATTAAATAACCTTATCCTGAGTGATCACTGGGTCAACAATAAAATCAAGATGGAAATTTAAAAAGTATTTGAACTGAATGATAATAGTGACACAACCTATCAGAACCTCTGGGATACAGCAAAGTGGTGCTAAGAGGGAAGTTCATAGCATTAAATGCCTACATCAAAAAGTCTGAAAGGCTCCAAATAGATAATTTAAGGTCACACCTCAAAGAACTGGAGAAAGAAGAACAAACCAAACTCAAACCCAGCAGAAGAAAAGAAATAAGAAAGGTCAGAGCAGAACTAAATGAAATTGAAAAAAATACAAAAGATAAATGAAACAAAAGGCTGGTTCTCTGAAAAGATAAACAAAATTGATTGACTATTAGTGAAATTAACCAAGAAAAGGAGAAGATCCAAATAAGCTCAATTAGAAACAAAATGGTACATATTACAACCAATACCACAGAAATACAAAAGATCATTCAAGGTTACTATGAACACCTTTATGCACACAAACTAGAAAACCTAGAGAAGATGGATAAATTCCTGGAAATATACAACCCTCCTAGATTAAACCAGGAAGGAATAGAAACTATGAACAGACAAATAACAAGTAACAAGATTGAAACTAATAAAAAAATTGCCAACAAAAAAGTCCAGGACCAGATGGATTCACAACTGAATTCTATTAGACATTCAAAGAAGACTTGGTACCAATCCAACTGAAACTATTCCAAAAGATAGAGAGAGAATCCTCCCTAAATCATTCTATGAAACCAGTATCACCCCTAATACCCATACCCGGAAAGAACATCACACAAAAAAAGAAAACTGGAGACCAATATCTTTGATGAACATAGATGCAAAAATTCTCCACAAAATACAATACTGCTATACACCAACAACGAACAAACTGAGAATCAAATCAACAGCTGCAGAAAAACAAAAAACAAAAACAAACAAAAAAAACTTAGGAATATACCTAATCAAAGAAGTGAAAGACTTCTACAAGGAAAACTGCAAAACACTACTGAAAGAAATAACAGAGGACACAAACAAATGGAAACACATCCCATGCTCATGCATGGGTAGAATCAATATTGTGAAAATGACCATACTGCCAAAAGCGTTCTACAAATTCAATGCAATTTCCATCAAAATATATCATCATTCTTCACAGAACTAGAAAAAACAATCCTAAAATTCATATGGAACAAAAAAGGGCCCGCATAGCCAAAGCAAGACTAAGCAAGAAGAACAAACCTGGAGGCATCACATTACCCAACTTCAAACTATACTACAAGGCTGTAGTCACCAAAACAGCATAGTATTGGTATAAAAACAGGCATGTAGACCAATGGAACAGAATAAAGAACCAAGAAATAAAGCCAAATACTTATAGCCAACTGATCTTTGGTAAAGCAAACGAAAACATAAAGTGGGGAAAGGACATCTTATTCAACAGCTGTTGCTGGAATAATTGGTGAGCCACGTGTGGAAGAATGAAACTGGATACTCATCTTTCACCTTATACAGAAATCAACTCAAGATGGATCAAAGACTTAAATCTGAGACCTGAAACCATAAAAATTCTAGAAGATGACATCTGAGAAACTCTTCTAGACATTGGCTTAGGCAAAGAGTTCATGACCGAGAACCCAAAAGCAAATGCAACAAAAACAAAGATAAATAGATGAGACTTAATTAAACTAAAAAGCTTCTGCACAGCAAAAGGAATAATCAGCAGAGTAAACCGGCAACATACACAGTGGGAGAAAATATTTGCAAACTGTGCATCTGAGAAAGATCCAGAATCTACAAAGAAATCAAACAAATCAGAAGGAAAAAAACAAATAATAAACAAATAATCTCATCAAAAGGTGGGCTAAGGACATGAATAGACAATTTAGACAATTCTCAAAAGAAGATATACAAATGGCCAACAGACATACAAAAAAATACTCAACATCACTAATTATCAGGGAAATGCAAATCAAAACCACAATCCAATATCACCTTACTTCTACAAGAATGGCCATAATTAAAAAATCAAAAAATAATAGATGCGGCATGGATGTGGTGAAAAGGGAACACTTTTACACTACTGGTGGGAATGTAAAGTAGTACAACCACTATGGAAAAAGGTACAGAGATTCCTTAAAGAACTAAAAGTAGAACTACCATTTGATCCAGCAGTCCCACATCTGGTTATCTACCCAGAGGAAAAGAAGTCATTATTTGAAAAAAAAAAAAAAAATGGCACAGCATGTTTATAGCAGCACAATTTGTATTTGCCAAAATATAGAACCCATCAACCAATGAGTGGATAAAGAAAATGTGGTATATATATATATATATATATATATATATATATATATACACACACACACACCATGGAATACTGCTCAGCCATAGAAAGGAACAAAATAATGCCATTCACGGCAATAGAGTTGGAGACCATTATTGTAAGTGAACTAACTCAGGAATGGAAAACCAAACATCATATGTTCTCACTTGTAAGTGGCAGCTAAGCTATGAGGATGCAAAGGCATAAGAATGATATAATGGACTCTGGGGACCTGGGGGGAAGTACAGGAGAGGAGTGAGGGATGAAAGACTACACATTGGGCGCTGTGTAGTCGGCACTGCTCAGGTGATGGGTGCATCAAAATCTCAGAAATCACCACTAAAGAACACATCCATGTAATTAAACATGAACTGTTTAATAATATTTCAAAATATTTTGAAATAATAATGATAACTATTCAAAAACTGTTGTAATAATAACAAAAACAAATACTGACATTACTAAGTGTTCACAATAACACAAAGTGATTGGAACTCCTATACATTGCCAATGGGAATGCAAAATTGCACAGCCACTCTAGGATCCTTCCACCTCAGCCTCCCGAGTAGCTAGGACTACAGGTGCATGCCACCATGCTTGGCTAATTTTTTAACTTTTTTTGGTAGAGATAGGTTCCTTGTTGCCCAGGCTGGGCTTGAACTCCTGACCTCTAGTTGTCCTCCTGCTTCAGCCTCCCAAAGTGCTGGTATTACAGGTGTGAGCCACTGTGCCCAGCCCCATTTGGCAGTTTCTTCTACAGCGTAACACGCACTTCTCATATGACCCAACAATGCTAAGTGAACTGAAAACTTGTGTTCACAGAAAAACCTATGCATGAATGTTTATAGCAGCTTTATTCATAACCACTAATAACAGAAAACAACCCAAATGTCCTTCAGTGGGTTAATGGGTAAATAAACTGTGGTATATTTCAACAATGGAAACACTACTGAATTTAGCAATAATATTAATAAAAAAGATCCTGAACACACTTTTGTTCTGATGTTTCTAGATAGTAAAACCACAACATCACATTGAATTCCATTCTCATAGGAGAGAGGAAGAGGTCATCAAAAAGCCAAGGATAGGACTCAAAATATGACAGCAGCATCAGCAATTTGGGCAGAGGTATAATCAGCATTTCTGCCTTATAATTGATGGTCAAGGAAGCTGTGGGCAGCTGGGCACTGACAACCCCCAAGGAGGCCACCAAACCCAGAAAGAAAGCTAAGGCTGCTTATGATCCAATAGAATAAAGCAAACAGAATAAAGGCACTTTAGAATGTGTTCTTGTTTTTTTTTTTTTTCCTGTGTGAGCCAATAGAGACACATTTTATCATCACATCAATTTTGCAGCTGTAATTTTGCAGGATGTCTTCACGGCAGTGTTCTCTACCCTTAGAAATACCTTGCACTTTCTGTACATCTTTCAGTCGTGAATTCCCATTCTGGGTTGCGGTGCGGTATGTCAAGGGAGAGGAGAGGCTCAGATGTCAGTCCTCAGGATAACATATACTTCAGAGTTTAATTTCCAACACTGTGTTTTGCCAACATAAATCATACTGTTCCAGTGAGAGAACTAGTTATATACCTTTCTCAAATATGTTTTCCCAACGAATGATCCTACATGGCTTAAAATTATACTGACAGAAAAACAACTGCAGTGGCTTTAAACTAATGATACAATCCATGGATAATTTCCTTTAAATAGCTCAGAGGTGTGAATGAATGAATCATGTATCACTGTAGGAAGCAATTTCCCTCAATGAATTTTACCAGATGGAATCTCATTGCATTTCAGATTCGGTAAAAGCTTTCCATTGAAATGGGACTCTTAAAGTGGCTCTGGAGCAAAACCTAAACCCTGAGGGGAGGCAGCTGTGAATATATTTAGACCTTTCCACTTTCTGGGAGCTCTTGTGTTACAAACATCTCCCTTTTGGGCACAATACAGTACTTTGTGAGGATATCCAGTGACATAGGTGGCTTTCAATAATCCTTCCCAAGTTTTATTCCCTTTTCTGTGGGCTGGCTTTCTTTAATGGGTCTCCATCCTGCAATGTCTTAACCATATTTTCCCAGAGGTTGATTTCTTTCTGATCGACGTGATGTCACAGATGTACCGATTTTATCAGGAAATCAAGGAACCTTAAAAAACTAAATGAAATGCATTTCAGGTCCAGAGAGATTTAAAAAATACTGCTTTTTGCTCTTTTGCTTCTAGCTCTATCATACTGGTACTTGTGGTGTGTGTGTGTGATGGAAATCTTTTCTCATAATCTGGAGTAGGACTTAAGTGGGCAATTCTGTTATCTTTGCTTTCCCCAGTGTTCCTTGTGCTTGACCTGTTTATATGTCCTTTCTAGGAGAGGAATAACCAAAAACTCTTTTATGAGTAACTTGAAACTCAAGGAAGACAAATGAATTGTACAAAATCAAGCACCCAATCCATATGGCCATGGACTGGGATTCTGATACATCTTCTAATGCTCCTTCCTTTATATGATGGCTGCAAAAATATATTTGGCCTCATCTTGTTTTCATCATGACAATTATGCTTGTTCCTCCAATGAGACCACAGGCACCTTACAGATAGAAAAGGGGCTTCAGGGTCACCATTGTCCTCTCCACAGGGTTGAATTCACTGATAGTGGATATTCGAGGCACTTCAGTATGGCTTGGCTCAATACAGGCTTGCATTAGAAGAGAGGGGTAATATAGTTGCTTTTGATCATCTGATTTGCAGATTTTGGGGAGATTTGGAGCATGTCATAGACTCATCCTGTAATATGGAACCAGAGCTTAGAGTGAAAAATCATAAAGTCTGGGCTGTGGTCCCTTTTCTGACAGCCAGTTACATGATCTTCAGTGACCTCACCTAACTAATGGGGATAACACCTGTCCAGAAGCCCATTTGGTTATTGTAAGAGATAAAGTAAATCCTATTTGGTGCCACACAAATGCCCATGCTTCACCACTGACATTATGCTGTGGTGCTCTCTGGGACCCCAGTATAGCTATAGAGAGAATTACATGATGCAGGAAAGAAAGAAACAGAGTAAAGGTAGCAGCAGATGAAAAGACTTATGAAAACCTACCTGTCTATAAATTTGTAAAAAGATAAAGAAAAAGGCCCTGAAATAACTAGCATTCTTCCATAAACACTTGTTTGGCAAGAATTAGAGTCCAGGAACTTTCACATGTTATATTAATTGTGATAACAATGATAAGAGCCATGATTTATTGAAAGCCTGTTATGTAGCACACCAGGCAATGTATTGGGTATGATCATCGTGAGTGGGGTGGTATTATTATTCCAATTTTACAAATTATGAAATTAAAGCTCAAAGAAGTTGAGTAACTGTCCTAAGACCACCCGGGTAACGAGGGACAGAAAGAGGAAAAGCCATGGAGGCATGAGATTTGGGATTAGCACCTGGAACTGTTACACCTGGCTGCCTTCTTATTCCGGTGGCTTTATGTTCTATGGAACTGGGGTCACCTCCACATTAATCTGTCTGGTTCTTTATAGCAAGTGGCTCTGTGGGCACCACTTCAGAGGCCACGCTGGCAATGCTGATGTTATGTCAGACCAGGGCATGGTTATCATCTCCAGCTAGTTTTCTAGAAGCTGTATGGCTTGTGATGGGGCTAATCCCTGGTAAAACTATTAAGTACAAGATAAACACCACATTTCATTCAATCCTAAGAGAGTATAAATAACAGATGGAAAGGTGACTTGGGTCCAGAGAACTGAAGCAAAAGAAGATGACACATGCCACTCTTAGCAATCCAAACAAGAGTACCCAAAGTCTGGGGATCAGTGCCCTGGGAAAACTGGCACTTCTCAGTCAAGAAGGGGCATCCAGTCAAGAAGGGGCATTCAGGCAAAACCTGGAGCCATCCCGAGAAGCTGTTGAGCCAGTCCTATGAATGCTGCCTGCTGCGTAGAGCCATCTGTTCTTAGAGCCATTTGGAGGCAAGTAGGTGACCCCAGTCCGTGACTGGGACAGGGCTGGACCCCTAAGGACCCTCACATGGAGAAGAACTTGGGTTAATGTGCAGGTGACAGTCATTTCTATGACTGAGTGGGCATCTCTTAGGATCCAGAGCAATTCAGACATTAACATCAGTGCTCAGGCTTACAGGAAACAATGAAAGGATACATTCCTGCTTCCTATGTGAGTGACAGGATGCTGGAGCATTCTTAGTGACATCAAGTCTGTCTATGGACACATGGTCCAGGCCTGAGGCAGAGAAATCTTATATCTCTCTTTCTCCTACAGTTGAAAACAAACACATCCCCAAACTGCACCTTAGTTCTTCATTTCATTGTATATGTAAGGGAAATCGAAACCTTTGCTGTTTTATTCTGAGCTTGATTTATTTCATGTTTCTGGCATTCACTGCTCTGATAATTTGCAGCACAGATGCTACCCTTGATAGAAGGTAGGCATGATCTCTATAAAAGTTCTTAACAAGGGGACTTATGGCCATGAATCCTGCATGCAGCAGGCAGCTACTCCTCACATCTCATCCTGTGCAAAGAGCAACTGTCTTCAGTTTTTCAGGAATCCCTGAACAGGGCCCCTGGTTGCCTGTGAACAAAAAATCATGTTATTTCAGAATCATCCCTAAACTTCAAACCCAAATGGAAGTTTAAGTGAGAGCTACTGCCAGTGATTCAGCATTGTTACAATATGCAGATGGAAAATTGGAAGCTCTGTGCTTGTAGAATAGGAGAGCCAAGTTCTGGTCCCAACTCTTTCACAAACTGTTAGACTTTGTTGTTTAACCTATCAGGGTATCAGTTTACTCATCTGCACAACATGAGGGTTAGATTGAATCTTCCTGCAACAAACTGTGAAGCTATAAATTATAAATTAACTCATGTGCATATTATGAAAGCATTTAGAATCGTGGATGTGGATAAGTCATAACATATTTTTCTGTTCCAGATGTCTAATAGGTATTTAATGCAGGAATAATACTATTTCTAGCATAACTATGTTTGGGCTTTCTGTATGCCATTTAATGATGAACATCTTTGGAATTATGACTCAAATAATATGTATGTATGTCACTGCCTATTTAGTTTACTGGTTATGACTGTCATTAGAGTTATATAGGCTATACAAACATTGTGAGTTATTATCTTCCTTTGAGCACAATAGAATGCAAAGATCCCACTCTGCCCCATCCCTTGCCCAATTTCTGGTATTATGCAATAACCTGTAACATGCTCTACCCAGTCCTACACAAACGGTTTCCAAGAAGAATAACTTTTTCTATACCCTCCTATAATGCATCTGTTGATTCTTTTGTGACAGAGAGCACAGGCTGTAGCCGAAACCAATATGTTCTTATATTAAGTACGCTGGGGAAAAAAAAAAAGCTGCTAAGTGCTCTTCAAACAAAAGGCATTAGAATGACTGATGAATATAGCCCCATCATTGTTACACTTCTACTAGAAGGGTTGTGACACTTATATTGAAAAAGCATAACGTAGTGTGAAATCAACCTTTGTGCAGAATTTCAGCCATTGTAAAAAGTGAAACAGCCCAGGCCTGAGTGGGAGCACTTGCCAAGTTGATGGATTGTGCTGCACGCTGAAAATAAGTGCTAGGAAGCTATTGCGAGATTCATGTCCTGTGCTTCCGCGGAGTTGGATTTGCTTCACTCCCAGAGTCTTCCTCATCTTTAGCCACATGCCTGGGAGACAGGTTCTGTGAGTGCTTTTGACTCAAGCTGTGTCTTCCTTTTAGACATAAAATTCTTCATTGTTAAATGCCTACACTATTGTCGAAACCTCTCTGTGTGTCTCTTCATCCCAGCTAGACTGTGAGACTTTGAGGTCACTGACTACCCTTTTATTTCCCTTATTTCCCTCTTTAGCTCCTAGGAGGGTACCTGGCATAAAGTAGATGCTCGCTGTTCTCACTTGTAAGAGGGAGCTAAACAGTGGGTACTCACGGACATAAAGAGAGCCACAGTAGACAATGGGGACTACTGGAGTGGGGGGAAAGGGTTGAAAAACTGTTGGGTATTATACTCACTGCCTGGGCGACAGGATCATTTGTACCCCAGACTCCAGCATCGTGCAATATACCCAGGTAACCAACCTGCATATGTACACTCTGAATCTAAAATAAAAGTTAAAATTATAAAAAAAGATGCTCACAAATATTTATTGAATGAATGAACATATGGATGAATGGCTGAGTGAGTGAATTTTAATTTTATTTTTTAGATTTAATTTATTTAAAAAATTTCTATGAAATATTAGATATACAAAGAGATAAAAAGACTAAAATGATGAATCACTGTAAACTCACCACCTTGCCTTGCATTATGAATACTTCATGCCCCTTTGAGGTTGTATCTCCCTTCCTTCTTCTCAGGGAAGTCATTATACAGAACTTGTTCATTTCTGTCTTTACTCTTTATATCTTTTTTTTTTTTTTTTTTGAGATGGAGTCTCGCTCTGTTGCTCAGGCTGGAGGGCAATAGTGCGATCTCGGCTCATTGCAACCTCCGCCTCCGCTTCCCACTGCAACCAATTCTCCCACCACAGCCTACCGAGTAGCTGGAATTACAGGCGTCTGCCATCATGCCCAGCTAATTTTTGTAATGTTGTAGAGGTGGTGTTTCACCATGTTGGCCAGGCTGGTCTTGAACTCTGGACCTCAGGTGATCCACCCACCTTGGCCTCCCAAAGTGCTGGGATTACAGGCGTGAGCCACCGTGCCCAGCTACTCTTTATATCTTTATGACATGTGTATGAATACCTAACAAAACTACAATATTATCATTGCCTATTTTTGAAATTTGCAAAATATTACATTGTATTCTTCTGAAACTTGCCTTTATAATCAAAACCATACTTGTGAGATAAATCTATGTTGATATGCATCATTCTTGTTTGGCATCCTGTCTGCTGAAGGGTATTTAATTGTATAAATATATCGTAATTTGTTCATTCTCATGTCAAAGGAATTACACACAATGCTGCTAGGAACATTCTTACTCATGTCCATGAGCACCTGCTGGTAGGATTCTGCAGGGCACTTCCTGAGGGTCGGAATTTCTGGATCACAGTGGATACATATTCTCAACTTTCCTGGGATTTCAGGATAGTGATCCAAACTGGCTGTACCAATTTACACTCCCAAGGATCTGCATTTATAAAACTTCCAGTTTTCCAACACTAATGCTTACCTCTTTAGGTGCTGACTTTGCAAGAGGATACTGTTTGCTGCCAAGGGCCTCTGAGATCTGCTTGTGTCTGTTTAAGAGCTGGGCCTCTGGCCCACAGTGGCTGGAGTGGATCATTTCTCCACTGCTGTTTAATGAGCTGAAGCTACCAGGCTTTATCAGTGTCTGAAAGTTTGGAGTTTCTCCCTCCCAACCCTCAACTGTCTATAGCCCATTCTTTGTAGACATAGGTTCCACCAAAATAGAAGGTTGCCTTTAATGGCAAAGAGTTACCTTCATCTAAATGTGACTTGTGTGCAGAATGGATTGTGATCCTTTTCCTCTGCTGCTGGTTCCCTCATGCCCTGACAGCCTGAATATTCCATTACGTTGTGTTGTGGGATCATAGCACTATGAAGTGACAATATTATTGCTAAGATTCTGTGATTTTGGTAGCAGTAGGCTTAATGCCTCCTAATTGCAAGTTATTAAATGCCATAAAGCTTCAGAATAGAGGGTATTATAACAAATTGGGCTATGTAGTATTGAAGCCATACTTCAAAAGGGAAACTTGTGTTAGATAACATGTAGATAAGGATTGCTGCCCAAAGTACCCCATCATGACTTGGAGCTAAGGGATTTTTTTCCCCTTCTAATAGTTACTTTTTCCCTTCAAATGAGATGAATATTCATAGGAGGTTTAAACACTTTAAAAAGCAAGTTTCTACATGTTTATACTTGGCCTTTTCTTCCCTTTAGGATTTGAAGTGGTAGGTCTAGTTTTGATTTGTTTGTTTTTAATGCAAACTTCCTTCTCAAAAATCCATATGGAAAGCAGACCAATAATAAGCATACAGGTTGATGATGTTTATGAAGTAAACACTTTCTCGTACTAGCAGTCATGAAAAAATGAAATGTTACCAGAAACTCAATCCCCACCATGCTCCCTTTCAGACACTGCACTCCCCACACCCAAGGTAACCACATCTGTTTATTTTTTTCTCCAATGGACATAATGTATCCTTTAGAACAAATTCCTCATTTTACATCATAGTTCAGTAAGAGCCAGAGATACAAAATGACTCACTCAAACTCACTTGAGAGTTAGTGAAGAACTAGGGCTGGACCTTGACCCCTCGATGCCCTGTCATGATGTACTCCGCCTGTTCTTATTTTCTCTTTAACTCAAATGTGGCAAGAAATGCAGTGGCCCCTTGAAGAATGCACTTTCTCCCTACACCGTGGAGATTGTAGGTCCTCTGCCCATGCTGAGTTCTCTCCTCCACCAGCATCTCTCTACTCCTAGAACTTTATGTCCTCTACATATGAAGATCAGATTTTTGGATGCATATATAAGTTTCAGGACCCATGGATAAAAGGTAGGATTTGAAAAACAATGCATGATCTATTTTTCACTGAGCACTGTTTTGATGCTCAGAAATACTGAAAGAACCCATTATGCAGCATATTAGCTACCTACCTGTGCTCTCTTGCTGAGGAAGAAAGTAATGACAATAACAGGTTCACGTCAGGTATGTAATCAATGACTTAAAACCTCTCTGGGCATCTACTAGAATCTGGTCACATTCAACACACATCAAATTTCTGCATCATATTGAAACCCTTTCCAGGACACAGCCCCTGAATGTTCTGATTAATTGAAGTTTTGCAGTCTTGTGGTGCAGGAGAAAGAGCTTGAAATCCTGAAGTCAGGTCAGCCGGAGTCTTATTCCCAGTTTTCCTGTGTATGAGCAGTGTGGCCTTGGCCCAGTCACCTCAGCTCTCTAAGCCATGTTCCTAATTTGTAAAACAAAGAGAATAAGGTTCATGTTAGCATTTGGGATAATGTGTACAAATCATTTACACAACATCTGGTATATAACAAGCTCTTAACAGGCAGTAGCTGACTTCTTACTCCACATTTAGCTAGTGGTCAGCTTTCTCCATTCAGCATTTATCTCATTTATGACAATATTATTTGGTATTACATTGCTAATTATAGTCCTTTGGAACTACATAGCAAGGAGCATTTCTCATATTCAGGAGACATCTTAGCTGAACTTTCATATAAGAAGGAAGTTATATCTGACTACCTCTGAAAACACTCCCTTCCTCTCACTTCAGGTACTAGGAGACGTCCTGTAGAAGGATTGGACTTCCTTAGCCCAAGGGATTAATACCTTTAATTTTTCCTGATCTCAGGGGTCAAGATGGCTCCAGTAACAACTGTATGACTCAAGTGAGAAGATAACTAAAATATAAAATAAAACTGTGATAAAGGGAGAGCAGGATGCTGTGACAACACAAAATATGCTCAGGGCTTTGTATTTGTTCGTCAGGTGTCTTGGAGAGGCCAGGTTCCAATTTATGATTCCAATATGGCCTCCAGCAAAGCTCCCATTACCCTGGGAAACTGTTCTCATTTGGGAATGCAGAGAATTTGATACTTAAATTCTCACAGAGTCATTAATAACTGACTAAAGTATCCTATCTTTAGTCCTTTCTCCTAACCTGTCTAGGGAGTTAGCTTGTAGACATGCATTTCAGGTGCTTATACAAGAGATAAAGAGAGGAATCTTTTAGTGGAGGTGGGAGAGTGCTCTCAACATAGACACTTATTTTAACTTCTGAGCCTGTTGTTCAAAGACACTTCCTCTTTTGTGATAATCCGTGAGTATACACACATGCATGTGCACAGACATAATGCATATAGGTGAACACACACACACACACACACACACACACATTGCATAGGAAACCAGGGCCTCAGCCACAGAAATTCATCAATCTGCTTCATTCACAGTGACAAATTCTCCTTGATTTTTATCAGGGAAATCAGGCCTAAAGTTACACACTAGAGCTTTTCAGTCCCATTCATTTTCTCTCCAACTCCTAAATAATTATTTGGGAGAAAATGATAAAACACATTAAATACAAAATTTATTTCCTAGGCAAGTGAGACTTTAGGCATTTTTAAGTTGGTAATTTTAAGAAAGTAACTGTGGAATTAGGGAAATGTTCTCACTAGTCAGTATTTTACTTAGAAAATGTAAAACAGGTTTTGTCAAACCAAATGAAAGGTTTTAAGTTTTGTTGAAGAAGAATAAAAAGACCCTAATAAAAACTGGCTTTATGGGTCTGCATGTCCATCTGAAACAGGAACAGATAATGAATTTGTGGGGAACAGTCTGATTTGGCTGCATTCTCAAGAACATCCTCTGTGGGCTTGGACTGCCTTTTAACAAGAAATTGGTGACTTGTATTTATAACAAAGTTTGAGAGGAACTGTGCTAAATGGCGTTTTGTTACTATTCTTTGCATCAAGATGGCTTTACATGTGACATTCCCATGAGCTGCAGGTGACCTCCACCCAGCCCTGCCTGTGAAGTCCTGCATGCTACATAACATAAGGAAAGAGAGTTTCTTTTTTTTTTTTTTTTGAGATGGAGTCTCGCTCTGTCGCCCAGGCTGGAGTGCAGTGTGCAGTGGCATGATCTCAGCTCACTGCAAGTTCTGCCTCCCGGGTTCACGCCATTCTCCTGCCTCAGCCTCCCGAGTAGCTGGGACTACAGGCACCCACCACCACACCCAGCTAATTTTTTGTATTTTTAGTAGAGATAGGGTTTCACCGTGTTAGACAGGATGGTTTCGATTTCCTGACCTCGTGATCCGCCTGCCTCAGCCTCCCAAAGTGCTGGGATTACAGGCGTGAGCCACCGCGCCTGGCCAGGAAAGAGAGTTTCTAATACAACCCTCCTCCTCAATGAAGTCTTCTTTGGCCAACCATTTCCCTTCTCTGAAGCATGTTTTATGCACCATTTTGGCAGCACTGACCCAAGAGTGTAATCTTGCCTGGACCTGTCATATCCCCTCTCCCACAGGAGCAGTGGTAAAGTGCAGGGGTTACCACTATGTAGCGTGGGATCCGGAACAGACTGTCAGGTTCAAAACCCAGCAGCTCCACTCACTAGCCAGTGACCTTGAGGAAGTTGCTTAATCTCTGTGTCTGTGTTTCTTCATGTGTAAAATAGTAATGGTAATAATAACACCTCTTTCTCGGATTGCTATGAGGATTCATTGACTGTTCCATGTAGGGTACTAAAAACAATGCCCAGCACACAGTAGCACTCGAGAAGTGACACCTTGGTATTATCAAGAGCAGAAAGTGTATTATTCCCCTTAAAATATCACTGGGTACATGATATAGTACCAGGTACACAAAAAGTACTCAGTTAACAAAATGAATGATTGTGACAACAACCAGTCAGCTCTAATCAGCTGCAAAATTGTGTTTCTTATTTCCATCAATGACCAAAAGGGCTGTACATTCTCCAAGTCCCACCCAAGTTTCATGTCCTTGAGAGTTTTTGGTAAGTGTTTGTTTTGGAGAAACTTCCAGTTATTACATTTCAGATATCACTTTCTGTAGAAGGAAGACAAAGACAACAGCAACAAGAAAGCCAAGGTCCATTTAATTCCTGCCCTTGGGAGCCACATTTTTAAACTTTTTTGTGGACACGTGAGTCTAGCAGCAGTTGAACAAAGCCCATTCAAACCTCTAGTTCTTTAATAACTACCATATTACTGCTTTCCTGTCCCGTGATCAACCTCAAAGTCCTTTGAAATACCAACAAGAGGAATGAAGTGTGCATTTTAAGTTATCTTCGCATCCACGGGGTTTAAAGTTGCAGTCAATATCTTAATGCTGGCCTAGAGTATTAGATCAGAAGGAGAAGGTAAAGTTTTACTCCTCTCTTCTCTGGGAAAGACTATTTTTCCATCCATTGAGCTGAGGACCACAAAGATCAAGAGCCATTCACTTGAGGCCCTTTAAGGGGAAAGCAGTTTGCACTGATTTTCTTACAGATCACAAGAGGGTCAGCAACAACACTTCTCCATCCTGTCTTGGAATTGAGAGAGACAGGTGTGTGAAACGAGGTGAAAAGTGCTGATATTTTGGTTGAAAATTGTGAATATTCGTATGGATAAAGTTCTATTAAATTTACTTTATTGTTTCTACTAGTCAATAGTGTTTACATTATACAAAGTGCTTAATGGTGTCTGACATAAAATAAGAACTTAAATACTGGATAGTTTTTCTCTTTATTACACAATTATGTGATACTTCATTGTTTTTAAACATTCTGTGTTCATTATAACTTTTATTTTACTTTTCATTTTCATCTCAAAACCCTTTATGAGGAGGGGAAAAAAGGTATTGGCTCCATGTATAGAAGGGGAAAACTGAACCCAGATAGATATTTGGAGGATGCTAAACAGAAAGCAGAAACTGGTCTTCTAACTTTGAGGCAAAGGCAAAGTTCTTCTAACTCTTAGAATCTTTACCCTAAGTCTTTTCCTGAAGGCTGGCAGGGTGGGGACTGGGTAGGTCCAATGATTACTTTTACAATTTTCCTGAGAATGGTTTGTTTTCTTTAACTGATAACCATGTCCATAGCTGCTCTGGTTTGAATGTTTGTCCCCTCCAAAATTCATGTTGAAATTTAATTGTCATTGTGATGTGGGACCTTTCAGATGTGTTTAGGTCATGAATGGACTAATAGTGTTATGTTGGGAGTGGGTTCACCCCCTTTGGCTCTCTCTTGCTTTCTTGTTGCCCTTTTGCTATGTGATGTCTTCTGCCAAGTCATGACGTAGCAAGAAGGCCCTCAACAGAGGCTGACACCTTGATACTGGACTTCCCAGCCTCCAGAACCGTGATCCAGTACGCTTATGATCGTTATAAATTACTCAGTCTGTGGTATTCTGTTGTATCAGCACAAAATGCACAATAGCATGCCAGAGAAATCCTACTCAAAGGCACAAACCTCCCTCTCCCCCAAAATGGTAATATTAATCCTATGCTAATAAAAATCCTATGCTAATAAAAAAATTAGCATAATCCTATGCTAATAAAAAAATAAAAATAATAAATCCAATGCATTAGAGCAACAAATCTAAATGTGGAAAGTCAGTTTGCAACAAATCTAAATGTGGAAAGTGAGTTTGCACTAGAGTCAGTGTCCTGGGTGAGTGCTACTCTATCCAGGCACTCCACCTACAGCCATGAGGGAGCCCACAGTGTGGTCATATTAGTGATGGAGATGGTGGCAGGTGCCCTCCATGGGTGGGCTGCTGATCTCTTGATAACACACATTTTTGTTTTGTACACAGATTTTAATATCAGTTATTCCTAGAACATTTCAGAACTCTTTCAATTTGAAGGTCACATACTTAAGGGATAAAAGTCCTGATGGGCTGAAGTGAAGTTTCTTTTTCATCATTGACTATGGGTGTTACTACTGTTACTATTCCCAATAACGGTCTCAGTGGTTTTTGTGGGTGTAGCACTGCCCAGTTTAGAAGCACCTTTGCCTGACCAGTGGCCTGCATTTGGTTTGCATAACAGCTTTATGTGTTGGATATCCCCTGTCCTTGCAGCCATGGGGCATCGAGGCCAGTAGGTTTAAGTAAGTTGGCTGTACAGTGGGTCTGTGGAAGAGTAAGGACTACTCTTTTCTCCACTGAACCATGGAGACTAAATGAAAAGAACAGTGGAACAACATGATGCTGTGCTGGTGTCAGGAGGAGCATGCCACTGAAAGTCTGGACATGCACATCTTGGCCAAGGCTGACTCCTTCCTGCTGTGGGATCTTTTTCTTTTCTTTCTTCTCTCTCTCTCTTTTTTTTTTTTAGAGGTAGGGTCTTGCTTTGTTGCCCAGGCTGGAGTGCAGTGGCATCATCATAGCTCTCTACAGCCCCAAACTCCTAGGCTCAAGCAATCCTCCCTCCTCTGCCTCCTGGGTAGCTGGGACTGCAGGCATGCATGGCCATGCCTGGATAAATTTAAAAAAATTTATTAAGAGATGGGGGTCTCACTATGTTGCCCAGGTTGGTCTTGAACTCCTGGGCTCATGCGATGCTCCCACCTCAGCCTCCCAAAGTGCTAGGAGTACAGGCATGAGCCACCATGCCCAGCATGCTGTGAGATCTTAATCAAGTCACTTCACTGCCTGAAAAACTTCACTTCACTCCCTGAAAACTCAAGATTTTAGATAAGAAGTCTCAAAGTCCCTCCCCTGTCTTACCACTTTGAGGCTAAAACAAACATACAACCAAAGAAACACCAACACACTTAGCATGGCAGTGACAGGTGCCTTACTTTCTCTAGCCAGTGCACAGCAGAGATTTAGAAAGTGAAGGAAGAATGGAAGAAAGCCAGGGTCCCCAGTGAAACCATGCCCAATGACACAGTCTTGCCCACCTCTGACATCCCACAGGTGCGCTTCTCAAGAATCCAGATACTCTGTGTTCCAGAGAAACATGGCTGTCAGTCACTAGGTCATATTTGGTTGGAGTCCCTGAGAAATAGAATTATAGACCTTGGAGGGTGTCTGGTCTCAAGTTCAGATGAGAAATTTGAGGCTTAAAGGACAAGAGAGCTTCCGGAGGTCACAGAGTGAAGCAGATACAGGGTCAGGTGGCTCTCCCCAGTGCCTTCTAGGATGATGTGTTACCAGTGAAGTTCAGTCACAGTCCACTACTATTTTATTTTCTTAAACCACTTTATTGAGGCATGCTTGACATACAAAAGCTGTAGATATTTAATGAAAACAACTTGATACGTTTGGAGATAAGTATACACTCATGAAACCATCACTACAGTTTATGCTGTAAACTTATGCATCACCTCCCAAAATTCCTTCCTGCTGTCTTTGCTTATTATTATTATTATTCTTTTGTGATAAAAACACAACATAAGATCTACCTTCTTGGCACAGTTTTAACACACAATATGGTATTGTTAACTATAGACACCATGCAGTATAGGAGATCTCTAAGACTTACTTATCTTGTGTAAGCAAAATTTTGTATCCTTTGACTAATGCCTCCTTGTTTCCTCATCTTCCCAGCCCTTGACAACCACCATTCCACTCTCCACTTCTATGAGTTTGTTTCAGATTCATAATATAAGTATTATTGTCACCACTAGGTATTGTTCTCATGAAAGCAGGACCAGGGATCTCTTGCTTGCCCCATGTCCCAGTCTCCAGCAGAGGCCCTGGCCCAGGTGGGTGGTCAGGAAAAAGCTGTTGTAAAGTTGAATAAATGAATAAACCGACAAAAAAGTGGTTGAATAAAAGGATGCATGATTTAGGCTGGGCGTGGTGGCCCACACCTGTAATCACAGCATTTTGGAAGGAAGCTGAGATGGGTGGATTGCTTGAGGTCAGGAGTTCAAGACCAGCCTGGCCAACATGGTGAAACCCGATCTCTACTAAAAAAATAAAAAATTAGCCAGACGTGGTGGTGCTCACCTGCAATACCAGCTACTTGGGAGGCTGAGGTGGGAGAATTGCTTGAACCCAGGAGATGGAGGTTGCGGTATGCTGAGATTGTGCCACTGCACTCCAGCCAAGGCGACAGAGTGAAACTCCATCTTGGGGGGGAAAAAAAAGAATGCATGATTTAGATCAGACTTCTCAGTTCTATGGCCAAATGCATCCTACACTTTACCTCCTGTCCTGGCCTCTTCATACAGACTTCAGAACCCAAGTGACCCATGCCCAAGAGGTGAATGGGTCTGTACAAGTCCTTTCCTGTTGTTAGAAATTAAACTCACAAGGCCAAGTGCATGTCCCACATTATAAGAGCCCACTTATTTTCATAATATAAAGATAACCAACTTCTGGGGCTGTGGGCTGGGCCAGGGCAAGTCTTGGAGAAGCCCGTCCTCATGAATGGAAACCAAGACCAACTTTAATAATAACTTGTTTAGGAGTCAGGGCTGGCTTCGGCAAAGTTGTGAGATTGGAATTTTGGCCTTTGGTTATCATTCCTTCAACCAACTGAGCACTAATGAGTGCCCAGTGCTCTAAATATTTACGTCATGGTTCCTGGAAGTGTCAGGTCTCCAATTTATGATATCCATGCCCTCCATCAAAGCTCCCATGGCTCCAATGCTTTACCTTCAGCTGTTGGAGAAGTTGAAAGATCTGATACATATGGTTCAATGAGTCATTTATAGCTTACCAGAGTTTCCTATTTCATCTCTCTGAGGGATGTTTGCCTTTAATCGTTAGGGGTTTCAAATTCTTTTCTGACATACAGATTTCAGAGGAATACTTTAGTGATGGGGATAGGAGAGGATTCTTGTCTCATAGACACTTCTCTTTCATGTATTCACACATACAGACACATATGCACACACACACAAATATGCACATACAAGTACAGGTGGAGAAATTCACCAGAGGAAATGGGAACTCCAGGCACAGGGTCTAATAAATCCTGCCTCACATCAGAGCAGTAGGTTCTGACTTATCTCTGCTGGGAAGATCAGGTTTCTCAACCTAACTCTTGTAAATAAAATAATTTATTTCCCTGACAGATCTCAGGCTCTAAGCATTTTAAGCTGATAATATGTAATAAAATAATTATTTTAGGAATACATTTGCCACTACCAAATAATTATTATATTTAGACCATGCAAAGTGGCTTTTTAAAGAGGGAATTAAGAAGATGTTGTTAGGAATTTTACTGGATCTAATGAAGTTTTAAGTTTTATTGGAGAGGAATAAAGGGCCCTAATTCAAATTAGTTTTATGGGCTTCTAAGTTCATTTTTAATAGGGACAGGCAATGAATCTGAGGGAAAGGTCAATCCAGTTGGGTCCCCACTAACTGTTCTTGTACAGTATTGAGTTAGGTTTGGGTAAATACAAAGCCAATGCCTGTCCCACCTCCTCCCTCTTCCCATATCACCCCACCTGCAGGTGTCATTGATGGATTTACTTATCCCCACCTCCACGTCTCTCTAGACAAAGTCACCCTTGGCTCCTGCTTGGATTGGTACTACAGCCTCCTAAGTACTTCTCTCATCCGCTTTTGCACCACAAACCCATTCTCTACACTGTGGTTCAGAAGAAAGCCCTCCAATGACTGTCTATATTTCTTAGGATAAAATCCAATGCAATACCATCTCATGCCAGTTAGAATGGGGATCATTAAAAAGTCAGGAAACAACAGGTGCTGGAGAGGATGTGGAGAAATAGGAACACTTTTACACTGTTGGTGGGACTGTAAACTAGTTCAACCATTGTGGAAGATAGTGTGGTGGGTGATTCCTCAAGGATCTAGAACTAGAAATACAGCGATCCTGTTACTGGGTATATACCCAAAGGATTATAAATCATGCTACTATAAAGACACATGCACACGTATGTTTATTGTGGCACTATTCACAATAGCAAAGACTTGGAAGCAACCCAAATGTCCATCAATGATAGACTGGATTAAGAAAACGTGGCGCATATACACCATGGAATACTATGCAGCCATAAAAAAGGATGAGTTCATGTCCTTTGTAGGGACATGGATGAAGCTGAAAACCATCATTCTGAGCAAACTGTCGCAAGGATAGAAAAACAAACACCACACGTTCTCACTTATAAGGGGGAATTGAACAATGTGAACAGTTGGACACAGGGTGGGGAACATCACACACCAGGGCCTGTCATGCGGTGGGGGGATGGGGGAGGGATAGCATTAGGAGAAGTACCTAATGTAAATGATGTGTTAATGGGTGCAGCAAACCAACATGGCACATGTATACATATGTAACAAACCTGCACGTTGTGCACATGTACCCTAGAACTTAAAGTATAATAAAAAAATAAATAACAACAACAACAACAACAACAAAATCCCATGTCATTACTGTGGCCCATTCTGCATGGTCTCACCCCTGCCTGCCTCTATCTGCTCATCTCACACAAGCGCCTCTGGGCTCCAGTGTCACTGATCGTTTAGTGTTTGGAACTCAGGGCATTTGTGTGTGCTTTTCCTCTGCTTTGAATGCTTTTTGTCTCTGCTCCCATTCCCCTTGCAGTAGTTATTTTCTGCTTATCCTGCAGATCTGAGCTTAGTCATTATTCTTCAGGGAAGGCTTCTCTGAAAACCTGTCCAGATTGTGTCTCCCTTTTTTTTCAGCCTCATAGTACCATGCATTTCTCTTTTGTAACATACAGTTCTTGTAATTTTACATTTATCTCTCTGAGTTGTTTTTACAATTGACAGCTCATAGATGTGTATATATCTGGGGTACAAAGTGGTGTTATGATTTTTGAATTCAATGTGGAATGGTTAAATCAAGTGAATTAACATATCTATCACCTGAAATATGTAACAGTATTGTGATAAGAACATTTACAATTTATTCTTTTTAATGAAATTTAAATGTACAGCACTCAATTATTAGCTATATTTACCATGTTGTGTAATTGATCCCATAAAAAGAGAAAGAAATCAAATGTATTCTTCCTATCTCACTGATAGGGCCTTGTACCCTTAAACTGTCATCTTCCCATTCCCCTCACCCCTCAGTCCTGGTAACCACCTTTTTTTTTTTTTTGGAGACAGAATGTTGCCCTGTCATCAGGCTGGAGTGCAATGGCGCCGTCTCAGCTCACTGCAACCTCTGCCTCCCGGGTTCAAGCAGTTCTCCCACCTCAGCCTCCCGAGTAGCTGGGATTACAGGTGCCTGCCAACATGCCTGGCTAATTTTTTGTATTTTTAGTAGAGATGGGGTTTTGCTATGTTTCCATGAGTCCAATTGTTTTACATTCCACATGTAAGTGAGAACATTCAGTATGAGAACATTCTGTGTTTGGCTTATTTCACTTAGCATAATGTTCTAAAATTCCCTTGATGCTGGTGTTTTTGTTTGTTTTTAGCTAATCTTGAAAAAACTATTAAGAGTATGCTTCAGTATGAAAATAGCAACACAAAAAGAAAAGAGTGGAAAGGACTCTGTCTCTCTCTCACACACACACACACACACACACACACAATGGAAAGGAGAAAATTATTGTGAATGGTAACTACATAGATAAATCTAAGTAAGTAGTGACTATAACCATAATATTCACTACAGCCATTTCCATCTATAGAGGATTTTTAAAAAGCTAAATTTGGAATATTAGACACTTAAAAAATGGAAACTATCAGGATATAATTTTAGTCAAGGCATTTTAAAGTCTTTATTTTGTTAGGAGGTGAGTAATTAACTTTTAACTTTTCAAAGGCAAGCATGCATGTTAATATTAACTCATAACCTCTGAAAGAACAGAATATAACACCTGATATAACTTTGCAACTGATAGAAACAAAAGGGGGAAATAAAAAATTCTACCTATCCAAAAGAAAATGGGAAAGGAAAAGATAAATAAAAATCATGGTAACATAAAAACCAGGGCCAGGTGCGGTGGCTCACGCCTGTAATCCCAGCACTTTGGGAGGCCGAGGCAGGTGGATCACGAGGTCAGGAGATCGAGACCATCCTGGCTAACACGGTGAAACCCCGTCTCTACTAAAAAAAAAAAAAACAAAAAACCAAAAAATTAGCCGGGTGTGGTGGCGGGTGCCTGTAGTCCCAGCTACTCGGGAGGTGAGGCAGGAGAATGGCGTGAACCTGGGAGGCGGAGCTTGCAGTGAGCTGAGATCGCACCACTGAACTCCAGCCAGGGCGAAAGAGAAAGACTCCGTCTCAAAAAAACAAAACAAAACAAAAACATAAAAACCAAATACAATGGGTGAACCTTGATTGAATCCTAGTTTGAAAAAACAAATAAGAAGATTTTTTTGGACAATGCAAAAATTTGAATATTAACTCAGTATGAGATGATATCAGGGAATTATTATAATTTCTCTTAAGTTTAAACATGATGCTTTAGATATATAGAAAAATGCCCTTCAATTTAAGAGATGAATTTTAGGAGATAAACTGTGAAATACTTATAAGTGTAACTTACCTTGAAAAGGTGGCCATGCAAATCAGATCAGAGAATGGGAGGCCAGTGAGCCCTATACGCTGGAAATGGTAAGCGACTCTTCACTATTATTAGTTGCACCAAGATAACTTTGCAAGTGCTAGTCCGATGAGCTGCAGGTGGCTTCCACCTAGCCCTGCCTGTGAAGTCCTGCATGCTACATAACATAAGGAAAGAGAGGTTCTATTACAACCGTTCTCCTCAATGAAGACTTCTTTGATCAACCATCTCCCTTCTTTGAAGCATGTTTTATGAACTATTTGGGTAGCACTGAACAGACTGTGATCATGCCTGGACCTGTCATATCCCCTTTCTCACAGGGGCAGTAGTAAAGTGCAGGGGTTAGTAGAGTGAGCTCTAGAGTAGATGGCCAGGGTTCAAATCCCAACAACTCTACTCACTAGACTGTGGCTTTGGGCAAGTTATTTAATATCTCTATGTCTCAGTTTTCTCATTTGAAAAATAGTGATGATGCTAACAGTACCTGTCTCATAGGATGTCAGATGGATTCATTGAGTAATGCATGTAGGGAACTTACAAAAGTGCCTTGTTTTGCATTTTTTTTAAATGTGGGTGCTTAGAATGCTATCTGGAATCTAATAAGCACTACATACATGGTAACTCATTTTATACATAATACATTTTATAATTCCATAGAGCCTCAGGCTTTTTTTTTTTTTTGTGTGTGTGTGAGACAGAGTCTCCCTCTGTCACTCAGGCTGGAATGCAGTGACATGATCTCGGCTCACTGCAACCTCCGCCTCCCGGGTTCAAGTGATTCTTCTGCTTCAGCTTCCTGAGTAGCTGGGACTACAGGCGCGCAGCACCATGCCTGGCTAATTTTTGTATTTTTAGTAGAGACGGAGTTTCACCATATTGGCCAGGTTGGTCTCAAACTCCTGACTTCGTGATCCGCCCGCCTCGGCCTCCCAAAGTGCTGGGATTACAGGCGTGAGCCACTGTGCCCAGCTGCTTCAGGCTATTTTTTTTTAAAACTCTTTGTGTTTATTAGCACTTGTAATATTTTACCTTTCACTTTTTTCTCTTAATACTCATGAAGAAGGGAAGGCAGGTATTAGTTCCCTGTTTTCAGTGAGGAAACTGAAGCTCAGGATGGCTAAATAACTTACCCCAGTCATCCATTTGGGGATGCTGAGCAGAATTTGTCTTCTGACTCCTGGGCTTTAATTTCTGGTCCAAGAGTGAGAAGGGTAGTGAATTGGTCATGGCCAATAATTAATTTTCTCAGTGTCCCGAGAACAGTTTGTTTTCTTTGGCCACTGGCCATTCTCAGAGCACATGCCAGGGCAAAACCACTCAGAGCCACCAACCTCCCCCTCAAAAATGGCAGTGGAAAAGTTTAATACATTTAGAGCAACATCAAAGTTTGGTTTGTGTCAGTCAGTATTTCCACATGAATGTTTATTCTATCACATGATGGTTACAGGTACTTACAACATAGGATTGTGACCCCTTGGTAAGTCAGGTTAGTAAGGAAAGAAAGGGCAAAGCCCACCGGAGATGACCTGCTATTCTTCTGAAAGCAGTCATTTTGCATTTTATACATAAATAATCAGATTATTTCTGGAGTATTTCCCCTAATTTATTAAAGGTATCACTCAGTTCTGCAAAAACATATTACAATGACCAATTGGGAAGCAATCTCAAACCAAGCAAGGCTAACATTTAGATGCTACCTATTAAACAAAGAAAATTTTAATTGTCCTCATTGCAATGATCTTTCATGATTTAATATTACTAATGCTACTATTATTCTCAATTTTTACATTGTGAGTATAGCACTTTCCAGTTTAAAAGAGGGTATGTGTAAAGTATTTAATTATTTCAGATTCATACAACCGCACTATCTATAGATTAGATCAGGAGTTAACTTTTTTTCCGTAAAGGGCCAAATAGTAAATATTTCAGTCTTGCCAGTCATATAATCTTTATGTTAATTTACTCAGCTCTGCTTTTGTAGCATAAAAGCAGCCAAAGACAATAAGTAAACGAATGAGTTTGCCCTTAAAACTTTATTTTCAAAAACAGGTGCACACTGGATTGGGCTTCTGGGCTGTAGTAGTTTACCCAACTCTGAATTAAATTATGTATGATTTATCATCCCTCCTTTTGAGCTGTGGACTCTGAAGCCAAAGGGTTAAGTGCTTTACCGAAGACCACACAGTGAATTAATGACAGAACAGGGACTTGGCCCCATGCCAGCTAACTCCCAGTCTGTTCATCCCTCTACTGAACTGCTGTGGCCATAGTACAAGTACAGCATAATCTGGAGGCATTGTGCTGTGAATCAGGAAGAGCACACTACTGCAAGTCTGCAGATTTGGGCCCTTGGCCCCAGATTGGCTCCTATTTAGCTTGTGACCTTAATCAAGTCGCCTCAACCCCCTAGCTTCAGTCATTTCATCTAAAGAATGAAGAAATTGAATAAGCAATCTCTAAGGCCTCTTCTGGCTTTAAAATGCTGTATTCTTAAGATCAGGGATGGGGAGGGAATATTTTATTGTGAAGAATTTCAAGTCGATCGGTTGTTACAATTTTTGTAGAATTGATTCACACAGAAGCCATTATGAACCAACAAACACATATTTACTGAGCCTATCATACTGTAAAAAGGCAATAAATATATGACATAGTTTTTGTCTTTGAATAATTAATAGGAAAAAAGCATTTTTCTAGCACTTATAGAAAATGAGTAAAAATTCCATATGTAAGAAATACTGCTTGGTAGAGATAATAAGTTCCTTTGAGTTTCTGAGGATGGGCATCAGTGAGAGCAGAAGCTTTGAGGAAAAAAGCTCATGGAAGGTATAGACACTGGATCATGCTCTGGGTTTAGAGGATGGATAGTGGTGTAGGGGTGAAGAGAAGCATTCCAAGGCTGACAGGGGCAGGTGTGAAAACCTGTATACAAACATTGCTTGTGTGTACCACATAGGTTAGTGAGTTAGATTAGGCTAGTTGGTGTGCATTGGGGAAATATGGAAAGTATTAATTTTGCATCACTTTGGGGTTACTTGGAATATAGCACCATTAAAAAAACAGCATGAAAATCTTGAGCTTTGCCATTTGTTACAGATAGGGCTTTGCTCCCATTTGTGCACATTAGGGAAATTTGCCTGGATTTCATCCTGTTTTGAGCCTCACATGAGGCAACTTTCATAGAACAGTTGAACATTCATAATGAACAGATGAATTAATGAACACTCGGGATTCTTATCTCAAATTCCCCAGAAGAAATCTGGGTAGTCTTTTCCTCTGACTGGTGGTGTGCAGAGGCAAGGATTTTATTAGTTCCATATCTAAAAATCCTAAGATAGGAAAGAAGTGGTCTTCTTCAATCCCTCCTAGCTCATTTTCTCAAACAGGGAGGCAATTTAGAAGATGGTACTTTAGTGATTAAAGACAATGCTCTGTAGTCGCCAAAGGAACTTGGCTTGCATGGTGTGGGGTTGACTGGTTTTTTACACTATGCATTTCTCCGCAAGGTTCTCTGACCTGGATGTCCCCTAATTATCCCTGCCGGGCTTCTGAGATAACCCTTGGAGAGCCAACTGGAAAACATGATTGGAGCCTGACACATTGGGAGACGCTATCACTATCACTAAAAGGGAAGGGTTTGGAAACCTTTGAGAGTAAAAGACTGGGGCACATCTGCCATGTTCATTTAATTCATGCCTTATACTGCTAAAAGGATGGAAAGTTGCCCGGTGCACTTCAATGGTGAAGGTTAACACTTACTGAGCTTTTTCTTTTTTTTTTTTTCTTTTTTTTCTTTTTTTATTATTATACTTTAAGTTTTAGGGTACATGTGCACAATGTGCAGGTTAGTTACATATGTATACATGCAACATGCTGGTGCGCTGCACCCACTAACTCGTCATCTAACATTAGGTATATCTCCCAATGCTATCCCTCCCACCCCCCTACCCCACAACAGACCCCAGAGTGTGATGTTCCCCTTCCTGTGTCCATGTGTCCTCATTGTTCATTTCCCACCTATGAGTGAGAATATGCGGTGTTTGGTTTTTTGTTCTTCCGATAGTTTACTGAGAATGATGATTTCCAATTTCATCCATGTCCCTACAAAGGACATGAACTCATCATTTTTTATGGCTGCATAGTATTCCATGGTGTATATGTGCCACATTTTCTTAATCCAGTCTATCGTTGTTGGGCCTTTGGGTTGGTTCCAAGTCTTTGCTATTATTTACTGAGCTTTTCCTAGAGGCCAATTACTGTCCTAAGTTTTCCTTTTCATATATTATCCCATCAAATCCTGTCAACATTCTTATATTTCTACCCTCATTGTACAGGTGAGGAAGGAGGCTGGGTCTCATTGAGGTAAACTTGCCCAAGTTTATACATAGCTGACAGGCTGCATAGCAGGGATTTGAAAGAGTGCAGCTGGATTTCTGGGATTTCACAGTGCATCACTAAGTGGGTTCAAATGGTGGAAACCATCATGTTCTGACAAAGAAAGGGGTTAATGAATTTAACCTGAAGACAGGTAGAAAGGCAGAGAAACATATCTTCATGGACACATTTCTCAGTTGCCAAGGAGACATTGCTGAGGGTGAGAGTTGTATTGGAAGAGAGAGATATATGGGATATAGCGCAGCATCACCACTTTGAGGCTCAGGCACACTCAGTCCTTTCTCTTTCTGCTGGAAAGCTGTGATTTGGGCAATTAAAGGCAGCATGCAAAAGAAGGGGGCCCAGTGACACCACCCCCGATGTCACAGTCTCACCCATCCTCTGGAATCCCCAGGGGTGTTTCTCATGATTGCACATAGGTCTCTTCTTCAGAGAAGCATGGCTGTCAGTCGGCAGGTCCTATATGGTTGGGGTCCTAAAGGCAGAAAGCTTCTACCAGAGCCCAGTGAATCTTTCTACTTGCAAAGGCTCTGTGTATGCTGAGATGAATTGAGAAGGATGCACCCCTGGTGGAATCAAGAAAAATTTAACCTTCAGAAAATAGTCAAAATTAAACACTCTTTAATGCACTGAGACATATTTCAGTAGAGAGTTAAAAAATCAGGTAATGGGAGCAGCATGGTTTATGGACAAGTTGTTGATGTCTATAATCCTCATTTGCCTCATATGCAAAATGAGAATACAGAGATCTATCTCAGTTTTTGGTGAGGATCAAATGAGAAAATGCTTGCCGCAGGGCCCATTGGCAGGTATGTAATTGGTAGATGTTGCTAGGAAGCAGTAAAATGTAGTGGTTGTAGCAGCTATGACTCATACTAGCTGTATGACCTTAGTCAAGTTACTCTGTGCCTCAGCGTTCACATCTGTAAAATGAGGGATAAGGATATTACCCGTGGTATGTGGTACTTTAGGAAATTAAGCTAGCTAACATGTGTAAGGCACCAAGGACAGCACCTGCTGCCTGGTGAGCACTCAGTCAACTCAATCGTCATCATCACCATTGTCAAAAAAAGCATTTACCCTTACCAGTGTGCTTCAGTTCAAAGATTTAAGTCTTTTCAATAACAAGATCTTTTAAGTTTTAGAAAAAGCTTTAAAGTGAAAGACTATTACTGGATAAGAAATGTCCCTGCTCCAAATAAAAGTCACAACATCTTCCTAAAACATTTCCAATGCTGCTGCTGACTCCTTGGCCTCCAGCTCACTGAGAGTGCCTCCTTATTGCTACCTCCTTCTCTCTGACACCCTAGTCTGAGTCTGCAGCAATCACACCAAACTTACTGGTTATAATATCCCATGGATTAGTTGCATTTAAAAAAATACATAAATGTTTCTTGAATCTACTTTTGTGTATGGTGTAAGGAAGGGGTCCACTTTCTTTCTTTTATATATATATATATATGTAAATAAATAATACTTTAAGTTCTAGGGTACATGTGCACAATGTGCAGGTTTGTTACATATGTATACATGTGCACAACGTGCAGGTTTGTTACATATGTATACATGTGCCATGTTGGTGTGCTGCACCCATTAACTCGTCATTTACATTAGGTATATCTCCTAATGCTATCCCTCCCCCCTTCCCCCACCCCACAACAGGCCCCAGTATGTGATGTTCCAGGAAGGGGTCCAGTTTCAAGTTCAGCTATTGTGGAAAGCAGTGTGGCAATTTCTCAAAGAAGTTAAAACAGAATCACCATTTGACCCAGCAATCCCATTATTGGGTGTATACTCCAAGGAATATAAATCATTCTATCATAAAGACATGTACACATATGTTCATTGCAGCACTATTCACAATAGCAAAGACAAGGAATCAACCTAAATGCCCATCAATAGTAGACTGGATAAAGAAAACTTGGTACATATACACAATAGAATACCATACAGCCACAAAAATAATGAGATTATGTTGTTTTCAGGATCATGGATGGAGCTGGAGTCCATTATCCTAAGCAGACTAATGCAGAAACAGAAAATCAAATACACATGTTCTTACTTACAAATGGGAGCTAAACATTGAGTATCTATGGACACAAAGGAGGAAATAACAGACACTGGGACCTACTTGCAGGGAGAGATGAGAGGAAGGAGAGGATTGAAAAGCTATTGAGTACTATGCTTATTACCTGGGTGACAAAGTAATTTATACACTAAACTCCTATGACACACAATTTATCTATATAAGAAACCTGCACATGTACCCCTGAACCTACGATAAACTAAAAAAAAAATACAAGTTTCTGAAATATAAATGTTTTTCAAACTGATATTTGATGACAAAAGTAATATCTTTGCAAAGTATTGCAAAGTACTGAGTTTTAAGAAATAAGCTGAATAATTTGGCAGTGTTAAGATGATGCTGTCAAAGATCGTATTTTCTCAGTCATCTATATCCCCTGGTTTCAGTTGTACAGGCTGTCATCAAGATGGTGAGATTTATTTTTCCTCTAATTGCAACATGGCAACCAGTTTTATAGAAAATATAACTGTGGTGCCCACTTTCTAGGAGAGTGCAAAATCCATGGCATCACTTATGCAGGCGATTATGCGCACAATAAGAGGAATGGCTTGCCACAAAGAGATCAGGGAAAATTAGGCTTTATGGATCCCTGGGGTGCTGTTCAGTTGTTTAAAAATATATAACAACCAGTGATTGATTTATTTGTGGGAAGACAGAAAGCATCCTTTTTGCAGGGAATAAGCATTTGACCTCTTTTGTGCAATTTTCTGTGTTTTGCGTTCTCATGCATTAAATATAAGGCATGCATTATTCACCCTTTATAGCTATTTCAAGATCTGTGTGTGGCTTCCCCTTATAACCTTGGAAATTTCCCACATAATTCATTAGAGACAGATAATGATCTAGTGGTTAGGACCAGGACAGAGAGTCAGTCCAGATTTTTCTCCTTCATTCTGCTGCTGTGTACTCCATGGCACTGCAGTTACTCAGCATTTACTTGGATTCCCTAAATGTCCATTTGTGTTCATGATCACTCATTGAATGATTGCAATGTGTACATGTTTTGTGTGAGGTCCTAGGGGCCATAATCAGGAAACGAGGAAACGTAAGATATGTAACAGGGTACCTTAGAAGAGCACTGGAGAATTAAGATTTGTATTTATGAAAACTCAGAAGGCAAAACAAACTCTGTACTATCAAGTGTGAATGGAACAGAACTAGATGCATCGGTGAGTGGCCAGCAGAGCTGAGCTATTCAGAGTGTAGACTTCAGCACCAGATCTTTAGGCCCGAATCCCAGCTACACCATTAACTAGTTATGTGATCTTGGTAGTTATGGGAGATTATATCAAGGACAGCAAACCCAAGCTGGGTGTTCAGGGAAAGCCTCTAGGAGGAAGTGACATTTCAGTTGAAACAAGGTTAAATGGCATTTTCCATTTACAAATGATGCTGCATGACTTATTTCTCATGTTGTAAGTATATTTGGGTGCTGTTAATTTATCTTCTACAAATTTTAGCTAGTGCCATTGACTCCTTTTTATGAACAATGGTGACATCAGTATACTACGACTTCTCAGCTTGCCTCTTTTCCTTTCACCTCCTGATTATAGTGGATTATAAGATTTTTTTTTAGTGCTTACCTTTAAATATTTCAATATTATTATATGACTGAGTGATAATAATTATCCATGGGTCTCTTCTGTGTCTGCGTGCCTTGTATCAGCTTTCATTTGAGATAATTTTTCAAGGATGGTTATATATAAAAAGCCTTCAAATATATATAGTGTCACCATTTAGGGCAGAGCGAGGTTTGTTTGCTGCTCAGGATAATAAAGATAATGTTTCTCTTTGGGACAAAGTTTGAGCAGGTTTGCTAATAGATTCCTTCTAAAAGATTGGGGTTTCCTGAACACGAGGTTCTTCAGCTGTGATGCAGACCCACTACATGCATAGCATCAACCCAGGCTGCACTGCACTATCTCTGTAGGGCTTGGGGGCAAGAACGGCTGTGAGTATGAAGCTCATGCTACTTTGTATCTGACCAAGTGTATTAGGGTTCCCTAGAGGGACAGAGCTAATAGGATAGATGTATATATAAAGGGGAGTTTATTAAGGACTCACGATCACAAGGTGAAGTCCCACAACAGGCCATCTGCAAGCTAAGGAGCAAGGAGGCCAGTCCAAGTCCCAAAACCTCAAAAGTACAAAAGTAGGGAGGCCGACAGTGTAGCCTTTAGTCTGTGGCCAAAGGCCCGAGGGCCCCTGGCAAACCACTGGTGTAGGACCAATAGCCCAAAAGCTGAAGAACTTGGAGTCCTATGTTTGTGGGCAGGAAGCATCCAGCATGGGAGAAAAGTGGAGGCCAGAAGACTTAGCCAATCTAGTCCTTCCAGGTTCCTCTGCCTGCTTTTATCCTAGCCGGCCTGAAAGCTGATTAGATGGTGCCCTCCCAGATTTAGGGTGGGTCAACGTCTCCCAGTTCACTGACTCAAATGTTAATCTCCTTTGGCAACACCCTCACGGACACACCCAGAAATAATACTTTGCCTCCTTCAATCCAATCAAGTTGACAGTATTAACCATCATACCAAGGAGTCTCAGTTTTTCTGTAAATTTCTATGAAACTGTAGCAGAATACCTTCTTAGCTTGCAAACAGTGTAAGATCTCAGACAAAGTTCTTGACATCTACTTCTATTACTTGATTTACCAGCTGTAAAGGTGCTTATACTAGGTTCTATTTTTTTCTCCTACTTCTTACCTGAACTTTGTTCTATCATTTCTACTTGTCAGGGATTATAAAACATTTACATTCTATTCTGTAACTACAATCCCCACATTTATTTCATTTTTGTCCTCTTCCCTAATAAGACTAAGTTTTGCCATAGTTTCTCTGTTCATTTCTTAATTGGGTGAAATTTGCCCTTTAGAATTTTCTGCAAAGTCACCTTCTAGAAACACTCGTGGAGATTACATTCCCAGTGTTTTTGCGTGCTCAGAGATGTTTGTTGCCTTTATACTAGAATGGTAATTTGGCTGGGAATAAAATTTTTGATTCCATTTTTTCTTTCTTTGGTGACTTTCAGACATTTCTCCATTGTCTTCTAGATTGATTCTTACTGTGGAAGAGTCCGAGGTATATTGATTCTTTTCTTTTTCTTTTTTTTTTGAGATGGAGTCTTGCTGTGTCACCCAGGCTGGGTACAGTGGCATGATCTTGGCTCACTGTAACCTCTGCCTCCTGGGTTCAAGCAATTCTCCTGCCTCAGCCTCCCGAGTAGCTGGGACTACAGGCATGTGCTACCACGCCTGGCTAATTTTTTTGTATTTTTAGTAGAGACAGGGTTTCATCATGTTAGCCAGGATGGTCTGGAGCTCCTGACCTCATGATCCGCCTGCCTTGGCCTCCCAAAGTGCTGGGATTACAGGCATAAGCCACCGTGCCTGGCCTATTGATTCTTTTTAATGCGATTTAATCTTTTTCCCTGGGTGCATAGAAAATTCTTAAACTTTGAAGTCCAGAAATTTTGTTTGAATTTAATTTGGTACTGACCATTCTACATCAAATTTTCCAGGAACCCAGTATGACTTTTTGATTGCTACATCAAAGGCTTCTTTTGTTTCTGAAAAAAATTTTGGACTTATGTATGTATTTTAAATATTATTTACACACCAGTGTAAGAGTTCTTTAGTAATTCTGCATTCTTTTTAAGAAACACTGATTTTACACATGTTGGATTTGTTTGATCTTTACTATTTGTCAGTTTCTCCCTACCCTGTTAATTTTTAAAATAGATTTTCATTTAATTTGGCCTTTTTCCCCGTGAAGTCCATAATTCATATTCCTAATGAACTTTCAGCCATTTCTAGCCTTCTCTGAGATGCTCCCAATATGACCCTCAGTCTCTAATGGTTTTCTATTTATTTTCTACTTCTCTTCTGAGAATAGTTTTTCAACTCTTTTTGTGGCCTCACCTTCCCTGAGCCCTTTAAGCTCCCTGTTTTGGATTTTTGTTTCATTGAGTAATTGCTTAAGTTTTTCATAAAAAATTCTGGTAATACGCTTATTAAAACAATTTAAATGTGACTCATGGTTTCATTTACGTGGTGAGTGAACTTCCATCTTCCATGTGTTTTTCCTGTTTCTGTTCTTTTTTTCCCCTTTCCTTTTGGTACACTTATATAGATACTTTCTGAGTTGATGCATATTTATAGTATTCATCTTTGAAAATGGTGAGTTCTCCCTGGATTCGCTGTTGGTAGGAATTTTATGTGATGGAAGAGCTATAGGCTCACTGGACATAGGCTTGTCTCACAGTAGGTTTGCTTATGGCCTAGATTGTGAGTATCACTTGACTTTGCTTTTACTTCTCACAAGAAAATAGAGATCAGCTGCTGTGGCATGGCATTGATGTAGACTCTTGCCTCTACTTTGTCTTATCAAGGGAAACTTTCTTGCAAATACAGCACATTGGTGCGATCCTTCCTTCTGCCCCTCAGCCCTGCTCCTTCCTGCTGCTTATGGGGTCCAAGGATGCACCCACTGGCTCACAGGCATTCCCAATATCCCAACAAGGAATTACTGGTTTTCTCCTCAGGGTATAACATGTACTCTGGAGAACTTTGCTCTGCCAGCTTGGCTTGTAATATGTAGCTGTACGCACGCCACCACTGAACAACCACCACTGCATTGGTAGTTGTTCCTCATATATTGCGGTTGAGAGTTATAGAAGTCCTCTGGTTTGTCAATGTTAGAGCTTGCATTTTTTGTTCTTGTTCTTCTTGTTTTGAGTTGATTTCTGAGAGGAGAAGGGGGCAGGCCATTAGACATTCAACAATCAATAAACACTTATTGCAGCCCTAATATTGTCAAACTGCTACGCACTCAAGATACTGAAATTATGTAACTCAGGTTATGCTAGGTGCCCTTACATTTCTCTCTTTTGTATGCATTTCTCTGATCCTATGATTAGCTGTGGAAATCCTTAAATGCTAGAAAGAGGCATTCTATCTTGATCCAAATGGTGGAGGAATCTTTACAATTCCTGAGGTGGGGACTCAACTGAGGAAAGGCAGGCTTTGCACTAGATGGGAATCAATACTACTTAACAATCCCGTATGACAGCTCAGATTTATGAACATGTATGAACATTCTTAAGAAACAATATCTTTCATTCACTGTGGAGTTTTTATATTTTGGCCTCAGTTAAAAATTATACCCATATTATTGTGAGTTAGTCTAGTTGCTAGTTTCCAGGACATTGTCTCCTATTCCCACACCTACAAATGGAAAGAGCAGTGCTCCCTCCATCTTTACTTGAACTTCCACGTAAGCGATCATCTCAGAGAGCATGGCAGTAATCCCTGCGCCAGTTAAGGAAGGGAAATCTACTTCTTTTTTCCAACTCTATGAATAAAGCACTTATCACCAGTGCTTTGAGATTGTTTCTCTGGGTCAGAGGTTATTCAAGAACATGAGATATTAAAAGCTGTTTGTATACAGAATCCTCAGGCCTATATTTAGTTTTTTGTTTAATTATCCATAAATATTCATGAGTTTATGAATGGTATACTCATCAATACAATCAATGGTGATGTTTAAGACTTTGCCTTAGACATGATTGGACCTGTAAACCCAATGTTTTCTTTTGGCCTCCATAAATTATTCAATTAATAATTGAGTTTTGATTGAGCACCTTTTGCATGACCAGCCCTGTACTAAGTGCTTTGATGAATAAATTTGAGCCTAGAAAGTACCCCTGCCCTTGGGAGCAAGGCTGAAACTTAATAAAGACTTGACTTGTCTTAAATGTATTGTCCTAATCTAGTAAATGAATATTTAAATATCTAGTGTGCCTATTTCACAATATTTCTGTGAGAATCAAATGAACTGAAAATGTTAATAATAATATTAATTATAATAATGACTAACATTTATATAATACTAGGTTCTGGAATCTCTTTTAAGTTCTTTCCACTTATTAAACCATTTAATAAAATAATTTTAAATGACAAAATATTATGTAGTAACAGACTAGATTGTTACTCTCTTGGATAGGTATACATTGAGGAAGATTTCAGTCTTCCATGACAGGATGAGATTCTGTCATGGAAATGTGCTACATATTTTTTATGCTGAGAGATCAGAGGAAAAGAAGGCCAAAGAATCCTGGACAAAATGGTTCCCATTTCTGGGCTGTGATTGAAGTTCAGAGCTGGATGGGCCCAGGTCTGCATTTTTGACTACAGTTGCTAGTAACTTCATCAGTGTAATCCTTGTCACCATCATCACTACTATCATTAATATTTCTGAGTGCCTTTTTTTTGCTGAGCATTTTACCTCCTTATTTGATGCCTACAACAATCTTAGGTAGTAGATACTGTATAAAGTACCATTTTATGGTTGAGGTAATGGGGACTCTGAAAGCATGAGTCATCTCAAAGATATAAAGCCAGTAAATGGTAGAACTATAATTTGAATCCACAGCTGGCTGATGCCGCAGTCCTGGTTCTTTCTGGCATTATGTGGTTCTCTAAGCAGGTCAAGGAGGTCATCCTTATTATCCAATTGTACCTCCACTTGCAAGGTTCTGATACATGCTTACTATTCTCAGGAAGACTGAATGGTGCCAGATAAAATCAGGCCTAATCAACAAGGTTTTCTAATAAAGAGACATTTATCTTAAAGAGGAGGATGTAACTCTTTATCAGAGTGCACAGCTTTGGCTATGCCACCATAAATACAGGCCAAAATTCACAATTGATAGGTAGAACAAAGAAACATCAATTTTTAATTTTTTTATGTTTCTCTCATTGGGTTCCATTAAAAAATATAGAATATAATGTGGAATCTCATTCTTCCGTACTTATTTTACATTCGTGCCACATTCCCTCATAGCTTATAAGCTGCTTGAGGGAAGGGACGACGCCTCCTTTTACATCCTCTCTATTACCCCAAAATCTAGTTCAGACTGGACTATCACAGTCACTCTAACCAAGCCATCTAATAGACAATTGCAGTCATTTGAATGAGAAAATCTGGGACCAGCCAGTCCCCATTCAACCTACCAACTAACCACAAATGTATAAACGAACTCAGCTGACACCATAATGAACAGACGAAAGCTGTCCTAGCTGAGTCCTGTCCAAATTACCAAACTAGAAGAGTGACTACTTCCCAACTTTCTGTATGATATCAATATTACCCTGATACCAAAATGATACAAAGACGCTACAAGAAATAAACTATACAACAAAGTCTCTGATAAACATGATGTAAAACTTCTAAATAAAATTTTAGCAAATAAAATTCAACAATATATAAAACATGGTAGTACATCATCACCAAGTGGGTTTATCTCAGGAATGCAAGGTTTTTTTTTAACATCAAAAATTGATCAATGTAATTTACTGTATTAATAAACTAAAAAAGAAATGCCACGTCATCATCTCAATAAAAAGAAAAGCATTTGAGGAAATCCAACAGCCATTCTTGATAAACATTTCTAGCAAGCTAAGAATAGAAGGTAACTTTCTCAATCTGAGGAAAGGTATCTAAGAAAAATCTGCAGTTAGCATAACATTTAACTGTAAAATATTAAGTGCTTTTTCTGTAAGGTCAGGAAAAAGATGAGGATTTAACTCTCACGACCTGTATTCAGCATTATACTAGAAGTTCTAGACAATGAAATAAGGCAAGATGAAGAAAAAAAGATCTCCATGTTAGAAAAAAAGAAGTAAAACTTTTTATTCACAGATGCCGTTATCTTTTATGTAGAAAGTTCAATGTGATCTATAAAAAGGCTACTAGAGCTAATAAATGAGTTTAGAAATATTGCAGAATGCAAGATTAATATTAAAAAATTAATTGTATTTTTATATATTGGCAATGAACAATTTGAAATTGGAATTACCATATCATCAAAATGTGAACTATTTAGGGATAAATCTGACAAGAGGTGTGAAAAACTGTTACCGGTGGAAGGTATTGGAGTCAACATGGTACCCAAATATGCGAGTGGTGGTGAATCTGTATTTGTAAGGGTCTGCAGCAACCTTAATTCTTGCCTCCTTAGAAGAAAGAATTTGACTGAGGGGCATGAGACAGAAGGAGAGACTGAGGCAAGTTTTAGAATGGAAGTGAAAATTTATTAAAAAGCTTCAGCGCAGGAAAGAAAGGAAGGAAAGTACACTTGGTAGAGGGCCAAGTGGGTGACTTGAGAGATCAAGTGTGTAGTTTGACCTCTTGACTTGGGGTTTTATATGGTGGCTTACTTTTGAGGTCTTGCATTACTTCTCCCAACTTGCCCAACTCCTGAGATCTTATTGGGAAGCTGCTGATCACCAGTTTCAGGTGTTCTCTATCTATTAGGAGACTGTTGTTCATGGTGCCAGCTGTGGCCAATTATTACTTTAGAGAGCCAGTTAACAGCCTGGCTATCACCTGATGGTCGCTCGACACTCCTGGTGTGTGTGAGTGTGTGTGTGTGTGTGAGTGTGTGTGTGTGTTTGTGAGTGTGTGTGTGTGTATGTAGCCCTCTCCTGCCCTGCTCGTACCTTATTAGCCACCCACTGTAGCAAAACTTGTACACTGAAAACTACTAAACACTGCTGAGAGAAACTGAAAGAGACTAACAATAATGGAGACATACACCTTGTTCATCAGTCAAAAAACACAATATTGTTAATTCTCCCCATATTGCAATCCCAATCAAAATTCCAGAAGCCTTTTTTCAGAAGATATTTATAAACTAATTCTTAAATTCATATGACAATACAAAGGACCTAGAATAACCCAAATCACTTTGAAAAAGTTGGGGCTAACCCTACCTGACTTAAACACTTATAAAGGTACAGTAATGAAGACAGTGTGATGTTGTCATGAAGATCAACAATAGACCAATGGAATAGAAGAGGACGTCCAGCAAATAAACCACATACAAGGACAACTGATTTTTTGACATAGTTGTAAAGACAGTTTAGTGAAGAAAAGACAAGTCTTTTTAATGAAATGTGCTGGAACAGTTGAGCATTGTTATGAGTTGAAGTGTGTCCCTCAGAAATTCATGTGTTGAAATCCTAACCCCCAGTAGCTCAGAATGTGACTGTATTTAGAGATAGTCTTTAAAAAGGTAATTAAGTTAAAATGAGGTCATTAGGGTGAGCCCTAATCCAATATGGCTGGTGTTCTTTAGGAGGAAAAGATTGGAACACAGACAGATCCACAGAGGGAAGAGCATGTGAAAACACAGGAGAAGACACTGTCTTCTAGCCAAGGACAGAGGCCTCAGAAGAAACCACCCTCACTGACACTCTCATCTCCAGACTGCGTGCCTCTAGAACAGTGAGAAAATAAACTTCTGTTGTTTAGGCCACCAGTCTGCGGTACTTTGTGATGGCAACCCTAGCTGCCATAAAGTGATACAGGTATCTGTACACAGAAAAATAACTGTGACCTATACCTCACACCATGTTGACAAATTTACTGTAGATGGGTCACAGGTCTAAATGTAAAACTAAAAACTGTAAAAGTAAGAAAATTCTTTTTAGATATGACACCGGAAGCACAATTCATAGGAGAGCAAATTAATAGACTGGATTTCATGCAAATAAAAAATGTCTGCCTTTGAATGATACTGTTAATGGAATTAAATGACAAGCCACTGACTGGGAGAACATACCTGTAAATCATATATCTCATAAGGCATTTGTATCTGGAATATATTAAAAACTCTCAAAACCCAACAATAAGAAAACAAACAACCCAATTAAAAAGTGGGCAAAATATTTGAATAGACACATCACCAAATAAGACGTATGGATGAGAAATAAGGAAGTGAAAAAATGCCCAACATCATTATTCATGTGAAAATGTGAATTAAAACTGCAGTGAAATATATTAGAATTGCTAAAACAAAACAAAACAAAACCCTGATCACATCAAGCATTGCTGAGGATATAAGGGAATGGGAAGACTCAGGCACTGCTGTTGGCAATGTAAAATGGTACACATATTTTGGAAAGTAGGTTGGTGATTTCTTCAGTTTACATACTTAAACATACTAATATACATCTATCATAGAATTCAGCCCTTCCACTTCTAGGTATGGAAGCATTTGACCATATGAAGACTTGTATACAAATGTTCATAGCAATCTTATTTGTAATAGCCAAAAATTGAAAACAACCTAAATGTCCTATAATAGATGAATGGTTAAAAAACCTTTATATAACCATATGATGGAATATTCAGCCATAAAAAAAGAATGCACTATTGATACATACTACAACATGGATGGATTTCAAAATAATTACATTCAGTGAAGGAGTCCAGGCAAAAGGAGTATATTCTGTATAATTCCATTTACATGACATTCTAGAAAATGCAAGCTAATCTATAGTGATGGAAGCAGAACAGTAGTTGCCTGGGGGTATACGGGGGAAAGGAGGGGTGGGGGGGTAGGTAGGAAAGGAACACGAGGAAGCCTTTATGGGGGATGGATATGCTTCTTGTCTGGTTGGGATTGTGTTGATGCTTTCATGGGTGTGTACCTATGTCAAAACTTTTCAAATTATATACTTTAAATATGTATTATTTATTTTATGTCAACTTCACCTCAGTAAAGCTGCATAATGAAAAAATAAGTTGTTAGACAGTAGGTCACAAGCCATTCTCCAGTCCTGTTTTACAAGTGATAAAGCTGGCATAAAAATCGGTATCATGTTTATTTGGCTTTTGTTTTTAACTGTCTGCTATCAGTGGTTAGAGCTGAGAGCGGAGGGTGGATGTGTGGTTAGCACAGCTAAAACTTCAAGAAGGTTAACTGTATTTTTCAAGTGAATATTGCTTGTGGCATAAAATGTTTTCGTATTCTTGAAATAAAAGCATGGGCCAGCTCTTAAAATTGCTGGCTCTGTCACTAGAGGTTTTCAAACAACAATTCAGGCAATCACTTGTCAGTGAGGCCAGTGAAATGGTAGCATTAATTCTTCAGAGGAGTAGAGAATTCACCTAAATCAACCTCCTCATTTTATGGACGTGAAACTAGAGAAAGTTATTTTACCTTTCTGGTCCTGAGTCACACAGTTCATATATAGCCATGTGTAGAAAAAAATCCCAACTCTCTTTATTCTCGTGTAGTCTGTGGCACAATTATTAAAAACTTGTTCTCATGAGCCAGATGGACCTGGATTTAAAAATCTGTCTGTCTCCAACACTTGAAGTTATTTTGTGGCCTTAGTCATTATTATAATTTTTTTGCATTTTAATAACATTTCTAAATGTTTTTAAAGTTGACAAACAAAAAATTGTATATTTATGGTGTAACACACGATGTTTTGAATATGCATACATTGTGGAATGGCTAAAGCAATCTAACTGACATATCCATCACCTCGTGTACTGATTTTTTTTGTGTGGTGAGAACACTTAAGATCTGCTCTGATCAAATTTCAAATATACAGTACATTGTTATTAACTATAGGTACAGTAACTATTGTTAATTTGGTAAGACCAGATTTTTTTTTTTTTTTTTTTGAGACGGAGTCTTGTTCTGTCACCAGGCTGGAGTGCAGTGGCACGATCTCGGCTCACTGCCACTTCCGCCTCCCAGGTTCAAGTGATTCTCCTGCCTCAGCCTCCTGAGTAGCTGGGACCACAGGCATGTGCCAACACGCCCAGCTAATTTTTGTATTTTTAGTAGAGATGGGGTTTCACCATGTTGGCCAGGATGGTCTTGATCTCTTGATCTCATGATCCACCTGACTTACCACCCGCTTTAGCCCCCCAAAGTGCTGGGATTACAGGCGTGAGCCACTGCGCCCAGCCTAGAGCAGATTTTAAGTGTTCTATACTGTAACAATGTACTGTATAATCAAAAATTGAATACAATTGATCCCTTGAACTTGTTCATCCTAACCAAAATTTTGAATTCTTTTACCAACATCTCCCCAATTCTTCCCACCCCCACCCCCAAGCTCCTGATAACCATCATTCTGCTTTCTGAGTCTGACCTCTTTAGATTCCATGTATAAGTGAGATCATGTTGTACAAATGAGATCATCATGTACAAGTGAGATCAGTACTTCTGTGCCTGACTTAGCTTACTTAACTAGTGTCTCTGGGTTCATCCATGATTGTCTCAAGTAACAGGATCTCATTATTTTTTTAGGCTGCAGACTATTCCATTGTGTACCTGTACCACATTTTCTTTATCCATTCATTTGTTGATGGACACTTAATTTGATTCCATATATTGACTATTGTGACTAATGCTGAAATGAACAAGGGAGTACAGATAGCTCTTTGACCTACTTATTTCATATCCTTTGGATGTATACCCAATAGTGGGATTACTGAATCATATAAGAGATCTATTTTTATTTTTGTGGGACCTCTATACTGTTTTCCATAATGGCTATACTAGTTTACGTTCCCAGCAAGTGTACCAGGATTCTATTTTCTCCACATCCCTTCCAGCACTTATCTTTTGTCTTTTTGATAATAGGCATTCTTACAGGTATGAGGTGGTATTTTATGGTTCAAATTTGCACTTCCCTGATGATTAGTGATGTTCAGCATTTTTTAGTACACAGGCATGGCTTGCTTTATTGCACTTCACCTTATTGTACTTTGCAGATAAGCTTTTTACAAATTGAAGATTTGTGGCAACCCTGTATTGAGCAAGTCTATTGGTGCCACTTTTCCAATAGCATGTCCTCGCTTTGTGTCTCTGTGTCACATTTTGGTAATTACTGCAATATTGCAAATTTTTCTTCATTGTTATATCTGTTATGGTGAACAGTGATCTTTGATGTTACTATTATAGTTGTCTTGGGGCACACCAAATCCCACCCAAATAAGACTGAATTTAATTGATAAATGTTGTATGTGTTCTGACTGCTTCACTGACTAGCTAATCCCTCGTCTCTCTCCATCTTCTCAGGCTTTCCTATTCCCTGAGACACAACAACATTGAAATTAGGTCAACCAAAAACTACAAATGATTAAGCTTAGTGAGGAAGCCATGTCGAAAGCCAAGATATGCTGAAAGCTAGGCCTCTTGCATCAAATAGCTAGCCAAGTTGAGAATGCAAAAGGAAAGTTCTTGAAGGAAAGTAAACGTGTTTCTCCAGTGAACACATGAATGATAAGAAAGTGATGCAGGCTGGGCACTGTGGCTCATGCCTGTAATCCCAGCACTTTGGGAGACTGAGGCAAGTGGATCACAAGGTCAGGAGTTTGAGACCAGTCTGGCCAACATAGTGAAACCCTGTCTCTACTAAAAATACAAAAAAAATTAGCAGGGTGTAGTGGCGGGCACCTGTAATCCCAGTTACTCGGGAGGCTGAGGGAAGGACAATCACTTGTACCTGGGAGGTGGAGGTTGCAGTGAGTCGAGATCGTACCACTGCACTCCAGCCCAGGTGACAGTACAAGACTCCATCTCAAAAAAAAAAAAAATGGAGAAAGTTTTAGTGGTCTAGATAGAAGATCAAACCAGCCACAATGTTCCCTTAAGCAAAAGCCTAATCCAGAGAAAGGCCCTAACTTTCTTAAATTGTATGAAGGCTGAGAGAGGTGAGGAAGCTGCAGAAGAAAAGTTTGAAGCTAGCAGAGGTGGGTTCATGCGGTTTAAGAAAAAAAGCCATCTGTTTAACATAAAACTGCAAGGTGAAGCAGCAACTGTTGATATAAAACCTGCAGGAAGTTATTCATAAGATCTAGCTAAGATCATTTATGAAGGTGGTTACACTAAAAAAACAGATTTTTAATAGAGACAAAATAGCCTTCCATTGGAAGAAGATGCCATCTAGGCTTTTCATAGCTAGAGAGAAGTCGATGCTTAGCTTTGAAGCTTCAAATGACAGCCTGACTATTTTGATAGGGGCTAATGCAGCTGGTGATTTTAAGTTGGAGCCAATGCTAATTTACCATTCTGAAAATTCTAGGGTGCTTAAGAATTATGCTAAATCAACTCTTCCTGTGCTCTAGAAATGGAACAACAAAGCCTGAATGACAGCACACCCCTTTCTGGCATGCTTTACTGAATATTTTAAGCCTATTGTTGAGACCTGCTGCTCAGAAAAAAATATTCCTTTCAGAGTATTACTGCTCATTGACAATGCACCTGGCCACCCAAGAGCTCTGATGGAGATGTACAAGGAGATTAATGTAGTTTTTGTGCCTGTTAAGACATATAATGTCCAGCCCCATGGATCAATGTCATTTTGGCTTTTAAGTCTTATTATTTAAGGAATACATTTCAAAAGGCTATTTTTGTCATAGACAGATGGATCCATTCTCTGATGGATCTGGGAAAAGTAAATTGAAAACCTGAAAAGAATTCACTATCCTGGATGTCACTGAGAACATTTGAGATCCATGGGAGGAGGTCGAAATATCAACATGAGCAGGAGTTTGGAAGAAGTTGATTCCAATTCTCATGGATGACTTGGAAGGGTTCGAGACTTCAGTGGAGGAAGTAACTGCAGATGTGGTGAAAGTAGCAAGAGAACTAGAACTCAAAGTGGAGCCTGAAGATATCACTGAATTGCTGCAATCCCATGATAAATCTTGAATAGATGAGGAGTTATTTCTTCCGGATGAACAAAGAAAGTGGTTTCTTGAGGAGGAACGTACTCTTGGTGAAAATGCTGTGAACATTGTTGAAATGACAAGAAATGGCTGGGTGCTGTGGCTCATGCCTGTAATCTTAGCACTTTGGGAGGCTGAGACTGGTGAATATGCTGAGCCCAGGAGTTTGAGAACAGCCTGGGCAACATGGTGAAACTCCATCTCTACTAAAAACACAAAAATTAGCTGGGCATGGTGACACAGGCCTTTAGTCACAGCTACTCTGGAGGCTGAGGTGGAAGGGACCACCTGAGGCCTGGGGAGGTCGAGGCTGTGGTGAGCTGAGATCGTGCCAGAGTGATACCCCATCTCAAAAAAAAAAAAAAGGATTTACAATATTACATCAACTTTGTTGATAAAGCAGCAACAGTGTTTGAGAGAACTGACTTTGATTTTGACAAAAGTTCTACTGTGGGTCAAATGCTATCAAACAGCAGAGAAATCTTTCATGACAGTCAATCGATGCAGCAAACTTTATTGTTTTATTTTAAGAAATTGCCATAGTCACCCTAACCTTCCTCAACGACCACCCTCATTAGTCAGCAACCATCAACAAGGAGGCAAGACCCTCCACCAGCAAAAAGATTATGACTTGCTGAAGGTTCAGATAATTTAGCAATAAGGTATTTTTAGATTAATGTATGTACATTGTTTTCTCAGATATAATGCTATTGCACACTTAATAGATTACAGTGTAATGTAAACATAACTTTCATATGCACTGGGAAGCCAAAAATTATGTACGATTTGCTTTATTGCAGTCATCTGGAGCAGAATCCGCAATATCTCCGAGGTCTGTCTGTACCTGTTGGCCATTTGTGTGTCTTCTTTTGAGAAGTGTCTATATGTCTTCTGCTCATTTTAAAATCAGGTTATTTGTGTGTGTGTGTTTTTGCTACTGAGTTGAGTTCTATATATATTTTGAATATCAATCCTTTTCGAATGTATAGCTTGCCAGTATTTTATCCTATTTCATAAGTCATCGCTTTACTCTGTGGATTGTTTCTTTTGCTGTGCAGAAAGTTTTTACTTTGATGAGATCCCATTTGTCTACTTTTGCTTTGTTGCCTGTGCTTCTGGTGTCCATTATTTGAACAATCCAAGGGATGGCTGTAATGATCAGATGAAATCATATTGCAAAACCCTCAGTGCAGTGAATGAAGCCATAGCACATAACACTTGATAAATGAGGGTTACCATCGCCAATATGATTATTATTTTATTCCCACTCCTATCATGGCATTAACTGCCCCTCTTTAGTCTAGTCTACATCTATCAGTAACCTGCCTTTAAAGTTTCTTCCTTTATTTTCTTTTCAAGCATACTCTGGAGCCTGTTTTCTCAGTCTGATTTCTACGTTTGAGTCACAATTACTCCCCTTATAAAGTCTGTTCCATTTGCACCCACACCATTATTTCCTGAGCTTCTGCACTTCCTGGCAGGCTTGTGAGTTGTGCTCATTAGATGCTAAATTACTGCCACTGAAAAGTGACAAATGACAGTTTGCAACCTTTTACCACCATAAAGCTCATGTAATAAAATGAAAAAGAGCTACAGAAAAGCAAGGTTTGTGGAATCATAAGGAATATATGTCTGCTTCAGGCAGTTTATCTAAGTGGCAGGATTCAGTGAGTTAATGCTTAAGGAAGAAGACAGCTTCAGCTAAGAAAATGAAATATTTAGGGACATAGATCTGTCACCACTGCTTGCCATGTAAAGCAGTGTATTTGTTACTTGTGAATGGAACTGCATTAACAGAAACATTTGCTCATATTGAAATATTACCCAGAATAGTGATTTTGTTAATAAAGATATAGGTCTCATGTTGGCTGTCAAATATTTCCTTCTCATCCTTGGAACCCTTCCAAACAGCCTCCTGACTGTGGGCCATGGTCTTTCTGGAGCCCTATTCCCTGAAATGATTTGACAAATACAGTATATTCACCTGCATTTCAGAGCTAGGGTGGCTGCTCTGAGCTAAGCCCCAGGGTTTTTCTGTGACAACTTGAGGTCTGAGTTTCTGTACTTCTTGTGAAGCGGGGAACAGAGAGGTAGAAATCTCAGGATTTCAGAGCAGAAACAAAGCTGTGCCTTGTAGTAGGAAAATTATCCAGGTACCCATCCTGTCTCTTCCCTCTCCTCCTCATAGCCAAACATGTCTAGAGAGTGTTGTCTACCACTGTCCTTGCATTCTACTCTAGTTGTTCTCAGAAGCATAATCAATGATCTCCATGTTCTGGAATGAATGAATATTTTTTAGTCCTTCTCTACCTTGACCCATTGGCAGAATTTTTCCCTGTTGACCAACTTATTCTGTTCTCGGTTTCCATGACTCCACGCAATCCTAGTTATCCTTTTACCTCTCTTCCTACTCCTATTTTTTGGACTCCTTTTCAGGTTTAACTTCCTCCAAACTCAGCCATGAAGTGTTGGTTGTCTTTGAGAGCAGCCCTAGGCCCTGATCTTCTCTCACCCTTTGCAGCTGCCCCAAAAACTCTGACCACATCCATTGCTTCAGATATCATCTGTGTGGAGGTCATTCACATTCCTCCCCTCTGTGCTGTGGAGTCTCTTAACCTACTGACCCACTGGGCCCATCACCATTGGATGTCTCAAAGCCATCACAAACTCAAAATGTCCAGGTTCAAATAATCGGTCTTTTTCCCCAAACACCCAGCTCCACTATCCATTCTGTATTTGATGAGTGAGAAACTTAGAACATTTTTCTCAACAGCTGCCTCTTCTTTCACTTCATGTCCAGTTCATCAGCAGGTCGTGTTTATTTTATCTCTTACTATTGCTCAAACCTCTCTACCTCTGTCCATCTCTAGCACCTGGGACAGAACCTTGCACATAGAGGAACTCAATAAATACTTGATGCGTGAATGAGTGAATCTCCACCTGTGGGCTCTGGCCAGAACGGCCTCCTGAGAACAGCGTCTCCCGATATGGGTTGTGCCAACCTGTGTTCCCCCCATCTAAACAGTTCTCCATATTATAACAAAAAAGATGTATCCAGAAAAGCGAATCTGATCACATCATTCTTCTTTTCCCTGCTTAAAGTACTTCAGTGGTTTCTCATCACTCCTACTTAAAGTACTTCAGTGGTTTCTCATCACTCCTAGGAGAATAAAAATTTGCAAGATGTCTTCTAAGGGCCTGTGTAGGTTTTTTTTTTTTTTCCCCCAACTGCCTGTCCCTCCAGCTTCATCTCACACTACGTTCCCCCTTCTCTTTTTGCTTCAAGCACACCCACCACACCATTCTGCCCTGCCCCTCATTCGTGCCACACTCCCTCTTGCCCTCGAAACTTCTACCTGATCCTCTCCCTGCACTAATGACCTCCTAGTTAACTGGTGCGCATCCTCCAGATCCTGACTCATGAGGTTGAGGTCAATTATGTCCTCAAAGTCCCTCACCTCAACCTCTCATAACACCGTGTACCTCTGAGAGTAGTAATTGCATTTTTAAAAATGTGTGTAATTATTGATTAGTGTCTGTCTCCTCCCAGAGTGTCAGCTCTATGATGGCAGGAACAATATCTTTTTTTTTTTTAATTTTACTTTAAGTTCTGGGATACACATGCCTAACTTGCAGGTTTGTTACATAGGTATACGTGTACCATGATGGCTTGCTGTACCTATTGACCTGTCATCTAGGTTCCCTCCCCTTGTCCCCCACCCCTCAACAGGCCGCGTGTGTGTTGTTCCCCTCCCTGTGTCCATGTGTTCTTATTGTTCGACTCCCACTTAGGAGTGAGAACATGCGGTGTTAGAAACAATATCTTGCTAGGTTCTCTGTTGTCTTCTTGGAACCCTAGATCCTTGATATCTAAGAAATTACTACTATTTCTTAGATACATTGGCTAACTTTAAACCAGGAGGCCTTGGTAAATCAGGTCTTGGCTTTGCCTCCAATTGCCATGATGGCATGCCCTTAGGAATAAAGGAATGTTGCTTGGATCAAAGAAATTCTGTCTTTCATATTCAGATTTATTTATCTGTACAAAGCAAAGATCTTGCCCATTGAGGGACTCAACCCATTTGCTGATAAATGCTTTAAGTGGAAGTGTCAGTTTTTTGTTTGTTTGTTTGTTTTGTTTTGAGACGGAGTCTTGCTCTGTCGTCTAGGCTGGAGTGCAGCAGTGCAATCTCGGCTCACTGCAACCTTCGCCTCCCAGGTTCAAGTGATTCTCCTGCCTCAGCCTCCCAAGTAGCTGGGACTACAGGTACCTGCCACCACACCCAGCTAATTTTTGTATTTTTAGTAGACATGGGGTTTCACTATGTGGGCCAGGCTGGTCTCGAACTCCTGACCTCATGATCCGCCCACCTCGGCCTCCCAAAGTGCTGGGATTACAGGAGTGAGTTAAAAGCTTGGATCTAGGAAATTAGCGGCACTTAACTGCCTCAACCTAATTTCCTAAAATCGTTTCATTAGCAGCAGTAAATGCTTAAGGGTGCAGATTTTACCTGACCACTTTGTATGAGGAACCTACTCAGATAAGGGTAGCAGCTTGTGTTCTTCTGGGGCAGCAGAGATAAAGCAAGTGCACAGCTTATCACACTTAGGGATCCCTGAGATTGCCGTGGTTGCTCTATGGATTAAGACAGCACTGGAGTCTGTAGCCTCCATCTTCTGAATTCTTTATTTTTTGTAGCACTTACTTCCAGAACCAGAGGGCCCATAATAATAATAATTGAGGATTACTAACAATTACAATACATTTTCACAAGCTTTGTCATCTTTTACCTTTGTGACAACTGATTTATAGGGGTTGTTTTTATTCTCATTTTTTATAGTAGGAAATTGAGATTACAGAAGGCAAGTGGCCTATATTCTGTGATCCCTCTTGTAAGCTTAGTTTCAAACACAGCTTTTTGGACTCTAAAACTAATGATTTTTCTATTACATTTTAAAAATTACTTGTCTTAAGTTTCCATATTGTTATGGACAGACTTGTATCTCCCCACAAGTTCATATGTTGAAGCCCTAACTCGCCATGTGACTCTATTTGAAGATAGGACCTTTGCGGAGGTAATTAAGGTTAAATGCGGCATGAGGGTAGAATCCTAATCCAACAGAACTGGCGCCCTTATAGGAGGAATAGGCACCAGAGATCTCTCTCTGTCTCTCCCTTGCAAGCTCAGAGGGAATGCCATGTGAGGGACACAGCAAGAAAGCAGGTGTCTGCAAGCCAGGAGGAGAGGCCTCACCACATACAACCGTGATGACACTATCTTGGACTTCTAGACCCCAGAAATGTAAGAAAATAAATGACTGTTATGTCAGCCACACATATTGTTATGGTGGCCTGAACAGACTAAGACACTTGTCAAGTCAGACTACAGCACAAGAGGATGGGGGTGGGTATCAAACTGGTGACAAGGCAAGGGGATCCAAAGCCTCCTTGTTAAAGACAGACAACCCCACATAGAGTCTCTAGTGAGCATAGGGCATGGAGTTGCCTCTTATTCTAGGGAAGAGATGGTTAATTCACTGTTGGGTGCAGTGGCTCTGGGCCTAAAGGAATGAACTGAATCCTGGATCCATTCAGATGTTTCTAGACCACCAAGGCTGTCTATATTTTGTATCCCCTATAATCCAACAGAAGGTGGCTCTAAATAAGAATGGCACAATTAAAATGTAGAGACATATAATAAAGTGGCAAAGCTAAGATCTGCTATTTAAAATGATAAGATTAACTGAAACCAACCTTTCCTTGGAAGCACAACAGAAAGATATGTTGACTCTTCACCTACATTGCAGAGATAAAACGATGGACTGTCAGATGCACAGGTGTAACCTATGAGCAGCAGCAGGTCAGGCTCTGAGCCTGCTTCTCTCACTCCTGACCTCCTGTTTCCCTCGGCTTCCCTAGCAGGCGAACTCTGTCTTTCAAGATGGACAGTGGCCTCATCTGACAGCTGCATCATCTTTGATGAGTAATACCCTCCATCATTTTCAAGGAATGGCAGCCAAACAAAGAAAATAAATCTCGAGAAGCCAGGGACAACACACCCCTGGGTAAGTGAAAGGCTTTTCCTGGCCTCAAAGCTGCCTTTGATTGTGTTTGCTGTGTTCACTAATTCCACCACTGTCAAGAGCCATTATAGGTGGAACAGCAGCTATAAAATACTGACTCCCAGGGAGGAAATTGGAAGGCATCTTTCTGGGTTACCCATTAACCTCCCACCACACCGACCTGTGGATTAAAAAAATGCTTATAGATTTATGGGATTTCTCATGGAGAAGAGACCCCCACCAGGCCACAGGTGGGTGATGCTATTAATAAAATCCACCCAATTCTCTCTAGTGTTACATAAAAGGGTAACCAGCCACATTCCTGCGAAGTCAAAGGTAGTTAGGTTTAATTTTTTTTCCCCAAAATACACTTTATTTGCTAGAACAGTTGTTGACTTAAAGAGATGTTGCAAAGATAGTGCAGAGAGTTCCCATATATCTATATCACACCCAATTTCCTCTGTTAATAACCTCTTACTTTAGTATGGTACATTTATGGTAGTGAACCAATAATGATAGTATTAACTAAACACTACAACTTTATTCGGATTTCCTTTTTTTTTTTTTTACTTAATATTCTTTTTTGTCCCAGGACCTATTATAAATACCACATTTAATTGTTATGTCTCCTTATGCTTCTCTTGGCTGGCCAATTTCTCAGACTTTCCATATTTTTGATGGCCTTGAATGTTTTGAGGAGTGCTGGTTAGGAATTTTGTCCCTCAATTGGGTTTGTTTGATGTTTTTCTCATAAGCTGTCAGGTTTCTCTATGGCGAAGTCATTCTTTCTTCTTCCTTTCCATACTGTACTCATTGGATGGGAGTCATTTTGCACAGTCTCCCATTAAGGAGTGAGGATCTATGCTCAAACTTAGAAGAATGATTTAGTTTTTATAAACTGAATTCCTTTTATAATCCAGGACAACTTGCTAATTAAGAAAAGCCTGAAGTGAATCCTTGGGAAACCCAAGATTCCTCTTATTCTGTGAATAAGGAAAGTGCTCAGAAAAGTGTTGAATAACTAGTAAAAGTTCAGATTTTCATTTTGGAGTGGGGATGCTCCCAGCTTTCCCTCAGAGCAGCTCTGCTCATTCTTATGCATATAATTCTTTATTTTAAATGGTGGTTATTAGTTTTGTTTTAGGGTCAGCATTTTTCCCCCTGAAATGCAGTTCATTTTGGCCTTTCTATTAATGCATGCAATATTGTGTCCGGAATTGGTGGGTTCTTGGCTCGCCGACTTCAAGAATGAAGCCGCGGACCCTCGCGCTGTTACAGTTCTTAAAGATGGTGTGTCCGGAGTTTGTTCCTTCAGATGTTCAGATGTGTCCAGAGTTTCTTCCTTCTGGTGGGTTCCTGGTCTCACTGACTTCAAGAGTGAAGCCGCAGACCTTCGTAGTGAATGTTACAGCTCTTAAAGGCAGCGTGTCTGGAGTTGTTCGTTCCTTCCGGTGGGTTCATGGTCTGGCTGGCCTCAGGAGTGAAGCTGCAGACCTTTGCGGTGAGCGTTACAGTTCATAGAGGTGGCGCGTCCGGAGTTGTTCGTTTCTCCCCTCCGGAGTTGTTCCGCCCTTCCGGTGGGTTCATGGTCTCGCTGGCTTCAGGAGCGGAGCTGCAGACCTTCACGGTGAGTGTTACAGCTCATACAGGCTGCGGGGACCCAAAGAGTGACCAGCAGCAGGATTTATTGGAAGAGCAAAAGAACATAGCTCCCACAGCATGGAAGGGTACCCCAGCAGGTTGCTGCTGGTGGCGCTGGTGGCCTGCCTTTAGTCCCTTATCTGGCTCTACCCACATCCTGCTGATTGGTCCATTTTACAGAGAGTTGATTGGTCCATTTTACAAAGAGCGGATTAGTCCGTTTTACAGACTGCTGATTGGTCCCTTTTGACAGAGTGCTGATTGGTGCCCTTACAATCCTTTAGCTAGACGCACAAGTTCTCCAAGTCCCTGCCTGATTAGCTAGACACAGAGTGCTGATTGGCGCATTTACAAACCTTTAGCTAGACACAGAGTGCTGATTGGTGTGTTTGCAATCCTTCAGCTAGACAGAAAAGTTCTCCAAATCCCCACCCGACCCAGAAGCTGAGCCGGCTTCACCTCTCAATATTAGATGTGGTGACTGTAATATTCCAGACTATGTCCAGGTGATACAGGTGAACCTCATCATTAGAGCTCAGCTCAAGAGGGTTCTTGGCTTTGTGCTGGAAAGAATTCAAGAGCAAGCAGATGGAGCAAAGCAAAGCAAATTTATTAGAGCAACAGAGTATAGGAAAATGGCTGCTACACAGAGAGAGTAGTAGCAACAGCCCTCGTGGATTGCTGGCTAGCTGTGTTTATGGCGATTCCTTTATTGTATGTTAAATAAGGGATGGGTTATTTGTGAGTTTTCTGGAAAAGAGTGTGTAGTTCCCAGAACTGAGGGTTCCTCCCCTTTTAAAAGCATATAAAGTAACTTCTTGGAGTTGCCATGGCACTTGTAAACTGTCGTGGCACTGGTGAGAGTTTCTTTTTGCATTTTAATGCATTATTAAATTATTTCAATATAATGAGCAATGAGGACAACTGGAGGTCACTTTTGTTGTCTTCTTGGTTTTAGCTGGTTTTGGCCTGTTTCTTTGCTGCATCTTGTTTTGATCAGATCCTGTTTTGATCGGCAGGGTCTTGTGACTGGAGCTTGGAAAACAAGTCCCTCTGATCTCCTACCTCCCCAGGGAAAATGGAGGATAAATGAAGCCAGTTAGTGCCTGATGTGTCACTGGCTTGCAGATGAACAAAGCACCGTTGTAACCATGTCATCAGAAATATACCACATGCCAGGACACACATTGGAGATGGCAGTGGAGAGTTATGAACAAGCCATGTAAAGTGGGGTCATTTCTCCTGTGACAGAGAGTTTATCTTTTATAATATTTGTTTGTAGTAGGAGAAGAGTAAACACAAGAAAAGAAAAATAAAGCTTTCAGCAGAATGATCATTTCTGAATTGTTGTGCTATGCCTAAAATCTAAATAGATTTACAGGCTATATTTCAAAATAGAAAAGAACTGTAGTTTCTTTCTCTTTTTAAAAAATATAAAATGTTGTTGGCATACAAAAACTTACTAAAATGAGCCACATTTTCTGCAGCTCACTGTGAGAGGAATGAGGGGCACATTATAAAAAAATCCCTAGTAGTCTCAATAATTGCACAAAGCCTGCTCTGTTACCTTCCTACATTCAACTCTTCCAATTGCTGAGTCTTCCCTTGCCTTTATTTTAAAGAACATGTTAAGATATTATGTTCTACATTTGTCAGTGTAGGTTGAACAAAGCAGGAAATACTGCCTATCCTGCTAAAAGTCATATATAGGTCAGTAAGTTATTTGCCACAAAGTTACAGTAATTTCCTTGCGGCACACAGCAACTGCATACTACGAGAGAGAGGAGCTGGTGCTTGAGTGTCAGTTGTAGATGCATCCTGGTAATCCCCCTTCTTTCCCGACCACGTGCACCATGTCATCAGCTGCCTTGTGGTGGAAGCTTTCTTGTTTGTTCACTTTGGGCAGCAGGTGCTCATACAGCTGGCTCATGTGAAGCTGCTCCTGCATCTGGGATTGATTGTGGGCTTTCCTGACTCCCTAGCTTGGATGAAATTCCTCCTTTTACAAGCTTCCATAATACCTTGAACTTCTTCCTATCATATTACATATAACGATTGTGAGTATATATTCAGTGCTGTGATTACTTGATTATTTCTGTCTGCTCTACTGGGCTGTAAGCTCCATGAAAGCAGCGACCATCAGTTCACATTTGTGAATCATTTTGGAGACCCATGGGACTGTGAAGACAGATGCTGGAAATGGGCAGGGGCTGCAAAGCCAAGGGAATCCGGCCTCTGGGAGCTCTCCCTTTTTGTGAAGTAGGAAATATAGAGGTAGATATCTCAAGATATCAGAGCTGAAACAAAGCTCCCTTTGCCATTCCTGGTGTAACAAGAACTTGCATGAAACGTTGATTTTGTATTACCAGTTTGTGGTTTAGCTCTCAAAATCTATTTTTTTCATGTGGATAGAGGAGCTCTCCTGTGGTTCATATTGCCACAGAATAGAACAAAGCGTGTCTGTTCTTGGGCCCTAGGCCAGTGCACACTGACACCAGTATTAGCAGGACCAGGTGGGCTGATTCTTGGGTCTCCAGGTGGCTCGCTTGAATGCTGGTAGTGGCAATGCTGGGCCCAGCAGGTGGGCAGGTTCTTGGATTCCTGGGCAGCTGGTGTGATGTGGATGATGACAGTAGTAGTGACGTACACACTGTTGTTGGTGGTGGCTGGGAAGTACACATTGCTGTTGGTGGTGGCTGCAATGTGGGGTTGCCACACACAGTCCCAGACATGCAGCTTTCAGGCTTGCCCACTCTTGATGGCAGCAGTGCCATAGGGCTGCACAGAGATTGAGAGGAACCTTGCTCTTTACTTGCAATCTCAAGCATGTAGGCCATGCTGTCAGTGGGGGCATGGTTACCACTCACAGCCCCAGACAGTCAGTCTTCTGTCTTTTCTGCCGCAGCCCCTGGGAGTAGCAGCAGTAGCTGTGGCTGCAGTAGTGTACAGAGGGGTAGGGGAGTCCCACTCTCTATGCATGAGTCTGAGCACAGAGTTTGCTCCACCAGTAGGTTGGGGTCACTGCCCTCAGCCCTAGACAGTGAGCTCCCAGGCTCACCTGCCTGGGTTCTCACTGGCAGCAACTGCTGTGGCTGTGTGCAGTGTGTGGAGACAGAAAGGAGATCTTATTTTCGGCTTGCAGGCCTGAGCACACAGTTTATACTGCTGTTGTGGGCAGTGTCACTTCTCACAGCCCCAGAGAGGGGGATCTCAGGCTCTGGAAAGCATGTGTTTTGGTTCCCTTTGTCCCAGGGGCTGCATTTTTGGTATATGGCAAAATATACCATATTCCTTTCCTGGGGGAATAGTATTCCCTATGGGATAGAGTACTGGGGATCCTGCAGCACCTTTGGGTCCAGGCAGTGCTGTGCTGCTGTCACTCTCTAGGTGAACACTGGGGAATGTTAGTGGGAAGTCTGGGGATGTGGAGATATAAAGGTTGTGGTTCTCAGGGCAGGGTGCAGTCCTGTGATGACTGTGCTGTCACAGTGGTGCCCTGCCACAGCTGCTTAGGTCTCAGAGGTGTAAGTGACTTAGTGCGAGTTCCCTGTCTGGTGCAATCAATGCCTTTGTGGAGTCTTTGTAGTGCCAGGGTTCATGCAGACAGAGGAGCTCTCCTGTGGTTCTTATTGCCACAATCTGAACTGGGGATGTGGACTACTGAAGTTCTCTCACACACTCTTTCCCCATAACAGCCAATTTCAGCTGAGCTCCCTGCACGCTTCCTTCTCCTTCTGTGCCTTGGGTGTTTCCTGTGACTTCTTTGTTGGAGTCTAGTGTTCTTTTCTAGATATTCTATTAGAAGTTTGATTACCTATTCATGATTTTGGTTCTTCTTTCTGAAAAGGGAGCATGTCTGATGTCTCTTGTCACCTATCTGGAACCCCAACTTCCCTTACAGTTTTTCTAAAAAAAGTTTGCTTATTTATGTCCTTGCATGATACTAGGTGAAAAACCTTCCTCTGAAGCAAGTTATATTCTCATTTATGTCTTCCCAGTTCTATTGCTTCCTTATTGCAGTCTTCTTCCTGGTCTTCCTGACTTTTATTTCACTTCTCTCTCCTGATTGTATCTATTGATAGAATTTTAAGTCAATCTCTGGAGATCCCACATGTTTTTGTGCCATTAAAGGGTATCAACATAGCTCAAGACTTTGGTAAAGAGAGAAGTAGCACAGCATATTTCAGAGGCCATCTGACTTCCTTTGTTAATACTTCTAGATCTGAAGGACACAGCAGTTGAGTAAGCAGAATTGGACAACAAGATTGATCCCATTATTTTTTAAATAGGAAGATCCGTTCCTCTAGTCTTGACAGTATTATGTTTAGCCAGATGAAATATATTAACCATGTTTTTCATGAAAAATATACATGTATTGACATAGCAATAATTGGCTCTTGCCTTGGCTATTTATGAGTTTCATAAAGTAATGCTGGGCTCTACTGATGGCATCTCTAAGTATTTCTGCCTGGTAAAAGACCCAGAAGCAACAATGCTGGTGTTGATTTTTTGTTGATGAAGAAAAAAATCTGTGGCTGGACTGACCTTTACTTAGCCATAGCCCATTTTAGTTTAGCAAAATTCAATCTGCTTGGGATAAAAAGAAAATTGACTTTCTCATTTTCATTGTCCTATCCTGGAGGGAAAAACAAACTAAAGAATAGTGCTGCCTCATCATCACAAAGGGCTGCTCTGACTTTCTGCAGCTGGGAGGCATTGGAAATTGAAATTTACAACACCATGAGCACTACCCTTCCTTTGAAACAGGTCACCCTGATTGTGTACGTATTATTGGGTTTTCTGTACATATTTATCACCTTCCTGCTCTACCAGTTCCTTATAGAAAACTTGGTGGGGATCTGAGGTCAGACTTTCATTAAACATGGGTGGGAAGCCCAAGGCATTAATCGGATAAATATTCCACTGAAAATGTATTTTTCAGATTTTCTCTCACCTCCTCCCTCTTCCCTTTCCCCTGTCTTTTAAATTAATTGCACTCATATACTGCAAAAGCCACTTCAGAGCCCAAGGGTGAGGCAGGAGACTGTCATTCATCCCACCTCCAACTTCTAATACCCAAATACCTTCTGCAACATCTTCACCAAGTGTATAGTACTTTCAGCATCTGTTTAAATATCTCCAGAGACAGTATTCTCACTACCACTTGGAGCATCTTTGTCCATATTTGGCAGGTTTCAGAATACTTCTACTATGCAACCAAAGCTGTCTCTAGTATTTTTTCCCCCTACTAATTCAAATTCTACTCCTGGGTTCATATAGAACAAATGTAACCTCTCTTCCCATTTGACAGCTCTTCAGATATTTGGAAACACTTCCCATGCCTCCTAAAGTACTCTCTTTTCTAAGTTTGTACATCCTGCACTGAAGTGCCAGTCCCCAAATTTTTACCCCTCATTTTCTAACCGTTGCCAAATGCATCCCTATAGCTGGAGTCCCAACTGCTGTGCCTAGCCTGTTCTTGGAGAGCTGACCTAGCTTTAGAGTATTTCATTCCCCTCTCCCAACCACTCTTTTTCTTGGAAAGTTTGGATAAAAGATGCTCTCATTTGTATGATGCATCAAATGGAATCTTACATATTCCATCTAAATGCTTTCTGTTTGTTCAAATGTAATGCAGCTGCTCAAAATCCTGACCATAACTTTTAATATGAGAAAACAAGATATTTAGTTTCAGAGAGAGATGGAGGTAAGGGGACTGAGACAATGCCTAGCCTGACTTCTTTTCGTCAGATCCATTTTACAGATTAGGAAATTGAGGCAGCAGGAGGTTATTTGAATTATCAAAGTACATATAAATAGTATCTGCCTCCTAGCTCATAGTATAAGGCATTCTTTTAACAATAAGGCTTTCTACTTATATATGCAGTGTCTCAAGTCAGGGTCTTCCAGACCTGTTTTATTGATCTGCAAAGGCTTCTTCTTCTTCTTCTTTTTTTTTTTTAACAACAACAACAAAAAAACACACAGAGAAATATTTTAAAAGTCAAAATACTTTACATAAAGCTATGGATTTATGGCTTCTCTTGAAACATTAGAAATTTTGCCATTCTTTGCCTGCATTGCTACATAGCAACAATGGGCTAAAGCTTGGTGGAGCCTGTTGCCTTTAGATAGGGAGGGCTCACACTCTCCACATCACCTACCTGGCCTCTATAGACACTTACTTTTGCCATGACACACTTGGTATTATGTACTTTTTAAGTACTTACGCATCTATGCTTTTACTTGAACCTTTAGGTCAATCCAGTGCTGTGGGTGGAGCTGGTGTAATCCTATGTATACCCCCTAGATGTGTGTAGAAGGGATACCCAAGTTCCCTAACATGCCTTAGGCAGGGGAGTGTCGTGCAGTGCTTTCTGGATCTTTACAGTCATATCCTCTGGCTTCAAATCCCAATTTTGTAACTTAAACTTGTATATCATCAGGTAAGAAGTGTAACACTTGATTTTTTTAATCTTTAAAATGAAGATGATGATGTTGGCAGTGTCCATCTCTTAGCATTTTGAGAGAATTCAATGAGAAAATGTAAGAACACTTTTGGCAGCATGCCTAACAGATTTAGCTATTGGTATTTCTTGCAGACTAGGAAAAAGATTTAGGCCTTCTAACACTGAATGTGAAGCTCCTCCCACTCTCCTAATATATGACATTGCTACATCCAATGTGGCTCATGAGCTTTCCTTGTCCCCAGCTCTTGAAGCATCATAAACTGGAGGTCTTATAGGGTTCACTGATCTTTTGGGGGTCTCATGGGCTGCCTGGTGCACTAGAAGAGCCACTGAACTGTCTCAATGTCCTACCTGATCAGATGAAGGTAATCACATTTCATGCTTTACTAGATAAATCAATGGCCACGGGATTCCAAGTGATTTCCTTTTTACAGCACACAGTGAGTGCTTTGCACAATTGATTGGCCAGCCAAATGCATGGGTTTACCTCTGTTGAACCAAACCAAACTGCAAGTTTTACCTGGGCCAGAAATGTAGGCCAATCAATCATCACCAGATGAATAAGTGGCTAGGTGTTGAAAACTTCATTTTCTCAGCAGGTCTCTTCTTTTTCAAGCTCTGGTACTTTTATCTGTTTCTTATGGTAGACCTTTGGGGGCTATGTAGCTGAATGTGGCAGCAGAAAAATTCAGACTAGAGGGGCAGAGAGGCTTCCATTCTTTGAGATGGTACATCCTGATGCCTGAGGAGTCTAGTGGTTATAATTGGAAAACTTCTTTGAAATCTTTGCTCAAAATTTGGTCCTTGGATCACCTGCCTCAGAATCACTTGGGGGCAATTGTTTACAAAGTCAGATTGCTGAATCTACCAAAAACCTATTGAAACACAAAGGCATTTAAATGAGTACCCTTGATGATACTGCAGTTTGAGGATTACTGATCAAATGAATCCAGAAATCACTGGTTAGAGAAATATGAGAAATTGAGAATTGTTGTAGAGTTGAGAAAAGAATTGGGGTTACTCCCGCAATAGTTATTACTATGAACCAGGTATCATGGTTGATACTAAATGATGAGCCCAGTCTTCAGGAGAGTATGAAATTGAGACCACAAATAGGTAAAAACATAAGAAACATGAGGCAAAACAAGAAATTACATGACTAACTATTAATATAGGTAATCCTGGTGATAAGTGCTGTGGAATATCAGGGATGAAGTGACCAGTGTAGAAAAGAATGATCTGGGAAGGGGATGATATAATTGAGAAGGAAGTAATGTTATTAGGATGTAGAATACAGGATGGAGAAAAAAAAGACTTTTCCAGGTTGGGAGCAATATAAGTAAATGTGATGAGCTGGTAACAAATATGATGTTTAGAGGTGAGGAAAATGGGATGGATGGATCAGGATAAAGAATTTACATATTTGTGTTACTGCTTCTAAGAGGAGTCAAGGCAAGACCTGAGATTCTGGTTCTCAATGCTGCATTGTAGAGTCTTAGAAAAACATTTCTTTATCCATCTTAGAGGGCACCCAAGTCATTCTAGAATGGTGTAGTTTGCTGGGACATTTGACATCCAGAGTATCTTCTCTCAGTCAAAGAGTTCAGCTTGGAAATGTGTGGGACAGCTCTACTTTAGGCAGAAGAAGATGATAAACTGAGCTAAGACTCAACACAGCATTTGTGAGAACAACCAAAACTCTGTATGAAAAGGAAGAAATAAAAAGGAGAGAAGTGAGGCAAAGGCCAGAGATTTACCTGCCTCTGCTTGTCTTTCTAATGTGGCTTCAAGGGACCACTCTTCTCCTCTGGAAACCCAAGCCACACCTCTGCAGTAATCCATGTGTGTGGCAGGATTGACCTACAAAGTTTAGTTTTTTAAATACTGTTGCTGAAATGGGAACTGGTGGCCTCATTGATTTTAAATAAGACTAAAACATAGAATTGCATTCTTTTTCCTGGTTGCAATGAATTATTAAAATGCATTATTCTTATGCTAGATTCCAGATCACTTGGAAAACGCATATAACACTAGCTTATCCCCCTCTATTGTCCACTCTTGGAACATTGGAAAAAATGAAAGTTTTGCCCTTCCTCTTTCTATATCTTAACTAGGCCAATATTGTTCATTTGCACTGCTTGGGGATGGCACTATGTGGTAAGGTAGAATCTTTGGAGGAATGTGTGGACGCACAGATTTAGCCTATAAAAATTTTGCTTGGGATTCTTAGTGGAAGATAACCATGGTAACTGGAAGCATTTACTATACGGAAGAGTTTTCTGGTGGCCGTATTGTAGCAAGGCCAGATATTCCACTACTAGTGGAAGGCATAAATACATCTGTCCCAGGTGTTGCTGTGAGACTCCTGCTTGGTGCGAGACTTCCTGTAACCCAGGATGTTCATTATATGCTGAGGATAGTGAATCCTTGTTCTTTTTTTAGCTACCCCAAAATTATTTTCCCTTCTTTCAATAAAAAGCACCTCAATTTCCCTGTGGAAGGCCGCACTTGCGGCCGACTCCAATTCCTGCTGCAGAGGTGGGCATGTGCCTTTAGGCCTGAGCCAATTGGCATATTCAAAAGTTGGGTGGAGGGATACTCACAGAACCAGCATGAACCAATGAAAACTAGTATCAGGGCTTGACTGATGTGGCCAGGAAAGAGACAGGCAATTTCCTTTCTCCAGTATAAAAGTTCCAGTTCTTTCTTCCTGTCACCTATCACAACAAGATGAGAAAGGAACCAACACAAAGGAGACAGACTGTGAGGATAATGACACTGGCCCCTGGGTCAAGCCACGTGGGGAGATAAATATTATCCTTAAACTTTTTATTTCTGTGAGAAAATAAAGTCTTATTATGATTAAGCCATTTATGGTTGGGTCATGTGCTGAATTTGAAGTCAAAGCATTTGCTTCTTCTGACATTCATCGACTACTTCAGAAATACTATGTCTTTGTTTTATATTGAATCTTAGTGGATCAATGTAATTATACTTTAGTTCTAAGCCCTTTTAAGCTACCTCAATTCTTTTCTAGCTAATGTGCTATTAAAACACTTACAGACATGAGGAAAGCTGCCCACTTAAAGAATTTCATAGTTAAATACCATTGTAAATCAGAGCATCCTCTTGTAAATTGTTAGCCATACTTTAAAGTAACAGCTTTGCAGATTCTGTTTTTCATCTGCTTGAGCAGGTACGACTCCTAAGACCATCTCTGAGCTCTGGCTGGTGGTGCTCCTGGTCTCCCAGCCATCAATCACCTTTGGAAAGAAATGTGGAATGCTACTTACTTATTGAAACATTTAACACCTATTTCCTTAATCCTAAGTACTCCTTGCAGAATTGTAGTATTTGTATCAGATTGATTTTTCATGTCAAATCATGTCAAAGGAGCTTTATTTTTGTGTACCACAAGGCCATAGCCATAAATCAGATTATAAAATGGGAATAAAATAAACACTCACAACAATAACATCTTTTATTTCCTCTAGTGAAATGCAGCTATGATGAGTGCTCAATAAATAGTAGAGACCTGCAGCCATTTTCCAGACATTGTTGCCTTTTGAAGTTCGTGTTATGGAAACCAAAGAGGAGGAAAAAAACTTAACAAGAAAGAATTGACAAGCCATGTGTTATGCATCAGAGGGAAACAGACACAATAGAGTTGTAAACTGTCCTTGGAATTTGGCAAACTGGAGGTTATGGGTGGCTTCTCTGAGAGCAGTTTCAGTGATGTGGCCAAGGCTTGATTGCAAATTGGTGAGAATGTGGAGAATGTCAATGTGGGTGACCCAAGTGGTTTTGGTGATAGGAGGAGAGAGGCAGGGAGTTTTCTAGAGAAGATTGCAGGATATCTGGGGAGGAATTTCTTTGTTTTGATTCCTCAGTGTAAGTAGTTTGGACTTGTTTATAGGCTAGGAATCAGGAAAAGTATTTTGAAAATATGAGGATTGTGTGAATGAAAAAGGAAAACTGAAGGGACATTTGGAAGACCAGGATAATAACCATAGAAGAATAACCATAGGCAGGCACTGGGGCAGGATGGAGAGGGGTAGATCAAACTATCAGAAGTGTGTATCAAGAGAGAGCAGAAGGCAAGGAGACTTGCAGGTCATAAAAACACAGAACTGGAGGAGGACTGAGACATGAGCAGCCGTCAAGAGGCATAGTGGGTGGGACATTGAAAGCACAAGCAACGAAAGAAAGATACACATAAATAAAAGAAAAATAGATGAAAATAGTTAAATTTCGATGGGACCAAATCAAAATTAAGAACATTTACTTATCAAAGGATATTATTTAAAAAGTGAATAAACAACCTACAGAATGGGAGAAAATATTTGCAGGTCATATATCTGGCAAGGGTCTAGTATCTCAAATACATAAAGAACACTTACAAATCAATAACACAAAGATTAGCCCAATTAAAAAATAGGCCAAGGACTTGAACAAATATTTCTCCAAAGAATATATCCAAATGGCCACCAAGCACACGGAAAAAGACTCAACATCATTAGTCATTAAGGATATGCAAATAAAAACCATGAGATACCACTTTATACTCACTAGAATGGTCATAATAATGATAATTAAAAAGTGGAAAATAATAAGTGTTGGTGAGAATGTGGAGAAAGTGGAAGCATGAAACATTTGTGGTGGGAATATAAAATGGTACAGCCACTGGAAAAAACAGTTTGGTATTTACACAACAAATTAAGCATAGAATTAGCATATGATCCAGAAATTCCATAACTAGCTATATAGTCAAAAGAATCGAAAATTGATACTCAAACAAATTCTTGTATACAATTATTCATAGCAGCACTATACACAATAACTAAAAGCTAGAAACAACCCAAATGTCTATCAGTAAATGAATGGGTAAAAAATATGTATGTTTTATACCTACAATGGAATGTTACTCAACTATACAAAGGGATAAATTACTGATACCTACTACAAGGTAGATGAACATTGAAAACATTATGCTTGGTGAGAGAAGCCATACAAAAAATCATACACATATTGAATGATTCCATTAACATGAAATAACCATAATAGGTAAATTCATAGAGACAGAAAGCAAATTGGTGGTTGCCAGGGATTGCAGGGGAAGAAGAATGAGGAAGTGATGGTTTAATGGGTACAGAATTTCTTTTGGGGTGATGAAATGTTATGGAACTAGTTAGAGCTAATGATTGCACTATATTGTGAATGTTCTAAATGCTACTGAATTGTTCCCTCTTAAATGGTGAATTTTATGCAATGTGAATTTCACCTCAATAAAAAGAAAAGGATTGGTGGGGGTCAATTCTCATGGGTCCCTCATGCTTCCTGCATTCTTCACTCCAGGGATGGAGAAATTTTGGTGAAGCTCCTGCCTCCTGCTGCAGTCCACTAGAGCTGTGGTTTCCCACTTCAATCACTCCCTTTTGTTTTCTATCATTTAAACATGCCAAATGGTACTTCATCCACTGAGGTCTCTATTTTTCTGTATTCAAGAATTATAGTTTTAAAAACATAATTTCATGACTGGTTAGGGACTTGGAAGAATAGAAAAAGGGAGTCTGTGGCATATGCTTTTTTTTGGATTGAATAAAAAAACTCAAATGTTGTCATTAAATGACTTGATCTCTTTTAGTGCAAACCCCTTTCTAAGAACACAGTTTTTCCCTGTAGTTAGTGTTTTTCAATAAATTGACTTAACTGCTTTCTCATAAAGGGTCCAGTGTATGTTTTCTTTCTTTTTTTTTTTTTTTGGTGTATATCTTTCCAAATCTTTCCTTCTATGCATATAAAAAACATACATACTTTGATTTGGCTCAGACTATACATAGTGTTTTGCCACTTGCATTTTACACTTAACATATCTTTGATATCTTTCCATGTCAGTACATGTTGGTTCGATAGTATTCTATCATTAAATACCCTTTCAAAAATGGCAAATCACTTTAAAAAAATAATTTGCACAAGTACATGTTTATAATTTTAAAAGAAAATGGAGGTGGAGCCAAGATGGCCGAATAGGAACAGCTCCAGTCTACAGCTCCCAGTGAGAGCCATGCAGAAGACGGGTGATTTCTGCATTTCCAAGTGAGGTACTGGGTTCATCTCACTGGGGAGTGCCGGACAGTGGGTGCAGGAAAGTGGGTGCAGTGCGCCGTGCGTGAGCCGAAGCAGGGCAAGGCATCACCTCACCCGGGAAGCGCAAGGGGTCAGGGAATTCCCTTTCCTAGTCAAAGAAAGGGGTGACAGACGGCACCTGGAAAATCAGGTCACTCCCACCCTAATACTGCGCTTTTCCAACGGGCTTATGAAATGGCACACCAGGAGATTATATCCTGCACTTGGCTCAGAGGGTCCTACGCCCATGGAGCCCTGCTCTTTGCTAGCACAGCAGTCTGAGATCAAACTGCAAGGCGGCAGCAAGGCTGGGGGAGGGGCGCCTGCCATTGCTCAGACTTGACTAGGTAAACAAAGCAGCTGGGAAGCTCGAACTGGGTGGAGCCCACCACAGCTCAAGGAGGCCTGCCTGCCTCTGTAGGCTCCACCTCTGGGGGCAGGGCACAGACAAATAAAAGGCAGCAGTAACCTCTGCAGACTTAAATGTCCCTGTCTGACAGCTTTGAAGAGAGTAATGGTTCTCCCAGCATGCAGCTTGAGATCTGAGAATGGGCAGACTGCCACCTCAAGTGGGTCCCTGACCCCCGAGTAGCCTAACTGGGAGGCACCCCCCAGTAGGGGTGGACTGACACCTCACACGGCTGGGTACTCCTCTGAGACAAAACTTCCAGAGGAACAATCAGGCAGCAGCATTTGCGGTTCACCAATATCTGTTGTTCTGCAGCCACCGCTGCTGATACCCAGGAAAACAGGGTCTGGAGTGTACCTCCAGTAAACTCCAACAGACCTGCAGCTGAGGGTCCTGACTGTTAGAAGGAAAACTAACAAACAGAAAGGACATCCACACCAAAAAGCCATCTGTACGTCACCATCATCAAAGACCAAAGGTAGATAAAATCACAAAGATGGGGAAAAAACAGAGCAGAAAAACCGGAAACTCTAAAAATCAGAGCGCCTCTCCTCCTCCAAAGGAATGCAGCTCCTCACCAGCAATGGAACGAAGGTGGATGGAGAATGACTCTGATGAGTTGAGAGAAGAAGGCTTCAGAAGATCAAACTACTCTGAGCTAAAGGAGGAAGTTCGAACCAATGGCAAAGAAGTTAAAAACTTTGAAAAAAAATTAGACGAATGGATAACTAGAATAACCAATGCAGAAAAGGCCTTAAAGGACCTGATGGAGCTGAAAACCATGGCACGAGAACTATGTGATGAATGCACAAGCCTCAGTTAACCGATGTAATCAACTAGAAGAAAGGGTATCAGCGATGGAAGACGAAATGAATGAAATGAAGTGTGAAGAGAAGTTTAGAGAAAAAAGAACAAAAAGAAATGAACAAAGCCTCCAAGAAATATGGGACTATGTGAAAAGACCAAATCTATGTCACGTCTGATTGGTGTACCTGAAAGTGACGGGGAGAATGGGACCAAGGTGGAAAACACTCTGCAGGATATTATCCAGGAGAACTTCCCTAATCTAGCAAGGCAGGCCAACATTCAAATTCAGGAAATACAGAGAACGCCACAAAGATACTCCTCGAGAAGAGCAACTCCAAGACACATAATTGTCAGATTCACCAAAGTTGAAATGAAGGAAAAAATGTTAAGGGCAGCCAGAGAGAAACGTCAAGTTACCCACAAAGGGAAGCCCATTAGACTAACAGCTGATCTCTTGGCAGAAACTCTACAAGCCAGAAGAGAATGGGGGCCAATATTCAACATTCTTAAAGAATTTTCAACCCAGAATTTCATATCCAGCCAAACTAAGCTTCATAAGTGAAGGAGTAATAAAATACTTTACAGACAAGTAAATGCTGAGAGATTTTGTCACCACCAGGCCTGCCCTAAAAGAGCTCCTGAAGGAAGCACTAAACATGGAAAGGAACAACCAGTGCCAGCCACTGCAAAAACATGCCAAATTGTAAAGACCATCAAGGCTAGGAAGAAACTGCATCAACTAACGAGCAAAATAACCAGCTAACATCATAATGACAGGATCAAATTCACACATAACAATACTAACCTTAAATGTAAATGGGGTAAATGGTCCAATTAAAAGACACAGATTGGCAAACTGGATAAAGAGTCAAGACCCATTAGTGTGCTGTATTCAGAAAACCCATCTCACGTGCAGAGACACACATAAGCTCAAAATAAAGGGATGGAGGAAGATCTACCAAGCAAATGGAAAACAAAAAAAGGCAGGGGTTGAAATCGCAGTCTCAGATAAATCAGACTTTAAACCAACAAAGATCAAAAGAGACAAAGAAGGCCATTATATAATGGTAAAGGGATCAATTCAACAAGAAGAACTAACTATCCTAAATATATATGCACCCAATACAGGAGCACCCAGATGCATAAAGCAAGTCCTTAGTGACCTACAAAATGACTTAGACTCCCACACAATAATGATGGGAGACTTTAACAGCCCACTGTCAACATTAGACAGATCAGCGAGGCAGAAAGTTAACAAGGATATCCAGGAATTGAACTCAGCTCTGCACCAAGCAGACCTAATAGACATCTACAGAACTCTCCACCCCAAATCAACAGAATATACATTCTTTTCAGCACCACACCACACCTATTCCAAAATTGTCCACATACTTGGAAGTAAAGCACTCCTCAGCAAATGTAAAAGAACAGAAATTATAACAAACTGTCTCTCCGACCACAGTGCAATAAACTAGAACTCAGGATTAAGAAACTCACTCAAAACCACTCAACTACATGGAAACTGAACAATCTGCTCCTGAATGACTACTGGGTACATAACAAAATGAAGGCAGAAATAAAGATGTTCTTTGAAACCAACGAGAACAAAGACACAACATACCAGAATCTATGGGACACATTCAAAGCAGTGTGTAGAGGCAAATTTATAGCACTAAATGCCCACAGGAGAAAGCAGGAAAGTTCTAAAATTGACACCCTAACATCACAATTAAAAGAACTAGAGAAGCAAGAGCAAACACATTGAAAAGCTAGCAGAAGGCAAGAAATAACTAAGCTCAGAGCAGAACTGAAGGAAATAGAGACACAAAAAACCCTTCAAAAAATCAATGAATCCAGGAGGTGATTTTTTGAAAAGATCAACAGAATTGATAGACCGCTAGCAAGACTAATAAAGAAGACAAGTGAGAAGAATCAAATAGATGCAATAAAAAATGACAAAGGGGATATCACCACCGATCCCACAGAAATACAAACTACCATCAGAGAATACTATAAACACCTCTATGCAAATAAACTAGAAAATCTAGAAGAAATGGATAAATTCCTTGACACATACACCCTCCCAAGACTCAACCAGGAAGAAGTGGAATCTCTGAATAGACCAATAACAGGCTCTGAAATTGAGGCAATAATTAATAGCTTACCAACCAAAAAAAGTCCAGGACCAGACGGATTCACAGCCGAATTCTACCAGAGGTACAAGGAGGAACTAGGACCATTCCTTCTGAAACTATTCCAATCAATAGAAAAAGAGGGAATCCTCCCTAACTCATTTTATGAGGCCAGCATCATCCTGATACTGAAGCCTGGCAGAGACACAACAAAAAAAGAGAATTTTAGACCAATATCCTTGATGAACATCGATGCAAAAATCCTCAATAAAATACTGGCAAACTGAAGCCAGCAACACATAAAAAGCTTATCCACCATGATCAAGTGGGCTTCATCCCTGGGATGCAAGGCTGGTTCAACATATGCAAATCAATAAATGTAATCCAGCATATAAACAGAGCCAAATACAAAAACCACATGATTATCCCAATAGATGCAGAAAAGGCATTTCACAAAATTCAACAACGCTTCATGCTAAAAACTCTCAATAAATTAGGTATTGATGGGACATATCTCAAAATAATAAGAGCTATTTATGACAAACCCACAGCCAATATCATACTGAATGGGCAAAAACTGGAAGCATTCCCTTTGAAAAGTGGCACAAGACAGGGATGCCCTCTCTCACCACTCCTATTCAACATAGTGTTGGAAGTTCTGGCCAGGGCAATCAGGCAGGAGAAGGAAATAAAGGGCATTCAATTAGGAAAAGAGGAAGTCAAATTGTCCCTGTTTGCAGATGACATGATTGTATATCTAGAAAACCCCATTGTCTCAGCCCAAAATCTTCTTAAGCTGATAAGCAACTTCAGCAAAGTCTCAGGATACAAAATCAATGTGCCCAAATCGCAAGCATTCTTATACACCAATAACAGACAAACAGAGAGCCAAATCATCAGTGAACTCCCATTCACAATTGCTTCAAAGAGAATAAAATACCTAGGAATCCAACTTACAAGGGATGTGAAGGACCTCTTCAAGGAGAACTACAAACCACTGCTCAAGGAAATAAAAGAGGATACAAACAAATGGAAGAACATTCCATGCTCATGGGTAGGAAGAATCAATATCGTGAAAAGGGCCATACTGCCCAAGGTAATTTATAGATTCAATGCCATCCCCATCAAGCTATCAATGACTTTCTTCACAGAATTGGAAAAAACTACTTTAAAGTTCATATGGAACCAAAAAAGAGCCCGCATCGCCAAGTCAATCCTAAGCCAAAAGAACAAAACTGGAGGCATCACGCTACCTGACTTCAAACTATACTACAAGGCTACAGTAACCAAAACAGCATAGTACTGGTACCAAAACAGAGATATAGATCAATGGAACAAAACAGAGCCCTCAGAAATAATGCTGCATGTCTACAACTATCTGATCTTTGACAAATCTGACAGAAACAAGCAATGGGGGAAAGGATTCCCTATTTAATAAATGGTGCTGGGAAAACTGGCTAGCCATATGTAGAAAGCTGAAACTGGATCCCTTCCTTACACCTTATACAAAAATTAATTCAAGATGGATTAAAGACTTACGTGTTAGACCTAAAACCATAAAAACCCTAGAAGAAAACCTAGGCATTGCCATTCAGGACATAGGCATGGGCAAGGACTTCATGTCTAAAACACCAAAAGCAATGGCAACAAAAGCCAAAATTGACAAATGGGATCTAATTAAACTAAAGAGCCTCTGCACAGCAAAAGAAACTGCAGTCAGAGTGAACAGGCAACCTACAGAATGGGAGAAAAGTTTTGCAACCTACTCATCTGACAAAGGGCTAATATCCAGAATCTACAATGAACTCAAACAAATTTACAAGAAAAAAACAAACAACTCCATCAAAAAGTGGGCAAAGTATATGAACAGACACTTCTCAAAAGAAGACATTTATGCAGCCAACAGACACATGAAAAAATGCTCATCATCACTTACCATCAGAGAAATGCAAATCAAAACCACAATGAGATACCATCTCACACCAGTTAGAATGGCAATCATTAAAAAGTCAGGAAACAACAGGTGCTGGAGAGGATGTGGAGAATTAGGAACAGTTTTACACTGTTGGTGGGACTGTAAACTAGTTCAACCATTGTGGAAGTCAGTGTGGTGATTCCTCAGGGATCTAGAACTAGAAATACCATTTGACCCAGCAATACCATTACTGGGTATAAACCAAAAGGTTTATAAATCATGCTGCTGTAAAGACACATGCACAGGTATATTTATTGCAGCAGTATTCACAATAGCAAAGACTTGCAACTAACCCAAATGTCCAACAATGATGGACTGGATCAAGAAAATGTGGCACATATACACCATGAAATACTATGCAGCCACAAAAAATGATGAGTTCATGTCCTTCGTAGGGACATGGATGAAGCTGGAAACCATCATTCTCAGCAAACTATCACAAGGACAAAAAACCAAACACTGCATGTTGTCACTCACAGGTGGGAATTGAACAATGAGAACACATGGACACAGGAAGGGGAACATCACACTCTGGGGACTGTTGTGGGGTGGGGGGAGGGGAGAGGGATAGCATTAGGAGATATACCTAATGCCAAATGACGAGTTAATGGGTGCAGCACAACAACATGACACACGTATACATATGTAACAAACCTGCACGTTGTGCACACATACCCTAAAACTTAAAGTGTAATAATCATAAAAAAAAGAAAAAAAGAAGAAAATGGACAGAATCCTAAACACAATAACCAACCTCTAAGAGCAATCTCTATCTTTCCACCAGCGTGGAACAATTTATTCGTTTTTCACACAAAACAAATTATGTGATTGGGGAGATTAACTCTAATCTCCACGTTTATATACAGAAAGCTCCATTTGTTAAGCCCATCTGAAAAGAATAAAAAATCCAGATGACTAATTCATGTACACTTAGAAATTAAATCAGTATACTATGAATACACGTTGCGTTCAGTTATAATATGATGCTTCTTGGTCTATGGTTTCAATTAATTAACAGTAAAAAAATGGATAATATGGCTAATACCCTGAAAAATCCAGACATTCAAAGATTATATTGCCAACTAAAACACTGCCATGTACATTTTTTTTCCTACTTGGTAGCAGATGCTAATGGAATTCAATCTTGATTACTTAAAGTCAGTTCACATCACACATTCAATCAGGGTAATAAGAACAACATAACATGCCTACTATAGAGTTAGATTAAGACATAAAAATTTTTTGCTTCAAAGTAATGACTGTGTAGCACATGGGACGCTTGTCAACTGCTTCAGCACATTGTTTACAAGTGACTAGATGTCCACAAGGAACAAAAACGATAGCAATATTTCTATCCCTACAGATTTTGCAAAGCTTCTCCACTTGCAGGTGCCTTAGCTGCTCTTCAGTACTAATCTCTTTCTGTAATGAAGTCTGACTTGACTCATCTTGTGTACTGTCTTTCTGAGCATTCACTAGATCTGCAACCAGAACCTCAAGTTATTTATAGTTGCTCCCAGATATCTGCATTTTTTCCTCCATTATTTTCTTAACATCCTTGAAACTGAACCCCATTCATATAGCTTCTTGTACCATAGGATTTTGGAAGATGGTATCATCAATTCTTCTAGTTAGTGATGGTGTTTTCTCAGTAGTTCTTAGCAGACACTCCTCAAGTGAATGAGTTAAATGAATATTGTTTATATATTCTTGTCCCTTCTGTTCTAACAGATATTTACACCCTGGATACCATTTAGCATGTTGTTCCCAAGGGTCTTCACTGGGCTTCCAATCAGTTAGCCCTCCTCCACAGTGAAAGCACTTTATCACTTTCACCTAAAGCCAGTGTATGTTTTCTTAGAGATTTTCCCCAAGGCTAGAAAGAGGGTCCCATCATTTTATTATGGCTCAATGTCCTGATTAACCAGCTCTTTCAGAATAGGGTTCCTAAGGGATATACTTTAAAATAAACCAGAGATAACCAAACAGAAAGAACTGAGATACATAATGAGTTATAAATACAAACAAGTTCCAGAAAATATTTACCTGCAGTGAAGTAGGATTTGACACTATCTGAAGATAGAAAAAAAAAGTTTAGCTCATTACTACATCCAGATTTCCCATGGCACACCACTTTTTTGCATTTCTATTAAAAGGTCCCATCATTGGGAATGAACAGGGACTTCCACAAGTTTTTTTCTACTTGTCCCTATTGTGTTGTTCTCCATATCCTGATCTTTGAAATGTGGTGATGAGTTACGCAGCACTAATAGCCTGTTGGAGATTATTATATCTACAGTATTCACAATTTTGACCACTTGCTTGCAACCCTGAAGGTGTGTGTTTAGGAATAATCACAGCGACCCCATAGAATTTTTTTGTAGTTTATATGAGGCAGTGAATGGAAAGTGGTAGGACTGAATCATATTGGCCATGAGGCTGGTGTGAAGGAGTAGCAGGTAATAAGCATCCCTACCTGACTGTCCTATGTCCACATCTCAGTTGGTGTTAGTTCCCTGCATTCTAGAGCCCATATAGCAAAGGGGTTAGAATGCTGGACTCAGACCTCCTGGCCTAGAGTCCCAGCTCAGCCACTCCCTAGGTCTGCAACCATGGGCATGTTATTTAACTTCTCTATTTCCTCTTCTGTAAAAGGAATGTAAATATAATGCCTAGTACACAGGACTATTGTGAAAATTAAAAAGAAAAATACTTGGAATAGTGCCTGGCTCACACTAAATGTTTAATAGATGCTAAAGATTGTTTTTAAGATTGTGGGTTTGCAAAACTCTCTCATAATATTACTCAAGAATGTCAAGGTTAAACTATATTCCCCATATTTTAATGTCAGTACAGCAGCAACAACCCTCTCTCAGATGCTGGGTTCCATGATATTTGATCCATATTATGAGTTATAAGCTTTTATTTTCCTCATGATCTCTTTTGAAAGATGCCAGGGTAGGAAGTATCTGGCACATGTGCTAATACATCTTTTTTCCTATGCCAATGACAGTCATCACCAATCGGTCCCAGTACTTTCTCCCACTAAGCTCAGACAAGCTTTCAGAATTCTTCTTGATACAAAGTCAGGACAGCACTGTTAACTAGAGTCAGCTCATGAGATGTAGCCTATTGGCCATCTTTATTCTAGAAACTCAGTCTCATAATATTGACATAGTTCAGGAAAGAAATTGCATAGAGGAAGGGACTAAAGCAGGAAGGAAGATAACAAAAAAGATGACTGATGTACTCTGCAGCATCTGTAAGCCATTTCCTGTCATAAACACCCATTACCCCACTTCATTACCCTACTGTGATGATTTGCAATAATATAAAATGAGCTAATTTTGGAAATTTGTCAATGAAAAATCTCAAATAATCAAATATCCAGATTTATATAAGAGCTGCTATAAAAATGACAGCAGAATTTATCTGTACTCCTGAGTGGGGTGGATACTGCAAAGAGTGTCATCTGGCAATTTGCTTTAATGGGTGGAGAAGTATTCTTGTATTTATTATATCAGTTATAGGAAGGCTGATAAACTCTCAATGCAAAAATTATAGAAAGAAAAGATTTCTTGATGAAAGATTTTTATAATTTACTTTGGTATCATTGTTATCTGGGTCATGACACTTGTGCATGACCTTTGATTAGAAACATTTCTAACCAAATTGAAGATAGAAAGCTTTTAGAAGTGAAATAAAGGCATGGAATAAGTGCTGGAAGATTCTCCATTGACCCAATGATTAGGGGAACACAGTCCTGGATATCATCCTTCCTCTAACTACCTCCAGTTTAGCCCTTCACCTGACCTGGGGACAAATATGGCACCATGTGTGAGGAGTGCTTACCATCCTTTGAATGTTGCAAAAGGTGTATGAGTCCTGTTCAGTTTATGACCCAGTTTGTAGTGCTTGTTCAATTTCTTTTTTTGTCAGATCTCCTCGTGGACATTGGTTCACTGATCCAGAGGAGGGGCTGATAACTATGTTTGTGACCTTGACCTTCTGGTCACAATGGATTGGCTGCTACTTGTTTTAAGTTGAGTCCATCACTTTCTGTCTCTTAGAAATTTGGAATTGGAATTTAGAGATTTGTACAGAGCCAGTCTTTACCTGTTTTGTGCTCATAAAATAACATATTGGAGTTGGCCACTGTCTTCTGCCACTATGGGACCCCAGCATTGAAGAGATGTGGGATGGGGGAAGGAAGGGAGAAAGAGAGAGAGAGAAGCAGAAAGAAATAGAGATGAGGAACAAAGGTATGCTGTATTCTGGGTTCCTTCACATTTTTGTTTGCCAGATCCAGTCTCTTTCTGAGGACTGGCTGCACTCTGGGTCATCAAGGTGAGTTAGAGTGATGCTGGCCAGAGGAAACACAGCTAGGCAAAGCCATGGTATTTCTAGTTCTTTGCAAGCCATCTCACTTTTTTTATGACCGCTGTGTTGGTGGGTCTTAGCATGGCTCCTTATACTTAACAAAAAACACCTCACCATCTCCAGCCTTCAGATAATCATCCCATTTCCCAGTGAAAGATATTCCCCAGCCCTCCTTCAAAAAGTCAAGGCAGGTTACATAGCATCTGATTTGGGAGCTAGCAGCTGAGATGATATTTTTCTCCTGGACCTACATGCCATCACTTGAATCTTTTCTGCCAAAGTCAAGAGGAGTGTGAAGTTGTTTTCCTTCTGGACCTACATGCCATCACTTGACTCTTTTCCTGCCAAAGTCAAGAGAAGTGTGAAGTTGTTAAGTGCTTTTCCCCGGCTACCTTCTATTATCCATTCCACTTCCAGTTTATGCCTCATTTCTCCTGACTGAGCATAATGACTAGCAGTGCAACAGCCTCAAGATACCTGTTATTTCTGTTTAATAGAGGGGAATATTAAAATTCAGAGATCATGTAATGGAATTCAGAGATCATATAATGGGTCAAATAGTGGGGAAGTGGGGGAGTTGGAATTTTGGCTCAGGATGGTCTGACACCAAAATCCAACCACCCTTGGACCATCCGCTTCCTTATGCTCAGTAAAACTAAAGATAAGTTTACTTCTTACCCACTGGGGAAAGTGCTCCATTAACCCAGTCCTAGTGACTCTAGCTCTATTCTCTCTCCTACATTTTCAGCTTTCAATGGAGTGTGGTAAACTGGGATGGATGAGCTTAGTTCTGGGAAGCTCTGGAGAATGGGTGGTCAGATGCATTGATTCATGAGAGGAAAAGGAGAAGAAGAAGAAGGTGATACTACCAAATGCCAAAGGGCCTGGGAATTCATATGATCTGCAAGTAACTACCAGCTCCCCAGACATGCCCCTGACTTTGAGAAGGACTATTACAGGTTGCCCTGGAGTAACACTCCTTCCCAGATTCCACACATTCCTGACCTCATGACTCAGTGGCACCTCTTCCTCTTCCTTTCCCCTTCAAGTCTATAAATATATGTTTTATGTTGCTTCCACTGGATACATGCCTGTCCTGTATGTATCCACATGCTCTAAACTCTCCTGCTTCCCAGCACCTTCTTGCTTGTCATGCCTCCCCTGGTCCATGCATTTGTTTCTAGTATTCCTCTCATTACCTCCTTCCTTATGCATTATGGTCAAGAGAAGAAAATTATTCATTCAATTTTGCATCCTTTTCCAAAACACATAACTCAAAATCCTACATCTGTGAAGAGAAGAAACCTTGTGAGCTCGTTGGAGGAAGCTTCATCCCAAGTGAGACTTTTTCTGAGCAGACTTTCATCACCCTTTCTAAAGTTTCACCCAGCCAGAAGGCTGCCCTGCTGAAAGCCTAACGTCTTCACAGGGCACAGCTCAGACCTCAGTAGATATTAAGAAATGCTGGTCATCATTTATCCTTTACAAGAGCCATTCACATTTGTCACCTTCACCGACGTTAGTCACCTCCAGACTCTTGAACCGATCCAAATGGTCCTGGTGTCTGTGACTTTTCTCAGAGGTCCATTCTGGTCAACTTTTAAGGGGCGTGGCTGCTCCCTCTAAGTCCTCTCCATATTTCTATGCATACTTGAGGGCAGAGCTGCCCACTGGCAGGGATCCTAACATTATTTGCCCAATATTTTTCCCTGTGTGATTTCTGAAAAAGCCCCTTGACAAAGTCTGCGAGGGTATTCTGGGCTCAGCTTGGTGTAGCTATAATAAAGATCTTTTATTAGGAATCTTATTGATTTTTTTTGCCGGTTTTTGAAGCTCTTCTTTACTGTCTACACAGAGATCAAGAACTGTCACGAATGATAATCACTCTCATTATTAACTTAAATTTACTTTTCTTGCACCCAATACATCAACCTTTACTACTATAAGTTATGGCCGTTAGAAGCCAGAGCTAAAGACTGAAGTTTACTTCTCTAAGATGTGAGAAGGCAGGCAAGTCACTGCTCTCTGTATGAGGGTGGGATGAGGAATGGAGAATGTGTCATTTGGTGGATACATAAAAAATGCATTATACTTCCTTTAGAAGATAATTATCTAGGAGCCATTTGCTGAGTTTAGTTAGAAGTTTCTTTCTGAGGTGGAAAATGAAGGAAAAGAAAAGAGAAAGAAGAGAAAGGCGGATTGGCTGACAGATGGACTAAATAAATGATGGAGAAACAGTAGAGACAAGGGGTTTGTTGACCAGGAAGGCAGTAGCTCTCTTGAAAGCAGTAGGATGCAAAATGTCTCTTAAAAAAGAAATCATAAAACAGTGCAAGTTAAATAAATGATGTTTAGTTATTGAAAAATGCATTTATTTTTAGCTTCTACCACATTTTAATTTTGTATGTTTGATAATAAGTAGTATCTTTTACTGCTTTACCTTCAGTCCAGAGAACTCAAGCTCCTTCAGTCAGCTTAGTTAGAACTTTGCAAGTTCTGCTTCATGGGGGTAAAGGTGTAACTTTGTTTTATTGATTGGATAGTTAAATTCAAGAGAGTTGCCTCTCAAAAAATGATGCAGTAATTTCTCCAGCCCTTCTGTTAGACGGCCCCTGCCAATCACTTGTCCCACATCTTGTTCATCCATTTTTTCATTCTGTGTTAATCAGGACTGTGTTGGTTCTAAGTAACAAAAACCTAAATATAACTTAACAAATAAGCAAATAAACAAAGTTTGGAAGCCCAACTATTGCCTTCAGGTTATGTTTAATCCAAACATTCTAACAAAATAATCAGATCTGTCTGTCTCTGACCATTGACTACATGACCCTTGGTTGGATTTTTCTCTGCCAAGATCCCTCTGACAACAGTCTATGTAACCCAACCTGGCACTTAATAATAGGCCATCCCTGTGGTCTTTTCTGACATTTCATGTGTGTTAGTTTTAATTTCTCAACCAGAATGGAAAGTCCCATAGGGGAGGCCCCTGGCCTTTCATGCTGCTCATTCTGTGGTCATCTGGTATGGACAGTGGGTACTCAGAACTATGATTGGATATTCAGGATTATATACATTTTGCACCGATTGTCTATTAACATTTGTAAAATAGAGATGGTAACATCAACCACACAGGTCTTATGTGGAGAACAAAGTGATATATCTGAAGCACTTATTGCATAGTGAGTATGTTATAAATGATGGACACATGTATTTGTATGTGTATATGTATGTCTGTGTGTATATATATATGTATATGTCAATATGGTCATATATAATTTAGATGATGGATTTCCTGATCACAGAGTCCATGTCTCTTTTTTCTTTTTTCTTGTAATGCTGAGGATAGCATTCCACAGGCACTCAATAGAAGCTTGTGACTGAAAATATAAAACTCAAATCTTTGCAGAACATCTGGGTCTCATAAAAGGCCCTGAAAAGCTCCAAACCATTTATTGCTCTTCTGATCTTCATATGGAAGTGACTGTGGCACGATGATTAAGACCATTGGTTGGGTTTGAATCAGATAGACCTGAGTTTGACACCTAAGTGTACCCTCCTGTAGTTTGGATAAGCTCCTTCTAAGATTCAGTTTTCCCATCTGTACAAGTCAGAGTAATAATAGTACTCTTACATTGACTTACTGAGTAGTAAATGGAAGAGTAGAAGATCAGCATTCTGCACTATGTCTGATATAGAGTCAGCACTCAATAGCACTCAATATGCTTCTGCTTATGGTAATTCCAGATATTGTACCTACAGTATGGCCCTGCCTTACAGAAATATTTTTTGGAATAGTACTTTTTTTTTTTATTGTAGAAACTCTTCTCCACATAGATACTATTGAAAATCTTGAAAGTGAACTTTATAAAGAACTCTAAGATATAAAAACAACAACAATGATTCATTAGGAACTGTGTATAGGCACAGAATCCTATGACAACACATCAGAACTTCATTTTTCAGGCGTAGTAACTGGGCCCCAGAGCTTGTTAGCAGCAGAATCTAGATTAGTTCCCACAACTCTATATACTTAGTTCAGTTTTCCTCAAACAGCATAACTCAATACCTTTATTTTCCTCCAAAACTCTGCCATAAACCCACTGAGAGATCTACTTAACGGAGTTATCCCTATGAGAACACATGAAGAGCCAGTCCTGACAGAAATAGCTGATAGGAGAGAAGAACAACTACCCATGAGCAGGTGACAAGCTGTCAGGCATGCTCTCTATTGTGTAAAGAGTGTGATGTTCTCAGTTGCATACACCCTGTGAGTCTACAGAGCCCACAGATTTATTTTAGAGTTCAGCTCAGTAGTTTCTGAACCATGAAACATATTTTATGAGTTTTAAATACTTTATATATCAAAAGTTGTAAGAAAATTTCAGAACATGCCATTTAAAAAAATCCACCTTCCAATGAAAAAAGCTCCTCTTTTTCTTTCTTCTTCAGGATTTTTATTTTATTTTTTATTAGTATATTTTTTATTTCAATAGCTTTTGTGGTACAAGAGATTTTTGGTTACATGGATGAATTATATAGTGGTGAAGTCTGAGATTTTAATGCAACTATCACCTGAGTAGTGTTCATTGTACCCAATGTGTAGTTTTTATCCCTCACCTCCTCCCACTCTCCCCATTCTGAGTCTCCAAAGTCCATTATATCACTCTGCATGCCTTTGTGTACCCAGAGCTTAGTTCCCACTTATAAGTGAGAACATACAGTATTTGGTTTTCCATTCCTGAATTTCTTCACTTACAGTAATGGCCTCCAACTCCATGCAAGTTTCTGCAAAAGACATTATTTCATTCGTTCCTATGGCTGAGTAGTATTGCATGTTGTATATATACCACATTTTCTTTATCCACTTATTGGTCTATGGGCACTTATGTTGGCTCTACATTTTTGCAATTGTGAATTGTGCTACAATAAATATTCGTGTAGGAGTCTTTTTGATATATTGACTTCTTTGGGATATTGCTGCATCAAATGGTAGATCTACTTTAGTTCCTTAAGGTATCTCCATATGGGTTTTCCATGGAGGTTGTACTAATTTACATTTCCACCAGTGGTGTGTAAGGTTCCTTTTTCACCACATCCATGCCATTCTTTTTTGACTTTTTAATAATGGCCATTCTTGCAGGAGTAAGGTGGTATCTCATTGCAGTTTTAATTTGAATTTCTTTCATGATTAGTAATGTTGAGCATTTTTTTCATATGTTTGTTGGACATTTGTATATCTTCTTTTGAGAATTGTCTATGTCCTTTGCCCATTTTTGATTTCATTATTTGTTTTTTTTTCTTGTTGATTTGTTTGAGTTCCTTGCAGATTCTGGATACTAGTCCCTTGTTGGATGCATAATTTGCAAATATTTTCTCCCATTCTGTGAGTTGTCTGTTTACTCTGATGATCATTTCTTTTGCTGTACAGAAGCTGCTTAGTTTAACTAGGTCCCATTTATTTATTTTAATTTTAGTTGCATTTGCTTTTGGGGTCTTAGTCATAAATTTTTTGCCTAGGCCAATGTCCAGAAGAATTTTTCCTACATTATCCTCTAGAATTTTTATGGTTTGAGGTCTCAGATTTAAATCTTTCCTGCTTCTTGAGTTGATTTTTGTATAAGGTGAAAGACGGGGATCCAGTTTCATTCTTCAACATGTGGCTGTACAGTTTTCCCAGCACCATCTATTAAATAGGGTGTCCTTTCCCCAATTTACATTTTTATATGCTTTGTTGAAGATCAGTTGGTTGTACATATTGACTTTATTTCTGGGTTCTCCATTCTGTTCCATTGGTCTATGTGTCTACTTTTATACCAGTACCATGCTGTTTTGGTAATTGTACCCTTGTAGTGTACATTTGGAGTCTTATAATGTGATGCCTCTAGATTTGTTCTTTTTCTTAGGGTTGCTTTGGTTACTTGGGCACTTTTGTGGTTCCATATGCATTTTAGGATTAAAAAATTATGTGAAAAATGATGTGGGTATTTTGATAGGAGTTTCATGGAATCTGCAATTTCTTTAGGCGGTATGGTCATTTTCACGACATTGATTCTTCTAATCCATGAGCATAGGATGTATTTCCATTTGTTTGTGTCCTTTATGATTTCTTTCAGCAGTGTTTTGTAGTTCTCCTTGTAAAGATCTTTCACAACCTTTGTTAAGTATATTCCTAAGTATTTTATTTATTTATTTTTTGCAGCTGTTGAAAAAGGGATTGAGTTATAGATTACACTCTCTCCTTGATCTCACTGCTATATATTGTTGGTGTATAGCATTGCTACTGATTTGTGTACATTGATTTTGTAACCTGAGACTTTACTGAATTTATCATGTCTAGGAGTCTTTTGGAGGAGTCTTTAGGGTTTTCTAGGTATATAATGATCTCACTGGCAAACAGCAATAGTTTGACTTTCTCTTTTCCAATTTGGATGTCCTTTATTTCCTTCTCTTGCCTGATTGCTCTGGCTAGGACTTCCAGTACTATGTTGTAAAGAGGTGGTGAAAATGAGCATCCTTGTCTTGTTCCAGTTCTCAGGGAGAATGCTTTCAACTTTTTCTCATTCAGTATGATGTTAGCTGTGGGTTTGTCATATATGGCTTTGTTATTTTGACATAAGTCCCTTCTACACCTAGTTTTTTTGAGGGCTTTTATCATAAATAAATGCTGAATTTTACTAAGTGCTGTTTCTGCTTCTATTGAGATGATCATATGGAGTTTAAAAAATTCTGTTTATGTGATGTATCATATTTATTGACTTGCATATGCTAAACCATCCCTGCATGAAACATTCTCCAAGATACACCATATGATAGTCCACAAAACAAGTCTCAATAAATGAAAAAAAATTGAAATCATATTAAGTTTCTTCTCAGACCACATTGAAATGAAACTAGAAATCAACTCCAAAAGGAACACTCAAATCTATACAAATACATGGAAATTAAACAATCTTCTCCTGAAGAATTTTTGGGTTAACAATGAAATCAAGATAGAAATTTAAAAATTCTTTGAAATGAATGATAATAGTGATACAAATTATCAAAACCTCTGGGAGACAGCAAAGACAGTGCCAAGAGGAAAGTTTATAGTGCTAAATTCCTACATCAAAAAGTCTGAAGGATCACAAATTGATAACCTAATGTAACACCTCAAGGAACTAGAGAAATAAGAACAAACTAAACCCAAAGTTACCAGAAGAAAGATCAGAGCAGAAATAAATGAATTTGAAACAACAAAAACAATACAAAAGATCAATGAAACAAAAAGTTGATTATTTGAAAAGATAAACACAATTTATATACCATTATCTAGATTAACCAAAAAAGAAGATGTAAGATTCAAAGAAGCTCAGTTAGAAATGAAACTGTAGACATTACAACTGAAACCACAAAAATACAAAAGATAATTCAAGACTACTATGAAAACCTTTATGCACACAAACTAGAAAATCTAGAGAAAATGGATAAATTCCTGGAAACATACAACCCTCTTAGATTAAATCAGGAAGAAAAAGAAACCCTGAACAGACAAATAACAAGAAGTGAGACTGAATCAGTAATATAAAAAATTGCCAACATCAACAAAAAGCTCAGGTCCAGATGTATTCACTGCTAAAGTCTACCAGACATTCGAAGAATTGGAAACGATGCTACTGAAACTATTTAAAAGGACTGAGAAAGAGGGAATCCTTCTTTACTCGTTCTAAGAAGTCAATATCACCCCATTACCAAAACTAGGAAAGGACACAACGAAAAAAGAAAACTACAGACCAATATTTCTCATGAACGTAGTTGCAAAGATTAACAAAATACCAGCAAGCCAAATCTAACAGAACATCAAAAAGGAAAAGCTCCTCTTTACTAAGGAATTCTAGCTAAGAAATAGAAGAGATTATGAAATTAGAAAATCACCATTTTGCAATCATCAATATAATTATTCAGGTAAGAATCACCAATTGCTACCAAAACTATAGGGAGGTGAAAATTTATCAGGGAAGAGAATGTTCACGTGCTCTCAATGTACCATCCCATAGATTACTTATTTATTTCAAAGGGAGAAATGTTTATTACAAATTCTGAGTGATGTTAATTTAAATGATTGACAAAACATGGGATCTTCAATAATGAGATATATTGACATTATGTAACTCTTGATGTGATGCCAATGCTATGGAGGACAGAAAAAAGTTAAGGGGACTATTCTAGATTAAAAAGACAAAGAGAAGGACAACTAAATCCAATATTCCTAGGTCTAGCTCACCTTCCTAGGGCCCAGAAAAACAAGCCTTTGTATGTAGGGAATGATGACAGAAAACATATTGCAAGCTACAGGCACTAAGAGGAGCATCCAGTACCTTTATTTCACCAAGAAAAAAAAAATCTAGGCTAGGAAAGGAATGATGACCTCAGTAAGATTAGGCACTTTGCTCAGTTCACTCCTGACACACTAGCCCCTCTGTTGTTTCTCCAGTCTAACAGACACAGGGCCACTGGACTTCTAATATCCTCTTCCCAGAATGCTCTTCCTCCAGAGAGGCATAGCTCTCTTTTTCACCTCCTTCAGCTCCTTGCTCATACAGCCTTCCCTGACCACCTATTTTAAACTAAAATTCACTCTTACTTGATTTTTCCCTTAAGTGTTTGTCAGTCCTTCATACCATATATTTTACTTGTTTTTTTAACCATCTTCCAGTAGTAGAATGTAAACATTATGAAGACAGGGATTTTTTTTAAACATTTGTTCATAAGTTTTCAGTGTTGTGTCCACCATTGTGCTGGTTGCTACATTCCCTGCCTGCAGGAAGTTTCTGTCTAATGGACTTTTGAAGCCAGGGGGAATATTAGTGGTGCAAGTGTGACACCAACCCCTTCTTAGCCTTGTGATGGTCATGGGAACTGGTGTGAATTCTCCTGGGAAAGGCACATCCTGGCTTTACATCAGAGATTGTGCCTGCCTCTTCCCAGTGCTGAAAGAGCTGAATTAGATTCAAAAAATTGCTGACACTGAAAGATTATTCACACCATTAAAAGTTATTTTTTTTAAACAGAGACATTGTTTAGAGCAGTTGTAAAAAGAAGGTCTAGTTCTCTTAATGGGACACCTATTAAGGTGAGGAAGCCTTTAGGAGAAAGCCAAGAGGAGATTTTAAAGTCCTTTAGGATCTATTTTCTTGCAGTAGCTACATGATGGGATGGAGAATTTGGGCCCGTTCTCCAATGCTTGGACAACCTTGACCACCTGCCTGTGCATGAATCATGTTCCACTTGCTGCATGTTTTGTATTAAAAATGATGTCTTAACCTAGCACTTGTAAATCACGCATTCTAAGGACTATTCCCAGTAGGGCAAACATATTTTCTCCTTCCACCCTCCTCGTGACAATGTTACCTCAAACTAATAAAAGACTGGTGAGGGCGTGAGCTGCACTCTGAGGCCAGGAAGCAATGAAGTTAAATAGGCAACCGAAGAACTAAACCCATTACTGTCAACTCATCATTGCATCCTCCATTGACAATTTACTCTTCGATAGCTGCTGTGAGTCAGATTTTCACACTTCTTATGACATGAGTCAGGGACAAGTGTCTGGCCTTGTCAACAGTACCTGAGTGTATTAACTCTGTACAGCTAGAGAGCTACAAAATGGACACTCAATATATTTCCCTTTGACCCAACTAGAATGGCTGCATAAATTCCTGAAAAACAGGTTAATTTTTGTGACTTGATGTTCCATCATAGATTTAAAAAGAAACTTACTATATTAGACATATTCAACAACTTGTCCTTTCTTTTTCAACTCAGTATCTTCTCCATGAAACATGCTGTCTTTTCAGTGCCATGGATTTGCTAGTAAAATACCCTCTGTTTATTATAAAGACTTCCTGATTAGACACAATACATTATTCAATATTTTTATTTAAGGTGATTTTTGATATGGTTGGGTTAAAATCTATCATAATGCCAGCTTTTTTTTTGTTTGTTCCATTTGCTCTTTGATTTTCTCCCCTTTTCTGCTTTCTTGTGGTTTAATGGAAGAGATTTTATTATCCTATTTTATACCCCCCATTACTTAATATTTACACATCTTTAAAAAATTTAGTGGTTGCCCTAGGCTTTACAATATACACTTAAATATAATCTGAGTGCACATTAAAATAACATACCTATCCATGTATAGAGTAATGACTTTAAAGGGACCACTCGTCTCTGGAGTTTTAATCACATATTTCACTTTTATATATACTGTAAACACCATATTACTAATTTTTATTTAAGCAGCCAAGTACCTTTTACAGAAGTGAAAAATAAGAAAAAGATTTAATTTTATCTTTATGCCATTTACAGTGCTTTTCATTTCTTTTTGTAAATCTAAGTTTTTGACCTATGTCGTATTCCTTCTGCCTGAAGAACTTCCTTTAACATTTTTTATATACTAGCTTGGCTGGAAATGAATTCTTTCAGTTTTTAATTTTTCTGAAAAAGTCTTTATTTCCCATTTATCTTTGAAAAATGTTTTTGCTATTATAGAATTTTGTGTTGATTTTTTTCCTTTTAGAACTTAAAAAATGTCATTCCACTGTCTTCTTGTTTGTATGGTTTCTTAAAGGAGTCTGCTAGAATTTTTAGCCTTTTCCTCTGTAAGTGATGTGCATTTTTCTCTGGCCACCTTCAGAATTCCCCTTTGGTTTTGTTTTTCAGCAGTTTGACTATGGTATGCCTGGGGTGTGTGTGTATGTGTCTGTATGTGTGTGTGTGTGCGCGTGCGTGCGTGCGTGCATGTGCGTGATTTATCCTTCTTGGTGTTCTGTGATCTCGCATGGTGTCTATCTTTTCCACTGGAGACTTTACCATTTTAATCACAGTTATTTAAAATCCCTTCCCTGATAAATCTATTATTTTTGTCATATCTGAGTCTGCTTCTGCTTTTTTTTATATCTCTTCTGACTGTGTTTTTTCTTCCTTTTTAAAATATGCCTTGAAAGTTTTTTCTTGACAGTTTTACATGGAGTCTATCAGAGTAAACATAAAGTAAATATTTCTTATGCCTGGAGAGAAGTGTGCTTTTCCTTCTGCTAGGTCTTTTAATCAGGGAGTTGAGCTGGGTTTAAAGTTTAAAATTCGTTGCTACTATGGTTATCCTCAGTGCATCATAAATGCTTCAGATTTCTCTAATGATCTCTTGAGTTTGAGGTGTGGGTCAATTTGCCAGAAGGATTTTTCTCAATGACTACTGCCTGCCTGAATTTAGGAATCCCTGCTTGGCTTTTTGTCCTCAGAAACTCACAGTTTAGTGGAAGAGCCAAGTACATAAAAATTACTATGTATTATGGTTTCCTAGACTCATTTAGATGGAATAAGCTTTGGCTCAGCAAGTTAAAGAAGGTGGCAGTTGAAGAAATCTTCTACCAGATTCCCTTAATTTCATATTTGGCTTGTTTTCTTAGACTTTTTCTTCCTATATGTTGCTACAGAGATGGCCAAACATTATTGCCCATGGTAGACAGCACTAGTTACTCACAGAACTCTCTCATTGAGTCCATATGAGTCAACAGAATTCTTTGAACAGTAAATTTCAGGTGGGCATTACCTGTAAGAACTGTCACAGGGTAAGACATCTATTTGCCATCTTCATGCTTGAATATTCTCAAGCTGCTTGTCTTCCTGATATTAGGGTCCTAGACTTTCCTTGTTTATATTATACAGTGACTTTCAACAAACCTAGTTCTAGTTTTGACAAGCAAGTTTTGGGTCCATGAAATAAATGTGATTACTCAGGGAACAGGGATGAAATAAAGCAATAGCTCTGGACCCCAAGGTCAAAATATGGGTAGGAGAATTTTATGTGATAGATATATATATGAGTATTTTTTATTTTTATTTTTAGAGATGGAGTCTCACTCTGTTACCCAGGCTGGAGTGTAGTGGTGCAATCTCAGCTCACTGGAACCTCTGCCTTCTGTGTTCAAGTGATTCTTCTGCCTCAGCCTCCTGAGGAGCTGGGATTACAGGCATCTGTCACCAAGCCTGGATAATTTTTGTATTTTTTAGTACAGACAGGATTTCACCATGTTGGCCAGGCTTGTCTCGAACTCCTGATCTCAGGTAATCCACCCACCTCGGCCTCCCGAAGTGCTGGGATTACAGGCATGAGCCACCACACCCGGCCCTATATGATTACTTTTATATGATAGATAACGTAATTTACAGAATTAACATGTAAGGTTTAAATTATTCCCAACTGATTGTAACTTTATTGAGGCATGGATTTGAATCCCAAATGCCATATGTTGGTATAAGAGTCACTAAGCCCATGAGTAAGGCTAGCCTATTGCTCAACATCCATATCACAACAAATGACCATACTTCCCTGTGTACATGGGAAGCTTAGATCTTTCAGGGTTTACGGAAAACAACCCATTCCAGAATGAGAGTGGTGATTCCAATTTCAGTGAACTGACAATGCCTCCCAGGAATCTTGTGTTTAGAGGGATTTTGAGGTCATGCCTGTAGAGGAATTCCATAACTGATTAATGGGTAATGAAGAACATCAGCACATATGCCTTATAAATGCTGTCTGTAAAACAGTAAAAAGGGAAATTTTCTTAGCCTGGGTTCTCCTTTAAACGGAGGCCAAGATAAAGGCTGCATTGAGGAGGTTCTTGGGAATGTGATCCTGGGGAATGACTGTGAGGACAAAGGGAGTGAACAGGGAGTGAAGGAAAGTCAATATAAGAATGCACTACTGAGCTGGCTACTGCTACTGTTGACTAGTACTTTATTTCAGCATACCTTTGGGGAGCCTTGGAAAATATATTTTACAATTATCTGCCTATGGAACAAAAGGGAAAAAAAATTTGTACATAGGTTTCCTCCCTCATCAGTCAAAGGTGGCTCCACAGGTGTTAGGTCTTCTGCATTTCCGGGTTGTATATGCATGAGTGCTGAGTGGGTCCTGGGGTATCAGCTGCCACAGCTACACAGAAGCCCCAAAATGTTATGGGATTTTTTTCTGGCCAGAACCTCTGTGGCTTGTGGTGCTTTTGCCTGAGTTTTGCTCAGGCCTGCTAGGCTCATTTCACCCACTTGGCCTGGCAGGCTGCACTTGGCTCATGCCACCCCCCTGGGTCCCACGCCTGCCAAGGGCAAGTCAGGCATGTATGGTGAGAGGTGTGTGAGCAAGTGTGGGGTCCAGCCTCTGTGCACGGTCAGACATGCTGGCTACTGCAGCAGGGTGGGCAGCTCCAGGTGCCAGCATGGGCACCAGCTCTCTGTGAGGCTGCAGCCAGAAAAGGTGCACTGCAAACAGCTTCCAAAGCTGGCACCGGAGAACACAGTCGTGCTCAGAATTTTGGAGATGCCGGAAACCACAGGACCCCAAAGAGAGAGTAACAGAACTAGCTCAGGGAACTCCCAGGTCTGAGCTCTCCAAAGGGCCACATCTCTTCTTTCCTTCTCTTCACCTGCAATGTGGAGAGCAAAGGGCATGTCTCAGTCTTGTTTGTGTTACAGCTCTTTCAGCCTTGCCATTTGGTGGGTCCCAAGTCCTTGTCCTGTGACCAGGAAGAAAAAGGTACAAAGACAAGTAGAGGGTGAGCAAGATGAAGAAGAACTTTACTCAGTGATAGAACAGCTTAGAGGAAGCCTGCAGGGGGAAGCCCTTTCCGTAGCCAGGGTGTCCTGATGAGTTTTCAGCTCCTAGCAGAGAGGGTAGCTCCTTTCTTCTAGGCAAGTCATCCTGACAAGTGTTCAGCTATCAGCAGAGAGGGTAACTCCTCCCTGCAGTTGGTCATCCTAACATCTGCGCAGCTCTCAGCAGAGAGGAGGCCCTAGAGTAGGTGGCTTCTCTCTGCAGGCAGGTTGTCCTATCATCTAGCCACCATCTCTCCATCATCTCCCTGACATCTTTCCATCATCTCTGCAAGTCTCAGCAGAGAGGAGGCCCTAGAGTGGGTTGCTCCTCTCTGTAGCTGGTCATCCCATCGTCTGCTCAGCTTTGGCTGGGTCCAGGGATTTTATGGGCCTCAGAGGGGAGAAAGTGCATGCTCATTGGCCCATGCTAATTGGCCCGTGGGTGGCCATATGTGGGCAGAGAAAAGGCACCACAAGTTCCCACTCCAGTTCGGGACTGGCAGCCTGTCCCCAAGCCTTTAGGCCCTCCCTGGCCTGGTGCCGAGGGGAGCCTGCAGGCCAGTGCTGAGCTGCCCTCAGCCCCTCCTTGGCTTCCCTCCTATGATCATTGGTGCCCAAAATCCAGACAGCAGATGTGGCAAGGGGCTGGTGTGTCAGCACTGCCCTGAGTGTGTTCATGCCAATCCAGGCTGTGGCAGCACCTGGGCTTAGCCTCAACTGTGCTCCGAGTTCAGAGCAAGCACTGACAGCAGGAGAAGCCAAGCAGCAGGAGCAGGCAGTTCCAAGCCTGCAAGGGTAGGGGGTAGGGGGTACTTCCTGGGCCCGCAAGAGTGCAGAGATGCCTGGGTCTGCAGTGACAGTTTGGGCAGCTTCAGCTGCACCCGGGGGGACAGGGCTCGTGCCTGCTCCATGGAGTGGGAGGCCTGGGTCTGCAGCTGTGACTTGGGCGGCTGCAGCTGCACCCAGGAAGGTGGTCCTCCTGCCTACCCCGTGGAGCAGGAGGCCTAGGTCTGCAGCTGCAACTTGGGTAGCTGCAGCTGTGCGTGGGAGGGTGGCACTCCCACCTGCTCCTGGGCTGTGAGAGCATAGGGATGCCCAGGTCCACAGCTGTGGCTTGGGCAGCTGAAGTGGCACTCAGAAGGGATGGGGCTTCTGCTTGTCCATGGCTCCTGCTGGCTTCATGGAGCGTGCAGCTCTGGCCATGCCTCCCTGCTGCACACAGCGAGATGGCAGTGGCTCTTCCAGACAGCGTGCTGCTGCCATCACAAGGGCAGGAAGAGGCAATGAAGCAAAGCCTAAGGCAAAGCTCTGTCGGGTTGCACCTTTTCTGAACTAATCAAAGTCAAGCAGTTACTGGAAGGAGAATGGGGACCAGAAGAAGAAGAACCATGCTAAAAGGTGTGTCCAATACAGCTACTCTTATACCAATTCTTTTGAATCTTATTCTCTGTAATTGCGTATGCTCAATGGTTGGACAAAACTCCATAGAACCTCACTGTTTTAAGATAGTCCATTCAAGTGGGATCCTTCTCAGGAAGCATGTTCCCCAGACTATCTCTAATTATTTAATTCAGCTTTAGATTTGGTGGCTGGCTGAACACAGTTGAAACCCTACAAGCCAGAAGAGATTGAGGTCCTATGGTCAGCATTTTTTTGTTTTTTTTTTTACTGTTAGATGATACACTTTATTTATAGATTGAGCAGCCCTAACCTGAAAAGCTGAAATCCAAATGAAATACTTTAAAATTGGATACTTTCTGAGAGCCAACGTGATGCCACAAGTTACCCTGAAAGTGTTATTTTTTTCACTGTATTGATGGTATGTAATATTTTTTATTGTTAAGTACTTATGTGCAAATAAGTATAACAAAATGATTACTTATAAAGGTACCATGTAAATTCAGAGTCAGGAGCAATGGTGATGCCAAATAACCATAGATTGTCCACTAGGATAGTTGAGATAGTGACACTTTTGTTTTCTGATGGTTCAGTGACTACAAACTTTGTTTCATGCACAAACTTATGAACTATATTGTATAAAATCATCTTCGGGCTATGTGCATAAGGTATACATGAAACATAAATGAATTTCATGTTTACACCTGAATCTCATCCCCAAGATTTCTCATTATGTATATGCAAATTATCCAAAATCTGAAATCCAAGACACTCTGGCCCCAAGCATTTCAGATGAGGGATACTTAACCTGTACCTTAATATTAGAAAACCATAAATCATTTTCATGTAATGTGGCAAGGTAGACAGATGTAAGAAATCCAATGCAAAGGGCAATGGTTCCACCAATTGTCAATGACAAAATCTTCCATAATCTTCTACTGGTACAACCAGATGGCAATCTATTTTCGAACTTCACATTTTCTTCTTGGGCTGGAAAGTCTTCAGAAACTTCTGTGGCTCTTATTTCTCTTCTTTGCCAGATGGACACCATGATGTCAGACTTACATGCATCGTTCTCCCAATCACTCCTGCGGCCTCAGCCGTCCTTACGTGCTGCTCCGGGAGGGGAAGGAGGCTGACGTGGCTAGGTGGGAGTGGGGCTGTGCCACAGGCCACAGCATGCCACGGGGACAAGGAGGGCAGATCTGCCACAGAGCTTTGTGGAAATGAGGGGCTGGGGGGCTTTGACAGCCCTGGGGAGGGGGCGCGACAGAGAGGCCGGGTGGCTGCAGCCGCACCTATAGGCCCTGGTCAGCATTCTTAAGAAAAGAAATTCCAACCAAGAATTTCACATCCAACCAACCTAAGCTTCATAAGCAAAGGAGAAATAAGATCCTTTTCAGACAAGCAAATGCTAAGGAAATTCATTACCACCAGACCTATCTTTCAAGAGGTCCTTGAGGGAGTGGTAAATACAAAAAGGAAAGATCGTTACCAGCTACTACAAAAACACACTTAAGTACACAGACCATTGACATTATAAAGCAACCACACAATCAAGTCTACATAATAACCAGATAACAACATGATGACAGGATCAAATCTGCACATATCAATATTAACCTATAATGTAAATGGTGTAAACGCCCCCAATTAAAAGGCATAGACTAGCAAGTTGAATAGAAGCAAGCCCCAGTGGTATGCTGTCTTCAGGAGACATATCTCACAAGCAACGACACCTGTATGCTCACAGTAAAAGGATGGAGAAAAATCTACCAAGCAAACAGAAAACAGCAAATAGCAGAGGTGCTAGTCTAATGTGAGACAAAACAGAGTTTAAATAATAATAATCATAAAAGACAAAGAAGGGGATTTCATAATGGTAAAGGGTTCAATTCAACAAGAAAACCTAGCTATCCTAAATATATATGCACCCAACCCAGGAGCACCCAGATTCATTAAACAAGCTCTTAGAGACCTACAAAGAGACTTAGATTCCTACACAATAGTAGTGGGAGACTTCAACACCCCACAGACATTATTAGACAGATCATAGAGGGAGAAGACTAACAAAGATATTCAGGACCTAAACATGACATCTGACCAAACGGATCTAACAGACAACTACAGAACTCTTCACTCAAATGCAACAGAATATACATTCTTCTCATCTGCACATGGCACGTACTCTAAAATCAACCACACGATTGGCCATAAAACAATTCTCAGCAAATTCAAAAAACCAAAATCATACCAACCACACTGGAACTACAGCACAATAAAAATAGAAATCAATACAAGAAGACTGCTGAAAACCATAAAAGTACATGGAAATATAAAAACCTGCTCCCGAGTAACTTTCAGGTAAAGAGTGAAATTCAGCTGGAAATCAGTAAATTCATTCCAACTAATGAGAACAAAGATACAACATTCCAAAATCTTGGGGGAAACTACTAAAGCAGTCTTAAGAGGAAAAAAGTTTATGGTGCTAAATACTCACATGAAAAAGTTAGAAAGATCTGATTAACAGCTGAACATCACATTAACAGGAACTAGATAAACAAGAGCAAAACAATGCCAAAGGTGGCAGAAGACAAGGAAGAACCAAAATCAGAGCTGAACTGAAGGAGACTGAGATGCAAAAAACAAAACAAAACAAAACAAAACAAAAAACAAAAAAAAACCCAAAGAACAATGATTTCAGGAGTTTGGTATTTGAAATAATAAATAAGATAGACTACTAGCCAGACTATAAAGAAAAATGAGAGAAGATCCAAATAAACACAATCAGAGAGGACAAAGGGGACATTACCACCGACCCCACAGAAATACACAAACCCCTCAGAGACTATGATGAATACCTCTATGCGCACAAACTAGAAAACCTACAAAAATGAATAAATTCCTGAAAACATACAACCTTCCAAGATTGAACCAGGAAGAAATTGGAACCCTGAATGGACCAATAATACCAACCAGAAAAAGTCCAAGACCAGACAGATTCTCAGTCTAATTCTACCAGGTATATAAAGAAGAGGTGGGCCGGGCACGGTGTCTTACACCTGTAATCCCAGCACTTTGGGAGGCCGAGGTGGGTGGATCACAAGGTCAAGAGATTGAGACCATCCTGGCCAACATGGTGAAACCCTGTCTCTACTAAAAATACAAAAATTAGCCAGGCTTGGTGGCATGTTCATGTAGTCCCAGCTCCTCAGGAGGCTGAGGTAGGAGAATCACCTGAACCCAGGAGGTGGATGTTGCAGTGAGCCAAGATCACACCAGTGCACTCCAGCCTGGGTGACAGAACGAGACTCCATCTTAAAAAGCAAAACAAAACAAAACAAAAATTCAAGTTGAGATGTGGGTGGGGACACAGCCAAATCATATCAGCACACATGAATTCATGTTGAAAATGTATCAGAGAGAAGGAAGATAACATTTACAATGTTATAGCATTGGATTTGTCAGATCCCAGTTGATGTGAACCATAATGGATCATCATCATCTGAGGTGATTTTCTAAACCTGATGCAGTATAGAGGAGACAGTGTATGATGGAGGAATGCCCCTGATGGCTGGCCAGCTAGCAGGGACTAAAAACAGCTAGCATGGCTCAGAAGACTGAGGCACACACTGTAGTAGAACTCCTGAGCTTTAAATCCCCAGTGCCATCTGACAGTTTTGCTAATGGTGGTCTCCAGCTATCCTGTGAAATGTCTTATATCCTAATGCTAAGGACCTAGGAAAGAAAACTTGGGAAAGAGAAAAGGGGCAATATAAACAAAGAAGTAAAACTAATCTGACAGGAAAGGAAAATATGCATTATTCTTATCTTCAACTCATAGCAGACATCACTAATTTCCCATCATACCTTCCCTGATGAGTGCTGAGTTACCTCAAAACTCTCATTAACCCATCCTTTCAGGCAGAACATCTCAGTATTTCAGAGGAAATCAATGTGTCATCTTTGATCTATGACCATATTTAGTGTTATTCTAAACACCCCAGCTATGAGAAATGAGAAATCCTAACCTTTGGGAATTTAAGAATAGACAGAAAAGGGTCTTTGTATAAACTACCTAAAATCATTTTCTTTCTTTATAACTATAACTTAAACCATTCATTTATAGTTTCATCATGCTTTACATTGTGTTTACCTTTTCATGTAATAATAATACCTTAGATGAGTATGGTATTTTTATTATTTACAAAATATTCTCAAATGTTAGCATTCTTGATCCTAAAGTCAAGCATTATTTTTCATTCTAAGATTAAGAAAACAAAACAGAATCATCCCTGAGGCAGAGGCTTAGAGAAGGTAAGTGACTTCTTAATTTTATATATATATATATATTTTTTTTCCAGTGGAAATGCTTTTATTTTTTTATTTTATTTTTTATTATTATTATACTTTAAGTTTTAGAATACATCTGCACAACATGTGCCATATTGGTGTGCTGCACCCATCAACTCGTCATTTAGCATTAGGTATATCTCCTAATGCTATCCCTCCCGCCTCTCCCACCCCACAACAGTCCCCGGTGTGTGATGTTCCCCTTCCTGTGACCATGTGTTCTCATTGTTCAATTCCCACCTGTGAGTGAGAACATGTGGTGTTTGGTTTTTTGTCCTTGTGATCGTTTGCTGAGAATGATGGTTTCCAGCTTCATCCATGTCCCTACAAAGGACATGAACTCATCATTTTTTGTGGCTGCATAGTATTCCATGGTGTATATGTGCCACATTTTCTTGATCCAGTCTATCATCATTGGACATTTGGGTTGGTTCCATGTCTTTGCTATTGTGAATAGTGTGCATGTGTCTTTATAGCAGCATGATTTATAATCCTTTGGGTATATAGCCAGTAATAGGATAGCTGGGTCAAATGGTGTTTCTAGTTCTAGATCCCTGAGGAATCGCCACACTGTCTTCCACAGTGGTTGAACCAGTTTACAGTACCACCAACAGTGTAAAACTGTTCCTATTTCTTCACATCCTCTCCAGCACCTGTTGTTCCCTGACTTTTTAATGATCGCCATTCTAACTGGTGTGAGATGGTATCTCATTGTGGTTTTGACTTGCATTTCTCTGATGGCCAGTGATGAGGAGCATTTTTTTCATGTCTCTTTTGACTGCATAAATGTCTTCTTTTGAGAAGTGTCTGTTCATATTCTTCACCCACTTGTTGATGGGGTTGTTTGTTTTTTTCTTGTAAATTTGTTTGTGTTCATTGTAGATTCTGGATATTAGCCCTTTGTCAGATGAGTAGGTTACAAAATTTTTCTCCCATTCTGTAGGTTGTTCTGTTCACTCTGATGGTAGTTTCTTTTGCTGTGCAGAAGCTCCTTAGTTTATTTAGATCCCATTTGTCAGTTTTGGCTTTTGTTGCCATTGCTTTTGGTGTTTTAGACATGAAGTCCTTGCCTATGCCTATGTCCTGAATGGCATTGCCTAGGTTTTCTTCTAAGGTTTTTATGGTTTTAGGTCTAACATGTAAGTCTTTAATCCATCTTGAATTAATTTTTGTATAAGGTGTAAGGAAGGGATCCAGTTTCAGCTTTCTACATATGGCTAGCCAGTATTCCCAGCACCATTTATTAAATAGGGAATCCTTTCCCCATTGCTTGTTTCTGTCAGGTTTGTCAAAGATCATATTGTTGTACATATGCGGCATTATTTCTGAGGTCTCTGTTCTGTTCCATTGATCTATATTTCTGTTTTGGTACCAGTACCATGCTGTTTTGGTTACTGTAGCCTTGTAGTACAGTTTGAAGTCAGGTAGCATGATGCCTCCAGCTTTGTTCTTTTGGCTTAGGATTGACTTGGTGATGCGGGCTCTTTTTTGGTTCCATATGAACTTTAAAGTAGTTTTCTCCAATTCTGTGAAGAAAGTCATTGGTAGCTTGATGGGGATGGCATTGAATCTATAAATTACCTTGGGCAGTATGGCCCTTTTCACGATATTGATTCTTCCTACCTATGAGCATGGAATGTTCTTCCATTTGTTTGTATCCTTTTTTATTTCCTTGAGCAGTGGTTTGTAGTTCTCCTTAAAGAGGTCCTTCACGTCCCTTGTAAGTTGGATTCCTAGGTATTTTATTCTCTTTGAAGCAATTGTGAATGGGAGTTCACTCATGATTTGGCTCTCTGTTTGTCTGTTATTGGTGTATAAGAATGCTTGTGATTTTGGCACATTGATTTTGTATCCTGAGACTTTGCTGAAGTTGCTTATCAGCTTAAGGAGATTTTGGGCTGAGACGATGGGGTATTCTAGATATACAATCATGTCATCTGCAAACAGGGACAATTTGACTTCCTCTTTTCCTAATTGAATGCCCTTTATTTCCTTCTCCTGCCTGATTGCCCTGGCCAGAACTTCCAACACTATGTTGAATAGGAGTGGTGAGAGAGGGCATCCCTGTCTTGTGGCAGTTTTCAAAGGGAATGCTTCCAGTTTTCCCATTCAGTATGATACTGGCTGTGGATTTGTCATAGATAGCTCTTATTATTTTGAGGTACATCCCATCAATACCTAATTTATTGAGAGTTTTTAGCATGAAGGGTTGTTGAATTTTGCCAAAGGCCTTTTCTGCATCTATTGAGATAATCATGTGGTTTTTGTCTTTGGTTCTGTTTATATGCTGGATTACATTTGTTGATTTTCATATGTTGAACCAGCCTTGCATCCCAGGGATGAAGCCCACTTGATCATGGTGGATAAGCTTTTTGATGTGCTGCTGGATTTGGTTTGCCAGTATTTTATTGAGGATTTTTGCATCAATGTTCATCAAGGATATTGGTCTAAAATTCTCTTTTTTTTGTGTGTGTCTCTGCCAGGCTGTGGTATCATGATAATACTGACCTCATAAAATGAGTTAGGGAGGATTCCCTCTTTTTCTATTGATTGGAATCGTTTCAGAAGGAATGGTACCAGCTCCTCCTTGTACCTCTGGTAGAATTTGGCTGTGAATCCATCTGGTCCTGGACTTTTTTTGGTTGGTAAGCTATTAATTATTGCCTCAATTTCAGAGCCTGTTATTGGTCTATTCAGAGATTCCACTTCTTCCTGGTTGAGTCTTGGGAGGGTGTATGTGTCGAGGAATTTATCCATTTCTTCTAGATTTTCTAGTTTATTTGCATAGAGGTGTTTGCAGTATTCTCTGATGGTAGTTTGTATTTCTTGGGATCCGTGGTGATATCCCCTTTGTCATTTTTTATTGCGTCTATTTGATTCTTCTCTCTTTTCTTCTTTATTGGTCTTGCTAGTGGTCTATCAGTTTTGTTGATCTTTTCAAAAAATCAGCTCCTGGATTCATTGATTTTTTGAAGGGTTTTTTGTGTCTCTATTTCCTTCAGTTCTGCTCTGATCTTAGTTATTTCTTGCCTTCTGCTAGCTTTTGAATGTGTTTGCTCTTGCTTCTCTAGTTCTTTTAATTGTGATGTTAGGGTGTCAATTTTAGATCTTTCTTGCTTTCTCTTGTGGGCTTTTAGTGCTATAAATTTCCCTCTATGCACTGCTTTGAATGTGTCCCATAGATTCTGGTATGTTGTGTCTTTGTTCTCATTGGTTTCAAAGAACATCTTTATTTCTGCCTTCATTTCGTTATGTACCCAGTAGTCATTCAGGAGCAGATTGTTCAGCTTCCATGTAGTTGAGCGGTTTTGAGTGAGTTTCTTAATCCTGAGTTCTAGTTTATTGCACTGTGGTCTGAGAGACAGTTTGTTATAATTTCTTTTCTTTTACATTTGCTGAGGGGTGCTTTACTTCAAACTATGTGGTCAATTTTGGAATAGGTGTGGTGTGGTGCTGAAGAGAATGCATATTCTGTTGATTTGGGGTGGAGAGTTCTGTAGATGTCTATTAGGTCCGCTTGGTGCAGAGCTGAGTTCAATTCCTGGATATCCTTGTTAACTTTCTGTCTCGTTGATCTGTCTAATGTTGACAGTGGGTTGTTAAAGTCTCCCATTATTATTGTGTGGGAATCTAAGTCTCTTTGTTGGTCACTAAGGACTTGCTTATGAATCTGGATGCTCCTGTATTGGGTGCATATATATTTAGGATAGTTAGCTCTTCTTGTTGAATTGATCCGTTTACCATTATGTAATGGCCTTCTTTGTCTCTTTTGATCTTTGTTGGTTTAAAGTCTGTTTTATCAGAGACTAGGATTGCAACCCCTGCATTTTTTTGTTTTCCATTTGCTTGGTAGATCTTACTCCGTCCCTTTATTTTGAGCCTATGTGTGTCTGTGCATGTGAGATGGGTTTCCTGAATACAGCACACTGACGGGTCTTGACTCTTTATCCAATTTGCCAGTCTGTGTCTTTTAATTAGAGCATTTAGTCCATTTGCGTTTAAGGTTAGTATTGTTATGTGTGAATTTGATCCTGTCATTATGATGTTAGCTGGTTATTTTGCTCATTAGTTGATGCAGTTTCTTCCTAACCTTGATGGTCTTTACAATTTGGCATGTTTTTGCAGTGGCTGGCACTGGTTGTTCCTTTCCATGTTTAGTGCTTCCTTCAGGAGCTCTTTTAGGGCAGGCCTGGTGGTGACAAAATCTCTCAGCATTTGCTTGTCTGTAAAGTATTTTATTACTCCTTCACTTATGAAGCTTAGTTTGGCTGGATATGAAATTCTGGGTTGAAAATTCTTTTCTTTAAGAATGTTGAATATTGGCCCCCACTCTCTTCTGGCTTGTAGAGTTTCTGCTGAGAGATCAGCTGTTAGTCTGATGGGCTTTCCTTTGTGGGTAACCCGACCTTTCTCTCTGGCTGCCCTTAACATTTTTTCCTTCATTTCAACTTTGGTGAATCTGACAATTATGTGTCTTGGAGTTGCTCTTCTCGAGGAGTATATTTGTGGTGTTCTCTGTATTTCCTGAATTTGAATGTTGGCCTGCCTTGCTAGATTGGGGAAGTTCTCCTGGATAATATCCTGCAGAGTGTTTTCCAACTTGGTTCCATTCTCCCTGTCACTTTCAGTTACACCAATCAGACGTGACATAGATTTGGTCTTTTCACATAGTCCCATATTTCTTGAAGGCTTTGTTCATTTCTTTTTATTCTTTTTTCTCTAAACTTCTGTTCTTGCTTCATTTCATTCATTTCGTCTTCCATTGCTGATACCCTTTCTTCTAGTTGATCGCATTGGCTACTGAGGCTTCTGCATTCATCACGTAGTTCTTGTGCCTTGGTTTTCAGCTCCATCCAGTTCTTTAAGGACTTCTTTGCATTGGTTATTCTAGTTAGCCATTCGTCTAATTTTTTTTCAAGGTTTTTAACTTCTTTGCCATTGGTTCGAACTTCCTCCTTTAGCTCAGAGTAGTTTGATCTTCTGAAGCCTTCTTCTCTCAACTCATCAAAGTCATTCTCCATCCAGCTTTGTTCTGTTGCTGGTGAGGAGCTGCATTCCTTTGGAGGAGGAGAGGCGCTCTGATTTTTAGAGTTTCCTGTTTTTCTGCTCTGTTTTTTCCCCATCTTTGTGATTTTATCTACCTTTGGTCTTTGATGATGGTGACGTACAGATGGCTTTTTGGTGTGGATGTCCTTTCTGTTTGTTAGTTTTCCTTCTAACAGTCAGGACTCTCAGCTGCAGGTCTGTTGGAGTTTGCTGGAAGTCCACTCCAGACCCTGTTTGCCTGGGTATCAGCAGCGGTGGCTAAAGAACAGCGGGTATTGGTGAACCGCAAATGCTGTGCCTGATCGTTACTCTGGAAGTTTTGTCTCAGAGGAGTACCCGGCTGTGTGAGTTGTCAGTCCGCCCCTACTGGGGGGTGCCTCCCAGTTAGGCTACTTGGGGGTCAGGGACCCACTTGAGGAGGGAGTCTGCCCATTCTCAGATCTCAAGCTGCATGCTGGGAGAACCACTACTCTCTTCAAAGCTGTCAGACAGGGACATTTAAGTCTGCGGAGGTTACTGCTGCCTTTTGTTTGTCTGTGCCCTGCCCCCAGAGGTGGAGCCTACAGAGGCAGGCAGGCCTCCTTGAGCTGTGGTGGGCTCCACCCGGTTCGAGCTGCCTGGCTGCTTTGTTTACCTACTCAAGCCTTGGCAATGGCAGTCGCCCCTCCCCCAGCCTCGCTGCTGCCTTGCAGTTTGATCTCAGACTGCTGTGCTAGCAATGAGCGAGGCTCCATGGGCGTACGACCCTCCGAGCCATGTGCAGGATATAATCTCCTGGTGTGCCATTTGTTAACCCCGTTGAAAAAGTGCAGTATTAGGGTGGCAGTGACCCGATTTTCCAGGTGCCGTCTGTCACCCCTTTCTTTGACTAGAAAAGGGAATTCCCTGACCCCTTGCATTTCCCGGGTGAGGCGATGCCTTGCCCTCCTTCAGCTCACGCACGGTGCGCTGCACCTACTGTCCTGCACCCACTGACTGTCCGGCACTCCCCAGTGAGATGAACCCGGTACCTCAGTTGGAAATGCAGAAATCACCCGTCTTCTGCGTGGCTCACGCTGGGAGCTGTAGACTGGAGCTCTTCCTGTTCGGATATCTTGGCTCCACCCTCTTAATTTTATATTTCAAAATTTAGTAGCTGGAGGAACTAAAATGAAAGTTCAGAGCTTCAATGGAGTGCTTATCTTGTGCCTATTTTGCATATAAAAAGAATCTATCCAAGATTAATTTTTAGTCTTTTATCGATTTTTTAAAAAAAGGTTGGGAACCGTGAAAATATATCTTTAGTCCTTTGGAGACTAGCACGCAGAGATTCTGTGGCCAAGTGGGGAGGTGGACTTGCCAGTTTTGTTGAGGTGTGCATTATTTGGAGTTAAAGTTGCCTCATCCAGTTATGCAGTTCTTTCTGTCCCTAGAATCAACAGTTCCTCAAAACTCCAATATTAAAGACAACCAGAAAATTGTACAGTAATTGTACCATGGAAAGAAGATTGCTCTCTGCTCCTGCAGGCATTTGTTTTATGTGCTGACACAAGAACATTTGATTACTCTTAACTCTCTTATGGGGAATGGCTAATAAATGCTACTGTGCACCAGGGCATTACCTGGCATTACTATAATGGCGGGAACAAGTTCCACAACATCATGACTTGCAAGCACGCATTTTGAATCATTGAAATGCATCACATCGTCGGTGGCCATACTGTTGGGTCCTAGTCTCAGGAAGAACCTGGGGTCAAAATTCACGAGTTGCAGTTAGTCCTGAGTCACAGTTTACTCTGAAAATTGCTGGCTCAAATTTCTTGGCATAATGGAATAACACTAAATGTGCTTCTTACAGGAAGAAAGCTATTCCAGAAGAAAAAATAAATCTAAAATTTAATGAAAGAGTGACCAAGGAGAGTCTTGTTGTGACTTTCCCTGTGATTAAGAGCTTGGGTCTCCTTTGTCATGGTGAAAATAGAGTCAAGTCTTTGCTTATCAAATTTTCCTGAGACTTAATTATTCAACAAGTCTTTACTGAGCACCTGCTAAATGCCTGGGGCTGTGCTAGACACTTCATACAAATTATCTCATGGGTTGTTCACAATTACCCTATGAAGAATTTACTTTGGCTGGCTGAGGTTACTTTGAGACGTCACAGTATTTTTCCTTATTTATTGCTTTATTTATGGAATATCACCCTTTCTCCAAAATGCAAAATAATTTGGAGTCAATATGTTATTGTGAAAAGAGTCTTGGTGTAGGAAGACCATGGGCATTAGGACGAAGATCTGAGAGGTGGAGGTAGAAATGACACTGAAACTGAGAGAAAATAAAACCACTGAATTTAAAGCAAAAAGAAACAAAGTGAGTCTTTGGGACCTTTCCTACCTATATTAGTCTTTAGTGTTACAGAATAACTAACCTAGTTGGAGCCTTCACAGTCATTGAATGCTCAAAATCACCTTGATCGGAGATTCAGGGATGGGTTGAGGAACAGTTTAATCACTATTCCTTGTTTTGGGTGAGGGACACAGACAGGTATAGGGTTAGTTAATATCAAAATTCAAATGCCAGCAAAAAGAAATTTAGCAGCATTAAATAGTATTTCTAATTAAAAAAAGATTAATTTGGCTGGGCATGGTGGCTCACGCCTGTAATCCCAGCACTTTGGGAGGCTGAGGTGGGCAGATCACGAGGTCAAGAGATCAAGACCATCCTGGCCAATATGGTGAAACCCTGTCTCTACTGTAAATATAAAAATTAACTGGGTGTGCTGGTGCATGCCTGTAGTCCCAGCTACTCAGTAGGCTGAGGCAGGAGAATCGCTTGAACCTGGGAGGCGGAGGTTGCAGTGAGCCAAGATTGCACCACAGAACTCCAGCCTGTTGACAGAGCAAGACTCCATCTCAAAAAAAAAAAAAAAAAAAGATTAATAAATACATCAACTTCTGCTTGTGGCCAGGAGGGAGGAACTGGCACCAGACTAATCCTTGTCTGAAAAAAGCAAATACAATAACCTCACCAAAAGTCAATATAAATGGAATAAACCATGATGCAATTGCCTTCAGGCACTGGACAACAGGTAGAGCAAGACTGCAATCTCAGGGTGAATGGAAACTCAGCAGGTGAGCCCAGACTCTTCCTGGGGACCTTTTGTGATACAGCCCAGGGGCTGGAGTAGAGCAGAGCAGGCCTGTGGATAGGAAAGCCGGACATTGAGTATAGAGCCACAAAGGTAATGTAGTCTGGGGAGAAGGACACAGGGGATCTGAAGTCTGGGGAGCTTTTTAAACTAGTCATTTGCTGATGGACCACACAGATGCAGGACAAGACTATGGTGATCTTCACAGAACACGGGGCCTGAGCACTGATCACAGATCTTAGCGGTTGAGGAGTGCTGGAGATGGAGTTCCTTCAGCTGGGCCAGAGTGAAGACAACACGTTAACACCTGGGTAGGTGTCCAGCTGAGAAAAAAGGAAGGCCACACCTCAGGAGTAAGGAAGGAGCCTGCCCTAAAAGGTCAGAAGTGAGGCTCAGAGGCAAGGCCAGTCTCAGGGAAGATGGTGCAACTTCGCAAGTAGAACTCATGAAGCAACTGGGGTTGGCTCAGGCACTACTACAATCGGGGTAATCTGTTTTCACTTCCATGAAAACTGAAGTGAGCTTTGTGTTCCTAAATGAAAGGACAAACACTTCAATAGGCATTTAGCTAATATTAGATGGACATAATTGAATCAATAAACAATTTAATTTTAACATTTCCTTTCTTTCTTCTTCTTCTTTTTTTTTTTTTTTTTGAGACAGAGTTTCGCTCCTCTGGCCCAGGCTGGGGTGCAGTGGCACAATCTTGGCTCACTGCAACCTCCGCCTCCTGGCTTCAAGCTATTCTCCTGCCTCAGCATCCTGAGTAGCTGGGACTACAAGAGCATGCCACGACACCTGGCTAATTTTTTGTATTTTTGGTAGAGACAGAGTTTCACTGTGTTGGCCAGGCTGATCTCGAACTCCTGACCTCAGGTGATCCACCTGCCTTGGCCTCCCAAAGTGCTGGGATTACAGGCTTGAGCCACTGCGCCTGGCCCAACATTTTCTTGAAAAACTTAAAACTCCCAAAGAAGTTTTTATCATAGGTTATTAGTATAAAGACTCCAAGCAATGACAAATTTCTGCCACCCTCAAACACACTCACTGATAGAAAACCAATATACTCAGTTATCATATTTCAGATGTGCCAATTTTCTGGTCAATCAGCAATCACCTCCTTGTGAACTCAGGCACAGGGGCTGACACACAGCAGCACAGGACACAGTCTGCCCCCCGGGGCTGCTGACAGTCTCTTGCTGGTAGGAGGAGACATCCCTTACCAATGCTGAGACTGCTGCCTATTTTTTTCTGCTCTGTAAGAGCTTCTGCTGAAATGCTCTGTCTGTGTCCTTCAATGCTGAACTTAGCTTATGCTGTAATTTTTTTCTAATTTTTTTTCTCCTACTGCCTGCAGATATTCAAGTAAATAAGGCACTCTGGATTTTAAACTCATTCATCTGATAATGTTTTTACATGATCTGAAGTCATTTCATCATTAATTTTCTCATTAAACTATGGATACAACAACAGATAGATATTTGTATTTTTAGTAGAGACAGGGTTTCACTGTGTTGGCCAGACTGATCTCGAACTCAGATATTCAACTAAATAAGGCACTCTGGATTTTAAACACATTCATCTGATAATGATTTTACATGATCTGAAGCCATTTCATCATTAATGTTCTCATTAAGCTGCATGCAACAACAGATAGCGACTGAGGAGCTGCACCTGTGGACGTGGGTCGGCGGGAGTGGTAAGGCAATGATGGAGGCACAACCTTGATGTTAAAGACCTCGCTGTCTAGAAGGAAACACACATAAGTAAATAGGCAATCACCATACAGTGTAGTAAGTGCTTTGACTGAATAAGTGAGGAGTTTTGTGTGTGCCTTATCCTGACTTGGTGGGAGCTGGGGAGGCTCAGGGAGATCATTCAGAAGCAGTTTTTCCAAAACCTTACATTGCGCTTAATATGTACCAGGGCACCTGTATCAGAAACTTTTGAAATGTTTAAAAATATATAAATTCCAAGCTGTGAGGGAACATTTACTGAATCTCTGAGATTATGCCTCAGTAATCTACATTTTAGAAAAATGCACTCCAACACTGAGTGACAGAGTGAGACTGTCTCAAAAACAAAACCCCAAAGTACCCCAGGTGATTCTTGTGTGCAGTGAAGTGTGAGAACCACTGATTTAAATTAATTGGTTAGTTCAATATTTGTTCTTTCTTCAACATGATCTTAAAACCAGAAATCCACATCAGAATATAACAGCAAGAGAGATGTCATAAAGATAATCTTGACTCAAATGTAAATGACTGACATCGTTAGTCATAAATTTAAAAAAGCATTGTTAGTCACAAAGTACTCGCAGCCCCGCTCCCTAATTGATCAACAAATAGGTTGTATATTGTTGTCTTTAAAGTTCAGACTCTGGGGCAGGGGCTGTGTTTTGTCTGTGCCTCAGTTTCTCACGTGTAAAACAGGATGAAAATATTCCTATTGTACAGGACTATTGTGATGGCTAAATGAGGTCACGTGTAGCAGGTATTTAGAAAAGTCCCTGGCACGCCCTCTCTAGGCCTAAGCTGGACTTAGCCATCATGCTAGGTCAGTTGCCATCAGTTAATCTGTCTTCCTTGCAGATAACTACCTCCTTGTCTTTTAAGAGGAGACAAACCTGAATCATGAATTTTGTCCTGAAGTACATTAGCTGGAGGGAACTTGTGAACTCAGGCACAGTGGCTGACACACAGCAGCACAGGACACAGTCTTCTGATAATGTTTTTACATGATCTGAAGCCATTTCATCATTAATTTTCTCATTAAACTATGCATGCAACAACAGATAGTGACTGAAGAGCTGCACCTGTGGATGTGGGTAGGCCGTGACTCTAATTTTCATCAGAGGAAGGCCATGGAGATCAGTTTGTTTCCTGGAGTGTTGTCTCATCTTTGCTTTAGACAGTGTGGTAGGTGGAAAAATGCCCACCCCTCCACCCCCCGCCCAAAAGCCCAATGCCCAACCCCTTCTCTCCAGAACCTGTGAATACGGTACCTTATGTGATAAAAGGTATTTTGCAGGTATGATTAAGAAACTTGGGATGGTGAGAGAATCATAGAATATCCAGGTGGGCACAATGTAATCACAGGAGTCTTTACAAGTGAGGAATCTTTCCCAGCTGAAGTCAGATTGAGAGACACACCCTTGCTGATTTTGAAGGTGGAGGAACGGGCTAGGAGACAAAGAATGCAGGCAGCCTTTAGAAGCCAGAAAAGGTAAGGAAATGAAACCTCTTTTAGGATCTCCAGAAGAAATGTAGCCCTGCCAACACTTTGGTTTAGATGGGTGAGATCCATGTCAGAATTTTGACTTACAGAACTGTTAGGTAGATATTTACGTTGTTTCAGCCGCTGAATTTGTGATAATTTGTTACAGCAGCAATACAAAACTAAGACACAGTCTTTGGGGACATGCCTTTTCCCCCTATAATAATATGTAAAATAAAATGGCATGTATTTTACCTTTTGTGCCCCCAAATAATTCCCTCCCACTCCAGTGGCACACCCCCTTGTCCTTCAAAATGAAGTAATTGGAAGTGAGAATTTGCCTTGAATATAAGAATTTGAAGTCTGATATTTCATTTCAGCAGATCATCTATCCTTCAGTGTGCGGTGTGTAAATCAGAATTATACCTTCTGTTTTTCACATCTTACTCCCGACTTCTTTGTATTTGATTGTATTTACCTCTGTTTTTTTTTACCTTTAGAAGTTTGTATCTACAGAGTTTTCATCAGTTGTCATTTTTAAAGATTGCTTGTTAAACTAATGTTTCACAGATTCTTCTAATCATGTGCGCAGAAATAGGGCCAAAATAATTGGTAATCACATCATATGCCCCACCACTTTAAAACTCCATAAAATTATAGTGTAACTAAATGAACCTAAAAGAAATAATGCAAGTGAAATATTTAAAAACCCTGACTAAGAGAGTTTTGCATGTATTTTTAAAATAGGCCATTACTTTAAACTTTGGTTACTTACTGAAGATAATTTTTAAAGCGATGATTAAAGATATATTTAAATTAAAATGTAGTTAAAAGGTAGAACATAGCTGCTTATAAAATCTCATCCGACTCAAAAACCCAGTGGAAGTAAATGTCTTCTGCACACTTAGGCATGGTTTATGGCATCTATATTTTGCAGGAGGAACAATAACAAAGTTTGCGGCTCAGTGAGAACACCAAAATTGATGGAAGCTTGCTTTGATTATGGCATACATTTATGACATCCACCATCAGCAAGTAAGAGCTTAATTTTCTAATTTATTTAAGCATTCACAAAGCCGTTTGCCTTTTTTTCCAAGGGAATGTCTCGGTAGTTTGTACTGGCTGCAACATATTTTTCCTTGGGAAACTTTGAAGCAAGTGGAATTCTTTATCTTGGGGGTGAAATGGCTGAAGATCATTTCAGGTGAAAGATGATAAAAATCCATAGGAGTTTTCAGTGTGATGTGGTCATCAGAAATGTTGATGACATCTTAAAAAAGAATTAGCTACACTCTCTACTTCATTCCTTGGTGCTATTCTGATCACAACAGGAGTAATGATTTCAGGGTCACCTCTGATAAGGGGCTGAGATACATCAAAGTGCACCCAGAGAACAGGGACAGGGATATTTCTATATAATTCATGTAAGGAACAGTTGGAGACATTAAGGCTACTATACTTGAAGAAGAAAAATCTGGTGCAATGTGATGGCTGAATTCAAACATTTGAAAAGATGACATGTAGAGAAAGAATTTGACCTGTCTTTCTGGAAGAGGTAGATGTGAGACCAGTGGATAAGACTTACACTGAAGTTGATTTCAGTTCTTCATAAAGAAGAGATTTCTTGGGATCAAAATGGTCTGAATATAGGAATGATTTTCTCTGTCCCTAGAGTTGCTCAAGCATAGCCAAAAAGCTTACCTCTTGTTCAGATTTAAAATTCAATGATTTTATGATGCTGTCTAAAAGTGAGCTCTGCCATGTATTGGGAAGTAAATGAGGCTATGTATTAGGAACTCTGAGTTACTTTAACTCCCCATTGCACTCTCTCCACCAGATGGAGTGAGGTTGGGTACTTGCTGCTGCTGAAAAGGAGTTCAAGTCTCTGTCTCCAGGACCTCATGTCTAAAGGGTGCGTGCGACAGCTATGTGATTCTAGGCCAGAGATGGCAACTATATGCCACTATGCCCTCCTCCTGCCTGTGGCAGATAATCTAAATGATGGTGGAACTCTCTCCTGATGCATAGGTAGAGCCTCAGGATCCTCCTCAGTACAACATCCTGACATTATTAGAGTTGGTATACAGATGAAGTCTGATTATTATTTCTGCTTTAGGACACAGTTTGCATGTCATTTCCAGATATAGCCCTTCTTGTCAGTTCCAGATATAGCCCTCTATGCTCTCCTCTGTGATGCCAGGGCTAGCACTAGACAAAATACATTTCTGCTCTGCTGGCTGGATCACTGTTAGGCCGGAGGAGCACTACAAGGCTGGAGGAGGAAGAAGTGACATTTTCTTTCCTTCCTGCTTTCTGTGGCTTCCTGTTTTCTCCTCTTCCTTATAAGCATAACCTAAGCCATGGCTGTTCCTTTCCCTAGTCATAGCTGAATTCAGTTTTCAGTTTTTCCAATTCCTAGAAACAGCTTCATGGCATCCTCTTTGGAGCAGTAGCACCTTTGAGCCAGTGCTCCTCTTCAGAAGTCTGAATTTTGACTGCATGGGACCCTATTTTCAGCTTCTGAGAATTGCTTATGCCAACCCCTTCCCTTTTAAGTTCCATTTCTAGGGGTATAGCCCTTTCTACATTTGCCACTCTGTGATACTTGACTTTTTTTCTGATTGTTTAATTACCTACAGCTTTATGCCTAATTAGAAGTTATTTGATTTCTCTGTTCAAATAATTGGTATGGCTTTTGTCTCTGAACATTTAACATTTACCCTAAGCTGATGATGGGCTGTTTCAGCACATACCTGATTAAGGACTAGTTGTGTTTAATTTCATTTTTTATTTTATTTTAAAAGTTAGAGCTATATGGAACTTTTACATAATCCAGTCCAATTCCCTCATTATAAAGATGCGGAAATTTAAGTTTCAGAAATGGTGGTGGAGGTGACATATGGCCTTCTTGTGACTTGGAATTGGAATTACAACTCAAGATATCAGACTAAGATAGCAAAGCTTTAGGAGGGAAATAACAGAAAAGAAATTGACCTTTAAGGCAACAGCCCAGTCCTGGGGGAGGTCTCAACAAAGCACTATGTCTCTACAGACACCAGGTCTTCTCTGGCCTCCTTTGGTTGGGAAATTAATTATAAGTTTAGTTTGTTGGTAGGAGAGGGACGGGCGACTATCTTAGAAGGTTCCAGAAGATATTGTGGGTGTTGCTAATAGAATGAGATTTAAAAACACCTTGGTAATTAAAATATCCTTTTAAGAGTGCTTGAATGATAAGAAAAATAGTAAAGAAAGAAAGGCTACTGTAGGTCAGATTCAGACCGTGTGTGTTCATGACAACGAGTTTTATGCTGTATGAAATTGTTAATGTTTGGATGCAATGTCAATTAATGTACTATAATAGTATAAAATAGTACAATGCAATATAAAAGTATAATACAGTAGTTATAAAGTGACTATAAATTTCCTCAAGGAACTTATGGATAAAGGGATCTGAAGAAAATAAGAATCAAAAATTAGCAATCGAAATGTTGTTGAAGAATAGTCAAAAAGTATCACAAATCAAGGAGTTTGTGAAAATGAAGATGATTATTCTCTAGCATGCAGTTGTAATCAAGTACTTCTTCCCTCAGTAGAGAAATATGAGTGGAAGGCAATAAAACAAAGACAGTTAAAATCACACCTGTTCTTCTGGTCCCAATACTTACATAACTGGGATTATCTGAATCCTGAGCTTCCTGCTAGTGAAATTGAATTATTTATTTTTAATAATGTTGGATCTTGCTTCTTAGGCATGTACTGTGTACCACGTATTTTACTAGGCACACATTGGTATACATTGTTTTATCTCATTTAACTATCTTGAGGAATCATGTTCCCCATTTTAGAGATGAGGAAACAGAGGCTCACAGAGGTTGGATAATTGTCCAAACTATCACAGCAACCAATAGTGGAGTCAGGATTGAACCCTGATCACCCTGATGCCAAAACTTCCACCAGCTCCAGCTGCCTCTTGCTTGGCCACCCTCTTCTTTGCTATTTATAATACTTACTTTATTAAACTACTAGTTCTTCAGAGATATACATAGCAAAATGCCTATGACTTTAAGTTAAATTGTTGACTGTAGCACAGACCCACCCAAAGAGTCTTCTAATACATATCTCTTTGTAGATGAAGACTTGGAGAAGGAGGACAGAGTGGGGTGGGGCTGGGGCAGGAAGAGGGATGCTGGGCCAGTCTGTCGGTGTGACAGGAACAGCCCCTGCCTGCACCTTGTTTAGCTCATCTGTCTCTTCTGTCGTCACAGTCATGATATGCACACACCTCTATGGCTAATGGCCTCCTGTTCCAGCTGTTAACCTCTGATTTGGTTCCTTGAAAAGAAAAGCCTGCTTCATCAGAGTTGCCCTTGCCAAAAGCTTTTAGCCTTTTAAATGCACAAAGGCCCTTGACAGACTTTTTATGATTCTTCATTTAGTTTTTAAATAGTGGAAAGCATTTTACATTTGTATTTGGTGCACAAGAGAAGTCTAACTGCTCCAAAGGGCCAAGGCAGTAAAAGAATCCCTGCTGCTGCTGGGGCTTTCTCAGTTCCAAATGATGCTTATGATGTTCAAATCCAAGACAGGAGAGACTGTGGGAGGGGTTTACCCTTAATCGCTCGCCTCCTTCTCCAGCTTATCACATGGAAGGAAAAGCTGGAGGAGGAGGAGACCAAGAGTGAGACGGGATCTAGGAATGGAACCAAAGTGCACCGAGGAGAGCAAGGAGGCAACTCAAGTTAAGTCAAGATCTGAATTCAGACCTGATCTGGCACCACAGTGAAGAGCTTGATCCCACACGGTCAGTGTTGAGACGGGACTGTCTCAGGATGAGCTCTAGACCACTGGGTCAGCTACGCCACAATAACTTTCTCTACTCAGGTCTATCTGAAAGCTGGAGAGAAGAACAATAGCCGAAAGTTTGCCAGAGAAACAAAGGCCATAAACATAACAAATGATTAATTGCATTTATTTTTTACTAAATTGACGGAGCCAATCTTTGTGCATCAATGTCAACTAGATACAGAGCAAAAGAGACAGTGACAGATATTCTTTCATTTCCCTTTACATTGGAGATGCCATTAGTAAATGTTAGTCGAGGCTTTGGCCATTAAATGTCATTTTCAGGGGATCTTAATTTCTTTGTAAAGTCTTCTCTGACATGGTTGGAAGGAAAAATAGTAGATAATAAAGGAATGAAATTCCCAAGTTGTATGGAACTTTTCTCTGGCAGATCCTGTGGGTTGTATGATCTGATCTCCATCTCCTATTGTAGAGAATCTAAAATGTAAAACCTCAAACTTTAAGGCTCTCTTGTAGAATAAGGAGGCCATGTGGCCCAGTTCTGGCCAATAATACATAAGTAGAAGTGTGTTGTTTTCATCTCTTTCCTGCTTGAATGCGGATGTGAGGTCTGGAACATTGGCAACCTGTGGTCGGTCATGAGGTAATAATAATAAGGGCAATAGCTAAGGGTGGCAGATGAAAAGATAAGAGTAGCTTGGCACCCTTGTGGGTCCCTAATGACATTACTGAGATTTTAGTTACCCCAGTCCTGGAGGGCCAATATCTAAGCTACTTTTAATGCAAAAAAAGACCCCCTAATTGCTTAAGCCAAGGCGGCCAATTTTCAGTTACTTGAAGCTGGAAATTTACTAACTAAAATGATATCTAAGCCTCATGTTTAAAACTTACTATATGAGGCTGGGGTGATTTTTTTCTTTTCTTCAAAAAATGTTCCAATATATTTTTCTCAAAGGAGTTGATACCTGATTTGATTAAGGAGAAGCCTTCCATTTCCTACAAATGATGTTAGAATGATTTCTACCTCCCGTTTTCTCCTTATTTTTCTGTAGATTGGTTGTCAGTGCTGCACTGATTCCCTCTCTAAAAGAAACTGTAAAGTACAAGAATCTTGACATCTCTTCTAATGAACTCAAACCTCAGTTCTTAAGGTTGGTAAGGGACAGAGAACTCTCCATGGTGGCAGTTGTGGCATGAGGGAGATTTCTTAGTAATAAGAGCAGCCTTGAGGGCTTGGGAGTCAGGTTTCAGCGTCCAGTCTGTCATCTTGCTCCATGTAGAGATTCTTACTCAGTGATCACTCTGTAGGTCAGGGTGGGATTTAATTAAGAATGGAGATAGACTCCATTATAGGAGCCTCTAAAAAAGCTTGCATATACTATTGCAGGGACATGGATGGAGATGGAGGCCATTATCCTTGGCAAACTAACACAGGAACAGAAAACCAAATACCGCATGTTCTCACTTGTAAGTAGAAGCTGGCCGGGCGCGGTGGCTCACACCTGTAATCCCAGCACTTTGGGAGGCCGAGGCGGGCGGATCACGAGGTCAGGAGATCGAGACCATCCTGGCTAACACGGTGAAACCCCATCTCTACTAAAATACAAAAAATTAGCTGGGCGTGGTGGCGGGCGCCTGTAGTCCCAGCTACTCGGGAGGCTGAGGCAGGAGAATGGCATGAACCTGGGAGGCAGAGCTTGCAGCGAGCTGAGATTGTGCCACTGCGCTCCAGCCTGGGTGACAGAGTGAGACTCTGTCTCAAAAAAAAAAAAAGATAAGTAGAAGCTAAACGATGAGAACACCTGGGCACCTAGAAACAACACATACTGGGGCCTTTCAGAGGGTGGAGGCTGGGAGGAGGGAGAGGATCAGGAAAATAACTAATGGGTACCAGGCTTAATACCTGGGTGATGAAATAATCTGTACAACAAACCCCCATGACACAATTTTACCTATGTAACAAACCCATACCTGTATCCCTGAACTTAAAATAAAAGTTTAAAAATTATTCATTCTAATAAAATATGTAATTGCTGGCGTTTTGAATCCTGATAGTTTGTTTGGTGTGGCTGAAATCTGTTAACACTGTTTGTTGCTTCATTCTTGAGACTGGCTAGGATCTTCTATATGCATATGTATACACATATGTAACTTTCATTTTCTGAGGTATAACTGATCATTCTAAGGTAGTGGTTCTTGATCAGAAATAATTTTGCCTCCTCCTTCCCCTTAATAAAAATAAAAACAGATTTTTATTGTGTTTATGCAAATAACTGTATTGTCATAAGTTAAGAACACATACAAAGAGTTTCCAAATTCTGTAAATATCTGGTAGAGAGAAATAAATAAGCTCCAAATTTTGTTCATAGGAGTATATGGCATTTGGCAGTGTCTGGATCCATTTTTGCTTGCCAAAATTGGTATAGGGTGCTACTGGCATTGAATGGGTGAAGGCCAGGGAGGCTGCTCAACATCCTAGAATGCATTGGACAACACTCCCACTCCCTGCCCACAGCAAAGAATTGTCTAGAGGCCCTAAATGTCAATAATGTCAAGGTTGAGAAACACTGTCCTGGTTCATTGTCTTTTTAAAAAAAATTATTATCATGCTCTGTCATATTCTGGAGTCAGAGGACATGAGTATTTTCATGTAGGTTGTGAGCTAAATGTGCCCTTATAGGTACTGTAGCAAAATTGGATCTTGGGAGTAAATATTCAAACTTAGAGAGAAGCAAGATGCTGAAACAAAATTCTAAGAGGGATTATGAAATATATAACAAGAGAAAGGGGCATAGCACCTACCCTGATATAATGAAAATTAGGAGGGGCTTTTCTCTTAAAGCTCCTGTGGAAGGACACACCTCTGCTTTGCCTGGAGCTATTATTTCTCTTTTGGGGTATGTTTCACTTTTCTCCAGTTAGGTTAGGAGCTTTTGAGGACAAGTATTCTACTTATCATCTGTTGAATTCCAAGCCTATATTGTGTCTTAAGTTTGATAGATTCTCAATAAACAGCTGTTGTAAAATATGAGGCAAATGAAATTGAATGCAGCTTCATTAATGAATTCAGACTCATCTAGCATGAACTCTGGTGATTTGGAAATTAAATAAAAGAATCTTAGTTATTTGATACCTTTTCCACATATTTCATTAAAAACACAGTCATAAAATGATAAAATTATATATTTGGATTATAAACTACCTATTGCCAACAAAATGTATTCCAAGATGTGGCAATTTTCTTCTTTCATCAGGCTGCTGGCTGAGAAAGTCAGGCTTTGATTTCTCCCTTCTCTTTCATAGACATTAACAAATTAAAAATAAGATTAATAATTTATCAAAAATGAGCTGAATATTTTCTTCTATTTCCCAGCTAGACAGCAGTGCTGTCTTACTTTAAAACCAATCTTTATTTTATATTGTGTACTTCATGTTCCAAAACAAAACTGATTTTATTTTATGCAAACAACTAAGCAGTCATCATAGAATAAGACTGATTTTGAAAACCTTCCTTTTTCTTTTAAAAAAATTAGTGTTAATAAAAACATGGTATACTGTTAAATTTAGCTTAAAATTATTGTGTACGTGGACATTTTTGGCCACTTAAATAGTCCACTCAGTTCAGGAATATAGGGCTAGAGAGAGGATTCTTTTCTACAGTGATTTTGTATTATAAGTATTATAAAAAACAATTTAAAAGGAGGAATTCATTACTTCTTGCCATGTAAGTCTTCCTTAATGAATAGACCATAATGGCTTTTCTTGAAGGACTTTCTGGTGATTTTTTTTTTTTTTGCACAAACTTACGCTATAGTGGAACAAACTTGTGGGAATAATGGCAATATTTTTCTTCTGCATGGTTTATAGAAACTCCATTGTTATATGTGTTTATAAATAAAATTATAAGATAATGTACATTTGCTTATGCCAAATGAACTTAAGAACCTTAACAATGTTCCACATATAACACAGAAATAGGCTGATATACTGCATTTGTCATTCAACCAATTTTTGTTAAGTATTAAGTACTTACTATGTGCCAGGCATTATTCTGTTTATTTCTACAGTCATGTTTGCTTTACAACCTTCCTTTTAAAACCAAGTAAAAGTCAGTCCATTCCTCAACCTGGTTAAAGGTACCTTTAATTATCCTTTAGGATAAAATAAGGTCAAACTCTTTTAGATATTTAAATTTTGAAACTCCTTATTTTTTAATGGTATAACTAACTCTGGCTTTACCACATAAATTCTGATATCTAAGGGAAAATTTGACCTGTGGATACTGTGAACCCTGAAAATCTGAGATAGGTCTCAGTTAATTATTTTTTTTTTTTGAGGCAGAGTTTCACTCTTTTGCCCAGGCTGGATTGAAGAGGCACAATCTTGGTTCACTACAACCTCCAATCTCCAGGTTCAAGGATTCTCCTGCCTCAGACTCCTGAGTAGCTGGGATTACAGGCATCCACCAACATGCCTGGCTAATTTTTTTATTTTTAGCAGAGACGGGGTTTTGCCATATTGGCCATGCTGGTCTCAAACTCCTGACCTCATGTGATCCACCCGCCTTGGCCTCCCAAAGTGCTGGGATTACAGGCATGAGCCACCGTGAGCAGCCAAATCTCAGTTAATTTAGAAAGTTTATTTTGCCAAAGTTGAGGATGGATGCCCGTGACACAGCCTCAGGAGGTCCTGACAACATGTGGCCAAGGTGGCAGGGGCACAGCTGGATTTTATACATTTTAGGGAAACGTGAAACATCAATGTGTGTAAGATGTACATTGGTTCAGTCCGGAAAGGCGGGACAACTTGAAGTGGGGAGGGGCCTTCCAGGTCATAGGTAGATAAGAGACAAATGGTTGCATTCTTTTGAGGTTCTGATTAGGCCTTCCAAAGGAGGCAATCAGATATGCATTTGTCTCAGTCAACAGAGAGGTGACTTTGAATAGAATGGGAGGCAGGTTTGCCTTCAGCAGTTCCCAGCTTGGCTTTTTCCTTTAGCTTAGTGATTTTGGGGCCCCAAGATATTTTCATTTCATATTTCCTCCCTTTTCTTTTTAAAAATATTTTGGAGAAAGCATTTTATAAAAAAATGAGTCTCTCATCTCAGGTCTCATTTGATCTCTCATGGCTAGGATGGTTTATTCCTAGACAGGTAGGTCCCAAGTTATTAGGAAAGCTCATATTTAGAAGATCGTAAAGTCTCATGTCCTATGAAGAGAAAATAGGGGGATGAAGGGAATAAAACAACAACAAACAAAAGAACAATCCTGGAAAATCAATATAGGCCACATTACTCTGAAGTCCATACATCAGTAGGTAGATATGAAAGTGGCTTATATATATAAATAAGTTGCTGTTATTTTCTTTTGAAGTTTAAGTTGTCTAGCTTAAGTTTGCAGGGATTTATGAAAGCACAGCCTAGTTTTCAGTGACTCCAAATTAGGAAAAATGGGAAAAAAGGAAAATAATTGAAAACATTATTTTGAAGACTTGCAGCCAAGAAAAATTAGAATTCAGTTCAAACTGTAGAAAACAATAAAAATTGAAAAACATTAGGCAAGATTAGAATCTAACAATAGGTATACTATAGTTTTTGAAACATTATTTTTCTCTCTCCAGTTTCCCATTTTTACTAAAGACAAGTCATGGTAGAACTGGTTTGCTTTATTATACTTGGCCTAATTATTTGCATACAGTGCAGCTAAAATAATTGCATTGGGTAAATTTCTCTCCTCTTGAGGTTCCACAGTAAACCTGGGGCACCTGAGCATGTCAGAAAGTGACATTCTTTACTTACCATAGGTCAGGAACCCTGTACAGGTACTGTGCAGACAAAGGTATGAGGCTAGTTTTTTTCAAGGGGCTTTTATTGTCTCCATAAATCAAGCTTGATTCCTTAAATGAAAGCACACCATTCCAGTCAAAGCCTTGGTAAAACGTTTCTCCAATTGTGTTTCGTTACAAATGAAAACAGATTTTTTTTTTTTGAGATGGAGTCTCACTCTGTCACCCAGGCTGGACTGCAGTGGTGCAATCTCGGCTCAGTGCAACCTCTGCCTCCTGGGTTCAAGTGATTCTCCTGCCTCAGCCTCCCAAGTAGCTGGGACTACAGGTGCCTGCTAGCATGCCAAGATAATTTTTGTATTTTTTGGTAGATAAGGGGTTTCACCATATTGGCCAGGCTGGTCTTGAACTCCTGACCTTGTGATCCACCTGCCTTTCCCTCCCAAAGTGCTGGGATTACAGGTGTGAGCCACTGCGCCTGGCTGAAAACAGATTTTTATTGCACTTATACAAATAACTGTATTGTCATAAGTTAAGAATACATACAAAGAGTTTCCAAATTCTGTAAAAATCTGGTAGAGATAAATAAATATGCTCCAAATTTTGTTCATAGGAGTATACTTTAGTCAATTGGTAAAAGCTGTAAGTAGCTTAAAACTTTTCCTGATTCTGGAACAAAGCAAATGTTTTAAGCAAAATTAAAAAAAAATTACTTCAGACTTTTGTTAGTTTAGTCATGTGGTTAATTCCTGTTCTGTGTGATATTCATGAACATTTCAGCTCTCCATGAGTCCTGAAAGTTTTTCCTCTATTCTGCTGTCACAAGCTGCAAAGCTATCAGAAACCTGCATTCAAGAGCACCTGTTAGAGTTTATAGCTGATTATAAAACCATCTTCTAAAGAGGACTAAAACAAGACAACAGTTGTTCATGGATGACAAAAAGTTTTAGGGCAGCTGTAGTCAAAGACACAATTGACAAGGAAATTTGTTACCTCTGTGGCACACAATAATTTGACATAAAAATTATAATTATTACTGATAATGTACATTAAGTCTTACCACAATTATAGGAGTTTCCCATAATTTTGGAACACATACTAATAACATATTTGTACAAATATAGCCCAAAGAAAACCAAACACTGTTTTATATTTGACAATGCTTTCTGTATAATTTTTATACCAAATATATCAGTTTTGGACTTTAGGGAACCTATTAATAATATCTTAAAGGATTAATTAGGTCAGAGAGAGACAACTTATAATTTGATTTTGGAAAGTTTGTCAGATATCAAAGGTTTAAAACATTTGATATTACGAAACAGAATCACAGGTCATTGTAAAACAAGTCATTCATTTAACCATAGTGATAACTGAAGGATTTTTTAAAAAAGGTGGAAACCTTCATTCTTCGAGAGAGGAAACTTAATTTTCCAAACAATAAGCCCTAATAAAAACATTGTGAAGCAAATTAAATTTTTTTTCAAAATTTTATAAGCAATCTATAAAATTTTCATCCTGATCACAAGATATAACTTTGATAAGCCTTTATAACCTTTATTAAGGAGTCAGTTAATTCTTCAAGAAAACCTTGTTAATCTGACACAGAGGCCCATATGCTAGTTGTGCATCAGTGTGCCTTTGATATTAATGATTAATTTATAGAGAAACTAAACTTATTTTATCTTTCAAAATTGGTGCTTACAATCTCACATGCCCACCTCTTCTGAATAGCTTTAGTTTTTGGTCCTATGTCTCAGGAATGCAGTTTGTTTTCATTAGCATCATCTACCATGCCTGAAGATGAGGTTTTAATTGCTGTCAATGTTTAAGATTTAGCAAGACTTGCTGTTTTTTTAGACCTAGGAGTCAAAGCCCTGTAACTCAATGTCACAGAGACTTTAAAAGCACATACAGGAAGACACAAGGATGTAATAACCTTCATTAATTTTTTTAAATCTCAGTTTTTCCTAAGCAAACCAAACTTAAAAATAATGGCATATAAATTATTTTGATAAAACATAAAATCTTTTAGGCCAGTTACCAAAACGCAAACTAAAAGGACTTCTGCAGTGCACAGAATATGTCAGAAGAAAAAATTTTTTTAGACCTTTAAGAAAACATTGTTAGCATTAGGCCACAAAAATCAGAACCCAAGAAGGAAAAAAAACTTATATGAGCTGAAAATGTGTTGAAGGGGCATGTTGCTATTTTGTGCCTTTGAACAGGGGAGAGAAAACCAAAACTGGCAAGATGAAATAAAAGTTGAACCTTGGGATAAAATAAAAAAAATTAAATCTCTTAAAATTTATTTAATCAACCCCTAAGAAAATTTTATTGTTCTAACCAATTCTTTGGTGTATAAGTGCCTTTTTTTTTACATCAAACCCAATTTCTAGAAAGACCATTATAATTTCCCTTTAATCATAGACAACTTGATCATATAAAAATTTTTAAATATTCTTATTGTGACTTACACAGACTGTTTATGACATGCTTGGACTTTCTAGTTTGTCCTGAAGATCCCTCTTTCTTAATCAGTCATTTCATTCTAGGACTAAATTTACCATACAAGATTCTTTCTGATATGAAATTCCTTTTCTTTAAGCTTTCTTACTAAAAAAAAAAAAAAAACCCTCTTTATTTTTATAACTTTCTTTACATCTCTTATTTCCTGGTTCCTTTTACCTTGTGTTATAAATGACCTTTAAATAAGCTTTGAATTAGATAAAAATTGTTCACCTTTTAAAAAAAATATACTTTTTTTAAAGAAAGAATGTTTTCTTACAAATATACTTTTATTGGAAAACCCAATTAATGAAATATCTATTATTTAATTTAACTTTAGATTCTAAATTATGTTTGCCTACAAGTATTTTATCCTATTACAGTTACTTAATTATTTTATTTTAATCACTTACCTAGATTATTTATAAAAACTGCAATTGTCATTATTTAAAGTTATGGAACCATCATTACAAAATTATAACTTAGACAGTGAAAAAGATTTGACCTAACTGACTCCATCTTGCTTCTAACTTCTAAGCTGTCCTTGTTCATTCCTGGGCATAGGCCAAACTAACTTTGGGAGGAACTTAGTTTATAGTTTAGCTTTGAAACAAAGACAATAGCAGTCCTTCCCCAAAGCAAATCTTACTGCATGTGGACTAGACTGCCTAAAGCCACAAGATTAGAAGTTACAGTAATCTTACTAAATTCAAGATGTAGGTATTTTTATTAAATGAATATCAATATCTTATCTATTAAGGATTATGTAAGCAAAGATCATTCTGTCTTGGGCTGGGTTTATAGTTTTGTAACCCTTATGCCAAATGTTGACACATTCTGGTATTTGGCAGGGATAAGCATGAAATTGTTTGGTTAATAAATGCAAACAAAAATGCAGGCTGGCAATTCTTAAGATATTTCTAATATTACTTTACCAATAATTTTAAAGCTAGCTTATTTATTAAAGATTTTACTTAAGTTACATAAACTTGAAAAAGCATTTGACTAGCCTTATCTTTTTTCCTGATAAAGTATTTGATTCAAGCACTTTTATTTTCTTAAGCTAATTAATTAGAGCTCTTTTATATATTTTCAGTAGTGAAACATTGTGTACACAACACATACATAGACATATTAGGCATGCCAATAGACGTACTTATTAGATATTCATAAAAACCTTTTTTTCCTATCTTAGACTTTAAGATTCTTGATAACCTGTTTTACAAGCCTAGACCCTTGTCAGCTAAGTAGCCATAAATTTGGATAGTAAAGGAAACAACTCAGGTGAAAATCAAATAGCAAAATTTACCTCATAATGTACAGAGAGGAAAAAATCTGGCAGTATTAGAGGGAGATTAAAGATGGATGCCAAATCAAACATAAAATTACAGAAATCTGTCACAGGATTGTATAAGGAGACCAGTTTTGTTTAGATAAGGACCACCTATCTTTTAACTGGATCTCTGTTCTGTGGGCAGAACCCACGGTGAATCCTGAATCTCCAAAAAGGGAGAATTATTATGAGGTTAGACCACCTTATGCTTCTACAGTGCACTTAAAAATTTTTTATGGTGTTATTTTCTTTCTTTTTTTTAATTATACTTTAAGTTCTGGGATACATGTGCGGAATGTGCAGGTTTGTTACATAGGTATACACATGCCATGGTGGTTTGCTGCACCCATCAACCCATCATCTACATTAGGTATTTCTCCTAATACTATCCTTCCCCTAGCATCCCTGACAGGCCCCCATGTGTGATGTTCCCCTCCGTGTCTACGTGTTCTCGTTGTTCAACTCCCACTTATGAGTGAGAACATGCGGTGTTTGAGTTTTCTGTTCCTGTGTTAGTTTGCTAAGAATGATGGTTTCCAGCTACCAATCCTATTCAACATAGTATTGGAAGTTTTGGCCAGGGCAATCAGGCAAGAGAAATAAATAAAGGGTATATAGGAAGAGAGGAAGTCAAATTGTCCCTGTTTGCAGATGACATGATTGTATATTTAGAAAACTCCATTGTCTAAGCCCAAAATCTCCTTAAGCTGATAAGCAACTTCAGCAAAGTCTTAGGATACAAAATCAATGTGCAAAAATCATAAGCATTCCTATACACCAATAATAGACAAACAGAGAGCCAAATCATGAGTGAACTCCCATTCACAATTGCTTCAAAGAGAATAAAATACCTAGGAATCCAACTTACAAGGGATGTGAAGGACCTCTTCAAGGAGAACTACAAACCACTGCTCAACAAAATAAAAGAGGACACAAACAAATGGAAGAACATTCCATGCTCATGGATAGGAAGAATCAATATCGTGAAAATGGTCATACTGCCCAAGGTAATTTATAGATTCAATGCCATCCCCATCAAGCTACCAATCACTTTCTTCACACAATTGAAAAAACTACTTTAAAGTTCATATGGAACCAAAAAAGAGCCCACATTGCCAAGACAATAATAACCAAAAAGAACAAAGCTGGCAGCATCACACTACCTGACTTCAAACTATACTACAAGGCTACAGTAACAAAACAGCATGGTGCTGGTACCAAAACAGATAGGTAGACCAATGGAACAGAACAGAAGCCTGAGAAATAACACCACACATCTACAACCATCTGATCTTTGACAAACCTGACAAAAATAAGAAATAGGGAAAGGATTCCCTATTTAATAAATGGTGCTGGGATAACTGGCTAGCCATATGTAGAAAGCTGAAACAGGATCCCTTCCTTACACCTTATACAAAAATTAACTCAAGATGGATTAAAGACTTAAACGTTAGACCTAAAACCATAAAAACCCTAGAAGAAAACCTAAACCTAAGCAATACCATTCAGGCCATAGGTGTGGGCAAGGACTTCATGATTAAAACACCAAAAGCAATGGCAACAAAAGCCAAAATTGACAAATGCGATCTAATTAAACTAAAGAGCTTCTGCACAGCAAAAGAAACTACCATCAGAGTGAACAGGCAGCCTATAGAATGGGAGAAAATTTTTGCAATCTACTCATCTGACAAAGGGCTAATATCCAGAATCTACAATGAACTCTAACAAATTTACAAGAAAAAACAACCCCATCAAAAAGTGGGCAAAGGATATGAACAGACACTTCTCAAAAGAAGACATTTATGCAGCCAACAGACATGTGAAAAAATGCTCATCATCACTGGCCATCAGAGAAATACAAATCAAAACCACAATGAGATACCATCTCACACCAGTTAGAATGGCAATCATTAAAAAGTCAGGAAACAACAGGTGCTGGAGAGGATGTGGAGAAATAGGAATGCTTTTACACTGTTGGTGGGAGTGTATACTAGTTCAACCATTGTGCAAGACAGTGTGGTGATTCCTCAAGGATCTAGAACTAGAAATACCATTTGACCCAGTGATCCCATTACTGGGTATATACCCAAAGGATTATAACTCATGCTACTATAGAGACACATGGACACGTATGTTTATTGTGGCACTATTCACAATACCAAAGACTTGGAACCAACCCAAATCTCCATCAATGATAGACTGGATTAAGAAAACTTGGCACATATACACCATGGAATACTATGCAGCCGTAAAAAATGATGAGCTCATGTCCTTTGTAGGGACATGGATGAAGCTGGAAACCATCATTCTCAGTAAACTATCGCAAGAACCAAAAACCAAACACCGCATATTCTCACTCATAGGTTGGAATTGAGCAATGAGAACAACTGGACACAGGGTGGGGAACATCACACACTGGGGCCTGTCGTGGGGTGGGCGGTGGGGGAGGGATTGCATTAGGAGAAATACCTAATGTAAATGATGAATTAATGGTTGCAGCACACCAACATGGCACATGTATACATATGTAAGAAACCTGCACGTTGCGCACATGTACCCTAGAACTTAAAGTATAATAAAGGAAAAAATAATACACAACTATTAAAAAATAAAAATTAAAGACATATTTCTTACCCAGAAACTGATGTCATAGTGTCTAACATTTTTGAACTTATTTAGAGGAAGATAACTTTTTTACCATAGGGTTTTCTTGAAAATTTAAGGTGCATTGCAAAGCTGTATTTAGGATGATGCCAAGAAAGAAAACAGCAGCTATCTTCCAGCCAATCTCTGAGAATCACTAATATAATCTACCAGAAATGATATTTAAGCAGACAGGTAAATAAAACCAGAACTCAAAGCCATAATTTAAATAAATGGCTAATATTGCTTTAATGATGTTCTTTAGGTCCTCATGCTATGTTGGAGAGAGCCAAGAATGAGAAGTAGTGCTTCTAGGCCTGTCTGTCTTACCCACAACCCACCTTGACAGCTATAAATGGGAAAGGTGATACCTGACTCAAAGGTGGGGCCTCAGTGTTGCTGCCCTTAGTCTTATTTTGGTCTTGGTTTTAGCACTTATTTCAAAATAGAGCAGGAGGCTGGGCTATAATTATCTAACACCTAGAAACTCCCAAGCTCCGTCTCTTTCCAACATTTACATCTAAAATAATATAGGTAGTAGTTAAGATCTTGGGCTCTGAGGACGGAGGACTTAGGTGCCAATGTCACCTCTGCTTCTTACTGGTGGTGTGACATTGAACAATAAATTAATCCTTCTGAGAATTGTTCCCTTCACCTGTCAAATGTGAATAAAAACAGATTTGCCTTGTATGGTCATTGTAAAACAATATCTCCAAGTCATTGAATTTGGTAGGTGCTTATGAATATTCACTATTAGTGCCAGGATCCCATTTCAAGGACATGTAGGTGGCCTTTTGGGGCCAGTCAGACTAGTAGAACCTTAAATGAGACCTTTATTAAGGTTATGGTCCCTGTATAAAAGTATGATGTCTCCAGCTGTCTAGATTCGTTACACTACCGCTTATAAGCTATATGACTTTAGGTAAGTCCCTTAATCTTTTTGTTCTTTAAATTCTGCAACTTTAAAATGCAGTTTATAATCCTACCTGTTTTATAGGATTGTACTCAGAATTGAATGAGTTTATATTTGTAAAATGATTTTTGTAGTGTATGGCATGTATTAACTCTTATATGAGTACAGCTTTAAAAAATTCATTGTGGAAGCCAGGTCATTGATATCCTCAGTCTGGTTAGAGAATAGACATTCTGAATATGGCTTCTATAAGAAAGAGGAAAAAATGCCCTTCCTTACTGTATAATTCATCCTAGTCCCAATCTCTCCAGTCTCTGAAAGAATTCACATTATGTGCTAAGAGAGTATTAACTCACAGACAGCTTTCCTGGGAGGTTCCCTTTTCAGCTCTCCTGGAAGCTCTCACAAGAGTCAGCACTTTGTGAAATTTGGCCCCTGAGTGTGTAGGATCTGGGCTGTATCACATACTGATCTTTGGGTCTCTCCATGTCCATCAGCCTTAAATCAGACAATTACCCACATGCTGACCAACCCACATATCCACTGGAGCAATGCAAAATGCTGTATGAAAAACAGCATGCAGATAATCATCAAACAGCTAATTTTAAGAGTTGAGGAAATCCAGGAAGAGAGTTTTGTAACAGGCCTTAGAAAAATATGGCCTGATTTCTCCCTACACTGGGGAGTGGGACACCAGCCAGCATATTTTCTGCAAGTCTTGGCAGGAGGAGGGCTGGGTAACAAGTCTCATGTGACCAGGTACCTGGAGGAAATAATTGAATAATGGAGATGGGCCTTTCCCATGCTTTTCTTGTGACAGTGAATAAGTCTCACGAGATCTGATGGTTTTAAAAATGGACGTTTCCCTGCACAAACTCTCTCTTTGCCTGCTTGCATCCATGTAAGACATGGCATGTTCCTCCTCATCTTCCACCATGATTGTGAGGCCTACCCAGCCACATGGAACTGTGAGTCCATTAAACCTCTTTCTTTTGTAAATTGTCCAGTCTCAGGCATGTCTTTATCAGCAGCATGAATACAGACTAATACAATAAATTGGTACCAGTAGAGTGGGGTGCTGCTGAAAAGATACCCAAAAATGTGGAAGCTACTTTGGAACTGGGCAACGGGCAGAGGTTGGAACAGTTTGGAGGGCTCAGAAGAAGAGAGGAAAATGTGGGATAGTTTGGAACTCCCTAGAGACTTGTTGAATGGCTTTGCCTAAAATGCTGATAGCAATATGTACAATAAAATCCAGGCTGAGGTGGTCTCAGATGGAAATGAGGAACTTGTTGGGAACTGGAGCAAAGATGACTTTTGTTATGTTTTAGCAAAGAGACTGGTGGCATTTTGTGCCAGCCTGAGAGATTTGTGAAACTTTGAACTTGAGAGAGATGATTTAGGGTATCTGGCAGAAAAAATTTCTAAGCAGCAAAGCATTCAAGAGGTGACTTGGGTAATGTTGAAGGCATTCAGTTTTATAAGGGGAAGCGGAGCATAAAAGTTCAGAAAATTTGCAGCCTGACAATGCAATAGGAAAGAAAAACCCATTTTCTGGGGAGAAATTCAAGACGGCTGTAAAAATTTGCATAAGGATCAAGGAGCCCAATGTTAATTACCAAGACAGTGAGGAAAATGTCTCCAGGACATGTCAGAGGTCTTTATGGCAGCCCTTCCCATCACAGGCCCAGAAGCCTAGAAGGAAAAAAAAAGTGGTTTTGTGGGCCAGGCACAGGGTCCCCTTGATATGTGCAGCTAGGGACTTGGTGCCCTGTGTCCCAGCCACTCCAGCCATGACTGAAAGGGGCCAAAGTTCAGTTCAGGCCATGGCTTCAGAGGGTGCAAGCCTCAAACCTTGGCAGCTTCCATGTGGTGTTGAGCCTGTAGGTGCACAGAAGTCAAGAATTGAGGTTTGAGAACCTCTGCCTAGATTTCAGAGGATGTATGGAAGTGCCTGGATGTTGAGGCAGAAGTTTGTGGCAGGTGCAGGGCTCTCATGGAGAAACTGTGTTAGAGCAGCATGGAAGGGAAATGTGGGGTCAGAACCCAGACACAGAGTCCCTACTAGGGCAATTCCTAGTGGAGCTGTGAGAAGAGGGCCATTGTCCTCCAGACCCTAGAATGGCAGATCCACTGACAACTTGCACTGTGTGCCTGGAAGCCGCAGACACTCAATTCCAGCCCATGAAAGCAGCCAGGAGGGAGGCTGTACCCTGCAAAATCACAGGGATGGAGCTGCCCAAGACCATAGGAACCTACCTCTTGCATCAGCGTGACCTGAATGTGAGACCTGGAGTCAAAAGAGATAATTTTGGACCATTAAAATTTGACTGCCTCAATGGATTTCAAAGTTGCATGGGCCCTGTAACCCATTTGTTTTGGCCAATTTCTTCCATTTGGAATGGCTGTATTTACCAAATACCTGTACCCCCACTGTATCTAAGAAGTAACTAGCTTGCTTTGATTTTGCAGGCTCATAGGCAGAAGGGACTTGCCTTGTCTCAGATGACACTTTGGACTGTGGACTTTTGGGTTAATGCTGAAATGAGTTAAGACTTTGGGTAACTGTTGGGAAGGCGTGATTGGTTCTGAAATGTTAGGACATGAGATTTGGAGGGGCCAGGGTCAGAATGATCTGGTTTGTCTGTGTCTCCACCCAAATCTCAACTCGAATTGTATCTCCCAGAATTACCACATGTTGTGGGAGGGACCTGGGGGAGGTAATTGAATCATGGGGGCCAGTTTTTCCCATGCTGTTCTCATGATAGTGAATAAGTCTCACGAGATCTGACAGTTTTAAAAATGGGAGTTTCCCTGCGTAAGGTGTCTCTCTCTGCCTGCTGTCATCCATGTAAGATGTGACTTTCTCCTCCTTGCCTTCCACCATGATTGTGAGGTCTCCCCAGCCACATGAAACTGCGAGTCCATTAAACCTCTTTCTTTCATAAATTGCCCAGTCTCGGGTATGTTTTTATCAGCAGCGCAAAAACGAACTACTACAAAGGCCCTCTGGTTTTCACACCTCCCTTGTCTTTCATTGCTTTTCTCCAATACACCCATGGTCCTCTTAACTCTTTTAATCCAGTGTCCTTATAATGACTATTTCCCATGAAATTTTCAAATGCATGGTATGCTATATCCACCAGTGCATTCCTGTAATCCCATTCACCACAAGCTTCACAATAGCACTGCACTCACTTGCCAGAGGCTTTCCATTGCTTCAGCTTCTGCAGTGCCAGGTCCTCATTGCAGCCTTGCTGCTAGTAATCTAGTGCATTTCATTTTAGAGTCTGCTCCCTTGGATCACTTCTTGTTTCACTTCTGCTTGGCTTATCCAGATACAGACTTTAAAACTCAGATTTTCATGCAATAATATTATTAGGGAATATTTTCAGGAATAACACCTAGGAGAGGTAAGAAAAGCAAGAAAGGGGAGAGGAAGAAGTTGAACTGCCATGCAATTACAATAGAATATTTAGCTGGTCCTATTAGAATTTCTGATACTGGTATTTTTTTTTCCAGTTGTTCCTCTTTGAGGCAAGGGGGCTGGGCTTTTGTACTTTACATTAAGCAGTTTTTTGGATGAGGGCTGTCATAGAGGAGGGTACATAAACTTGGTGAGGCAGCTCACTTTGGTCAAGGTGAAATTACTGGAGAGCCATCGGTCACTAAGACTCCCAGTAGCTGGGGGAATAAGTCTCTCAGTCCTGAAGGAGGGGGATCTGGATGGTGTACCTCAGTATCCACCACAAGATCAAATGAAATAATACATGTAAAATGCTTGTTGGAGCTTCTGATACTAGTTCATGCTGAAAAGTTTATGATGGTCACCATCCTTTCTCTTGAAAATCCGCTCAATTCTGACACATGGAATTTTTCAGGTAATTGGGTAAGTGTGACCTGGTTGGTAAGCATGGTATGGATTTTAGGTCTGGGTAAAGGTTAGAGTACACTGAAGTCCTGCGAGAACTGGACTGAAATAATTACAACTGTGTTTGACCTTTGTTCTTTGCTTCTGCAATTATAGACAAGAATGCCATGGGAGACCTGACTCTCTCAACCCCTCCTCCACAGCACAGTGTGTCCCTCTCTTCCCTCCAAGACTCAAACTCTACTGAAGCTTGAAATGGCTTTTACCAAAATGTGGGAGAAAGCTGTGCCCTTTTAGTAAAAATTTCCATGAAGATATAGGAGTGAATTTATTAAATGCATTTTTTTCTTTGGAATTAAATGAACAACCTAGGGCTTTTTTTTTTTTTCACTTGTGGACAGATTGCTAACACTAAGCTAAAGTTAGTCATTTGTCTGGTTAATGGTGGTAAATTGTAGTCTTTGCTTATTTTCAGGGAGGAACATCATTAATGTCTCAGATCAGAGCAAATTAAAGCACAGGTGTATGGCAGCTTTATCCCCCCAAAACCAAAATATTCCCAATGCAGAACCATTGAATACTATTTAAAACAAGATTTCAAAGTCATTCTCACAGACAGATAGGGGGCAAAACATTTTACTCCTAGGCATGCCAGGGTAATTGTGGACTCTAAAGGTTCATAAAATATAATGACTTCTTTGCAAAGAACTCTTGGAGGAAAGTTCTCAAGATTCAGGTATTGGGTTTTTATTTGGCCTTTTCTAAGGGAAGCTTGCTGAACTCCTGAATGAATTAGCACATGCAGACTCCTTTGGTGATTTTTGAATCTCTGCCCTGCAGAAAAGTAAGATTCTGCCTTGAATCAATTCAGTGACATTTTTACATGGAGCTTGAAAAATTGGACATTACATAAACCAAATTCCCCAAACTCTTGGGCCTTTCTTTCACTAGGAACAATACTAAAGTGAAAAAGAGCATTTGAAATGAAACAGATTGAACGTTATTTCATGTTAGAAGCGTGGGAAGATTTATAAGTACACATCTGAGCTGCCTCGTGGACCCATTATGATTTTTTTTTTTTGAGATGGAGTCTCGCTCTGTTGCCCAGGCTGGAGTGCAGTGGCACGATCTCGGCTCGTTGCAAGTTCCACCTCCTGGGTTCATGCCATTCTCCTGCCTCAGCCTCCCAAGTAGCTGGGACTACAGGCGCCCACAGCCACACCCGGCTAATTTTTTGTATTTTGTTTAGTAGAGACGGGGTTTCACCGTGTTAGCCAGGATGGTCTCGATCTCCTGACCTCATGATCTGCCCGCCTTGGCCTCCCAAAATGGGACACATTATGATTTAATCTGTTTTATATTTTGCTTTTCCAATAGACTTTTTGGAATGTTTCATTGGAGTGGGTGAAAACACATTTACTGATAAAATTTTAAGGGAACCGAAGCCACTGAGATGTGGCTTTGGAATTGTACAACATTATGCTGGTTATTCTTAAGATCAGATCTTATATTTTGATGGAGGTTATGATTTAATTAAAAAGATATGACCAGGCGTGGTGGCTCACACCTGTAATCCCAGCACTTTGAGAAGCTGATGCAGGCAGATCACTGAGGTCAGGAGTTTGAGACCAGCCTTTCGCACATGGTGAAACCCAGTCTCTACTAAAAATACAAAAAATAGGCATGGCGGCATGTGAAGGTAATCCCAGCTACTTGGGAGGCTGAGACAGGAGAACCACTTCAATCTTGGAGATGGAGGTTGCAGTGACCTGAGATCCTGCTGCAACACTCCAGTCCGGGCAAAAGAGAGAGACTGTCTCAGACAAAAAAAAAAAAAAAGAAGATAGAACATGACAAATCTATGTCCTGATAGAATAAATAAATAAATAAATATACATATATAAACACATACGATTATGACAATAATACAAGACATTTAAGATATGTCTGAATAAAGATACCATTATTTGTACTCTAAGAAATAAGACACATGCAGTCTCTGTGAGGGGAGGTATTCAGGGGAGTTTATGTGGAACAGATTTCCCTTGAAGGACAAATGGGCTTCCAATTGATAGAGAGGAGACTGCTTGTGTTTGTTGTGAAGCTCTTGAGTATTGCAGCATGATCTGAATTTACAATGCACCCTGTTAACGGTCTCAGAAGGTGTCTTGACCAATTTATATGCAGTGATGGAGTTAGAAATACTGCTGAAAGTGCAAAACAAAAACAGGCTTCCTTTCAGAAAATTATAGTTGATTTGTATGGTCAAAGAAGCTGATATGCAGTTGGGACCTTTTGGGTGAGGATGTAGAGATAAAAGAGGTGGGGGGCTGGGGAAATGGAGTCCTGAAATGGAATCAGGGCTGCCTGTGCTGGATACTAACCCTTGCACTCCAGCTCCAAAGAGTTGTCCTCCCTGCTACACTTTCACTTAAAGGCAGTTTCTGACTCTTGATTATATTGACTTGACAGGATGCGACAATGATTCTTCTCTCCCTGTCTCTCTTGGGAGTGCTTCCGCTGGTTCTGAATGGTGATGGATTTGCTGAACAGTTTAGCCAGGTGTTTGCATGCACACAGCAAGCTAAAGCTGCCTCGACAGTCATCAGTGTTGAAGTGAGTTTCCCTACCACCAAATATAAAAATAAATTAGAAATGAGGACCAGGTCACATGATCAGGAACTGAGTGAGATTTTGGTTTGGTGGTTTTAATAAAAATGTGGACTTCCTCTTAGTTTCCTTCTGTAGTTACTGACTGATTCACATTAAGATTAGGTCTAAATCCCTCCAGCTCACCATTCTTCAATTGCAGATATGAAGGTGCTCTTCTGTTGCTAGTTTATTGCCATAACATTGCAATCATTCATTTAGAAAACCCCAAATCTGTATAACTAAAAATTTTTCTTCTACTCACACTGTTCTTCCCTGTAAAGGCCATAACCTTGGCAGTCACCTGCCCAGAGACTCAAATAAATGAATAAATATGAACTTTAGAGAAAAATCAATGTCCTGGAGAAAACCTGTAAACTAAAGCATTACTTGGAAACAGGATAATATATCATAGGTTTGTGTGTTTCTCTTCTTGCCTGAATTCAATAAAATTGGCACAAAGCAAATTCACCAAAAAGTTAAATTCTATAGTCAAAGTATGTGAGCTTCTCAGGGATTAAGAGCCCAGAGTGTGTATAGGTTGTACTTCTGAGAATCTTGGAGTGAGCAGCTGTTTTCTCTGCATATTGCTTGACAAGAGACAAAAATGTCCTCTGTGTATTACACAGCAAGAGGTGGGGATGTGTGTGACTAACTCTCCTCGGTAGCCCTTGTAAGCAAACCAACTCCCCCAGAATTTCTCATCTGTTTCCAGAAAGCCCATACTTATAATCAAATGTCATATAGGTTTCCAAGGACCTAACTGAGCATATGCAAGAAAGGAATGTAAACAAGAGGTAGCAAGAGCCCTTTGACCATTGAAATCTAGGCAGGCAACTCTGAAAACGTGTCCTCCCTAGAAAACATATCTAACATTCCGTGGCTTGTGGGAGTCCACATCCCTCCTTACTATTTCTGAGAATACCTAGGGAGCCGTTGTTCTTGTGGCCTCCCTTGCCTCTTGGGCTCCAGATTAGATTCCTCATTCAAGGTTCCTGTTTGATATGGTTTGGCTCTGTGTCCCCACTCAAATCTCATCTTGAATGGTACTCGCATAATTCCTATGTGTCCTGGGAAGGACCTGGTAGGAGATAATTTGAATCATAGGGCGGTTTCACCTATGCTGTTCTCATGGTAGCAAATAAGTCTCACGAGATCTAATGGTTTTACCAGGGGTTTCCGCTTTTGTATCTTCCTCATTTTCTCTTGCCTCCGCCATGTAAGAAGTCCCATTTGCCTCCCGCCATGATTCTGAGGCCTCCTCAGCCATGTGGAAATGTAAGTTTAATTAAACCTCTTTTTCTTCCGTCTTGGGTATGTCTTTATCAGCAGCATGAAAACTGACTGATACACTGTTCTTCTCCAGACTGACCCAGACTTGAAATCCAGTCCCTTCACTGATTTTTCATTAACCACCACCTGCATTCAAAACTCACATGAAACATGCATAACTTCATGAAGTGGGTGTCACCTCACACCACAGAGCCAACAAAGAGGTCTATTCTTCCACGGATAAATTTTTTGCAATCCCATCCATCACTCAGGATTCAGCCCCAAATCCTTTCTCCTCTCAAATTATTCCTGTTTCTTCTCTTGTTCATCTTTCTTCCTAGAGCCAAAAGGAACTCGAGACTTTTCTCCAAAGTCCTTGGTGCCACCTGATTCCTAGGTTTTTGAGTTCCACCCGTTGCACCAAACACTCGAATTTCCATATTACATGTATTTCCCTCCTTTAATGGAGTCCTAGTGCCTGTTGTTAGAATAATGACATATTACCGTGTTTTTATGCCAGAACTGCTGAGAGAAGGTTAGGCACTGCTTCACGACCCCTGTGATAATTCCAAACTGGATTTTCCACCTCACCTACCCCCTGATTGAAAGAATGACCTGCCACAGCAGAGACACAGCCTGGGAATGACCTCAAATCCTTTTTCACGCTATAAGTCCTCATGCCTGGTGCATAAAATACTGTCAACAAATTTACCTCTCCCCCAGTCCTATCAACGCCATCCCATAGATGCCTTAGTCCCTATTACAGCAGTCACTGACATCTGTGCAGCCCTCTCATCATGACCTGGAGGAAATGAAGTTGAATTCATGCTTCACTGGATAAATGTGCATGGTGGGCACGCTGGTTCTTTCCTCACACATAAATCCTGTGTGCAAATGGCCTGCTTTAAGGAAACCATCTGCCCTGAGCTACCAAACCTGAGAAAACAGTTTACTTAGCTGACATAAAGGTCTTTTCTCTACAAAAGAATTTGCTTCTTATTCCTCAAAATAAAAATTTTGTGTTTATTAAAGATCATGACAATGTATAATAGAACTGTATTATTACATTGCCGTGTAACATCAATATAACATGAATATTATATTTAGTACATGTCATGCCAGTCTCCTTGGTAAGTGCTTTGTAGGCAGTGTTGAATTTACTGTTGCAATACTATGAGATAGAGACTCTTATCAGCCCCATGTTTCAGATATAGTAGCTAATTCCTGGATAGTTGAGATAAATTGTCCAAGGCTGGGAAGCTAACAGCCTGAGATTAGAGCCTAGATGGGTCTTAGGCCAGAATCCAAGCCCTTACCAGTGCACACAGTTGAGTTTACTCTGAATTTTTCAAGGACAGAGCTTTTAAATATAGGACCCACTGGACAGATAGTGAAGGATACAATTGACAAGAGAAGTATGGAGTGGTGGAGCAGACATATGGAATATAGAGATGTTATTTAGAAAGTAAGTAGCACAGCCCTCTCTGTAAAGCCTTGTCAGCATGGGGTACTTGCAGACAGAATGAATTCCTAAGACTTAGCTGAGAAAATAGCTGGCAGCCAATAAATATATGCTATTTGATGAATTGACTCAGTCTCTCCTCCACTGTCCCACCCCATCCCACTCTAACAGGGGAACTTATGAGACTATGTAACAGTCCAGCTATTTACTTGATCGTAAAGACCACTCTTACCATAATCTAATGAATGAAGTTTTTAACAGTTTAAACCCACACAGATGCATATGCATACAAGTAAAACTGAAGAAATCTGAAAACAGTTAATAAATAATTAAATAAGATTGATGTCAATATCCTGGTTGTGACGTTATACTACAGTTTTGCACAAGTCACCACTGATGAAAACTAGGCAAAGTATATAAGGATATCTCTGTATTATTTCTTAAAACTGCATGTGACTCTAAGATTATTTCAATAAAATTTCAATTACAAAGCTTCAATTATAGCACTGGAAGTTGGCTTAGATCTGTCTCATTCAACTCTGGCCCTATGAGTTACACAGAGTCTAAAATGGCATAATAAATTATATATCTGCAACCTGGATGGTAGTTTGCCATACACATTTGTTTCTGGGAAACACAGATATTACTAAGTATATCTTCATCTATCTGAAAAAGAAAACTTCCCAACCATTAACAGCCCCTATCTAAAGGCTGCTTTGCTGTGCCCATCTCCTGGTGCCTGCCCACTCTACCCACACAGCGTGCCATTTAGCTACCCTTGATTGGGTCAAATTCTTCCCTCCTGGGGTCCCATTTGGGGAATACATGTTGTGTATAGGTATGTTTATATTTTCTTTGGTTTTTATAAAAATGCTGCCCTAATATATTTATTTATTATAGGAAACACAGCTGTAAAATGGATGGATAGATGACTTGCAGATTTTTGTACCCAAGGTGTCACCTGTAATTAAAAAATAATTAGATGCTCCATGTACTTCCTGTCATGCACCCCTCTATTTTTTCAGTATCCATGGTACTTAAGAATAGTTGGCATTTTTAAATATTAATTACTCACTAACAAAAACTTTGTAGAGCAATTCATTGGCATTGCAATGCAATTTTGTCAACACTTAACACATTGTTGGTTTTAAAAATACATTTAAGTCTATGATGAACTCTCTTATTAATAGTTTCCATTTTATCCCAATATTGTTGAGATTTATTTTTATTTGTATTTTATAGACACTACTGAAATAATATGTAATAGGAGAAACAATAATCTACTTTATTATGCCTATGGTAATTCCTGATAAGACAAAAATCACACACAGGTTTCATCTCTGTGCTGGTATTATTCAGAGGCAAAGGTTGAAATAGACAATAACCTCTGGAACCAATTAAACATGATTGTACCAATTTCCCCCGACAAGTTGTAATTATCTCAACATGAGATAGCACATGTCATTGCAAAGAAAAGCTGAATTGTTTTCATTTTCAAGAATTTTTATTTTAACTCTTTCCTGCTCAGGAAACTTTAGCATTTATTTCCTTCATCCAGAACAATATTTGCAGCACTTTGAGAGGAGAAATGACATCTTTAAACAATGTCTTTATTGGCCATGCTTTAAAAATTATACAATAAATCTACTTTTACTGTTAAAAATGTTATAGATTTTAAAAAATCACTACACTCACTATGTAGAGATGCACATCACTGACACTGTTGTTTTTCCTTCCAGAATTTTGAAATATGCATTGCACATTTAAACCAATGCAATGCCATAATACTGTTTATTTAATTTTTAAATCTGATTATTTTCTCAATCAACAATACATGGAATGAGCATCTCTCCATATCAATAGACATAGATCATCCATGTTCTAATGGCAGCATATCCATTTGTTATTATTTGTTACAGTCAATATTGTTGACATCTAACCTATTCTGGTATTGCCAGCACTTTGATTCATGCTTAGTTTACTTCTGATAGCTTCCCTAAAGCCTAGAGGGCAGAATATATATATATATGAATGATCAGGTTATTCTTAACTGTAATGGGCCTCTGTGGCAGAATCATTACCTCCATTTTTTAGAAATAGCTTTGTTTTATATGGAAAAAAAAAGCTGAGACTTAGCTGAGGATTATGATTTTCTAAGTTGAGCTTGCCCTCTTCCTCTCCATTCTACGTTTGTCACTGTTGCACAAGCAGACCTTGGTGCTAGGACTGGCCCTGAGCTTTATGTCTCACGGTGGCTTTGTGACAGTGGCAAGTAGTTCAGGAATTAATGCAATTCACCTACTTTCACTGTACATTTTCTGTTATTCCTGGGATTACTTCCCAAAGGAACTCTTTGGATTCAAATCCTCCTCTCATGCTTCTAGGAAAAATCGACCAAGACAACTCTCTGGCCCAAGTATATTTCCTGGGTCTCCATTTTCTGCAGAGTAAAGCCCAAATGTCTTATTTTCTACAGCCCATTATGAACAGCCCTGTCAGTCATTTCTAATGACTCTTCTCATCATACCCCTCAGGTAGCTCCTGGCTACGGCCAGATTGAGTCCCTGCTGTTCCCCAGCTTTAGCTTTTCTGCTTTTACCCTGGCCTGAAATACCCTGGAGCAGGAGTTTAGGAGCACAGGATCTAGAGGCAGAGAAGAGCAAGAGCTCTAAACCCAAATTTAGAGCTACACTTTACTTAAACAAATACAACCCAAGTTAATACTGTGGAAGTTAAATAATAGTTCAGTCCCATCTGCCCATCTCCATTAGAGGTCAGGATAGATTCCACTGTGGAGCTTCCTACATAACACAAGAAAAATAAAACAAGATAAATGTGTAGACAAGGTCCCGTTTTCTACTTTAAAAAACGGTTCCACAAAGCCCCAAGCCAGAGTGTCTGCCGGTTCTCTGAAATGTTTATGAAATACATAGCAGCTCAAAGGAGTTCAAACTCTCTTAAAGAAGCATTTTTGTCGTGCACATACATGTCTCTCCCAAGATCTTTCTCTGCTTCTATATTTAACAATCTATTCAGAGCACACATATAAAAAAAATCATCATGTTAAGATGGTAATTTGGAAGGAGTTCCACAGAACAGCTTCTGCTGTATAATTGAAGAGGTGCTTCTCATACATCCACATGGGGCCTCTAGACTCTTAAGTGCAAGTCACTGCCAGTATCTGAGATGAGGCCAGTGATGTTTCAAAGCAAAAACTAGGATACATTTTTCACCACAGAAATGAGTTGAGGCTGCTTTTTCTTCTCCCTCCTGCAGTTTCCTTCCTCTCCTCTGCTTCTGTGGTTGTGTCTCCTGGGAACACTTTGCTGAATCACTTGATCGGTCAGTCAATTGCCTATGTTGTGTAGGGACCTACCGTGCACTGAGAATTGCTGAGATGAGAAACACAGTGGCCTGCTGTGTTGTATATCTCAGGGAGCAAGCCACTTCTCAGGCCTATGGGGAGACATACATTTCCTTAAGGGCATGAATGATGTTCTGAATCTTATTCTATTGTTGCAAAGACAACATAAGAGAACAGAGTGCCCTGTGCATGCTTTAAGTCAAGACAAGACACTCACCAAGTGACTGATGTTCTGTCCTTTTAGCTTAGGCCAGATCAAAAACCTGTATTGCTACTTGTTCCAGACCTAGATCTTCCTAAGTGCCTGGGATCTCTTGGGAGGGTTTAGAGTTAGGTCTGCTTTGAGCCACAAATAATCAACTGGCTTTAACAGTGAACACATTTGATATCTTACATATTAAGAAGTGTGGGCCAGGTGTGGTGGCTCATGCCTGTAATCCCAGCACTTTGGGAGGCCGAGGTGGGTGGATCATGAAGTCAGGAATTCGAGACCAGCCTGGCCAACATGGTGAAACCCCATCTCTACTAAAAATACAAAAAATAGCTGGGTGTGGTGGTGGACACCTGTAATCCCAGCTACTTGGGAGGCTGAGGCAGGAAAATCCTTTGAACTTGGGAGGCAGAGGTAGCAGTAAGCTGAGATCGTGCCACTGCACTCCAGCAGCCCGGGTGACAGAGTGAGACTCCGTTTCAAAAAAAAAAAAAAAAAAAAAGAAGTGGAGGTTGCTGGATCCAGTATTTGAAGCCACGGGTATCCTCCATCTTGCCATCTTGCTAGACCAGATCTGCCCTGCTTCCTGCCCCTTAGTGAGTTGGAATTGTCCATCAGCCTAGTTCCCCTCATGGTCATGTATCTTTCCAAAGAAGTTAGATTCTTTCTTCTCATGTGATTCTTTTTAAGGGCAGACACTTTTCTCAGAAGACAAAGCTTTCCTCATGGCTATTTGGTCTAGTCTTAAAACCAGTCTCTGGAAAAAAGAATAATAGTGACATAATTTGGCGAAAACTGAAAAGTATGTGCTCCTCATATCACCTGTAAGATGAACACCCAGGAGTGATTCTTGGGCAGGCATACAACTGGTTGTTTGATTCTTTGGGGGTTCCCTTTTCTTATTTTTCCAATTGAGGCCTAATACACCTTTCCTGTAAACATGGCATGGTTGGGAAATTTAATTCAATAAGCATTTACACTCATCTGCTATTGAGCACTGTGCTGGATGCTATGAGGTGTGGAGATGATTAAGACACTCTTTTGGCTCTTAGATTGCTTGTGATAATCTTATAAGGAGGCTAAGTTCATATTGTACAAGGCACGGCACATTGTAATAAAAGCCATGTGACAGTTTACTGTGGGAAATGGACTGAACCAGGATGAGTAACTGGAATGGTCCTTTAAGTGGATCCATGCTTCTCAAAGAAAGTTTAAATCTGGGCCATAACTAAGGGTCTGGAGCTTGAGCTAGGATAAAGGGCTTGGCCAACCACTGCCCTGGCCACCATCTCTCCTGTATGAATTATGCAGAGCATATCCAGAGTTTTTTTGCCACCTCCCAAAAACTTAGTTAGTGACAATGAGTCTTTTCAAAACAATACATCTCTCTTTCTAATACAATTTGTTTCTCTTTCTAACAAAAGCTTCAACTTTCCTTTTGTTCTTCAGACATAACAAAGACCACTCCTGTCTGTGTGAAGGCCCCAAATTGCAATTCTGTTTTCCCAAATAAAACATTTTATTTAGAGGTTTGTCTCTATGTTTACATTTGACTTTGAGAAGTGAAGGTACAGAATATGTTCATTTTGGTCTCTAGTAAGTCTTCTTTGACTCCCCCAGGTGTGATAATTTAACGAGAACATAGAACAGGCAAGACATTTTCTTTTGCTTTTCCTTACTTTCTCAAAGTAAAGTGCATCCCAAAAGCTTTGAGGTAGTTACTATTATTCCCATTGTAGCAAATAAGTCAGCTGGCATTCAGAAAAGTTAAGTAGCTTCCATGAAGTCCTTGCCAATGCCTATGTCCTGATGGCATTGCCTAGGTTTTCTTCTAGGGTTTTTATGGTTTTAGGTCTAACATTTAAGTCTTAATCCATCTTGAATTAATTTTTGTATAAGGTGTAAGGAAGGGATCCAGTTTCAGCTTTCTACATATGGCTAGCCAGTTTTCCCAGCACCATTTATTAAATAGGGAATCCTTTCCCCATTGCTTGTTTTTCTCAGGTTTGTCAAAGATCAGATGGTTGTAGATGTGTGGTATTATTTCTGAGGGCTCTGTTCTGTTCCCTTGGTCTATATCTCTGTTTTGGTACCAGTACTGTGCTGTTTTGGTTACTGTAGCCTTGTAGTATAGTTTGAAGTCAGGTAGCGTGATGCCTCCAGCTTTGTTCTTTTGGCTTAGGATTGACTTGGCAATGAGGGCTCTTTTTTGGTTGCATATGAATTTTAAAGTAGTTTTTTCCAATTCTGTGAAGAAAGTCATTGGTAGCTTGATGGGGATGGCATTGAATCTATAAATTACCTTGGGCAGTATGGCAATTTTCACGGTATTGATTCTCCCTATCCGTGAGCATGGAATGTTCTTCCATTTGTTTGTATCCTCTTTTATTTCCTTGAGCAGTGGTTTGTAGTTCTCCTTGAAGAGGTCCTTCACATCCCTTGTAAGTTGGATTCCTAGGTATTTTATTCTCTTTGTAGCAATTGTGAATGGGAGTTCACTCATGATTTGGCTCTCTGTTTGTTATTGGTGTGTAAGAATGCTTGTGATTTTGGCACATTGATTTTGTATCCTGAGACTTTGCTGAAGTTGCTTATCCGCTTAAGGAGATTTTGAGCTGAGATGATGGGGTTTTCTAAATATACAATCATGTCATCTGCAAACAGGGACAATCTGACTTCCTCTTTTCCTAGTTGAATACCCTTTATTTCCTTCTCCTGCCTGATTGCCCTGGCCAGAACTTCCAACGCTATGTTGAATAGGAGTGGTGAGAGAGGGCATCCCTGTCTTGTGCCAGTTTTCAAAACATAGGATGGGCAAGGACTTCATGTCTAAAACACCAAAAGCAATGGCAACAAAAGCCAAAATTGACAAATGGGATCTAATTAAACTAAGGAGCTTCTGCACAGCAAAAGAAACTACCATCAGAGTGAACAGGCAACCTACAGAATGGGTGAAATTTTTTGCAAATCTACTCATCTGACAAAGGGCTAATATCCAGAATCTACAAAGAACTCAAACAAATTTACAAGAAAAAAACAAAAAACCCTATCAAAAAGTGGGTGAAGGATATGAACAGACACTTCTCAAAAGAAGACATTTATGCAGCCAACAGACACATGAAATAATGCTCATCATCACTGGCCATCAGAGAAATGCAAATCAAAACCACAATGAGATACCATCTCACACCAGTTAGAATGGCGATCATTAAAAAGTCAGGAAACAACAGGTGCTGGAGAGGATGTGGAGAAATAGGAACACTTTTACACTGTTGGTGGGACTGTAAACTAGTTCAACCATTGTGGAAGACAGTGTGGTGATTCCTCAAGGATCTAGAACTAGAAATACCATAAGACCCAGCCATCCCATTATTGGGTATATACCAAAAGGATTATAAATCATGCTGCTATAACAGCACATGCACACGTATGCTTATTGTGGCACTATTCACAATACCAAAGACTTGGAACCAACCCAAATGTCCAACAATGATAGACTGGATTAAGAAAACGTGGCACATATACACCGTGGAATACTATGCAGCCATAAAAACGATGAGTTCATGTCCTTTGTAGGGACATGGATGAAGCTGGAAACCATCATTCTCAGCAAACTATCGCAAGAACCAAAAACCAAACACCGCATGTTGTCACTCACAGGTGGGAATTGAACAATGAGAACACTTGGACACAGGGTGGGGAACATCACCCACTGGGGCCTGTTGTGGGGTGGGGGAAGGGGAGAGGGAAAGCATTAGGAGATATACCTAATGTAAATGACAAGTTAATGAGTGCAGCACACCAACATGGCACATGTATACATATGTAACAAACCTCCATGTTGTGCACATGTACCCTAGAACTTAATGTATAATAAAAAAAAAGTAGCTTCCATGAGACTATCTCAGACTACCTGGAGTCAAGATTAGAATTTCTCACTTGGGGCCTTAAATTTTCTAGCTCTTAGAGATAGAGAGTAAACTAGTTCCCTACCAGGGTCAGAGACATCTTTAGGCAACAAGCATATTGGTGAGTCATAGGAATATCCTGAAACAATCAGCCAGAATGCTGGAAAGAACAAACATGGTGATGGTGTACACGCTGTTGTCTGTGGATTTGAATCTTTCTGCCTTAAGATAACTGTTGAACCCAGAAGTGAATGTGGGAATAGGAGAGGAGTTCTAATGCATTCCCGTTTCTCTGTAAAGCTTACACACCACTACAATCCTTATTCATTGTAACAGTCTCTACCCTCAAAGAGCTTATATTCTAGCTGTGAAATTAGACCAAATAAAAAATGAAAGTATTGAGGCAAGTACATATCCTGGAGCACACACCTGGGGTGGTCAGAGAGGACTTCTTAGAAGAGGAGAATGAACATATTCTATACCTCCCATTTTCGAAGTCAAATAAAAACATGGAGACAAACCTCTAAACAAAATGTTTTATTTGGGAAAACAGAATTGCAATTCGGGGCCTATACACAGACAGGAGTGGACTTTGTTAACTCTAAACAACAAAAAGAAAGTTGAAGGTTTGTTAGAAGGAGAAAAAATTGTATTAGAGAAATGTTTTAAAAGAAGACTCATTGTCACTAGCTAAGTTTTTGGGAGGCAGCAAGCTCTGATTGGTAATGTCAGTAGGTCAAACTAGTCGTAGAGTCACAGCAGGTCATTTCAGCAGCTCTAGGTAAAATTGCTCTTAAGTTTATACTGTTATAGATCCTATTGGCAGCTGACTTGTGATGTAATCCCTGGGCAGGTGCTTATATCCTGACTGCCTTTCTTTTCCTCTGGTCTCTGGACTCTAATTTAGTTGGATATGACAAGATAACTTCAATTCATAGAATCAATTTTTACACCACTTTGGAGAGGTAGGAAAAAAAAAGCCAAGGAAAAGAAAGGGAAAAGGAAGCCTAGGAGAAATGTCCTCTAATCTAAATACTTTTCTTCTTTACCTGTTTTCTCTCTCTTTACCTATGGAGGTTGAATACCAAACCTGAAGTTTAGAAAGTTCCTATTATTCAACACAGAGCCAGTCGCACTCAAGAGAAGGAATACATTGCAGGCACAGAAAGAGATGCCTGGTTAGCCTTTGGAAAAGCATAACCTGAATCAACGACTTCCTTTCCCTACTTATCTATCTATCCCAGATAATTTATTTTTTGTTTTTGTCTATAAATTGTGCTTTTCAAGTTAATATACAGAGTTGTCATTGAAAATATGAGAACCATGAAAACATAGAAAAAAAGCAAAATTAAAAGAAAACAGAGAGTAATATGTAAGTTAGAAATAATGGGAAAAAAACTACAGGGATTTGCTTTGTAAAATTTAAAATCTTTTTTTAAAAAATTTATTATTATACTTTAAGTTTTAGGGTACATGTGCACAATGTGCAGGTTAGTTACATATGTATACATGTGCCATGCTGGTGCGCTGCACCCACTAACTCGTCATCTAGCATTAGGTATATCTCCCAGTGCTATCCCTCCCCCCTCCCCCCACCCCACAACAGTCCCCAGAGTGTGATGTTCCCCTTCCTGTGTCCATGTGTTCTCATTGTTCAATTCCCTCCTATGAGTGAGAATATGCACTGTTTGGTTTTTTGTTCTCGTGATAGTTTACTGAGAATGATGATTTCCAATTTCATCCATGTCCCTACAAAGGACATGAACTCATCATTTTTTATGGCTGCATAGTACTCCATGGTGTATATGTGCCACATTTTCTTAATCCAGTCTATCATTGTGGGACATTTGGGTTGGTTCCAAGTCTTTGCTATTGTGAATAATGCCGCAATAAACATACGTGTGCATGTGTCTTTATAGCAGCATGATTTATAGTCCTTTGGGTATATACCCAGTAATGGGATGGCTGGGTCAAATGGTATTTCTAGTTCTAGATCCCTGAGGAATCGCCACACTGACTTCCACAATGGTTGAACTAGTTTACAGTCCCACCAACAGTGTAAAAGTGTTCCTAGTTCTCCACATCCTCTCCAGCACCTGTTGTTTCCTGACTTTTTAATGATTGCCATTCTAACTGGTGTGAGATGGTATCTCATTGTGGTTTTGATTTGCATTTCTCTGATGGCCAGTGATGGTGAGCATGTTTTCATATGTTTTTTGGCTGCATAAATGTCTTCTTTTGAGAAGTGTCTGTTCATGTCTTTCACCCACTTTTTGATGGGTTTGTTTGTTTTTTTCTTGTAAATTTGTTTGAGTTCATTGTAGATTCTGGATATTAGCCCTTTGTCAGATGAGTAGGTTGCGAAAATTTTCTCCCATTTTGTATGTTGCCTGTTCACTCTGATGGTAGTTTCTTTTGCTGTGAAGAAGCTCTTTAGTTTAATTAGATCCCATTTGTCAATTTTGGCTTTTGTTGCCATTGCTTTTGGTGTTTTAGACATGAAGTACTTGCCCATGCCTATGTCCTGAATGGTAATGCCTAGGTTTTCTTCTAGGGTTTTTATGGTTTTAGGTCTAATGTTTAAGTCTTTAATTCATCTCGAATTGATTTTTGTATAAGGTGTAAGGAAGGGATCCAGTTTCAGCTTTCTACATATGGCTAGCCAGTTTTCCCAGCACCATTTATTAAATAGGGCATCCTTTCCCCATTGCTTGTTTTTCTCAGGTTTGTCAAAGATCAGATAGTTGTAGATATGCAGCATTATTTCTGAGGGCTCTGTTCTGTTCCATTGATCTATATCTCTATTTTGGTACCAGTACCATGCTGTTTTGGTTACTGTAGCCTTGTAGTGTAGTTTGAAGTCAGGTAGCATGATGCCTCCAGCTTTGTTCTTTTGGCTTAGGATTGACTTGGCAATGCGGGCTCTTTTTTGGTTCTATATGAACTTTAAAGTAGTTTTTTTCCAATTCTGTGAAGAAAGTCATTGGTAGCTTGATGGGAATGGCATTGAATCTGTAAATTAGCTTGGATAGTATGGCCATTTTCACGATATTGATTCTTCCTACCCATGAGCATGGAATGTTTTTCCGTTTGTTTGTATCCTCTTTTATTTCCTTGAGCAGTGGTTTGTAGTTCTCCTTGAAGAGGTCCTTCACATCCCTTGTAAGTTGGATTCCTAGGTATTTTATTCTCTTTGAAGCAATTGTGAATGGGAGTTCACTCATGATTTGGCTCTCTGTCTGTTGTTGGTGTATAAGAATGCTTGTGATTTTGGCACATTGATTTTGTATCCTGAGACTTTGCTGAAGTTGCTTATCAGCTTAAGGAGATTTTGGGCTGAGACAATGGGGTTTTCTAGATATACAATCATGTCATCTGCAAACAGGGACAATTTGACTTCCTCTTTTCCTAATTGAATACCTTTTATTTCCTTCTCCTGCCTAATTGCCCTGGCCAGAACTTCTAACACTATGTTGAATAGGAGTGGTGAGAGAGGGCATCCCTGTCTTGTGCCAGTTTTCAAAGGGAATGCTTCCAGTTTTTGCCCATTCAGTATGATATTGGCTGTGGGTTTGTCATAGATAGCTCTTATTATTTTGAGATATGTCCCATCAATACCTAATTTATTGAGAGTTTTTAGCATGAAGGGTTGTTGAATTTTGTGAAAGGCCTTTTCTGCATCTAGTGAGATAATCATGTAGTTTTTTTCTTTGGTTCTGTTTATATGCTGGATTACATTTATTGATTTGCGTATATTGAACCAGCCTTGCATCCCAGGGATGAAGCCCACTTGATCATGGTGGATAAGCTTTTTGATGTGCTGCTGAATTGGGTTTTCCAGTATTTTATTGAGGATTTTTGCATCAATGTTCATCAAGGATATTGGTCTAAAATTCTCTTTTTTGGTTGTGTCTCTGCCCGGCTTTGGTATCAGGATGATGCTGGCCTCATAAAATGAGTTAGGGAGGATTCCCTCTTTTTCTATTGATTGGAATAGTTTCAGAAGGAATGGTACCAGTTCCTCTTTGTACCTCTGGTAGAATTCGGCTGTGAATGCATCTGGTCCTGGACTCTTTTTGGTTGGTAAGCTATTGATTATTGTCACAATTTCAGATCTTGTTATTGTTCTATTCAGAGATTCAACTTCTTCCTGGTTTAGTCTTGGGAGAGTGTATGTGTTGATGAATTTATCCATTTCTTCTAGATTTTCTAGTTTATTTGCGTAGAGGTGTTTGTAGTATTCTCTGATTGTAGTTTGTATTTCTGTGGGATCGGTGGTGATATCCCCTTTATCATTTTTTATTGTGTCTATTTGATTCTTCTCTCTTTTTTTCTTTATTAGTCTTGCTAGCGGTCTATCAATTTTGTTGATCCTTTCAAAAAACCAGCTCCTGGATTCATTAATTTTTTGAAGGGTTTTTTGTGTCTCTATTTCCTTCATTTCTGCTCTGATTTTAGTTATTTCTTGCCTTCTGCTAGCTTTTGAATGTGTTTGCTCTTGCTTTTCTAGTTCTTTTAATTGTGATGTTAGGATGTCAATTTTGGATCTTTTCTGCTTTCTCTTGTGGGCATTTAGTGCTATAAATTTCCCTCTACACACTGCTTTGAATGCATCCCAGAGATTCTGGTATGTTGTGTCTTTGTTCTCATTGGTTTCAAAGAACATCTTTATTTCTGCCTTCATTTTGTTATGTACCCAGTAGTCATTCAGGAGCAGGTTGTTCAGTTTCCATGTAGTTGAGTGGTTTTGAGTGAGATTCTTAATCCTGAGTTCTAGGTTGATTGCATTGTGGTCTGAGAGACAGTTTGTTATAATTTCTGTTCTTTTACATTTGCTGAGGAGTGCTTTACTTCCAACTATGCGGTCAATTTTGGAATAGGGGTGGTGTGGTGCTGAAAAAAAATGTATATTCTGTTGATTTTGGGTGAAGAGTTCTGTAGATGTGTATTAGGTCCACTTGGTGCAGAGCTGAGTTCAATTCCTGGGTATCCTTGTTGACTTTCTGTCTCGTTTATCTGTCTAATGTTGACAGTGGGCTGTTAAAGTCTCCCATTGTTACTGTGTGGGAGTCTAAGTCCCTTTGTAGGTCACTCAGGACTTGCTTTATGAATCTGGATGCTCCTGTATTGGGTGCATATATATTTAGGATAGTTAGCTCTTCTTGTTGAATTGATCCCTTTACCATTGTGTAATGGCCTTCTTTATCTCTTTTGATCTTTGTTCGTTTAAAGTCTGTTTTATCAGAGACTAGGATTGCAACCCCTGCCTTTTTTTGTTTTCCATTTGCTTGTTAGATCTTCCTCCATCCTTTTATTTTGAGCCTATGTGTGTCTGTGCATGTGAGATGGGTTTCCTAAATACAGCACGCTGATGGGTCTTGACTCTTTATCCAATTTGCCCATCTGTGCCTTTTAATTGGTGCATTTAGTCCATTTACATTTCAAGTTAATATTGTTATGTGTGAATTTGATCCTGTCATTATGATGTTAGCTGGTTATTTTGCTCGTTAGTTGATGCAGTTTCTTCCTAGTCTCGATGGTCTTTACATTTTGGCATGATTTTGCAGTGGCTGGTACCAGTTGTTCCTTTCCATGTTTAGTGCTTCCTTCAGGAGCTCTTTTAGGGCAGGCCTGGTGGTGACAAAATCTCTCAGCATTTGCTTGTCTGTAAAGTATTTTATTTCTCCTTCCCTTATGAAGCTTAGTTTGGCTGGATATGAAATTCTGGGTTGAAAATTCTTTTCTTTAAGAATGTTGAATATTGGCCCCCACTCTCTTCTGGCTTGTAGAGTTTCTGCTGAGAGATCCGCTGTTAGTCTCATGGGCTTCCCTTTGAGGGTAACCCGACCTTTCTCTCTGGCTGCCCTTAACATTTTTTCCTTCATTTCAACTTTGGTGAATCTGACAATTATGTGTCTTGGAGTTGCTGTTCTCGAGGAGTATCTTTGTGGCATTCTCTGTATTTCCTGAATCTGAATGTTGGCCTGCCTTGCTAGATTGGGGAAGTTCTCCTGGATAATATCCTGCAGAGTGTTTTTCAACTTGGTTCCATTCTCCCCGTCACTTTCAGGTACACCAATCACACGTAGATTTGGTCTTTTCACATAGTCCCATATTTCTTGGAGGCTTTGCTCTTTTCTTTTTATTCTTTTTTCTCTAAACTTCCCTTCTCACTTCATTTCATTCACTTCATCTTCCATCGCTGATACCCTTTCTTCCAGTTGATCACATCAGCTCCTGAGGCTTCTACATTCTTCACATAGTTCTTGAGCCTTGGTTTTCAGCTCCATCAGCTCCTTTAAGCACTTCTCTGTATTGGTTATTCTAGTTATACATTCTTCTAGACTTTTTTCAAAGTTTTCAACTTCTTTGCCTTTGGTTTGAATTTCCTCCCGTAGCTCAGAGTAATTTGATCGTCTGAAGCCTTCTTCTCTCAGCTCGTCAAAGTCATTCTCCATCCAGCTTTTTTCCGTTGCTGGTGAGGAACTGCGTTCCTTTGGAGGAGGAGAGGCGCTCTGCTTTTTAGAGTTTCCAGTTTTTCTGTTCTGTTTTTTCCCCCTCTTTGTGGTTTTATCTACTTTTGGTCTTTGATGATGGTGATGTACAGATGGGTTTTTGGTGTGGATGTCCTTTCTGTTTGTTAGTTTTCCTTCTAACAGACAGGACCCTCAGCTGCAGGTCTGTTGGAGTACCCAGCCGTGTGAGTTGTCAGTCTGCCCCTGCTGGCGGGTGCTTCCCATTTAGGCTGCTTAGGGGTCAGGGGTCAGGGACCCACTTGAGGAGGCAGTCTGCCCGTTCTCAGATCTCCAGCTGCTCATATCTCTAGCTGCGTGCTGGGAGAACCACTGCTCTCTTCAAAGCTCAGATGGAAATGCAGAAATCACCCCTCTTCTGCATTGCTCACGCTGGGAGCTGTAGACCGGAGCTGTTCCTATTCGGCCATCTTGGCTCCTCCCCCTTTAATATCTTATTTCATCAAATTATAAGGCAGACTGGGAAGACTCTTTCCAGGAGGTATGTCAAAAGGTTTTTAAACTTTTCTTACAAGAGTTTGTACAAATGGATAAACAACTAAGACCTTGATAAATAAAAGGACATAAAATATGATTTATAATTTTTAAAAAGGGCATAAAATTGTAAAATAAATATGTGGAAGAATGTTCTATTTTTTAGAAATGTTAATGAAAGCAACCAGGAGATACTATACCCATCAGTCAAAATGGCTAAGATTTTTTAAAAGATGAAAATGACCAGTGTTGAATGCAGTTGGTGCTCAAACAGTGCTGATGAGAGTGTGCCCTCTTCAGGTAAGCTCTTTGATGATTTGGATCAAATTCTGAAAATGTTCAAAACCTTTGACTTGATAGTATGCTAATTAAGGAGTCTATACTAAAAAACAGTCCTACATATGGGAGAATCTTTAAGCACAAAGATATTTTCAACCCACACTTTCAAATACAGAGATATGTTTAAGTAAAAATATATAATCAGTAATTTTAAAGATCTTCTTATGGCACATATATTATCTTTGTAACGTTAAAACAGGTACTAAACACGAGGAGATACAAAGATAGACGCTGTCATACCAAGACTGTCTGCTCTTCAAGGAGCTTGCCAACCAACTGAATGGGGAAGAACACACATGGAGATAAAATTGAGAAAACATACAAGCAAAGTATCAATAAGACATGTGTAAGAGACTGAACATGTGCCAGCGGTGGGGACAGAGCAGGAAGGCACATTAGAGTAACTGGGATTAATCAATGAATCTTTCTTTTTTCATTTATTTACACTTTTAAACTAGAAAACTAATGCAAGTTTGTTGTAGAAAAACTGACAAATACAGAAAAAATAAAAATTACCTGTAACACTTTAGACCACACAATTAAGGTCCTGGCTATGTTCCTTCTTTTTTCCTTTGTCAAAGAGATCTTGGATTAAGAAGAATGAGAACTGAGAACAATCTGTAGGGTATTTGTGGGAGCAAAATCAAATAGATCTTTTAAAAGTAAAAATGTCATTTGGACATTGTACAAGGCCCTATCTGGTGGTTGCAAGAAAAATAAGGTGAATGCCACTTGTAGAGACTTAGTTGTCCAATTTGGGAAGAATCTCATTCTACTCTTTCCACTCTCAAATGGGAAAACAAAGGCTAATTGAGGCTCAGGATTTGCCCAAGTCCCCAAACCTGAGTCACAACCTCTGACTTCCAATGGCAAGATGGGTAGAGGTTCAGTATGTACATCTTGGGTCAGGCTCCTGGATTCAAAGCTCAAGCCGTTTGAGTTCAGACATTATTTAACCTATATGAGCTCCAGTTTCCTCATCTGTGAAAGGCAAATAACAGTAATTCCGTCTTCATCATAAGCTCATCGTTGGAATTAAATGACATCATAACTTGTATATGCTCTTAGCCCACTGCCTGTCTATCTCTAAGTACTTTTTAATGGGCTATTACTTTTATAGACAGAACCATGCTTTTCCACCATGTGACATTTTATAGCACTTCAGGAGGTTCATTTTCACCTTTATAAGCAGCAAAATTTTTTCTCTATGGCACATACTTTTACCTTTGGGAGGCCCTGGGTTAAGTAAACTTATTTAATGCTAGAAACCACTTTTCAATTAACATCTATTAATGCCTAAAGACTTTATATATGGCAGAAAAGTCCTGGGAAGTGCTCATCTATGCGAATAATAACTACTAAAACTTAGATTTTAAAAAAATGCATCTGTACTTGTTTTTTTTTCCTGACTAAACCATGAATATTTTATCTATTTATTTATTTATTTTTGTGGGTACATAGCAGGTGAATATATATTTATGGGGTACATGAGATGTTTTGATACAGACATGCAATGTGAAATAAGCACATCATGGAGAATGGGATATCCATCCCCTCAAGCATTTATCCTTTGAGTTGCAAAGAATCCAATTACATTCTTTATTTGAAAATATTCAATTAAGTTATTATTGACTGTAGTTAATCTGTTGTGCTACCAAATAGTAGGTCTTATTGATTATTTTTATTCTTTGGACCCACTGTACTTGGTTATAATAAATGTTTTAATCTCAACTTGGTTGTCACTGGAGAAACCACACTGTGATGGATGAGAAAACATATTTGCCTTTCCTATTTGGTGTCACTCTCCTGGCTCACCTGCTGCCCTCTTCCCTCTCCGTTGTCTAGGAGATGATCATCTATAAAATGGATATTACATGAACTCCCTAAAGAAGAGTTGGTTTCTCTCTCTAAATCTATTTATATGTGCCTTTCTTGGAGTAGTGAAGTATAAATTTTCATTTTAAGACCCTTCCTCTCCAGTCCCTGCTTTTCTATGAGGCTCTTTCATAAAGGCAGGATGGAGGATTACAAATCAAATTATTTTCAAATTTCAATAATATTTAGAAATCCAAGTCATCTCATAGACAAACAACAGAAGTTACCAAACCTTACCCTTCAGCTAATAACCTCAGTGTCAGTTTATTAGATAAATAAAGTAGGAACCTGCTATTCCTTCTCTTTACATATTCAAGGAATCATAGGGATGAAAGTTAATTCAGTTTGGACTGTGTTTAATAATATAGTTTTTAAAATTTCTGTATTTTGTTGGTTTTAGGCTAAGGTCTAGTTTTTTTGTTTTTGTTTTCCTTTTCTATTATTTTGGGCTATGTTTTAGCTATCTAAAAATCAATTCAAATCAAGTGGGAATGTAATAGGCATCAACCCTGTGACTTAGAAGGACACTTTGATGCTGGTGGGGAGTGCGTGCCTGCTTACGTTAGATGTGGTCTCTCATATGATGACACCCGATCAGTAGTCAGAGTAATTTGTGTTTATAGTGTTTGAATGGTGGCCTTCAGTGTTGCCTTAATGAACTTGACATTTGTTCACTTTCTGTATTGTGTGACAAAAGAAATAAAAGCCCCACTTTCACCCTCAGGACACTCCCATTAAAGAGAAGTTCAGTTCTTGAAGTAGGCATGGCCTTATTCTTGTATATTAAAAGTGCCAGTACTTTAAAATCACAACTGATAGGCTTGTCTCTCATATCACCATTATACTCCCTCCTAGGTAAAGCCTTTCTCTCCCCTTAAATAAAGAAAAAAATCTTTTAATCTTATAGTTGGCAACAGCAACCTGACACCAAAAACCAATTGTAATCAGGTGCCTGGGGCTGACAAACTAGTGGGGTATGTGATCTTAGATGCTGAAATTCCACATTACAATTTATTTAAAAACTATAAAATATAGAAAATGTATTCAGTGAATTTTTGTGTAAAATTTATTGAAAAATTTATAAAAATAGAGATAGGGATAAAAGATATGGGGGGAGACAGAGAGAGACTGCCTGGCACCATTCGTGTCCTGTATTGTGGCACATACTAGGAAAAGATTCAAGCTGCCCTCAGCAGTGATAGCTCCTGAACTGATTTGAAAGGCTGTGCCCTGACTGGTGGAATGCTAGTAGCCAAGGGAGGCAAAATTAGGGCAGAGCACTTGCAGCATTATACATTTATGCTTAGTGTTCCATTATTGGAATGTTAAGCATGTGGGCGTTATTTACATCCTACTGCTAAAGGTCATCACCAAGGTCTGGGTGCAAAAATTCAAAAAATTGCAACCTTGGGGATAAGTGGGTCAAGACAATGCCCAAGGTGTTTGGCATTAATGGATTTATCGAACCTTATTTTGTTCATTCAATGAATATAATTGAGTGTTCTTCACTGTGGCAGTGTTGGATAGAGCAGGGAGCAAGCTAGACAGTTTCTGGGCCAGAAAACTGGTTTTCTAGAGAGAGACAGAAAACAGGCACAAGGTATACTAAACCTGGTAGACCTCAAATAATAGGAGGCTGAATGCAATGGAAATGATTGGATCTCTCTCCCATCCCTCTAGAAAAAGAAGGTGTTTTTCAAGAAAGAGCTAATCAGATCATTTTCTTTTCATTTTCCTGCTCCTGGGTGTGTGCACACACACTCTCTCCTTTCTCTCTCTCCTTCTTTCTTACATGCCAGAAAAATAATTTCTAGACATGCAAATTGCACCACAGTAAAATAAAAAAATAATAGTTTGAGGGGTTTATGTAGAATTGTCAACTTTTTTGCTATTTTTATGTGTATGTGTATACACATATATGGTACCATACATATTATTGATAGTAATATATCATACCATCTACTTTAAATATTAGCTAATATTTGAGAGTTTAATGTGTGAATGACTCTTCTTTTATCTTTTTATTTTTTCTTCAATGTTCATTTTAAGTTCAGTGGTACATGTGCAGGACGTGCAGTTTTGTTACACAGGTAAATGTGTGCCATGATGGTTTGTTGCTCAGATCATCCCATAACAAAGGTACTAAGCCCAGCATCCATTAGCTATTCTTCCTGATGCTCTTTCTTGCCCCGCACCTCCCTCCAGTAGGCCCCCAGTGTGTGTTGTTCCCCAGTATGTGTCCATGTGTCATCATTCAGCTCCCACTTATAAATGAGAACATGCAGCATTTGGTTTTCTGTGCCTGCATTAGTTTGCTGAGGATAATGGCTTCCAACTCCATCCATGTCCTTCAAAGGATGTGATTTTATCCCTTTTTATGGCTGCATTGTGTTCCGTGGTGTGTATGTACTACATTTTCTTTATCCAGTCTACCATTAATGGGCATTTAGGTTGATTCTATGTCTTTGCTATTGTGAGTAGTGCTTCAGTGAACATACATGTGCATGTATCTTTATAACAGAATGATTTATATTCCTTTGGGATATATACCCAGTAATGGGATTGCTGGGCCAAATGGCATTTCTGCCTCTAGGTCTTTGAGGAATCACCACACTGTCTTCCACAATGGCTGAACCAATTTACACTCCCACCTACAGTATAAAAGCATTCCTTTTTCTCTTCAACCTCAACAGCATCTGTTGTTTTTTGACTTTTTAGTAATAGCCACTCTGACTGGCATGAGATGGTATCTCATTGTGGTTCTGATTTGCATTTGTCTAATGATCAGTGATGTTGAGCTTTTTTTCATGTTTGTTGGCTGTATAAATGTCTTCTTTTGAGAAGTGTCTGTTCATGTCCTTTGCTCACTTTTTAGTGGGGTTGTTTGAATTTTTTCTTGTAAATTTGTTTAAGTTCCTTGTAGATTCTGGACATTAGAACTTTGTCAGACAGATTGCAAAAATTTTCTCCATTCTGTAGGTTGTCTGTTAACTCTCATGCCGGTTTCTTTTGTTATGTAGAGGCTCTTTAGTTTAGTTAGATCCCATTTGTCAATTTTTTCTTTTGTTGCTATTGCTTTAGGCGATTTCATCATGAAATCTTTGCCCATGCCTATGTTCTGAATGGTACTGCTTAGATTTTCTTCTAGAGTTTTTATAGTTTTGAGTTTTATATTTAAGTTGTTAATCCATCTTGAGTTAATTTTTGTGTAAGGTGAAAGGAAGAGGCCCAGTTTTAATTTTCTGCATATGATTAGTCAGCTCTCTGAGCACAATTTATTAAATAGGGAATCCTTCCCCCAATGCTGGTTTGTTTGGGTTTGTCATAAATGGCTCTTATTATTTTGAGGTATGTTCCTTCAGTATCTAGTTTATTGAGAGTTTATAACATGAAGGGATGTTGAATTTTATCAAAGGGCTTTTCTGTGCCTATTGAGATAATCATGTGGTTTTTGTTTTTAGCTCTGTTTATATGATGAGTCACATTTATTGATTTGCATATACTTAACTAATCTTGCATCGCAGGGATGAAACTAACTTGATTGTGATGGATAAGCTTTTGATGTGCTGCTGGATTCAGTTTTCCAGTATTTTATTGAGGATTTTTGCATCAATGTTCATCAAGGATATTGGCCTGAGGTTTTCTTCTTTTGTTGTATCTCTGCCAGGTTTTGGTATCAGGATGATGCTGGCCTCATAGACTGAGTTAGTGAGGAGTTCCTCTTTTTCAATTTTTGGGAATAGTTTCAGAAGGAATGGTACCAGCTTCTCTTTGTATCTCTGGTAGAATTAGGCTATATACCCATCGATCCTGGGCTTTTTTGGTTGGTAGGCTGTTTAATACTGCCTCAATTTTAGGACTTGTTGTCTATTCAGGGATTCAATTTCCTCCTGGTTCAGTCTCGGGAGGGTGTATGTATCCAGGAATTTATCAATTTCTTCTAGATTTTCTAGTTTCTGTGCATGGAGGTGATAATATTCTCTGATGGTTGTTTGTATTTCTATGGGGTCAGTGGTGATATCTCATTTATCATTTTTTATTGTGTCTATTTGATTCCTCTTTTCTTTTATTCTTTGTCTAACTAGAAATCTGTCCATTTTATTAATTTTTTTAAAAAAACCGGCTCCTAGATTTGTTGATTTTTGAAGGGATTTTTTTTGCGTGTGTATCTCCTTCAGTTCTGCTCTGATCTTGGTTATTTCTTGTCTTCTGTTAGCTTTGGGGTTTGTTTGCTTTTGGTTCTGTAGTTCTTTTAGTTGTAATGTTAGGTTGTTAACTTCAGATCTTTCTAGCTGTTTAATGTGGGCATTTAGTGCTATAAATTTCCCTCTGCTTTAGCTGTGTTCTGGAGATTCTGGTACATTATATCTTTGTTTTCATTAGTTTCAAAGAACTTCTTGATTTCTGCCTGAATTTCACTTTTTACCTAAGAGTTGTTCAGGAGCAGGTTGTTCAATTTTTGTGTAGTTGTGTAGCTTTGAGTGAATTTCTTAATCTTGAGTTCTAATTGGATTGTGCTGTGGTCTGAGAGACTGTTTTTTATGATTTCAGTTATTTTGCCTTTGCTGAGGAGTGTTTTGCTTTGGATTATGTGATCAATTTTAGAGTAAGTGCCATGTGGCAATGAGAAAAATGTATATTCTTCTGTTTTTAGGTGGAGAGTTCTATAGATATCTATCAGTTCCACTTCATCCAGAGCTGAGTGCAGGTCCTGAATAACTTTGTTAACTTTCTGTCTTGATGATCTGTCTAATATTGCCAGTGGGGGTCAAAGTCTCCCACTATTATTGTGTCAGAGTCTGATATGGTTTCGCTCTGTGTCCCCACCCAAATCTCATCTTATAATTCCTACTTGTTGTGGGAGGGACCTGGTGGGAGATAATTGAATCATGGGGGCAGGTCTTTCTCATGCTGTTCTTGTGATAGTGAATAAGTTTCATGAGATCTGATGGTTTTAAAAACGGGAGTTTCCCTGCACAAACTCTTTCTCTTTGCCTGCTGCCATCCATGCAAGATGTGACTTGCTCCTCGTTGCCTTCTGCCATGGTTGTGAGGCCTCCACAGCCATGCAGAACTGTAAGACCATTAAACCTCTTTGTCTTTCCAGTCTCGGGTTTGTCTTTATCAGCAGCATGAAAATGGACTAATACAATAAATTGGTACCAGTAGAGTGGGGCACTGCTGAAATCATGTCTGAAAATGTGGAAGTGACTTTGGAACTGGGTAACAGGCAGAGGCTGGAACAGTTTGGAAGGCTCAGAAGAAAACAGGAAAATGTGGGAAAGTTTGGAACGCCCTAGAGACTTGTTGAATGACTTTTACCAAAATGTTGATAATGATATGGACTATGAAATCCAGGCGGAGGTGGTCTCAGATGGAAATGAGGAACTTCTTGGGAACTAGAGCAAATGTGACTCTTGTTATGTTTTAGCAAAGAGACTGGCAGCATTTTGCCCCTGCCCTAGGGATTTGTAGAACTTTGAACTTGAGAGAGATGATTTAGGGTATCTGGCAGAAGAAATTTCTAAGCAGCAAAGCATTCAAGAGGTGACTTGGGTACTGTTAAAGGCATTCGGTTTTATAAGGGGAGCAGACCATAAAAGTTTGGAAAATATACAGCCTGACAATGTGATAGAAAAGAAAATCCCATTTTCCGAGGAGAAATTCAAGCTCGCTGCAGAAATTTGCATAAGTAACGAGGAGCTGAATGTTAATCACCAAGACAGTGGGGAAAATATCTCCAGGTTTATGTCAGAGGTCTTTGCAACAGCCCTCCCATCACAGGCCCACAGGTTTAGAAGGAAAAAATGATTTCATGGGCCGGGTCCAGGGTCCCTCTGCTATGTGCAGTCTAAGGAATTGGTGTCCTGGGTTCCAGCTGCTCCAGCCATGGCTAAAAGGGGCCAAGGTTGCTTCAGAGGGTAGAAGCCCCAAACCTTGGCAGCTTTCATGCTGTGTTGAGCCTGTGGGTGCACTCAAGAATTGAGGTTTGGGAACCTCTGCCTAGATTTCAGAGGATATATGGAAAAGCCTAGATGCCCAGTCAGAAGTTTGCTACAGGGGTGGGTCCCTCTTGGAGAACCTCTGCTAGGGCAGTGCAGAAGGGTAATGTGGGGTTGGAGCCCTCACATAGAGTCCCTACTGGGGCATCGCCTAGTGGAGCTGTGAGAAGAGGGCCACCATCCTTCAGACCCCAGAATTGTAGATCTACCAACAGCTTGTACCATGTGCCTGGAAAAGCCACAGACACTCAATGCCAGCCTGTGAAAGCGGCCAGGAGCAGGGCTATATTCTGCAAAGACACAGGGGCAGAGCTGCCCAAGACTATGGGAACCCACCTCTTGCATCAGTTTTCAGTGTGACCCGAATGTGAGACATGGAGTCAAAGGAAATAACGTTGGAGCTTTAAGATTTGACTGCCCTCGTAGATTCTGGACTTTTGTGGGGCCTGTGGCTTCTTTTTTTGGCCAGTTTCTTCCATTTGGAATAGCTGTATTTACCCAATGCCTGTATCCCCATTGTATTTAGGAAGTAACTAACTTGTTTTGATTTTACAGGCTCATACATGGAAGGTATTTGCCTTGTCTCAGGTGAGACTTTGGACTGTGGACATTTGAGTTAATGATAAAATGAGTTAAGATTTTGGGAGGCTTTTGGGAAGGCATGATTGGTTTTGAAATGTGAAGACATGAGATTTGGGAGGGGCAGGAGTGGAATTATGTGGTTTGGCTCTGTGTCCCCACCCAAATCTCATTTTGTAGCTCCCATAATTCCCATGTGTTGTGGGAGGGACGTGGTGGGAGATAATTGAATCATGGAGGCAGGTCTTTCCCTTTCTGTTCTCGTGATAGTGAATAAGTCTCATGAGATCTGATGGTTTTAAATATGGGAGTTTCCCTGCACAAGGTTTTTATTTTTGTCTGCCACCATCCATGTAAGATGTGACTTTCTCCTTCCTGCCTTCTGTCATGATTGTGAGGCCTCCTGTCATGTGATAATGTAAATCCATTTCACCTCTTTTTCTACCCAGTCTCAGGTATGTCTTTATCAGCAGCATGAAAGTGAACTAATACAGATTCTAAGTCTCTTCGAGGTTTCTAAGAACTCGCTTTATGAATCTGGGTACTCCTGTATTGGGTGCATATATATTTAGGATAGTTATGTTTTCTTGTTTAATTGAATGCTTTACCATTATGAAATGACCTTTTTTGTCTTTTTTTATCATTATTGTTTAAATTCTATTTTTCCTGAAATTCGAATAGCAACCCTTGCTATTTGCTGTTTTCTGTTTGCTTGGTAGATTTTTCTCCATCCCTTTACTTGAAGCCTATAGATTTTATTGCTTGTGAGACAGGTCTCTTGAAGACACCATCCCTATGAGCCTTGGCTCTTTATCCAGCTTGTCATTCTATGTCTTTTAATTGGGGTATTTAGCCCATTTACATTTAAGGTTAGTATTGTTATATGTGAATTTGATCCTGTCATCATGATGCTAGCTGGTTACTTTGCAGACTTCCTTATGTGACTCCTTCATGGTTTCACTGGTCTGTGTATTTCAGTGTGTTTTTGTAGTGGCTGGTAATTGTTTTTTCTTTCCATATTTAGTTCTTCCTTCAGGAGCTCTTGCAAGGCAGGCCTCGTGATGACTAATTCACTAAGCTATTCCTTTTCTGAAAAAGATGTTATTTCTCCTTTGCTTATGAAGCTTACTTTGGCCAGATATGAAATTCTGGGTTGGAAATTCTTTAAGAATGTTGAATATTGATCCCCAGTCTCTTTTGGCTTGTAGGGTTTCTGCTGAGAGGTCTGCTGTTAGTCTGATGAGTTTCCCTTTTTAGGTGACCTGGCCCTTCTCCCTGGCTGCCCTTAACATTTTTTTTCCTTTCATTTTGACCTTGGAGAATCTGAAGATTATGTGCCTTGGGGTTGATCTTCTCATGGATTATCTTACTGGGGTTCCCTGCATTTCCTGAATTTGAATATTGGCCTACTTGCTAGATTTTGGAAGTTCTCCTGGATGATATTCTGAAGTATGTTTTCCAATTTGGTTTCATTCTCCCCATCTCTTTCAGGTACCCCAAACAGTCATAGGTTCGGTCTCTTTACATAATCCTGTATTTCTCGGAGGTTTTATTCAGTTTTTTATAACTTTTTTCCTCTATTCTTATCTGTCTTTCTTATTTTAGAAAGACAGTCTTCAAGCTCTGAGATTCTTTGCTTTGCTTGGTCTATTCTGCTATTGATACTAGTGATCACATTGTAAAGTTCTTGTGTTTTGATTTTCATCTCCATCAGTCAGTTATGTTTCTCTTTAAACTGGCTCTTCTGGCTATCAGCTCCTGTATTGTTCTATCACGATTCTTAACTTCTTTGCATTAGGTTACAACATGCTCCTTTAGCTCAGTTAAGTTTGTTATTATTCACCTTCTGAAGCCTACTTCTGTCAATTCAGGCATCTCAGCCTCAGCCCAGTTCTGTGCCCTGGCTGGAGAGGTGTTGCAGCCATTTGGAGGAGAAGAGGCACTCTGGCTTTTTGAGTTTTCAGTGTTTTTGTGTTGATTTTTTTCTCATCTTTGTGGGCTTATCTACCTTCAGTCTTTGAGGTTGCTGACCTTTGAATAGAGTTTTTATGGGATCTTTTTTGTTGATACTGTTGTTGTTATTTTCTGTTTGTTTTTCTTTTAACAGTCAGACCACTTTAGGGCTGCTGTGGTTCGCTGGGGGTCTGCTCCAGACCCTACTTGCCTCAGTTTTTCCTGTACCTGGAGGTATCATCAGTGAAGGTTGTGAAACAGAAAAAATGGCAGCCAGCTCCTTCCTCTGGAAGCTCTGTCCCAGAGGGGTACTAACTTGTTGCTGGCCCAAATGCACCTGTAGGAGGTGGCTGGAGACCCCTGGTAGGAGGTCTCACCCAGTCAGGAGGAATGGGATTAGGGACCCACTTAAAGAAGCAGTCTGGCTGCTTTTTGGTAGAGCAGGTGTGCTGTGTTGGGTGGAACCCTTCTTTGTTCAGACCATTTGTATTTTCCAAAGCCAGCAGGCTGGAATAGCTGAGTTGACTGAACCACAGAGATAGTGGCTACCCCTCCCCCGAGGAACTCTGTCGCAGGGAGAGATCAGAGCTCTATCCGTAGAATCCTGGCTGGAATAGTTGAAGCCCCCACAGAGAGGTCCCACCTAGTGAAAAGGAATGAATTGGGGCCTGCTTAAAGATGCAGTCTGGCCACAGTCTGGCAAGACAGCTGTGCTGTGTCATGGGGGATGCTTCATCATCCAGCCTGTTTGTATTCTCCAAAGCTGGCAGGCTGGAATGGCTGAGTCTACTGAACCACAGGAACTCAGCCCTGTCTCAGGCAGATTCCAGCCTGTCACCATTGGCTGGCTGGAATTCCATGCCAGTGGGTCTTAACTAGAGAAGTGGCCATGGAAGCGGAGCCCAGAGAATGGTGCTGCTGCTTGACTCCCTGGATTCAGCCCTCTTTCTAGGGATATGTACGAATGGACATCCCACCTTGCCGGGTATCCCAGAGCTGGAGTATGTACAACTCCTGGGTCTCTGTGTGTGTCTGAGCGGCTGCTCTTCTCAGAGTCCACACAGCTCTGTGTATCAGACCCCAGGCCCTGGTGGCGTGGGCTCACTAAGGGATCTCCTGGTCTGCAGGTTGCAAAGATCCATGGGAGAAGTATGGTTTCTCGGGTGGGGTCACACAATCATTCACCACTTCCCTTGGCTGGGGGTGAGGGTCCCTTTAGCTCTGTGCCACTCCCTGTGGGCTGTCACCACCCTCCCCAGCCCCCTCGCCACTTTTCTTCATTCTCCATGGTTTGAGTTGGTTGCTTAGTCAGTCCCAATGTGAGAACCTGGATATTTCAGGTGAAGGTGCTGAATTCACTCACCCCTTTTCATTCCTCTCTGTGAGTGCCGTGGACTGCAGCTGCTTCTAATCGCCATCTATGAATGACTCCTTATAGTCAATCTATACAACACTTACGATATAGGTACTATTAACATTCCTGTTTTACACATAATAAAACAGAGAAGCTCACAAAGGCTAAGCACATTGCCTGCTTTGATCTAACCTGGCTGGTGGGTGGTAGGGCTAGGCTTTGAGCCCAGGAATATGGTACCAGAGACTGGACTGCTAACTACTCAACACCTGGATTCTCAATACCACCATTTCCTTTAAAACAAACTCCGTAAATATTCATTACCAAAAGTTACCAAAAATATGGGAAAGAAATAATTTCAGAAATCTTGTCAAAGGCCTGCTCTGGCCCAAATCTTCAGCAACAGAGAACTTTTAATCCACATCCTAGGTTTACTTTCTAGATATTTTAGATTAAGAGCATAAGCATGTCAGTCATCTAAAGACATTCCTCATTCATTTTGTGAATGACCTTCAAATGCATTTACAAAATACCTCAATTTTAATAGCTCCAACTGGTGCCATAAACTACATGAAGTTAGGAGACTGGGAAATGATTCTCAGGTGAGGGAAGCTCTTTAACACAGAATCTAAGGACTTCCGGGATTTGGGAATTCTCTGAAATGAATCATAAAATTTTGCCACACGTTCCCTGCAGCTTGGGGAGAAAGTCTTTCCAAGAATTCTTAGTCATTTCCATAACTCCAAGGAGCTTAAACATCAGTGCTCATGGCTCAGTAACTAAGTGTTGATGTTAGCTTATCATATTAAGTGACTGACCGTTCACTTGACTATTCAGAATCTCAGTTTCTTCCTCTGTCAAATCAGAATAACCTAATTCCTATCTGGCTTACATTCAAAAGGGTAAATGTTAAATAAGATCAAGTGTGTGTATTACTCCCTCCTCCCTTTTTCTTTCTGGAAAGCTTGTGCAATTTAGCCTGTAGTTTCAGGTGTGTTCTTGTGCACCAGCTCCAATTCCTCGTGTCTTTTGAGGCTCCCTTCTGATGCCTTCTATGTTTCTCCATTTGCAGGTATTTAGTATTCTATATTCACTGTTTCCTCCAAATTGTTATTTCTGTCTGCTCCCCAAAGCCCACAAAATTTTAAATTAAGAATAAATAAAAACACTTAATATTGCAATACTGCCAATCAGCATGTAGATAGGAGATGAAGTGAGCAGGTAAACACAACAAAATGACACACCATTACTTCCAGGTAAATTAAGAAACTAGCAAGTGTTGTTTTAAAACAGCAACTCTCAGGGAGAAAGACAATGCTAGGTGGCCGTTCTGGGTATGTCTTCCAACACCAAAGTATTTTGAAAAAGAAGAAATTCCAAATGGTGTGATTTTGTCTCTCAAAGAGGAAGATCTGGGAGCCCAGCAGGCACTGAGGGCACTGCTTTCATTGCTATCTGCTGACTCACCTGATTCATGTGAGGAGCAGCACACGCACATGTAATCACAGCAACATCTAGCACTCAGATGGCACCCAGGAGAAATGCACAAGGAACATTTAACAACATGATTCTACTGACTATGACCCAATTTCCATGGTGAATTTTCTTTAGAAGCCTCATACTCAGCCATCATTTAAGAAGAAAGCTAGCCTTCCAGGGAGTGAGGCTTTTATCATCAGTCTGAGTAACCTGCACCTTCTGAAATACAGGTAGCAGGGGAAGGCTTCATCAAGAAGGCAGTAGGGTAAAGGGAATAAAAGAGAGGGCATTTTGATTCCTTGCAATATAACAAAGCCCTGTAAAAAAGTACACATGGAATTATAACTCATTCCTTAAGGAATGTTTTGCAGATGGGGAGAAAAATTTCCATAAAAACTGTAAAGAGGCAGAATTGCTGGGCATGATGGCTTGAACTTGTAATCCCCCACTACCTGGGAAGCTGAGGCAGGAGGACTGCTTGAGCACAGTAATTGGAGTCTGTAGTGAGCTACAGTGTAGTGATTATGCCGCTGTACTCCAGCTTGAGAGACAGAGTGAGACACTGTCTCAAAAAAAAAAAAAAAAAAAAAGGCAGCATAGTTCCACAGATAGTTACACATAAGCAAAATATGTATTCTAAATTAATACTGTAGTTACTGGTTTCATTTTGTCTTATACTCATTTCTAAGGTCCCTGAGATTGGGATCAGACATACGATCATATATGTATTTAATTCAACCCTGCACCTTGAGATTTCTGCTCTAATCTCACCTGTGTCAGCAATGTTGGAATGTCTTTGGTGATGGACAGCTCACCACTTCCATGACTGGACAGCTCTAACCCCATTACTCAGTTATGTCCCTAATGAAATGCTTACTTTATGGGCAGTAGGAACACAGCAGTGAACAAGAGACATATGATCCCAACTTCAGGGCCCTTCAAATTGAATGTCAGACAAGATGAAATGAATAACTACAATATTGCATTCTTCCTGATTGAACTGTCATGCCAGTAAATGCCACGTACTGTTGTTGTACCATAGGACAACTCCATCTAGTATTTGAAGATAATGATTATATTTCCAATTTTTTTCTTTTTTTTGAGACAGAGTCTCACTCTGTTGCCCAGGCTGGAGTGCAGTGGCATGATCTCGGCTCACTGCAACCTCCGCCTCTCAGGTTCAAGTGATTCTCGTCCCTCAGCCTCCCAAGTAGCTGAGATTAAAGGTGTGTGCCACTGGCTAATTTTTGCATTTTTAGTGGAGACAGGGTTTCACCACATTGATCAGGCTGGTCTGGAACTCCTGACTTCAAGTGATCCACCTGCCTTGGACTCCCAAAGTGCTGAGATTACAGGCGTGAGCCACCGTGCCCGGCCTGATCATATTTTCTTTTAAAATTTGAAAATACTCATCTTCTTGCTCTCTCCTTTTCTCCCTCTCTAATGTGAATTAGGCAAACCTCATTAGTTAGGATGTGAAATATGCTATACCTCTTCATATTTGCACTGCCAGGAGCCATGATATAGATTATGTAAATAAAGTCAAGTAAGCTTATACTTATTTTCCTTTTTGCCTTCTGAAAGTAAAACAAAACTGAATTTGTGAAGGAAATTGGGGAAATAATTTTTTGCATAAATATTTCTTAGTTTCCCTTGTCTGATTAGAAAAATTGACTCTCTATTCCACACCTCCCCTCAAGAGCTGAGACATTTATTATACTTTTCATATCCTCAAACTTTTCAATAAGAAACATAAAGCCAAACAAAGAAACCTAAACAAATTAAATGGAACCTATTTTTTTTTTCACATGCAAAATGGATTTCAGTTGTGCCTTAAGGAGGTTTTATGTTTCATTATTATTAAAAATGTCAGGAATATTTTGCCTGCTGGGAGCACAGATTTCCCTTCTATTTTTCAATCTTACTCAAAACCCCTTATTGCATATTTTATGAGTCAGAGCAGCACTTAGTTGTTACTTTTTAAAATGATAAACTCTAAAGCTGATATTGGCATTCTGCTAAATGGTCTTTGTATGTGTAGGATTGTTGAGCATTAACAGAGAGAGATATAATAAGAGAATCATTTATGGGATGCATATACACTTGTGTGACCTTTAGAAACAGAAATAGAGATTTACTGAGGGAGCAAGCGGAGTTCCTCCACATGCTAATTTTGTGAGTCCTTCTTTCATCTTGGGTGGCATAGACCACAGGCTACTTTATCATTCTTTCTCTCCTCTCCTTACCTGACAATTTTGGGAAATCATTAATTGAATTATAGAGTTGAAAGCTGGGTTGGGTGCTTGAAGGCTTCTGTTTTCTCCCTTGCCTTGCCCACGAGGTACTGTGAACTTTTTTTTTTTTTTTTTTTTGAGATGGAGTCTCACTCTGTTGCCCAGGCTGGAGTGCAGTGGCGTGATCTTCGCTCCCTGCAAGCTCCGTCTCCTGGGTTCACGCCATTCTCCTGCCTCAGTCTCCTGAGTAGCTGGGAGTACAGGCGCCAGCCACCACGCCGGTTAATTTTTTGTATTTTTTTTTAGTAGAGACGGTGTTTCACCGTGTTAGCCAGGATGATCTCGATCTCCTGACCTCGTGATCCACCCACCTTGGCCTCTTAAAGTGTGTGAGCTTCTTGAACTCATTTGGCATGTCTGAAGCGTGAACCGTTCCCTTTGAGCTTGGGAAGAATTGAGGATGTTCATGGAAAATAGAGCAAAAATAGGAGTAGCAGTAGAATTGGGAAATATTGGGAATTTAGGAATTTTCAGAGTTGTCTTTGTGTGATTCATTTCTAGAAGGGATAGAGAGGGTAATTATGAGAATTAAGTGAAATAAGGCCTGGGGAGTGCTTAGCACAGGGCCTACCACTTGGAAGGTGCTCAATAATTGTTACATATTATTATTAAGTTGTAGGCATATTCTTTTTAAATGGGATTCATTTTAAACCCCTCAAAGGGGTTTGGGAATCAACTTTTAAAAGGGGGCTTTAATTTCATCAGGAAACCATAGTGATGCCCAAGAACCAATAATGGTGGCTGGAGGTGAGCTGGTGACACGAAGTGCAGTAAAAAGAAATGTGAACATGAAGAGGATTTGACCACTCCCTACCTGTTATATCTTTAGACAGCCCTGCTTAAAAATAAACTTTGCAGTAGGTGGGACCAATAAGTCTCATGATCTCCAAATCATTTTGGTTTTGGCCTCCCCTAAGCACATCACCTTATGGAGACTGATATAGTTCTGTGGGGGTCAGAGTAGTGGAACTTCAGGGTCAGAAATAATGACAGCCACAACTTAGTTTTAACAGCATCTGCATCTTCCTTTCTTTACTTCTAAGAACCACATTCCAAGGCCGTGCCCTGAGGAACCCTACTCTCGTCTCCGAAGTGTTGCATTCCTGTAGTGCTACAAAACAAAAGTGGAGACAGTTTTCTTTTAACTTTTACCCCTCCTCCCTCCATTGCCCTCTTCATTTTCCCTGGTGAACTTCTGAAGGTCTTAAATCTGTTTTTTCATGCTGTCCAGAGACCTCCATTAGGGAGAGCCACTTGGACACAACCCAACTCAACTATTGTATATTTTATTTCATTTGGGACAATCCCTCAGTCAAGACAATGTTGTCCAGAATTCTAGAATTGAAGATGATTTTATTTTAAACAGACATATCCATTAATCACAAAAAACATAAAAGCAAATATTCAACGAGCATTTATTGTGTGCTAGACGCGGCTGCAGATATTTTGTATGTGTTCATCTCATTTAAGTCTCATGCAAATGCCAATCTTTAAACCAAGAGAGTTTATTTATTTAATACTCCATCCACCTCATTCCAGGAAGGATTGACATAAAGTTATTGCTATTCATGAGAGGCGTGAGGCAAATTTAGTTTTCAGCCTCCTTCCAGCCAGTGTAAAGAGACACTGAGATGCTTTACCATTCTAGGATACAGAACTGTTGTGATGTTTGCTCTCCCTCTAATTTTGTTTACATCCATTAGAATAAACTGTTTGTTTGATTCATTGCCTTTCCATCCAAAAAGCCAAAGGATGAGCAGCAGTAAAAAGGAACAGTATAATATGAGACTAGAAGGTATGGACCAGCTGAGTCTAAACACGTGTTTTGGTTTCACCAGAAGTGCAGAGAGTCATAGGAGTCCAAGTTCTTACAACAACAGTCTCTAGCGGTAGCTCTGGCCACGGAGAATAAGAGAAAAGCAGGTGAACACTCACCAGCTGTTGCAGCTACCTCTGCTCACACAGTTGGCAACATTATTAGTGGGCATCATGTTTAAACATGAAGACCACAGTGAGTGTTGTCACAGTCAGAGAACAATGGCTCTTAAATCAAGAGCAGAGGAGAATAATAAGCCAATTCATTAGTCATGCTTTTATTGGTCAAAGCCAATTCTTTGATAACTGTGAGATGATATGCCTTCATTAAAGCCATAAGTATCTATTATTAAATTGAAATTGTGCGTATTCCCACATTTGTATGTTAACCTTATTTATTTTTTCATTTCACAGCAGGAGTCCACTTAGATTATATTTCTATAATTAACCCAAACATAAGATGAATAAATTACCCTTCCCAGCAGAAGAAAAAACAAGTCCCTTACTCATGAGTTTACTCAATGTTTTCTCTTCTCCAATTTGTCTGTTTACTTAATGTTCCACCCTCCAATACAGTTAGCCATGGTTTCATCTCTAGCTACAACCATTTGAAATCTTCGCCCCCAATGTTGAAAAGGAGAATCTGTATTTGAGACAAACTGTTGAAAGTAACTTAAATTGTCCAGCCCAAGAGTATAAAAACAAAGTAAAACCGATGGAGATGGTTGAGTCTATTCCATCTCTTTATTAAGCAGCACTTTTAGTACTTCAGGCAATTTGTACATCCAAACACGGCTGGTGCCTCTCTTGCTATATTTACAAAAGCAAAAATTCCTGCTGCATTGCAGGCTGGATCTCCTTGGAAGCACAATCAATGCATTCACCATTTTCAGTACAGTTACTGTCATCTCCACTCTTTCTAGAGATGTATTTCTTTTCAGGGGCAAAGAAAGTAAATCTCCTTAGTTCTGAGCATTAGTGGCATTGTGCAGAGGGTCACAGGGATCTTGATAAGCAGAGAACATAATCCTTGAGGACCCTGTAGACTGGTCCCTCACCAGGCTTTCCCCGTTTGTTGTTGGCACATCTGCAGGTGAAGCATTTCATTTACCTTTATTCCCATAAAGGAAATATTGTCTAGGTGTAACAAATGATTGAATTCTGGCTTATGTGTAAACAAACACAAGGAGCCAATGTCAATGGACAGCAAGGCTCTGCTGAGCTTAACTTCAACCATCATCCTTGAGGCTCCTCTACCTCCTCCCTCACTGAGTTCACCATTACCAGGGCCCCTATTGTTTTGCGTATAAATATAATATCACAATATTTTCTGTGATACAGAAATCCCAGGAAGATATAATTGCTGTCTGTCTGTGCACAGAAGTATATACAATTATATTTCTATTTTCTTGCCTTTCCATTTTAGAGGTGAATTTTATATTCACCATCATAGAAGAAAAACTTCCAGAACAAACAAACCCCTTTTCTTACTTTTCCTTTATCCTGTACTCATAGCATACATAAAACTTAAGCTGTAGGTTAAAATACAATTTCCCTGCTTTCATTGCCCTAAATTCAGATCTTACACTTAATATACTTAGATGATAGCAGTATCTCTTGATAGATACCAATCTAGCTTGCTGAGCCAATGAGATCCTTGTTCTCCCCATTGATTTTCTTAAATGTCTGCAGTTCATTTTCATGGCCATATTCTTATAATGTGCTCATTGTTCAAATATCTCTCTTCTAAGATCACATTTGCAAGGTTACAGCATTCTCCAGAGGAGTCATTTGATTAGTGCACAGTGCAGTATCTCAGCTGCTGCAGCTCATTCTGTTAAGTTCCCCCAAGTTTTGCTTCCCAGTATGCAGACCTGTTCTGAGATTTCACCATGATCTCAGCATGGAGACAATGTGGGCCAGAATTTGGAATTATTTTAGTAAACTAACCACGTTGTGCAACCATCACCATAAATCAATTTGAGGAAATTTAAATCATCCCAATAAGATTGCTAATGCACACTTGCCACACCCTAATTTCCACATCCAAGGCAAACACTAATGTACTTTCTGTCCCTGTAACTCTGCCTTTGCTGAATATTCCTTATAAATGGAATCATACAATATGTGGTCTTTTGTGTCTGGTTTCTTTCAATGAACATAATGTGTTGAGGTTCATTCATGTTGTAACATGCATTTGTAGTTTATTCCTTTTTATTGCTGCATAGTATTCCATTATGTGAATACACTACATTTTGTCCATCCATTCCCACTTAATGGACATTTAGGTCATTTGCCATATTTGCAAATTATGCATAATGTTAAGAACATTTGTTTACAAGTCTTTGTGTGGACACATGTTTTCATTTCCTTGGGTGGATATGGAATTATGTTTTTAACAGCTTTCTTGAGTTTTAATTGATATAAAATAAACTGCACATATTTAAAGGGTTCAATTTGGTAAGTTTTGACATCTGTACACACTTGTCAACCCATCACCACAATCAAGAAAATGAACATCTCCGTCACCCCCAAATAATTCCTTGTTCTGCTCTGCAAAATCCCTGCTTATTCTTCCCCATCACTCCACATCTGCAGGCAACCCCTGCTTTGTTTTCTATCACTATAGATTACTTTTCATTTTCTAGATTTCATATCAGTGGAATTATAGAGCATGTCTGGTTTCATTCACTCAGCGTAAGTATTTTACAATTTATAGTGTTGTGGTGAATATCAATAGCTCATTCCTTTCTATTGTTGATAAATATTTTATTGTCTGTATATACAGTACCTCAATTTGTTCATCCATCTATTGATGGATATTTAGGTTGTTTCCAGTTGTTGGCTATTACAACAAAGCTGCAGTGAACATTTATATTTATATAAGCATATGCCTTCTTTTTTCTTGAATACATTCTCCGGATTGAAATGGTTGAATTATATGGTAGGTGTTTAACTTTGTAAAAAATTGCCAGATCATTTTCTAAAGTGGTTGTCCCATTTTACATTCCCACCAGCAGTGCATGAGAGTTGCCACCCTCCAGATCCTTGCCATCTTATTACAGAGAGTCTTTAATTTTAGCCATTTTAATAGGCATGGAGTAAGATTGCATTTGATTTTAATTTGCATTTCCCTAATGACAATAATATTGAGTATCTTTTCATGCACATATTTACCATCTGTATATTTGTATAGTGAAATACCTGTTCAAAACTTTTGTCCATTCTAAAAATTTTGTTTGCTTTTTAAATATTGAATTTTGAGAATTCTTTATACATTTTAGATGTAAGTTTGTTATTAGACATTTTTTGCTTTGCAAACATTTTCTTCCAGTCTGTAGCTTGTTGTTTCATGAATCAAAATAAGGTTGGTACAGCTATATTAATATGAGACAAAATATATTTCAAAGCAGAGTATTACTGGGGATAAAGAAGTTTATTTCATAATGATAATAGGGTTAGTTTATCAAGAGAACATAGCAATTCTAAACATTTATGCAGCTAACAACAAAGATTCAAAATACATGAAGCAAAATCTGTTAGAATTTCAAGGACAAGTAGGTAATCTCATAATAATAGTTGGAGATTTTAATACCCATACCTCAATAATTCTTAGGAAAAGTAGGCAGAAAATCAGAAAGGATACAGTAGGCTTGAACAACACTATCAACCTACTTTATCTGATTATTTACAGAACACTCCACTTAACAATGTACACATTCTTTTCAAGTTTGCACTGAACATCTGCCAAGATGGACTATATTTTGGCCCTTAAAATGAGCGTCAATAAATTTCAAAGTATTTAAATTATATATATATATATATATATATATATAGACTTTTTCTTTGTCCTTACAATGCTGTGCATTCAAAAATTATAACTTAGACTAGTCATCAATTCTCAAAGCCTGTATCCTCTGTGCACATGGCGTGTACATCCAACTGCCTAGCTCATAGGAAAACCACAGGTGTATAGCTACAGTGTTCTCAGGAACCCAAAACACATCCAGCTTAAACCACTCCCAACAAATAATCACACTTAGGAACTTCCACAGCCCTAAGAAGAACTAGTAGAACCATGCTTCAGAAGTTGAGGGAAGCCTGTCCTTCTTCTTTTCTCCTGTGAGCACTATTAGATTGGTGCAACAGTAATTGAGATTTTTGCTATGCTTTCAATTGCATCAACCTAATAGTACGTTTAAAAATATGGAGAAATGCCCAAACAGGAGTTATAAAATTATGGAATAATTTAAACGTTCATATTTTAAAACTTGATGCTTTTAGCATAATGGCTAAAAAAAAACACCGCATTTAATAGTATACTACAGACCTTGTAGTTCATAAGTGTAAAGTTATTTACCAAACATCTTCTTTATTTCAAGATATCTGTATAACTAAATGCATCATCTCATTATGATTTTGTGTCAGAAATGAATTTGAGCCCTTCAGAAATTCTCTCCCCATCATGAGAGGTCTTAGATCATGCCTTCTGAGCCTTTGAAGAAATTTCTGCTATCATCATGAACAATCATTGCCCAGCCTATCCCCAGGCCACCAACTAACTCTTCATTAATCTAGGTACACAAATGTTAATTTTTCTCTTCCCAGTATTGAGCCAATATGCTCATTACAAGTCACTAGTATCACTTTCAGAGGGCAAGAATCATAGATATTCATAACAGTAATATTTTGCATAGAAAAACTAGATTATCTCACTGCTCCCATGATAAAAGTGAGGTATACGGGTTCTGGGTTGGGCCAAAGAACCTTAAATTCCCACTATGATTGTGAAGCATCATGATTAGATTGTGACCTTGTTATCATCAATCTGTGGTGTATTATTAATGGATGAAAGATTGTATGGAATAAAAAATGTGGGCCTTAAAGACAGGCCAACCTGAATTCCAGTATCAGCAGTGACAATTACTAGGAAAAGGGCCTTGATTCAGTCATTAAGCCTCTCTGCACCTGAGCTGTCTCACTTTAAAACAGAAATTAATAACCCCTGGATTATGGTTTTCAGATGTATATAGTGTAAAGCACAAATCCGCAACAAAGTACACACTGAATAAATAGTGATTACTTTAGCTAAATGTTGATTATCCTGTGTATGTTAATAACAGTAAACAATGAGAAGAGATATTGCATTTGTTAAAAAAATATGTATATATAGTTGACTCATGAATAAGATGGGTTTGAACTGCATGGATTCACTTATACATAGATTTTCTTCCGCCTCTGCCATCCCTGAGACAACAAGACCAACCCCTCCTTTTTCTCTTCAGCCTACTCGATGTGAAGATGACAAGGGTGAAGACCTTCATGATGATCCACTTGCACTTAGTGAATAGGAAATATATTTTCTCTTCCTTATGATTTTCTTAAAACATTTTCTTTTCTCTAGCTTACTTTATTTTAAGAATACAGCATATAATACATAGAACACACAAAGCATATATTAATTGGCTATGTTATCAGTAAAGTTTCTGGTCAACCATAGATCATTAGTAGTTAAGTTTTTGGGGAGTCAAAAGTTACATGTGGATTTTCTACTGCATGTGGGTTTGGTGGCCCTAACTTCCATGTTGTTATGGGGTCAACTGTATATATAGTTTTGAAATCAGTTAAAACATTTACAAACCAGCAGGTATTTCTCATTTAGAACATGGTACCACTCAGCCCCCAAATTGACTACTTATAACATTAGCACATGCAGGCTGTATTATTCTTAGAGAAAAGTCACCTGGTCTAATAAACCAGAAAATACATAAGCTAGAGTTTTAGACACTAGGTGCAGATGACATTGTGTTATCATTGAGGAGAAGAGGAAAATGATCAAGAGGGTGAGGGAGAAGTGCCCATTGGCAAAACCAGACGGACCCATGGCTGACCTTGCTGGTTGCTCAGTAAAGCCAGTGTCCTCTTCTTCCTGGGCTCAGAGCTGTACAGTATTTTCAGCCTTCTTTCGGGTTAGATGGGGCCATGTAACTGCGCTCTTGCCCATGGAGTCTGAGAAGAAGAACTGTGCTTCAACTTTTGGCCTGACCCATGAAAGTCCTTCAGCATGTGCTCTTAATGTCATTTGCCCTTTAAATAGTAGCTCACAAAGAGACTCTCAGGGGTGGCAAAGCCACTGGATGGAAGGATTCTGAGTCCCTGAGTCATGATAGGGAAGTCACCCCCAATCAAAAACATAGTCCTTGGGTTGTTACTTAAGCAAGAAATACTGTTACTATGTTTTACGATTTGTATTTTGGGCAGCCTGCACTAACTACTGCAGTCTGGTATTGCGTTTGGTTATCTGTGTGCCTAGTAGATCGTGCAGAAAACAAAGGTAGGTTGCTCTGTAACAGATAGATGTGCTTTTCTAATTACCAAGTGCAGTAATTAAATGCATTTGCTTTAAGTTCATTTTGTAATACGTTTTGACAGGTTTGTTCTAATCGTATTTTGTGTTTATCAGTGACCTTCCATCCAACCTCATACACAATTGATTGAGAATTATCTGATTTAGAATTTTTGAGCCACTTTGGCTACACCACTGTCACTTGGAGGGTCCTTGGTCCTTTCTAAACTCACCCATCCTTAAAGGCCTACTTCATTTCCTCTCCTCTGGAAAGCCATTCCTAATGTACTAGTGTACAAAGTTCTCTTTGTCCTCTAAATCTGTACAGCACTGAGAGTCTGGAGTATCTGTTAAGCTCTAAAACATACCTTGCCGATTTTTGATAGTTATCTTTAAAATGTGTGTTACTAGGCTGGAAGCAGTGGCTCATGCATGCAATTCCAGCACTTTGGGAGGTTGAGGTGGGAGGATCGCTTGAGCCTAGGAATTCTGAGAGCACACTGGGCAACATAGGGAGACCTCATCTCTACGAAAAAATTTTAAAAATACCTGGGTGTGGTGTTGTGTGCTTGTAGTCCCAGTTACTCAGGAGGCTGAGGCAGGAGGATTGCTTGAGCCTAGGAGTTCAAGGCTGCAGTGAGCAAAGATTGCACCACTGCACTCCAGCCTGGGTGGCAGAGTGAGACCCAGTCACTAAAAAGAAAAAAAAAAAGTGTCATTTATCTGCTTTTATCATCCATTCATCTCTCCATCCACCCACCCATCCATCCCATTATCCAGATACTCATTTACTCATCCATTAATTAATTCATCCAATACGTATTTAAACACTTAATGCTGTTCTTGGGATTTTGCAAGGTACTAAGTCTACTGAGATGAATACAACATGATTCTCTGTGTTTACACAGATACAGTTCATGTAGAAACAGGTCTGATCTGTAGTATGATCATGTAGAAATGATCAAGTAGTCCTCTAAAATTTAATATATATCATGATAATGCTGTATAAGAAGGGCTTTGGAAGCATGGAGAAAAGATTGGGGGGGGGGCTTTACAAAGAAAATGAAATTTGAGGTGGGTCACACTCACAGCTGTGCTCACTTCAGACCTTACCTGTGCCAGATCCTTGATGAGTGCCTGTGCTCAGTGTCTTATTTAATTATTATAACTATGCTGGGGAGGGAGGAGCCTTGAGCCCATTGTACAGATGAGGAAACTAAGGCACAGGAAATTATTCTTAGCTGAATTTACCTGAGATCACTTGGTGGGTGAGTATTGGGGCCAAGATTAAAATCCTGTCTGCTTTGATTTCTCAACACTTCTAACCACTGAATTCTCAAGACCTCCTTGGGAAGGATGAGTGGTTGTTTGCTGAGTGCAGAGGAGAAAGAGCGATAGAGAGAGCAGAGTGTGCAGGGCTCAGAGGAATAAAAAGCATGTGCCACACTAAGGAAACAGAGTCCTGAAGGCCTGATAAAAGTCAGGGTGGGGTGGCAGGAGATGAAGATGGAGGAACCTAAAGCCATATTTCAAAGGGCCTTGGCATCACTGTCAGGAATTGAATGAATTTGTGAGGCAGTTGAAGTCCACAGGAGTATTTTAACCTGGTGAGTGACTTCATAATAACATATAGTAATTAGTGTGCATTTACCAGGCACCAGGAACCCTTGTTCTACATACACTACTTACCTGTGCTACTCCAGGCCTATGAGAGAGTACTATTGTTACTCACAGATCGAGGAAGAGGAAACTCAGTTATAGAAAAAATCAGCTTGACCAACGCCATCCTTTAAGAACATAACTGGGGGCGGGATTTGAACCCTGGTTATCTACCTGTGAGTCCAAATTCTTAACCATCCTCCCTTCGAAGACCTCTCATCTTTTGTGATTTTGAAAAATATCTCTGTCTGGCAAAGACCAGGAAGGTGCCTCATGAAGATCAAGGACAAATTTAGGAGGGTAATGAATATACAGGATAAGAGACAATGAAAATCGGAACAATGGCTACGGGAGATGAAAAGAGAGCGTTCAGTGTTGGACAGAAACAGTTTCTTGAATATCTACATGTTCTACCTGTCTGGTACAAAAATGGTGGTTGACTGACTGTTGAAAACACATCCCTCCCCAGACCCCCTTGAGACTGGTGTCTGTATCTTTAAATTTGAGGAACAGAAAAATGGAGATATCTCATTCCCCTACCTTGCTCCAAGTGTAGCTTGCAGACCAAGTTTCTCTTCCATAAATAAATGTATTCTTCCTCTGCTGAGCTGACCTCTAAATTATAGATTCCTTCTGGAAAGGTTTATAAAGATTTATAAAGATGGGAAATTATTTATGTGGAAGATCCTCCTCACCGTCACTTCTCCTGGGAGAAAATACCTGGCCTTTCTCCAAGCCTCAGAGAAAAACAACTTCTTATTTTGGACAATTTTCTAGTTGTCTGAGGTGAGTTACAATCGCTCTGTTTTGTGCCTCCATAACCTCTTACTGGCCTTGGAGAGGCATCATCTATTTGTAGAGGCCTTGAAGCACCACCAGACCTGCTGTAGCATAACTTTCCCCACTGTAGTATTCTGATTACATTATGCCTTCCTCTATGTCCCCACTATAATGTTTAAATACCAATTTGCAGCATCTCGGGGAACATCATTTGGTTTCCAAGTCTAGTGTAATCAAAAAAGGCATTCATGGTTGTCACCAACTTAGCTATTCCTGTCTGATGATTTGAGATAAACAAGCATCTTGCGCTTCTTAGCACACATGGATTCACTCCTACAAACATTCTCTCATCCAGCATCACTCCACCTGAAAAAAGGTCTCATCTCTGTAGGTTATTATAAGGGTCAGGAGAGACCATTTTCCTTGGGGAGCATCCTAAGATGCTTTGGGTAATGGCAAAGCCACAGCAAAAGTATAACGTTTGAGAAACAGAAGGGAAGTAAGAATTTTCTGTAATTAATAGAGTTGTGCTATGAGAAGTGTTACCAAGATTTTCAGCTTGGATAAGAAAATCAATGCAATCCAAGGGTTGTCAATATCACCAATTATATCTCATTGGGCATAATTGAAAGTAGTTTGACTGCTTGATTACAGATTATCTTAAAAACTCTGATGCCTTACTATATGTCACCCTAATCTGTGAATCAGAAGTAGGTTGAAATAAAAATAAAACCACCTTCTGTCTTCCAAAAGCTTGGCTACCAGCCAACAAGCAGCTGATTTATCTATAATATAGAGTACGTAATTCAAAATTACATTGGAGGTAAGGGGGGAAAAAAGCCTTGCTTAATTTCATGTACATGGACAGTAAATTTTGCCGACAGATTTATGAGCTTTAACCTGCTAAACAATCATCTGCTGAATTTTTTCACTATTTTGTCTTTGAAGAGAGGCAAATCATCTCATCTTCAGGCCTTTTGGATGATCTCTCCCCAGGACCTGATGGACTTTAAAATTGCCAGAGAGAAACCAGTTAAATTTGACTCAATGCTACAAATGGTAGCAGTCTAAGTCCTTGAAAAATGTCATAGACCTTTCCAATTGGTGTTTGGCATGGAAGACAGCAAAGTGATGATGGGCACCACATCTTCATTAGAAGTGGAATGGAGACATTCATTGTGGGCCATCACCTCTCCTTTTGAAGGTCCCATATTATTTGGGTGACACAGAACTGCAGGTCATTGTGACTCAACTGCTCATCCGCAGTTTCTTTTCTAAACTTTCAATAGAGTTAGAAATGAAAGAACTCAGAACCATGTGGTCTCTCATCCCCTGAGTCAGGTGCCAGTGACATCTAAAGAGACCTTTGGGGAATGCTAAGAATGAAAGAATACCATCCAAGAGAAAACAGAGGCAACAGCGTTGTTCCCAGAGTTGGCAGCTCCCATTCGTATACTTTCCAGAGTTTTTAAAGTCTCAGGCTGAAACAGATGACACTATAGATTTGAAAGATAGATAGATAGATAGATAGATAGATAGATAGATAGATAGATAGGTAGATTTTCAAGAAATTGGCTCCTGTGATGGTGGGAACTGGCAAATCTGAAACCTGTAAGGCAGGCTGGCAGGCTTAAAACCCAGGCAGGGGTTAATGTTGCAGTCTTGAAGCAGAATCACTTCTCTGGTAAACCTCGGCTTTTCTTTTTAAGGCCTTCAACTGGTTGGATGAGGCCCACATATATTATTGAGGGTAATCTTCTTTACTTAAAATAAACTGATTGTAGATGTTAATCACATCTAAAAAATAACAGAACAACACTGAGTAGTGTTTGATTAAGTAACTGGGTTCTATAAGTCAGCCAAGTTGACACATAAAACTATTCATCATGCAGGCTTTGATCTAATGCTCTATCTGGTGAAGATGATGCAAAAGTCAAAAGGCCAAGCCAAATGAATTCTCTGTGGTTTCTTTTCCAATCATATGCTTTCCCCAAATAGCACTTAGTCTATAGATCTCTGTTAAATTAAAAAAAGGAATGAATGGTCCTTGAGATAAACCTAAAAGGGCCTGGCATATAATGTATACCCTGTGGGTCCTCAATAAGTGGGTCCTCCTTTCTTCCTCATGTAGGATCCTTGCTCCTCTCCTACTGAGCATGGAAAATGAAAGAAGGTTAATTCTGTCCAAAGGAGAGCTGGATCTGAGGCTTTGCTGGGTTGATCCCTCAGCCACAGCCAGAGTTCAGGAATCACCCTCATTTTCACCCATGGCCACCAGGAAATTTCCCACCACAGATGGAAAGGAAACATCATCACCCTAGGAGTGAAGGAAGATCCCAGCTAATTCCTTGTCAGGGGCAGTTTGTGTGCAGGTGGAGTGGTCAGAGCCTCTGGCTGCCTGTCACAGAGGAGGCTTTCTCACCTACAGCAGAGCCTTCCGTCAGGTGGACCACAAAGGTTAGGTAGAGTTTTAGGAAGAAACAGACCAGAGTTTGAACCTACTTCCTTTATTTACCTGCTGTGACACATGAGGCCAATCACTTACCATTTCTCTTACTAAAATGGGATCAATGATCTGTTGTGTAAGGTTGTGTGAGGTTTGAATGGGATAGGATGGGGAGAACTTAGTGTGGTGCCTGGAACTGAGGAAGAATGTGACACCTGTTAACTGTTCTTGCTTTGATTTAAAATGCTACCATCTAAGAAACATTCGTTTACCTTAAATCCTCACACACAATTATCTATTTTAGTGTCACTTGACAGAGGAATCACATTATGTGACCAAGACCCAGTGTGAGTCAGTATCTTAGGTCACCTTCCTACATGAGAGGAGTAAAAATATGTATAAAGAAAAAAAGAAAAGAAAGACAGAGGAGCATGAGGGCTGAGAGTAATTCCCTCACTTTTAGCCTTCAGGGTCAAAGCCATTTGAGATCACAGAGGTTTCCTAAGTAGACCATATATGAAACTAAACTGTGGACAGTTGTTTTCAAAAACCTGCACAAAATTCTCTCAGCTCACAACTCTTCAGAAATCTGAAGCAAATGAAAGCTGCACAATGGCTACAAGCGCATGGTGTACAGTTGGCTGGCGTGGATGTGAATATCAGGTGCAGCACTGGTCAGCTGTGTGAGGTGGGCCTCAGCTCCTGCCTCTGTAAAATGGGAATAATAATAATAATACCTACCTCCTAGGGTTCTTGTGAGGAGTAAAGTGAATATGCAAGTGAAGTACTTAGCTAAGTGCTTCCCATCTAAATACTCAATAAATTCTCTTTTGATTATAGTCATCACCATGCAACTCACAAAACAGAAATAGAGGTGTCAGAAAGGGATTTACAATGGAGAGTGGTGGAACAATATTATTTACAGCAAATCTGAATTTATTCTGCATTATCCCAGATAAACCTGCAGTCAAGATTTGGTTAAATAAATCTCAGTCATCTTCAGACTAACCCAATTTAGAGGCATTGAATGACTGTGGAAATAAAACCTAGAAGAGAATTTGCAGCTAGAAACAGAGAAACTGCCCCAAGTGGAAGGTTCCTAAGGGAGCCAAACAACACCAGAGCATCATTAAACTCTTCCCTACCAGCAGACTACTGATCCTGTGGGTTATAACCCCAAACAGGCTGCAGAGGCCTTTCATGGTCAAAAAGACTTGGATTTAGGATTTTCAGCAGAGGGGCGGCAAGTGTTCTATGAATAAAGGATGGACCAAACTACACAGGGCAGGCAGCTGCAGGCTTTCAGGAGTGTTAATTTTACTTTGTATCACAAATGTGTAAATGTTGCAAATACATACAAGAATGACAAACAGGAGAGCACAAAATGACCATTAGAGTTACAATATGTGCACAAGAAAGCCATCAGATAATCTCTGCACATAAAGGGCCATATAAATACCAAGTAATTCCGCCCCTTATTACTACTAATAATGTATCATCTGGCCAAAGCAGTTCCTTAAGTACTTTTTGTTCTCTACTGGTATCATGTCATTAATCCCATTTACATAGTCAATAGGGAAGCCTTGAGTACAAATTAGGTTCACTAGAAGATGTATTAGAATTAGGGCAAGTGAAGATTCTTCTTTTTTCCTGTGCGGATGCCATGCTGATTTTCTGTCAAACACTCTTTACCTCTGAACTCTACTTTGAATACTGAATAATACCCTGGAAAGGGGTGGTTATTATAGCATACGATGGTTTTGAGTTGGATGACCCCTGCATTACTGAAACCTGAGAATAACCCTGGGCCATTAATAAGCCTCTTCTCCAACATTCCCATTCCAATCAGCCCAAGCAGTGAGGTTTTTCTGTTTGTCAGTGAAATGGGAAAGAGGGAGAATGTCCAATGATGTGTCCCTCTCAAACTGTATAAGGCAATTAACCTATCAAGCACCTTCGAAATGGGAGGTAATAACATGAGGTAGCTCAGAACACAGGCTCCAGAGTCAGACAAACCTGTTTTGCAACCCAGTTCACCATTATCTGAATCATTGTTGGATACGTCCCTTAATGTCTTCCAGACGAAGTTGTCTCCTCTTTAAAATAAAGACTAAGCTTTTAAAATGGACATATTAGTAGTAAGTACTTTTAGGTTTATTAGGAAAATTATTTATTATTACTGGGAAACAAAGGAAAGCAGGAAGACAGGTAAAGAGAGGGAATGCCCTGAACAGTCACTGCTTTCCTACAGAAATCTGTCCTTGTGAACCCGAACAGAGCAGCAGCTTCCTTCCAGGAGCCAGTCCCGAGGCCATGTGAGCAGCAGTGGCACCTGCTTTTGTTTTTTGTGGGGCATGTGCTGTGAACCTGTTTAAAGACTATAAAGATAGGAAGATGCTGAGTCTGTCTTGTGGCTGTACTCCCAGCAGAAGCTGAACCAATTTGTCCTTGCTGGGCAATTACAGGCCTTAATTAGAGGAGGAGGTTACAACAAAGGAGCCTGATGTAGCTTAAATGACTGCCAGCCACTCTGGCTACAAATATAAACAAATACATGGTTAGAATTAGGGACAGAAATACATGAAGAAGCTAGCACCTCTTGGTTTCAGATAGATTATTTCAAGGAAATGAAAGAAGTTTCCATGGAACTCTTGAAGGAGATTCCATGGGTCTTTAATGCAACTGATGTAAACAAGCTGGTAAATGTTGTTCAATATGTTTTCTATCAAAAGCTTCCAGGTTATTCTATATCAGAAGTTTCACACCCAGGAGATGAAGGTCATCATCATCATCAACAGTAACAACTTTTTTGAGTTCTTTCTATGTGCCAGAAACAGAGCTAATGCTTTAAAAATATTTTATCTTTTATTTTATAAAACAACTTCATTTTCTGGGTGAGGAAACTGGGCTATGTAAGTGAAGTAACATTTTCAAGGCCATGCTGCTACGTGCCAGATTGGGTTCTGAAGCTATATTTGTCCTACTAAATCCTGTATTTTTTGTTTTAATTTTTTGTAGAGATGAGATTTTGCTATGTTTCCCAGGCTGGTAATGATCACGTAGTCTCAGGCAATCCTCCTGCCTCAGCCTCTCAAAATGCTGGGATTACAGGCCTGAGACACTGCACCTGGCCTAAATCCTCTGTTTTTTAGCCATTATGGTCTACTTTCTTCCACAGCCAAGAACATGTGCATACACAAACACACACGCATGGATGCACGCACACACACACCCATACACACACACCTCCACAGTGAAAAAGTTGAGTGGCAAAAAAGACAGGTATTGGTGATATCTACAAGGGTGAACAAGGAGGCAACTCCTGAATTGCTGATGATGACACTAATGAAAGTCGTCACCCTTGTGTCAGGTAAGATTTGTAAAATGGGATGTTTGCTGGAAAGTAGAAGCCTTTGACTCTGCACACAGGTACCCACAGGGCTCTGGGAACTGGCCAGTGCTGGATTATCTGCTCTCTTCTGCCAGGAGGACTGGGTATAGGAAATGGGTCGTCATGGTGATGGTGTCTTGCTAACTGGGCACATTGCAGCTGATAACTCCCAAGGCCTCCGTGGAGGTATGAGTTCTGCTGCAAGAGAACTTATACCTCCATGGGTATCTTTGGTATCAGCTTTGTCTGATATCAGATGTGTTCTGCTCACTGGCATTTGATCAAACACTTAATATGTTGACTATATAATGCCTTCACATATTTCAAATGTAGTTGAGGATTAGAATAAAAAGATTCATTCCCACTCCTATCTCTCCTCCTTCAAGTTTACATCCTTCTCCCTTAGATAGCAACCATTTTTAAGTAGTTTTCTATGTATCTCTCTGGCTTTTTGTTTACATTAAAAAATTAAACAATCCCAAATGTCCAACAATGATAGACTGGATTAAGAAAATGTGGCACATATACACCATGGAATACTATGCAGCCATAAAAAATGATGAGTTCATGTCCTTTGTAGGGACATGGATGAAATTGGAAACCATCATTCTCAGTAAACTATGGCAAGAACAAAAAACCAAACACCGCATGTTCTCACTCATAGGTGGGAACTGAACAATGAGATCACATGGACACAGGAAGGGGAACATCACACTCTGGGGACTGTTTTGGGGTGGGGGGAGGGGGATAGCATTGGGAGATATACCTAATGCTAGATGACGAGTTAGTGGGTGCAGCACACCAGCACGGCACATGTATACGTATGTAACTAACCTGCACAATGTGCACATGTACCCTAAATCTTAAAGTATAATAATAAAAAAAAAATTAAACAATCTTAATTGACAAAAAACATATTTCTCATGTATAGCACAATGTTTTGAAATGCGTATACATTGTGGGATGGCTAACTTGAGCTAATTAACATATACGTGACCTCACATACTATGTTTTTTGTGGAAAGAACACTTTAAATATACTCTTTTAGTAATTTTCAAGAATACAATATAGTGTTATTAACTGTGTCATCATGTTGTGCAATAGATCTCTTAAACTTATTTCCACTATCTAACAGAAAGTTTTTATGTTTTGACCAACATCTTCCCAATTTCCTCCCTGCCTGGTTTTTAAACATGCAACAAAATACGCATAGATATGCTTCTTTTTTCTTTCTTTACATAGAAGGAAGCACACTGTTCTGCAAAACTTCCCCATACCCTCCGGTTGGCAGCATCTCAATTTTTAAGAACATGGAAAGATTTCTCATTCTGTTTTATAGGGACATAATGTTTCATTGTAGGTATATACAATAATAGATTCCATCAATTTGCTATTGGATATTTGGGCTATTTCCAATATTTGTTATTTCAAGGGATACTGCGGGGAACAACCTGGACATGTGCCATCTCACACATGTATTTTTGGAGGTAAGGTCTCCAGAGATTGGTTGCTGAGTCCAGGGAATGATCATTTGTCATTTAGAAAAATACTGGTATGCAGATGGATATTCTGAGAACTGCAATCAAAATTTAAAATCTCATTCTTGAGAGCTGATCTGGAATGTGCTAGGTCACATGTGTTTTCCTCATTCTTTAGTGGAAGAAATGTCTTCATTTGAAGGTCCTTTCCAACCCTTGGGCATAGATTCATTCCATTTCTTAGAAACTCAGAAACCTTAGGACAGGATTAACCGTTCTGAACCTGGCTTTGCCCATCACCTTCCCTGCTTAGATGTCTTCAAGGCATCCCCAGTGGCCAGTCTGGAAACTGAGGCCATTCACTGTCAGATTTCAGGGGACATTTCCACTGCTCTTCTCTGTAGTTCTGTTCTCCTTGCCTGTCCACAAACAGGCCTGGGCTCTCTAGTTACGAGTGCCCTCTCCTGCATCTCAGCTTTTTCGTGGTACTTTATTTGTTCTCCTCATGTTGATGCTTACTCTTGTTTCACTGTTTTCTGGGTACCCACCTTTTCTCTCCTTCCAGACCAAAATATCTTCTGGTATAGTAGTTTGTCCAGCTTTTCCAGGCATCCACCTCCTGCAATGCCTAATAACAGCCTTGTGCATGGTCAATGCTTCATAAATGTTTGTGGTGACCGTCAGCAACTGCTGTCCGAAGCTCTGAGCTGTGGCTTCTATTCTTTTTACTGAGAAACTGCAGTAGCGACTTCTCTCAGTGGTAACTTCCCAAGGCTGTTTCTGTGGAGTCCTGCATGTTTCTCACCTTCTCGGAAACTTTCAAACAGCCTTTGGATTCCCCTGAAGCTGGACAGCTCCATTTTACTTCATTCTGGAAAGTTGCTCACAATAGGCCCTACTGAGGGCCTATTGGTAATGGATATGGTGCCACGATTCGTCTTTGAAAGCTCTGGTTCAAAGCCCCCTCAGTATCTGTCCTCTCAGCTACCTTCTCTTTAGCCTCATGGAGGACAGAGGGTCTTGTCCCCATAAGGTGAGCTCTCATACCAGACAAAGACCTTTCCTCTTGCTCTCAAGGTGGCAGAGAACTTTCTATACCTTTTCAGTTTTCAAACCCAGTAACAGATGTAGTGACAGTCCAAATTCAGCTTCATAAATCCTTATTTGCACCGAGGAATTTGAAAATCAGAAGCTACTCTGTTGAGCCTGAAGTTTATTTTGTCAGTTGCATACACTAAATTCCAACAGTGGCTTTGCCGTTATGCAGGGAGGAAGTGATCAAATTCATTTGCTCCCATATCAGTGTCCTCAAAGTGTGGTCCAAGCACATCACAGCACCTGGGTGATTTTGATGCACTTCAAACCTGGCAAACCTTCATCTAATTATTGGAAGTGATTGATGAAAAACCCAAGAAAGAGAGAAGGACTAGTATTCGTGATCCAAAAATCTTTCCGTACCCCTCAGGCAGTTACACTGGATTATCCTTGTGGGAGTCACATTAATTACTTGTGCTGGAAAAACCAAGCCCAGCAAATCTCCCTGAATTACAAACTATGTAAACCAGGGTTGCTTAATCTGGAGTCTGGACGTAATAAAATGCGTCTGATAAATACCTGGTTGTATAGTTGGGGTATCGGTAGGGATTCTTTCTGCTGGAAGGATCAGAAAACACAAGCCAATATGGTTTAAACAAAAAATGGATATTTATTCACTTCCATAAGTGAACATTTCAAGATCTATGTATTGCTGCCTTTAGAGGACCTGTTGACTCCGCTTTCCTGAGTGTTGGCTTCACTCTCAGGCAGGCTCTTCCCTGTGATGGCCCCACAGCTCCAGTCTTCCAGTCTTCTCACTTCACATCCAACAGGAGAAAATTTCCCCTTCACAGCAGCTTTAGATGGACCAGCAGGGACTGAGTGCTCACTTCTGAACCAAACACTCTGGCCAGATGGAGTTTATGCTTCCCCCAAGTATACACATGCACACACATGCGTACACGCACACACATGCATACGTGCACACACACACACACATGCCAGATAAGAAAAGTGGAAAGCTGACTTTGGAAAGGCAATTCTTGTTGCTATCATGAGAAATAAAGATGAATATTTTGCATGCAAACAAAAGATTTCATCATAGTGTATACATTAGAAATAAAGAAATAAGGTTCTTTACATACTGTAAAGATAATTATGAAATGGTAAGAGTCTTGAATTGAGAGTCAAAGTTCCAGATTCTTGCTCCTACATCTGTATAAGAGCCTCTTGGGCCATTCGGTTTTCTTGTTTAGAAAGCAGAAGTAATGCCTGACCTGAAAAACTCCCCTTTTCAAAGAAGACTTTTGATTTGTAATTACTTATTTAGTGCTCACCTTACATTAGACTCTAAGGCCTATGGGTGCAAAGCCAATAGCTGCCTCATTTAATGCTGTATTTCCAGTGCCTGGCACAGAACTTGGCATACAGTAGATGTTCAATAAATACTTTAAAAATAAATAAGTTAATACATGGTACAAATATAATTGAAAGAGAAGTCAGTAAACTAAAATGTTCTTGATCCTGATCTCTGGATTTATACTAATGGAAAATCAGACTACGTGCTGAAGAGAATCTTAGGAAACTTTAAGTCTAACCCTATCTCTGCCTTTAATTATGGTTATAACCTTACTCTATGAGCCTCAATTTTTTCCTCTATAAAATATGGGAACTAAAGTGGATGATCCCTGACATTATTTCACCAAAACTAAATTCTGTCACCTAAGATAGGTGGTAAACCAGAATACGATCCCCAAAATAGAATGAGTTCATATATTAAAATCTTCATATAAAATGATTGCTCTATTCTAGAATCATAGGCCAGGAGTATGAATCCTGACCATGGGGACCACCAATTTTGTTCTTTGTTTTTCTTTCCATTCTTTCATGCACTCAAATAATTATTAAACAGTTACTTTGCGTGTTCTGGCTCCACTGATTCTTTAAAATTAATCTCACCAATCTATATCCCTGCCTTGATGAGGCACCCCTGCTTGAGCTCTGTAGGTTCAATCTTTGATGATAATCAGAGCCCCAGTCATCAAAGGTCTATCATGTATATCCCATAAAGTGATTAAGATAAGTTCATTTCTGACTTTGATGTATTATGAAAATGACAGAATCTAATCCTCCCTGAAGTATAATTTTCTGGAATAGAATTTTGGTATCAAAAAGATACCGAAGTCAGGGCTGGCTGCAGTGGCTCACGCCTGTAATCCCCAGCACTTTGGGAGGTTGATGTAGGAGGACCACTTGGGATCAGGAGTTCAAGAACAGCCTGGGCAACATAGTGAGACCTTATCTTTCTTTCTTTTTTTTTTTTTTGTGAGCAACAGGGCTGTTTATTTCACCTGGGTGCAGGTGGGCTGAGTCCTAAAAGAGAGTCAGAGAAGGAAGACAGGGGTGGGGCCGTTTTATAAGATTTGGGTAGGTAAAGGAAAATTACAGTCAAAGGGGAGTTGTTCTCTGGTGGGCAGGAGTGGGGGTCACAATGTGCTCAGTGGGGGAGTTTTTGAGCCAGGATGAGTCAGGAGAAGGAATTTCACAAGGTAATGTCATCACTTAAGGCAAGGACTGGCCATTTTCACTTCTTCTGTGGTGGAATGTCATCAGTTAAGGCAGGAACAGGCCATTTAAATATCACTTTTGTTATTCTTCAGTTACTTCAGGCCATCTGGATGTATACGTGCAGGTCACAGGGGATAAGATGGCTTAGCTTGGGCTCAGAGGCCTGACATTCCTGTCTTCTTATATTAATAAGAAAAATAAAACAATAATGTTCAAATGTTGGGGCGGGGAAAATTTTTGGGGGTGGTATGGAGAGATAATGGGCGATGTTTCTCAGGGCTGCTTCGAGCGGGATTAGGGGCGGCGTGGGAACTTACAGCGGGAGAGATTAAGCTGAAGGAAGATTTTGTGGTAACGGGTGATATTGTGGGGTTGTTAGAAGAAACATTTGTCATATAGAATTATTGGTGATGGCCTGGATATGGTTTTGTACGAATTGAAAAAAGAACGGAATAAGACAAGACGAAAAGCAGGTATTAAAGGACTAAGAATTGGGAGGACCCAGGGCATCTAACTAGAGAGTGCCTAAGGAGGTTCAGCATAGCCCTGACAGCAAAGATTATTTATTTACTTTAAGAGGGAGTTAAGAGTGGCAGTTTGGGGATAGCAACAGGAAATATCAGCTGTGATGGCTTGGAGAAATAGTGTAAACCGGCAGTGTAAACAAGAGCAGGGCATTTATGAGTAGTTGAGAATAGTGAATAGGAGTATGACCAGATAGAAGATAGTAGGGATGACAAGTTTTTTTTTTTTTTGGGTGAGGGGGTGGCGCAGTCCAGGTTGCTCTGGTGTCTGGAATGAGACTGGGGCCTAATAAAAAGGAGCGTCTATACAGGAGCTCAAATGGACTGTACCCTGTAGCATTCCAAGGACAGGCCCGAATTCTGAGAAGCGCAAGTGGTAAAAGTATTGTCCAGTCCTTTTTTTAAGTTGGTGGCTGAGCTTGGTGAGCTGTGTTTTTAAAAGACCATTAGTTCACTGAATACTAAGAGCCTGACAAACTGCTTGGGTGATTTGACTAATAAAGGCCAGTCTGTTATAGGACTGTATAGAGGTGGGAAGGCCAAACTGAGGAATTATATCTGACAGAAGGGAAGAAATGACCATGGTGGCCTTCTTAGACCCTGTGGGAAAGGCCTCTACCTATCCAGTGAAAGTGTCTACCCAGACCAAGAGGTATTTTAGTTTCCTGACTCGGGGCAAGTTGAGTAAAGCCAATTTGCCAGTCCTGGGTGGGGGCAAATCCACGAGCTTGATGTGTAGGGAAGGGAAGGGGCCTGAATAATCCCTGAGGAGTAGTAGAATAGCAGATGGAACACTGAGAAGTTATTTCCTTGAGGATAGATTTCTACGATGGAAAGGAAATGAGAAGTTCTAAGAGGTGGGCTAGTGGCTTGTACTACAGCATAGCCTGCCTTTGCTGGTGTGTGGCAATTAGGCCTGGTGGAAGTGCCATCAATAAACCAAGTGTGATCAGGGTGTGGAAAGAAGGAAACATGGGGAAATGGGGTGAATGTCAGGTGGATCAGAGAGATATAGCCATGGGAGTCAGGTGTGGTATCAGGAATAATGTGGGAGGCTGGATTGAAGTCTGGGCCAGGAACAATGGTAATTGTGGGAGACTCAGCAAAGAGTGAGTATAGCTGAAGGAGCCGGGGAGCAGAAAGTATATGTGTCAGGTGTGAGGAAGAAAATAGATTTTGGAAGTTATGAGAACTGTAAAGAGCGAGTTGAGCATAGTTTGTGATTTTAAGGGCCTCTAAAAGTATTAGGGCAGCAGCGGCCGCCACATGCAGACTTGAGGGCTAGGCAAAACAGTAAGGTCAAATTGTTTGGATAAAAAGGCTACAGGGCATGGTCTCGGTTCTTGTGTAAGAATTCTGACTGCATAGCCCTGCACTTTGCCTATGGGTAATGAAAAGGGTTGGGATGAGTCAGGGAGAGCTAGGGTGGGGGCAGTCTCTAAAGCTGTCTTCAAGGAACGGAAAGAGGAGTGGGGAAAGGATTTAGGATCTATGGGGTCAGCTAGGTTTCCTTTTGTGAGTTTATATAATGGTTTTGTTAGGATGGCAAAACCAGGTATTTAAAGTCAAAAGTATCCAACCATGCCTAGGAAGGAAAGGAGTTATTGTTTTGTGGAAGGTGTTGGGGTTTGAGAGATCAGTCGGACATGATTGGCAGGGAGAGCACGTGTGTTTTTATGAGAATTATGCCGAGATATGTAACAGATGAGCAAGAAATTTGGGCTTGACTGAAGTAATGGGGGCTGTCTGTGAAGCCTTGCGGCAGTACAGCCCAGGTAATTTGCTGAGCCCAATGGGTGTCAGGGTTAGTCCAAGTGAAAGCGAAGAGAGGCTGGGATGAAGGGTGCAAAGGAATAGTAAAGAAAGCATGTTTGAGATCCAGAGCAGAATAATGGGTTGTAGAGGGAGTTATTGAGGATAGGAGAGTATATGGGTTTGGCACCATGGGGTGGATAGACAAAACAATTTGGTTGATAAGGCACAGATCCTGAACTAACCTGTAAGGCTTGTCTGGTTTTAGGACAGGTAAAATGGGGGAATTGTAAGGAGAGTTTATAGGCTTTAAAAGGCCATGCTGTAGCAGGCGAGTGATAACAGGCTTTAATCCTTTTAAAGTGTGCTGCAGGATGGGATATTGGCGTTGAGCGGGGTAAGGGTGATTAGGTTTTAATGAGATGGTAAGGGGTGGATGATCGGTCACCAAGGAGGGAGTAGAGGTGTCCTATACTTGTGGTTTAAGGTGGGGAGACACAAGGGGAGGATGTGAAGGAGGCTTTGAACTGGGGGAAAAGGTGGCAATGAGGTGTGGCTGTAGCCCAGGAATAGTTAGGGAAGCAGATAATTTAGTTAAAATATCTCGGCCTAATAAGGGAACTGGGCAGGTGGGGATAACTAAAAGGAGTGCTTAAAAGAGTATTGTCTAAGTTGGCACCAGAGTTGGGGAGTTTTAAGAGGTTTAGAAGCCAGGCCATCAATATCCACAACAGTTATGGAGGCAAAGGAAACAGGCCTTTGAAAAGAAGGTAATGTGGAGTGTGTAGCCTCCGTATTGATTAAGAAGGGGATGGACTTACCTTCCACTGTGAGAGTTACTTAAAGCATCTGTGATGGTCCAGGAAGCTTCTGAGGTGATTAGGCAGCGTCAGTCTCCAGCCGCTAAGCCAAGAAGATCTGGGAAGGAGTCAGAGAGCCTTGGGCCAGAGTTCCAGGGGCTCTGGGAGTGGCTGCTGGGTGAATTGGACAGTCTGATTTCCAGTGGGGTCCTGCACAGATGGGACACAGCTTAGGAGGAATCCTGGGCTGCAGGCATTCCTTGGCCTGGTGGCCAGATTTCTGGCACTTGTAGCAAGCTCCTGGGGGAGACAGGCCTGGAGGAATGCCTGGCCACTGCGGTTTAGGCATTTGGAAGTTCTTGTGTGTTGGAGATGTGGCTGGGGTTTGTCTCACAGTGGAGGCAAGGAATTGCAACTCAGAAGTATGTTGCTACTTGGCTGCCTCTACTCTATTATTGTGCACCTTGAAGGTGAGGTTAATTAAGTCCTGTAGTGGGGTTTGAGGGCTGGAATTTAATTTTTGGAGCTTTATTTAATGTCTGGAGCAGAGTGGGTAATAAAATAAAATGTATATTGAGAATAAGTTGGCCTTTTGACCTTTCAGGGTCTAGGGCTGTAAAACGTCTCAGGGTTGCTGCTAAGCAGGCCATGAACTGGGCTGGACTTTTCATGTTTGATGAAAAAGAGCCTAAATGCTAACTGATTTTGGGAGAGGTCAGATAAAGAAAAAGGAGCATTAACCTTGACTATGCCACTAGCTCCAGCCACCTTTTTAAGAGGAAATTGCTGGGCAGGTGGGGGAGGGCTAGCTGTGGAATGAGACTGTAAGCTGGACAGGGTGTGAGGAGGGGAGGTGATAAAAGGATTATAGGGTGGGGGGAGCAGAGGCTGAGGAAGAATTGGGACCTGGCTTGGCCTGGCGAGGAGCAGCCTGGGGAGAAGGGGGAAAGTCAGATGGGTCTGTAGAAAAGGAAGATTAGAAAGACTCAGCAACGCTTGGGGTTGGGACTGGGAGGACAGATGGGAGGGAAAGAAGGAGGATTTGGGAAGAGTCACATTGGGAACAGAGACTAGGGAGGGAACAATGTGTAAAAGAATGCCTGGATGTCAGGCACCTCAGACCATTTGCCTATTTTACGATAAGAATTATCTAGATCTTGTAGGATGGAAAAATCAAAAGTGCTGTTTTCTGACTATTTGGAACCACTATCGAGGTTGTAATGGGGTCAAACGGCATCATAGAAGAAAATAAGGCATTTATGTTTAGGTCAGGTGTGAGTTGAAGAGGTTTTAAGTTCTTGAGAACACAGGCTAAGGGAGAAGAAGGAGGAATGGAGGATGGAAGGCTGCCCATAGTGAAGGAGGCAAGCCCAGAGAAAAGAGAGTAGAGACACAGAGAGAAGGGGTGGGGGGTTCTTGACCCCCAAAAAACGGAGAAGGGGTAGAGACATGGAGAGAAGGGGTCAGGGGGTTCTTGCCTCCCAGAAAAGCGGAGAAAGGGTAGAGACATGGAGAGAAGGGGTTGGGGGGTTCTTGCCCTCCAGAAAAGCAGAGAAGTGGTAGAGACACAGAGATAAGGGGTCAGGGGGTTCTTGCCCCCCAGAAAAGCGGTACTTGCTGCTAAGGGTGAAGGACCAAGGCAGGCGTCCCCACGTGGTCAGACACCTCTGAAACATGGGTGAATAATCAGGCAGGCATCCCCGCGTGATTAAGCACCAAGGGGAGACTGTCTTCCCGAGTCTGTGACTGGCGCCGGAGTTTTGGGTCCATGGATATAAGGTGTCTCCTTCGTCTCTACCAGAAAATGAAAGGAACTGAAATTAAGAGACGGGAGAGATTGAAGTGTGGTGCCAAGATTGAAAGGAGAAAGAGGTTGAGGGATAGAGAGGTTGGAGAAGAGAGTAAAGAGGCCACTTACCGGATTTAAAATTGGTGAGATGTTCCTTGGGCTGGTTGGTCTGAGGACCAGAGATCGTAGGTGGATCTTTCTCACGGAACAAAGAGCAGGAGGACAGGGGATTGATATTCCAAGGGAGGCCCCTGATCCGAGTCACAGCACCAAAATTTCACTTGCATCTGTGTGAAGAGACCACCAAACAGGCTTTGTGTGAGCAACAAGGCTGTTTATTTCACCTGGGTGCAGGTGGGCTGAGTCCGAAAAGAGAGTCAGCCGAGACCTTATCTTTCTAAAAACAACAAAATGAGCCTGGTGTGGTAGTACCTGCCTGTGATCCCAGCTACTAGGGAGGCTGAGACAGGAGGATTGCTTCAGTCTGGAATGTTGAGGCTGCCAGTGCCATGATCGTGACATTGTACTCCAGTCTGGGGAACAGAGAAAGACCCTATCTCAAAAAAAAAAAAAAAATCCCAAAGTCCATACAGAAGAGGGGCTTTTCTATGCTACCCTCTTTGCGACTTTCTTCTTCTAAGAGGAATTAATTGGGTTGCCTTTAGTTTCCAAATAGATTTCCTTATCCTTGACCATAAATCAATACTGTGCTTGCCAAATTGACTTCCCTTATGATACTCTGGGAAAGAAAATAACAAATGTTCAGTTGATAAACTTTATAACTCCTTTTTATATCAGATCTGCAGGTACTATAGCTTTCACATGCTTGTTTATTAGTTCAATCCATTAAGAGAACAATGATCAAAGATAAATACCCCAGGCAGAAACATGACAAGAGCAAGGAAATAGATGAATGCTGGCACTCATTTGTAATATAATAAATTGTATTGTAGCATACCGTAAGTTTTTGACCTTAAGCAATAGAAAGTTGATGACTTTAATAGAGTTTTCTTCATAAACCATTTCCTTTGTGCTTCAAAACTGCTCATTTTTTTTGTAACACTGGCTCTTCTACAATTTGTTTTCAACACACATCTTTAAGTTTAAAAGCCAGGGTCCACTTGGATGATGCTTGGTTTATAATATGGGCACTCACAGCTGGTGGCAAGCAGGGGCTCTCAAGGACTGGACAAAGGTCAGTGTTGGAATGCCTGCTTCCTGCTTCTTGCAGAAAGTCTCCACCTTAGGTATGCAAGAGGCATTGCTTTTGTCTAACTCTCTAGGAATTGAGTTTAATAATAATAACCTGTTACATATACAACATATGAATGTAACCACTCCATAGATGTGAAATTTGGGGGCATTTACTTAACTTCTCTAAGCTTCAGTTTCTTCAGCTGCAGAATCTAAGTGACACTGATACCCACCTCACAGAGTATTGATGAAAATAAAATTATATAAGGCTCATGCCTGGTTCATACTGGGTGCTCTGTAAATGGTGGACACAGACACATAGATGTCTATGTTCTTATTCCCTTCCTTATCTCTGCCTCTTGTCATTGTGTAAGCAAAGAAATGCTTTTGGTTCACAGGTAAACCAAACCAATGGCAGAAGAAATTCTTCTTATTAACATGCAATAGGATCTGTGGCCATTTCCAGCCCTTCCCAATCAGTCTGTCTCATACCCCAACACTCCTGATATCTTCTGGTCAGGGCACTCCTGCGTTTGCTTTCTAACTTAACTTTCTCCATTTCTGTTATTCTGTGATTTTCTCATACCCCTTTCCTCTGTGCAGAGCCTACCCAAAGCTAACTTGTCTCCATCAATTTCTGATATCCTATCAAGTCTCAGAAAGTAGTAGTCTTTTACAATCTCTTATCTCATAGAAACCATGAAGGCTGAGCCACATAAGAAACTCTGAACTTATTATATTAGAAGTATTGATCTCTTTGCCAAGATGGAAGAAAAAACCACTCTTTTTAGATGGCTAATGGACTAAAATACATGGTGTTGACAGCAAGCTGTAAGAATGTTGTTTTTGTGATGAAGAACTGAGAAGGAGTTGGGAAAATAGAAATCATACCAGACATATACAGCAACAGTTCTATAAAAGTACAAATATTTGACTAACTGTATGGCAGTGTACCCTATGGGATCTATAAGCCAATCCTCCTACACAAAACCACCCTTGATTTTATTGGGAGAGGACTGATTTGTGTCATTTATAATATTGAACACCTACTGTGCTTTGAATGTGTCCGCCACAAAGCACATGTTGTACGCTTAATCCCAAATGCAAAAGTGTTGGGAAGTATGGCCTAATGAGAAGTGATTAGGTCCTGAAATCTCCACCCTCATGAATGGATTAATGCCATTACCATAAGAATGGGTTTGTTATCACAGGAATGGGTTACAAAAAGATAAGTTTGGATCCCTTTTTTCCCCTCTCTTGTACTCTCTTGACGTTTTGTGTTTCACCATGAGCAAGAGGTTCCTTGCCAGATGCTGGCACCTCAATCTTGCCTCAGTTTCATACTTCACACCCTCCAGGACTGTGAGCCAATAAATTTCTGTTCATTATAAGTTACCCAGTCTGTAATATTCTGTTATAGCCTCACAAAATAGACTAGGAAAAAAAAATCATACCAGGAAGTGGGGCTGTTTCTATAACCACTACCTTAAAATGTAGAAGCAGCTTTGGAACTGGGTAATGGGTGGAGGCTGAGACAGTTTTGAAGTCAATGCTAGCAAAACTCTTTATTGCTGTGAATGGAGCATTAAGAGCATTTCTCAGAAGGCTCTTTTGAGGGCTCAGAAGAAGAGTTGTAGGGAAAGTCTGAATCTTGTTAGAGATTCTTTAAGTGGTCCTGAATAGAGTGCTGGTAGAAATACAGACAATAAACACCATTCTGATGAGGTGTTAGATGAAAATGAGGAACAAAGTATTGGAATCTGGAGAAAGAGCCATCACTGTTACAAAGTGGCAAAGAACTTGACTGAATTACATCCATGCCTGAGGGCTTTAGAAAAGCAGAACTTAAGAGCAATGAACCAGAATATCTGGTAGAAGTTTCTAAGCAGCAAAGCATTTAGGGTGCTGTGTGGCTTCTTTTAACTGCATATAGAAAAATGAGAGAGGATAGAAGTTATTTGAAGATGGAATTTATAATTAAAATGGAAGTGGAATGGAAAGGTTTTAAAAATTCACGGCCAGAACATGTAAAGAATGAAAAGTCATATTTAGGAGAGCAAGCCACTGTTTGCTAAATAAATTAATATAGATGGAAGACAGCCAGATCCTATTCATCAAGACAGTGGGAGAATGACTCTGAAAACATTTCAGAGATCTTAAAGGCAAGCTAGAACCCTTAGGGAAGGTTTTCAGAGAGGCACCCATGGGACTGCAGCATTTACAGCCCTGTGTCCAATTTTCTGGCTCAGCACTTCTTAACCACCCCAGCCATCAGTTAAGTGGGCCTAAGTGCAGTTTGGGCTACCATTCGGGAAGGTGCATAATCCACATGGAGCTAATTCTGCAGGCATGAAGAATGCAAGAGTTCTAGGGGCATGGCTTCCTTTACCTAGATTTCAAAGGATGTCATGGACAGCCGTGGGGCTCAGACAGATATTTGTCACAAGAGCAAAGCCGCTGCAGAGAGTCCCTGCTAGGGTAATGCCTACTGGAACCATGGGAGTGGGACTGCCCCCAAGAATGCAGAACTGGAAAGCCACCAGTGCAGAAGTCCAGCCTAGAAAAGTGGCAAGCATGACTGCAATCTGTGAGATCTGCTCCATGAACTGACCCCAGCAAAGCCATAACATCAGGGATGCTCAAAGCCTTGGGGACCCAGCCCCCATCTCAGTGTGACCATAGGGTGGGACATGGAGTCCAAAAAGATTATTCTCTAGTCTTGATATTTGATATTGTTTACTGTGCTGGGTATGGGACTTACTTGGGACCTGTTACTCATTTCTTCTTTCCTGTTGCTCTCTTTTGGAATGAAAATATCTGTCCTTTGCCTTCCCACCATTGTATTTTAGAAGTAGATAACTTGTTTGATTTAACAGGATTATGACTGGAGGAAATTTGCCTCAGCATAAGTAAAACACTTAGTCTCATCCATGTCTGATTTAGATAAGACCCTGAATGTTAGACTTTTGAATCGGTGCTGGCATGAGTTAAGTCACTGGAGCAGTTGGGTTGGAATGAATGTATTTTGAATATGAGAAAGACCTGAGTTTTGGGATCCAATGGCAGAATGTTATTGTTTGAATGTGTTCCCCAAAACATATGTGTTGGAATCTTAATTCTCAATGTAACAGTGTTGGGAGATGGGGCCTAATGAGAGGTGATTAGGCAATGAAGGCTCTGCTCTCATGAATGAATTAATGTTGTTATCACAGGAGTGCATTTGCAAGTTCACACTCTCTCTCTCCTCCTCCTTGCTCCCCATCCCTCCCTCCCTTGTCTCTCCACCTTTCACCATATGGACACAGCAAGGAGGCCCTCACTAGATGCTAGATCTTCAGCCTTGGACTTCCCAGCTTAACTTTGAGCCAATAGATTCCTGTTCACTATAAATTACCTAGTCTGTGATATTTTGTTATAGCAGTAAAAAATGGACTAAGACAGCAGCAAAATGTATTTAGTAAGTCAGGTGCTATAGTTATACCTAGTTTCAAAAATCATCATGAAAGACCTTGAAAATTGAGTTAACTCATCCCACCATCTTTATACCTGACAGCCCCAAATAGTTCCAACAGTAACCTCTGTGGCCTGGAAGGAGTAATCAGGACCTTTGAGAGGCAATGCAAACACAATTTACCCTGGATTTAAAACATCTTAAAGAGGCTAACAATGGTCAGCTTCTGTGCTTCTGTGACTTGATTCTGATATTGTCTTTTTCATCTATAGATTGCCATGCCACATGCTACAAATATCATGCCTCTAATCTGCATAGTAATTTGCATGGCATCACTCAGACCTTCCTATTATTCTCTAGGTAGGCTCATCTTTCTACCTGAAACTATTCCTTATTCTTTTTTAATTCTATGAACCAAAAATCACTAGTGTTGGCATTACGCCGAAATAGCTATGAAATTATAGGGTCTGTGTACCAAGAGAGGTCAAAAATGTGAAAACACCAACATATTAATGCTTCCCTCTTCTTAATTTTATAAATTGAAATCCTAAAGAAAGCTTCAAAGTCAAATATATTTTAATCAAATGTTTTTCTATGAGGCTTTCTTATTCTAGAAGTCATAGCCTTCGCTTTTTAAACATCTTTATTTGTATATTACTATCTCCAGGCCGATGTTCTAATAGGTGACATGATGAAAAGAGAAATGTGGCTTGCTCTTGCACTTCTTAGGTTAGAAACCCTATCTACATTTTTCTTAAGGTAGTCTAAATGTTATGTGTTATTCAAGGGCTCTGCTATTGCGTATCTTAATTTTTCCAGGAAAGCCAGTTCATCTATAGTAATTGAAAAGAGATGAATACAGATGCTTATGTGCTAAATTAAAATGTCGTCTTTGACCTTTGAATGTTAGAGTATCCAAAGGGGCTATTATCAATGTTCTCTGCAGCTGTCATGGGTAAAGGAAGCATATTTATATAGCAGAGCTTGCAGGAGGAAGTAGGGAAGGCATATGAGCATGGGGCAGAGTATTAACATCATTCCCATTCAGCCCTCCACCCTGTCTTGTGGGTCACCATCATTTGATTATGCCAGTTTCAGAAAACCTGATTAGGTTGTGGTTTAGTTTATTTATTAACAAGATTTTTATAAATTGTATTATAAGATGTTTATTTTAATGCATTAGTAACTAGATGTCTTTAAGGATCATTTGAAAAAGATAATCTTGGTAGGAATCTGAGTTAAAAATCATATTCTCCTGTCTCCACATGAAGCTCTGGTCAACATTAATATCTCTACTATTCCCAAGACAGGTTCAGGGGGACAATTCTATTTCTGGTTGTCCCCTCAAGCAACTTCTTCTCCCAGTGTGCCTAATGGAATGGCAGATAATCATGGCCTTTGTCAAGGTGTTCTTGCCTTGTCTTATAAGTTACCAAAATCAAGTAGAAAAAACCAAAGCTATTTATAGTTGTTTATTGTTTATTTGTTTTCAATATCATGATACTAGTAACTCTCATATTCTGTGAAGGGGCCTTAGCCTCATTTTTATTAACAAGTCCTATCGTGCCTCCCCCATAAAAAGACAGATCTCTATTAGAGGGCCAGGGCCATGTCTTCATTGTATCCTAGTGCACAGGTAATGCCAACTTCCTGAAAACTTCACACATGGACTCCAATTTCTGACAATACTCTCATATGTTTTTTCTCATGTTTAATTTTCACAACACAGAGCTTGGACCATGTTGCTCCTACCCACCACCTATCACCAATGTTAACCTTCCCACAACCTGCAAACTCTTCAGCCCAGGCCCTCAGTGATCTGGCCCCCATTTCCCATTCTACATTGCTCTCTTTTCTCCCTCTCCTACATGATGTCCTCCCTCCAATCAAATTGTACTGCTCTCTGCTGGAGAACATTCCTCCCACCTTTGTAAAGCATTTTCACACAGGATTCCCTTTTCCTAGAAGGCTTTTTCCCATTCCAGTCTCAACCTCTTAGAAGCCATCTCAAATATAACCTTCTTGAGCCTTTTCTTGTTTAACTCCCTTCCAAACATATGTAAATTTTCCTTCCTTTAAACTTCCACACTTTGTATGTTCCTGAGACACATACCATTTCTCTACTTTTAATTTTAGAATTAGTCTGTTTCATCTCTATTCTGGTTTGCAGGTGTTTCGAAGAAGCTGAAGTTATGTCTCCAATGTCTTTATATACCTTGCAGTGTCAGATAGGCAGAGTGTCACACACACAAACACACACACACCACACCACACAAATATATTTACAAACATTTTTAAAATGCAGCAAAAAGCCACATTCCAGTAGGGATGCAATTACATATAAAAATTCAACGTAAGTTTCTGTAGCTATTGAAATAAAATGATGAATAAAAATCAAACTGACATGTTCAGGATATTTTATGGAAATCTTCAGAAAGAAAGCTTCATAAAGACTCAAAATTCACCTCTCTAGAAATTCCACTCACTTGGACCTAGACTGTCTAAAAATCTAGGATGAATGATATATCATGAAAGTATGCCGTGATTCTGGGGAGAAAGATTTATAAGAAATGGAAACACTCATAATATTTTGTTAAAGAATAATTGAGTGTTAAGAGAGCATTTTTTAAAAAAGTGAATTTAGGTTAGAACTACTGGGCTTTTATCTGGAGGAAAATAAACCTGGTTTTATGTCTCATGTCAGAATATATTCTAAATGAGTCAAATATTTAAATATTTAATTTAGTTAATAATTAATTTAGTTAATATTTTAAAATTAAAGCCATGAAATTACTAGAAGAAACAAGAGAATATGTAGGTATGTATTTAAATAATGTGCCTATACATGCCCCCAACCCCCACATAAAATCTTGATGTGGAATAGGCCTTCTAAATATCTATATCAGCAAGGATTAATTTTCCTAGTATATAAAGAACCCTATAAATCAGTAAGAAAAAAATACCAAGAGTCTAGCAAAAATTTGGGAAAAGATTGGAAAACAGTTGCAGAACATGAAATGAAGATAGATTTTATATACATGAAAAGATGTTCAGTCTCACATATGAGAAAAACGCAATTTAAAACTATACTGAATGCTATCTTTCATATTTCATGTTGGCAAAACATGAAAAATCTCACATAATTTTGCTTTTATGAAGCAAAGCTTTTATGAAGCAAACCTTTTATGAAGCAAAACTGAATAATGCAAGATACAAACGAAGGCTTATTTGTTTAAAAATGAATAAAAAGAAATATATATTCTAACAGACTTTGTTGAGTCTTTAGGTTTTTCTAAATATAAGATTATGTCCTCTGTGAACAAGAATAATTGGACTTATTCCAAAGTTGCAGGATACCAGATAAACACACAAATGTTAGTAGCATTTATATACACCAATGGTGGAGAATCTGAAAAAGAAATCAAGAAAGCAACGCCAGTTTCAGTAGCTACAAAAATATAAAATACCTCAGAATAAATTTAACCAAAGTAGTAAAAGATCTCTACGAGGAAAACTATAAAATACCATGAAAGAAATTGGAGAGGATACACAAAAAGTGGAAAGATATTACATGCATATGGATTAGAAGATTCAATGTTATTAAAATGTCAATACTACACAAAGGGGATTAGAAGATTTAATATTATTAAAATGTCAATACTACTCAAAGTGGCTTACAAGTTCAATGCAATCTGTATCAAAATTCCAATGACATTCTTTAGATAAAAAGAAAAAAAATCCTAAAATTTTTATGGAACTACAAAAGACCCAGAATAGCCAAAACTATCCTGAGCACAAAGAACAAAACCGGAGGAATGACATTACCTGAGCTTATTATACTATAGAGCTATGTAACCAAAACAGCATGGTACTGGCATAAAAACAGATACATAGCCCAGTGGAAGAGAACAGAGAGCCCAGAAACAAACCCATACATCTACAGTGAACTCATTTTCAAAAAAGATGCCAAGAATATTCACTGGGGAAAATGCAGTCTCCTCAATAAACAGTGCTGGAAAAACTGGGTATCCATATGGAGAAGAATGAAACTATACCCCTGTCTCTCATGATATACAAAAAACCCATATAAAAAAATCAAATCACCATATACAAAAAAATCAAATCAAAATGGATTAAATACTTAAATATTAGAACTCAAACTATGAAACTACTACAAGAAAACATTGGGGAAAAGTTTCAGGACATTGCTCTGGGTAAAAATTTCTTGAATACCCCACAAGCACAAGAAACCAAAGCAAAAGTCAACAAATGAGATCACATCAAGTTAAAAACCTTCTGTAAAGTAAAGGAAACAAATAACAAAGTGAAGACAACCCACAGAATGGGAGAAAATGTTTGCTAACTACCCATCTGATAAGGAATTCATAACCAGAATATATTAGGAGCTCAAACAACTGTATTACAAAATCTAATAATTTGATCAAAATATAGGCAAAATATTTGAATAGACATTTCTCAAAAGAAGACACACAAATGGCGAACAGGCATATGAAAAGGTGCTCAACATCATTGATCATCAAAGAAATGCAAATCAAAACTACAATGAGATATCATCTCACCCCAGTTAAAATGGTTTATATCAAAAAGGCAATAGCAAATACTGATGAAGATGTGGAGAAAAGGGAACCCTTGTACACTGTTGGTGGGAATGTAAATTAGTACAACCACCACAGAGAACAGTTCCTCAAAAAACTAAAAATAGAGCTACCATATGATCCAGCATTCCCACTATTGCATATATATATCCAAAAGAAAGAAAATCAGTATATCAAAGAGATACCTTCACTCCTATGTTTGCTGCAGCACAGTTCACAATAGCCAAGATTTAGAAACAACTGAAGTGTCCATCAGCAGATGAATGGATAGGAAAAATGTGGTATATATATACAAGGGAGTACTATTCAGCCATAAAAACTAATGAGATCCTCTCATTTACAACAACATGGATGGAACTGGAGGTTATTATGTTAAGTGAAATAAGCCAGGCACAGAAAGACAAACATCACATGTTCTCACATATTTGTGGGATCTAAAAATCAAAACAATTGAACTAATGGGCCTAGAGAGTAAAAGGATGGTTACCAGAGGCTGGAAAGGGTAGCGGGGGGTTTGTGGGGAGGAGGTGAGGTTGGTTTATGGGTACAAATAAATAGTTAGAAACAATAAATAAGACCTACTACTTGATGGCACAAAAGGGTGACTATAGTCAATAATAATTTAGTTGTACATTTAAAAATAACTAAAAGAATATAATTGGATTATTTGTAATACAAATGATAAATGCTTGAGAGGATGGATATTTCATTCTCCATGATGTGATTATTACATATTGCATGCCTATGTCAAAATACCTCATGTACCCCATAAGTATATACACCAAGTATGTATGTACAAAAGTTAAAAATATGAAATTATAAAAAAAATCCTGTTAAAAATGGGCAAAACGTCTGAATAGACCTTTTTTTTCAAGAAGACATACAAATGGCCAACTGGAATGAAAAAAATGTGCAGCATCACTAATCATCAGGGAAATACAAATTAAAACCACAATGAGATGTCATCTCACACTGATTAAAATGGTTTTTATAAAAAAGACAAAAAGTAACAATGCTGGTGAGGAATTGGAGAAAGGGGAGATCTTATAAATTGTTGGTGGGAATATAAATTAGTGCAGACACTATAGAGAACAGTTTGGAGGTTCTTCAAAAAACTAAAAACAGAACTGTCATATGATCCAAGAATCCACCCCTGGGTATATATGCAAAAGAAAGAAAATATGTTGAAGAGATGTCTGAAGCCCCATATTTATTGCAGCACTATCCACAATAGCCAACATATGGCATCAACCTAAGTGTCCGTCAACAGATGAATGGATAAAGAAATTGTGGTGTATATATACACAATGGAATATTATACAGCCATAAAAATTAAAATCCTGTCTTTTGCAGCTACATAAAAGGAATTGGAGATCATTATGTTAAGTAAAATAAGCCAGGCACAAAAACACAAATATCACATGTTCTTTTTTTATTATTGTAATACTTTAAGTTTTACAGTACATGTGCACAACGTGCAGGTTTGATACATAGGTATACATGTGCCATGTTGGTTTGCTGCACCCATCAATTTGTCATTTACATTAGGTATATCTCCTAATGCTATCCCTCCCGTAGCCCCCTACACCCCGACAGGCCCCAGTGTGTGATGTTCCCCACCCTGTGTCCAAGTGTTCTCATTGTTCAATTCCCACTTATGAGTGAGAACATGTGGTGTTTGGTTTTCTGTTCTTGTGATAGTTTGCTGAGAATGATGGTTTCCAGCTTCATCCATGTCCCTACAAAGGACATGAACTCATCCTTTTTTATGGCTGCATAGTATTCCATGGTGTATATGTGCCACATTTTCTTAATCTAGTCTATCATTAATGGACATTTGGGTTGGCTCCAAGTCTTTGCTATTGTGAATAGTGCTGCAATAAACATACATGTGAACGTGTCTTTATAGTAGCATGACTTATAATCTTTTGTGTATATACCCAGTAATGGTATTGCTGGGTCAAATGGTATTTCTAGTTCTAGGTCCTTGAGGAATCGCCACACTGTCTTCCACAATGGTGGAACTAGTTTACACTCCCACCAACAGTGAAAAACCATTCCTATTTCTCCACATCCTCTCCAGCATCTGTTGTTTCCTGACTTTTTAATGATCGCCATTCTAAATGGCATGAGATGGTATCTCATTGCGGTTTTGATTTGCATTTCTCTGATGACCAGTGATAATGAGCATTTTTTCATGTGTTTGTTGGCTGGATAAATGTCTTCCTTTGAGAAATGTCTGTTCCTATTGTTTGCCCACTTTATGATGGGATTGGTTTTTTTTATATAATTTTTTTTTTAGTTCTTTGTAGATTCTACATATTAGACCTTTGTCAGATGGGTAGATTGCAAAAATTTTCTCCCATTCTGTAGGTTGCCTGTTCACTCTGATGGTAGCTTCTTTTGCCATGCAAAAGCTCTTTATTTAATTAGATCTCATTTGTCTATTTTGGCTGTGGTTTCCATTGCTTTTGGTGTTTTAGTCATGAAGTCCTTGTCCATGCCTATGTCCTGAATGGTATTGCCTAGGTTTTCTTCTAGGGTATTTACGGCTTTAGGTCTAACATTTAAGTCTTTAATTCATCTTGAATTATTTTTTGTGTAAGGTGTAAGGAAGGGATCTGGTTTCAGCTATCTACACATGGCTAGCCAGTTTTTCCAGCACCACTTATAAAATAGGGAATCCTTTCCCCATTGCTTGTTTTTCTCAGGTTTGTCAAAGATCAGATAGTTGTAGATATGCAGCATTATTTCTGAGGGCTCTGTTCTGTTCCACTGGTCTATATCTCTGTTTTGGTACCAGTAGCATGCGTTTTGGTTACTGTAGCCTTGTAGTATAGTTTGAAGTCAGGTAGAATGATGCCTCCAGCTTTGTTCTTTTGGCTTAGGATTGACTTGGCAATGCGGGCTCTTTTTTGGTTCCATATGAACTTTAAAGTAGTTTTTTCCAATTCTGTGAAGAAAGTCATTGGTAGCTTGATGGGGATGGCATTGAATCTATAAATTACCTTGGGCAGTATGGCCCTTTTCACGATATTGATTCTTCCTACCCATGAGCATGGAATGTTCTTCCATTTGTTTGTATCCTCTTTTATTTCATTGAGCAGTGGTTTGTAGTTCTCCTTGAAGAGGTCCCTCACATCCCTTGTAAGTTGGATTCCTAGGTATTTTATTCTCTTTGTAGCAATTGTGAATGGGAGTTCACTCATAATTTAGCTCTCTGTTTGTCTGTTATTGGTGTATAAGAATGTTTGTGATTTTTGCACATTGATTTCGTATCCTGAGACTTTGCTGAAGTTGCTTATCAGCTTAAGGAGATTTTGGGCTGAGATGATGGGGTTTTCTAGATATACAATCATGTCATCTGCAAACAGGGACAATTTGACTTCCTCTTTTCCTAAATGAATACCCTTTATTTCTTTCTCTTGCCTAATTGCCCTGGCCAGAACTTCCAACAATATGTTGAACAGGAGTGGTGAGAGAGGGCATCCCTGTCTTGTGCCAGTTTTCAAAGGCAATGCTTCCCATTTTTGCCCATTCAGTATGATATTGGCTGTGGGTTTGTCATAAGTAGCTCTTATTATTTTGAGATACGCTCCACCAATATCTAGTTTATTGAGAGTTTTTAGCATGAAGCACTGTTGAATTTTGTTGAAGGCCTTTTCTGCGTCTATTGAGATAATCATGTGGTTTTTGTCATTGGTTCTGTTTATATGCTGGATTACATTTATTGATTTGCATGTACTGAACCAGCCTTGCATCCCAGGGATGAAGGCAACTTGATCTTGGTGGATAAACTTTTTGATGTGCTGCTGGATTTGGTTTGCCAGTATTTTATTGAGGATTTTTACATGGATGTTCATCAGGGATATTGGTCTAAAATTCTCTTTTTTTGTTGTGTCTCTGCCAGGTTTTGGTATCAGGATGACGCTGGCCTCATAAAATGATTTAGGGAGGGTTTCCTCTTTTTCTGTTGATTGGAATAGTTTCAGAAGGAATGGTACCAGCTCTTCTTTGTGTCTCTGGTAGAATTCAGCTGTTAATCTGTCTGGTCCTGGACTTTTTTTGGTTGGTAGGCTGTTAATTACTGCCTCAATTTCAGAGCCTGTTATTGGTCTATTCAGAGATTCAGCTTCTTCCTGGTTTAGTCTTGGGAGGGTGTATGTGTCCAGGAATTTATCCATTTCTTCTTGATTGTCTAGTTTATTTGTGTAGAGGTGTTTATAGTATTCTCTGATGGTAGTTTGTATTTCTGTGGGATCAGAGTTGATATCCTGTTTATCATTTTTTATTGCATCTGTTTGACTCTTCTCTCTTTTCTTCTTTATTAGTCTTGCTGAGGTTCTATCAATTTTGTTGATGTTTTCAATAAAACAGCTCCTGGATTCATTGATTTTTTGAAGGTTTTTTGTGTCTCGATCTCTTTCAGTTCTGCTGTGATGTTAGTTATTTCTTGCCTTCTGCTAGCTTTTGAATGTGTTTGCTCTTGCTTCTCTAGTTTCTTAAATTGTGATGTTAGGGTGTCGATATTAGATCTTTTCTGCTTTCTCTTGTGGGCATTACTGCTATAGATTTCCCTCTATACAGTGCTTTAAAAGTGTCCCAGAGATTCTGGTATGTTGTCTCTTCATTCTCATTGGTTTTGAAGAACATCTTTATTTCTGCCTTCATTTTGTTATTTACCCAGTAGTCTTTCAGGAGCAGGTTGTTCAGTTTCCATGTAGTTGTGCAGTTTTGAGTGAGTTTCTTAATCCTGAGTTCTAATTCGATCGCACTGTGATCTGAGAGACAGTTTGTTGTGATTTCTGTTCCTTTGCATTTGCTGAGGAGTGATTTACTTCCAATTTTATGGTCAATTTTAGAAGTGTGATGTGGTGCTGATAAGAATGTATATTCTATTGATTTAGCATGGAGAGTTCTGCAGATGTCTATTAGGTCTGCTTGGTGCAGAGCTGAGTTCAAGTCCTGGATATCCTTGCTAACATTTTGTCTCGTTGATCTGTCTAATGTTAACAGTGGGGTGTTAAAGTATCCCATTATCACTGTGTGGGAGTCTAAGTCTCTTTGGAGGTCTCTCAGGACTTGCTTTATGCATCTGGGTGCTCCTGTATTGGGTGCATATATATTTAGGATAGTTAGCTCTTCTTGTTGAATTGATTCCTTTACCATTATGTAATGGCCTTCTTTGTCTCTTTTGATCTTTGTTGGTTTAAAGTCTGTTTTATCAGAGACTAGGATTGCAACCGCTGCTTTTTTTTTTTTTTGCTTTCCATTTGCTTTGTAGATCTTCCTCCATCCCTTTATTTTGAGCCTATGTGTGTCTCTGCACATGAGCTGGGTCTCCTGAATACAGCACACTGTTGGGTCTTGACTCTTTATCTAATTTGCTGTCTGTGTCTTTTAATTGGGGCATTTAGTTCATTTACACTTTAGGTAAATATTGTCATGTTGAATTTGATCCCGTCATTATGATGTTAGGTGGTTATTTTGCCCATTATCTGATGTAGTTTCTTCATAGCATCTGTGGTCTTTACAATTTGGCATGTTTTTGCAGCGGCTGGTACCAGTTGTTCCTTCCCATGTTCAGTGCTTCCTTCAGGAGCTCTTGTAGGGTAGGCCTGGTCGTGACAAAATCTCTCAGCATTTGCTTGTCTGTAAAGGATTTTATTTCTCCTTCACTTATGAAGCTTAGTTTGGCTGGTTATGAAATGCTGGGTTGAAAATTATTTTCTTTCAGAATGTTGAATATCGGCCCCCACTCTCTTCTGGCTTGTATGGTTTCTGCCGAGAGATCTGCCATTAGTCTGATGGGCTTCCCTTTGTGGGTAACCTGACCTTTCTCTCTGGCTGCCCTTAGCATTTTTTCCTTCATTTCAACCTTGGTAAATCTGACAATTATGTGTCTTGGGGTTGCTGTTCTCGAGGAGTATCTTTGTGGTGTTCTCTGTATTTCCTGAATTTGAATGTTGGCCTGCCTTGCTAGTTTGGGGAAGTTCTCCTGGATAATATCCTGAAGAGTGTTTTCCAGCTTGGTTCCATTCTCCCCGTCACTTTCAGGTACATCAATCAAACGTAGATTTGGTCTTTTCACATAGTCCCATATTTCTTGGAGGCTTTGTTCATTTCTTTTTACTCTTTTTTTCTCCAAACTTCTCACCTCATTTCATTAATTTGATCTTCAATCACTGATATCCTTTCTTCCACTCAATCAAATCAGCTACTGAGGCTTGTGCATGCGTCACGTATTTCTCGAGCCATGGTTTTCAGCCCCATCAGGTCATTTAAGGTCTTCCCTACATTGTTTATTCTAGTTTGCCATTCATCTAATCTTTTTTCAAGGTTTTTAGCTTCCTTGCGATGGTTTATAACGTGCTCCTTTAGCTTGGAGAAGTTTGTTATTACCAACTTTCTGAAGCCCATTTCTGTCAAATAGTCAAAGTCACTCTCCATCCTCCTTTGTTCCATTGCTGGCGAGGAGCTGCAATCCTTTGGAGGAGAGGGGGACCTCTGGTGTTTAGAATTTTCAGTTTTTCTGCTCTGGTTTCTCCCCATTTTTGTGGTTATATCTACCTTTGGTCTTTGATGATGGTGACCTACAAATGGGGTTTTGGTGTGGATGTCCATTTTGCTCATGTTGATGCTTTTCCTTTCTGTTTGTTAGTTTTCCTTCTAACAGTCAGATCCCTCTGCTGCAGGTCTGTTGGAGTTTGCTGGACATCCACTCTAGACCCTGTTTGCCTGGGTATCACCAACAGAAGCTGCAGAACAGCAAATATTGCATAACTGCAAATATTGCTTCCTGATCCTTCCACTGGAAGCTTCGTCTCAGAGGGGCATCTGGCTGTATGAGGTGTCAGTCGGCCACTACTAGGAGGTGTCTCCAAGTTAGGCTACACAGGGTTCAGGGACCTACTTGAGGGGGCAGTCTGTCCATTCTCAGAATTCAAACACCATGCTGGGGAGAACTACTGCTCTCTTCAGAGCTGTCAGACAGGGACGTTTAAGTCTACAGAAGTTTCTGCTGCCTTTTGTTCAGCTATGCCCTGCCCCCAGAGGTGTAGTCTACAGAGGCAAGTGGGCCTCCTTAAGCTGTGGTGGGCTCCACCCAGCTAGAGCTTCCCGGATGCTTTGTTTACCTACTCAAGCCTCAGCAATGGTGGACACCCCTCCCCCAGCCAGGCTTGCCACCTTGCAGTTTGATCTCAGACTAGCAGTGAGCAAGGCTCTGTGGGCATGGGACCCACTGAGCCATGTGCAGGATATAATGTCCTGGTGTGCCGTTTGCTAAGACCATTGGAAAAGCACAGTGTTTAGGTGGCAGTGTACCAATTTTCCCAGTACAGTCTGTCATGACTTCCCTTGGTTAGGAAAGGGAAATCCCCTGACCCCTTCCACTTCCTGGGTGAGGCGACGCCCCACCCTGCTTTGGCTCACCCTCTGTGGGCTGCAACCACTTTCTGACTAGTCCCAAGGAGATGAACCAGGTACCTCAGTTGGAAATGCAGAAATCACCTGTCTTCTGTGTTAATCATGCTGGGAGCTGCAGACCAGAGCTGTTCCTATTCACCATCTTGGAATGGACTGTTGTTAGTTTTCCTTCTAACAGTCAGGTTTCTCAGCTGCAGGACTGTTGGAGTTTGCTGGAGGTCTACTCCAGACCCTGTTTGCCTGGGTATCACCAGCAGAGGCTGCAGAACAGCAAACATTGCAGAACAACAAATATTGCTGCCTGATCCTTCCTCTGGAAGCTTTGTTTCACAGGGGCACCTGCCTATATGAGGTGTCTGTCAGCCCCTACTGGGAGGTGTCTGTCGTCCCCTACTGGGAGGTGTCTCCCAGTTAGGCTACATGGGGGTCAGGGACCCACTTCAGGAGTCAGTCTGTCCATTCTCAGAGCTCAAACACCATGCTGGGAGAACCGCTGCTCTCTTCAGGGCTGTCAGGCAGGGACCTTTAGGTCTGCAGAAGCTGTCTGCTACCTTTTGTTCAGCTATGGCCTGCCCACAAAGGTGGAGTCTATAGAGGCAGATGCCTTGCTGAGCTGTGGTGGGCTCCACCTGTTCAAGCTTCCCAGCTGCTTTGTTTACCTACTCAAGCCTCAGCAATGCCAGACGCCCCTTCCCAAGCCAGGCTGCTGCCTTGCAGTTGAATCTCAGACTGCTGTGCTAGCAGCAAGCAAGGCTCCATGGGTGTTGGACCCATGAAGCCAGGCACGGGAGAGAATCTCCTTGTCTGCCAGTTGCCAAGACCTTGGGAAAAGTGCAGTATTTGGGTGGCAGTGTCCAGTTTTTCCAGATACAGTCTGTCACGGCTTCCCTTGGCTAGGAAAGGGAAATCCCCTGACCCCTTGTGCTTCCTGGGTGAGGCGACACCCTGCCCTGCTGTGGCTCACCCTCTGTGGGCTGCAACCACTGTCCAACCAGTCCTAATGAGATAAATTGGGTACCTCAGTTGGAAATGCAGAAATCACCCATCTTCTGTGTCGATCATGCTGGGTGCTGCAGACTGGAGCTGTTCCTATTCGGCCATCTTGGAATGGATCCACCCGTCTTGGAACGGATCCTCCACAAGTTCTAATTCATTTGTGGGAGCTAAACATGTGGGTCTCATGTTGATAGAGAGTAAATTTATGGGTACTAGAGGCTGGGAAGGGTGATTAAAGAAGGGGGTGAAGAGATGTTGATTAATGGGTAAACAAATACAGTTAGATAAAATGTATAAAATCTAGTGTTCAATAGTTCAGGAGGGTGACTACAGATAAAAATAACCTATGGCATCTTTCAAAATAGTTAGAAGAGAGTTAGAATGTTCCCAGCATAAAGAAAAGATAAATGTTTCAGGATATCCCAATTACCTGATTTGATCATTGTATATTTTATGAATGTATGAAAATATCACATGTACCATATAAATATGTACAACTATTATGTATCAATTAAAAATGAAAAAATAGGCATTCATAATTTTGTTTGATTTTGGATAAAGTGGTTTTGGAAGAAGCATAAGAAAATAATGAATTTGTTTGCTTCCAGGGAGGAGAGCCATGGCTGGGTTACTGGCATCAGGAGGAAAATTTATACCAAACTGTTTATATTTTGTACCTTTTGAAATTTAAACTATGCAATTTAAATATCTATTTTTAAAAATATATATGCAATTATAATTAGATGCCACTTTTATCGTTCTATCTTTTTTGGAACAATGCTTCTTTAATTGGGACCTACAGAGAAGACTTAAGACGAGTTAGTCAAAATGCAAGAACAAAAACATATTGCTGATGTTCTCAGGTGGCCCAGGAAGGATAGATTAGGGCTCACTCTTAAAAACTTATATAATTCTCTTCTGGGAACTTCTCTGCTGCAGCTTGAAGCCTGGAAGCCAGCTGGGACAAAAAATGCCTTCCCAGAAAGCATCCCCGAGAGAGATCACATATAATAATTGGCCTGGAGTCCCCCGTTCCTTACATCCTGTGCTCCTGTATCAGCCAGAGATGGTCAGCGCTTGGCTTAATCATGTGAGCTGTTTTTCTATTTGTGTCGAGAATGAATAGAGTAACTGATGAGATTGAGGTCTTGTATTGGAGTCTCAGAAATGTTAAGAAACCAGTATTCTTGGTCTTTGGCTTGGTGTGGATTTAAAGAAATGCCCTTACAGGCTTTCCCTTCTCTTAGGAAAGCATCCTTCATATTCCCAGGATCCTGGACTCTGCTGTTTCTATCTTGGAGGGCTTGATGCAGACATGTGCAAATTAGCAGGCCCAGGTAAACAGAGAAGATCAGTATGAAGCTTGAAGAAATAAAGAAAAAAAATTCTACATCAACCACTAGGGCTAATTGCATGGCCTCCATACTTCCTTCTGCCCTTGTCTTTAAAAAATCCATTACACATTTCTACAAAGGAATAACTATAATTATGACAGGGAAAATATAATTTCAAAGACATTTTAAATAAAAGAAGGAAGCTTTTCTTTGAAATTTGCCGGAATAGGCTTTAATTGTGCCTTGGGAACCACCAAAGCAATTAATCAGGTAATGTATCTGATTTTAGGCATTTGTGGAAGTAGTTTTTATTTAAAAAGAGATCTTTTTTACTTAGAGCCTTGATCTTTGTTGACATTAAGTGAATAGAAATGGAGGGGTGTGAAGAATTTAAAAAAAGCAAAAGTTTTGCAGCAAGGCCTTAAAAATATAAACAAAACATCATCAATCTTCATTGTGTCAGCAAATTGACAAAATTCAAATTTCTCTAGAAGCTGTCAGGGGATGGTTGGTTCCTGTCCGCTCACTTGCTGGGAGATGTTTTCAAACTCATTAACTCCCATTTACCGGAAAGGAATTGCTTTCTCACAAGCATGGAAACCTCAGAAGTTGCAAAGGGCTTGGTAGGGAAATGATATTATGTCTGTGGATGACTAAGTATATGGCTTCAGAATCTCTCCCCTTTAAATCTTCCTCACAGAATTTGGAGCTGAGAAGCATTTGAAAGAAGTAATTTTATCTGTAGCCTAAAATTTTCAGGGTAGCTGCAGCTATTTTGTATTTTATAAAATCACTGCCACCTCACTACAGTCTTTAAAAAGACTCTATAATATAGAAACAATTTCTTTTTAAATCTGTACCCCTGAACACTCCATGCATTTAGAGGTATGACACAGATCCACTGTAATATTCAAAATAGATAACCAAGCACATAATAAAAGAAATAATTACAGCTAACAGTTATTAAGTATTCAATATATGCCAAGCATTATGAAGTAGGATATAGTAGGTTGGTTCAAAAGTAATTGCAGCTTTGGCTATTAAAAGTAATAGAGTATTTTGCCATTAAAAGTACATAGGGGACATCTGGATCAAGATGGCTGAATAGAAATAGCTCCCATCTGCAGTTCCCAGCAAGATCAATGCAGAAGGCAGGTGATTTCTGCATTTCCAACTGAGGTACCTGATTCATCTCATTGGGGCTGGTTGGACAGTGGGTGCAGCCCACGGAGGGCAAGCTGAAGCAGGGTGGGGTGTCACCTCACCCAGGAAACACAAGGGGTCAGGGAATTTTCTCCCCTACCCAAAGGAAGCCGTGAGGGACTAAGCCTGAGGAAATGGGTACTCCAACCCAGATATTGCACTTGTCCCATGGTCTTTGCAACCCACAGACCAGGAGAGTCCCTGCAGTGCCTACCCTACCAGGGCCCTGGGCTTCAAGCACAAAACTGGGCAGCCATTTGGGCAGACAATGAACTAGCTACAAGAGTTTTTGTTTTTCCATACCCCAGTGGCGCCTGGAATGCCAGTGATACAGAATCGTTTGTTCCCCTGGGAAGGGATGCTGAAGCCAGGGAGTCAAGTGGTCTGGCTCAGCGGGTCCCACCCCCATGGAGCCCAGCGAACTAAAACCCACTGGCTTGAAATTCTCACTGCCAGCACAGCAGCAGTCTGAGATCAACCTGGGACTCTTGAGCTTGGTGGGGGGAGGGGCGTGCCCTACTGCTGAGGCTTCAGTAGGCGGTTTTATGCTCACAGTGTAAACAAAGACACCAGGAAGTTCGAACTGGGCAGAACCCATTGCAGCTCAGCAAGGCTACTGTGGCCGGACTGCCAGATTTCTCCTCTCTGGGCAGGGCATCTCTGAAAAAAAGGTAGCAGCCCCAGTCAGGGACTTATAGATAAAACCCCCATCTACCTGGGACAGAGCACCTGGGGGAAGGGGCAGCTGTGGGCACAGCTTCAGCAGACGTAAAGGTCTCTGCCTGATGGCTCTGAAGAGAGCAGCAGACCTCCCAGCACAGTGTTTGAGCTCTGCTAAGGGTCAGACTGTCTCCTCAAGTAGGTCCTTGACCCCCGTGTATCCTGACTAGGTGAAACCTCCCAGTAGGGGCTGACAGACGTCTCATAAAGGAGAGCTCTGGGTGGCATCTGGCAGGTGCTCCTCTGGGACGAAGCTTCCAGAGGAAAGAACAGGCATCAGTTTTTGCTGTTCGGCAGCCTCTGCTGGGGATACCCAGGAAAACAGGGTCTGGAGTGGACCTCCAGCGAACTCCAGCAGACCTGCAGCGGAGGGGCCTGACTGTTAGAAGGAAAACTAACAAATGGAAAGGAATAGCACATCCATTCAAAGACCTCATCCAAAGATCACCAACATCAAAGACCAAAGGTAGATAAATCCACAAAGATGGGGAGAAACTAGTGCAAACAGTCTGAAAATTGCAAAAACCAGAAATCCCCTTCTCCTTCAAATGATCAAAACTCCTTGCCAGCAAGGTAACAAAACTGGATGGAGAATGAGTTTCATGAATTAACAGAAGTAGGCTTCAGAAGGCGGGTAATAACAAACTCCTCCGAGCTAAAGGAGCATTTTCTAGCCCAATGCAAGGAAGCTAAGAAACTTGAAAAAAGGTGGGACGAATTGCTAATAGACTAACCAGTTTAGAGAAGAACATAAGTGACCTGATGGAGGTGAAAAACACAGCATGAGAACTTTGTGAAGCATACACAAGTGTCAATAGCTGAATAGATCAAGTGGGAAAAAGGATATCAGTGATTGAAGATCAACTTACTGAAATAAAGTGAGAAGATAAGATTAGAAAAAAAAGAATAAAAAGGAACGAACAAAGCCTCCAAGAAATAGGGGACTTTTCTTGAGAAAAGACCAAATCTACATTTGATTGGGGTACCTGAAATTGATGGGGAGAATGGAACCAAGTTGGAAAACATTCTTCAGGATATTATCCAGGAGAACTTCCCCAACCTAGCAAGACAGGCCAATATTCAAATTCAGGAAATACAGAGAACACCACAAAGATACTCCTCGAGAAGAGCAACCCCAAGACACACAATCATCAGATTCACCAAGGTTGAAATGAAGGAAATAATGTTAAGGGCAGCCAGAGAGAAAAGTCAGGTTACCTACAAAGGGAAGCCCATCAGACTAACAGCAGATCTGTCAGCAGAAACCCTACAAGGCAGAAGAGAGTGTGGGCCAATATTCAACATTCTGAAAGAAAAGAATTTTCAACCCAGAATTTCATATCCAGCCAAACTAAGCTTCATAAGTGAAGGAGAAATAAAATCCTTTACAGACAAGCAAATGCTGAGAGATTTTGTCACCACCAGGGCTGCCTTACAAGAAGCACTGAAGGAAGCACTAAACATGGAAAGGAACAACTGGTACCAGCCGCTGCAAAAACATACCAAATTGTAAAGAACATTGACTCTATGAGGAAACTGCATCAACTAATGGGCAACACAACCAGCTAGCATCATAATGGCAGGATCAAATCCACACATAACAATATTAACCTTAAATGTAAATGGGCTAAATGCCCCATTTAAAAGATACAGACTGGCAAATTGGATAAAGAGTCAAGACCCATCAGTGTGCTGTATTCAGAGACCCATCTTATGTGCAAAGACACACGGATGCTCAAAATAAAGGGATGGAGGAATATTTACCAAGCAAATGGAAATTAAAAAAAAGCAGGAGCTGCAATTCTAATCTCTGATAAAACAGACTTTAAACCAACAAAGATCAAAAGAGACAAAGAAGTCCATTACATAATGGTAAAGGGATCAATGCAGCAAGAAGAGCTAAGTATACTAAATATATATGCACCCAATACAGGAGTACCCAGATTCATAAAGCAAGTTCTTAGAGACCTCCAAAGAGACTTAGACTCCCACACAATAATAGTGGGAGACTTTAACATCCCACTGTCAATATTAGACAGATCAACAAGACAGAAAATTAACAAGAATATTCAGGACTTGAACTCAGCTCTGGAAAAAGTGGACCTAATAGACATCTACAGAACTCTCCACCCCAAATCAATAGAATATACATTCTTATCAGCTCCTCATCACACTTATTCTAAAATTGACCATATAATTTGTAGTAAAACACTCCTCAGCAAATGCAAAAGAACAGAAATAATAACAAACAGTCTCTCAGACCACAGTGCAATCAAAGTAGAACTAAGGATTAAGAAACTCACTCCAAACTGCACAACTACATGGAAACTTAACAACCTGTTCCTGAATCACTACTGGGTAAATAACGAAATGAAGGCAGAAATAAAGATGTTCTTTGAAACCAATGAGAATGAAGACTCAACATACCAGAATCTCTGGGACACATTTAAAGTAGTGTGTAGAGGGAAATTTAAAGCACTAAATGCCCACAAGAGAAAGCAGGAAAGATCTAAAATTGACACCCTAACATCACAATTAAAAAAACTAGAGAAGGAAGAGTAAACAAATTCTAAAGCTAGCAGAAGACAAGAAATAACTAACATCAGAGCAGAACTGAAGGAGATAGAGACACGAAAAGCCATTCAAAAAATTAGTGAATCCAGGAGCTGGTTTTTTGAAAAGATCAACAAAATAGATAGACCACTGGCCAGACTAATAAAGATGAAAAGACAGAAGAATAAAATAAATGGATATAGGGGTTATCACCACTGATCCCACGGAAATACAAACTACCATCAGAGAATATATAAACACCTCTATGCAAATAAACTAGAAAATCTAGAAGAAATGGATAGATTCCTGGACACATACACCCTCCAAGTCTAAACCAGGAAGAAGTCGAATCCATGATAGACCAACAACAAGTTCTGAAATTGAGGCAGTAATTAATAGCCTACCAACTGAAAAAGTCCAGTACCAGACAGATTCACAGCCGAATTCTACCAGAGGTACAAAGAGGAACTGCTACCAATCCTTTTGAAACTATTCCAAATAATAGAAAAAGAGGGAATCCTCCCTAACTCATTTTATGAGGCCAGCATCATCCTGATACCAATACCTGGCAGAGACACAACAAAAAAAGAAAATTTCAGGCCAGTATCCCTGATGAACATTGACGCAAAAATCCTCAATAAAATACTGACAAACTGAATCCAGCAGCACATCAAAAAGCTTACCCACCATGATTGAGTCAGCTTTATCCCTGAGATGCAAGGCTGGTTCAATCTATGCAAATCGATAAACGTAATCCATTGCATAAACAGAACCAAAGACAAAAACCACATGATTATCTCAACAGATGCAGAAACAGCCTTCGACAAAATTCAACAGCACTTCATGCTAAAAACTCTCAATAAACTAGGTATTGATGGAACATATCTCAAAATAATAAGAGCTATTTATGACAAACTCACAGCCAATATGATACTGAATAGGCAAACACTGTAAGCATTCCCTTTGAAAACTGGCAGAATAAAAGGATGCCCTCTCTCACCACTTCTATTCAACATAGTTTGGAAGTTCTGGCCAGGGCAATCAGGCAAGACAAAGAAATAAAGAGTATACAAATAGGAAGAGAGGAAGTCAATTGTCTCTGTTTGCAGATGACATGATTTTATATTTAGAAAACCCCATTGTCTCAGCCGAAAATCTCCTAAAGCTGATAAGCAATTTCAGAAAAGTCTCAGGATATAAAATCAATGTGCAAAAATCACAATCATTCCTGTACACCAATAACAGACAGAGAGCCAAATCGTGAATGAACTCCCATTCACATTTGCTACTAAGACAATAAGATATCTAGGAATACAACTTACAAGGGATGTGAAGGACCTCTTCAAGGAGAACTAGAAACCACTGCTCAAGGAAATGAGAGGACACAAACAAATGGAAAAACATTCCAGGCTCACGGATAGAAAGAATCAATATAGTGAAAAAGCAATTTATAGATTCAGTGCTATCCCCATCAAGCTATCACTGACTTTCTTCACAGAATTGGAAAAAATTACTTTAAATTTCATATGGAACCCCAAAAAAGAGCCCGCATAGCCAAGACAGTCCTCAGCAAAAAGAACAAAGCTGGAGGCATCACGCTACCTGACTTCAAACTATACTATAAGGCTTCAGTAACCAAAACAGCATGGTACTGGTATCAAAACAGAGAGCTAGACCAATGGAACAGAACAGAGGCCTCAGAAATAACACCATACATCTACAACCATCTGATCCTTGACAAACTGGACACAAACAAGCAATGGGGAAAAGATTCCCTATTGAATAAATGGTGTTGGGAAAACTGGCTAGCCATGTTCAGAAAACTGAAACTGAATCCCTTTGCTTACACCTTATACAAAAATCAACTTAAGGTGTATAAAAAACTTAAACATAAGACGTAAAACCATAAAAATCCTAGAAGAAAACATGGGCAATACCATTCAGGACATAGGCATGGGTAAAGACCTCATGTCTAAAACACCAAAAGCAATGGCAACAAAAGCCAAAATCAACAAATGGGACCTAATTAAACTAAGCGCTTCTGCACAGCAAAAGAAACTCTCATCAGAGTGAACAGGCAACCCACAGAATGGTAGAAACTTCTTGCAATCTATCCATCTGACAAAAGACTAATATCCAGAATCTACAAGGAAATTAAACACATTTACAAGAAAAAAAAAACCTCATCAAAAAGAGAGCAAAGGATATGAACAGATACTTCTCAAAAGAAGACATTTATGCAGCCAACACACATATGAAAAAATGCTCATCATCACTGGCCATCAGAGAAATGCAAATCAAAACCACAATGATATATCATCTCACACCAGTTAGAATGGCAATCATTAAAAAGTCAGGAAACAACAGGTGCTGGAGAGGATGTGGAGAAATAGGAACGCTTTTACACTGTTGGTGGGAGTCCAAATTAGGTCAACCATTGTGGAAGATAGTGTGGCAATTCCTCAAGGATCTAGAACTAGAAATACCATTCAACCCAGCAATACTGTTACTGGCTACATACCCAAAGGATTATAAATCATGCTACTATAAAGACACATGCACACGTATGTTTATTGTGGCACTATTCACCATAGCAAAGACTTGGAACCAATCCAGATGTCCATTAATGATAGACTAGATGAAGAAAATGTGGCACATATACACCATGGAATACTATGCAGCCATAAAAAAGGATGGGTTCGTGTCCTTTGCAGGGACACAGATGAAGCTGGAAACCATCATTCTCAGCAAACTATCATAAGAACAGAAAACCAAACACTGCATGTTCTCACTCATAAGTGGGAGTTGAACAATGAGAACACATGGACACATGGGGAGGAATATCACACACTGGGGCCTGTCCAGGGTGGGGGCTAGGGGAGGGATAGCATTTGTAGCAATACCTAATGCAGTTGATGGGTTGATGGGTACAGCAAACCACCATGGCACATGTGTACCTATGCAACAAAACTGCACATGCTTCACATGTATCCCAGAACTTAAGTAAAATTAAAAAAAAAAAAAAGTACATAGAGGCTGGGTACGGTGGCTCATGCCTGTAATCCCAGCACTTTGGGAGGCTGAGGTGGGCGAATCACGAGGTCAGCAGATCAAAACCATGCTGGCCAACATGGTGAAACCCCATCTCTATTAAAAATACAAAAATTATCCAGGCATGGTGACACACGCCTGTAGTCCCAGCTACTTCGGAGGCTGAGGCAGGAGAATCGCTTGAACCTGAGAGGTGGAGATTGCAGTGAGCTGAGATTGCACCTCTGCACTCCTCCAGCCTGGGGATGGAGCGAGACTCCATCTCAAAAAATATATAAATAAAATAAAAAGTACATAGACTATTTTGTTAAATCATCCCTAGTTCACTAAGAAATAAATATTAAGTTTATCACACAATTTTTATTTCGACTAGAACTAAAGCTCTCAAATTCCTGGTCCTTCTCTTCAAAAATGTCTTCATCAAAAATACTGACAAATCCTTCCTTAATGCTACCCCCATGCCATTGCCAGAAATAATTGACCCAAAGCCTTTCATCCTCAGCCTGAAGAAGTAAAAAAAAGCACTAGTTTTCCCCATGTGGAACTCAGTCACCATATGGCTGGCTGTCTGCCCTCATAGAGGTTTATACTTGACATCAGCAATAGAGAGCATATCTAATCAGAGACTGCCAATCAGTGGGAGGAGGGTAGTAGATGACAGATATAAAGTTTTCTGGAGTCTCAAGGGGGTGACAGGATGAGGTGGCTCTTGTCTGCCACATCTCTGGTTGTTTACAAATGACTGGCCCCTCCATAACCTGCACTACAATGACAGATAGGAGACAGATACAGGTTATCAAATCTATTTCCAGACAAGGAGCTTGAATTGCTTGCCAACTTCACCTGCTACCCAGGACTTTGCATTTCAATGTTTTTTAACGAGGCAGAGAACTTTCTATTTTATTTTATTTTAATTAATTTTTGAGACATGGTCTTGCTGTATCACCTAGGCTGGAGTACAGTGGTGTGATCATGGCTTAGTGCAGTCTTCACTTCCTGGGCTCAAATGATCCTCCCATCTCAGTCTCCTAAGTAGCTGGGACTAGAGGCACCTGCCACCATGTCCAGCTTCTATTTAAATTTTTTTTTTTTTTTTGTAGAGACAGGGTCTTGCAATGTTGCCCAGGCTGGTCCTGAATTCCTGGGCTCAAGTGATCCTCCTGCCTTGGCCTTCCAAAGTGCTGGGATAATAGGCATGAGCCATCGTGCCCAGCCAGAAAACTTTTTAAACCTTTGGTTCAAATTTTATTACCATCTCTTCAGTTTAATTAGCTGCAAAAAATGAATAATGTATAAGCAAAACCTGGAAAGAGCTGCAGAGTCCAAGAGGCTTAGGCTTAAAAATATTAAAAATCTAGATTTTATCAGATACATAAATGAAAATTTTAAAAAGCAGTGATAATATAAAATAGCAGGTCCCAGTAACTTCTTCAAGTTTTATCTTCTTCAAAAGTTGACTCATTTTGCCTTACTCTTGGAAGCCTCATCAAAATCCTCCCTAAGATCTGGGACTTCATCCTCATCATCATCTCCAGCAGCAAATGCTTTTCTATCCCCTAGATTATTTGGGCAGAATAACTTGTCAGTCTCCCTTAACTAGTCAGATTGTCTGTACCAAGCTGGTTTAAGATGCTGGGCAGCATTTATCTCAGCTGCTTTGTCTCAGCATGGGCTGTAATAGTAGTGGTCACTGCTAGAGATGCCTGACCTAGAGCATTGCTAAAGTACATCACCATTCTTTGGTTTGTAAACATATTCCTCTCTTCAGTGTCAGAAATATTGTTGACCTCTACCTTCTTTAAGGAGAACCAAACTTTTAATTATTTGCTATAGATGTTCTATGAACCATCTTCTTTCTGCTAGCAATTATTTTTTCACTGCTGCACACTTATGATTCTAGTTTGGCAAGTTTCTCCCAGTTCATGATGCTTACTTTCATCTTATTGGAATGAAAAGAGACTGAGAGGAGCTCTAGACCTGGCACTCAGGAGTCTCGAGCAGAACAGCTGAGATTAGGTGCACATATGCAGGAATACAAGATGGCAGCTAGAGGCCTCCTTGCTTTTCTGATTCTGCAGTTCATAACTCCAGAGCTTGGCCATTGAATTCTAGTGACTTTGCTGGGCTTATTTCCATAGCTGTCAGCTTATATTTCTCCCCTGTTGCTGAGCTCTTTTATACCCTCAAGTGATCTGAAGATGGCAGGCTGAGCCCATGAGCCTACTTTCCTTCTCATCTTAAATTCCATGAAATAAGAGCGGAAAGAAAATATTTTTCAAAAAATTTCAACAATGATGCTGTCTAATAAAAGGACTTCGAGTAGTGGATTGAAAATGAAAGAATTTCTGAAAATTAGATATGTGGTGAAGTCAGATCTAGCTGCTCCCCACCCCGTCACTCTACATATTCAGCCTTACACACACACACACACACACACACACACACACACACACACAAAGGACAAATGTGCAAAAGAGAACTGTTCTGGAAGAGATCAGACAACAATTAGGAATCACCAAACATCTAGGAAAGCTAGGATCAGAAATGAGAAGCACCAACATTAAACAAAAGAATAATTATCTACAGAAACAAACTCAATAGACTCCATGAAAGAAGTCAATAAATAATTATAGCTTTTTAAAATATTTAAGAGGTTATTAATTGCATCATCTGAAGCCAACTCTACAACAAGTCTTGGTGTCTGCAGTTTTGATTGTCAAAAATAATAAGTGAGGAAATTGATGGGGGGGATATGTAAGATTGGAAATAAATGAGCTAAAGCCTGCGGTAAGATTGACATTAGCGGCCGGGCGCGGTGGCTCACGCCTGTAATCCCAGCACTTTGGGAGGCCGAGGCGGGTGGATCATGAGGTCAGGAGATCGAGACCATCCTGGCTAACAAGGTGAAACCCCGTCTCTACTAAAAATACAAAAAATTAGCCGGGCGCGGTGGCGGGCGCCTGTAGTCCCAGCTACTCGGGAGGCTGAGGCAGGAGAATGGCGTGAACCCGGGAAGCGGAGCTTGCAGTGAGCCGAGATTGCGCCACTGCAGTCCGCAGTCCGGCCTGGGCGACAGAGCGAGACTCCGTCTCAAAAAACAAAAAACAAAAAAAAAAGATTGACATTAGCTTAAAAAACACATGAACAATACTACACAGATACACAGATACTTGGATTGACTGCATATTGGACCTATGGCTGCCTGGCAGCCAAAGTGAAGAGGAAAATAAAAGTTCTAGTTATGAAATAAAAATAAATATATGTTCAGATGCAACAGAAGCACAGATCATAGTAAAACTGGAGAGAAGTTTTTTTTTTTTTTTTTAGATGGAGTTTCGCTCTTGTTGCCCAGGTTGGAGTGCAATTGCATGATCTCAGCTCACTGCAACCTCCGCCTCCTGGGTTCAAGCAATGCTCCTGCCTCAGCCTCCCAAGTAGCTGGGATTACAGGCATGTACCACTATGCCTGGCTAATTTTGTATTTTTAGTAGAGACCGGGTTTCTCCATGTTGGTCAGGCTGGTCTAGAACCCCCAACCTCAGGTGATCTGCAAACCTCAGCCTCCCCCAAGAGATTTTCATAAAGCAAATATATTTATGAATATTCTTACTGTAAATAAACCAACTATTATCACAAGATTCATTGTTATATGTTCCTTAATATCAAACAATATTGTTTTTTCCCTTTTCTATTTAGACATAAATATATATATAAAGTTCAAAAAGTGCACTGATCATCAGAATGAACAGGCAACCTACAGAATGGGAGAAAAATTTTGCAATTTATCTACCTGACAAAGTGCTAATATCCAGAATCTACAAGAAACTAAAATTTACAAGAAAAAAACAAACAACTCCATCAAAAAGTAGGTGAAGGATATGAACAGACACTTCCCAAAAAAAAAAAAGACATTTATGCGGCAACAAACATGAGAAAAAGCTTATCATCTCTGGTCATTAGAGAAATGCAAGTCAAAACCATAATACCATCTCACACCAGTTAGAATGGCTATCATTAAAAAGTCAGGAAACAACAGATGCTGGCGAGGATGTAGAAAAATAGGAACGCTTTTACACTGTTGGTGGGAATGTAAATTAGGTCCACCATTGTGGAAGACAGTGTGGTGATTCCTCAAGGATCTAGAACCAGAAATACCATTTGACCCAGCAATCCCATTATTGGGTATATACTGAAAGGATTACAATTTATTCTGCTATAAAGACACATGCACACGTATGTTTATTGCAGCACTATTCACAATAGCAAAGACTTGGAATCAACCCAAATGTCCATCAATGATAGACTGGATAAAGAAAATGTGGCATGTATACACCATGGAATACTATGCAGCCATAAAAAATGATGAGTTCATGTCCTTTGCAGGGACATGAATGAAGCTGGAAACCATCATTCTCAGCAAACTAACACAGGAACAGAAAACCAAACACTGCATGTTCTCACTCGTAAGTGGGAGTTGAACAAGGAGAACATATGGGCACAGGGAGGGAAACATCACACACTGGGGTCTGTCGGGGGGTGGGGGGCAAGGGGAGGGAGAACATTAGGAGAAATACCTAATGTAGATGATGGATTGATGGGTGCAGCAAACCACCATGGCACGTGTATACCTACGTAACAAAGCTGTATGTTCTACACGTGCATTCCAGAAATTAAAGTATAAAAAAGTAATAATAATAAAAAAAGAAAGTTGAATATTGGCCCCCACTTTCTTCTGGCTTGCAGGGTTTCTGCAGAGAGATCTGCTGTTAGTCTGATGGGCTTCCCTTTGTAGGTAATCTGATGTTTCTCTCTGGCTGCCCTTAACATTTTTTTCTTCATTTTGACCTTGGAGATTCTGATAATCGTGTGTCTTGGGATTGCTCTTCTAGAGGAGTGTCTTAGTGGTGTTCTCTGTATTTCCTGAATTTGAATGTTGGCCTGTCTTGCTAGGCTGGGGAAATTCTCCTGGATATACCCTGAAGCGTGTTTTCCAACTTGGTTCTATTCTCCCCGTCACTTTCAGGGACCCCAATCAATCGTAGTTTGGGTCTTTTTGCAAGAAAAGTCCTCTATTTCTTGAAGGCTTTGTGCGTTCCTTTTCCATCTTTTTTCTCTAATCTTGTCTTCCCGCCTCATTTCAGTAAGTTGATCTTTAACCTCTGGTATCCTTTCTTTCGCTTGATCAATTCGGCTACTGATACTTGTGTATGCTTCACAAAGTTTTCGTGCTGTGTTTATTCAGCTCCATCAGGTCATTTATGTTCTTCTCTAAACTGGTTATTCCAGTTGGCATTTCCTTTAACCTTTTTTCAAGGTTCTTAGCTTCCTTGCATTGGGTTAGAACATGCTCCTTTAGCTCAGAGGAGTCTGTTATACCCACCTTCTGAAGCGTACTTCTGTCAATTCGTCAAACTCATTCTCTTTCCAGTTTTGTGCCTTTACTGGAGTGGAGTTGCAATCATTTGGAGAAGAGGTATTCTGGTTCTTGGCATTTTCAGCCTTTTTGCACTGGTTTTTCCCTCATATTAGTGGATTTATCTACCTTTGATCTTTGAGGTTGATGGCCTTTGGATGGGGTTTCTGTGTGTGGGTCCTTTTTATCGATGTTATTGCTTTCTGTGTTAGTTTTTCTTCTAACAGTCAGGCCCCTCTTCTGCAGGTCTGCTGTAGTTTGCTGGAGGTCCACTCCAGACCCTATCTGCCTGGGTATTACCAGCAGAGGCTGCAGAACAGCAAAGATTGCTGCCTGCTTTTTCCTCTGGAAGCTTTGTCCCAGAGGGGCACCAGCCTGATGCCAGCCACAGCGCTCCTGTATGAGGTTTCTGTCAACCCCTTTCGGGAGGTCTCTCCCAGCCAGAAGGCACAGGGGTCACGGACCCACTTCAGGAGGCAGTCTGTCCTTCAGCAGAGCTAGAGTGCTGTCCTGGTAGTACCCTCCTTGTCAGGATCCACTGTTCTCTTCAGAGCCGGCAGGCGGAAACATTTAAGTCCCTGAAACTGCACCCACAGCTGCTCCTTCCCCCAGGTCCTCTGTCCCTGTGCGGTGGGAGTTTTATCTGTAAGTCCCTGGCTGGGGCTGCTGCCTTTCTTTCAGAGATGTCCTGCTCAGTGAAGAGGAATCTGGAGAAGGAGTCTGGCCACAGCTGCTTTGCTGCACTGTGTTGAGTTCTGCCCATTCTGAACTTCCAGGCCTTTTTAATACTATCAGGGGAAAACTGCCTACTCAAGCCTCAGTAATTGCAGAAGCCCCTCCCCCCACCAAGCTCGAGCATCCTAGGTCAGCTTCAGACTGCTGGGCTGGCAGCGAGAATTTCAAGCCAGTGGTTCTTAGCTTGCTGAGCTCTGTGGGAGTGGGACCCGCTGAGTGAGACCACTTGGCTTTCTGTCTTCAACCCCCCTTCCGGGAGAGTAAATGGTTCTGTCTCGCTGAGGTTCCAGGTGCCACTGAGGTACAAAAAAAAAAAAAAAAAAAACTCCTGCATCTAGCTTCGTGTCTGCCCAAACAGCCACCCAGTTTTGTGCTTCAAACCCAGGGCCCTGGTGATGTAGACACGTGAGGGAATTTCCTGGTCTGTGGATTGCAAAAACCTTAGGAAAAGCATAGTATCTGGGCTGGATAGCACAGTCCCTCATGGCTTCCCTTGTCTGGGAAAAGGAGGCCCCCCTAAACCCTGTTCCCTGCACTTCCCCAGTGTGGTGATACCCCACCCTGCTTCTGCTCACCCTCTGTGGGCTGTACCTACTGCCTAACCAGTCTGCGATGAACAGGCTACCTCAGTTGGAAAGGCAGAAATCACCTGCCTTCTGTGTTGGTCTTGCTGGGAACTGCAGACTGGAGCTGTTCCTATTCAGCCATCTTGCCAGCAGATCTCAATTAGGGAATTTTTCTTAAATTAATTTCTCAAATACATTTTCTAGGTTGTTTATTTTTACTCTTTCTTTCTCAGGAATGTCAATAATTCATAGGTTTGGTCACTTTACATAATACCATATTTCTCAAAGACTTTGCTCATTTTTATAATCAGTTTTTCTTTATTTTTGTTAGATTGGGTTAAAAAGACCAGTCTTCAAGCTCTGAAATTCTTTCTTCTGCTTGGTCCAGTCCATTGATAAAGCTTTCAATTGTATTTTGACATTCCTTAAGTGAGTTTTTCAATTCCAGAAACTCTGATTGATTTTCTTTTAGGATGTTTATCTCTATTTCCTGGATTGCTTTAGAAGTTTTTTTGTGTTGTTTTTTTTTTTTTAAGTAATAAAAATGTATTGAGAATTCCTAGGTTAGTGGTTATCTCCTCCCAGTCTTGAGGGAGGAAACAACACTGTAGGAAATCATTGAGGAATCACACACTGTCACAACACCCTTGGCCAACACAGGGAGGAGGAAAGTAATTCCACAGAAAAAGGGCTGATCTTCAGTCTTTCTTTATTCAGGAGGAGTTGGGAGGATAGCTTCAGGTACAAGGAAGTTTCACATGGTACTGGGGCAGGGTGGGGCTGTGCTGGGTTCCTAACTGGGTTCTCAAAAACTGGAGAAGCAGATTCACTTTCTCTCTGGGGGTAAAATTCTTGGTTACCAGGCTAATTTCTTACCCTTAATGAGGCTGCCTTTATTTCCCCAGGTGAAAGTCTTATCCTGTAGGTTCAGCACAAGATTGTCATCAGTGAGACAGATATGATTCTATGATGTGATTGTCTTGGAGATGTTCTGGGCTGCCTAATCTTGTGAATTTTGATGTAGCCAGGGTTCTTGCTCAGTGCTTCCCCAAGCATCTTAGCAGCCTCAGCTTCACACTTGGCCTGGGCAATCTTTTGCTGGTGTTCTAGTTTTGCTTTTTCTACGAAGAACTGGGCCTGCTGGGCCTCCTGCTGGACCACTTGTTTGGCCTCTACAGTAGCTGTGTACTCTCAGCTAAAGCTCAGCTCTGTGATGGCTACATCATCCAAGATAAGACTGAAGTCCTTGGCCCTCTCTGGCAGCTCCCAATGAATCAACAGGGATACCTGGGCCCACTGGGTAATCAGCTATGAGGCATTGAACTTGGCCACCACACTCTTGAGTACTCTTTTGACAATGGATGGCAACACTCATTCTTTGTTGTCTAGCCCTAGGTGCTTGTGCATGCTAGGAAGCTCCTGAACATTGGGTTGAGACACCATGTACAGGGATATGTTCACCATCTGCAGGTCTTTTGAGCCTGTTAGGGAGGAAATTTTTCAAGGTCCGGCCAGAATGTCATCGTTGATGGGGTACCGAGACCAGGGAATCCTGAAATGAAGCCTTTGGCCAGGATAGTGTCTTGCTGCATGCCACCGATATAATTGAAGAAGATGGCTGTGTTTGCCTTCCATGGTGAACTTGGATTTGGGGACACCATAGGCCACAGTGCTGGCCCCTAGCAGCAGCTTCAGTGCCATGACTATGTCCCAGGAGTCAGTATGCAGCCATTCCTCTAAGTCCTTCAAGTTCTGGACCATGTCTGATTCTGAGGCTATTGCGCCAGAGGTCATAAGGGAGTGCCAGCTCACTACTACCCAACTCCAGTTTAGGGATTGTACCCTTCACATGAGGGTTCAGGTCGGTAATGCTGGCAGGAGAACGGTGTATTGATTTTCAGCCTTGCCTTGCATCTCAATGAGCTTCCTTGCAATCCATGCTTTACATTCTTTATCTGTCATTTCCATGTTTCCATTTTGGCTATGGACCATTGCTGGAGAGCTATTGTAATCATTTGATAGTATCACTACATTCAGATTTTTCATGGTGCTAGAATTCTTGCTCTGGTTCCTTCTCATCTGGAGATGCTAGCACTTCTAATTTTTGTAATTATTTTCACGCTGGTAGGATTTTTTCTTTTTTTTTTCTATCCTTTTATCAGCTGGACATTACCATGAAGGCTGTTTGCCGGTGTTTTCTTCTCTGGGATCTGGGTTGTTCTTTAAGATTCTGGTGGATTACCATTTGCTTCTTGAATTAAAGCTCACAGACTTGATCTTTATGTACTATCTTGCTATTTGCAAGTGGCTGAGGCATGCTGAATGCCTCTAATCTGCCAATCTTGGGAAAAAACAAACAAACGACTACTTCTTGATTTCTACAGTTTGTTAGAGAAGGATCTCAGTGACCTGTGAGTCAGTATCAATGACTCCCAAGTTAGAACATTAAACTATTCCTTCCTCTCGTCATCCTTTAAAAAGCATTTTGCCCCTTTAAACTGTCACCATGGTGTCCTGATTTTAGACAACACCCCACAGAAAATTTTAAAAAATCCAGCTCTCATTCATCTTGTAAAGGTAAGAAAGGTGGTGGATGGGGAGGGAAAGAGGAGAGAGGGAGAGGGAGGGAGAAGAAGAGAAAGGGAGAGGGAGGGAGAGGGAGGGAGGTGGGGGGAGAGAGAGAAAGAGAGAGAGAGAAAGAGAGAATCTTGTAAACGATCTTGCTAAACTACATGCCCAGTTTTGCAGAAAAAAACTAGAGCACTTCTTTCCCCAAGAGTCAATGGACAACAGAGGGAATGCTTTAAAAGACTTTGTAATGTGTCTTTTTTTTTTTTTTCCTGAGATAAGAGTCTCACTCTGTCGCCCAGGCTGGAGTTCAGTGGCACGATCTTGGCTCACTGCAAGCTCTGCCTCCTGGGTTGATGCCATTCTCCTGCCTCAGCTTCCTGAGTAGCTGGGACTACAGGTGCCCACCACCACACCCGGCTAATTTTTTTGTATTTTTAGTAGGGACAGGGTTTCACCATGTTAGCCAGGATGGTCTCAGTCTCCTGACCTCATGATCCGCCCGCCTCGGTCTCCCAAAGTGCTCGGATTACAGGCGAGATTTGAGTTTGTTTTGATGACTAATTTGTCTTCTAATTCTATTCAACTTCTATGAAAACAGGAGGAAAATAAAAAGAAAATATGTAAACCTGGGTATGTTTTAGTTGGAGTACTGGCAGCTTTCAAAATTCCAGAGTAAAATTGTGACGTTTCAGATTTCACTGCTAGTGATTCTAGGGCACAGACAAAATGGAGGAAAGCAAACCAACAAAATAACCCAGGGGGTGACCTTTATTCTGAGAAGCTGTTAAGCCCCACATGTTGAATTTTACAATTGCCAATCTCCCCAGTCTTCCAACCATCAAAAGACCTATTTACAATCAAGGGAATATTCAACATCTTTTATTAATTCACTTCCTAGCTAGGGCTCAGCAAAATGCATGCTGGAGGCTCAGGTGCTGATTCATGGCAGAAGGGAAGAGGCTTGATTCCATACAAAGAAACTGACCAGGCTGAAGGCTGTGTCCTTTACACAGCTAATATTCTGCTCTACTGTGTCCAACTCAATGGACTGCTGGCATTCTAATTATTTGGGTCTGAAGATTTGGCCACTTAGGTAAAATTTTAGACAGGATTTCTTTTAAATGGAGTAGATGGTCAGACATTTGAATATGGCAGCAGAAGCCTAGGAAGTAGAGCACCCTAATTTCGGTGGGCAGAGGGGTATGGCTCCATGTAATTGGTCCACTTATAACAAGATGCCAGTGATTAGCTGGTAAGTACTAGAACAATATTCAGAGGAGAGTTCTGAGGCTGCATCCAAGAAGGTCACTTCAGGATCTGGCTATAGTATCAATAGGTAACCTTGGTTCAGGGTGATAGTCAAAGACTAAGTAATCTACCAGAAAGCTGGAGTTGAAAAGGACACTCGGGTGTCTAGAGTCTATATTCTAGATTTCAGTGTGGGCACACCTGATGCCAAATCTATGGTTGTGAGATCCATTCCACACTCTATGACCTGCTGGGCTAAAACTGTTGAAACAAAATACTGTGTAGTTCAGGACTGAGTGAGGAGTAACCTGGATAGATCCTGGCAGGTAGAAAGCCCAAGTAATTCCAGCTAGAGGGGCTTGGGCAGCTACGGGCTAAGATGATGTTCTCCCTGACTAAATACTTTGAGATGGTAAAGGAATGTCAACTAAGCTACCCCAGAGCATAAGCAATAGGGTGCCTATGCTCTGTCAGACACATGGATTTTCTGACTTGATCAACCCCTACTCCACACAACATCCTCAGCCATATGTGCTATTGCTACTAAGATGAGGAAACTGAGACTTAGAGAAGGGAGATGATGGGTGTAGGATGACACAGCTAGGAAATGACAGAAAATGCTTCAGTGTTCAAAGTTGAGCAGTTTGATTCCAGAATGTGCACAACTAACTGCTATGCATATTCCTTCCTATTTGCTGGGACAACGTTGGTGAGCACAGAGCAAAAAGTTGCCCATCCCTCTGGTGCTGATGAAGAGCCACCCCTCTCACCACCTATTATTTCAAACTAGGCATTTTCTTTAAAAAGAAAACAGCTTTATTGATATATCATTAATATGACATTGAATTCATCCATTTAAAGTGTACAGTTCAATAGTTTCTAGGATAGGCACAGATATGCGAAACCATCATCACAGTAAATTTTAGAACATTTTGATTACTTCAAAAAGAAACTCTCATCTTTTAGCTATATCTCCCAATCCCCATCTAATTCCTCACCCTTAGCCTTAAGCAACAACCAATTCACATTTTATATCTATAAATTGACTTGTTCTGGACCCTCATATGAATTGAATCATATAATGTGTACACATTTGTGACTTTTTTTAACTTAGTATGTTTTCAAGTCTCATTTAAGTGGTAGCATGTATCAGTACTTTATTCTTTTTGATAACTGAGTACTATTTTATTGTAGAAATATATCACATTCTGTTTCTTTTTGGGTTGTTTCCACCTTTTGGCTATCATAAGTAATGCTACAATACATATTTGTGTACAAGTTTTTGTGTGAACACAAACAAAACATTTTATTTTCCTTGGAAGAGAAATGAAAACACCTAAGAGTAGAAAATACTTGGTCAGATGGTAACTCTAGGTTTAACTGATGAATGGCCAGACTGTTTCACAGTGGCTGCACCATTTTACATTCCCACCAGCAATGCCTGAGTTTCCAATTTTCCCACATCCTCACCAACACTTATTATCTGTCTTCTTGATCCTAGCCATCCTAGTGGGTGTGAAGTGATACCTCATGGTGTTGATGTGCATTTCCCTGATGACAAAGGGTGTTGAACATCGTTTCACTCATGTGCTTATTAGCCACCTGGAGAAATGGATATTTAGATCATTTTAAAAATTGATCTTAATAAACATTTCTGTCATTTTATTAAGCTTAATATAGTATTGATACAAGTCCCTTAGATATATAATTTGCAAATGTTTTCTTCCATTTAGTGGGTTTCCTTTTTATTTTATTGATGGTGTCCTTTGCAGCACGCAAGTTTTTAATTTTGATGAAGTCTCATTTATTTTTTCTTTTGTTGCGTATGACTTCTATTTCATATCTAAGGATACTTTGCCAAATCCAAGTCACGACTTTCTCCTATATGTTCTTCTAATTTTATAGTTTTAGCTCCTACATTTAGGTCATTGATCCATATTGTTTAAATATCTATATACAGGGCATGTTACTTTTCCTGAGTTCTAAGAGAGTCCCTAAGGTTTTGTAAACAGCAGATACTAGCCGCATGCAGCAGTTCATGCCTGTAATTCCAGCACTTTGGGAGGCCAACGCAGGAGGATTTCTTGAGCCTATGGATTTGAGACCAGCCTGGGCAACATAGTGAGACTTTGTCTCTACAAAAAATAAACAAAATTAGCCAGTGTGGTGGCATGTGCCTGTGATCCCAGCTACTTGTGAGGCTGAAGTGGGATGATCGCCTGGGCCCAGGAAATTGAGGCTGCAGTGGGTCATGATCATGCCACCAAACTCCAAATATAGCTGATACTATATTTTCCTTTGAACACTAGAGCAATTTATAAGATGATGATTTCTCATATACTGGAGTTTGGTTAGGACCTCAAGAAAAAGATAAATAATAAAGCCGAGGTGGGCATATCACCTGAGGTCAGGAGTTTGAGACCAGCCTGGCCAACATAGTGAAACTCCATCTGTACTAAATACAAAAATTAGCTGGGCATAGTGGCGGGCACCTGTAAATCCAGCTACTTGGGATGCTCAGGCAGGAGAATCACTTGAACCCAGGAGGCAGAGGTTGCAGTGAGCTGAGTGAGATCACACCACTGCACTCCTGACTGGGTGACAGAGTGAGACTATGTCTCAAAAAAAAAAAAAAGAAAAAAAAAAAGAAAGTAGAGCAGCTCTCTGTCTTTCACACTATTATTTGTGTTTATTTTGAAATACACTTGCAACCACTTGACTACTGAATTTAGCATAATGGAGGTATATAATATGGTGAAGAGCTATAATTGTGTTTTCTCTAATGCACAGTTTGAGATACAAGAACATTTTAAAATTTTATTATGAGGTTTTATTTTTTATTTTTCAAACAATTTAAGAGTTTGATAAAATATTTAAGAAGAGCTGGATAATCAACCCAGCACACCATGCACCTAAAGTGAGTTCAACTCAAATAAATATAGTATTTTTTTTGACAAATGACCTCTGCCTGCAAGATTTGTCAACTTAATGTGGAACAGCTCTACAGGAGCAAGGTAGTAGTCCTGTTTCACAATTTTTTGGACTTTTCACTGTAGGCTAAGGGAAGTATGGAGAGGAATATATTTTATTTCCAAGGGGAGATTAAGGGAAAAAATGAGTTTGTTTTAGGTTGACAGTGTATGACTCAAAAACTTAAGCTAAAAAATGTAAAAAGCAATAAAAACAAAAATTTTACTTGAAACTACAATTGTGGAAATTAACTCTGGCCAGTGAAGAACTAAAAGAATCCTTTAGAGTTAACTGAATTTGTTCAACTATAAACCATAAAATGACTTCTCATATCATAAACTAATTCCAAAAGGGCCAGAGTCATCTTGGAGCTTTAAGGGGATCTCCACAGATTAACTGATTTAGGTGGGATTTGGAAATATGAAATATTATTACTAAAATCTGTACTGAGTAATGTACCTGAAAATCACAAACAAGTGATATTTAAGTGGTAAAATGTCTATTCAGTGCTGGAGTAGATATAGGTGGTAAGGAAGAGATAAGGGTCAATGGTGACATCTGGATTTCTAGATTGCAGTGCCATTCCTCAAGATATGGGAGAGGACCTGTGCCATAGACTGAATGTTTGTGTCCCTCCAAAATTCATATGTTGAAAACCTAATCACCAATGTGATCATATTAGGAGATAGGGCCTTTGGGAGGTGTTTAGATTATGGTAGACGAGACCTCATGAATGCAATTAGTGCCCTTTTAAATGAGACCCAAGAGTGCTGCCTTTTCCCCTTCTACCATGTGAGGAAAAAGCAAGAAAGCATCTTCTGTGAACCAGCATGGGGACCCTCACCAGACATCAAACCTGCCAGCACCGTGGTCTTAGACTTCTCAGCCTCCAGAACTGTAAGAAATAAAATTCTGTTATTTATAAGGTATCCAGTTTATTTATTTGTTATAGCAGCCTGGACAGACTGAGAAAACATGTTTGGGGAGAAATGACCATGAGTTTACTGAAATTTATTGGATTTGATATGAATTTTAAACATTGAAGAAGAAATATGTGGGGAACCTGTGTATCTGGAACTCAGAAGAGGGTTTTTTAGCTGGGAATATGTCTAGGAGTCCCATTATGAAGATAAAATTACCTATGGGAAAATGTAAACCAAAAACAGGGTCTACATTTAAGCCTTCATATTTTTAAAATATTTAAAGCCAGATAGAAAGTAAGAGCTAAAAAAGAAGATTTAGAAGGAGTGGCCAGCAAGGTAGAAGAAAAACCGTGAGAGAGTGGGAAAAGAGAAGTCAAGGGGGATGAGAATTGCAGGAAGGAGGGTGTTTTCAACAGTATCAAATGTTACTGAGAGGCCAAGTAAAATGAGGTCTTAGAAGTGCCCACAAAATGCAAGGGAAGGTCATTGTTGGTCTTAGTGAGAGCAGTTTTGATGAAACAGAGCATGTTGAAGACATGCTGGAGCGATTAAGAAGTGGAGATGGTAAGGTTTTTAATTTGCTCAACTGAATGGCAATACCATTACCTAAGATGGTAAAGAGGTCCAGATTGGGTCCTCATTTGAGATGATTGGTTTGAAGAAAAGAAGACAGAGCAGTAGCTGGAGGAGAATATGTGATTCAACTAAGTTATTTTAATTTTTAAATTTTAAATATGGAAGCGATTTTAGCATGTTTGAAAGCTCATGGGAAATGTGAGGTAGAGAAAGAAATTAAAGATATAGGTGAGGGCATTATTAATAGGTTAAGGCTTTAATAAGGCAAGCAGTTATAGGATTCAGAGTACAGGTAGGAGAATATGTATTTCATAATGGGAACAGCTCCTCCATATAATGGGTGGGATGGGGGATAGAATGAAATAGGGGATGAAATGGGAAGAGAGATGGAAAGGAGGATGAAATGTACAAATATGGTGGTAGGTGGGAGTTCTAAATAGAAAACTAGGTTTAAGTGGCTGGGCCTTTTGATGGCATGTTGAAGGCTCATTGATCATACATTTACAATGTTTCTAAGCTGCCTTACTGGGTCATTTTCCTCAGCAATGCTCAACAATTTGAGTGCAGACATAAGGAAGGCAAAGAAGGAAGTTCAACTAGGAGGGAGTATGGCATGACATTCAAGAGAATCCAAAAATTAATATTTTTGCCTCCAATACCACAAACTGTATCTTAATCTAGCATTATGTTAAGGGCGCTATAGGAATGAACTTTTCAGGGTTTATAATTTGTTGTCATTTTAAACCAGGTTTTGGCAAATCTGGTATTTCTAAGAGGCCCTGATAGTCCTGGTAAACTAGCATAGACATGTTGATTGATTCTGTTGTATAGAAAGAGTATTGTGATATCATCATAATTATTAATAATCATAGGTACTATCTTCAATTAATAGTTTATTCTGTGCCAGACTTTGTTAGATCATTATAGATTTTTCCTTAACTCTCACAATGGCAACATTATGATTATCTCTAACTGAGTTCAAGACATTTGTAAATAATTCAAATGATTTTTCATGATAATGCATCAAAATGGTAGAAATGGAATTTGCATCCAGGTGCATGTGACACCAAAGCCCACTGCACTACCACTACAAGCTTCCATGAGTTATGCTCTCCAGTTCTTCCAGAACCAAATAAAAAATTTTCCACAAAATATATTCCATCTCGCTCAGCCACTGTCTGGATGTTTCAGAATCTCTTGACCTTAGAAGGTGAGACTCACCTGTTTTACCTGTTTGACCATTAGAAAGGCAACTTGCCCTACAGCTTCCATATTTTTAGATCCATCTCTTCATATTTTCCCTTTAATCACTTTTACCCTGAAGGATTCTCTTTTTCTCACTGGCATGTTATAAACTGAGATCATCTTTATTATTATATTTCATCTTAATTGTTATTATATTTTAATAGGTAATACACATATATGACACAAAATTTAAAAGAATATATGGCAAAAACTATTTTTCCCTCTGCTCTTTCCCCAAGTCACCCAGTTCCTCTATCTAAAGACCATCGTGGAAAGTTTTTAAAATCTATGCTTTGAGGGTTGCTTTAAACATTTATATATTCCTGAATCTTAGAGATTGTGAGATAATAATTGTTTGTTGTTTTAAGTTACTGTGTTTGGGGATAATTTGTTACACAAAATAAATAATTAAAACAGATTTTTATACCTGGAAATGGGGTGATGTCATTACAAATAAGAAAAAGTACATGTGTGGCATTGCAACTGGGCAGTGGAGGAGGCTGGACCGATTTTGAGGAGTATGTTAGAGAAAGCTTAAGTTGCTTGATTAAACTGTTAATGGAAATCATGATTTCTGCCTAAAAGGGTTATGAAAAACATGTTATTGGAAACTAGAGGAAAGGTGGGTGACCCTTATTATGTAATGGCAGAAAACTTAGCAACACTCTTCCCTGCAGTAACATGGAAATTAGAAAATGACCCTAATTAACTGAGTTGTCTTGCTAAGGAGATTTCCAAAGCATTAAATGTATTACCTGCTTTATACTTCTGCTTATAATAAAATGTGAAAGAAGAGAGGAAAAAAAATTGAGGAAAGTATTGTCAAACAAAAGAGAGCCAGAATTTCATGTTTTTGAAAATTCCTAGCCTTTCCAGATAGCAAATGATGCTAAGATTAAGAAATAGCTTTGAAGCGGCCGGGCACGGTGGCTCATGCCTGTAATCCCCGCACTTTGGGAGGCCAAGGCAGGTGGATCAGGAGGTCAGGAGATCAAGACCATCCTGGCTGACACGGTGAAACCCTGTCTCTACTAAAAATACAAAAAATTAGCCAGGCATGGTGGCAGGCGCCTGTAGTCCCAGCTACTCGGGAGGCTGAGGCAGGAGAATGGCGTGAACCTGGGAGGCGGAGCTTGCAGTGAGCCGAGATTGGCCACTGGACTCCAGCCTGGGTGACACAGCGAGACTCTGTCTCAAAAAAAGAAAAAAAAAAAAAAAAAAAAAAGAAATAGCTTTGAAGCAAAGATCAATTCAGGGCACTTCCAGAAAAATATGTTCTAGAGATGAAGCCAGGAACCTTATGTTTTACATCTCAAAGATCAAAGGTGGTTCTTCAGAGTACTATTCAGCCTTTAAAAGGTCCATTAAAAAGATTAAGAATGTACTTCACAGAGGCTCTCAATAAAACCGTAGGAATCCTAAGAAACCTAAGGATTTTCCTTTAAGAGATTTGTGGGTGTGGCTTTTACTTAATGGCATGAACTCCACTGAGATTCACAGGAGTCACACAAAGTTTTTGAGAGACTTGTATCAGCAGGAAGAATGCCCATTTGGACTGGAAGAGAAAGAGTTCAAAATGCAAAGAGGGCATTAGATCACCAAAACTCTATAGGCAGGAAATAAACTGAGAAAACTATTCAGCTGAAATGAAAGGAAAAATAACTCAAAGGATGAAATCAGGAGCACAGAGAGAAGAGCCAAAGTCATGGGGAATTATTCTCAACCCTAAAACCTAATTAAGGAAGTTTCAAGATCTGACCATTTCATAATTGCTATGGACCAGTGACTCTTTTTTTGACTTTCATTTTCCTTCTTTTTGTGTAGGATTTCTACAGCAGAAATGCTTTGACTGTCCCATCACTGTATGTTGACTGTTTAGGGGACAGATAACCTCTTTATTTTCACAAGTCTGCAGGAACTGTTCTTGAGGAGCTGCAATTCTTAGCTTCACCTGAGGAGCCTCATCCATATCTGACCTTATTTAGATTATGAAATTCTGGGTTTTGTGCAGGGGTAAGTTCTGAGAACCTTGAGAGGGAATGAGTATATTTTACTATGGGAAAGATGTGAGTGGAACCAGAGTGGACTGTAGTAGACAGCTCCTAAAATAGCCCCCAGTGAGCTCACCTCCTAGCATTCATACCTTTGTGTACTTACCTACCCTTGGGTGTAAAGTGGACTAATTGACTCAATTCTAACTAATAAAATATGACAAAAATGATGGGGTAATATTTCTTAAATTCAGTTCCAAAAAGACTGTGACTTCTGTTTTGATGGACACCTCCCTCCCCTCTCCCCGTTTCCCTCTGCTGTCTCACTCTCTCATTCTCTCTGTATCTCAAAGCCCTTTCTCTGGGAAGCAAGCTGCCGTATTGTCAGTACCCTTCTGGAAAGGATCATGTGGAGAGAATCATATGTCTCTGGCCAACAACCAGCATGGACCTGAGGCTGCCAACGACATGAGAATGAACTTGGAATAGGATCCTCAGGCAGTTGAGCCTAGAGATGACTCGCAGCACTGGTCAGTGCCTTGATTGCTTGTTAGAGACCATGAACCAGAAGCACCCAGCTAAGCTGCATCCAGATACTTGGCTCACAGAAACTATGAAATAATAAATGTTGTTTTAGAATGGCAAATTTTGAAGTGATTTTTATACAGCAATAGATAAGTACTATATTATTATAGAAACTGTTGAATAAGGAGTAATCAAAGAAATAGGGCTTATTAATGATGAGGTAGTGCAGATATGCCTATCATTATCAAATGAGAGCTATGAGGCATAACACAATGGGTTTCTTAGTGTTGTCCTAGGACCAGTGTAAGTGAATATAGATAAATACATCATAGATAACATAAGGAAGCTTAGCAAGCTGAACACTTGTCAGGACAGTGTTTCTTCATTCTGCTTACACATTAAATCACCCCAGGAACCTGTAAAGTACAACACTGATGTCATGATTCTACCACAAACAAATAAAATAAAAAATTTTCTACTTTAGTCCTTAACCTTGCCCGTTATTAACATTTTTCAAACGATAGGAATATGTGGCCCATTTTTAAAAGAACCACTGGGCTAGCCAGTTGCATCTCTTCATTATGAATCTCAAATATACTTACTTACTTTTCTGATTTTATAAGAAACTGTGTTAATACCTAATTTTTGCAAATCATTTTGTGTTTATCCTCATTGTAGTCTCTACTTCAGGCACTACCACTATTCAGGATGAGACTGAGACCTTAAACAAGCAATTCAACTTCTTTGGCCACACTACTTTTTATCAATAAAATGAATGTATAGACAAAGCTTGTCTAACCTGAGGCCCATGGGCTGCATGCAGGCTAGGACGGCTTTGAATTTGGCCCAACACAGATTTGTAAACTTTCTTAAAACATTATGAGATTTTTTTGGTGATTTTTTTTTAAAGCTCATCAGCTATCATTAGTGTTAGTGTATTTTATGTGTGACCCAAGACAATTCTTCCAATGTGACCCAGGGAAGCCAAAAGTTTGGACACCCCTGGTATAGACGAAATGATTTTATAAATTCTTTCTATATTAGTTTTTTATGCTGCAATCAAAAGTTTACACAAATAGTGGCTTAAAACAACACAAATTTATCATCTGGAAGTTCTGGAAACCAAAAGTCAGAGCTCTCACCTTGCTAAGATCAAGGTGTTGGTAGGGCTGATTTCCATTCTATAAGCTCCAGGGAAAATCCATTTCCTTGCTCACTCAGGTGTTGGCAAGAATCAGGTGTTCTGTGCAGTTATAGGCCTGAGATCTCTATTTCCTTGCTGGCTGTCAGTTGGACACTGACATTAGCTCCTAGAGGCTTGCTTCCCTCTGGTCTTTGTATATAATCCCTTACATCTCAGACCCAGCAAAGAGATGTGAAATCCTTTTCATGTTGCCATCTTCAGACTCGCTTTTCTGCTTTCCACTTTAAAATCTGACTGCAGCTGGGAAAGGTTCTCCTCTTTTGATGACTTGCATGATTAGATTGGGCCCACCTGGATAATCTAGGCTACTCTCTCCATCTCAAGCTTTCTAAATTATAATCATTCTGCAAATTCTTTTTTTGGCATTTTAGATAACATATTCACAGGTCTTGAGGATTAGTGTGTGGATATCTTTAGGGGCCATTGTTCTGCCTCTCACAGTTTCCATATGTTTCTAAGACCCTAACCTCAGATTAGTAGCATCATCTATGGCAGAGGGCAAGGGCCTATCACCTCCACTTATTACATTTTTTTCAGTTCCACATACCTACACCCCAGGAGATACTAATATGCTACCCTGACCAACTCTACTACTCTCACCATACTCTAGAAACTACAGAAAAGCAAAAGTTGCTCTAAATCAGGAACTATAATCTATATTTAGTCCTTTCATATGCCTGCTTTAAATTTTCACCCAGTGCCCAAATGAGAATGTTGTCAGTCCTCTAAGTCAAGTTTCCAGAGATGAAAGATGACAGATGGATTCATCCATCTAGTGTGGTATAGTTATTTATAGTTATTAACTCCTTGAGATTTAAAGTTGAACAATCTGAGTTTTAATCTTAGCTTTTTCAGTCACTCAGCTGTGTGTTTTAGGGCAAATTGTGCTCTAGGCAAATAGTCTCCTGAGTTTTAGTTCCCTAATGTGTAAAACAAGGTTGATGATAATCCTTGCAGGGTTGTATGAGGAATAAGTAAGAGTTCATGTAAAGCAAATAGCACATAGCTTAGCACAGGGTCAGTAACCTCATTGTCATCCGAACAATGTTTTTTAAGTGCACTATGTTATGTTAGTTGATACAATGGCTGTGAAGGTATGTCAAATGGAGATACCATGCTTCTAATATGTAGTAATTCTGAAAGCTCTGGGGCTGAGAAATAATTTTCTTTCATTCCTTGGCTCATGGAAAGTCTCATGGAGGCAAAACCTAGAAGGCTTTGTAGATAGTGACAGATGTAATGGGGTGATGGATATGGCTACCTTCTGGCTTGATAGAGAAGTGTGTTGTTTCCACCAATAATATAAGTGGAAGTCCTTGCTGACGGATTAACTTCTCTTCACTTGCTAAAAGAAATAAAAGTACTTCCTACTCTCTGTAAACCATGTCTGGATGATACATAAGTCCAACAAAAAACAGGTCTTTCCCACCTGGTTATCCCCCAACCTGAAATGCTCTTTCTTCTTCTTAAAGAATCAATGCACACATGACCTCCTCTCACACCCCTTTTCTGATTCTCCCAGGCAGAATCAGTTTCTTCCTCCTCTGTGCTTTCCTGAAACTTTGTCCAGAGTTTTATTGTTGTACTAACCACATTATTGTACAATTATACATACATTTGTTACTCCCTTCTTCTCCTTAAGAAAGAATGCATTCTTCCTAAGGTTTCATTTTACTTACCCAAAACTGAGTCTCTTTTGTTCACTTCATGCCTGGCATCAAGCATGGTGCCTGGAACATGGTCATAGTTTGATGTTTATGAAATGAATGTTCACAGTTAACTGCATTGACTCTGAAGACAGACACATTAGGGCCCCTAGGAAGAGACTATGGTGAGGCCTTTCTCCACCAAAACACCAAATATTTTCCTAGGCATTGTTCAAGTTGTTTCAGAGTTGAAGTCATGTACAAAAAGAATACCCAATCACTTAGCAAGAATGATAAAGAACCTAAAGAAAAATTCTGAAGCTTTGTCTTTTCATCTTATGATAAATGTAACTGAAAAGACACTTTAAAAATAGTCCAGAATTCAAAATACCATCTTTTTCAGACAAGCAAATGCTGAGGGGACTTGTTGCCACCAGACCTGCCTTACAAGAGCTCCTGAAAAAAGCACTAAATAAGAAAAGACTCTTAGCAGTCACTATGAAAACACATGCAAGGACACAGACCAATGACACTATAAAGCAACCACGCAAACAAATCTGCATAATAACCAGCTAACAATATGATGACAGGACCAAATTCACACATATCAATACTAACCTTGAATGTAAACAGGCCAAATACCCCCATTTAAAAGGCACAGAGTGGCACGCTGGATAAAAAAGCAAGACTATCTTCAAAAGACCCATCACATATGCAATAACATCCACGGGCTTAAAATAAAAGGATGAAGAAAAATCTACCAAGCAAATGGAAAACAGAAAAAAAGCAGGGGTTGCAGTCCTAATTTCAGATAAAACAGACTTTAAATCAACAAATATAAAAAAAATGAAGAAAGGCATTACATAATGGTAAAGAGTTCAATTCGACAAGAAGACCTAACTGTACTAAATAAATATGCACCCAACACAGGAGTACCCAGATTCATAAACTGAGTTATTAGAGTTCTATAAACAAACTTAGATTCCCACAAAATAATAGTGGGTGATTTCAACACACGACTATCAGTATTATATTATCAAGGCAGAAAATTAATGAAGATATTCAGGACCTGAACTCAACAGTGGATCAAATGGACATAATAGACATCTGCAGAATTCTCCAGCCCAAAACAACAGAATATACATTCTTCTCATTGCCACATAGCATATACTCTAAAATCAATCACACAATTGAACACAAAACAATCCTCAGAAAATTAAGAAAAAACAAAATCTTATCAACCACATGCTCAGACTACAGTGAAATAAAAATAGAATTCAATATGAAGGAAATCACTCAGAACGATACAATTTCATTAGATGACCTGCACTTGATTGACATTGGAGTAAATAATAAAATTAAGGCAGAAGTTGAGTTCTTTGAAACTAATGAGAACAAAGATATATCAGAATCTCTGAGAAACAGCTAAGGCAGTGTTAAGAAAGAAATTTACAGCTGTAAACCCCCACATCTAAAAGTTAGAAAGATCTCAAATTAACAACCTAACATCACAACTAGAAGAACTAGAGAAGCAAGAGCAAACCAACCCCAGAGCTCCCAGAAGATAAGAAATAATCAAAATCAGAGCTGAACTGAAGGAGACTGAGACATTAGAAACCATGGAAAAGATTAATGAATCCAGGAATTGGCTATTTGAAAAAATTAATAATATAGATAGACTGCTAGCTAGACTAATAAGAAAAGAGAGACCATCCAAATAAACACAATTAAAAATGACAAAGAGGACATTACCATAGACCCTACAGAAATACCTATACCCATCAGAGACTACTACAAACACCATTATGCAAACAAATTAGAAAATGTAGAAGAAACAGATAAACTCCTGGACATATACATCCTCCCAAGACTGAATCAAGAAGAAACTGATTTCCTGAAAAGACCAATAATGAATTTCAAAATTGAATCGGTAATAAATAGCCTGCAAAGCAAAAAACCCACAAAAAACAACATCCCAGGACCAGATGGATTCACAGCTGAATTCTAACAGATATACAAAGAATAGCTGGTCCCATTCCTGCTGTAACTATTCCAAAAAATTGAGGAGGAGGGACTCCTCAACTCATTCTATGAAGCCAGCATCATTCTGATACCAAAACCTAGCACAGACACAATTAAACAAACAGAAAACTAAACATCAATATCCTTGATGAACATAGATGCAAAAATCCTCAACAAAATACTAGCAAGCTGAATAGAGCAGCACATTAAAAATCAAATTAATAATGATCAAGTAGGCTTTATCCTTGGAATGCAAGTTTGGTTCAACATATACAAATTAATAAATGTGATTTGTCACATAAACAAAACTCAGGAGAAAAACCACATGATTGTCTCAATAGATGTAGAAGAGGCTTTTGATGAAATTCAACATTCCATCATAAAACCCTCAGAAACCTAGGCATCGAAGGAATATACTTCAAAATAAGAAGAAACATGTATGGCAAACCCAGAGCTAACATCATACCAAATGGGCAAAAGCTGGAAGCCCTCCCCTTGGAAACAAGCATAAGGCAAGGATGCCTTCTCTGATCACTCCTATTCAACAAAGTATTGGAAGTCTGGGCCTAATCAACCAGGCAATAGAAAGAAATAAAAGGCATCCAAATAGAAAAAGACGAAGTGAAACTACCCCTGCTTACAGATGACATAATTCTATATTTAGAAAGCTCCATAGCCTCTGTCCAAAAGCTACTTGAGCTGATAAACAACTTCAACAAAGTTTTAGGATCCAAATTACATGTACAAAATCAGTTGCATTCCTGTACACCAATGACATCCAAGCTTAGAACCAAATCAAGAATACAATCCCATTTATAATTGCCACAAAAAGAAAATACCTAGGAATACATCTAACCAGGGATGTGAAAGATCTCTACAATGAGAATTACAAAACACTGCTCAAAGAAATCAGAGTTGACACAAACAAATAAAAAAAATTACATGCTTAGGAATAGGAGGAATCCAATATCATTAAAATGGCCATACTACCTAAAGTAATTTACAGATTCAATGTTATTCCTATCAAACTACCAATGACATTCTTCACAGAACTAAAAAAAAACTATTTTAAAATTCATATGGAACCAAAAAAGAGCTCAAATAGCCGAGGCAATTCTAAGCAAAAGAACAAACCTGGAGGCCTCGCATTACCTGACTTCAAACTATACTACAAGGCTGCAATAACCAAATCAGCATTGTACTGGTACAAAAACAGACACATAGACCAATGGAACAGAATAGAGATCCCAGAAGTAAAGCTGCATACCTACAACCATCTGTTTCTTCGACAGAGCTGACAAAACAAGCATTAGGGAAGGGACTCTCTATTCAGTAAATGGTGCTGGGATAACTGGCTAGTTATTTACAGACAATTGAAACCGGACCTCCTCCTCATAGCATATACAAAAATCAACTCAAAATGGATTAAAGACTTAAATGTAAAACCTAAAACTATAAAAATTCTGGAAGATAATCCAGGAAATACCATTCTAGACATAGGAACTGGCAAAGATTTCATGGCAAAGATGTCAAAAGCAATTGCAACAAAAGCAAAAATTGATAAATAGGATCAAATTAAACTAAAGAACTTTTGCACAACAAAAGTAATCATCAATAGAGTAAACAGACAACCTACAGAATGAGAGAAAATATTAGCCAACTATGCTTCTGAAGAAGTTCTAATATCCAGAATCTATAAGAATCTTTAACAAATTTACAAGAACAAAAACCAAACATCTCCATTACAAAGCAGGCAAAGGACATGAGCAAATACTTTTCAAAAGAAGACATACATGCACCCAAAAAGAATATGAAAAAAATGTTCAACATCACTAATCATTAGAAAAATTCAAATCAAAACCACAATGAGATGCCATCCCACACCAGTCAGAATGGCTTATTACTAAAATGTAAAAAACCACAGATGCTGGCGAGGTTGTGGAGAAAAGGAAACACTTATACACTGCTGGTGGGAATGTAAATTACTTCAGCCATTGTGGAAAGCAGTGTGGTGATTCTTCAAAGAAGTAAAAACAGAATTACCATTTGTATTAGTCTGTTTTCACACTACTGATAAAGACATACCGAGACTGGGCAATTTACAATAGAAAGAGATTTAATGGACTTACAGTTCCACGTGGCTGGGGAGGCCTCATAATCATGGCAGAAGGTGAAAGAGACTTCTCATCTGGCAGCAGACGAGAAGAGAGCTTGTGCAGGGAAACTCCAGTTTTTAAAACCATCAGATCTCATAAGACTTATTCACTATCACTAGAACAGCACAGAAAATACCTGTCCCCATGATTCCATTACCTCCTACCGGGTCCCTCCCATGACACGTGGGAATTCAAGATGAGATTTGGGTGGGGACACAGCCAAACCATATCATCATCTGACCCAGCAATCTCATTACTGGAGATATACCCAAAGAAATCCAAATCATTGTACCATAAAGAAAGATGCATGCATATGTTCATTGCAGGACTATCCACAATAGCAAAGACATAGAATCAACCTAAATGCCCATCAATGATAGACTGGATAAAGAAAATGTGGTACGTATACACTATGGAATACTATGTAGCCATAAAAAATAATGGGACCATGTCCTTTGCAGCAACATGGATGGAGCTGGAGACCGCTATCCTAAGCAAACTAACATAGGAACACAAAACCAAATACCACATGCTCTCACTTATAAATGGGAGCAATATAATGAGAACATATGGACACAAAGAAAAGAACAATAGACACAGGGGCCGACATGAGGGTGGCGGGTGGCAGGAGGGAGAGAATCAGTAAAACTACCTGTCAGGTACTATGCTTAGTACCTGGGTGATCTTTACACCAAACCTCCATGACAACAATTCACCTATATAACAAAGCTGTGCATGTACCCCTGAACCTAAAATAAAAGTTAAAAGAAAAAAAAGTTGTGCAGAATCTTACAGCAGTACTAGAGTTAAAAAAACAACAACAACTTAGAAACATAATTTCCCATACATGGGCACCTACCAATTTTCTAACAATAAGAAAAAAGAAGATAATATGGTCCCTAATATGTGCCGTTAAACTACTGCAGCCTAATATTCCAACAAAAGACATGCATCAGGCTCAGGAGATGGCTCCTCTTCCTACACTTTTACTTTACCAAGACTTTGACCTGGCTAATCCTTCTCACATGTAATCTAGGAGAGAACAGAAAATAGTTTGAGGTGATGGCTGCCTACAGCTTGAGAAGACATAAAATCTGCAGCTGAACATTGTATGTAGCTTCCTTAATGAAAGATCTCATTCTTTAATTTTAATTGTTAATATGATTTACATGATCCAAAACATATTTGTGAAACCCAAATGGCATTTTTGTCTTTAACTTTAGGAAACTGTTTTTATAGTGTAAAGTTTTTTTTTTAACTCCTCTCTTATTATTTTGAGCCATTAATATATCTAGTTTTGCTTTTTCACACATCTTTGTGTGTTTGAAGAAGGAAAATCATTCTCCAGAAATTATTTTCACAGAAGAAATATTGCCTAAAGCTAATCAGGAGGAAGAGGGATCCATTCATGAAGTCTGGGGAGTGTCTCTACTTCTGGTATAGCCTGCCCTGGCGACTAGCAGTCTGAGTCACCTATGTCCCATGGCTACATCTAAAGTGTCTCCCCACAGTTCTGGCTGGGAGCTCTCATGGGAACAATGGCTATGGCCTCCTCACTGGTTTCCAAAATGCTTCCTCAATTATTCCCCTTCAATCCACTTTCCATAAATCAGTCAAAGTGACTTTCTGCAGCTCAGAATTCCTCAGTGGCTTTCCTTGGTTCAGAATGAAACTAAAACTTCATGCCATGTCCTACATGTACCTCATGATCTGGCTGCAAGCTGTCTGATCAGGGTAACTTAGGAAAGATTTGAGTGAGTACAACTGAAGGTAAGTGAGCTTGGTATCTACCTGCATGGCCATAGTCTGAGAGCTTTCCTGGGAAGTCAACAGCGGGTCTCCAAGAACCACTCCTCCTTTCTCTTTGCCCATCTATGCTCCTTATATATATCTGTGATGAGCCTAATTCTTGTTCTTCCTCCTCCTCCTGCTCCTCCTTGTCATCCTTTTTCCAGCTAGACTTGTTCCTGACAACTTAACAGAAGCAATGATTCTGGGGCTGAAGTGAAACTTATTTTGGATAAGACATCCTGCTATAGAAGAAGCATAAGTTTCACTCTCATGCTCTTTGCATTTGATAATTTTGCATCTTTCATCTCAGATAAAGAATTACCATCATGGACCCAAATTTTTAAACCAGTTTGTTCTACAGAGGCACATCAGATGGAAGCAAAAGAAAGCTCTGTATTGACCCAAGTAATGACTATGCTATGGAAAGAGCAGAAGTGGACTCTAGCTGGGGCTGAATGCAGCTCAGACTTGGTCCGCTTGAGGCCAGGCCCATAAGTACTCCTGTAATGAGTTTCTTTACTTGTAAGCATCTGCTATCACTGCTTAGCCCCAAATATGTTGTGGTGGATCTGGTGAGTAAAGTGGGACTGGCTACCAAATTTCAGGAGAGATCGTGGAATCTTGTAGAAGTCACAAATGTCAAAGATCATCACAAACTCTGAGACTTTTTTGTTAGTGAGGGTCAGTGCCCAGGGGCACAATTTGACCCTTGGAGGGAGATTGTTAGGTCACACCCTCAGGTGGCCCCTCTTCATCCTCACCTCCTGTTGGGTATGGGCATGGCCTATGACTTGCAACCAACTAATGGAATATGGCAAAAGTGATGGGATGTTACTCCTGTGATTGTGGCCAGTTGAATGGTTCTATTGTTTTAGCAGATTCTTTCTGTCTTCCTCCTTCCTTCTCTATCTGCTTCTGACTTTGAAGAAGCAAACTTACATGGATTCTACAGCCTCAAGGAAGTGAATTCTATCAACCATTTAGGAGATCTTGGAAGTAAGATCCTCCCCAGTAAAGGGTCTGATGAGAATCCTGCTATGGTGAACACCTGGGTGCAGCTTTATGAGACCCTCAGCAGAGGGCCCAGCTATGCTTGGACACCTGAGTCAGACACTAGGACATATACATGAGTGTTGCTTGAAGCTGCTTAATTTGTAGTAATTTGTTACTCACACTAGACAACCAATGATCACACTCCGAGGCACTTCTAAGTATTTCTTTTTTTTTTTTTTTTTTTTTTTTGAGACAAAGTCTTGCTCTGTCGCCCAGCAGGCTGGAGTGCAGTGGCGCAATCTTGGCTCACTGCAACCTCCACCTCCCGGGTTCAAGCAATTCTCTTGCCTCAGTCTCCCAAGTAGCTGCGATTACAAGCATGCCCCACCAAGTCCAGCTAATTTTTGTATTTTCAGTAGAGACAGGGTTTCACCATGTTGGTCAGGCTGGTCTCAAACTCCTAACCTCAAGTGATCCACTCACCTCGGCCTCCCAAAGTGCTGGGATTACAGGCATGAGCCACTGCACCTGGCCACTTCTAAGTATTTCTAATTCTCTAGATAACACAATTTTGGAAACAAACTAAGAAAGAACATTGTGTAATACAAATGCTATTTGTGATACAATCAAAATTACTAGAGTTTGTGAGGTTCACATTCAAAATGTCATCTGTAGCCTATACTTCCCTGCAACCTGCCTTCTGTGTCTCATTATCCACCTGCTCTGCTGGGCCCTACACAGTGACAAGGAGAATTATGATGCTGGGTCGGGACAGAATCCTTGAGGGCAGAATGCCAGTCCAGAGGACACTAAAATCAGGTCTCAAATGGGTTTTACCCACCTGAGAAATTTCCACAGCAAGGGGGAAAACCCAAGTCAACACAGGGAATAAGTGGATCTACAGTCTGAGAAAGAAGAAATAAAGCTAGTCTTTTAACTGAAAGAACAATTAAGATGGGAAGCTTGGATACATATAATGAAGATCAGATCCAGATGGCTAGAGATGGGATCCCTGAACGAGGGAATTGAAGCATGGTTGGAGGACTCAGCTTTCTAGGAAGACAGCATCCTAGTCAGCTTTCTTCCGCATCTTTGCTAATGCAAGCCAGTCACTGTTTTTTCTTGTTTTTGTTTTTTGTTTTTTTTTTTCCTTCCTACACTTCATCTTCAAGGCCCATCTGAAGTTTTATTTCCTTCATAAAACTGTTTCAAATTACAACAGACTTTATACATTTTGACACTTCCAAATGGATTCTAAATGTTTTGAGGGTAGGGTTTCTATGTGGCAAAGATGTTTCATTTTCCCTTGTAACACAGCCCCCTTGCAGCTAATTGGAGCCACATGACTAGGCTTGGCCAATGGAATACATGTAAAAACTCTCTTATGACCTGGCCCAACAAAATTCTCCTTGTATGATATCCTGCTTCTTCCTTTTTCACAGTGACCTTGAAAGCTGCCTGTTGAAGATGTCATTGAAAAGACCCCAATGCTTGAGTTATTGATTAGAGAAGAGCTGCCCAAGATAATTTTTCAACCACTTAGTCCCTCATAGAAATAAGAAATAAATGCATTTATGTTAAAACATTGAGAAATTTGGAATTTTGTTACAGCTGTTGTGTTAATCAGCTTAAAATTCTATGTATTCTATTCATTTATTGAATAGGCTAAAACGTGGAAAGAACTTAGAGTGAATTTTAGCATAACGTATGTGCTCGATAGATGTTATCATTCCTATCTGTATCAGTTAGTTATTGCTATGCAAAACCATTCCAAAGTTAAGTGCCTTAAAATGGCAGTCACATATTTGGTTTGTGATTCTAAGGGAAGGCAATTTAGGCTGGGGTCAGCCAGGCGAGGCGGTTCTTCAGGTCTTGGCCAGGAGCACTCATATGTCTGCATCCAGCTGTGGCTTCCCTTGTAGGGCGGCTTGGCTCTTTCTCCAGGTGGTATCTCATCTTCCAGCATGAGCGTGGAAGATGGCAAATGCAGGAGAGTAAGGAAGAGAATAAACAAGGCAAGGCGTCTTCGCACGTGGACTTAAAACCAGTATAATGTTATTTATGCCATATTCTATTAGCTAAAGCAGTCACAAGACCATCCCAGTTTTTTTTTGTTTTTGTTTTTGTTTTTTGAGATGCTCTGTCGCCCATGCTGGCGTGCAGTGGTGCCATCGTGGCTCACTGCAACCCCCGCCTCCTGGGTTCAAGTGATTCTCCTGCCTCAGCCTCCTGAGTAGCTGGGATTACAGTTGTGCACCACCATGCCTGGCTAATTTTTGTATTTTTAGTAGAGATGGGGTTTCACCATGTTGATCAGGCTGGTCTTGATCTCCTGACCTTAGGTGATCCACCCACCTTGGCCTCCTAGATTTAAGAGAAGAGGAAATAGACACAATTTCTTGGAGGGAGATAATGAAGCCACATAGCAAGGGATAAAGAAATGGTAGAGTATTAAAGTCATTTTTTTGCAATCAGTTTATATCATTATTATTTCCATTGTTGTGGCTATTCCTTCAAGTCATATAGATTGAGAATCCTCTTGGGCCAGGTGGTAATCTAAGTATTAAACAGAAGAAATCAGCAAATTGTCACTATCCTGACCATGAAGAGTTTATAGTCTATTATTAATAATAATTGCTAATATGTATGGAATAAAACCTTCCAGGCACTATTCTAAGTGCTTTATATGTATTAGCTTATTTAATACTCATAATAACATTATATTATTTCTATGGTTAATAAAACTGAGACATACAGGGGTTAAATTACATACCTAAGGTCACACAACTATAAATAGTATCTGGATTTAATCTTAGACATAAGCTCTGCCTCTCACAGTTTCCGTATGTTTCTAATATTTATCAGAACCCTGAGAATTGACAAAACCAGGCCCGGAATGTAATGGAAAGACTTCATGTTGGAGGTAATACTCAGACAAAATTTGATAGAAGAGTGAAAGTTTACTAAGCACAGCACAGTAGATACCCATAGTATTTGCCAATTAATAATCAGTTGAATTATTAATTAATTAAGCTACCTTCAGCAAGCATGGGGTTTTTAAAGACTCTGAGTTAGTTATGACTATTGGTTAGAAGACTCATAAATGCAAGTCAAACTGAATTAAAGAGCAAAAAAGAGGTAGGAGTTATTTATTAGCTCACAGTCATGGTAAGATTCATAGACTACAACAATGTGAAGAACAAAAGCTCCCTGTCTCTGCTTTGTTTCCTTCTGTGATGGCTTCATTCCTAGTCAGAGTCTTTCCATATTTGTGGAAAACTGACCACCAGGTACCCCAGGGTCTCACACTGTATAAGAGTAGCTATCCAGGAGATAGAACTCTGTGGCTAGAGCAATGCAGGCCATCCCCATATTATTTCCTCTTTCAGGATGAGGAGTTGGATTGTGGCCAAATGGCTGAGTTCTGGCCAGGAAAAGATGAGTAAGAGGGACTAAAGCCACTTCAAACCCTGGCTTTCATAAACCACTCTTGATGCCTTCTAGCTCTCTCTCGTCCCTTTGTCATGATGTCTTCAAGGCCCCATGATTCAGATGCAGGAGCTACAACATAGTAAAGTGGGGGCCAACCAGAATTGGACATTCTGTGGACCAAAAATAAAGTTTATTGTTGGGAACAGGCCCCCAAATCTGGCCATAAACAGGGCCCAAACTGGCCATAAACAAAATCTCTGCAGCACTGTGACATGCTCGTAATGGCTATGACGCCCATGCTGAAGGTTTTTGGTTTACCAGAATGAGGGCAAGGAACACCTGGCCCACCCAGGGCAGGAAAACAGCTTAAGGAGTTCCTGAACCACAAACAATAGCATGAGTGATTTGTGCCTTAAGGACATGTTCCTGCTGCAGATAACTAGCCAGAGCCCATCCCTTTGTTTCCTGTTTTAGTTAATCTATAATCTATAGAAACAATGCTTATCACTGGCTTGCTGTCAATAATTATGTTGGTAAAACTCTGTTCATGGCTTTCAGCTCTGAAGGCTGTCAGCCCCCTGATTCCCACTCTGCACTCAATATTGCTGTGTGTGTGTCTTTAATTCCTCTAGTGCCGCTGGGTTAGGGTCTCCACGACCGAGCTGGTCTCGGCAGTTTATTATCTTAAACCACTGAGATGTGAGGTTTTCTTTGTTCCTTCAGCATGGTCTAGCCTATCTAGATTAATGTAAATTTAAACACAATTTTCCCAATTTTCCAAGGACCAACTCTCTACTCATTTGGACTTTTGCCCAACTTTGCAATAGCTCCAGCAAAGCTAATCAAATATTAGGAGAGGACATTCCCCATATGGTCTGAGATGGGAAAAAAAAATTGCCCTACATTCTTCCATGGCCATTACTGATCTTTTGAGAGATGAATTACTATATATCATGCCCAATTTCCTGGATCATTGATAGAACACATGCTCACAAATCTACTGAGAGCTACAAGAATTGTCATTCTGAAAAAAGAAGTTTGGTCACTTTTGCCAACACAAATTCAATGGACATGTGTTAGTCCAGTTATTAAGCATTTTATCAACCTAAAAAGTTTTCTTTTCTTCACAACCTTTTCACATCTGGGAATTTATGTTACTCAATTTAGTGTGTTTGTTCAAATATAGAAGGGCTTTATGTAAATTCCTTATTTTTCACTAACACTGTAATCTGGCTTTGTTTTTTTATTAAATAGTAATACATTTATCTTGGGGAAAAATTAATTTTTTTCTTTGCAAATCCTGCAGAATTGAAAAGTTAAACTCCAGAGATTATGATTCATATTGTACTTGGGCAATCTCATCTATAATAATCCAATGCTGGGACTAATTTTTATTACAGAAAATCTTTCTTACACTGAAGAAATAGGGCTGGGAATGTTAGCATACTGAGATCATAGGAAAATCCATTCTATTCTCCATACTAGAGTTTTTACACTACAAACAGCGCAGACATAGGTTTTTCTTTAGTGACATAGATTTTCATGAATTTCAGATATCTCTGGAATGTTCTATTTCCACAATTGGACAAAATTTAAAGGCAACTTCTTTCAAGATTATTGTTTTTTTTGTAGGGGGAGCAATTACATAGTTTTGCACTTCCAGTGTTATGGTGTAGACATTTTACTAGGGCTGGACAGAATTTTACAAAATACATGAGACTCAAAAAAGCAGATTTTCGTGCAGAACTAAATGCCCAGATTAGTAATATAGGCAATAAGTTAGTACTGAAAATTTCAAACCCACAGGAATTTGAAAAAAAGAAGGATGCTTGTGCCCCCTTCATGTAGTTTCATTACTCTTAACATCTTGCCACAATGGCTCTGTCTGTGTGTGTATGCATGTGTGTGCATACAAGTACATACACACATACACACATGTGGATACATATAAGCTTATGATACTTTCCTTTTTCCAAATCTTCCGACAGCAGCATGAGGACATCATATCATTTCTCCACTAAATACTTCACTATCCTTCACTAACCCAAGAACAAGAATATTTTTCCCCCTAAACAGATTTAATACCATTACCACACTTAGGAAAATCAGCATTAACACAGGAATATCATCAAACATGTAGTCCATACACAAGTTTTTAATATTTTCCCCAAAAAGTCCCTTATAGTTTTACTAATTTACAAAATAAGAATCATTTTAAGATATAGACATAATATTTGCTGTTGTGTGTTTTTAGTCTCCTATAATCTAGAACTTTCATTTCCCTTTTGTCTTCATGATATTGGATTTTTTTGACAATTCTTGACTAGATATTCTGCAAAACATTCCAACTTTTGAATTTTTCTTACTGTTACATCTTGGTTAAATTCAGATCACACCTTTCTGGCAAGAATCCCAAAAAGATGATGTGTGTCTCATACTGCCCATATTAGAAGATACAGGATATCAGGACATTCTACTATTGGCCATGGAACCTTGACCATTTGGTGAAAATGGTAACTGTTGGATTGCTCCATTGTACAATTTTCCCTCTGTAATTAGTTGGTAATCTGCTGGGTGATATTTTGAGACAATGTGAATTCATTGTCCAATGAATTTTCATCCAGTGGTTTTAATATTTATTGATGATTCTTGCTTGGATCATTATTATAATGGATGTTATAAAATATGATTTCCTAATTCCATTATTCCTTGTACTTTTGCTATTAGACATTCCTTTGTAAAAAAGTTTTCATTTGTTTTATCTTTTCTTTCTATGCATTATATATATTTATATAGTGTTCATTTTTAATATCACTGTGGACTCATGGATTATTTAAGTCTAGTTGTTCTTATACATTATGATTTTATTTGTGTTGCTTGAATTATTTCAAATTTGGCCAGGGGCACAACTTCAAGCAAACTCTGCATTTATTTGACAGAAAAACATTAATATTTTAGCACTCACTTGATTTCTGGTCTAACAAAATGCTTAAATTACCCTCCCTGCTCCAGCCACGGAACCAGCCATATACCGAAGAACAAAACAGAACAATAGTTTTATTGAGATGTAACTTTCATATCATACAATTTGCTCATTTAAATACACAATAAATTTATTTTGATATATTTAACATAACTTTTTTTTTTTATTTTTGTCTTCCCAAAAAGAGGCTTGTAGCCATCAGCAACACTCGCTATTCTCCTTCAGTCTCCAAGTGGCCCTCTCCTCCAAGACAGCTCTAGGCAACCACTAATCTACTTTCTGGCTCTATAGATTTGTCAATTTGGGGTATTTCCGATTAATGAATTGATACAATATATAATCTGTTGTGATTAGCTTCTTTCACTTAGCATAGTTTACAAAATTTGATCATATTATAGCATTTATTAGTACATCATCACTCCTTTTAAACCTAAGTGAGGTTTATATTGACTTAATTCCCAAGAAATATGAGACTATGTTCCTATATAGCTCCATTCTATCTTCTCTTTTTGTGGTATTATTTTTTACATATTATGTCTATGTATGTTATAATAAAAACCTGAGAACAGATTGTTATAATTACTTTATCTTATCTTATATTTTTAATGAAAATGAGAGAAGAAAGTAGAACAAGCATATATTTATAGACATTGTAACATCAACTTTCTTTACCCTTTCTTCTTATCATTTCTTTCTGTGAATTTGTGTCACCATCTAATGAACATTTCCCTCTTCTACACTTGTTCCTATCCACAGTTTTGTGCTTTTATTGTCAAAGATATTACATTTCTAAGTGTTATTGGGCTCAGCAATGTAATTATATACATACCGTTTCATAGGTGGAATGCATTTTTCCAGTCTGTCCTTGCTTTGGTCAGTCGGAAGTTAGCAGGAGTATCTCAAGCAGTAGCTTCAGTCATGCTTGCACAACTGCGGTTCCTCTTATATACTTCTGTCGTCATCATGAGAAGAGCTTCCCTGATAGCTGTTGTCTCCAACCTAGCCCCACAAGTAAACACTGTGTCCAAGACCAGCCTTTTCCTTGTTCTGGAAAAGGTGTTTTGTTGGGACCATACTCTGAGGAGGCAGAAATAAGGGAGATAAGAAATTCAATGAATTATTGGGTTAAGAAACCCTTTATCCCTCCTCCTAGTAGAATATCAACAATACCACTTTTTGGATATTGCAAACTAGTATATTGGATTCTCTTCCCCCTTCTTTACTCTTTCAACCTCTGCAATGGAGACAGTGACATCCAGTACCCGTACTCTCCCCATCTAGCCCCTTGACACATGTGCTCACTTGTAGAAAGCTTTCCCTGAGGGTCATTAGAAACCTTGGATGAGTGCCTATGAAGTACCAGTTTTTTCTCTGTGGCTGCCCTTCACTGAGCTTCTTCCACCCACCCACACCCACATGATGTGTAGTGCTCAGAATTCAGCCCACACAGCGTGTGCCTTTCTCTACTACCTGGTCATTTCTTCTCTTCATCACATAAACATTCCAGCAAATATCCCTATTACACAATTATCTCCGTACCACCAAGCCTCAAGTCTGGTTTTTCTTTTGTTAGAAGGGGAGAAAATACTATATGCTGACAAAACACAAGTCTTTTTCTCTTTAACTAAATATCAAGTCCTCTTTTTTATTCCTGAAGTCTTTAGCCATTTGACTTTTAAAAAAATCAGGCTCACAATGAATAAATCCATATTAAAAACAGTGTTTAGAGCCAGGCAGGGTGGCTCACACCTGTAATCCCAATACTTTAGGAGGCCGAGGTGGGCGAATCACGAGGTCAGGAGTTTGAGACCAGCCTAGCCAACATGGTGAAACCCATCTACTAAAAATACAAAAAATTAGCTGGGTGTGGTGGCAGGTGCCTATAACCCCGGCTACTTGGGAGACTGAGGCAGGGGAATTGCTTGAACCTGGGAGGCAGAGGTTGTAGTGAGCTGAGATCGCACCACTGCACTCCAGTCTGGGCAAGAGTGTGGGACTCTGTCTCAAAAAAAAAAAAAAAAAGAAAAGAAAACAGTGTTTAGCTCTAATTAAAACACTTTCATTATCAGCTTTCTCTTTTAATTTCTCTTGCTGTTTACAACAAAAGAAACCACTGCCTTTCATCTGAGGCACCACTGCACTCCAGTCTGGGCAAGAGTGTGGGACTCTGTCTCAAAAAAAAAAAAAAAAAAAAAAAAAAAGAAAACAGTGTTTAGCTCTAATTAAAACACTTTCATTATCAGCTTTCTCTTTTAATTTCTCTTGCTGTTTACAACAAAAGAAACCACTGCCTTTCATCTGAGGCAGGTTTCTATAAGGGAACAATTTATTTCACTTCTTAACAACCCAACTCCATGAATGCCACATTTATACAACATGGTTCATCTCAATGTATCAGATCATGATATTTACATGGTTCATCTCAACATATCAGATGATGATATTTTAAGATTTCACTTATCTTAGAGATGGCTAAGCCTTGCTAGAATGCACTGAGGATGGCACCAGATGACTAATCTCCCCTTAAGATGGAAAAGAATATAGTATCTTGAGACTATCATAGATGGAGGTGGGTTGGCTTTGCAGTATCTAGATATATGTATGTAAGAATCAAAACTGGACTCTTATCTCACTGAATACACAAAATTTAATTTGAGATGAGTCATTGACTTAAACACTAGTGCTAAAAATCATAAGACTTCTAGAATACCAGATGAATATTTTCTATGACCTTAGGATAGAAAAAGATTTATTAGAATGCAAAAGGCATTCACAAAGGAAAAAACAATAAATTAGATTTCATCAAGATAAAAACATTTTGGTCATAAAAGATGATGAGAGGGCAACCCACATTCTGGATGAGAATATTTGCAAAATATTATATTAGACAACTTGTCTCATGAAACTATATGGAAAGGCTTTTAATTGTGGAGTGACTCAGTCATGTTTTCATTTTAATATATCACTCTGGTAGCTGTGTTGGATGGGTTTTTAAAAAACAGTATTGGACACAGGGGGAGAGCAGGACACTGTGATAGTCATCCAGGTAAGAGATGACAAGGGCCTGGGATATTAGATGCAGTTTCATGTAGAAAATTCTCTGAAGTTTTCAATGTAGTGAGGACCAGGAGAAAATCTAATATGTGTTTTTAGTTCCTTCTTATAGGCTGGTGTTTGGGAAGCTCGGTAAGTTCTCCACAAATACATGAGAGAAGGAACAGCTTTATGTCTGCTACAGTAAGAGTGACTGTCCCAAAATATGACCACTTTAGATTTCTAGCAGTTAGCAAAGATTTTTATTAATTAAAGGCAGTAGGTAAGGGAAAAATGAGGAATAGGAATGAGAAACAGGAAACATGATATAAGAGCAAGGAAGATATCCCATTAAGCAATTTTCAGTTCTTGAAAAGATGGTCTAAAAGTCCAGAAATATATATTCAAGAGATTAATCATTCTCAGTCCTTAAAAGATGGTCTAGGGTTAAGTAAGTCCAGGAAAATGACATTGCAGTTTTGAATTTATCAAGAAAATTGTCAGTTTATATCAGTCAATGAAAAATGCATTCTCTTTTGTCTCTGTTACATGAGGGTTGCAAAAAAGTCTTAACTCTTTACACTCATAAATTTTAGGTTTTGCCTGTTATTTTGCCGACGTTTTTCCATAACAGTGTTTTTCTTCTTCCTTTGTGGGACTCAGATGACAAGACCGTTAGGTCTTTTTGACATTGTTCCACAGTTTCCCAAGGGTCTGTTAATTTTTTTAAATCTCTTTTTCTTCTTTGTTTTTCAGATTGGGTAATTTCTATTGTTCTATCTTAACAGTTTAATAACTAATTTCTCTGTCATCTACATTATTCAATTGAGCCCACCCAGTGAATTTTTATAGTTTTCAGATATTATAGTTTTCAGTTTTGAAATTCAAATTTTTATCATTTCTATTTCTCTGCAGAGAATGTATATATGCTTCCATCAATCTTAAGCATTTACCTTTATTCCTAGAGCTGATTATAATAGCTGCTTTAAAACCTTTGATAATTTCAACATCTGTAATATCTTGTGTTGGCATCTGTTAATTGTCTTCTCTCTTGAGACTTGAGTACTTTTTGATGTTCTTTTCATTTTAGGTGACTTTGAATTATATTTTTGGTGTTTTGAATATTTTATTGTAAGACTCTTGGTCCTGTTTAAGTCCTCTGGAGAATGTTGCTTTTAAAAAAATAAGGAAATCAAACCCAGCAATATTCAATTCGTGAGTTCTGTTTAGCTTTTCTTCATGTGAGGATTCCAACACCGGTTCGGTTTTCAAAGCCTTTGCCATCCTGCTTGTGGTCTGTCCCATCATGTGCGTCTTGGTGATAAGCCTGGGACTTGTGTTCGTTCATAACAGAATGAAGGGAGAGACACTTTTCCAGGTCTCTCCTCTGGAATCCCCCTCACCCTCTCCTACTCTGTGTTCCATTTCCTACTCATCTGAAAGACTGGATTCCTTTTGGAGCTTTATCCACACTTATTTCTGCACAGTTCCACATGGCTGGCACCACTCTGGGCACAAAGTAGTGAAAGAAAAAGAATGGAATTTCTCTACACAGGGGTCCCTCTCCCGAATTCCTCTGGACTCGAGAGACAGGTTTTATCTTGGTTTTAGATGACTGTTCTGTTGCCACCTCTACCACTGTGGTTAGGGCCGCCTTTGAACCAGGGTTGGGAGTAAGAAAGAGAAAAGCAAAACAAAATGAAAATAATTCCGTCTATCCTCTCAGACCCACAAGGACTCCTTTTTCTTGTCTTCTGGCCAGAAAGACAGGGTTTTACTCAGGTATTTTTTTGCGCCTGCTCACTACACAGTTACACACTGGGATTACCCTTGAGTCAACCCAGGGGAGAGAAAAAAAGAAAAAAGCAAGAATCTCATCCCACGCAGGTCATTCTCCAAGTTTTGTCTCCTTTCTGCAATTTGCTTGCTGTTTACTTTTCAGAGTTCTTAGGTAGTTGCTTTTTGTATTTTCGGAGTCTTCAGTTGCAATTAATACAAGAGCCAGGCTATACTAGGCTTGTTCCATCCTTGTTGGCACTGGAATTCTCCATTTGTGCATTCATGACCGGCACTTTTAAAAGTTTTAATTGACAGGAAGTAATTGTACATATGTATAGGGTGCAGAGTGATGTTTTGATACATATACACAATATGTAATGATCAAATAAGGATAATTAGCCTATTCATCATCACAGATATTTATCATTTCTTTGTGTTGGAAACATTAAAAAATCTTCTTTTCTAGACATTTGAAGATATACAACAAATTATTAATAACTATAGTCAACTTACAGTGCTGCAGAGCACCAGAACTTATTACTCCTATCACGCTGTAAATTTTTGGATTCATTAACCAGCCTTTCCCTGTCTTCCCCTCCCCATTACCCTTCCTACCTTCTATTAATCACAATTCTACTCTCTACTTCTATGGGCTTAACATATTTTAGCTCCCACATATACATGAGATTATGTGGTATTTGTCTTTCTGTGCCTGGTTTATTATAGTTAACATAATATTCTCCAGTTCCAACCATGTTGTTGCAAATGATAAGATTTCATTATTTTTATAGCTGAATTATATTTAATTATGTATATGTACCGCATTTTCTTTTTCCATTTATTTATTGCTAGACATTAGGTTGATTCCATCTATTGGCTACTGTGAATAATGCTGCAATAAACCTGGGGTGCAGATATCTCTTTGATATACTGAGTTTCTTTCTGTTGGATATATACCTAGCAGTGGGATTCCTGGATCATATAGTAGTTCTATTTATAGTTCTTTGCGGCATCTCCATACTGTTTCATAGTGGCTATACTAATTTACATCCTCACTAACACTATATGAGGGTTCCCCTTTCTCCACATCCTCACCAGCACTTGTCTTTTGAATATAAGCCATTTTAACTGGGGTGAGATGATATCTCATTATAGTTTTAATTTGCATTTCTCCGATGATTAGTGATGCTTGTTCTTTTTTCCCTAATTCAAATTTCTAACCTACATTGATGTTTTTATTGAGAATACACACAGAATTGACGTTAAGTATGAAGCAGATTTATTTATTTAAGGTTGGGTCTAGTATGACATACAGTGGAGGGTTCCATTGTTAGGAAAGGGATGGACATAGGATTTAATCCAAGTTCTACTATTTTCTTCTGCTTTTTGCTATTCATCATCTAACTTCTCTGAATCTTCACTTCCCTCATCTGTGCAATGGAGGTAATAACCTGTACTATGATATTAGGAAGGTTAAATAAGGAATTGCATGGAAAATGGTGGTAAAATATCTGGGAACAGAGTAGCCCATCAAAAATATTTATCCTATTAGCTACACATACTAAGCAATTATGATATTTCAAAAAAATTTCTTCATAATCAATATCTTCTCTCCGCCTCAAATGAGCCCAGAACTGTAATGATCTCAGTTTTATAGCTGAAGACCCAGACTCACTGGGGTTAAGAAAAGACCACACAGAAAAAAAGGCAACAGAACCTGTGTTTGAATAAGTCTCTCAGACTCTAATGGTGGGGCCTATGACTGCAATTCTATGGTGCCTCAGCATGACTCTATTAGTTAACTTCCCCCATCATCCTCTCCTGTGGATTGTAGATGGATCTCACTGGCCAGGATTCTGCTCCAGAGCAGACGAGATTCTTGAAGGATCTATTACCTATCCACTGACCATCCATATTATCTATTCGCTGACCATCCACTATCCACTGACCATTTATAATTTTCCACATGACCTACTCGTTTTTGGCAGAGTAATTCTTCTCTTCCCCTGATTTAGTCCCTTATTTTTATTTTTCTCAATCCTCAATCTCTCTCCTCTCCATCTATTGATATCTTCCAACTCCAGCCATGCCTGCAGAGAAGGCTGTGTTCTAAAAAGGGACTTGTGGCCACCTCCATTTACACCTGAGGAGAGGGAGCTTCTGATTTCTGAATTCAGCACACAGGTGCTCTGAAGTCAGGAAACAAAGCATTCATAAATCCCGTTTGGTGCTGCTGTGGTTACAGAGAGAATCACAGATACTTACTTGCATGAAATCCAAACAAAAGAGATGGCCTGTAGCATTTTTTAGAATAAGAAACCAAAGAACATGCAAAATAATAAACTGGCAAAATGTAGAAATAGTGTTCTGCTTGTCTGCAAGAAGAAAATGTTTTAATACCAGTTGCTTGGGGACACACACACACACACAAACACTGAAAATACTGCGCAACTAACCCAACTCTAATGAGCTGTCAAGAAAGAAAAATCATCAGAAGAACAAGAAAGTAGTGAGGCTGTCTTGGAGATCAATGTAAATGCCTACTGTTTTGAAGGTTCTATAAATGCTTTGAGGTTATAAACAATAGATAAATTTTAAACTTTTCCATAGGAAGTCAGTTTGGGGCAAAAACAAGATAAAGACGAAAGAGAATGAGAGATGACAAAAAGCTGCAGCTTCAAGCTGAAGAGCAGCCCTAAATGTACTATTTACTAAGTACTCGTTAAGTTTCAGGCACATTTTGTTACCTTTTATTCATTCTCACTCAATCCTAATGACCACCTAGTAAGAAAGCATTACCCATTTTACAGATGAGAAAATTGAGGCTCAGACTATTAAGTAACAGGGCCATGAACATATACCTAATTATTCTTTCCATAGCCAGGAGTTCATCTAGCTCTGCAAAATCTTAAAGTGCATAATTTTTTTTCTTTTTTTGAGACAGGGTCTCACTCTGTTGCCCAGGCTTGCAGAGGCATGATCATAGCTCACTGCAGCCTTGACCCTTGGGCTCAAGTATTCCTCCTGCCTCAGTCTCCCAAATATGTCTCTTCTAAGAAGCCATGTTTTGGCCGGTCACGGTGGCTCATGCCTGTAATCCCAGCACTTTAGGAGGCTGACGCAGTTGTATCACCTGAGGTCAGGAGTTCGAGACCATCCTGACGAACATGGTGAAACCCCATCTCTACTAAAAATACAAAAAATTAGCCGGGCATGGTGGCAGGTGCCTGTAATTTCAGCTACTCGGGAGGCTGAGACATGGGAATCACTTGAACCTGGGAGGTGGAGGTTGCAGTGAGCCGAGATTGCGCCTTTGCACGCCAGCCTGGGCAACAGAGTGAGACTCTGTCTCAAAAAAAAAAAAAAAAAGCCATGTTTTGTTGTCACTGCTTTCTTGTGGAATTAGTGTCTAGCTGTGGTGGGTGAAAGTGAAGCTTCCCACTCTACAGAAGAGTGGCCACCATTGAGGAGCAGTGGTGCAGTCTGTTGTTTTCAACCATTTTCCTGTTTGTGACCACATGACATTTATCCATGGCTTGTTAAATATATATTCTTTCTGTGCCAAAAATGGAAATCTATTTAAACATGCAATTGAACCTTGTTTTCATTTTATTTGTGCCAATCCTTCTAACCCTGATTTTAAAGCAAAAAAAGGCAAAAGCTATATTAATAAACTTCAGACTATATAAAAATATTTATTCTGGCTAGAGTGAGCAGAAATAAAAGTGTTGTTTCCTTTGGTGATCAAACTTCTTCCTGTTATGGTATCCTCATAAGAACTGGTGTAATGAAACTCAATTCTGGTGCTAATCCCCTTGAGTTAGTGCAGACTCCACAGGTTAAAGACTCAGTCCTACACAAGCCTGTCCTCACATTAAAGGCCATTCTTCAGAGAATTTCAGGCCAACCATACTTCTGACCTACTGATTATAAATTCAGGAGTTCCCACTCAGGTTTTGATAATTTGCTAGAGCAATACACAGAACTCAAAAAAGTACTATACTTATAATTATAGTTTTATTATGAAGGATAAAATTCAGGACTAGCCAAATAAGAGACACATAGGGTGAGGCCTGGGAGTGTCTCAAATGTAGCACTTCCATGCTCTTTTCCCATGGAATCAGGGCCTGTCCTCCTCATAGCACATCAATGTGTTCACCAGTCAGAAAGCTCCACTTCTGTGTCCAGAGTTTTTATTAGGGTTTCCTTATATAAGCATGATTGATTGAACATTGACCATGTGATTGAACTTTATCTCCAGCCCCCAGGACTCCCTGGAGGCTGAACTGGCTCAAAGCTCCAACCCTATAATCATATAATTAATTTTTTTGGTGACAAGTCTGTATCCTGAGTTATTTAATCTCACTAGCATAAAGTCAGATATGATCCAAGGGGTTCATGAGCAACAATGACACTCTTATCACTCTGGATATTCCAAGGATTTTAGAAGCTCCATGCCAGAAATGGGGAACAAAGGCAAAATAAATTCTTTATCATACAACAGATAGGTTGGAGTACTTAATTTGGAACTAAATGGATGTAAAGACATTCTATTGATTAAATTCAGATGGTTGCATAATTTGTTATTCAAATGGGAATTCTTTTTGGAAAGAAAAATGGGGTGCTAATTGGATCGGGATGCCAGACTGCAGGCATAAGCAGGGCATATTCTGAGTGAACTGAGACTTTTAATCACCTTAGATCTTATTTTATTCCCAAGGAGGTGTGAAGGGTTTGGGACCAATTTGTAGGTTCTTGGAGTCCTCCTTGGCAAGACAAGAATTTCTTTTGCCTCTGCTAGTTACATACATGAAACTGAGGGAGACTGTTCAAAAGGAATGACAGTATGTGTAAAATTAGAGAAAATTTGACATTGATATAGACTGTGTCTCTATTTGAATAGGAAAGTAATTCCACAGCAGATAACTCAAATTATTTTTATTACACATAGGTGACAATATATGTAACATTCTCTTTTTTACTTACATATTCCGAAGTTTAAGGGTATGGTAAGGTCTTCCAAATCAAAAGCCTCCCCCCATTATCACCCCACCTATAAAAGTAATCTTTATCCCCTTTCCCTACAAAGCCAGTCACCTTATATGCTTCAAAATTTGTTGGTTACCAAATACACATAGTTCATGACCACATCTCCGTTCTTTCCTACACATAAGTTTCTGAAAGCTTCTGATTTCCTGTCATTACTTTTTCATACCAAGAATTATCTAAAATGTTCAATACCACTGTGTTAGTCAGTTCAGGCTGCCATAACAAAATACCACAGGCTTAGTGACTTGAACAACAGAAATTTATTTTCTGACAATTCTGGAGGCTAGAAGTCCAAGGTCTAGCCAGGTCTGTTTAAGTCTTTCTGGTGAGGGCTCTCTTCCTGGCTTGCAGACTGCTGCCTTCTTGCTATGCTCTCAGATGGCCTTTTCTCAGCATGCATATGTGCAGAGAGAGAAAGCTCTGGTGTCCCTTCCTTCTCTTATAAGGACACAGTTCTGTTGGAATAGGGTCTTATCCTTATGATCTCATTTTACCCTAATTACCTCTATAAAGGCCCTATCTCCAAATATAGTCACACTGGGGATTGAGGCTCCATCATGTGAACCGGGAGGCATGATTCAGTCAACAATAGTCACTCCAGTTCTAGAGCTCTGCATGTTTAAAAACCATGCCAGTTCTTTAAAGGCATGGCCCTTTAATTGTTTCTATATTCTTAGGGCCCAGCATGTAGTATGCAACCAGACACATTATTATTAGGACAAGTGAATTTATGATTGAAAGGATCACTGGCAAATCAAGAGAGACTTGAGTTGCCTACTGACATCTATTTTCCAAAATGTTATAGCAAAAATATACTCCCAAGTTTCTTCCTTTTTTTTTTTTTTCTTTAGATGGAGTTTTGCTCTTTTGCCCAGGCCAGAGTGAAGTGGTGCGATCTAGGCTCACTGCAACCTTTGCCCCACTAGTTCAAGCGATTATCCTGCTGCAGCCACCAGAGTAGCTGGGATTATAGGCTCCCGCCACCATGCCCGACTAATTTTTGTATTTTTAGCAGAGACGGGGTTTCACCATGTTGGCCAGGCTGGTCTCAAACTCCTGACCTCAGGTGTTCCACCTGCCGCGTCCTCCCAAAGTGCTAGGATTATAAGCATGAGCCACTGCACCCGGCCTCCACATTTCTTTTATGCAAGTTCTAGTATTGCCGTTTTTTTCCATAAGGAGAAGAAAATCTTTAGGCGTGAAACTCCTGAAGAAGAGGACATTAAGTAAAGAATTCATCAAAGCCTTTTGACTCAGATGGGTAAATTTCTTTATTTCATGGCAATTACTGAAAAGCTCTCAATAATTTCTGATGACAGCATTTGACTCTCATACACTGACTCCTGGTTCATTATCTCAACTGGTCTCATTGAATGTCTCAACTGTGACAGCATAAGAGAGCCTGCAAGCAAGATGGCAGGCCACCAGCAGTCCAGCTCAAGTAGAAGGAGAAGGCTTGGGGGAAACGGTATTGGCAGAAACACTGCTGCAGAAAGCCTCCAAGTATTCCATAGCAGCCTGACCTTGCATTTGTGGCCTTTGGTAATGATAATTGTGTAATGGCCTAATGGGCTTTTTCTGCTCACTGCACAGAAAAAATCAACACACAGAGATGATGGCACTGCAGTAGAGAATCAGTTCAACTGACATGAAGCTGGCCTATGCAGGAGAACTGGAGTTATCACTCAAATCAGTCTCCCTGGAGCCCTGGAGGTTAGAGTTTTTATGGACAATTTGGTGGGAAGGGGGTGAAAGAATGGGTTGATTGGTTGGGGATGAAATCAGAAGTGTGTGGAAAACTGTCCCCATGCCCTGAGTCTGCCTCCTGATGGGACCACAGGAGTCATGAGTTATAAGTCTGGGTGGGTTCAGTCTTAAGGATATTTCATAAAACAACCTTAGGTTCTACAAGGGTGATGCTATCTATAGGAGCAATTGGAAAAATCACTGATATGGTTTGTATTTGTGTCCCTGCCCCAGTCTCATGTTGAAATGTAATCCTCAGTGCTGGAGGTGGGGGCCTGATGGGAAGTGATTGGATAGTGGGGGTAGGTTCTCATGAAGGGTTTAGCACCATCCCCCTTGGTACTATTGTCATGGTAGTGAGTTAGTTCTTGCAAGATCTAGTCATTTAAAAGTGTGCAGTACCTCTCCCCTTTCTCTTCCTCTTGCTCTGGCCATGTGAAGTGCCTGCTCCTCCTTTGCCTTCTGCCATGATTATAAGCTTCCTGAGGTCTCCCCAGAAGCAGAAGCTGCTATGCTTCCTGTACAGTCTGAGGAACCATAAGCCAATTAAACCTTTTTTCTTTATAAATTACCCAGTCTCAGGCATTTCTTTATAGCAGTGTGAGAACATACTAATACAGTCACAAATCTTGTGACCTCTACCATGTGATCTCTGAGTAGTAAGAGATTATAGAAAGTAGGCCTATCTTATGACCTCTGGTCTATGACTCCTGAGTAGTAAGGGATTATAGAAATTATGTTTGTCTTATCATAATTCAGCCCCCTCTCATAATCCTAACCTTGTGGCCTTTCATTAGTTTTATGAAGGTGGTTTAGTTTTGGGAAGGGCTATTAATATCTTTGCTTTAAAGTAAAAGTATAAACTAAATTCCTCCCAAAGTTAGCTTGGTCTATGCCCAGGAATTACCAAGGACAGCATAGAGATCAGAGCAAGATGGAGTCAACTATGTTAGATTTCTCTTACTCTCATAATTTCACAAATGCAGTTTTGATAACGATATAAATAACAATAATTAGTGTAAAAGGAATTCCAATTAAAGACATGAAATCAAGAGGCCTTGGTGAAGTGGCTTATTGGTAGTTTGAATTGGAAGCAGGAACTGCAAAGATACATAAAGTCGTTTAAATTTTCTTGCACCTATAGGTTTGGGAGACTAAACTGAACTTAGAGTACAAAATCTTCATTCTGTAGTTCAAGAAATTGAGGCCCAAAGAGGGAAATGCCTTCTCTATTTCTCATTCAGCACTCCACAACTAAGCGAGTAAGGTCCAATATAAATGCAGTATCTCTTTATCATCACTAGAAAGTAAACTCTATGAAGGCAAGGTTTTTGTCTTGTTCATTCATTAAATTTTCCCCAATTACCTAGAACAAAGTCTGTTGCATGTTAGGCAGGAACTCTGTTTGTTGGATGACTCTCAAAGTACAGCATTGTGGTTATGATCTTGAGTTTTGAGTTAATGGATGTAAATCAAAATACTACTACCTACTAGATGTGTTACTTTGGACAAGTTATTGAACTTGTATAAGCCTTAAATAAGACATCAAACAAGGTAATTCATATAAATCAACTTGACCAGCCCAGTACATAGTAAACACTTAATAAATACTGAATATTTACAATAGTAGTAGCCATAGTTTACTCTATTCTTGCTGATTACATTATAAATTCTAAGGTATTTTATTTCACGCAACTTTTTTCCCAAGTTCGATGTTTTAACGTTTTGTTTTTATAAAAGAAATGCTAGGGTATTCCCATACCCAGTCATTCTTAAAATGCTTTATTTTGATTTTCTTCCTGAAAATACATTAAAGAGATGTGTCAAAAATTAACATTCATATTACAATCTCATTTCTCCTGCTGAGCAGTCTATCAATTACTGTTGTTGTTTTTTTAAAATCATGATTGCTCCCCGATTGCTCATACATTTAAACAATCAATGCTGCTATTACATCCTCACTTGAGAGTATCAAGATAAAAACTATCCGGTGGGAAAGGCAATTTCTGAGTAATATTTCCAGTTGTATAATGGATGTTTGGAAATTTAAAATAGTGTCTCCCAGTGTTTATGTTTATTAACTGCAAGAAAAAGAAGAAAACTCTAGGGCCCTATTCACCTAGAAATCACTACAGCACTAATAAGCAAAGGAAAACAATTTCAGCCGAAGATTGCCAGAAACTACATATGGAGTGAATGAGAAAAAGGCCTCGTGGAATAATTAACAAAACCAGACCCTTGCAATGCACTGTTCTCCATTCAGCAGCATTGGCATCACCTGGGATTTTGTTGAAAATGTAGGTTCTCCAGCTCCACCCCAGACCTACTCAATCAAAGCATACATTTTAACAAGATTCTCTCGCTGATTGAAGTTTGAGACACACTGGTTTAATTTAAAAGGCACAGAGAGGCCGGGTGCAGTGGCTCATGCCTGTAATCCCAGCACTTTGGGAGGCCAAGGCAGGCAGATCACCTGAGGTCAGGAGTTCGAGACCAGCCTGGCCAACGTGGTGAAACCCTGTCTCTACTAAAAATACAAAAGGTAGTCAGGCGTGGTGGGGTGTGCTTGTCATCCCAGTTACTTAGGAGGTTGAGGCAGAAGAATTGCTTGAATCCGGGAGGCGGAGGTTGCAGTGAGCCGAGATCATGCCATTGCACTCCAGCCAGGGCGACAAAAGTGAAACTCTGTCTCAAAAAACAAAAACAAAAACAAGCCAAAAAATGAAAAAAGGCAAAAGGCACAGAGAATTGAAATGCTTTCTTGTTTTAAAGCATTTTTTTTACAACATATTCTTATTAAAACCAATTTAAGTCAAGGGAATAGACAAAAGTAAAAAAAAAAAATCTTCTTAATCTCATCATCTAGCCAAAACTGCATCATCTATGAATGCTGATATTTAATATACAGCAAGCCACGTTATACATGCTGTTTTGTAACATGCTTTCTTCCTTCTAAACAATAATACATCATGTTCATCTATCTAGGACAATACACAGAGCTCTATATCATCATTTTGAATGGCTGAGTAGGACATGTTTTTTATGTACTCTTGTTTATCAAATGTCCTATTGATTGAAATTTAGGTTGTTTTCAATTTTATGCTATTATAACCTCTAAGTGAAATGTCCTTGTGATACATCTCCTTGTTCTTTTGTATATATCTCCTAAATCCAAGAATATTCATCATTTGTCACAAGTTGCAAAATGTTTTAGTAGGAAAAGTAGTGGACTGGGAATCAAGACACCTAGATTCAAATCCTAGGTTTGGTCTCTATTAACTTCTTCATTGCCATCTCAGTTTGCATATTCATAAGAGAGAAGTTTGAAAATTATCTTTAAGGCACTCCACAGTTTCAGACTTTCAATACAACTGATGTCAAATCTATCATATTTGACATTATAGTGCATTTTACAGGGAATTTCTGCCTTTGCTTTTCAGAAATTAATAAATTCTGTTAACTGTATCTAGTTGAGACTAATATCAAATTTTATTTGCATATCATGATTTCACATTAACTTGATAGTAGGAAAAGATGGCCTAGGGAGATCCTGGGTGCCAGAACGAACTTAATTACATATGTACTGCATTTGAGAAGTTATGGTACATTGCTTTTAAATCAGGCTTTGCTACCAAAATACTTAGAACAAGTATTGGTTGGTGTCAGATAACCAGGGTTTGAGGCCCAACTCTGTCATTTACTAACTACATGAATTTGGGTAGATTATGAAAAATTCTTTTAGCCTTACTTTCTTCATCTAAAAAATGATCTACAGAGATTATAGGTCCTTTGTGTGTGTTATATGAAGATAATGCATATAAAATCCTTAGTGCAGACTGGGTGTGGTGGCTTATGCCTATAATCTTAGCATTTGGAAGGCCAAGGAGGGTGGATCAGCTGAGGTCAGGAGTTGGAGACCAGACTGACCAACATGGTGAAACCCCGTCTCTACTAAAAATACAAAAATTAGCTGGATGTGGTGGAGGGCGCCTGTAATCTCAGCCACTTAGGAGGCTGAGGCAAGAGAATAGCTTGAACCCAGGAGGTGGAGGTTGTAGTGAGCCGAGATCACACCATTGTACTCCAGTCCGGGCAACATGAGTGAAACTCCATCTCAAAAAAAAAAAAAAAAAAAAAGAGGAAAAGAATCCTCAGTGCAATGCTTGACACACAGAAAGTACTCAGTAATGTTTCAGCATTTATTAATACTAGGATTCTAAACTTCTTCCTACTTTGAAAGCTTTCCGGACTATGAAAAGACAAAGAAATATGCCCAGATGCCACCCTTAATTTAAGTAACACAATGAGGATATGAAGACAGCTGAGGCCTAAGAGGATCTGAATCATAAACTCATTTGGTATATTCACAAACAATACATCCAACAAAAGTCTAACATCCAGAATCTATAAGGAACTTAAACAATTGAACAAGCAAAAAACAAATAGGCCCATTAAAAAATGGGCAAAAGACATGACCAGATACTTCTCAAAAGAAGACATATATGCAGCCAACAAATGTGATAAAAGTAGTCTCCACATTATTAATCACCAGAGAAAAGCAAATTAAAATCACAATGAGATATCATCTCACATGAGTCAGAGTGGCTATTATTAAAAAGTTAAAAAAATACAGATGCTGGTAAGGCTGAGGAGAAAAAGGAATGCTTATATACTGTTGGTGGGAACATAAATTCAGGCACTGTGGAAAGCAGTTCAGAGATTTCTCAAAGAACATAAAACAGAGCTACCATTTCACCCAGCAATCCCATTACTGGGTATACATTCAAAAGAAAGTAAATCAGTATACCAAAAAGATACATGCACTTGCAAGTTTATCACAGCCTTATTCACAATACTAAAGATACAGAATCAATCTAGGTGCCTGCCAACAGTGGACTGGATAAAGAAAAATATGGTACATACATACCATGGAATACTACACAGCCATAAACATAAATAAACTCATGTCCTCTGCAGAAATATGGAAACATCTGGAGATCATTATCCTAAGATTAAAGCAGGAGAAGAAAACCAAATACCACATATTCTTACTAATAAGTAGAAGCTGCATATCAGGTTCTCATGGACATAAATATGTCAACAATAGAAACTGAAGACTACTAGGGGAGGAGGGTAAGGGTTGGGAAACTAACTATTGGCTACTATGCTCAGTATCTGGGTGATGGAATCATTTATACCCTAAACCTTAGTGTTACACAATATACCCAGGTAACAAACCTGCACATGTACCCCCTAAATCTAAAATTAATGTAGAAAAAAATTTTTTTTAAATAATTTTATAAATGTGGAGCATAGTATTTAGATTAGAATAGCATTACCCTTTCCAAAAATGTAAGATTATATGGACTATAGAATTTAGATTATTCTTATTCAGATGAAAAATATAGGGTACAGGGAAGAATTAATTTGTGCAGATTATGTATCAAGCTGCTCTCAGAGCTGTGGTTGCTTTAGCCACCAGCATCTCCACTGACTAAAGAGGAGTGTGGAAGTCAGTGACAGCTGGCTGCTCTAGTCCAGAGACAAATTACAATTGTTCTGTGGAGTATGAAGGAGCAGCTTAGAAAGTGTCCAAATGGACAAATTATATAGTCATCCTCACTAGTAATCACTAGGGAAAAACTGTATCAAATGCTGTTTTTGACCCATCAAATTTCCGTTTTCAAAAATGCTAATACCAAGTTTGGCAATAGATCATAGAAATATCCATTTGACAATAAGTATTGAAAGCTAGAAACGTTCATCCTCTTTTATCCAGTATTTCTTCATATAGGGATTGATCCTAAACAATAGTCATAGATGCACACAATATTTATGAATGAGGATAACATGAATAACAGAAAACCACATAAAATCCAGGACATTGACTAAACACATTGCAGAAATAATGCAGCCATGGAAAATCAAATTTTAAAAGAATATCAAATGACATGAAAAATGTTCATGGTGTATTAAGTGAGAAAACAGGTCACAAAACAATAGATCAAATATACCCCTAATTTTATAAAATATGGATGAATAAGCAACACAGATATTAAAGAACTGGAAGCTTACAGCAAAATGTTATCAGTTTTTGTCTTTGGAGAGAGGAGTTAATAAGTAAATATTATTTTTTGCTTGATTTACCCTTTTCTGTACTGTTCCACTATCCCTATTGGATTACCCTAACATAGTCATGCTGCAGTAAATATTCAGGTGCTTCTTTTCAGGAAGCAATTCCAAACCCAAGTGTTCTTTTTTATTATTTATTTATTTATTCTTAATTTTTATGGGTACTTAGTAGGTGTATATATTTATGGGGTATGTGAGATATTTGATATAGGCATACAATGCATAATAATCACATCATGGTAAATGGGGTATCACCTCAAACATTTATCATTTCCTTCTGTTATAAATATTCCAATTACGTTTGTTATTTTGAAATATACAGCAAATTATTGCTGACTGTAATCACCCTGGTGTGCTGTCAAATACTAGATCTTACAAACCCAAGTGTTCTTAAACCTGAGTTGTAATGAAAGAAACTGCCCTTCTTAGTCATCCTCTCCATAGGCTTTCAAATTTAAACGGTTGCTCCATGTGGGATTTTCTCCATGCCACAATGTTACCAGACAACATAAAAGGCAATGTAGATCACAAGACATTTTTTTTTTTTTTTTTTTATCTGTACTGACCATGAGCAAAATTTGCAAGAGATCCAATAGGTCTGCAATACCCAAGAAGTTCCCTAACACATGGCTCAGTGCAACTCATCCCAAATCAAAATCTACCCCCTTTTTATTCCTTTTTCTACTTAAAAAACCTTTCCTAAACTCTCCCCATGGGTTTCTCAAAGTGAGCAAGCTGGGATTTTGCTCTATCAGACTTGAAGCTCTAGTAGCCCCTATTTACTATACATACATGTGTCTTTTATCATTATACTATTGTTCTCAGAGGCAGGGGCCCTAAGGGTCACTGCGAAAAAGCAATTTAGCTGATTAGGAATAAGAACCCAAGTATATTTGGTTTGAACCACTCTTTTGGTGCCCCAAATTCAGGAATTTTGCAGCATATTTCTCCTATGTTGTCTGTTTTACTGTAGAATCTTGATGACCTGTGCAGATTTTTTTCCCACATTTATTAAATTCATTAATTTTGTTTCTTCTAACCTGGAAACCTTTCCCTGTTTAAAGTACAACGATTCCTTTATTGACTGATTCTGCCTAATTTTGTTTGCTGCAGAGCATACTTCTTATTAGCTCTCATCACACTTACTCCACTTGTTTGACCAATATTCCATTCTCTCTTCACGAAATAAATCACCATGACCATTAAACAAGGTGAATCATATTGTTCTCAGCAACCAAGCAGCCATTTCCCAAAAGGTTTTCCTAAAATCAGTCTCTATTTAAAGCACCTTTCACTATGACTTTCCCACTAAGAGCAGACATGCTGAATAAGGTTGTGGCTTAGCATATCTTGAATAATTTTAATGTTCTTTACATTATCGACCAATGAAGTGACAAACTAAAAATTTCCAGCTTAGCGAGGAACCTGGTCCCATCTCATACAGTCATGCTTTAAACTATTTAGGAAAAAGGTATTTGGGTATATTTTTTAAAAGTCTGTAGCCGGGATTAAATGATGGAATTTCAATATCTGAAGATTTTTCAGGTGAAATTTTTGAATTGGAGTGAATATTGAAATCATCTAATCTGTCATTCTTTCTGATATCCCATAAGTAGACTTTTGTGTTCACTACATGGAAGTTCTAAATCAAGGTAGAGAAGGATCAACTTTTGACTCATATTAAGAAAAAAATTCTTAGACTCACAATTTTCCAAATATATAACAAAACAATCCATCTCCAGCAATATTTAGTAAGAGACTGGTGATAATTTTTCAGATACAATGTAAGAGATATTAGGTAAAAATTGCATTAATGATCTCCAAGTTCCATCCTAAATTATGCATCTGGGATATTTCACTGAAAAGCTGTCCTCTGACTGCTTTCTGAAGTCAATGTTGAATGGAGAGTTAATAAGAAAAGCATCAATGACAAGCAAGTCTGCACTCCTAAAGATCATTGTTTTGGAGTTTGAATGTCTATTTTATGCACCTTAAATAGTACGCCTGTTGTCCAGAGACACAATATGGTACTGGTAGATTAGAAAATAAAATATACTTCAGGTCAGAAGGCCTCAGCTTTTCTACCACAGAAGAGCTGTATGACCTTAAATATTAATAGCTACATCACCTCTCTGAGAATTGTATCCCCAGGATTGTATACATTCATAAGCTTTTAAAAGCTGTAAAATAATTTTGATTATACAAGTTTTCTGGAAATTATTTCAAAGGGAATTATTATTTAGTAATGTAATTATTAAGCTCATTTACAAAGTCCTAGTCTTTCAAGCAGCAACAAGACCACCTCCTCATCTCATATAATTGACAGACAGTTCCTAAGCCTCCAGAAAAACTGGGTACTTTTTTCATGATGCCTGTAGTTAACATACCAAATATACTTGTTTTGCGCTGTGAGTAATCAACTGAAATAGCTCCCTTTTATTATTTGCTATATACAATGTTGGCTTACATTCTGATCTTTCTCTTCATTTGCAAAAGTAGAGAGCAGAGCTTAAAAGTAGTAAAAGTAGCGGTAACATAAACCAATTATGTAAGTCATCTAGAGTAAGAGCAGAGTAAAATAGTTCTGCACAGAAAATCCCTTGAATAACTGGTACTGGCATAAATGGCACATATGAAGGAACCTCTTAACAAGTTCACTATTTTTAAGGGAGGAAGAAAAAATAATTATGGCTGTTCAATACCAGATGTAACAGTGGAGTTACATGACATTTCATTGCTGAAACAGGCTGAGCATTCTTCTCCATTGTTTGCTTGAGGCACAAGCTTGAGGCTTTTAGCTCATTTATCATGGGAAACAGCTGGGCTTACTGGACTGTGTGGGCTAAATGGGGTGTTGACTGATTTAGTAACACTGGGTGAGATACTCATGCCCTTGGAACACATGATTCATTCATAAAAGTGGAAATATTATTTTACCATGAACAATCACAGTGGGATTGGTGCATGGCAGCAAGATGCTTTCAAAGGTGAGCTTATCATCATTTTGAAGTTGAGGGTGTATTAGTCCATTTTCATGCTGCTGATAAAGACATACCCGAGACTGGGCAATTTACAAAAGAAAGAGGTTTAATTGGACTTACAGTTCCACGTGGCTGGGTAGGCCTCACTATCATGGTGGAAGGCAAGGAGGAGCAAGTCACGTCTTACATCCATGGCAGCAGGCAAAAAAAGAGCTGGTGTAGGGAAACTCCCATTTTTAAAACCATCAGATCTCGTGAGACTCATTCCCTATCATGAGAACAGCACAGGAAAGACCCACCCCCATAATTCAATCACCTTCCACCCGGTGCCTGCCATGACATGTGGGAATTGTGGGAATTACAATTCAAGATTAGATTGGGTGTGGACACAGCTAAACCATATTAGGGGAGAATAAAAAGTAAAGTGAAAATCTACAACCCAGAATCTGTCCTCAGTAATACCTGAGTATTCTCTAGCCATCCTCATTGTTTTGGATCAATAAGAAATAATAGTGTTTGGTGGTTAAATGTTAATTTTTGGTATCAGACTACCTAGTTTTGATTCCAAATCTGCTCCTTTATATTGGATATTATTTAACCTTCTTGAGCCTCAGTCTTTTTAACTGTGGATTAGGATTATTATGATGAAAGATCTGTAGGCTTGTTTATACTCATTAAATGAAATATGCATTTTGTGGTGTGTGCCAGTAAATGTTTAACAATCAGGTCTTGGGTGAAGGAGAGGTCAGTATCTGCTGATTTCCATGGTGTAAATGCTCCCACCTGGGCCATTTTGATCTGGGAAGATGTGCACATGGTCAGCTGTGTGGCCACAGCACATATCGCTGATGGAAATCACTTAGCACAGTGCTTGGAATATCAAAGGACTCAGTTATTGTAATTGACTATGATCATATATTTTATCATTATTTTGTTATGGATTTTATTACTACTGAAATTGACTAAACAAAATTTGTCCTCTCTCTTGCCTTCCTACAAAATATAACAAATGTGAAAAAATTAGAAATTTGGGGATTATAATGACAATTAAAAAATAAAACATAGACAACAAAAATCCCCCTTAATTTCTCTTGTTTAGAGGGAAAAGCCAACTACTAGAAGACTTTTATTTGGGGTCTTGTTACAGTTTATTTGACTTGGGTAAGCCAACCTCTCTTAGGCTGCTTTTCTGCTTGTAAAATGTATGAAATGATTCATGTTTTGCTCACTTTACTGGGAAGTTTAGAATTAAAATTTAAAACTTATGGGGAAATTCCTTGCTAACTTAAGTCTTGTTTTGTATTCAGAATCACTGTTTCAGTAATCCAATTTATGGGATTTATTCTAAGGAAAGAATTACAAAGAAATAGGAAGCCTCTTAAAAATACCAAACAATTGGAAAGAACTGAAATTTGCATGAACATACTTAATCTATTTTAGGTAATTTATCTTCAGTAAATACAATTGAATGTTGTATTAGTATAAATGACTATTATGCTAATGTACAGGATTATTATACTAATGTTCTATTAATGTTAATATAATATTAACTTTGTCACAGAAAATGTTGTCTTCATGAATATAAAAATCATACTTTTCTAGGAGAAAAGCATTATGACATATAGCAAAAAGTCACAACCGTATTATATTACAAATGTAATAATGTAATATACAGTACATTCACAACACATGAGAAAGGAATACAAGAAGAATTAAAACTGGTGTTAGTAATGAATTTCATAGCATAAAAGTCATGAGTAAAAATCAAATTATAAAAATGCATTATGAAAGTAGTTACAGGGCAATAAGGTATTAATGGAAATCCAATAAATAGAAAAACACCAGCTCACAGAATCATTTCTTTCAAACTGGCTCTTTATATTTTTCCCGAGAAAAGACCTAGTTATTTGACTAATTACTCGACGAAAGTGATTTTTCTGAGACCTGAGAATGGAAAGAGCGGCAATTTCCTTAAACCAGAGATATATTTAAAATTGGAGCTAGTGACAGCTCTTCTTTTCCAGATAAAACCCATTAAACTTACCACTCCTGCAACGTCATGCCTGGGATCACCCCTGCACCCATCGAGAGAACAGTACATAAGAGATTTATGATTGAGGCAGGACTTGTTTCCAATCCTGGCCCACATCCTCGTGCTCAGATGACCAAGTTTTGACTTATCGTAAGCCACGACTTCATGGTCTTAGTTTTCCTTGATCTCCAATTTGGGCTGCCCTAAACGCTTGTCTTGCTTGTCTGAGTTCGAGACCATTTTTGCTTGACTTCTTACAAGAGTACACTTCTGTACAACTCCCTGGATCTCCACTCCCATTCACACCTTATGGCGTATGTGCCAATGCTACTGGGCACTCTGCAACTTATGATAATTTAGGATAAGAATCGAATCTTTGCTTCCTCATTGGTCTGAATGACTGTTATCTTTATGTGTGCATGTGTGAGGGAGGCTCTTAGAGAACACTGGAGTGAAACTTGGAATATGCAGTACAATGAAGTGCAGCTTCAATGCCTGACAGAGACAACAGCTGGCCTCCATGACTATCAACAGGTTTTAACTCAGAGTTTGCAAACACAAAATTATACAGGGGCAGGGGCAGAAGGCATGAAAAAGGAGAAAGTTGGTAAATTTTGTTAAGATCTAGAGCAACACTTTTTAGTGGCACTGTGCACTGTGCAAATTCTGTGTGGAGTAGGTATGTGAGCTGCACAGAATGGGTCTGCAAGCTGCTAGTCTGCTCTAGCTCATGCCTGCTTTCAAACATAGGGTGTAGAGCAGCAAGGATGCTCGTGCAATGATGCAGCACATCCAGCAGAGAGTGAATGCAGCCCCTCTGCCTGACCTCCCTTGCTTTGTCTCTCTTTCCTTGCCTCAAATGGCCCCTTAGGTTGCTCTGTTTTACTTCTAAGAACAATCTGGGCTTGAGTCAGAAAGGTAGCTCTTTGCAGGTCTGACACAGTAAAGAAAACCTTCTGATTCCTCACACTGTTTCCAGTGTCCCTGTCCATTCCTTCTTCATGAGCCCATTCAATTCCCAATTCCCCAATTTCATGCACCCAAGCACCTGAGCTAATACTTTCTCCTCTTCTTTCCAATAGCTCCAGTTTCGGGAGCATGACACCTGCATTTGTTCTTTCAGAAATGAAAACCAGCTCTGCCTTCATGATTTATGCACAACTTCCTTCCTTCACTCTTGTATCAAATGAAATGCCTTGGGGCAAAGACGACTCTCCTCTAAGTGCAATATTTAGGCTGATGGGCTCACGGTTTGATGTGAAAAAGATTTTCTGTGGCTTGGACTCAGATGTTCAAATGCCCTTAGGATCTTATCAAAAGCTGTAGTGAATCTATGAGGGTGTAGTTTTGATGTTTTTAAATATACTTAGTAGAGCTAAAGATAATGTTGCATTTCCTTTCTGTCAATATATTGATCAAAAATAATTGCTATAGCTGTTACATACCCATTTACTATATCCTTAGCACTTTGTGGGGAGCTGGAGGGAATTTAGAGAAAAGGTAATCACAGTCTGTCCCCAAAGAGTTTATAATACAGTTGTGGACACACACTTATTTACATCTCCCCCAAACACATACAGTCCCACTCAGGAAAAGAGTACACACTAAAAGTCAGTATATAAACAATAACAGTTATCATGTTCTGAGCTTCTACTAGGATGGGCAATTTAAGTGATCTTATAACCTCACAACAATTCTGAAAGTTGTCATTTCCCCCTTCCCCGATTTTCACATTATAAACTGAGGTTCAGAGACTTCAGTCCAAGGTCACTCAGGCAGTGCAAGGGTAGAGCAATTGTGTCCTATTCCAAAGCTGGGGCTCTTTCCTCTATATGCATAGTTTTCATTCTTCACTCTGTATTTGAATCAACTGAGGCATTTTAAAAAAATATGGATGTCTGGGCCGTGCTATCAGAAATTCTGCACATTTGACACCTGGGCATTGGTAGATTTAAAGAGCTCCAGGTGATTGTAATGTGTGGCCAAGGTAAAGACCTATTATGCCATTGTGCAGTCAAATGCTGGAAAAAAAAAAGTATATTCTGAAGAGAAAGTTCGGTGGGTAAGAATGTATAGCAGGTGAGCTGGGATGAGACAACTTGCCCCTAAAACAAATGCTCCAAAACACATACTTAACAGGTTAAACATTTTGCTCCAGAGTTGCAACAATAAGTCTTCCTGACTTCATCAGATTCTGGTCTTTAAAGAAAAGGTAAGTGGATGAAATTTGTAATATGTGCATATTGCTCATTACTGATTACACTGTATCTTGACCTCTTTATCTCATTTGAGCGTTAAAAGAATCTGGGGTGTGATGGGACAGGTAATTAATTTTGCCAATGAGAAAACTGTGGTCCAGAGTGAGGAAGTGGCTTACTAAGCATCACTTGGCTAGATAGTGACCCCATCCAGTGCTCATTTCATTGTGCTACACAGACTCTGCTGCTCCTGCAGCACTGGAACTTCTGCAAATTGAACGGTGAGATCAATAATTGAAGAAGCTACTAATTGAATGGGGTGAAGGATATGGCTATATTAAAACACATCACCATTCTCTCAAGCACTCCTTAAGTTCCTAAGACAGATGTAGCTCAGCCTGTATTATCATAATCATCCCTCTAAATAAATTATTCAGATTAGGCCATGAATGCTCATGAGTTGTGAAATGCAGATAAATACATTTTCCCCCGTGCTAGTTGCTCAGGCATTAATATGCATTCCTTCCCCGTTTTACTCTCCCAAATATAATGGACTGAAACACTTCAGACCATGACCAAGTGAAGGAACAGGAATGCCCACTGAAGCACTGGTAAAGCATCAAATTAGTAGCTTTCAGCAAAGCTACCTTATTTGGCCAGTGCTTCCAGAAAAACAAGTTGTTACAGAATAATTAATTCGAAGCAGGCAGCTACATGAAGCTGCTACAACAGAACGAGAAGCTAAAATACCAGATGGTGCTATCAATGAACAGCAGATGTTTGCCAGTGAGCTGCGATCTGTGGTTTTAATTCCCAGAGTGAAATGATTTTCTAAAACTTAGAAGAGCCAGTGTTATGGGTCTCATTTGTGGAACTGCTACACACTGTGAAACTCACTGGTTGGGAGACCCAGGTCATTCTGTGCAAGGTGGCAGAGAAAAGTCAGCACAGCTGTCTTCTTGGCCTATTGTAAATCACTTTATATTTCTAGAAAACTTGGGGAAAATGGACACTTCTGGTCCTAGGACATTCAAGACATCTGTTAATTGGTTGTTGGAGAATAAAGAAGGAAAGATGAAAAAGTTTCTAAATGATTAAGATGTATCTTCTATTAAATAAAATCATAATGTTGAAGACAACTAAAAAATATATAAACCAGAAATGAAGAGGTTAAAATTGCCCACATGTACATTTAATTCTTCAAAAAAGTATTGATTGCAAATATTTTCTTAAAAATTATTGTTAATAACATAATTTACCTATTATTTGCACATGAGAACTTAGAATTCCCATCTTGGAGCTACCAGATCTGAGCTTAAATTCCAGCAGCAAGTCAGGGTTGCATATTAGGCTATTTTACTTTCACATAATCAATAGTTAATTGAATAGAAAATGACCGAATCCAAGAAAGAGTTGGGTAACTGGGCCTTGGAACAGACAATTCCTCTTCTTGCAAAGAATTAAAGGTGATTAGGGTTCTGCTGGGAAAACCTTATCAGGACAGAAGCCATGTGAAGCTCAGATAGGAAGAGGCCGGCAAGCCTGCTGCCATTCCCACACAGCATGCATCCAGAGAGCTTTCCATGGTCCTTCATTTCTCAAGAGAGAGCAAGGAAGCACCTGGGTTTATGTGCCTCTTAAGCCTTTGTGGTTTGTGACCTCTATTCTCTCTGGCTCATTTATCTGGAAGCATGCTGACACCTCCTAAGGAATGTGAAGGACTTCTGACAGGCTGCGCCTTTTCAACATGCAGACAAGAGAGACGACAAGGAGATAAAATGTTGGGAAGCTGATACGTACTTTCCCTCTGGTTTATAAAACTGCTTTATTTGTATCAACAAAGGAAGAAATGTGACTGAGAATGGATCTTTTTTCACTTCTCATGCATCTTTTCTAAGTGGCAAGAACTGATTGCTCATGGAAAATGTTGGGGAAATAAAAACAAAAACATTTCCCAAACCAGAAATCTTCTCCATAAAGGTAGTAGAGGAAAAAAACAAAAAACAAAACAAAACAAAACAAAAGCAGTTATGTGATGTGCATCACAGGCAATCACTAAGAGGTTTGAGAGAACACTCACCCTTTAGACAGTCAAGTAATAGAGACAACCCACTGCACACATGTTCTCAATATAAACAATAACTGGTTGTCAAGCCTGAGGATTTGCCAGCACCAACTGTCACTCATTTCATCTTAGATTCACCCGGCAATTGGAGTGACCACCTGTGTTAGCTAATTGGCTTTATCCAGAGGAGAAACAAACTTCTCATATCTTATGACAGGAGGTAGTTTTGCCTGGGCACAAGGCGCCTGGTTAGGCTCGTATCCTCTGGCAGAACCAAAAGAGACGTTTCACAGATCCTGGAGAAAGACATTCCTGAGTCATAAAGCTGACAAAAGACCTGTCTAGTTTTCAACAAGATATATATGCATTTCAAAGAGAGGAGAAAGTACTTATAATTTTCTAAGGTAAATACTCCAAGAAAAAGGCGGGGAGGGGAATCTCTTTGCTTATTTTCACAGGGAGGTTTAAACCTCTTAAGCTTTTAGTTGTCCTTACAAAAACTAATTTTCACTATTGTCTAGCATCTGTCTTGACAAAAAATTTTCAGGCTTTTGCTTTCAGAAACTTTCTATTATTGCACTATCTAACATGAGACAAGGGGATTCAAGATGAAGCAAACAAGAAAGCCACAGGTAACTCAATGAATAAGAAACCAATTGTATATGATATTTTAGCATCATTTTCTTCATTTGCCTTCCTACCTATAACCTTATTTTATTGGCATCTAAATGCAGTGTCTTCCCAATCCCAACTCATCCACTGAAGAACAACAACAAAAAAGCTGTGGGGGGGAAGGGGGGAAGCAAGACTTTTAAAGGGCTATTAGCATAGCTCTGACTTTGACAGTTTTGAAAGTCAACTGGAGGTGGGGTGTGGTGGCTTACTCCTGTAATCCCAGCACTTTGGGAGGCTGAGGCAGGCAGATCACCTGAGGTCAGGAGTTTGAGGCCAGCCTGGCCAACATAGCGAAACCCCGTCTCTACTAAAAACACAAAGATTAGCTGGGTATGGTGGCACGTGCCTGTTATCCCAGCTACTCGGGAGGCTAAGGCAGGAGAATCACTTGAACCTGGCAGGCGGAGGTTGCAGTGACCCAAGATCGCACCACCGCACTCCAGCCTGGGTGACAGAGTGAGACTCCGTCTCAACAACAACAAAAAAAGGTAGTCAGTTGGAGTTCATATCTGGTTAACATTGTCTTCCGGCTGTCATTTTGACCTAGTAATTTGAACCAAGTTGCTGCAAACTCAACAGGTAATAATAAAGGAAGTATAGGGCAAGCTGAGTACACTAGAGAGGCAAAACTTACAGTGAAGAGTCCACGCCCATCTATAGGAACAGCAACTACTCAGCTTCAGCTCATTGCTGCAGGAAGTAGAGTTAATGTTGTCGGATATTAACATTTTTAAATAGAGGCTGGAAATCTGATTTTTTAATATGAAATTTTCTGATGTTTAAATGTTGGCAAATGATTTAAAACATTATGTGAGCCAAAAAAAAAAAATATATGTTTGCTCTGAATTTAACCCAAGGACTGACTTTAATGGGACATAAGCTTCTGAGGACAGAAGCTGTCTTCGGCTTTCTTTTTGTTACCCACAATCTGCACTACAGCGTGGGTACACCCTCGACCTTCAGAAAACACTGACAGTCACAGGAGGCTGGTATCTCCCATCCTGGACCAGGTCAAAATAATCACATTCACCAAATAGAAATAAATAGATACTATCATCTTTGCCTGTATTTAATAAGGGTTTGACATTTGTCCTTATTGCCCCCTGAGGATCTGAGCTCTGTAGAGAAGATAATCCTCCCAATTCTCTTATTCAGGTGTTTCCCTCCCCTCTCTAAATCTTTACCTGCTTGCCCAGATTCGGAGTGGAAGGACTAGAAAATTCTTGCCTTTCCAGAGGTAGTAGCCCTTAACCAACTGGCAGATGTCACGTTGGTAAATGTTGAATAGTTTGACAGTAACCAGTATATGGAAATGGATTTCTTCCTGCATGCCTAAGCTTAATCTAAACTTGACAATCAGTTTCTCTTTCATTCATGCTTTGAACCTTTAATAGAAGGGTACAAGAAAATATGTACATTTAATTCCTGACTGTAGAATACTATAATTTTCTGATGTCTAGGCTGGGATGAGATATGGGTGTTGTGTTTAGCCAATGGTCTTCAATAAATGCCTGTGATGATGCTAGTGTTCCAATATTGATCATGTATAGATTGCTAATTATCAAATGCTGGGACTACATTAATTACACACAGCACTCTGAGGCTATGGATGGTAACCTATTAGCTCAGAAATGCAAGAATTTCACTTGCATTCATTTAAATTAATATAATTTTAGCTCCAAGCATCATTCATCTAGACTGTATATCAATTCTGTTTTCACTTTTATGGGGACCTTTCTATCTGCAGGTTTATGCCAGATCTTGAGTTATAGGTAGCATCCAGAAAGGAGAGGCAGCCTCTCCTTTCCTTGCATACTTGCTGCTGACATTCTCATTGTCCAAGTCTGCTGGGGTGCTCTTCTTATCGATTCCTTCTATGGGATGGGAGACTCAATGAACCACATGGTGCAGGTGGTCTCATCCCCAAGTGACCTTCATGTCTAGTCTTCTCTGGAGGCTGTTTAGGAGCTGGCTTAGGACCCTTTCCTCTCACCTGCTCAGGGTGTGGCTCTCTCCTCCCCCAGTGCAGGGGCACTACTTCCTTGCCTTCAGAAAAACACATCCTTGTACCCCTTCCACTCTGCTGCAGAGACAGGAAAAACTTATGTGCACTTATCTTTACCACATCCTTGCATTGCTTCAAATCATAATCGTGAACCCAGAGCAACATGGATTGTGAGAAAAATCCAGGTAGTTAGAAATTTAGAATGCTCAATATTTATCAAACTATCTAAGGATAGTTTCTTCTTCTATGTAGTTTCTGAGAAGTTACGTACTTATTTATTTTATGCAGACATCTGATTTATTGACCTTTGCAAACCCGTATGTAGACATATTTATACTTGTATTTTGGCAATGTTGAAGATTAGTGATTCAGAGCAGTTCAGCCATTTGAATTAGGTCACAGAGGGGCTTTCTGATTAAAAAGGTTAAATGCTATTTAGAACACACACAAATACACACACACACACATTCAGCTGGCTGTCTTTTCACCTGAGTGTGAGCCATCATAGATTAAATGACACATACTTTCCTCTGGTTTATAAAACTTTTTTTTTTTAGGAGTGATAATTGGGTTCATACTTTATAAGAACAAAGCATTGAAATGTCAAACACCAAGAAAGACTAATACAATACATATATTAGCCACAAGACTTGTGTTTGCAAGTATCAGAAACCCAACTAAAATTTTATTTTATAGGAACATAAAAAATTTATTGTATTGAACCCTAAATTTCAGAACAGATGGATGTAGGGGCTCAATTTATATTCACCAGTATATTTCCTCCCTCCCTCTCTCTCTCTCTCTCTCTCTCTCCGTGTGTGGTGTGTGTGTGTGTGTGTGTGTGTGTGTATGTATCTCCCCTCTGGATGTCTTCATTCTCTGACAGCCTTCCTCTTCTTTATGTAAAAGACTAAGATCCTGGCTTACACAGTCATTACAGCTTGTGATCTCTTAAAGAAAGACACCTTTCTTCACCCAGCATCCAAAGTTAGTCTTTTAAAATGGTCTCTGGTTGGTCCTTGTTGTATCACCTTCCCAGACTTCCGGTAGACAGACAGTGTCCCTTGACTGACAGTCCCCAACCCTGCCCTAGGTCACAGAGATTCTGGGAGAGGCTATTCCTAAAAGAAAGGACACAGGAAAGCAAACAAAGTAACAACAGATCGTGACAATGTCTGACATTCAAACTTTACTACAGATGAATGATTTTGACAGTTTCCTGGGAACAGGTTTGGATAGGGCTTCTTTCTTGCTTACAGTCTTTGCCTAAAACCATGTTGACTATGCTAAGCTCCTGAAAATGTAATGTAAATCAACATGCTTGCTTCAAACACACTCCCACACTCGAGAGCTCAAGAGTTAGCACCGTTTTATGATGGATGACATGGATGCAGATTATTGAAGTGATAATTAGTAATTGTGATCAAGAATTACTTATCCTATGATTTTAATCACCTCTTTCTTCTAGATTTTTTTCTAACTCTTCCAACAATTTTTCTCCTTTGTTGCATCATTTCTAACCAGGGAAACAGGAATGAGATCTGCTGTTGCCTTTAGATTTATTTCATAGCATCCACCCTATACAGATGGAGCCCTGAACTGTGTCAGGATTCTGATTCTCATGTAAGTCCATGTAGAAAGCTCTTGAGGGAACAACATGCCTTGGGGCTTTAAATTTCCATGAGCATCAGCTGCCTTGGGCACCATCCAGCTACTGCACCCTCTTGATTAAAAAACAAATTACCTATTCCTCTAAAGATAGAGTGACCAAACAGAACTAAATTATTTCTTCTCACCATTTGAAGCCTAATTTGAGGTTATCATGAGTTTACAATGACAGGAGAGAATGAAAATAGTAGTGATGAGTTTTGAGGTACTGAGAGGTGACAACAGAAAGATATATTTAAACTGAAGCATTCAAGTCACTCTTCTAGTCTTAACTCATTAACCTTCTTGCCATCTTACAGAGAGAGGCAGCAAGTTATCAAGCAGCATTTAGTCAGTATCTACCTAAATGTACAATGGTGTACTGGAGGCTTTGCAGGATGAAAAATAATAGAAGCCATCATTTGTTTCATTTGCACAGTGGTCATTACCATCGCCATAACAGTTAACATTCACTGAGGTTTATTATGTGCCAGGCACAGTCTTAAGCACCTTATATATATTGCCTCATTTAATTCTTATCACAATCTACAAGGTAGTACATCAGCCATGACTCTTTCAATTACAAATAAGAAAAGCACAATTCAAGCTATCTTAAGCAATATCAATAACAGCAGCAGCAGTAGCAGCGACAGCCCCACAAAATACTGGGAAGGGTTGGTCAGTCTATGTGAATCAGGTATAAATAGCTCCAGCCCTTATTCCCTCTTTCTTTTCCATCCCCCTTTAACTTGGGCTTCAGGCCCTCCATAAACATGCTTCCCTATTATGGCAGAACTGATTGATGCCTGTAGCCATAAGCAGCAATCCAGCCTGCTTGCTTACCCTGTGAAATCCCAAGGAAAAACACTGATCAACTTGGCTAAGGTCACGTGTCTGTCCTTAATCAATTGTAAGAGTGTTCTCATTGGCAAGTTCTGGGTCGTACTGAAGTCTAAGGAAACAAATCTCACGATTAGTAGCCCCACTAGAATTTGCACTGTGTGGTAGAAGGGGCAAACACAATAATCAGACATCTACTCCTGGTAAATTTCATCATAAAGATACCAAAGCTTAGGGAGATCATCCATGTATAAGTGGTTGAAGGGCATTTGATTGTAGGTTTGACAGTTTGAAAGCCCATGCTCTTAGTTATTGACCCATACAGACCCACATTGCTTCTTAGTTCCTATCTTAAAGGTATTTACTTATCTGGCGTGATGGTGCACACCTGCAGTCCCGGCTACTTAGGGAGCTGAGGCAGGAGAATCAGATCACTTGCATCTGAGAGGTCGAGGCTACAGTGAATTGTGATTGTGCCACTGCACTTCAGCCTGCATGACAAAATGAAACCCTGACTGAAAATAAACTATTTACTATATTTTGCAATGACTGTTACTATTATACACAACTCTGGATAATGGATACAGAACAATGTAAAAGCAGATAAAGGAGAACCAGATTCTTAACCTTGATTCTCTAAGCCTATAAAGTAGGGAACCCTGGAGCAGGGTAAAATGAATGATAAAAGAGTTTGTAGAGGAAAAAGAATTTAATTATGTAGATTGGAAGACAGGTATGTGATTGGCCAACTAGAAAAGAGAGAGAAATGCTGCTTTGCTTAATTATGTTTGACAGTAAAATTTTTTTTCTAGCTCCTGCTAGATCTTTATTTCTAGCCCAATATTATAAAACTTAGAGTTACGGAGAAGTGGGTCAAGGTCTGGTGCGGGGATCACACCTGTAATTCCAGCACTTTGGGAGGCCAAGGCGGGCGGATCCCCTGAGGTCAGGAGTTCCATACCAGCCTAGCCAACATAGTGAAATCCCATCTCTACTAAAAATACAAAAAATTATTTGGGCCTCATGTTGCATGCCTGTAATCCCGGCTATTTGGAAGGCTGAGACATGAGATTCGCTTGGACCCAGAAGGTGAAGGTTGCAGTGAGCTGAGATTGCACTATTGCACTTCAGCCTGGGTGACAGAGTGAGACCCTGTCACAAAAAAAAAAAAAAAAAACAAAAAAAAAAAAACAAGGGCCAGTTGTGGTAGGGTGGCTTACACCTGTAATTTTAGTACTTTGGGAGGCTGAGGCAGGTAGGTCACCTGAGGTCAGGAGTTTGAGATCAGCCTGGCCAACATGGCAAATCCTGTCTATATTAAAAATACAAAAATTAGCTGGGCTGGGTGTGGTGGCATGCACCTGTAGTCCCAGTTACTCAGGAGCCTGAGGCACGAGAATCGCTTCAACCCCTGAGGCAGAGGTTGCAGTGAGCCGAGATCGCGCCAGTGCACTGCAACCTGGGTGACAGAGTGAGACTCTGTACAAAATTTAAAAAGAAAAAAAAAAAGGTGGCTCGAGCCCCAGTTCAGCTGCTCACATTTAACTTTGGACACATCATTTAAACTCTGGTCTCAGTTCCTTGTCTGCAAAACAGTTGCTAACACCTGCTTCACCATTCCACAGAGTTCTCAGGGGATTCAAATAGGAGAGCAAATACAAAAGTGTTTTGTAAAGCTAAAAACACTGTCCAAGTGGATGACTGCATCATTATTTCTTATTACTTGCTTCCTCCTAGACATAAAATGGGCAGCTTTTCCTGACAGACTTTCTAAAATTAGAGGGAAAGCGATACCATATTACAATAGCAGTTTTATAAACAACTATCTCTGAAACTTTCTTTGCTAGCCAATCCTCCACAGCAGGACTATTATAGAATAAATTCTGTGTCCAACAAAATGTTTCACTTGCAACCAAATTAAAAGTAGTTCCCTTACGTTTACACATTTGGTAAGCAGGAATGCCTTATTGACAGCCTTCTTCCTGGTTATTCATTCATACTCTTATGCATCTCACCTGAATATTCACATGCTTAACAAAAATTTATCTTTGTTAACGCTCAAAGTCATCCCTAAGCCTTTTCTTATTAACTCCAAAAGAGTATGAGGTTTTTGATGCAGGATTTTTGCTTCTTTAGCTCAGCTAGGTTCCAGGCTCTTGTCTCATGACCAGGAAAAATTAGGCATGCAGAAGCCATCAAGTGAGTGGAGTAGAATTTATTAAGCAAAAGGAAAGCTCTCAGCAAAGAGAGGGGTCCTGAAAAGCAGGTTTGTGGTTACCCCCTCACAGTTGAATGCCAGGAGTGGAATTTTAGGTGAGGAGTCGTGGGATGGAAAGATGTTGCTTTTTATTAACTATCTTGAATTTTTGTTTAATCATGAACATGTATTACTTTGCCATAAATACTTTGATATAAATAATGAGAAATAATATAAATATAGCATCAATTAAAAGAATTTGAGATGAGACAAAATGTGAACTAAATCCTACAGTGCTGGTTTGGGCTTCATGGATAGGCAGTTTACAAAATTCCCCAGAAAGTAATGATAGTCTAAAGTTCTTACTGTGTGTCAGGAATTATTTTTAGAGCTTTATAAATAGCAACTTACTGAACCTTCACAAAACTCTTAGAAGTAGTTCCCATTTTACAGAGGATGCAGAGTATCACCACTTTACACTACTTTTTTACAGTACATTTTACAGTACATTTTACACTACTTTTTTACACTACACATTTTACAGAGGATGCAGAGTATCCCCATTTTACAGAGGATGCAGAGTAACAGAGAGTTAAGTAAGTTTAAACCAGTAGCTTCAGAGTTACTACACCCATGTGATTCTGATACACATAAGATCTGAGAAAACTGATTTACAGGATACAGAAATGTGCTATAGTGATGAGTTTAATATTAAAGAGTTATGGCACTAACCATTAGAAAAATAGAAAAATGACTAAAGCTGATTATTTCCAGGAGTGGAATTTTAGGTGAGGAGTCATGGGACGGAAAGCTGTTTCTTTTTATTATAAACCTATCTTGAATTGTTGTTTGATCATGACCATGTATTACTTTGATATAAATGCTTTGATATAAATAATTAATGCTTTGATATAAATAATTAATGAGAAATAATATAAATATGGTGTAAATAGAACTTGAGTTGAGACAAATTGTCTCTACTATACCCACATGATTTTGATACACATAAGATCTGAGAACATTGATTTATAGGATAGATTTGTGGAGGCTTCTGATACAAAATTTCTAAGATATAGCTTGGGAAATACTGCAGTAACAATTTAATGGCCCTTACTTTTGCTTCTAAACCGAGATCTTTGGCCAAGATATTTCCATCAAACTCTGGATCTGTATATCTTACTATTTTTTTTTTTTTTTCAGATGGAGTCTCACTTTGTCCCCCAGGCTGGAGTGCAGTGGTGTGATCTTGGCTCACTGTAACTTCTGCCTCCTGGGTTCAAGCAATTCTCCTGCCTCAGCCTCCCAAGTAGCTGGGATTACGGTTCCTACCACTATGCCCAGCTAATTTTTGTATTTTTAGTAGAGATGGGATTTTGCCATGTTGGCCAGGCTGGTCTCGAGCTGCTGACCTCATGTGATCCACCCACCTCGGCCTCCCAAAGTGCTGGGATCACAGGCATGAGCCACTGTGCCTGGCCTCGGATCTGTATGTCTTACTATTAATACCTGTTCTGCATGTCTCAAATGCACCTTGCTATGTCCTAAAACAGACTGACACAGTTCTCCTGCTAATGGTTCTTCTCTAAGTGTTCTCTATTTCAATAAGGTTATCACTTTCCATACACTTGAGTAGGTCTGAAAACCTGGAAATCACCTCAAATCTCCCTTTCCCTGGCCACCTACCATCACTCTGCAGGAATAAGTGATGCCTATTACTCTTACCTACCACGTGTCTCACAAAAGCACACACTTTCCCCTCCCCTGACCACCCACAATCTTCCAGGGACCATAATCTCCCAAGAACTACTGCAAGTGTCCCTCCAATCCATTCCTCACACTGCAGTGAGTGTTAGGAATACATGATGAAGTCCCACATCCTTAGCATTTGCTGCAAATCTCTGCCTCTCTCTGCCTGTGCTGTGCTGCCTGCCTTCTGGGCCTCAGCTCTGACCACTCTCCCCAGCTCCCCACCTCTAGCCATGATGCTTCTCTTTAGCTCTTCGAACTCTCCATGTTCCTTTGGCCTTAGCCTCCACACACCACATGCTGTGCCCTCTGCCTGGAATTTGTCTCCAGGCTTAATCACTCAAAGCCTCAGTTATCCCATCCATAAAATGGGAATTAAAGTGCCACAGATCAGAGTTGCTAACAATATGTGATGGACGTGGTGACTCATGCCTGAAATCCCAGCACTTTAGGAAGCCCACGCTGGAGGGTCACTTGAGCCCAGGGGTTCAAGACCAGCTTGAGCAATACAACAACAACTCCATCTCTCTCTCAATCTCTTAAAAAAAAAAAAAAAAAAACCAACTAGCTGTGTGTGGTGGCGAGTACCTCTGGTCTCAGTAGAGGCTGTAGCAAACTGTCATCATGCCACTGCTTTCCAGCCTGGGTGACAGAGTGAGATCCTGTCTTAAAAAAATGAAAGAAAATAAATACATAATGTGTTAATGGCACAAAATATGTTTTCAATACATTTATTTCCCTAATATATCCCAGAATTTTAAATTTTTTCAATAATCTTAATATTATAAATTTATTTGCATTTGTTTTCTAATAGTGATTTACAAAACTTCGATGCAAGAAGGAAACTTTAAAGGATTTGTTTATTTCATTTTAGAAATTTATTGAAAGCATAATGCATCTTGCCATGAAGGATTTGTGCTGTAGTTTTTAATTACTGTCAAGTTAACAATGTCCCTTAGAATGTGGTGCCTTTGTTAAATGTAGGTGTTAGATGGCTGTAATTTTCAAAATTACTGCTTTGTTCTACAACCCATTAAAACAGTCAGCATAAATAATTAATGAAATGTACATACTTTTAGAGGTAATGATATGAAAAAGGATGCCAAATAAATGAGCAAATAAAAATATCAGCATCTAATTCATAATTAGAGATTGCAGTCCTTGATAATTTGAAAATGAGTTGAACCTTTATGCAAATGCATAAAGTGGAAGCACAGCCATATTCTCATTGAGATTAAAATTACTTTAATAAAACTATTCAGAAAACTGACATATTAAAACAACAAAACTATAATTATATAAGGAACATCAATAACAGAAAGACTCAAGTTGCTATAGCCAGATAGAGGACATTTAAAGTATAATATAATGTGTAAAATGTGGAGGTGCAGTGAGATGCTGGAGGAAGCCAACAAAAGACTTTATAACCTAACAACAATTTTATCTGTACTAAGTTTAAAAAGCACATTGTGATGGGCAAATACTTAGAAAATCAAAATAAGTGTGATTTTGATATTTTTGTATTTTGAATATTAGAGGTATTCTAATATTTAAAATGAGAAATTCTGGATATGTCATGGCTATATTTAAAAAAGCTATTTTCATGAAATTGGATAACTATTTGAACTCAACATTCAGCAGTATGTCTAGTTGCCTTCGAGGTGATAGTATAATTCTCAGTCATGCTCAATATTTAAAGTTTCAGCTAGTAAATATTCCAGAGTTTAGAGAGAGAGAGCTGTCACACTTAGATGAGAGGGAAAAAAATGCATATGTGCCTGTAGGTGTGTCTGATCTCATTTGTAGATTGTCCCTTGCTGGCTATGTACATTTGGGAGATTATTTAACCTTCATAAACCTCAGTTTCCACATCTGCAAAGCAGATATAGTATGTGATTCACAAGATTCTTGTGATGGCCAAGAAAATATCAAGGAAAGAGGTAGTGCCAAGAATCTCTTAAGAATTTTGACTCAAGAGTTCCACACTTTTAAATTGTTTTTTAAAATTTAACATATGGTACAATTTGCTTTTATTTTGGTGCAAAGCTCTATGAGTTTTAACACGTGTAGAGTCACATAGTCAGCAACACAATGAGGAGACATAATAGTTCCAACATCCAAACAACTCCCTTGTGCTTGTTCTTTGGAGCCGTGTCCTCTCCCCATCCCTAACCTCTGACAACCATGAATTGATTCTCTGTTACTATAGTTTTATCTTTTTGAGACATCAATGGAATCATGTAGTACATAATCATTTGGGATTGACTTTCTTCACTCAGCATAATGCCTTCGAGGTCCATCCAGATTGTTGCTTGTAACAATAGTATCCTCCTTTTTCTTGCTGAGAAGCATTCTGTTGAATAGCTGTATACCACAGTGTTTTATTCCTTTCACCCACTGGAGAAGTTTTGCGTTGCTTGTAGTTTGGGGTAATTACAAATAGATTTCTGTAAGCATTTATGTACAGGTTTTTGTGTGAGCATGAGTGTTCATTTATCTAGGGGAAATACCTAGGAGTGGAATTGCTGGATCTGGCAGTATTTTTAGCTTTGTATGTACAACTTTGTATGTTCTACTTTATGAGAAACTACCAAACCATTTTCCAGAGTGGCTTTGCTGTTTTGCAATCCCAGTATCAATGTATGGGAATTACAGTTGCTCTGCAGCCTTGCTAGCACTTTCTGTTGTACATATTTTTAAGAAATAAAGCATAGTTCGTGCTCTGTACTTACACCCATGGATTATTTCAGCTCATATGACAAGGACTCTTCTCTTGGATTTTAATTCCTGTAGTCCTATTTGCTTTCACAGCTCTTCAATGTCTTTAAAAATAAGACTACAAAAGTTATATGAATATGGTTAACTTATGAATTTTTTTCTACTTCTGGTAATAACAATAGTATTGGCAATGATATTATTTCAGACTTCACCATTTCAGTTTAATTATACAAGTTATTCTTCATAAATCCTAAATAATTATGCAAATGGTACACAACAGGTGAAATATAATATGTCATTTTAACACACCAACACACACAAACACAGAGCAGGGAAGCAATTGGACCAACTGTGGTTAAAGAATTGTAGAGTTCCATTTAAAGATTTTGTCTCTAAATGTGCAAATGTAGGTAGGTTTCATTATACTCTATGAGAGTAAAAAATATTGTCCTCTATCCGTCTTTGGCACTGCTATAAAATTTATCAATGTAGAAATCTAGAAATCATTTAGCAATCTGATGAGATAGGTGTATCATAAATACAAGGCAGTATCATTGATATTGGCAACAAACTTACAAAGTTGAATTAACTTTTATGGCATTTTTTGAATTGAGTAGATGACCTTTCTTCCATTTTACAGAAGAGGGTTCTTAAATCCTTCATCCAAGGCCACTCAGAGAAGGTGAATAAGCTGAGACTTAAAGAGATGAGAAGAAACCAGCCATGTGAAGAGAAGTGATGAGCATTCCAAACAGGTGGGACAGTATGCACAAACGCCATGAGTTGGCCAAAAAAAATTACACGATGAAGGGTTTGTGAGACCATAGTGGCTGAGGAATAACAAGGTTAAGACATAGGCAGAGGCCAGCTCATTCAGGCCTCATGGTCCATTTCTAATTTTGAGTACAATGGGGAGCTATAGAAGGGTTTTAAGTTGTGTGATGTTTTTATGCTTTAAAAAATACTTTGCTGCTTTGTAGGGCAAAGATTTCTATACTGTTTGGATCATATATCTCATATAATAGAAAGAATTTTCAGCATGTACTTCCAAAATGGTCATATTTGTTTATAAATTGTGTTGCTACCCTTCAGTAAGGAAATATTACTAAAGATAAATTGATAGCTTTTGAATATAAAAATTTAGTATATATAAAAATGAGGCCAGGCACAGTGGCTCACACCTGTAATCCCAGCACTTTGGGAGGGTGAGGTGGGCAGATCACCTGAGGTCAGGAGTTCGAGACCAGCCTGGCCAACATGGCAAAATCCTGTCTCTACTAAAAATACAAAAGTTAGCTGGGTGTGGCGGCACACGCCTATAATCCTAGCTACTTGGGAGGCTGAGGCAGAAGAATCTCTTGAACCTGGGAGGCAGAGGTTGCAGTGAACTGAGATCGCACCATCACACTCCAGCCTGGGCAACAAGAGAGAAACTCTGTCTCCAAAAAAAAAAATTATTTTCCTTCTTCTCTCTCCATTGTGGCTGGTGCCTGTGGGTATAAAAACTCTACTTTGAGTGTGAATTTTGTAAAGAAGAGATAGGAAGGGAGTTCCTGAGAAGCTGAGAGAGTAGCGTGGAAGCTGCTGGGATAGACATGATGAGCTGTAGAAAGATTCGAGATATAGTTTTCACATTTAGAGTCTTCAGGCTTTTTGTAATATCTACCCATCTATATCCCCTGCCTGGCTCCTGACATCAATTCTCCCCTCCTCCACCCACTGGATAGGTCATCCTTTAGCATCCCATCAGTGAAACCTCTTGGAAGAGCTTAAGAGTTTGCTGAATTGGAAACCAATTGAATTAGATGAGTCCAATTCTCCATCCAATTAGGCTATTTCTTTGTCATTTTGGTTAAAGGGGTTAGGTTTAGGGTTTAGTGATTTTTTTTTATAACCTTCTGCCTGTTGACAGAGGACAATGGAGAACAGTCCTCTATGAATTAGAAGAAAATACCATAAAACAACAACCACAACCAGGCAACCAATCTTGGAGCCATCTTAAGATCTTTCTGATTAAGCCCTTCCTCAAATGGAATATTAAAATTGAAGATTTACAAAAAATCGGGCATCAGCAAATTATTCTCAAATGAATTTCAAACATCCCTTCTCCAAGGGGGTGACCAGGAAAGTTAGATCAGGAAGGAAGGAGTTGTAACCTTTGTGAATTCAATTTGGGTTTTTGACTTTTTAATTTGGTTTTCCTTTCCTGGAGGAATTCTCACATACTTATTCAGGATGGAAAGAAGGTTAGTAGAGCATGAAGAGAGGGCATTAAACAAACAATACTGTGAAGCTCTGAAAACTTACTGAGAAGAGAGAAATGGCTGGCTTGAATTTCACAAAGAGCACTTTCAGTATGGGATGAGGGAGACACCAATCTATTAAATATCCACAAACTCAACTTCAGTGACTGAGGCGGCTGCTCTCCATCTATTCTTTCTTATTTTGGAGTGGTCTTAAGAATGATCACTCAGAGTACTTTGTTGTAATTCTGTCTCGGGAAGGGTTTGTGTAAAAGAAGTGTTTTTGGACCTGTTAGAAACATCGATGAAGTACTATTCCCATGTTGTCTTCGAGGGAGGCTCATCACAGACATGGGAGTCAGATTTTCAGTGACCTAATCCTGGAAGCAATTGAGCAGATATATGTGTTCTGGAATCAGTACTATTTTTATTGTGATAGCCATTAATTATCCTGAATTTATTTCGTCATGAATATATATTGTATAATTACAATATACAAACAGCAATGTTATTATACTAAGTCCGTGAGAAATAGAATGAGGACATTTTAACCCTACTTTTAAAAAGAAGAGACAAACTATGAAATCGGAGAAAATACTTGTGAAGCAAACATTCAATAAGGGATTACTATCTAAAATACAGAGGGGATTCATACATTTCAGTAGCAAAACAAAACAAAATAGAAAAAAGACCCCAAAACAAATACCAAAGTACCTGATTAATAAATGGGCAATGGATCTGAATAGAAATGTTTCCAAAGAAAACACACAAATTGCTAACAGGTATATGAAACAGTGCTCAGTATCACTAATTAGCAAGGAAATGCAAATCAAAACCACAATGAGATGTTACCTCACACCTGTAAGAATGGCTATTATAAAAAAACAAGAGATAACAAGTGTTGGTGAGGGTATGGAAAAGAGGGAGCTCTCTGCACTGTCGGTGGTAATGTAAATCTGTACAATCAGTATGGAAAACAGTACAGAGGTTTCTCAAAAAATTAAAAATAGAACTAACATACAATCTAGGATTCTTGCTTCTGGGTATTAAAATAATATGTTGAAGAGATATTTGCATTCCCATGTATATTGCAGCATTGCTTACAACAGCCAAAATATGGAATTAACCTGAATGTTAACTGACATAAGAATGGATAAAGAGGCTGGGTGTGGTGGCTCATGCCTGTAATCCCAACACTTTGGGAGGCCGAGGTAGGTGGATCACCTGAGGTCAGGAGTTCGAGACCAGCCTGGCCAACATGGCGAAACCCTGTCTCTACTAAAAATACAAAAAAAAATTTAGCTGGGCGTGGTGGTGCACACCTGTAATCCCAGCTACTCAGGAGGATGAGGCAGGAGAATTGCTTGAATCCGGGAGGCAGAGGATGCAGTGGGCCGAGATCATGCCATTGCACCCCAGCCTGGGCAACAAGAGTGAAACTACGTCTCAAAAAAAAAAAAGATAAAGAAAATATGGGGAATGGAATATTATTCAGCCTTAAAAACAGGGAAATCCTGCCACTTGAGACAACATGGATAAAGCTGTAGGACATTATGCTAAGTGAAATTAGCCAGGCACAAAAAGACAATGCTAGCTATGGCTTAAATGTATGCCCCCCGAGGTCATGTGTTGGAAAACTAATCCTCAGTGCAACAGTATTGGTAGCTGGGACCTTTAAGAGGTAATTAGGTTGTGAAGCTCTGTCCTCATGAATGGATTGATGCCCATATTGTGGGAGTGCACTAACTATCAAGGGAGTGGGTCCCTGGCAAAAGGATGAGTTTAGCTTCCTCTCTCTGGAGCACACTCTCTTACTCTTCTGCCTTCTTCCATGGGATGACACTGCAATAGGATCCTCATCAGATGGTGAGCAGATGCTGGTGCCATGCTCTTGGACTTCCCAGCCTCCAGTACTGTGAGCCAAATAATTTCTTTTCTTTATAAATCACTCTGTCTTTGGCCTTCTGTTATAGCAATGCAAAGCGATTAAGACAGACTAACACTGCATGCTGTCATTTATATGTGGAATCTAAAAATGACAAACTCATAGAAGTAGAGAGTAGAATGGTGGTTACCAGGGGCCAAAAGTGGAATGAAGAGATGTTGGTTAAAGGGCACAAAATTTCACTAGGACAGGATGACTAAATTCTGGAGATCTATTGTACAGCATGGTGTCTGTCATTAATAATAATGTATTGCCTACTTGAAAATTGCTAAAGAAGTAAACCATAAACGCTCTTACCACACACACAAAAAAAAGTTTGGGAGGTAATGCATGTGTTAGTTTGATGTAATCATTTACAATGCCTGCATGTGTCAAAACATCACTTTGTACATCACAACTATCTAAAATTTTATGTGTCAATTATATCTTAATAAATCTGGAGGAAAAAGGTTTGGCTTTTAAAGAAAAACCTAGTAATTTAAAACTCACCCACCATAGATCTTCACCTGAACTTTTTACGTAGCAGTGGAGGGGCTGGATAGATATTATCATATGATTCAGAATTTTAAGTACCGAAGCGGACTTTCTCATTTAACCAACTCCTTCGTTTTACAGTTCCGCTGAGAGATACTTGAGCAAGGATCCTCTACAAACTAGTGGCAGAGTGCTAGAGTTGGTTACCTAACTTCATTTAGGTAACCAACTAACTTCATTTAGTTGGTTACCTAACTTCAGTGCTAGAGTTGAAGTTACCTAACTTCATTTAGTTTTATTCCAAGACATTACAAGGGACATGTCACCAGCTCTGGGCTAGACCTGATGGTGAAGACAAGCTCAATCTTGATGGGTACCTACCTGATATCTATGTGTCATACTCGGTGCCAAGCACATTTCAAAGTACCAGGGCTATAATGATGAGCAAAACTCAACATAGTGCTTTGTCTCATGGAGGGTCCAATTTTATCTTCCTGCCTTCAATAAGTTTGCAGTGTTTTGAGGAAGCTAAAATATATAACTACAAAGCACGCAGAGGATGGCCAATAGGAAAGTGCTCTTTTAAATAAGATAGGGTGCTGAATGAGAGAGGAGTGCTTTAGGAAGCCAGGACCGGGAGCACAAAGGATCAGTAATTAATATTATTTTCTGCCCAAGCCAGGGCATAAGCTGCGCTCTGGGTCAGGTCAAAGCCTCAACGCACAAAGAGTAGGAAGCCTCCAACCCACGGCAAGCTTTGGGATCCCAGAGTGCGCCGGGTTAGAGAACCGGAGCGGAGGCGCCAGCGATTCCATGGGGGTCGTGGCAACTGCGGTGGTGGTGGCGCATCGGGTCTGTCCGCAGCCGGCAGCGGTGCAGAGCGGTGGGGAGAGCGGAGCCTGGGCCCCCAGCAGCTCCCGGCCCCGCGCTGGGTGCTGCTGGCGGTCGCGCCAGGTAGCTGAGACTCCAGCGCCCGCCTGCGCGGCGGCGACTGGCTCAGCACCCGCGGCCACCCCTGCCTGCGCAGCCTACGCCTGCCCCGCCGCGGCCCGACTTGGCTGGAGTTGGGGTCCTGAGCTCCAGCCCCGACAGCTGCCAAAGCAGAGCCCCTCGCTGCCACCTCGGGTCCGGGACCCCCTCTCTGCCGCTATGGCTCCCGGGATGGCAAAAGTTGGCGCCGGCGGTGGCTCCCCAGGTGCTCCTCAGCTGCGCAGCGCTCTGGGTCCTCCGCATCCGGGCGTCTGCGGCGGCGGCTTCTGCTGCTCCTCTGTACCAAAGCCCCGAGCCCCGGGGGCTTTGTCACTTGGGACATCGAGATGAGGTTCTTTCCACTTCTTGGCCTCTTCCTGTGCGCCCCCTATACCAAGCGGGCCAGGGCGAAGACATGAACCGGATCCTTGAGAGTGCCTGGAGCTCAAGAGAGAAACCCCGGCAAAGCTACCCATTTGCAGCTGGGGAGCTGAAGCCAATCAGCGTCACATTTGCTCCGACAGGCGACTCTCTGCACATCTAAGCCTTGGTCCACTATTCTGGTCACAAAAGCAGCAGGAATAGAAGAGAGGTGATGGGGTTGGAGGCAAGTGAATGAAAGGAGAAAAGAGTTAAAGCCCACTGGGTGATCCTAACGTGAATGTGGATTGATGGGGCTTTTGGACTGGGAGGTACCGCACAGGAGCCTTTGCCCATTTTTCCCACTGAAGCGATGTTTCCTTCTGCAATATCTACCTCCATCCCACCGAATCTTTTCCAAACCCCAATCCTAAAAAAATTTCGAAGTGAGCAATATGACTTGTCTCCCTGCTCACATTGGGTATATGTTGTTGAAGACCAGGTAGAGCTGGGTGTAACAAAGAAAAATGGAGATGAAAGAGTTAAATTTTGGCAGGCGGGCATTCTTCCTAGGGACTTTCCTTTTACTTGCTAGACTTTCTGGTGGGCTCATGTTAGACCAAAAAGGCTTGTATATTTAGGGTAATTAGGTAGGGGAGCCCCGCCCCTTATTCCTTCTTCCCTGACAAGGGAGAATTTCAATGGACGATCAATGTCATTAGAGTAGTCCTTGTTTCTGGGCACTGACCAAATGCGAGCTATGGGGAGAGAACTCCCTCTCACAGCAATGGGGAGTGTGGTCAGACCTGGCACTTTCCAGCCTATGGATGAATTATTGATCTTTGGCGTGATCGGTCCTAGGAAGATAAAATATCCCAGTGACAGCAACTCCATTTCCCCCCATTTCTTGATTCCACCAGTGAAGAGCACAAATAAAGACTAAGCCCTCTTCCGGATTTATGGAGAGAGAAGAGGGATTGTGGCATTACAGGAGGCTGAAACTGAGGGAGTGGGTGCCAGTGGGCTTCAGCTAGACAAAGAGTATGTGAAAGGCAGCAGTCTTTGGCCCTTTCAAGGGAGGTTTTAGGTTTTTGAGAAAATGCATCTTGTAAACCAAAGAGAACTGTTATAATTTAAGCTGATCCTGGAAACTTTAACATCCTAACAAAAAAAAAAAGGCTTGTCTGCAGTAGCTGAGGACCATTTTTATAATGTCTCATTCTCCAGGTAATGAGAACATTAACACCTAGGAAGGATACCTTTCATGGTGTTTTAGGTTGGCAGAAACATTGCCAGAGAGGTGTCGTTTTTAGTTGTGCTCATTGTCAGCTTATAATGAAATTTGTGGACATTTAAAATTATGGCTTGCTTTTTCTGAATCCTTTTGGTTCCCAGGCATAGACTGCATTAAGACAAATCATAATAGCAGTTCTGACACCACTGGTTAATTTTGCCTATTTTGAACTTCATGTAAATATGTACTATTTTGGCTATTGACCTCTTTGTGCAAATTATGTTTGTGAGATTCATTTGCAGCTATCCTTTTAACAAGCAAATAGATCTGGAAAAGAGTAATGCATTTATGAATATTTATTTTATTTTGGTTGTAACTTGTTGGCATGGTGTAACAGAAATAAAATGTCAACAATATTTTGTCAAACTCCTATCGTGCACCCAGTCTCTGTGTTGGGTACTGGGGAGACATAGATGATAACAGTAGAAAAGTTTTGCTGTGGGGGTTCTCAGTCTAATATGAGTGTCTTATTAACCAAAGACCATTACATTGTGATGAATGTTACAGAATGAATGTACAAAAGTGATAAGAATGCAGAGCAAGTTTGGGCTCACATTCCCCAGGGCATTGTCACACAGGAGGTAAATATGTACTGATCTTTAAGGATCAGCAACAGCTCATCATATAGAAACTCGAGATGGAAGCTGGGAGGTTGTTACAGGAAATCCTGTGTTCAAGTTGGCTCTGTCAACAAACCTTGAGTTGTGATCTCTGAATTCAGGTTTCTTCTCTGTCCTTGGGAGATGTCCTGCACTATCTGTCCTCACAGGTCTCTGGATGAGCTATCATGAGATGTGGTTATGATGACATCTCCTGCTAATGGCTGCATACAGAGGTAGCTGTCATATTAACTATGAGCAGATTCATCAGTTCTTATTGCACACAACCTATGTGCCAGAAACTGTTCAGAGAGTGGCACCAAGATTGGAAGATGTGGCTCTGCCACTGAGGGTATATTTCTATCTTGTGCTTTTTTGCCTTTCCTGCGAGAGCCTGATGGTTTGTGTGAGAAGCTGAAAGAGTTAGAAAACCTCCAAGGATGGGAAGTGAGTACAGAGCACAAATATCTCCGGTAACATTAGTTTGCAGAAGTATGGCAGGAGATGGGGACGGGTGAAGCAAATACAGCTAAATAGTCCAACAGCCAAAGCAGAGTGGTTTGGAGGAGATTATGGGATCTTTAGCTGAATAGTGAGCGGGTTAAAATCCTGACTTCAAGTTCTGTAGCCATTGAACAAATTAATGCTCCTGAGTAAGTCAGTTATCCCCCGAAGCCAAATGGGACCTTGTAGTTATTAATTCAACAATGTTTGAAAATAACCCGACATTGTTTTTTACTAGCTTATTTAACCATAGGTGCTGAGTGAAGACCATGTAGGTGCTTTGGGTGCTGCTGTGATAGTCAGGACAAGGCTACTGGTTTTGCAGAGATTCTTTTGTAGGGACAGAAAATAACTTAAAGATGAACTTGGGACTCCTAGTTATACGGGTTAATCAATAGAAGTGTTGATAGCAAAGAAAGATGTTGAGAAGATGAAATGAGGTGTTGCAGGATTGATGAGGAGAAATACAAAGCACACCAAGAAATTTCCTGCTCAGTCAGTGTTCTGTGATACAGCAGGAGTAGTATTAAATCTCAGATGACAGTTTGGAAGATGTTTAAATTCCCACTTTAGCTGTTCTAATGCTTGGATACAGAATGTAGTAATTCTAGAAAGTTCACACAACTGAGAATGGTATTTGTAGCTTATGACTCTCTAGCTTACCTTGCTGTTCAGATCTACAGAAACATGTGGCTAGACCCAGAGATGGAAGCCTTTTTGACTGACAGGGGTCAGAGTTTATTATTTGTTGGAAAACCTTAGCAGCCTCGGTGAAATATTCTGTTACCTCAAGGTGCATGGAGTTGTTTGTGTTCAGAGAACATCAAAGTGTGCCTCCCACAGAGTCATTACAATGTGAAGGGAATTTTGTGGAGCTCTTGTTGAGAAACTCTTAGGAACTTGGAAGTTCTGTAATATCACTTCTGAGCCCAATGCCTACCAGTGGATCTACTATGATTTTGGTCTGTCTTACCATGTCAACAAATAAAAGCAGTGGAAAACTGGCTTTGAAAAGTGGTTAGAGTATTTAGTAAAGATCATAGTTTCTGACCATTCAGATGTCAGGCCATAGAGGTTGGAATTAGTACACCTGAGCCCTCTGACAGTGTTTTTCCTCAACTGTAGTTTCCTACACCAACTTTGCTAGGATACTGGATGGTGAAATTGAGGAGGGAGGGAGAAGAGACAGGCAGGCTGGAAAACACATGACTTCTCATCTCGTCTAACTCCATGATCCTTCCCTTCTTGAAAACCATTTTCACAGCTAGGATTTGTGTAAGTGTCCTGTTTAAAATCACTGAAATGAAAGCTTTCATTGAAATAATCACAGTCTGAATAGGCTGTCACTTTTTGTAATCTCTCTAAATCTCATCAAGTAATAGTAGTTTTGCTGTGTTAGAATCCAAGGTGCTGTGTCTTTAGTTTCAACCTGGATTCTACATAGTTAAATTCTTTATTCCTCTTAGTTGGATAGGTTTTAGATGGCTCACCCTCTCTGGCCTGATTCATATCATGGTTAGTTTCAGGGAAAGATAAAAGAAAAAAAAAATAGTACTTTGGTGAGTAGCACTGTTCCGTTGAGCTGAGCTATCAGTGGTATAACCAGATCTCTCCTTAGAAAATAAGTTAAGAACCAGATTCATGTTCATCTTCTAGGGTAATGGAGATAAGAAAAGTGACTTGCCAGTCTTTAACAAACTATATTCTGTGGGACATTAGTAGGTGTTACATGAAACAATAGATGTATTTTTATTGTGGTAGTTGTTTGGACAACATTGGGTTAAACAATGCTTACTTGTTCTCCATTACCTATCATAGATTTTAGTATTCTAATGCTCAATGAGCATTTTCAAATTTATATAAAAATGTGAATTCCCCTTGGCCTCCAGCATTTGCTAGACAAGTCTTGTGTGGAACCCATTTGAAAAGGTCTGGATTATTTTCATGTGTGGGTTTCAAATTAATACATGATTTGGGGACACATTTCTCACTTTTTGAGGAAGACATTATAGAGGGCCATAACCCAATTTTAAACATTTCACTTTTGTGTCCCTGTGAGAAATACTTTTTGTATGGCTGGATTAGGGGACAGAATCAAGGGTGAATGTTCTATGGAGACATTATCTGTCTCAGATGCCACCCCAGCAAGTCTTTGTGTCTGTTCTCCTTTTCTTTGCTGGCACACCATGGTTTGTATTTGAGGGTGAGGAGTGGAGTGACAGTAACAATTGGCACTGTGTCCTTTGCCGTATATTAATTTTCCTAGTCTCCCTTGTAGGTAAGGGTGGCCTTGTGCCCTAGCGGCCAATGAGACAAAAGACAAGCTCTGCTGGGGTAGCCAACAGAGGGAGAAGGGAGACAAACATTTTCTGAAAAGTTTGGAAAAGCTCCCTAATAGCTTATAGTTGCTATAAATAAAACCATCAATGAACCTAAGCAAATTTCTCTAGTCTTATGGTTCAGAAAAGGATAATTCCTGAGAGGTTTGGAAAATGCAAATAGGTCCACAGTTAAATGTTATCTATCTACCTAATTATTCTACTTATGTAACCTATATGTATGTATATATTCACCTACATAGTTACTTATCTTCCCAACCTACTCAGCACTCCAAAAAGGATAATTCCTTTACTGGACCATAAAACTAGAGACATTTACTTAGGCTCATAGATGGTTTTATTTATATTTCTTATTAGGAAGCAGTCTTTTGCCTTGAATGTGCTTGGAGCGGTGGCTGCCCTCTTGTGATGATAAAGGCACAGATGTAAGAATGAGGATGGCAGAACGAATGGACACAAAGAACTTGGATTTTTGAGATGTTATTGAGCTGTTGCACTGAGTTACTTTTTTCAAATTCCTTATTAAGTAAACAAAATATAACTTTATTATTTAAGCCCTTTTTAATAAGCTTTTTCAAAGTTAACTTGTGGTGAACACATTCTTATTGATACATATTTTATTTCTGATATATGCCTTCATCTTATTGTATTTCTCTGTTGTCTGCTGTTGAACTGTGGGTGGCTCAAGGAAGCCAGGACATATCTTGGAATGTTTTGAACGGCATCTGAGCATGCTCATAACTTTTTATTGACTGCAAAAGTAATATCTTGACCTGCTTTGAATTACTTTTCTCTTTTGCTTTGCTCAAGCAGAACAGGAACTTCTATGAATATATGCCCATGTTCCTCACTGGCACCTGAGGCGGGCTGTGTTTATTAAAAATTAAGTCATATACTATTTATATACAGTTAATAAATTAGGATTGTTATTCACTGTACAAAGGTAATTACTGTTGAATTAAACTGTGAGCTTCCTGAAAGCCTCTTAATAGGATTTCACTAGGCAAAAATGAGGTCACTCAGACCCTTTGAGGAGCTTGTCATTTGACTTGATTGATGTCTGCCCTTTTCTCTCTTTGTTGCTGAGCTCTGTTCCCAAACAATGGGGCTGCTCCACTGACAAGAGGGCTCCCAAGAGCTGGATCTCCAGTTCCCTGGGGGCTAAGGCAATTTATAAGGGATCAAAGTTCCCATCCAGTGAAGGGTAATTAAGGATTTGGAGAATGCAGAACTGGAATGCACCCTGTGGTAGGTGCATTTCAGGGGCATGCTATTTTAATTGCTTTCAATTTATGGACTGTTAGTATACAGTTACTGGTGTCCTCCCTTTTGCCTTCTAATAATTTAACCTGTACTCAGATCCCCACTCCTCAATCTGTCCCACTGTAGCCCTTTCTGTTGTTGTATTTTTCTCAGGATATTGTTGTCTGAGAGTTCTGGAAAATGCAAATAGGTCCACAGTTAAATTTTATCTACTTACCTAATTATTCTACTTATCTAACCTATATGTATGTATGTGTATATATATATATATATATATTTGCCTACATAGTTACTTATCTTCCCAACCTACTCAACGCTCCTAAACTACTTGGTTTGCTAACCTACTTTGTGCCTATATTTATGCACCTATCTTTTCAAAACATAAAGAGCATCTACCAATGAAATCAATGACATTCTTTCTGTATTGTATAGCTTTGCTCAGTGTTACTCTGACCTTGAGTTAAAGGGTTTTCAGCTCATGTTCAGGGCTTATTAGTAGTAGTAGTATTTTTGTTATGGTTCTATTTAGGAAGCAGCCTTTTTGTAACATCTATGAGGAGGATAGACAGGTGTGATTTTGTCAGATTCTTTAATACATGATGATGATATTAAAATTGATCATGAGGAGGTTATAGAAATTGTCTCTGTTCTTGTAGATTTTAAAATTAGCTTCATATAGAATGATTTATTCATTTATCTGTTTTTAATTATTACATTTTCCTCCCATACCTGGTATTTTCCTTTACTCTGTCATTCATCAAGTGTTTAATAAATGCCAGTATGTACTGAACCTTATGCTAGGTGATATAACAAAAGCCATATTTGGATTCCAAAGAAATATAGGCCAGTCCCTTATAACACATATTTGATCTTTGTCTCAACAAAAGGAAGAAAGCTCTAAAATATTGTACTATTAGAGAGTATCTCCCAAAAATTCATGTCTGCCTGAAACCTGTGAATGAGACCTTCATTGGAAACAGGGTCTTTGCAAATGTAATCAAGATGTTGGGTGGTGCAGCTGTAAGCCAAGGAACACCAAAGATTGCTGGCATCCACTAGAAGCTAGGAAGATGTAGGATGGACTCCTTCTTAGAGCATTCAGAGGGAGCATGGCCTGGGCCATGATTTTGGATTTCTAGCCTCCAGAACTGGGACTGAATAAATTTATCTTATTTTAAGCCACAAAGTTTGTGATAATTTGTTACAACAGTCCTAGGAAACTAATGCATGTATTTGAAAAGGACATTTGATTCAGAGATTGAACATTATGAGAGAAGAGGAAAAATCACCCAAACTTCTGTGTGTAAATCCAGTCACTTTTAATTCTTCCCTAATGTAAATAGTTTTTGCTGGTTGCAGTCATAATCATAATCATACTTCTAATCATAATCTTTTTTGTTTTATGTGTTTCTGGTGGAAATATATCATTTTTTGACTGTTTAGCATTTACATCCTTTTTGGTAAAAATTTTCAGGAGATTTTCCTCCCGCTGTGGCAACTACAAATGCCAGGTCCTTACTGTCTCAGCAGCTCCTAAAGCTCATGAACAGGTGCACCTTAGACTTGAATTAAAAGCTGGTGACCTGAAGATGAAGGGACTGCACAGGAGACACTGATGTTCTAGGGACAGCTACATCCAGGTTCTGGAGTTAGTGGTCAGTGACTATAGGCTTCAGTGCAGAGGCTGGTGGTCATGAATATTGAGGTGTCTATGCTGTGTCAGCAGCAGCCACACTGTCTTTCCCGGACTACTCTGTGACATTCTAGGCTGGATTGCCACTCACTTTGGCTTTCCAGATCCCAGCGACTGCTTTAATATATATTTATGTGATGAAGCTAATGCCAGTTGATTCTTAGTGCCTAGAGGGTAAACCGTGGCTGATATAGCATCCTTCTCTTTTGAATTAATATTATACTGTATGCAAACTCCATAATGTGACCTATCTCTGACCATCATTTACAATTTCTGGATTCTACTCAATTGTGTCAGTGTATAATGATAGATGTAGCAATTCTATTAAAACAGTAGGTCATTTCAAAACAAACCTGCAATGAACATGCTTGGGTATATAATTGTTTTCCCACTGTGTTTTTAAAAATAAAAATTACAAGAAATATGTTCACTGGATCAAAGAGTGTGAACTGTGGATATATCACTGTGCCTTCCTGAAAAGTAGTAACAATTTACACTGCTGCCAGCAATGTATGAAAGTGCTAATTTTATTGCATTAGTATTAACACAAAGGGGTATTATCAATGAGAAATATTGCTACTACTTTTCTGGGTGAAAAACAGTACCTTGATGTTTTAATTTGCACTCCTCTGATTACTAGTGAGAATAACATTGTTTTCTTATCTTGTTTACTAATCGAGATTTCCACTGATTTTTCTGTTGACTAGGGAGGAACTTAATATAGGCATGGGCAAGCATGGGCTGAGCTTCTTAGCCAGACTACAAGTCCAAAATCACTAGACCTGTTTCAACTGACTGAGGAGCTTCTTGTTAGCGTTGTGTTGGGGGATGGGGAATTTAAGAGGTATGGGTGCAATAAAATCTTTCAATCCTGAGATTTGTATTCTTCTTGGGAGAAAGGAGATATGCGGCAACCTGCTGTAACTGCAAGTGCTAAATTCAGAGTTGTGGACTCACCAAGGAAAAATTCTTTCCCCTTTAGGCGTTGCCCCAATGTTTTCATTTCTTTTCTCATATGTTTTCTTTTTCCCACCCTAGGAAACTAAATCTTGGCAACATTTCTCTAATGATCACTTTCTTATTATCACCTTTTAAGAACTACCAAGTTTTAACCTGACATTTTCTTTCTGTTATCTCCAGGGTCTTAAAAGCCAATATTGTGGTTTCTGAAAGCTAATTTCTCACCAGTGGGTGGCAGCCTGTTGCTTTCAAGGGAGACAGCCACAAGTGTTTGTGTGTAGAGGCAGGGGTGGGGTATGGTGTGTCGGAGATAACCGGGATTCTGGGACAGAGAAAAGATTGTTGGATCAGCTTGATAGGACCAGTTTGGCAGTTTGCTTGAACAACTTCAAACGACTAATGTAAAAAACACTGATTGCATAAACTCTTGGATAATTCCTGGGAAGTTTTGGGGGACATCCTATAAACTGTCACACAGAGATTTGATTTCATCAGCATAAACAGGCACTGGCACAACCCCCACCTCCCTGGGAGCCCGTCGCCCTGAGTCAGAGGATAAACAGTAATGGGGTAGTCTCAAACTCCACTTGCTGATGATAACATTTACATAATGCTTGTAACCATTTATACTGTGTGCTAAATAGTGGGGCTGGGGCCATGGTGGTGCTTGCCTGTAATCCCAGCTACTCGGGAGGCTGAGGCAGGAGAATCACTTGAACCTGGGAGGTGGAGGTTGTGGTGAGCCAAGATTACACCACTGCACTCCAGCCTGGGCAACAAGAGCAAAACTCTGTCTCAAAAAAAAAAAAAAAAAGAAAAAAAAATAGTGGGGCTGGGAGGAAAGAGAGGCATCCTTAATTCCACCCCCTCCCCCAAAAAAAGACATTTTGATCATTCTATTAAAAAATATCGGTGAATTGGGGTGGCAGAAACCCTGGAGCTGTAATGGTCCATACGCTGGTTAATAAGGTCAGCATGTTTATTTTTCCACCTCCAAACTTTTTTGCTCAAGTCTTTCTAGAGGGAGACAAGAGCATGAAAACAGCACCAGATGAGGAGTAAATAAGCTGGGTTCTCAAATCCAATCTATCACTTGTTAGCTGAGGGGCTGGATGCAGACTTTTGTGTCTCTGGGCACCAGTTTTTCAACTACAAAATGAAAGGGCTGGACTGGACAGTCTCCAGAGTCAATTTCTGCTCTAAAATTTGGTGATGCTTCCATCGTTCCTGTCTTCAACTTCCCCAGGTAATCCAATCTCGTATTTTCTTCATGAATCTTTCCTTAAATTGTGGGCTTGGGATACATAATGTGTAGTATATTTTCTTCGCATTTCTCTTAGTGAGATGAGCATAGCACATTCCTTACCTTGATCCTTTTCCATGGATACTTTGATACACAGGAGGGCTCCTCTGGTGAGAAAGTTGGCAACTCCCAAAAGCATACTCAGTGCCTCTGTGTTTCTTTTAGTTGGCTGAGAGAGCCCTCTCAATGTCCTACTCAGAAAAAGAAATTTGTTCATTCAACAAATATTCAGTGAGAACTTGGTGATTTTTAGGTAGACTACCAGGTGCAGTAGTGCTTCCAAAGGACTGTTGGAATCTACCTTTTTTCTTGCCTAAATAAAAGTCTGTCTACTGGCCTGAATGAATCTTCATGGGTAGAAGACCCTAGATTCTCAGATACTTCTCAAGAAGCAGGAGTTGCAGGTGGGAGAACAGACTGTTCCTCGGTAAAACATTTCCAACGGGGCTTCCACAGGACATTAACCCAGGCACCCTTCTCTAAAGGTAGTGGGGGGCTGAATCCTGGGGAGGGGTGTCTTTCTCTAATATGTACAAAAGTATTTTATGGGCTAGGGTGGCCCTGCTTTTCAGGGTCTAAGCATCTGAGGTTTCATTGCTTTTCCTTTGTCTTCTTAGATTCTCCCTCATTTCTGTCTTTAGATTTCCATTTCCACATATGAGTGGTATTGCTCCATTCTGGACCTCTCTTCTTTCTTTTTATTGGTAAAGTATGCCAAAAAATGCATTTAAATTTCTATGAAACACTTTGTTTATTGTACTAATAAATCCTCCTTTGGTTTTCCAAACACTTGGAATAAATGTGATGAGTTTATATGGAAATTAAGGTAGCAGTACATCTTTTTAATTAGACAGATATAGATGTAGAAAGTGAGTATCTGCTGATATGAAAGAAGGTTTGGGCTCGGAGGAGAATTTTTTCCTCAGTCATCTCACAGGTTAATTTGAAGAGTGTGGATTCACAGGGTCCAGTCAGGTGGGGTGCCTCCCTCCTCAGCAAGAAAGTAGGCAGGGGGCTCTGTCCTTTTCATACAGGGCAAATTATTCAAAACTCCCTCACCCTCCCCACTGATAGTATTGATGTGAAAGGCAAGGAAAGTAGTTTTTGGCTTTCCAGGGAGAATGGTAGAGACCCTGGTACAGTTCTTCTCAGCCATGGCTGCACATTAGAATCAACTGGGGTGCTTTACAAAGCTCGCATGTCCAGACTTCACTGCAAAGCCAGAAATGGCAATTTTAATATCTACAAGTGGAGTCTGGGCATCAGGGTTTCTTTAAAAGCTCCTTGGAGCCTCAGCAGACAGGTTGGAGAACTAATGGCCTGTGTTTTCTAAGAGTTGGTTTGACCACAACACGGAGTAACCTAGGATCACTGATGAGCCAAATTGAAGTTGCTCTGTTCTGTCCTTTGTCACATAAACACACATGTACATGGCATGGGATACAAAAGGGGAGTTTCACTGATAGATATAACACAGACAGAAGAAAACAGACACATACAACCCTATTAGACATACACACACACGGTTATAGACTATGGCTCCTGACACAGAAGCAGACACAGACACATATTTAGGCACATCTCTGTGCTGAAATGCAATCCTAGAACTTCTTAGAAAAATGCACAGAGAGGCTAGGTGCGGTGGCTCATGCCTGTAATCCCAGCACTTTGGGAGGTTGAGGTGGGCAGATCACGAGGTCAGGAGTTCAAGACCATCCTGGCCAATATGGTGAAATTCCGTCTCTACTAAAAAAAATACAAAAATTAGCTGGGCATGGTGGCATGAGCCTGTAGTCCCAGATACTCAGGAGGCTGAGGCAGGAGCATCTCTTGAACCCGGGAGGCAGAGGTTGCAGTGAGCTGAGATCGCACCACTGCACTCCAGCCTGAGTGACAGAGTGAGACTCCATCTCAAAAAAAAAAAAAAAAAAAAAAAAAACAGAATAAAAATGCACATAGGCACAGATACACACAGACGCACCTTCACAACATAGAGACAGAGTCACGTGCACATAGAGACATAGATATAGTTTCATGGAGAGACACACAGTTATACACAAAAAGACACACACACACAAGTACTCCCATGTATAGAAATAGTCCAGGATACACAGAAAGATGCACAGAAGTTGACACACATAGACTTATATTCACGGAGATACAGAGTGGCGCAGAGAGGTACATTCAGACACCCTATAATAAAGAGATACGCACTCAGAAATGCAGTCTCAGTAACTTTTAGGACTTTTTGCATGCAAGATCCTGAAGGAGTCTTTTGCTCCCATAGAACTGATTTTGCCCAGGCCTATTTCTAGGTGAATGTATGGAACAGGGGATGAAAGCTTTATGGCCTTAGAGTTGGCCACACACTAACTTTCAACAGAAATAGATCCTACTGAGAAATTTTCCCTCACATGAATTTGAAATCTTGGAGAAGGAACAATAATAACAATAATAAAACTATCACTTTGTATGCTGTGGGGAGAGCTCTAGGGAGCAGAGCAAAAGAGCCTGTAATAAGGACACCATGCAGTCTACCAACTTCTCTCATGACTGTGATCTCAAACCAACAATTTGCAGTGAGCTTTACAGTTAAAATGTCGTTTGATCTTCTGAACAACCTAGTGGGCTAAGTTTACTATTTGACCTCATTTCGTAGCTGTGGAAACTCAAGTACAGGGAGGTTAGTTAAGTAACTTTTTCTGGGTCTCTCAGCTAGGTTCATATTCATGGCTGGTCTGAGAGTCTGTGCCTTTTACCACTCCAGCACTGCTGCTTCTCCCACTGAGGAGATGCAGTCTGCCTGTTCTTTCCCTAAAAGTGAAAATAGAGTGTCAGAGAGGCCAGACATCTCAGCCAGGCCTCCTCAGAGATGAACCCAGGCTTTGCATTTGAGTGTTTGGTTCCTGGTATAAGCCTGCTTTCATAAGACAGAGGAGTCTTTGGATCATTTCTTAGGCTGTCTGTGAGCTTGATAGTGTGGGGTTGCTGACTCTGAGCATAAGGACCCAGGACAATAAATAGACAACAATGGCCATGCCATGACTATCCTCAGAGTCAGGATTTTATTTTCCTAAAAGACAAAGGCATTGGAGGTCTTCCCTACTTCTTTCTACTCCTCTATGCTTCTATGAGAAGTGGGCATCTGGTTTTTGTACAACCCAGACCACTGATACTTAAAAGTTCTTAGGTTTGATATGTTCTGGCAGAGTGTCCAGAATGTGTCCTGGCATCCCACTCCTAGGCTGGGATGATCACAGCTTTGGGAGATGTGTTTTCCATGAATGTGGGTCTCACTGTAATGACAAACGCTCATGAGATGAGCAGCCTTCTTGGTTATGGTACCTCATTGTGCAAGCTAGTCCTCTCCTCAGCATATGATTGTGGAGAGGATTGTGGCTCAGCATATAAATATGATGTATACTGTCAATCAACAGTCAATCATGAGTTTATGGAGCATTTATCATTGGCTCACCCCTGTAGGTTCTATAGAGTCTACAAAGTGAGTGTTCCTGTAATCAAGGGGTTTATAATTTAATTCAAGAGGCAAATAATGAGATTAATTAACATATTAAAAACAGTTAAACCAGAGATTAGAGATTGGAAATGGAATGACTGAATCTTATCAGGAAATACTCTCCCCTCCCCCAACATAATGCTTTAAAAATATTTTTAAATGAATTGGTAAGATTTAAATATCAGAATATTTCACATACAAGTTTTAGATAGCTAGGTGGTCCTGAAAATTATAATAGTAGATCTGGCAACTCTGGGCCTATGCAACATTATTTCTACCACATAAGAAATAGTTGGCTAGAGCTGAGTAGCCACTATCTCTGAAATGAAGCATGTGCTAGTCCACTCCCTACACTTCGTATAGTCTTGATTCTCATCCTATTTACTCATTAAGATTACCTGCCTGAGTGCTGCATATATTTAATTCACTATCATGCATAGGCATACATTAATATAAAATTCAGTGATAAATGTCTTAGGAGGCTGAGGAGGGAAAGTCATTGAAGGCTGGAGCAGTCAGGGAAGGCTTCATAAAGGCATTGGTAACTAAGCTGAACTATAAAAAATTCAGGATTTAGGTAAGGGGATGGAGTGTTGGAATGTACTTCTGTGCAGGGCACATAAAAAGAGGCAAAAAGTGAGTACAAAGTTAAATAAATTCTGAATAGATTAAAGGGCTCAATGTGATAAGCAAAAAATTTAAACTTCAGGAAGAAAATATAGGAGGCTATTATATCAGAACTGGGAAGAATTTATTTTAATGACATAAAAAGCGTAAAGCATAGAGGAAAGGATTCAGAAGTTTGACTTCACTAAATTAAAAAAAACCTGTTTATGGAAGAACGTAGAAAACAGTCAAAAGGCAAGCTTAAGAGAGGGAGAATATTTGCAGGGCATAAATGGAGGATTAATATTCAGAATTCATTAAATAAAAACCCCTACAAATCAACAAAAAAAGATAAACAACTTAATGAAAATGTATAAAACATACGAACATTCCATTGGCAGAAAGAAAGCACAATGGCTAGTAAATAACGAAAAGATGCTCAGCCTCAAAAATTTTATCTGGGAAAGCAAAGCAAAACAATCATGATATATCATTTTATACATATAGTGGCATGAGTTTTAAATGTGATAATTCCAAGGGTTTTGGTAAAGTTGGTAAGAATGCTAAAAATTAGCACTTTCACACTCTGCTTATAGGAGAGGAACATGGTACAAAACCTCAGGAAACTATCCTTCATGTTAAGTTGCTATTTTGGCACCAAATCCACTGTTCTCTATTCTGCTTTGGTCTGGAATGCTGCAAAACTGTTAAGTCCAGTGGGAATCTGGAAATTAGGGTGAATGGGGAAGCAACTTGTCTTTCATATCTCTTGCTGTTGGTGTAAGTGTTATCTTATGAACACTCCTTGCACAGGTTTTTATCACCACTCCCAGAAAGAGCTTCATTGTGTCCTCTCATAGGAAACAGCCCATATTTACTATCTTGGAGCTGCCCCATTTCCCTGTGAACTCTTTTCCAAGCTCCTAAACATGAGTACTAGAGCAGCAGCCGTTCCTCAGAGGTCTCATTTGAGCTCCACGGAGCCCTTCTGTCAACCCTCAAGGTTCTGTTAATTCAAATCCCAACCCGTGGCTGGGAGACATTTGAGTTCTAACCAGTCAGAGTAGGGAGTTCTCCCTGAATAGCTAATTCATGTAGTAGAGATCCCAAAAGGTCTATAAGTTAGTTGGAGGGACAAAGTAGCCTTAAAATAAAGATTTCTCTAAATCCAACCCTAAGGAGCTTAAAAATAAACCTCCAAGATAAAGATGATTCATAAGTAACTTGTCTGCCTCATAGAAAAGAAGAAAATAACATTCTAATGAAAAACAATAAATGCTGGCACTCGACAACAAAAAATTGACAAAAGCCATTCTTTGATCACAAATGACTACACAGGGTAAGAAGTAGGAAAGTGCTAACTATAACCAGGAGAAAAAAGAGTCAATAGAAACAGACCCAGAAATAATAATAATGAAGGAGTCAACAAAGACTATAAATAACTACTGTCGAAATGCTTGATGATTTTAAAACATGAACATAATGATCTTTTAAAAAGATGTAAAAAGAATAACAAATTTTACAGACATGAAATACAGTATCTCTAATAAAATATTTTACCAAATGGGCTTAAAATTAGATTATAAAAGATAGAAAAAAGATTACTGAAATTAAGAGGGTATAGATAGAAATTAATTAAAATAAGGCAAAGAATGAAAAAAGACAAAAACCCACAGAAATTTAGTGACAAACAAGAGCATGGATTCTAACATGTGAATTTGGAGTTTCTTTGAAAGATAATGAATCATCAAAGAAAAAATAATGTATTGTGGGCTTATCCTATATGTAGAATTAAAATGTATGACAACAATGCACAAAGGACTCAAAGGGGAATTGAAGTACACTAATTTAAGAGTCTTATACATGAAAGGGTATAATATTATTTGAGGGTAGATTGTGATTAAAGATTCATAGTTTAACCATAGAGTAACTACTGACAAAATAAAACAAAAATGTATATATAGCTAATGAGCCAAAAGTGCAGCTAAAATGAAATACTAAAATATTCTGTTACCCCAAAAGAAGGAAGAAAAAAGGGGACAAAGAACAGATGGTTTACATAGAACAGAATCAAAAAATAAAATTGTATATTTGAACATTACAATGTTGATAATTAAATAACCTAAATGCACAATTAAAAAGCAAAGATTATAAAACTAGATTTAAAAAGAAGATCCAGTTATATTCAGCTTACTGGAAACACATCCTAAATGAAAAGACCCAGATAGGCTTAAAGAAAAGGGCTGAAAATGTATTTGAGAAAGAAAGGAAATTTTTTATCTGAGGGATGTGGGCCCCTTTAAATTATCAGGCCCAAAAAGGCATTGAAATGTGACAGGAGTTAAGTGTCACTCCCAGCTTGAGCTAAGAAAGTAATTACCCCTCGAAGCCACTTGCTATAAGGCTCTAGGCTGACTGATGCTAAGTAGTCCTAAAATTAACCTAACAATGCCATATACTGGACACTGTAACTCATACTCTGTAGTTCAACAGTGTATAGCTAATCACTAATGCATGTTATTTTTGTAAAGCAGTGAGGATTCTTGTTAAATAACTTTGTATCAACCTACTCCTTGTTCCCTTTTGTCTTTAAAAACCTATTGGTAAACACACCTGGGCCTGTGGTGGGAGGTGGGGCAAGGGGAGCGAGAGCATTAGGACAAATACCTAATGCATGTGGGGCTTAAAACCTAGATGACTGGTTGATAGGTGTAGCAAACCACCATGGCACACGTATAGCTGTGTAACAAACCTGCACATTCTGCACATGTATCCTGGAACTTAAAGTAAAATATAAAACAAGCAAACAAAGCTATTGGTAACAAAGGCAGAATAGAGCACTTCTCAAGGCAACTTGGAAGTATTTTTTTTTCCTGGGCAGCTGTCCACACTTTGGCTCAAGTAAACTAATACAGTTTGGCTGTGTCCCCACCCAAATCTCATCTTGAATTATAATCCCCATAATCTCCATGTGTTGAGGGAGGGACCAGGGGGGAGGTGATTTGATTATGGACGTGGTTTCCCCCATACTGTTTTATGAGTGAGTTCTCAGGCGATTTGATGGTTTTATAAGTGTTTGACAGTTCCTCCTTCACAGGCTCAGACCCCCATCTGCTGCCCTAATAAAGAAGCCGCCTGTTTCCCCTTTGCCTTACACCGTGATTGTAAGTTTCCTGAGGCCTGCTAGCCATGCTTCCTGTTAAGCCTGTGGAATTGTGAGTTGGCTAAACCTCTTTCCTTTGTAATTACCCGGTCTCAGGTAGTATTCTTTATAGCAGTGTGAGAATGGACTAATACATACACTTTTTAACATTATATTTTGTACCTCTGCTTCTTCTTTAGGTTGACATATTTAAGATGAAGAATAATCACACGAGAGCTGGAGTGGCTGTGTAATATCAGTAAAAATAGTCTTCAGAATAAGGATTATTTCTAGTGATAAAGAGGAAAATTTTATAATGATAAAAGAGTTAATTATCTACAAGACAACAATCCAAAGTGTGTATGTACAATAACAGTGTTTCAAAATACATAAAGCAAAATTTAGCATTACTGAAAGAAGTAAAATCCATAATTATGATTGAGATTTCAAAACACTACTCTAATATTTGGTTTAATACTTAATAATTGTCAAGGAGAAACGGTAATAATAGAGAAGGTTTGAATAGCGTGGTCAACCAACTTGAACTAGTTGACCCTTGTAGAGCACAACACTCAACTGGAGCAGAAAATAACCCTTTCAAATGCAAATGGAATGCTTAAGGTGGGCCACAGGCTGGGCCACAAATAATTCTCAGTAAATTATGAAGATTGAAGTGTATATGGAGTATATTCTGTGACCACAGAAGTAAATCGGAAACCAATAACAGAAAGATATCTTTGATACCTTTGAAACTTGTAACTAAACATTACACACTTCCAAATAATTAATGGATCCAGGAGGAAATCAACAGGGAAAATATACGTGAATATAAATGAATACAGAACATCAAAATGTGTGGAATATGGCTAAAGCTGTGATGGGTGGTATAGTTTTCAATGCTTATGTTGAAAAACAATGTCTATAAGCAATTATCTAAGCTTAAGCCTTAAGAAAGAAGTAGAGGATGAAGACCGAATTAAACCTAACGAAGTACAAGAGATAAATTAATAAAGATAAGAACTGAAATCAGTACAGTTTTTTTTTTTAAGAAAAGGAAAAAAACAAAGAAAAGAAATACTTAAAAAAAAAGAAAACTTCAGTGGTAAAAAAGAAAAAAACTTCAGTGGCATGGGAGTCACTGTTTGAAAAGGCTTCCACTGGCCAAATCTGGGATATGTGAGCATCAAAATAATTAACTATAGTTATAAATTATGAGCTACTAAAACATAGAAAATGATAATCCCACACTGGTAATAGATAGATTGATGAATTAAAAAACAAATAGATTCTTACTTACAGTAAATACTGAGACTTGACCAATAATTGTTGAGGTCAGGTTAGAGTTAGGGAATTGCTCATTTTATGATCACCATAATAAATATTGTGCCAGGCAAGAATCACTAATAGCTGCTAAATCTGGGGGGAAGTTTTGATGATGGGCAAGATATTTGTGTGTTCCTAAAGTGTCACCTCAGAGACTGTTTATTAGTTACAAGGGTGAAATAAAATGTGATATCCTAAGGGGGACACCACATCACTGATTCAATATTCTTAACTAAGAATAAATAACTAATCACAGTAAAACATCCAAAAAGCACAGAAGGAGAAATATATTCATTTCTAAACATCAACATCATAAAAGACAAAGATTGTGGGAATGCTGCAGATTAAAGAAGCTGCTATGGATTAAATGCTTGTGTCCCTCCAAAATTTACATAGTGAAACCCTACTCTCTAATGTGACGGTATTGGGAGATAGGGTCTTTGGGGAGGTAATTAGAATTAGATAAGGTCCTGAGAGTAGAGCCCTCATGAATGGGATTAATATTCTTAAGAGCCCTTGGTAATTCTTAAGAGCCCTTGTGTAATTTTTCCTTCGTTCGTATTTGGTTGATTTAAATGCTTTTTTCTTTTTTCCAGATCACATGTAGTTAATTTTTAAGGAAAAAAAAAAGATACCATTTGGAACTTGCCTTCTTTCCTTCACTCCCTAGTGCACATTTTCTGGTTCAAAATCTTTCTAGAGTGTCTGGACAAGATTTCCGATTTTCAGAGATCTTCTGGAAAGATGAAAGTATGGATAACAGGACAAGAAGGCGACTGTGCAGGTTCCTCCCTCTCCCTCATAAGAATGAAGGTGGCTCTCACACCTAATTAGATCCACAGTGTGTAGGGATTCTTTAGAGATGTCTGACAACAGCAGGCTCTTATCCATACCAGAAGATCATTTCACTTTGGAAATTCAAACCACACATCCCAGCTCACCTGCAAACATCTGCTGTTAATTGATAGCACCATCAGGTACTTATTTCAGCTCTTTACTCTGTTGTAAAAGCATCTGTGCAGCCACCTTCCTGAAATTGTTTATTCCAAAATGACATACTGGAAGCATAGGCCAAATAGGTGGGTTTGCTGAAGTCTACAAGCTTCATTTCCTTGCTCTTGAATGAACATTCCTGATGCCTTCCCCTTGTCATTTTTAATGATATCAGTGCGTTACATTTGGGAAAAATCATAATAATGTGTTCAATAAGTAACTTGGGAAGAAATGTGTTCATCTGATTTGACCAAAAGCTGATGGCCATACATTTCCTAATCTGAGTAATTTTTGGAGCGGTGGGTGATTATGGATTATGATCATACAACTTGGATTGCATCTGTCACAGGCACTTTTGCAGTGTGTTCTGCAAAAGTGGTAACTTTGAATACATCCATACTCTTTACCTTGTTCAATTAGCAGCTTCTTGAATTATTTATTTCACAGTTTAATTTGCAGTGGTGTCATTAGGGCCAGCTTCATGAGCCCATGACCTCTGCAGCTATTTAGGAGGCCCTGCATTTGGTTTAATACTCTGTAGTTTCTGTCTTGAAATTCTTCATACGTTTTGGACAAGGAGATCTGAATTTTTATTATTCACTTGGTCCCACAAATTATGTGGCCAGTCCTGGGTGTCATTGAGCGGCAATGGCATTAGAGTGGACCAGTCAGAATCAAGTAATGAAATGAGCACAGAGCTTGGTCCCTGGTTAGCTGTGTGACCTGCAGTAAGTTTGGTTCTTGTTTTTTTCAGTGGGAAATAAAATTAAAAAAAATAACTACTCCCACTTACTACCAAATTCTTACAATACCTAAAATGAAATGATGTATGTGAAGATACAATATAAGCTTTAATCAATGATATGAATATATTAGTACTATCTATTCATTTACTTTTTCTTTATAGACCTGAAGTCAAGTTATGACTTTGGCACAAGTTGATTAACATTAAAGTCTTAGTGGCTGAGAAATATCTGTGGTAGGGGAAATAGTGTCATCCTAGTTGGCCTGCTTGAAATGTTCACTTGCTGAGCTTTTGTAATAGGTATACATTTTAGCATTTGGGCCATATAATGACTATTGTTTTAGTTTAGTTCTGCACCTGATATCCTAAAAAAAAAAAAAAAAGGCCCGGCTTCAACCGAATAAGAACCTGAAAGAAACCTAGTATTCTGCTTTCTAAAATTTTTTAGTGGAAAGAGAATCAGCTTTGGCATCAGATAGTTTTGGTTCTACCCATTTTGCTGTGGCTTTAGGGTGAGACCTCTGAACTTCAATCCGTTAAATGGAAAATTAAGTGAGAAATTCCAGAGTTGTTGTGAGGCTGCAAAAAATCACTCTTTGTAAGGTGTCTACCCCTGTAGGGCCTCAATAGGTGGCAAATATTATTATTTATTTTTCATCATTCATTGAACAAAGCTGGAGGCATCACATTGCCTGCCTTCAAATTATACTACAGGGTTATAGCAACTAAAATGGCATGGTACTGGTATGAAAGCAGACACATACATAGCTTATCAGAATAGGATAGAGAACCCAAAAATGAAGCCACATACTTAGAGCTAACTAGTTTTTGACAAAGTCTACACAGACATACACTGGGGAAAGAACACCTTTTAAAATAAATAGTGCTGGAAAAATTGGATCCTTGTCTTTTACCATATACAAAAATTAGCTCAAGATGAATTAAAGACTTGAATGTAAGACTTGAAACTATAAAAATACTAGAAGATGTAATCCTAACACTTTAGAAGGCTGAGGCGGGTGGATCACTTGAGGTCAGGAGTTCGAGACCAGTCTGGCCAACATGGTGAAACCTGTCCCCACTAAAAATAACAAAATTAACCTGGCATGGTGGTTCACACCTATAATTCCAGTTACTTGGGAGGCTGAGGCAGGAGAATCGCTTGAACCTGGGAGGTGGAGACTACAGTGTGCCAAGATGGCGCCTTTGCACTCCAGCCTGGTAACAGAGCCAGACTCCATCTAAGAAAAAAAAGATTTCTAGAAGAAATCCTAGGAATAACTCCTCTAGACACTAGGCAAAGAAATCATGACTAAGACTTCAAAAGCAGAGGCAACAAAAACAGAAATAGGCAAATGAGATGTAAACTGCAAAGTTTCTGCAAATAAAAGAAATAATCAACAGAGAGAACAGACAACTTGTAGAATGGGAAAAAGCATTTGCAAACTATATATCTGACAGGGGACTAATATCCAACATTTACAAGGAACTCAACAAAAAACCTCAAATGATCCCATAAAAAAGTGGGCTAAGGACATGAATAGACATTTTCAAAAGAAGACGAACAAGTGGCCAACAAGCATATGAAAAAATGTTCAACATCAGTAATCATCAGAGAAATGCAAATTAAACCCATAATGAGATATCCTCTTACACAAATCAGAATGGCTGTCATTAAAAAGACAAAAAAACAAAAACAAAAACAAAAACAGATATTGGAGAGGATGTGGAGAGAAGAGAATTCATACACATTTGGTGAGAATGTAATTAGTACAACCTCTATGGAAAACAGTATGCAGATTTCTTAAAGCACTAAAAACAGAGCCACCATATGATCCAGCAATCCCACTATTAACTGTCTACCTAAAGGAAAAGTAATCATTATATCAAATAGATACTTGCATTCTTATGTTTATTGCAGCAGTATTCAAAATAGCAAAGATATGGAATCAACTTAAGCATCCATCAAGGGAGGACTGGATAAGGAAAATGTGGTAAATATGCACAATGGAATAATATTTAGCCATACAAAATAATCTTTTAATAATACAAAATAATCTTTACAAAAATGTCTTTTTCAGCAACATAGATGGAACTGGATTCTATTATTTTAGGTGAAACAACTCAGACACAGAAAGACAGATACTACGTGTTCTCATTCATAAGTGGGCACTAAATAATGTGTACACATGGAAGCAGAGTATGGAATGATAGACAGTGGGGACTTAGAGAGGTGGGGGTTTGCCGGGGTTGGATGGTGGGAGGTTGCTTGGTGGGTACAATGTATATTGCTCCAGTGATGGATATACTGAAGGCCCTGACTTCACCACAATGTAATATATTAATGTAGCAAAATTGTACTTGTACCCCATGAATAATACACAAATTAAAAAAATATTTTTTCACCTTTTGTTGTATACTCTTGTTTCACCAATGTTGTGTGCTTGTGTGTGTGTGTATATGTGTGTGTGTACATGTCCACACTTGGATCCAGAAGTCTTTGACATCATAGACTGTGGTCTACTTTTCTTTTTAATTACTTACAACTTTTAATACTGTGCTGAGCATTTAACAAATAGGTTCATAAAACCTATTTCATGATTGATTTTTTTGACAGAAATAAATTTAAAAATCAGCTCAGCTCTGTCTAATGTACTTAAAAACAGCAAAATTGCATCCTGGCAGACTCATCATGATTTCAATAAGATTCTAAGAGCTTTTCCTCATCTGTATCTAGGCTACAGACACATTTTTTAATAATCATCCTGTGGAACTCTTTAGTTCAGAAATTTCATTTAGAGGACTGATACATTTGTTCTGAGTCATTCCATGCTATATAAGAGTGCAAGGAGAAAGCTGTGCATAAATTTTCAGGACAGTGCCTGGCTCTCATTTCTGAAAGAACTAATGTGGTGTCATAGTCTATAAACTGGGGGTACTGGGTAGTTAGTGATAGAAAATATTGCTCAAGAGATTGGTGCCTGAGCACAGAGAATAGGATTGGAACACAGGAGGGGAACTAGAAGCCATACAATAGTGTCAGAGTAACAAGGAGTGTGGCTAGAGAGTGAAGGAGCTTAGTGGTCAGCACTGAACCTTGCCTTTCTAGAAATCCTAATAAGAAGAATGGGCTGGTCTTAGTTAAGCTTCACTAGATTTGGGGAGGAGAACAAGGGAAAGGGGTGAAAATGAATATTTTTTTTTTCTGCTAGAAGCCTAGTTTAGCATAGAGTTAGAGCAGAACTGAATCTGCAGGTGGGAGACCCGTGGGCTTAGTGGTGGTGGATTAAAGAGATGAAAAGCAAAGGAAGTCAGGCAGAGGGGCTGGACTTCTCTTTCCACCAGACATACTGCATTACTGTGTGAGTTCCTTTGCCGTTATCTATACTGAGATAGAAAGCAGACTGTAGGCTCATAGGCATGTTTGCATGGTCAAGGGTTTCAAGAAAAAAGGAAATATTGGGTGGATTTAATATATTTAGATGGTTATCATTATATAATAGTAAAATAATAAACTTAATCATGATTAGCATTTATTAACTACTTCTGCATGATGCTCACTGTGCTAAAAGCTTTAAATTAATTATATCCTTTCTACAAGGCTATGAAGTTTTTAGTACAGAAATTCCTGTTTATACATAAAGAAACTAAGGCCTGAAGAGGTAAAATAATTTCCCATGGACAGACAGCTACTGAGTAGCACAGTCACAATCCAAACTAGACAACCTGAATTCAAAATCTATATACTTAATCTCCAGCCTCTGCTATTACCCCATTGATGATATTGCTGATAGCCAGTTGATGCCCCAGGTTTATCAGGTGCAGATTCTGAGGTGTGAGTTTTGGTTTTGCTTTATTTTTTCAACTTCAGCTGCATGATAAGGATTAGCCTTGAACCCAATATCTTGTTGTTTTCTAACAGTACAGCTGTTGCCCTGTGGTTTGGGGTTGTGTAAAATTCTCTGACTTTTATGAATAAGTCTAATGTGCTGGGTATCTTGCCCAAAGTCCAGCTGGCATGACGCTACTCAGTCTATTAGGCTAAGCTGCTCCCCATGATGGATAAACTATGGTCCTAGCTTATGACTTTGGTAAGCAAGCGTGGTGAAAGTTCAGACTATTCAAGCTGTGGATCACTGTGGAACTTTACCATGGCTGATACTGAGTAATCATGATTTCCCTTAGGAAATCTCTTCACCCTCTTCCTTAATGAAAATGGGTTTGTTGAGATCACTTATCTTCTGACATGCCATCCACTTCAGTACCAGTTATTCTGGGAAAATTTTTATTTTAAATAATTACTCCTCTGTGCACTTATCCAACTGGCTTCTAAAATTCATTACCAATGGTCAACATCAGATCATAGCAGATAATAAAAGGGAATCTCTTACTTTATAATTCAGTTGGTAAAATGAATAGAGCATAAATGAGCGTAGAACATAAACTTGGTTTTTCTGGGGTAGAAATGACATGTCTGTCATGATGAGGATGTAATCTTGGTGCTTCTTAGGAAACTGGGACTTTAGAAATGAGTTTAGTAACTATAAATCGGCTGTCACTTTAAAATAATTCCCAGAAAATGGTTGTAATTGTATTCACTTGATATAAAAAATTCTTAGAATATGGTAATCTTTAAAATTTTATGGTATTTCTTTGTTGAAGTAGAATTTAGGAATTACTATAAGCCAAAAAATATTAGATACTTCTACACTTCCATCCAATTGCATAGAATGTCACTTACACTGAAAAATATGTTCTAATACATTTTGCTTCAAATCTTTGTTTTCTCCAGCTTGAGATATAATTGAAAAATAAAAATTGTATAGATTAAAGGCAAAAAACATGATGATGTGGTATACATATACATATTACCACAATCAAATTAATCGACATATCTATCACCATGCTTTTTAAGTAAATAATACAATATTAGTAACTATAATTACCATGTTGTACATTAGATCTATAGAATTTATTTGGCTTATAACTGAAAGTTTGTATCCTTTGTCCAATATTTTTCCGTTCCCTGCCCCCACATGCTGGGCCAGCCCCTGATAGTCACCTACTAATCACTTTATGTTTCTGTAAATTAGACTTTCTAGATTCCACACACAATTGAGATCATATGGTATTTGTCTTTCTGTGAATTTGGAAAAAGAAAATTATTTACTGAGTAAATAACTGAAATTAATTACATAGCCTGTCTCATTCTAAAACTTATTTTTTTTTGCTTTTTCCCATTATATGTTATACTGTATCTGACATAAAGTAAATAAATTTATATCACGTTTGTAATAACTTACATTCTGCCTACTTTCTAAACAGAAACAGGTGTGGTGTAGAAATTTGAATAAGCAGGAAGAACAGGGTGAGAATGTGTCAGTTGAATAGATTTAATTTGGAGTTTCTAAATACCACATGATACAAAGCAAACTTTAGGATGACTAAACTTCCCAGCAGGTTTCACAGGGGAAAGGTCTAATAGTCATTTCTCTTTTAATCACCATACCTTTTTAAGACATTCATAGAGAAAGATCCTGCCTTGATATCAACCGTTTAAACCACCCGGGACAGTTTTTCTACCACTTTGTCACAAGTGGCCACATTCATATAGAAGTCAGACCATTCATTTCTTGACTTTTAGAAACTCTTGAGAGTGGAGATTGTGAGTTTCCAATTTTGATTCTTTAGTACTTGGCATAAAACCTGAAAAAATAGTTGTTAAGTACTGGGTGCTTCAGCCCATGGATTTCTGCAGACTCAGTAGTCTTTCAATTCCCAAAGATGAGCTTGTCCCTCTTTCCTCGCTTACATTCTAAAAAGCCCCCAGAAACACTTGCCTGATGTTAAGGATGGCCTGCACTTTCTTTCCTGCCATATTTGCTACCTCGCTCCAAGGGCTTATGAAACCTGCTTAGACAGTCATTTCAGTATTTGTTCATTCTAAATTCTGTGGAGTACTTCCTTAGCTCTGGCCTTAAACTTACTGCTGTGCCTCACTTTTCCTGGCTTTTAGTCTAGCACTTGATTTTCTTTACTTAACATTCGTTTTATGGGAATAGAACTTACTTCAGAACTTTTGTTCTCTCTCTTGCCTTCTTAAGACTGAAGTCATTGGAACCTCCTTTTCCGGAGCTTTCTGGTGAGTAGGTTTGAGTCATTGCAGGAATGTAGGTTTGCTTTGGAGAGAAACTAATGTTTGCTTCTGGAGGTCTGGCTGAAATGCACTCACTCTGGGCAGTGTTCCTGGTGGCTGCCTGATCGTTGGAATATTATACTTGCTTTTACAGTCTTTTTCTCATTCACAAATAGGGCCTGTTATATCAAGGTTACTTTCAGTTCCCTCATTTCCACCCCAACATAGCTTTGTTTTACACGATAAGCTTTTGTTTTTTTTAAACTTGCATGAATATAAAGATTTCACCCTACAACTTTACCCTCTCCATTAACCTATTCCCATTCTCCCTGCCTTCCCATCAGAACTATTTCTGTGTGGGTGTTTGCTGACTCTGCCCTCACTCTTGCCTATAGGTGCGTATGGATGAGAATATTTCTGCTGATAAGACAATGACTTTGAGATGATGATTTGTCATCAAGGTCTTCATAACATTTCATCTTGACTGTAGAGACTCACTGAATATCATCTGAGCCTCTGCTGTGGTTGCTGCCCATACAATAAAAATGAATATTATTATCACCTGAATAAAATGGTACATATGTAATGATCTCAAAAGGCCTTGAAGGTGAATAGCCTTTGAAGAAAGGGACAAGGTCATTTTGAGTTAATATGGAATATTAAGTATATCATTGCTGAATTTGGAAAAAGAAAATCATTTCAGTCCAAGATAGACATTGAAGAAAGTTTGTTTAAAAAGGCAGGTCACGTATTCTACTGCAAGCTCACTGCTAACAAGGTTAGAGTTAATAGATTGTTGATCCATTTAGTGTTTAGTAGCAGGCTAATTTTTTCATCAGCTATGCAGTTGGGCATTTGTCTGTTTCAGAGGCCAGTCCAATAAACACCTTTCATTTGATATTACTTTCTAATGTCTTGAAGCACATGCCTTGGATGCAGTAAATTCTGTGCATTGCTACAGTCACCATGGGGCATTGATATTCCTGCCATTTTAAGCACTCTTTTTTTCTGAGGTTTACTTTTCTCTGTCCCTCAGGAGACTGGTAAATCCTTTCTAGTGTGGAAAGGCTTGGGCTTGCAGGCATGGAGATAAGGGTGGAATTTGATTGTATCGTCCCATGCTAACATTTGCTCCACTTGACTAAGGTTCTGATTATGTGGGATTTTATTCAATATTGTGATGAGGAACTTGAAATAGTACTTTGCCAGTTATCTTCCTGGTGCCCAAGAACTTCTAATCTTTGAATAATAACAGAGAAATCTTGTGATAGTACTTAAGCCTTGAAGTCCTTGAATTTTGAAGAAGAAAATACTAGACTTAGAAAGAACGGACATTAAACTCCAAGATACATGGATGTGTGTGTGCACACGTGCATCTGTATGTGTGCACATGTGCATGTGTATGTGTGCATTCTAGGTTTCAGTGAAATTAAAGCCATGTTATTTTTTCCCTGATTTCTATTGATAAATAATTGAAAATCTTTTTAGTAAATGAAATGAAGATGCTTAATCTGCTGCATCTCCTATGGGGATCTAACACTCTTGAAAGGCAGCATAGTGCAGAGTTTGAAAGTATAAACCTTGCAGGCAGGAGCCTGTGTTAAAATATTGCCTCTGCCACCAGGGAGCTGTGAAACCTTGAATAAGACACTAGATAACTCTGGTTCTGTGTTGTTTTCTGGAAAATATGGAAAAATAATAGTTTTGTTCATAGAGATTTCAGAGAATTAAATGAGGTATTATATGAAAAATGTTTAAAACAGTGCTTGGATAACTCCTTGGGAAAATGTCAGGCTTTTGCTTCTAGGGCTAGATATTTTTATTGCTATCAGCCTAATATTTACTTCTTTTCACTGTATCCCCCTTGATTTAAATGATTTCTTCCCCCTTTTCTAACTTTACTGCTTTCTTGTCTGAATTCAGTGATTATAAGTGGCACTTATAGTTTTTTTACCCCAACAATTGTTAGCAGAAAGGTATAAAGACACAGTTACAAGCAGAGATTGTCACCCTATTTGGTTCCTGTGGCTGGATTTCATTAAGTCATTCAACTAACATTTAGTGGATTTTTTCTTTGGGCTAAATACTGATGTAGGTTTGGGAATATAAAAGTGAAATATGCAACACTTAAATTTGACCATTATTAAATTCAAAGAGTTTATAATCTAGTTTGAAAGATCATAATTGGTATGTTGTCATCTATAAGAGACTTTGGAGACAAATAAAGTCACATTAATGTTTAATGTTGAAATCATAATGAAGGTGATATCCACTTGCTTGTTAGTCCTCAGCCTTCACTTTCTGGCCTTAAGAATCTCCTCACTTAATTTTAAAAGTCCAAATGGGGTCTGTCACACTTGCCACCCACATATTCCTGCATTTCTGAGTACTCTTTCCAATGAACCAGAGCATTAATTCAAATGATGCCTTTTTGTTTTACCCAAACAATTTACACTCAGAATGTCAGGATACATTGATTGTAAGTTGTGATTCCTGCCCCTGATAGGGACCCTCTAACCTGCTTATGACAAGGACTCTTCATTTCTCTGCCCTGTTCCCTCTCCACCCAAATTGTTCCTCTTTTCCTTGTGTGTCTGCTGAAATGGTGAGGAAGGCAGAGTCTGTTATCTTATACAGAGGATGGTGGTTTCTGGAGTTTTGAGAAATCAGAAGTATGGAATGAACAGAAGGTTATGGAATTGAGGGAATCCAGAAAACCTTCCCAGGAGATGGCAGCACCGTGTTGAATAATGTAAAATGTCAAGGAAAATCCCTTGACTCTGGGTGGCAACAATGCCACCCTGTTGGAATTATGTCAGGCAGTGATATTTTTACACGGTACCATTTGAGTCTTACATTTTTCCCATAACTTAATTATCTATGCAGTAGTGGAACAATTAGGATATGATTTGTGTATGGAATCACAGAGGGATTAATGTGACATTTGGCAACTGTGGTGCAGATCATAACACACAGATCTTTTTCCTGCTTAAGGAGTAGTTATCTCTGCTACAGAAGAGACTTGGGAGAAGAACCTGTCTCTGCAATTCCAAGATACCTTCATCACCCTTGAAACAGCTCATACACCTCATTCCATGGTTTTCAGGCTCCTCTTCATTGTCTCAGGCTTCCTGTGGAGCAAATCTTAGTCTGCTAGATGCCAGATGAGTTGGGGCTTAAAAAGCACTTGATGTAACCTCAGCTACCACCTCACTATCACTTAGGACCTGTGAGCAGCAATCCCCTATGGCCGGTGGCTCCAAAATACTGCTTTCTTTTACATCGTTCATGGAAGATAAAGATGGGCAAGCAAACTAGTCATTACTGCCATTAGGAAATAGGCTTTCAAGCCAAAAATAAAGGGGGCTATTAGAACAGTGCATTTTTCTGGGTATCCATTTCAGACGAGTCTGGATAAAGCCTTGCAGACATTACTATAGGGAACAATTTCACATTATCTCTAGGGCTGGATCAGGTGACCTGTCTGTAATGGGCCCTTTTTTCACTCTACTCTCTTCAAAAATCCTATTGTGATGGAAATGGCCTGGCCAAATCTGCTTCAATTGCAGCCAGACTTCAAAAGCCATTTTTGTAACTGCTTTTTATGAAAGTATTTAAAGGTGTAATCTCCAGATAAATTTCTCCATTTATCTCCCTTATAGAAATAGAAATTATTAATAAGAAAGAAATAATTAGTCCAATGTATCCCTTATACATGCCATTATGAAATCTTGCCTACCTTGGATGTTTTAAATACATTCTGCATGTTTCCATAATTATAAATACCCTCCTGTCTCTTTTTTTCCTGCTAAGAAAAAAATATCTCTAGAAAGCACTTATCGAAGGCTTATAATCAAATGTGCAAATAATATGCTTAGAGAACATTAAAATAGCTCTAATAGGTTGGCAATTCATTTTTTTCATTATATATGATGAAAAACTTGAATAGCAGTTTTTCTTAATGCTTTTACCATAAAGAATAAAATTCCACACTAATGTAATTCTAAAATTTAGTGTTGCCTGTACTTTTCATAAAACAAATGAACAGGACAGCTCTTGTGTAGGAGAGAGCCTGGGCTCAGTAAGACGTGAGGGACTAGACAATCTGAAATACTTTCCTCCTCTTTTAGAACTGGCAGGAAACCAAGCTCCTTCTTCTCCTCTCTTGGATTTAATAAAGAATATATTTCTGTAAAATAATGAATCTCTTTAAAAATGCTGTTGAAGAGTCTGTGGGACTCTTGATTTGGAATAGAGCCATTTCTCTTTGTTCCTATGGGTCACTGTGTCAAGTTTCAATGATCTAGAGATATGTTAAGCAAGGTAATGAGTTCTCCAGGGTCCTTGAAGCAATAGGACTAGGCATCAGCTCTAGTTCTTTCTCAGCTGGGCGTGATCTGCTCATGTTGGCAGTATCCAAACTAGCCTAAGTACCATGCAGAGCAGCTCAGAGTCCTCCCTCTTTGAAGCAGTAAGGTTAATATGTACAGCACTGTGAGGACAGGGCAAAATAACACTGAGTTGCATCTATTTGATGAAAGCCAAAGAAGAGCCCAGGGAATTTTGAGCAAATCTTGATTATGTTTACTCGCGGAACTATAGTTTTATTATCTCCACTACTTTTCTTACATGGCAGAATGTTGTTACTTTATGCAATATTGCTGCTAACGAACATTTTAGATGAATAATGCTAAATAAGAAAAAGATATAAGCCCTCTTTTAAAGAATCTTTATGGCCCATACTTTTGTAATATCATCTTATATGAAATATGCGTAATAGTGACCATTTCTTTATTACATTTGCTGATGACTCTATGAATGTCTATTGATACCCAAGGCTTGGATTCCAGTTAATTATCGTGATTTTTTGTTAACATAACACCTTCTATTCCAAGGAATTACGAAGCATGGTGAAAACCAGCCTCATCAGTATTTATGGATCTCTTCATTTGTTAAGTGAGAATGCAGCCTGAGATAAATTACCCTAAGTAATTTTAATCAAGAGCTTAATTTTAATGATCACCTGCACAAATAAAATAAGAGAAGTGATGAAACCATCATTATTAAGGTAAGCCACATAAGTCTCTGAGGGAAGTTATTTTTAGCAATGTTCATTAAGGATTTCTGTAAACTCTGAATAGAATAACAGGATGGCAGAACAAAGCCACAAAAAACAGCATAAATATCTATTACAAATATGTAATTAAATCTTAGGAAACATCTTATTTTGTACTCATTGACAATTGCTTTGGCATTGTACTTTAGTTGTTTAATATGTAACTTGTCTAGTTCTATGACCAGGTTGAATATTTCTGTAAGGCAGTGTCTACACTGTCTCAAAGATTTTAATTTCTCCATGAGTGACCAGAATCTAACACAAGTTCAAAATTAGCTCTTCTGTAACTAAACATTCAAGGGAATAGACAGGCAAAATTAGTTTGGGCAAGTGGGAAGGGACAGAAAAGAATAAAACATGGTAAGATACGTGACTTACTGGTAGAACAAAAAACTGATTTTGGCTTTTTGCATAAGCATGGAAGACTATAGGTTGCCATTTCTTAGAATTAAGGAAATAATGCATTTCAAATACCTGTATCCATGTACTTTACTATTTAGTTTTTCTGGATTTAAGCTGTGCTGAGTTTCATGGCAATGATATTAAAACATAATAAATGATGTTTAGTGAATAAATTGCCCACTGTTGCTTAGTACCAAAGTCTAAGTACCAAGTACTAAGTACTTAGTACCAAGTCTTCTTCATCGTATCTACATTGTTTTACTATTATTCCTTCCTTCCCTTTCTTCTTCCCTCCCTCACTCCCTTCCTTGCTTCTTTCTTTCCCCTCTCTCTCAACAGCTTATCTCTGTCCCTTTTTTTTCTTTCTTTCCTAACAGTACAAAACAGCATGCCTTTCTGTGTTACACAAGATTTGTCTAATGCTATTACAATTACAGACTTAATTAGGCCAAATATTCACTCAAGGGGTGAATTGAGGATGGTATTAAAAAGATCTGTAGCTTCTTCATTTATCATTTTCACAAATATTTATGGTACCTGATCTCCATAAATGCCATCTTACCTTAACTTCTTGAGCCTGGGGACCTAGGAATGCATATGTGTTTATCAGACTGTGCAGTGAGAACAAAACAAAACCTTGGCTTTGAGATCATCTACTATTGGCATTTTCTGAAATCTCTTCCTAATGATGGAGCTACATTTCCCTATAATGCAAAAGATACTGTACTTGTGCTTCTTTCTAATAGTTTGCCCTTACTGAGATAGACAATTAGTACAGGGAAATTGGAGAATATGAAATGCCCAGTTAGTTGCTAATGAAGTATGAATATGCATTTCTACTGCATATAGAGTAGACTCACCCTTGGTAATTGTTTTCACTTTGACTCCAGGGTTCGCTGCTGAGAGGCTTAGAAACTCATCACCTCAGTTTTAATTCTTGGCCTCACTAGTTGCTACAGAGAATGGTGAGATAAAAGCATAGGAAAGGCTGTAAAAATTGGGAAGCAGGAAAGGAAAATATGTGTTTCTTTCCATCGCCACTGCTCAGATAGCTGCAAAGACTGAGCTAAATATTCTCATAGTAGAAGCACTTCATTTCTGGTGGTATAGCTCTGACCATAACTGCTGCTTCTGAGTCCTTGTGCTTGACTGGTCAGGCTGCACACACTTACTGAATAAACTGGGAGCTGTGAAAGATTTTAGGGTTATTGGTGGGAAGTTTGGTTTCATCCTTAAAAGCTCTGAACTTAGACACACTTTTAAATTGTCTTGAACACTTATCAGCAGTGCGATCTAGGGAAAAGTGCTTAATGTTTCTCTACCTCAGCTTCCCTTATATAAAAAAGGGAATTATAATATCTAAAAATGATGTAGTGAGTAGTAAATAAAAGATGCATTTAAAGCGTTTAGTGGAATCTTCAATGTTTGAGAATTATTAAGTGATACTATTATACTAATGAGTGTCAATCATGTACTATGTTATAGAGCACATTTAGGCTGAGTTATAGAGTTGAATAAATACTGGTTTTTGTTTAATGAGAGAAGGTGACATGGCAAGTGCTGCAATACAAATGTCTACATAGCACTGTGGAAAAAGGAACATTATAAATAGGTTTTAATAGTTTAACTGACAAACATCAAGGAGTTTAGTGTGTCTGGGCATCCTTATCTGATTCTTGGGGGACAGCAAACCCTGTTTGGGTCATAGTGGATATAATGGAAAGAAGTGGGAGAGAGGTGCAGGTAAAAAGTGAGCTTGTCTGGGGCTATGACAAAGTTATAGAATCCAGGATTAATGAGGCTCTTCTGCCAAATGAGATGTCATCATGGACATCTCAGTCCTTCCAAATTGGTTCATCTCCTGATGTAGAATTCTCCAGGTCTCCAAAGCTTCTCAGAGGTAAAGGATGCATCTTACATGCAAAGGTCTTTTGGGTGTGTCTCTACAGGAAACATCTGCTTTACTAAGTGAGTGTAGGATTCCATTTCCTCAGTAGCTCTGTTGGGTCAGACTATAAGCAGAGTTAGAGAACTGCTGAATGTGGCTGCCAAATTCTCCCCTGGGCTTTGTGCAGGAGACAAAAAAATGAATAAGACGTGACATCTGATGTCAAGGAACTTAAAATATGGATAGGTATTCTATTAGGTTTTCAGAAAGGTATTGTCACTTGAGTCAGAAATTCAAAAGACAATGAGCACAGGAGGGTAAGGATTACATAAATGTTACTCTTCAGATCCAGGGTTCAAATTGGAGCATTTTATATTATAGTATGGGTTGCTGTAACCCCATTGAAGATGATGAAGCTTGGCATACTGGCTCTGCAATTCACCATCTGTAAGAAGTGGGCAATTCAACCTTTCTAAACCTTGGTTTTCTCATGTGTAAAATGAGAATAATAGTAGTATGCCCCTGCAAGGTTACTGTGAGGCGATGAGCTTAAATAGGTCAAATGCTTATCAGTTTCTCCTCCAATAGATACTTAGTGAATGATAGCTATTATTTTTAGAGGAAATCAACTGACAACCCATGGTAAATATGGCAGGGGTTTTAAAGGACGTTTGTTTTTCTTCAAGATCATAGGGAAGAGATTAAATGTAAACACAAAAAACCTCTATTTGTGGAATGGATCTCATTTTTCAAGCTTGTCTAATTTGTAATCTTGTCCCAATTTTACAAACTGGAGAGTATCTGTCTCTGATAAGGATTATGTGGCCTTTTAACCCAGTATCTTTCCTTCTCTTCCATTGTGGTGCTTTGAAATTAAAGCTCATCTCATAAATAAAGGCTGTTTGCTTTCTAGCATATTTTCTTTTCTTTTTTCTTTCTTTTTTTTTTTTTTTTTGATGGAGTCTCGCTCTGTCGCTCAGGCTGGAGTGCAGTGGCATGATCTCGGCTCACTGCAAGCTCCGCCTCCCGGGTTCATGCCATTCTCCTGCCTCAGCCTCCCGAGTAGCTGGGACTACAGGCGTTCGCCACCACGCCTGGCTAATTTTTTTGTATTTTTAGTAGAGATGGGGTTTCACCGCGTTAGCCAGGATGGTCTCGATCTCCTGACCTCGTGATCTGCCCGCCTCGGCCTCCCAAAGTGCTGGGATTACAGGCGTGAGTCACTGCGCCCGGCCGCATATTTTCTTATAAGTTTGTTTCTGTAATCTTCATTGTCCATATAAATAAATAAAATAAATAGATTGTTAAAAATGATGGAAGATTGAATAATGGGAGGCCATTAAGTTCCTCATACTTTGTTACCATTATTTAGGTAGTAAACAGAAATAGTAACATAATTTAGGCCAATATCCTTCATGACTGTATTAGACAGTGTTTTATTCTTGCTCCACTGCCCCCTGCCAGAAAAGTCGAGGTGAATTCCACTGAGAAACTTCTTTCTCTCAACAGAAATTGCTTCTGTTGTTAAAGTGTTAAACATTTTCACTCCTTTTGAAGGTGACTGCTCTGTGATTAAGAGCCCAAGGGTACACCAGGCTAATTATGTTGTTGGTTTTAGTCCAAAAAAATGACTTATTCTTGCAACTTATTACTAAGTTTATTGGATTGCTAAATCATGAGTGTATTAAAACAAACTGTGATTTTTCTTATCTTTGCCAAAGCATTGGGGTTATAGAATAAGGTGCTTAAGGTCATTAAAGGCTAAAAATTCATAGGCTTAATGCTTATTAAGCAAAGCTAATTTGGTTTAAAAGTAACAAAGCATTTGCTTTATACTTGGAAGTCTTAGCAAATTAACTCTCATTCCATGTGAAAAGATATCCTGGGCTTGAAAAGAAATTCAGGTCTTGAATTTGGTTGAGAAGTTGGGAAGTTTGAGAATTTTTTTTTGTGGTCAAATGGTTTAGTAAGAGATAAGTTATTATTATATAGAAACTAGCCCTTAGGCCAGACAAGGCGGCTCATGCCTGTAATTCCAGCACTTTTTGGGAGGCCAAGGCAGGTGGATCACCTGAGGCCAGGAGTTGGAGACCAGCCTGGCCAATATGATGAAACCCCGTCTCTGCTAAAAATACAAAAAATTAGCTGGGTGTGGTGGCGGGGACCTGTAATACCAGCTACTCGGGAGGCTGAAGCAGGAGAATTGCTTGAACCCAGGAGGTGGAGGTTGCAGTGAGCGGAGATCACGCCATTGCATTCCAGCCTGGGTAACAAGAGTGAAACTCTAAAAAAAAAAAAAAGGAAAAGAAAAAAGAAACAGTCCTTAAAGGACAATTATCTTTAGCACTGTCTGCCATGAGAAACATTTTCTTCATTTTTTCCCCTGAGTTTACCCTGACTTAAATACTTTCTGAAAGTCATCATCACTAATGAGAAACAAACAACAGAATCTGAATCAGTATGTGTTTTTGAAATGTGAAAGTGTCTTTTCCTTCACTTTGAAGGCCCATCCTTGGGTCTTCTTACCTATCCAAATTCTATGCACATCTGAAGATTCTCCCTAGTTCCTTTGGCTTCTGTGCCATCTTCCATGACTATTCCAAATTCTAGTCACCCCAAATAATATCTCCCCAAAATTCATATGTTGAAAACCAAACCTCCAGTGGGATGGTGTTTGGAGATAAGCTTTTGGGAAGTAATTAGGTCATGAGGATAGGGCCCTGGTGATGGAATTAGTGCCCTTATAACAACTGGCACCAGAGCTTGCTCTTTCTCTCTGCCATGTGGAGACACAGTGAGAAGAAGGACATCAACAAGCCAAGAAGAGAGCCCTTACCAGAAACTCAGTCATCTGGCATCTTAATTTTGAACTTCTTATCCTCCAGAACTGGAAGAAATAATTGTTGTTTAAGCCACCCAGTCTATGAAATTTCATGATAGCAGCCCAAGCTGACTAATATAGTTCCCGAAGTGTTACATAATTAAGCATTTGATTCTATGCTATCCCATGATTTTTAAATTTCCTCATGAGTGAAAATTTGTCCCCTTGAAGGAATTTCAAACTCCTTAAATCCGTTTATGCCTGATGTTGTAAAATTGTTTTTGTGTGAAAAATCAGACCTTGGCAATAAACTTGAGCAGTAGGATATAAATAACTCCCACAAGCTTAGTATTCCAATAATGGAACACTAGGCATAATTAAAGGCAAAGACAGTTATGCCTCCAGATGACTGAAGTAGAGTCTCACTACAATTTCAGGTATTCTTGGAATGGTCCAAAGATTCACTCTTTTCTGGGCTTCCCTTTCACTCCTGGCACACACTGTAAGATGGTGGCTAGTTTAATGGTATGATCTAGGCCTAGGAACCATGGCCAGACTAGGCTGAACTATTTGACAAATTCAAGACTTTAGCCTCATTAGTGTCTCATGCTAATTAAGTGAGCTAACTAGCTCCAGATTTAAGATAACAAAGATAAAGTCAATGATGAAACAGCAACAAGGAAGATACCACATTTCATTTTATAGTTGGGAGTGGGGAAGGCTGAAAGGGAGAAGAGACTGGGGGATTGAGTGAGCTTACTTGTGAGTGGGATTCATGCATGCCACCCTACTGGTGGCATGACCTGCCAAAATTTTATTTCCATGGGGCCTTAAGCAACTCCAGAGAAAAAGCCCTGTCTAAGGGAAGAATGACCTGGTGATGAAGAAAGGCATCATTGCTAGAGATGAGTGACAATTGTGTGTAGAGTGAAGTCTGTTACTTAGCTTTATCTCTTGAGCCCATCTGTGCAGGAATCATAAGATCAATGTAGCAAAGGATGTATAACAGAAAAAAAAAAAAAAACACTCAGCAAGGGTTTTGTGCATTGGAGCATTCTTTGGGTGCCTCAACAACAGAGCATTATCCAAGGGCAGGCAGGAATTTTTCCATTTATCACAATAATAATTAGTACCACTTGACACTTTGAGACTCTAGGGCTTCCATTGTAATAGGAAACAATGGTATTTGGTAGTTTCTCGTGGGCAGTCATCGGGAAACAGAACCATCTAAAGGGCCCAGAGAAGAATGAGAGCCTTCTTTAGAATTTCTATTCGTTGTTATCCTGTAAAATAGGATATCTGTAATTACTAGCTTGGGCAAGATTCTCCCTTTTATATTTTTGTTGGATTGCTCAAGATAGCTATAAAATCCAAACGCATTATTATTCATTGTTCTCTCAAATTACCATGAAAACAAAAAACTTAAACTTTAGACAAACAACTGAAAAGAGTTAGCAAGGAAATTGTAAATAGAATGTGGGTAACAAATTTTTTTTTGTTCTTTTCATCTTTCCCCCCATTTGTTTCATCCTAACTTCTTGTTTTTAAAGATATTCTTGAAATGACAGGCAGTGCTGTCCCTTTTCTCAGGAATATACATCTTACCATCAAAATGGAGGGTTGAGTTTTCCTGGGGCTGCCTCGGTTTATTCTAGTGGGTCTCAGCAGGCTCCAAGTTCTAAGAGAAGCAGTGAGAATTTTAAAATATCATGAGCTGATACATTTAGATGAACCATGTTGTGTAAATGTAGCATTCATGGAATTGGACTCTTAAAAAGTAAAATAGTTGTTCCCTAACAGGAAACTGCCTCTGATGGAAGGCAGGGGTTTCTTTTGTTGTAAAAAGTAAGATAAATGCAAATGAAGGGAACTGTTAATTGAAATGTTTGGATGAGACCTAAACATTGTTTCTGAACAGGGATTTATTCATTGTGAGAAAAAAAGTCAAACGGGAAAAGAATTTAGGAAGAAAATTAAGACCTTGCATTTTAAAGAGCAAGGCGGCTTGCTTAGGAGATGGTAATTTTCTCAGGATATGGTAATTAAGTAGGATAACCGGCTCCAGATTTAAGATAGCAAATCTGGAGTGTTTTCTCAGGATATGATATTTTCTCCCTCTTTATCAAGAGAAAAGCCAGACTTGAGACTTGGTGATAGGGAGATAATTGAATTGTGCAATGGAGACTTTTGCAGGAATGTTTAAATGATCAAGAGGAGGAAATTAGCAGGTAGTAGAGAAAGGAACACGCTGGTTGGGCTGAATTCTGAGCAGTGTGCATTGGGTGGGTGTGGGTGGGTGGAAGGAGCTCAGTAAAGGGCCAAAGACACAAAACATTATATAAAAATAATTGTAATCATAATTATTATATTTTCAATGAGTTAATATATTAAGCATCTTCAAGTCATTGTGTTAAATAATAAAATTATGTACATTTTCTCAATGTATTGTTTAAAGTCTCAGAATGATACACTTTTGTGGGTCCTGAGTCAGACAAATACCACCTTTTAAAGAGATTTTATTTGGACACGGGACTGTCCTTTATATTAGTTGAAGCTTGTGGGCCCTAAGACAGAATTAGGCTCATGACACCTTCTTATGATGCAGTAATTTGAATTTTGGTGCAAGTAATATATTTGAAATGTGAGGGTATATTCAGCTTCATGCAATATAATTTGAAGGAATGCTGAGTTAGTAATTGTGTGTAAACAAACAGACTTGGCATACCTGGCTACTCCTGAGAGTCAAGACTATGTTTAGCTATGACCACAAGAGAGAAAGTTCCTTGGCCCACTCTCCAGGGCATGCTTTCTGGTCTTGTTTTGATGCTGGAACCTCCTACTGGAATTATTAACCTTCCTTTACTACAAGACGCTGACCAAGCCTCCTTAGATCCTCAGAAGCTTCCAGAACCTGTCTCCTTGTGTGTAATCCCTCATTCTCAGCAACTTGCCAATTTGTCACCTGTTTTTGGAGGCCCATTGCATTTCTAACTATATTTTAGAATCAGCTTCCCAATGTAAAAAAACAAAAAAGTTGCTGAGGTTTTGGCTGTAACTGTGTTGCTTTTTTAGATTAATTCGAAATTTGAAAATAATTGGTAACTTATTTTGTTTCTTGAAATACATGAACGTAGAATATCATTATTTACGTGTTTTAAGACTTCTCTAAGCAATAATTCATAATTTATTTAAAATTCCTATGTCTTTAACATTGTTTATTATATTTATTACCATACATATAACAATCTTTGATGTTGTAATCATATTACATTTCTAATTTTATTTTTTGATTGTTGCAGTGTGATTTCAGAGACTAAACAGTGCTGATAGCTGTTAGACCCTGGGCCTAGCCAGAGTGAAGAGCCTTGTGGAACACTCTGAACATTCATTTCAGATGTAAGAAATAACCTTAGGAGTGCAGATAATTGATTATGGAAGATTGATCTTATATCTAGTACCTTGCTAAATTCACTTATTGATTTCAGATTTGCTATATGTAATATTATGTCATCTACAATAAAGACTATGTTATGCTTTCCATCCAATTGTTACGCTTTTCATTTCTTTATCTTGTTTTAATACACAGTCTAAAAGTGCCAGCAAAATGTTGAATGACAGTAATTTCAGTGTACCCCTTTGTCTTATCCTAGAAATTAGGAGAAAACTATACAATAGCTTACCTTTAAGTATGATGTTAATTGTAGTTCTGTTGTAGATACCCTTTATCAGATTAAATATGTTCCCATATTTTCCTAGTGTGCTGAAAGTGTTTATCATACATGTGTGATGATACTTATCAAATTCTCTATCATCAGCAAATATATCTGTTCGCACTCTTATAGTATTTCCTACCTTATACTCTAGTCTGCTGATGTTAATGGAGCCAGAACATTTTATATAGTGTTTTTTTGATATAACTTATTTCATCATTTTACTTTTAACCTATCTGTGTGTTATATTCAGGTGTGTTTCTTGTAAGTAGTATAGAACTGGATCTTATTTTTCCCAGTCTGATGTCTTTATGTTTTAATTATAGTGTTTAGTTCATTTACACTTAACATATGTGGGATTAATTCTGCCATCTTGCTAATTGTTTTATATTTGTCTCACTGATTATTTGATTCTCTTATCCTGCCTTCTTTTGTATTGGTCATTATTTTTTAATGCATTTTATCTCTTTTAAGGGACTTTTCTCATGTGTTAAATATGATTACTTTATTTGTTATACTAGAAGTTAAAAAATACATTCTAACTTTTAATGATTGCCATTCTAACTGGTGTGAGATGGTATCTCATTGTGGTTTTGATTTGCATTTCTCTGATGGCCAGTGATGGTGAGCATTTTTTCATGTGCTTTTTGGCTGCATAAATATCTTCTTTTGAGAAGTGTCTGTTCATGTCCTTCGCCCACTTTTTGATGGGGTTGTTTGTTTTTTTCTTGTAAATTTGTTTGAGTTCATTGTAGATTCTGGATATTAGCCCTTTGTCAGATGAGTAGGTTGCGAAAATTTTCTCCCATTCTGTAGGTTGCCTGTTCACTCTGATGGTAGTTTCTTTTGCTGTGCAGAAGCTCTTTAGTTTAATTAGATCCCATTTGTCAATTTTGGCTTTTGTTGCCATTGCTTTTGGTGTTTTAGACATGAAGTCCTTGCCCATGCCTATGTCCTGAATGGTAATGCCTAGGTTTTCCTCTAGGATTTTTATGGTTTTAGGTCTAACGTTTAAGTCTTCAATCCATCTCGAATTGATTTTTGTATAAGGCGTAAGGAAGGGATCCAGTTTCAGCTTTCTACATATGGCTAGCCAGTTTTCCCAGCACCATTTATTAAATAGGGAATCCTTTCCCCATTGCTTGTTTTTGTCAGGTTTGTCAAAGATCAGATAGTTGTAGATATGTGGCGTTATTTCTGAGGGCTCTGTTCTGTTCCATTGATCTATATCTCTGTTTTGATACCAGTACCATGCTGTTTTGGTTACTGTAGTCTTGTAGTATAGTTTGAAGTCAGGTAGTGTGATGCCTCCAGCTTTGTTCTTTTGGCTTAGGATTGACTTGGCAATGCGGGCTCTTTTTTGGTACCATATGAACTTTAAAGTAGTTTTTTCCAATTCTGTGAAGATAGGTGCTGGAGAGGATGTGGAGAAATAGGAACACTTTTACACTGTTGGTGGGACTGTAAACTAGTTCAACCATTGTGGAAGTCAGTGTGGCGATTCCTCAGGGATCTAGAACTAGAAATACCATTTGACCCAGCCATCCCATTACTGGGTATATACCCAAAGGACTATAAATCATGCTGCTATAAAGACACATGCACACGTATGTTTATTGCGGCACTATTCACAATAGCAAAGACTTGGAACCAACCCAAATGTCCAACAGTGATAGACTGGATTAAGAAAATGTGGCACATATACACCATGGAATACTATGCAGCCATAAAAAATGATGAGTTCATGTCCTTTGTAGGGACATGGATGAAATTGGAAATCATCATTCTCAGTAAACTATCGCAAGGATAAAAAACCAAACACCGCATGTTCTCAGTCATAGGTGGGAATTGAACAATGAGAACACATGGACACAGGAAGGGGAACATCACACTCTGGGGACTGTTGTGGGGTGGGGGGAGTGGGGAGGGATAGCATTAGGAGATGTACCTAATGCTAAATGACGAGCTAATGGGTGCACCACACAAGCATGGCACATGTATACATATGTAACTAACCTGCACATTGTGCACATGTACCCTAAAACTTAAAGTATAATAATAATAATAAAAAAATACATTCTAAACATTTACTATGAAACATTAAATAGTACTGTTGAACTCTTAGCTTCTGTGGCACTCAGATCTTTATTTCTAAAGACTATTCCTCACTAAAAATAATTTTGTCTCTTTGGGATGCCTTATTCCAGGTTTGGAGCAGAGATTAGAAAATGACCGTGAAACATCTTATTGAGACAGAAAACAAGGAAGTACTAAAAGATTAATGAGGGTCATGTTAAATGGATGAAGAGTTGTCTTGAAGGGGTCCTTACTGGCCAAGTTCAGAATAACTGGAACAGTCAAAATAATTAAAAGATGATGATTTTAAGAGTGGTGAATTGAGATAAGACATATATAGGATTTCATTGTACTCTTATTTCATGTTTGTTGTGGACGTGAATGATTTCAATAATAACACTGTATTACTAATCCGGGCATATAGTTTTGCACATTTTATCTTCCAAGTCCCATAATTGTTTTATTTTAAATTTTTTGGTATTCTTTAGAGCACCAGTGCAGTTCCCATTTCCCATCATTTGAAGCATAAAGAAAATGTGGCTGCAGACAATAGGAAGAATTTGTTATGATAGGAGCTTTTCTTTGAGATTCTGTCCAATTGTGACAGTAAAAATTTCCTAAGGTATCTGACATCCAAAGTGAGAGAAACCATATGATTTTAAGGCTAACCATATGCTTTTTTTTTTCACTGCCAATTGTGACAGTAAACATTTCCTAAGGAATCTGACATGCAAAGTGAGAAAAACCGTATGCTTTTAAGTCTGGGGTGGGGTGGCACACACCTGTAATCTCAGGACTTTGGGAGGCCGAGGCAGGAAGATCACTTGAAGCAATGAGTTCCAGACTAGCCTGCATGACAAAGTAAGACCTTGTCTCTATAAAAAAATAAAAACTAAAAATAAATAGTTGGGGGTGGTGATGTGTGCCTGTAATCCCAGCTACCTGGGAAGCTGAGGCGACAGGATCTATTGAGCCCAGAAGTTTGAGGCTGCAGTGAGCATGATCATGCCACTGCATTCCAGCCTGGGCTACAGAGTGAGACCCTGTTTCTAAAAAAAAATTTAAAAAAATACCAAGTAAGAGAAGCCACATGCTCTTAAAGATCTCCTCTCTGATTTCACTGCAGAATGCATAGGATAGGTTTTTTCCCTATTGTCTCAGGATAGAAATATTTCCTACTAAGAGAAAAAAAGATACTTGGTAATGAAAATTAGCCCTCAAATGGGACTAATGCTGATGATTTATTACACCAAAACAATACAATCATAATTCCTGAAGTTTAACTTCCCAACTCTACAGTATTTTTTAAAAAAGTAATTTTAGCTGAAGATAAATTTGGCAGGAAAATGGCAGGGCTATATGGTAATTTATCTACCAAAAGGCCATTAATGGGCAACTGGAACATGTAATGCAACCAAATGATTTTTCCCATATTGGTCTCTTGGGGTATGAATAGTCCAAAGGATGGTTCTAGGCTAGGCACAAGACTCAAACAAGTAGAATTAGAATTGGGCCTGAGATTTTTGCTAAAACGAAACAAAACAAAACCAAAACACACACACACACACAGTGTTTTTAGTAATCAGAATAGGCTAGATTCTGCTGCATGAACCAAAGATCCCTGACAGCTTAATTTCTTTGTCACACCAAGTCCAATTCAGGTTGACCAACTGTCCACTATGCTGTAGCGCCTCCATCTGAATCATGGGACCTCTAACCAGATGCAGCCTGTTTTTCTATTTTATAAGCACCTTTCAAAGAAGATGATTTATTGAACTGTTTTGCAGAATTTTGTCAGTTACCCACACTCCTGTTGGCTGCAGCATCTTTTTTGACAACTTCAGGCTGTTCTTTCTTATTGCAGCAAACTCTAAGCCCTGATATTTTCATACAGATTAGTCTTGTCATCTCAACTAGATTGTACATTATTTGAAAATAGCATCTTGAATCCCCATAGTCAGAAGCACAGTTTAGGAGACATAATAGTTTCTCAAACAAGATTGCTTGGTGTTTTGATTTACTGGGCCTCAGAGGCATCTGAAATTGCAGCTCTTTTTACTTTTTGTACTCAGACATTTTATACAAAAGCAACAGAAGTCCTGTGTTGTGTCTATAAATCTTATTCTTTTCATAGGTTTGCTTTTTGCCAGTAAAGAAACAAAGGGCTAAGTTGGAATGTGTCATGTCATGGACCTTCTCTGACCCCTACCGTCCATCTCTCCCTAGGTTTGGAGCAGAGTTGAACACTGGTAACTGGTGGCTGCTTCCCGTGCTGCTTATTCACATGACCACTGGGAACACAAGTAGGTTGAGTACTTTTGTTCTTTGCTACATTTCCACTCACCACTGACGTCTTTGTAGGTTGAATGCTGGCATGCCTGCCTGGGTGTTCAAGATCAGTTTATTCTAGCACTATCTCTTTTTGGATGTCGAAGGCTTTTGGGAGATGGTTTGAATGCTTCCGGGGACCTTATCTGCCAAGCGAAGAGCAATTGGTAAGCAAATAAATAGCAATGAGCTACCACGTAAAAACTAATTTTGATCTACTTGATATTCCTCCTAGAGCCATCTTTCAGCGAGAAAGTTCTAATCTATATTAAATTTGCATTTTATAATAAGTAAAAATGGAGACCAATGGATTAATATACAATAAGAGAAGAATAGTCTCAAAATAATTTTTCCCTTCTAACCTGAAATGCACTCTCAGGTTTAGTATAGTTTGATTGGTATTTCCTTCATCTTCAAGGAGTTTTATTTATTAGACACCTTGACATCAAGAAAAAGAGTCAAAGGGCAATATTTCTCCTGCTGACTCATCAAAGTACCCCATTGGAGGCCTTTGTCATGAGTTCTGGGCAGAGGAAAACTTGGTTCTGAGAAGCTGTTATGTGGAGCTGGGGTCTGTTTTCCCTGGCACAAATGACATCTCACAAAGGAATTAACAAAGTGGGCAAATGGGACAACCTTGCCTTTCCAGAGAAAAATACTTGACTAACAGCTTAGGAGGTGGGGCTAATGAGAAGCAGGGTTTCTCTGAAAGGTCTTGATCTTAAGGTAACAGAAAAACCTGGCTGCCGAAGGGGATCTGAGTGACACCATGTCCTAGATGTTATCTCATCCTTTATCATTCAGATAAAAAACAATTTTACCCAGCGAAGACATGAAATCACATTTTAAAATTTCTACAACTTACCAAGTCTTTTCTTCTTTGCCTGAGCCCTAGAAGTCCTGTTCTGCAGTCAGTCCTTTGCTGACCTTAATCAAGGCCCTACTACTGCAGCACTGTTGCTGCTGGAAGTCCTTCTCACCTTTGCTTTTTGGCAGGGCTTCCTGGGAGCTGGTGGTATTTCTATTAATTTCAGAATGCAGATACCTGACACAATCCATTAGTCTTGGAGTCACATTCTCATGGTTTGGCCTGGTACTGTCTAAATTGACTGCTTCCAAAGTCAAGGTCAGGGGGACACAGACTTGAGGGTCAAGCAACAAGGAGAGGGAAAGGAGGAAGATGCGGAAGAGGAGGACATTTCCTAAGGCTGAGAAACAGAGCAGAGAGTTAAATATTTTAAAACCAGAGGAGATTGAGATTTAGATGTAAAGAAGTGTCAAGAAATCCAGATTTACTATGCTGTTTAATTCAAAGAACTATTCTAGCCCAGGAAAGAATAATGATGATGATAGTAACAATAATAGCCACTTATTTAGTAGCTATTATAGTTAAGATACAGTTTTAAATGGTTTTGCATATATTTTCTAATTGGTTTCTTATAACAAACTTATAAAGTATATGCTATTAACCTTTCTATTTTACATATGAGAAAACTGAAATTCAGGAATGAGAAGTAGTTTGCCTAGGGCCACCCAGGTAATGAGTACAGCACTGAGATTTTTAGCTTAGTTCTAATTGGTACTGTGGTATGTGTTTTATTTTTTTCTTTATCGTTGTAAACATTGTAGTCTGTAGGTACTCTGCCCAGGTCTCTTCTAGTCATCTTTATTAATTCTGGGTGCATGGCTTCTAACTTCTGTGTACTTCTCCCAGGAAATCACACCTGCAACTTTCTCTAGAGGATTACCTTTGGGCTACTAGAGCCTCTTAGACCAGAGCAGGGAATGCTTAGTAATTTACAGTCCTCTGCTTATGATCCCAAACCAATGACTAATCATTGCAGCACTATAAAAGCTCAACACCTGTGCCTCAAGTTGGGCCACCTCTTAAACTGTGATAAACAACAGTGGAGTTGAACTCCAGAGCCCCCTATGGATTCTGTCATCTGTAATCCAGTCTCTTTCGTTCACCAACGCTGGTTGTTTTCCAGGCTCATGGATATAGTATTTATTTTAGCTGTAATGTGTTATTCTTCCTTCCTAATGGCATTGGCCATTTTCTGATCCAGAATGGAAACAAACAGTAAATGTCTTTTTTCACGGAACTGAATTTTAATGTGTACCTTCTAGAAATGCTACACAAAATATTTGGCATGAATCCTGGCACGTGCAGCAGAATACTGGTTAGAACAGAAGAACTTGCAGCTCAGAAAACACATCAAGTCAGATCCCCTGGACTAAAAGAGTGAAAACAAATTGCCTCTTTTTTTTTTTTTTTTTATTTAGAAAAGCTTGTTTAGCAAATTTTTTTTTCTTTTTTTCTCTTTTTTTATTTCAGTGGCAGTAACTTTGGCAAATAGGTTTGAACTGTCAAAAGTACGTTAAATCAAGCTTCAAATATTATGAAACAGAAACTGTCATAGCTTTGTGATTATATTTGCTTTGTGATTGTGTGAAAAAAATCACAATCACAATAGCATAACCATAATAATGAATAAAGGCTATGAATGCCCTTTCATGGAATAAAACCATTATAAGATATATGGCACATTGAATCTTTTTTCTCAACAGCTTTATTGAAATATAATTCACATTCTATATAATTTGCCCACTTTGAGTATACAATTTACTGCTTTTTGGCGTATTCACAGGACAGCATAACCATCACACGATGTAAGTTTAGAATATTTTTCTTTCATCTAAAAGAAATTCCATATTCATTAGCTATCAATCCCCATTCTCTCCTATAAAAACACCCCAATCCCTAAGCAACCACTAATCTAATTTATGTCTCTAAAATATGCCCATTCATATTGCACATAAATGGAACCACAGAATATGCTTTTGCTTTTTGTGACTGGCTTCTTCTTTAACTTGGCACAGTGTTTTTAAGGTTTATTTATATTGTAGCGTATATCAGTACTTTATTCCTTTTTATTGCAACATAATACTCTATTTTATGGATAATCCACATTTTGTTTATCCATTCATCAGTTGAGGAATATTTGGGTTTTTCCATTTTCTGGATATAAGGAATAAATATGCTGTGAACGTTCATGTAGAAGTTTTTGTGTGGGTATGTTTTCATTTCTTTTGGGCATATATATGGGAGTGAAGTTGCTGAATCATATGGTAACTCTATGTTTGACATTTTGAGAAACTGTCAAACTTTTTTCCAGAATTGCTGCATTACTCTGCATTTCCACCAGTAGTTCATGGGGGTGCGGACTTCTGTATACCCTTGTTAGCACTTATTATTATATTTCTTTTTTATTATAGTATTCTATTAGATCTAAACTGGCATCTTATTGTAGTTTTGATTTGTATTTCTCTAATGACTAATGATGTTGAGATTCTTTGTATGTGCTTATTAGCCACTTGTATATATTCTTTGGAGCAATACGTATTCAAATTATTCACTCATTATTTAATTTGCTTTTTTATGATTAAGTATTCTTCACATATTCTGAAAACAATTTCCTTATTTGATATACGATGTGAAAATACTTTATCCCATTCTGTGGGGAGTATTTTCACTTTCATGATAATATTGTTTGTGGCACAAAACATTTCAATTTTGATATACTCCAATATAACATTTTTTTCTTTTGTTGCTATGTTTTTGGCATCATATATAAGAAACCATTGCCCAATGAAGATTTACTCCTATGTTTTCATTTAAGAGTTTTCTAGTTTTTATTTCTTACATTTAGGCCTCTGAACTGTTTTTATTTATTATTTTTTCTTTATTCAACTTTTATTTTAGACTTAGGGGATAGAAATGCAGGTTTGTCACGAAGATATTGTGTGATGCCGAAGCCTGGAATACGAATGAATCCATCACCGGGGTAGTGAGCATAGTACCCAATAGGTAATTTTTTTCAATCCTTACTCGTTCTTTCCCCACTTTTGTATTCCCCAGTGTCTACTATTCCCATTTTTATGACCATGTGTACCCAATATTAGCTCCCACTTATATTATAAGTGAGAACATGTGATATTTGGTTTTTTGTTCCTGTGTCAGTTCGCTTAGGGCAGTGGTTTCTAGCTGCATCCATGTAGCTGTGAACAACATGATCTCTTTCTTTTCTATAGCTGTGTAGAATTCCCATAGTGTATATGTACCACATTTTATTAATCCAGTCCACCATTGATGGGCACCTAGGTTGATTCCATGTCTTCACCATTGTGAATAATGCTGTGATGGATATATGGGTTCATGTGACTTTGGTAGAAGAATTTACTTTTCTTTGCATATATACCCAGTAGTTGGATTGTTGGGTTGCATGGTAGTTTAACTCTTAGTTCTTTGAGAAATCTCCAAACTGCTTTCCACAGTGATGAAACTAACTTACATTTCCACTAACAGTGTGTAAGTGTTCCGTTTTCTCCACAGCCTTGCCAACATCTGTAAGTTTTTGACTTTTTAACAAAAGCCATTGAATTAAATTTTGATTATGGTATGAGTAGGGGTTCAATTTTATTCTTTTTAATGAGACAAATCCAGTTTTACCAGTACCATTTATTAAAAAGATTATTGATTCTCTATTGAATTGTCTGGGCTTTCTTGTTAAAAATCAATTGAACATAAATGTATGAGTGAGTCTATTTCTGGATCCTACCATTTGATGCCATTGGTCTGGATATCTATTTTATGACAGTACTATACTGTCTTAATCAGATTGTAGTTTTTGAAATTGAGATATGTCAGTCTTCCAGTTCTGTTCTTTTTCAAGATTGTTTTGGCTATACTGTATTCTTTTTATTTCTCTATCAATATTATACAAGCTTGTCAATTTCTGCAAAAAGGGCAGCTGGAGTTTTGATAGGGATTGTTTTGAATCTCAGATCAATTTGGGAAGTATTGTCATGTTAACAATATTAAGTCTTCTAATCCATAAAAATGGAATGCCTTTCCACTTATTTAGTTCTTCTTTAATTTCTTCCAATAATACTTTATAATGTTCAGCGTATAAGTCTTTCATGGCTTTTGTTCATTTTATACCTAAGTAATTTTATTCTTTTTGATACTATTGTAAATGGAATTAAAAAATTTATTTTCAAAATATTCATTGCTAGTGTGTACAAATAAAATTGATGTTTCCATATTAACCTTGTATTATGCAGGCTTGCTGGACCTATTAGTTGATTAGTATTAATTAGCTTTTATTAGTACTTATTTTATTACTGGTACTACTAACAGTATTTAAATTGATTTTCTGTGATATACCTATCATATGCAAATATAGTTTCACTTTTCTCTTTATAATCTGGATGCCTTTTGTTTCTTTTTATTGCCAAATTTTCCTTGTAGAACCCCCAATACAAGGTTAAATAGAATTGATAAAGAGGACATTCTTGAATGGTTCCTAATTCAGGGGGAAAGCATTAAGTCATTCACCATTAAATATGATGTTCACTATTCACATAGATGCCACTTTTCAGATTAAGGAAGTTCTCCTTTGTTCTTAGGTTACTGAATATAATGCTCATGAAATGGCATTGGATTTTATAAAATAAATTTGTATCAATTGATATGATCCTGTGGTTTCTGTCCTTTATTCCATTAACGTTGTATCATATATTGATTCACTTTCATGTGTTAAACAAACCATGCATTACTTGAGATAATTCCCTTGTGGTCATAATGAATAATCCTTTTTAAATATTGCTGCGTTTAGTTTTCTAGTACTTTGTTGAGAGTCTTTGAATCTATATTGGTTTTTATTTTTTCTTCTTATGATGGCTTTGTTTAGCTTTGGTATCAGAATAATAATAGGATAATATGGGCCTTGTAGAATGAGTTGAGAAGTGTTTCTTCATCTTCTATTTTGTGGAAAAGTTTGCAAAGGATTGGTATTAATTCTTCTTTGAACATTTTATAAGAATTCATTTATGAAGCCATCCAGGCCTGAATTTTACTTTATGGGAAGTTCTTAAATTACTGATTCATCTCTTTACTTGTTATCGATCACTACAGATGTTCTAATTCTTCCTGAGTCAGATTTAGTAATTTACATCTTTCTATAAATTTGTCCATTTCATGTAAGTTATTTAGTTTCTTGACGCACTGCTGTATATAGTATTTTCTTATGATACTTTTTATTTCCATAAGATCAGTAGTGATGTCATGTCCCCTCTTTATTCCTGAATTTTATAATTTGAATCTTCTTTCCTTTTTGCTTTGTCAGTCTAGCTTAGTTTGTCAGTTTTGTTGACCTTGTCAGTGAACCAATTTTTAGCTTTGTTGGTTTCTCCATTGTTTTTATATTTTTGATTATGTTTATTTATGCTCTAGTCTTTGTTATTTCTTTTATTTCTTTCCTATTCTCTCTTTGGATTGATTTTTCTCTGAATAAGGCATGGTTCAGATCTCCCATTTCCTTAACTTGGCTCCCTTTCATTGAAGTCTTCTTCCGATGAATTCTGTGGGATTGACTGTAAGGAGTGTATGGGGCTGGGCATCAGAACCAAGCATTGGCAGATATCCACCAGTTAACTTGGCCACAGTGGGATTTCATTACTCAATATGTTCTTGTTTATCTTCTTTTGAGAATTCTGTCTAAAATTAGTCGCTGAATGGGATTGTTTAACTAAATGTTTGGGAATAGTGAAGAATAAAAATAAATTCATATACAGAGATACCATTCATGGTGGTAAGAAATGAGACACATTTAACGAGGGAAATAATGTGTCTGTACTTACCTCAGGGGGTTTTCCTTACATAGGGATAGTCAAGGTCATGAACTTTCACACAATGGGCTTTCAGCCTTTCAAGGCACTTTCCAAAAATGATATAAAATTGAAAGTTAGAGGTAAACCATGATGGGCCCTGAATGTAGATACTGGATCATTGAAAACAATTTAAAATAGATAAACAAATAGGCAAACAGCAAATAAAAATTTGTAAAACAGACAAACACACAAAAACATTAGTTCAATGAGTCTAAGCCCTAGCAGTCTGTAAGAATCACCTGTGAAACTTGATAAGAATACAGATACCTAATCTGAACCTATTGAATCAGAATTTTTTTTTTTGACTGCTGGTATTGGATATTTGCAGTTATACACTGCTTAAGAGACTCTGTGGCACTGGTTGGATTAGGAACTGTAGAACTAGGTCCAATGGCTTTATCCTAAATGTAGCCCTGGCTTCCCCAAGATAAACCAGCCTGCCTGTTGAGTTGGGTCACAATCACACATATCACTGTCCCTTGTCCCTGCATCTCCCATCAGACCTAATTATGCTGACGGCACTCTGAACTATTTTTGGTTTCCCAAGGAGAGTCTCGTGTGCTCATGAATGGACCTGGGTAGATGACATATAATGCTCCCTGGGCCCTGCTGATCCAGGTGTCACTACTGTGGCTTCCTCAGAAGGACCTAATCTTGTCCCAAGGCTCCAAGTCTCCCACTGGGCACTGGCTCTTGTAGTCTGGATTCTTAGGGCTTAGTGATAGCCTGATCTGTGCTATCTGTGAGTTCTCTTCCAGGAGTTCTCTTTCTAACCCACTTTCTCACCAGGTATACAAAAATATCTATGTTTCTCTGAGGCAGACTGAGGCACTTACAGAAGAAGAAACTATATACCTGGGAGCTTGTGGGACGGGATGAAAATGAGCTGGGAGCAGGGAGCAGAATTTCACTCAGCAGCAAGGGACGAGGGGGTGGGGGTTGGGGGTTCGGGGGGGTAGTTGGGGGGGCAGCGTGGGGGCAGCACTGCCCCCTCCACAGCATGTTGATTGCTTAGGTCCATAAGGAGCTTGCTTTGCTTTCATGTCATGTGCTTCTCTGGGCCAGGCTGGTTTAAAAATTAAGATATTGGGATAAAAGGTGCAAAAAAAATCAAATGCTAGAACTATCAGAGTGAAAATTATGCATTTTCTCAAGGAAGAAATTATGCTTCTTTTAGATGTGAATTAAGTTTTATTTCAGTCCCGGAGTTGTTGCTTATTTTCTACATGTTAGGGAAAATTCAAGTTAGAAAAAAATATTAGGCTTATCCTGGATATGAATAAGGAACACACATAGGTTGCAGGAGGAGAGACTAATGGGGACTTAATGCTTGAGGGCCTGCTTAACACCTTCCAGGACAAATCTCTCAGGATGTAGCCACGTAGGAAGGTAACAGATCACTCACTTTTGTTGCCCTTTCTCAATACTTTCAGAAGTTACCCTGGTCTGAGAGCTAGTAGATAGATCACCAGGAGTGCACAGGGCACAGTGTGAAGGTTTGACTTCAGTCTGAGTCAGGGAAGCTGGAGTGACACATCTGTTTTCAAAGTTTACCGTGGAGGTTGTGTGGAGAGCTGTGGGGCTGTTGTCCTCACTGCAGTGAGAGCTCCCTGTCCTGGATCTTTGGAACACAGGTGTGTGCATGTGTGTATCTAGGTGTTTGGGGGTGGAGGGGTCTAGTTAATGGCAGTGAAGATGGAGCTGAGACCTACCCCAGCCACCTGTCAAGCACTGGACTCTAACAGTGTTATAGTATCAAAAGAATCAGCAACTGGTGGCTTTGGCTCTTCCTGTTTGATTTAGTACCTCATCTAAAAAGGCAACACCATGACAAAGGCAATGAGACTCCACTGTCCCATTAGGTAGGGTTGAGAAGAGTAGTTGTTTGATGTGACCACTATCATCAGTATCTCCTGAAGTTGCTCACTGACATGATGGGGTCAGGAAGAAAGGGTGGAGAACTGCATGACCTTATCCCTCTACTCAGCATTCATGAGCCTCCAGCTGGCTCTGATCTATGAATGTACCTCCTTTACCCCTGAGGGCTGCGGACAGCACTGATGACAGCTTCCTTTAAATGCTTTGACTTCAGAAGGTGATCATAGACACTCATATTGATTTTCTTTTATTTACTGTAGCTGGAATGACATTCCCAGAGGAAAAGAGGCAATGCCCTTTGAGTCACAGAGAGTGTCTGGGGCACCTTTAGAGTAATGTAGACGGGACTTCAACCTTTGCATTATTCAGTGAAAGAGGGGACCACATTTGACTTTATGCCATGTTATCTATGAGCTCATGATCTTAGAGAAAGCAATGTGCAAAGGAAGGTATTAAATAGAAATGGAGGGCAACATCTGTTGAAATAGGGAAATCCTAGAGGGAAAGCAAGTGATTTAAAAGAAATCTGACATTGCAAATCACACTGGGGCTGAGAATTAATAGATTTAGGAGAAGAGAGCAATGAATATGTGAGCAGCTTTATATTTTGATCTCTTTGAGATGTACATACACTAAATTTCCAGATCTCTTTTTGGTGTCATGAAACCCTAGGGCTATTTGTCAGGGTGTACAAAAACGTGATTTGGAATGTTGTTAGGGAGGAAGCAAAGAAGAGAAAAAGAGGTGCTGGGCAGATTTGTATACACAAGAGGGTGAATTTTTCTGTGGAATGTTGATCAGCAGATGGAGAAGACGATGTCGGAATCAAGCCATAGATGCCCAGAAACTAATAATTACGGAAACTTCTGATGTCAGTGAGTGAAGTCTGGTAAGTTTTGTTTTATTAATATATTGCCTTTCAAGACACAACCTGTCCAAGTCATAGGGACATATTCATAAAGGGTGTTCTTTTTTCAAAAAAAAACTTTATTGAGGTATAATTTACATTCCATAAAGTATACAATTCCATGACCTTTATTAAATGGTGCAACCATTACCACAATCAAAGTAAGGTCTAGAACATTTATATCATCCCAATAAGATTCCTTGTGTTAAGTTGCAATTAATACTCATTGCCATTCCCACCTCCAGACAGCCACTAATTTACAGACCTCTGTAGATTTGCCTTTTCTGGATATTTCATATAAATACAATCTACAAATGGAGTGTTTGCTCTTTTGTGTCTCACTTCTTTCACTTAACAGTGTTTTGGAGTTTCATCCATATTATAGGATTTATCTGTATCTTTTTCCTTTTATTGCTAAATATACCACACTTTGTTTATCCATTTGCCAGTTGATGGACTGTTGATTTGGGTTGTCTCTAATTTTTGGATAGTATGAATAAGCCATTATGAATTATTGTTGGAACAGTTTGTAGACTGTCATGTGTATAGAGAGGAGCATGGCTTTCCTCACATGTGAAAGCTTTTCCAATGATTTTTGAAATTAAGTATCATTATTGGTACCATATTTTAGAAATATAGTATTTACTCGATATTATAATTAATAAGTACAGCTCTATCCAAATGAAATCAGAGAACATTTTATGTAGAGACACTGTTTTATAGATCCTGTAAGGCATGCCAACAAAGGTACTAAATGTCTATATTTTCATAGAAATACTGAACAAAAGACTGCAGTCACTTTTAAATTCACAAGTCCTCTTCATATTTTCATCCCTCAAACAAATCCCTTATATCTTTTCCTCATATTATCATTTTTTTCTCCTTTGACCCTTTGAAAAACGTATATTTTTCTTCAGTGTTGTCAAACAGATCATTACTTCTAAGTTGGTAACTTTAAAGTTTCTTCATGAAACTTTATACTTCAGTCTTTATACTTTACGTGTGATAAATAATTTTTAAACACTATTATTTTCTAAATGGGCTTTCATCATGGGGATCACTAAGTTATAGAAATAAAGATGAGTTAAAAAGCCAATGCAGGTGTCCACTGGGTGGAAAGGTGAGAAGAGGAGGCCCTGGAAATGTCAGGAAGCTAGTTATGGACCACAGGGCGAGTCTCAGGTGGATTTTGAAGTGTCAAACAGCAGGATTCCCTCTGCCTTTGGTCTGGGTTACCTGTGGAGCCAAAGGCACTTCTGTGTTTTCACAATGGCAAGAGGCAGTGAGAAGAAGAAGAAGGAGAACACAGACAGCTGCATGGCTGTAATCACCATTTACAGAGTACATGGTCTGTGCCAGGCTTTCTGCTAAACACAAGCTTTATGTTGTTTTATATTCACCAGGACTCTGTGAGGTGGGTATTGGTGTCACTTATAGTCTACAGATGAAGAAACTGAGGCTCACAGAAGTCAAGTAAGTGCCCCAGATTTCACAACTATGGAGTGATGGGAGTGAGATTTGGTTGTATGTGACTAGAAATTTCTTAATTTTTATGCTGTGATATATAAGATTATTATCATTAAGACAAATTCTTAGAGAGTTAGAGCCAAAGCACTACCTCTTGCATATCTGTGGTGGAGACTTTCCGCAGAGAGCAGGGAGCAGGCATTCCAATGCTGTTCTTCCGTGAGTCTTTGACTGCCCTGTTTGCCACCAGCTGTGAGTGCCCATACAACGAACCAAGCATCATCCAAGTGGATCCTGACTTTGAAACTTAGAGAATTGTGTTGCAATGCAACTATAAGAAAGCCTGGGATTTTAAAAAAATCAGCAGTTTTGAAACAGAAAGGGAGTAAAAGCTGTAAAGAGAACACTATTAGAGTCATCAAATGTCTCCTGCTTAAGATTGAAAAACTTACATTATACAGAATACTACAGTATTATAAATGAGTGTCAGCATTCATCTATTTTTTGGTCATGTTTATGCCCAGGATTTAATATTGGCCATTTTTTTTCTTTTAATGATCTTAAACAAATGGATAAGCTATTGAGAGCCATATTACCTGCCAATTTAAAATTAAAAAAAAATTTAAAAAGGAGACAGTACAATAAAGTTTAGGGCCTAGAGATGTTTTTTTCTCTCTTTTCCATGCATACTATATCATCAAAGTCAATTTGGCCTAGAGGCATTTATTTATAGTTAAGGACAAGGAAATCTGTCAGAAAAATAAGTTCAACCACACGAATCCATCTAGGAAGCCAGGAAGGCCCAAAGGAAGAGAGGATCCTGGAGGGAAGCCCCTCTCCAGGGTGCACATTTGCAAGGCAGGAAGAGTTTTGGGGCTGGGTTTATCCAGCTCACAATTGAGCTGATAGAGATATCTTCTTCAAAGATAATTGTGTATGTCTTTGGGTGGAGGGAAAGGATTTATGGAGCACAGTTTCTATTATCTATCTTCTGACATTCTCATTATTAATCACCTTCAATAGTTAGATCAGGGAGTCTCAACATCCTACAGGTGATTCTGATATGGTGGTCTTTGAACTGCATTTCAAAGACATTGAAATCAAATCACATGATTTTGATCTTCCTCTCCCTCCATAAGCTCAGAGCTACTGTTAGAATTTAATTTGCTTATCTGACTAAGAAACCTCAAGGCTCAACAACATAGCTTCTGGTCTGTGATATGAAGAGGTGTCACTTTCCTTCACATAGGGAATTGTGAAAAGGAATTTAGAACCGTCATTGAGTCTGTTATTTGAGTTTGGAAACTGTGAGACTGTGTGGGAAAATTCTCTGCAGCCTTAAAAGTACAGGAATGGATCTTTTTTGGCTTGTGAGCTCAACCAAAGTGAAGTAGAGAAAAGGTCCTCTGTCTCTGTGTTGAGGTGCAGGAGAAAAAAGTTGAGGGGGAAGAGGACAGGGGACACAGAGCCAGGGCTTTCAGAGGTTGCTTGCAATACCATAAGGAACACTAGTGCACTCTCATTGGAGCTGCCCAGCTTTGGAGAGGCTCAGTAGCTATTTGGTGGCTCATTCATGTATTTCCAGGTATGTTCCAAATTTGAATACGTATTCTTTATATGTTGTTGGGTTTTTTTTTTTTTTGAGACCAGTCTGTTGCCCAGACTGGAGAGCAATGGCGCAATCTCGGCTCACAGCAACTTCATCCATGTCCCTGCAAAGGACATGATCTCATTCCTTTTTTGGTTGCATAGTATTCCATGGTGTATATGTACCAAATTTTCTTTATCCAGTCTATCATTGAAAGACATATGGGTTGGTTCCATGTCTTTGCTGTTTTAAATAGTGCTGCAATAAATATATGTGTGTGCATGTGTCTTTATAGTAGAATAATTTATAATCCTTTGTGTATATACCCAGTAACGGGAGTGCTGGGTCAAATAGTATTTCTGGTTGTAGATCCTTGAGGAATTGCCATATTGTCTTCCACAACGGTTGAACTAATTTACATTCCCACCAATGTGTAAAAGCATTCCTATTTCTCCACAACCTCGCCAGCATCTATTGTTTCCTGACTTTTTAATAATCACTATTCTGACTGGTGTGAGATGGTATCTCATTGTGGTTTTGATTTGCATTTCTCTGATGATCAGTGATGTTGAGCTTTTTCTCATATGTTTGTTGGCCATGTAAATTTCTTCTGAGAAGTGTCTGTTCATATCCTTTGCCCACTCTTTGATGGGGTTGTTTGATTTTTCTTTTAAATACATTTAAGTACCTTGTAAATTCTGGATATTGGAGCTTTGTCAGATGAGTAGATTGCAAAAATTTTCTCCCATTCTGTAGGTTGCCTGTTCACTCTGTTGATAGTTTCTTTTGCTGTGCAGAAGCTCTTTAGTTTAATTGGATCCAATTTGTGAATTTTGGCTTTTGTTGTAATTGCTTTTGGTGTTTTTGTCATGAAGTCTTTGCCCATGCCTGTGTCCTAAATGGTATTGCCTAGGTTTTCTTCTAGGATTTTTATGGTTTTAGGTCTTACATTTAAGTCTTTCATCCATCTTGGGTTAATTTTTGTATAAGGTGTAAGGAAGGGGTCCAGTTTCAGTTTTCTGTGTATGACTAGCCAGTTTTCCCAGCACCATTTAATGAATAGGAGATCCTTTCCCCATTGCTTGTTTTTGTCAGGCTTGTTAAAGATCAGATGGTTGTAGATGTGTGGTGGTATTTCTGAGGTTTCTGTTCTGCTCCATTGGTCTACATATCTGTTTTGGCACCAGTACTATGCTGTTTTGCTTACTGTAGCCTTGTAGTATAGTTTGAAGTCAGGTAGCGTGATGCCTCCAGCTTTGTTCTTTTTGCTTAGGATTGTCTTGGCTATATGGGGTCTTCTTTGATTTCATATGAAATGTAAAGTAGTTTTTTCTAACTGTATGAAGAATGTCAATGGTAGTTTAATGGGAATAGCATTGAATCTATAAATTACTCTGGGCAGTATGGCCATTTTCATGATATTGATTCTTCCTATCCATGAAGATGGGATGTTTTTCCATTTTTTTGTGTCCTCTATTATTTCCTTGGGCAGTGGTTTGTAGTTCTCCTTGAAGAAGTCCTTCACATCTCTTGTTAGCTGTATTCCTAGGTACTTTATTCTCTTTGTAGCAATTGCGAATGGGAATTCATTCATGATTGGCTCTCTGCTTGTCTATTGTTGGTGTAAAGGAATGCTTGTGATTTTTGCAATTGATTTTGTATCCTGAGAGTTTGCTGAAGTTGCTTATCAGTTCAAGAAGTTTTTGGACTGAGACAATGGGGTTTCTAAATATAAAATAATGTCATCTGCGAACAGAGACAACTTGACTTCTTGTATTCCTATTTGAATACCCTTTATTTTTTTCTCTTGCCTGATTGCCCTGGCCAGAATTTCCAATACTATGTTGAATAGGAGTGGTGTGAGAGGGCATCGTTGTCTTGTACCGGTTTTCAAAGGGAATGCTTCCAGCTTTTGCCCATTCAATATTATATTGGCAGTGGGTTTGTCAAAAATAGCTCTTACTATTTTGAGATATGTTCCATCAATACCTAGTTTGTTGAGAATTTTTAACATGAAGGGATGTTGAATTTTATCAAAGGCCTTTTCTGCATCTATTGAGGTAATCATGTGGTTTTTTTTCTTTGGCTCTGTTTATGTGATGGATTACGTTTATTGATTTGCGTATGTTGAACCAGCCTTGCATCCCAGGAATAAAACTGACTTGATCGTGGTGGATAAGCTTTTTGATGTGCTCCTGGATTCAGTTTGCCAGTATTATATTGAGGATTTTCACATGTATGTTCATCAGGGATATTGACCTGGAGTTGTCTTTTTTTTGTTGTGTCTCTTCCTGGTTTTGGCATCAGGATGCTGCTGGCTTCATAAAATGAGTTGGGGAGGAGTCTCTCCTTTTCAATTGTTTGGAATAGTTTCAGAAGGAATGGTACCAGCTCCTCTTTGTATTTCTGGTAGAATTCAGCTGTGAATCCATCCTGTCCTGGGCTTTTTTTTTTTGGTTGGTAGCCTATTAATTACTGCCTCACTTCCAGAGCTTGTTATTTTTCTATTTAGGGATTCAACTTCTCCCTGGTTTACTCTTGGTGGGATGTATGTGTTCAGTAATGTATCCATTGCTTCTGGATTTTCTAGTTTATTTGTGTAGAGGTGTTTATAGTATTATCTGATGGTAGTTTGTATTTCTGTGGGATCAGTGGTGATATCCCTTTTATAATTTTTTATTGTGTCTATTTGATTCTTCTCTTCTTTTTTAGTTTAGCTAGTGGTCTATCTATTTTGCTATTTTTTTTCAAAAAACCAGCTCCTGGATTTGTTTTTTTTTGGAGGGTTTTTCATGTCTCTATCGTCTTCAATTCTTCTCTGATCTTAGTTATTTCTTATCTTCTGTTAGCTTTTGGATTAGCTTGTTCTTGCTTCTCTTGCTCTTTTCATTGTAATGTTAGATTGTTGTTTTGAGATCTTTCCAGCTTTCTGATGTGGGCATTTGGTTCTACAAATTTCCCTCTTTACACTGCTTTAGCTGTGTCCCAGAGATTCTGGTACATTGTTGCTTTGTTCTCATTGGTTTCAAAGAACTTCTTGATTTCTGCCTTAATTTTATTATTTACCCAGGAGTCATTGATGAGCAGGTTGTTCAATTTCCATGAAATTTTTTGGTTTTTTAGTGAGTTTCTTAATCCTGAGTTCTAATTTGATTGCACTGTGGTCTGAGAGACTGTTCGTTATGGTTTCTGTTCTTTTGCATTGCTCAGGAGTGATTTACCTCCTATAGTGTGGTCAATGTTAGAATAAGTGACATGCAGCACTGAGAAGAATGTATATTCTGTTGTTTTGCAGTACAGAGTTCTGTAGACACTACTAGATCCACTTGATGCAGAGCTGAGTTCAAGTCCTGAATATCCTTGTTAATTTTCTGAATCATTGATCTGTGTAATACTGACAGTGGGGTGTTAAAATCTCCCATTATTATTGTGTGGGAGTTTAAGCCTCTTTGTAGGTCTCTAAGAACTTGTTTTTTGAAGCTGGGTGCACCTGTATTGGTTGCATATATATTAGAATAGTTAGCTCTTCTTATTGAATTATTCCTTTTACCATTATTTAATGCCCTTCTTTGCCTTTTTTCAATAATTGTTGGTTTAAAGACTGTTTTGTCAGAGACTAGGATTGCAACCCCTGCTTTTCTTTTTTTGCTTTCCATTTGCTTGGTAAATTTTCCTCCATCTCTTTATTTTGAACTTGTGTGTGCCTTTCCTTGTAAGATGGGTCTCCTGAATACAGCACCCTGATGGGTCTTGACTCCTTATCCAATTTGCCAATCTGTGTCTTTTAATTGGGGCATTTAGCCTATTTACATTTAAGGTTAGTATTGTTATATGTGAATTTCTTCCTGTCATTATGATGCTATATGGTTATTTTGCACATTAGTTGATGCAGTTTCTTCATGGTGTCATTGGTCTTTATATTTTGGTGTGTTTTTGCAGTGTCTGGTACCAGCTTTTCCTTTTCTTATTTAGGACTTCTTCCAGGAGTTCTTGCAGGGCAGGTCTGGCGGTAACAAAATCCCTCAGCATTTGCTTGTCTGGAAAGGATTTTATTTTTCCTTCACTTATGAAGGATAGTTTGGTTGGATATGAAATTCTGAGTTGAAAATTCTTTTCTTTAAGAATGTTGAATATGGGCCCCCAATCTCTTCTGGCTTGTAGAGTTTCTGCTGAGGGGTCCACTGTTAGTCTGATGAGCTTCCCTTTGTAGGTGACCTGGCCTTTCTCTCTGGCTGCCCTTAACAGTTTTTCCTTCATTTTGACCTTGGAGAATCTGATGATTATGTGTCTTGGGGTTGTTTTTCTCATGGAGCATCTTAATGGTGTTCTCTGTATTTCCTGAATTTTCATGTTGGGGAAGTTCTCCTGGATAATATTCTGAAATGTGTTTTCCAGCTTGTTTCCATTCTCCCCATCTCCTTCTGGTATTCCAATTAATTGTAGGTTTGGTCTTTTTATGAAGTCCCATATTTCTTGGAGGTTTTATTCATTCCTTTTCATTCTTTCTTCTCTATTCTTGTCTGCATGTCTTATATCAGTAAGGTGGTCTTCAAACTCTGATATTCTTTCTTCTGCTTGGTCGATTCAGTGTTGATACTTGTGTATGCTAAATGAAGTTCTCATGCTGTGCTTTTTATCTCCATCAGGTCATTTATGTTCCTCTCTAAACTAGTTATTCTAGTTAGCAATTCCTCTAATCTTTTATCCAGGTTCTTAGCTTCTTTGCTTTGGGTTAGAACATGCTCCTTTGGCTCATCTTAGTGTTTTATTACCTATCTTCTGAAGCCTACTTCTGTCAATTTGTCCATCTGATCCTCTGTGCAGTTCTGCACCCTTGATGGAGAGATGTTGTGACCCTTTGGAGGAGAAGAGGCACTTTGACCTTTTGGGTTTTCAGCATTTTTTACTTGATTCTTTCTCATCTTCGTGAGTTTGTCTAGTTTCCGTCTTTGAGGCTGCTGACACTTGGATGGGGTTTTTGTGGGGGCCTTTTTTGTTGTGATTGTTGTTGATGCTGTTGTCGCTTTCTGCTTGTTGGTTTTTCTTTCAATAGTCGGCTCCCTCTTCTGTAGGGCTGCTACAGTTTGCTGGGGGTTTGCTTCAGGCCCTATTCATCTGATTTGCTCCTGTGCCTTGAGATGTCACTCAGGGAGGCTGGAGAGCAGCAAAGATGGGTGCCTGCTCCTTATTCTGGGGCCTCTGACATTGAGAGGCACCAACCTGATGCTAGTAGGATTGGTCCTGTACAGGGTGTCTGACAACCCCTGTTGGAGCGTCTCACCCAGTTGGATGACACAGGGAGCAGGATCCATTTAACAAAGCACTTTGTTCCTTGGTGGAAAGAGTGTGTTTCACTGGGGAAAAACCCACTCCTCTGGGCTGCCTGGATTCCTCAGAACTACCAGGAGGAGAGGCTAAGTCTGCTGGTCTGCAGAGACTGCAGCCACCCCTTCCCCTACGGGCTCAGGCTCAGGGAGATCTGAATTCTGTCCCTGAGCTTCTGGCTGGAATTATTGGAGATCCTGCGGGGAAGCCCTGCCCACTGAGGAAGGATGGGTCAGGGTTAGGCCTGAAGAGGTATTCTGGTCACACACTGCCACAGCAGGTATGTGGGCTCTGGGGACAAGTCTTGGGACCAAGCTGTCCACCCTCCCTGGCTCCAGCAGGGGAATAGCACAGCCTGGAGCTATAGAAATGTGTGCCCCCCTTCCCCTGCCCAGGGAGCTTAGTGTGTTAGACAGTTGTGAGTCCCAGTGCTGGCTGCTGCCCCTCCCCCAAAGAGCTCAAATGGCTTAGACAGCAGGCAGCCTTGGTGCTGGTTGCCCCTCCTGCTGGGAGTTTTGTAGGCTTAAGCAGATTCCAGCTGAGAGGCTGTAAGAATCTGCATGTTCTGGGGTTGGGATCCTCGGCCCCGGTGGTGTGGTTTAGCAAGTGGGATCTTCGGATCTGTGGGTTGCACAGTTCTGTGGGAAAAGCACAGTTTCCTGGGCTGGGTAGCACTCTCACTCACTGCCTCCCTTGGCTTGGGGGAGGGGGTTCCCCTTCCTTGTGTGGCTCTCAGGTGGGCCACCACACCACACTGCTCTTCCTTCTCTCCGTGGGTCACGCAAGCCTTCTAGTCAATTTCGATGAGCGAACCTGGATACCTTGGTTGCTGGTGAAGGATTCACATGCTTATTATGCTTTTTTATTTTTTTCAATGGGAGCCACCAATTGCTGCTGTTTCTAGTGGGCCATTTTGGCTCCACCCCCAGTGGCATCTTACGGACAGTTGTGTTCCAAAGGAGGGATGAGAATAGCTGCTGAGGTCTTAAAAAGCAACCCTAACTCTAGCCATGGGCACACAGGCACAAAACATGATGGAAGTTGAAATGGTGGAGTTCTTGTCTGGACCAGCTGTATCATTTTACTACTGGTTACACGTTTTTTATCTGTGAATGACTTGGTTGGGTGCACCTTTTGGGCACATTTTAAAGGTATAAAGAGTCAGCTTGACTACAATGCATGGAGCAAGTTTTAAGTAAAGGACTGAAAATTCATGCTTGGAGAAGTGCAGGCACACCTATTATCCTACCAGCTTCTAGGGTTTTTAATGACCACAGCGAGCAAGCAGCTTACCCCTTGAAAGGGTTTCACCCTGTTGTCCAGGTTGTGCAGTGGTGCAATCATAGTGCACTACAGCCTCAAACTCCTGGGCTCAAGTGATTCTCCGCCTCAGCCTCCCAAAGGGTTGGGATTAAAGGCATGAACCACTGCACCCAATCTAAAAGTGGTCTTTGTTGCAGGCAGCTTGATGAATTCTCTTGGGATAGAAGATTAAACAATGTCTTTCAATTTTAATCAATTTATGCAATTAAAAAATTCATTTCCAACCTGATTATTAAAAGCATTCAGGTTACTTTCTGTATTAGGAATCCTAGCTATAGCTGGAGATGGGAGGGAACATTTTGTCATTTTATTAATTAGAGGTCGATGTGGGCATAGAGAAGGGGATAAAGAAAAGAGGAGGTGAGAAAAAGACATGTGTACATGTCTTTTGTGTGGGCCCTTTCATCCTCAGGTGAAATAGTTTTGGCTTACTGAGAGCTGAAGGAGTGAACTCATGTAAGTGCTGGATTAGTTTCCCGTCCCCCACCCCTCTCCTCAAGTTTGTGTAAATTGTGTGTATCCCAGTACCAGCACCAGCGTCCTTACCCTGCAATGACAAGCTTTCCTGCAGCTTCAGTTAAACAGCTCTACTTGCCTAACAGCTGTCTGATCCATTCTTCTTCAGCTCATTCATTCATTGAGGTGCCATGCTTTCTCTTGGGATAACAATGTGATTAGAAGATCCTGCTGCAGGGTTTCTCAGAGTTGGTTCTGTTCACTATCTGGATAAGCTCCATTAGGAGAATGTATGAAGGTGCAGATTCCTGGGCTTCACCCACAGAGATTTTGATTCTGCTTGTCTGGGGTGAGTCCTGATATTTGTATAGATACTCACTAAATAAGATGTTAACTTACAAACTCACCAATAAGACCTCTGACTTTTTCATAAATGTTTGCATTTTAAAAATATACAGGAAGAATATATCGTGGTATATAAATCATCAAGTTGAATAGACCTTTAGTGATTTTGTTTTTTAAATATTTTCTTTGATTATATTTTACCTTTAGTTTTAGTCTTACGACTTGTACATTTTCTCCTTGCAGTTGTATATCTCGTGCATGTAGAGATTAAAAAATTTTTTTTTGTAAAGCATATTTCCATCGGATACAGTTTAGATATTTGTCCCCATTCAAATCTCATGTTGAAATGTAATCCCCAATGTTGGAAGTGGGGCCTGGTGGGAGGTGTTTTGATTATGGAGACAGATCCCTTATGAATGGCTTGGGCCATCCCCTTGGTGATAAGTGAGCTTTCGCTCTGAGTTCACATGAAATCTGGTCGTTTAAAAGTGTGTGGCACCTCCTCTTTCCTGCTACTGCTTCTGTCACATGAGATGTTTACCCCTCCTTCACCTTCCACCATGACTGGAAGCTTCCTGAGGCCTCCACAGAAGCAGATGCCAGTGCTATGCTTCCTGTACAGCCTGCAGAACCATGAGCCAATTAAACCTCTTTTCTTATAAATGACTAAATCTCAAGTATTTCTTTATAGCAATGCAAGAACGGCCTAAATCACCATCCTATTTTTATCACTGGATCCTCATGAGATATGAATGAGGAGAACCCATTTCAGCTGAGGATACTGAGGCACAGAGATGTTAGGTGACTTGCCTAAGTGGCTTACAGTCAGAGCTATCAACCTCAGTTCTTATTCCAGAGATATTTCTGATTTGACTTGAGGCACTGCCTGCCTTCATGCTTGATCAGATTTGTCTATGATGGATAGAGACCTTTGGAAGTCACCTGGAACCTTCTCCTGCTGTTGGGGCATCTAAAACAGGCCAGCTGAAGGAGACTGTTATATCTAAGGCTCCTTGGAAAAAGGCCTTACAGTCAGATGCTCTCCAGAGATGTTCCTCTGCAGGTGACCACCCTGTTCTCTGACTGTCTCCAGCCAAAACTAAATCATTCCAGGTTTGAGACAGGCTTCTCTGAGGCCCCAGGGCACCTGAATTTCTCTCCTTGAATGTAGTCAATTACTCTGTACCCTGTACAGGCTGGCCTTGACTTATTTCCACCCCTTGCTAGGCACAAGGCCATACTTGCAGCCAGTAAGAGAGAGAGCTGAGGCTGATATGTGCATCTCTTGAGGCACCCTGTGCAGTGGAAAGAACTCTGGGAGACATGGCTTTGCATTCTGCATCTGGCATTGTGACCTTGGACAAGTGACTTAACCTTTCTGAGCTTTGGTTTCCTCATCTGTGAAATGAGGATAATAATACATAACTTATGGGGCAATTTTAATACTAAAAATATCATCTGTGAAGTAGTATCTGGCCTTGTTGATCAGGGTGGGTGCATGGGGAATGCTGATTCCCTTTCCTGTCTCTCCTTTTGGGCACTGCTCTTCCCTTCCTCAGGTCTAAGCTGACAGCAGACTTCTCTGCAACTGCTAGGATGAACTGTCTCATTAGAGATGACAACAGCTGCATAGTAGCACCCTGCTACTTAACCTTTATTATTAGCGGCAATTCTTTTTTAATTTTAAGTCCATCCGTAATGTTGGTCAGAGGTTTTCTGATACCTTTCTGAGTGCCCAAAGCAACAGTGACATTATGTTCAGCCACAGCCTTCAGTGATGACCTTCTCTCCTGCTGCCCCTAGTGGCCCCAGCCCCAGTTGTCAGAAGTCCAGGAGCTGGAAGGAGATTTGCACCGTCTCCTGGGGATGGTGCTTACCCAGGGCCATGTCCAGCCTGGACCTCAAAGACCTGCTTCCTCCTCAAGGGAGGAAGCAAGATCTCTTGACAATCAAGGGATCTTCTAGGTCTTGGTAATGGAATGCAAGAGGGTGCTGGTGCTGCTTCAAAGGGAACTTCTCACTGGGCGAGGAAGAGTATGATGATGCTGAAGTCCACCAGGTTGACTTGGGCTGTGGAACCCTTTCTTGAGGGAGTGGGCTTTCCAGAATCAAGGAAGAAGGGTAGATATTCATCAGATTGTGTTTCAGAAAGGCTCTTATTAGCATAACTGTCCTTAAAATGAAAATGGAATTGTATGGTCATATTTAAGATTAAACTCTCTCTTGAATCTGTAAAATATAAGCTGTTTGGCTCTGCTTTTAAGATGAGCATAGATTGCAATATTTTTGTGGGTGTTTGCTTTTTTGAGATGCTTTGAGTCTGGCCAGGTTATTAGAAGCATTTTACAGTTAAAATGTTTGCTTACCATCACTCAAAAATAGGGCTGGAGGAAACTCAGATACCATTGTTCCATGTTTTGAAGCAGAAATGAAAAATAGTAGTTCAAGGATAAGAAAGGCTAGTGCGAGATGCCGTTGCAGAAAAGAAATGGCAGGAGTGGGGCCTGGGTGTGGCTTCTTCTGCCCTTGTGCTCTGAGTCCTGCGTTTCCTGACTGTACTCCCCTCATTAAAGGAGGATGCACAGCTACACCTGCAGCCCTGACACCTCCCCAAGTAACACAACAGGAACCTTCCGCCAGGCAAGTGACTGAAGGTGGAAATGGAAAAGCCCATAGCAGGATCATGAAAGAGTTCTTAGGGGCAGAAGGACTGTCTTTATACTCCCCAGACTCATTGCCAAAGCTGCCTGCTCTCTTGATCTGAAAATGGACTTTGCTTTAATCCAAGTTAGGCCAACAGGTGACTGGAGTCAGGTCAGACGGGGGATTAGGGTATGCAGTATTGTAGAGAACTGGGGAGTTTGGAAATAGGAACTCATATTTTTTGGTAATGAAGAAGCGTTTATGTGAAGTGTAACATTTCCCTTAGTTTCATTTCAGTTTCCTTTTTGTGGGTACTATGTAAAATTTAATTCAACTCCTTTTATTAAAAGTACATAATGTAAGATTTTTTTTTCATAAAATTATTTTGTCTTTCTACCCTCCTTCCATTTATCTATTTATTCTTCAAGTATGGAAATGTGGAAAAAAATGATTTTCAACACAAGATGACACTATCTCTTCTGCCCCACACTGGTAATATTTCAGTAAATTTTTGTACTTTTCTGTATTTTTTACTTTTAATAGTTTTGATATATTTTGTTTAAAAATCATTTCTTTCCTTCTTTCCTTTTCTTACCACCTTCCTACTCTCTCTTCCTTCATCCCTCCTTCCTTCCATCCTGCCTACTTTTCTTCCTTCTTTTGAAAAACAGTGAAGATAGTTTAAATGGAGAAGGTAACCAGCACAGAGGCCACTTCCTGCTCCTTGTGATGGTTCCCCAGTATGCAGCCCCTCTAAAATCACTCCCTGCTTCAGCAGCCTGTCTTCTGCTTAGGATGACCGGCTGTGGGTAGTCACATTCTATGCCTGTTTTCTCAGTATATTATCACCAGTGCTTTCTTTCACTCTCTACATGTGTTGTCCTGTTACCAGTGGGAGGTATCTGCTACTGGTGGCAAATCTGTGTGGGTCTACAGCAACCTCAATTCTTGCCTTCCTCAGAAGAAAGAATTTGACTGAGGGGCATAAGGCAGAAAAAATGATGGAAGCAAGTATCAGAGCAGGAGTGGACATTTATTAAAAAGCTTTAGAGGCCAGGTGCGGTGGCTCACGCCTGTAATCCCAGCACTTTGGGAGGCTGAGGTGGGTGGATCACGAGGTCAGGAGATTGAGACCATCCTGGCTAACATGGTGAAACCCCCTCTCTACTAAAAATATAAAAAATTAGCCAGGCATGGTGGCGGGCGCCTGTAGTCCCAGCTACTCGGGAGGCTGAGGCAGGAGAATGGCGTGAACCCTGGAGGCGGAGCTTGAAGTGAGCCGAGATGGCACCACTGCAGTCCAGCCTGGGCAACAGAGCAAGACTCCGTCTCAAAAGAAAAAAAAAATAATAAAAAAGCTTTAGAGCCGGAAAGAAAGGAAAGTACACTTGGAAGAGGTCCACTTGGGCGACTTGAAGAACAAGTGTGGTGTTTAACCTTGATCCTGGGACTTTATAGGCTGGCCCACCTCCAGCAACTTGCACCCTTTTCCCATGATTCTTCTCTTACGGTGGGCTGCCCGTACCCTTGGGAAGTGAGCATATGCAGCGTGTTTAGAAATTTGTATGCATATTCCTCTGAGGCTTTCTGCCCTTTTCCAGTGGAGTGCCCCTGGAATGTCATACTCTGCCATTTTGTCTCTTAGTGCACAGGCCTGGTAAGTTGCTTCTCCCTGGCATCTGCATTCAATGAACACTTTAGTGCAGCAGGTATGGACCATCAGGAAATGGTTACTCCCTGGTGCTGGCTGCCAATTTATCACTTTTAGAGAGGCAATGTGATGATTGCCAAACCAACGCCTGACATTCCTTGCAGGCTGGGGAGAGCCCTCTCCTGCCCTGCTCATGCCTGTCTCACTCCCTCTACCAGTCCTGGACAATAACTTGCCTGGCTGCTCTACTTTCACTTCAGCACAGGGCCCCAGAGCAGGGACCCAGGCCACCTATTTTATGTTCATGGGCAGTGAGCCTGGGGCCTGAGGATCTCTGGGGATAATGTTTTGTGCTCCCCTTCCCCCACATGCTGGGCACAAAATAGGGAGAGAAGCTGCCTTTAAATGTGGCTGCCTCTTTATGCTGAGAAAAAAAAAATCCCACAGGACCCAGGCTGGTGCCCAAGTGCTTCCCCCAGAGGATGCCTGTGGGAGGAATGGCGAACAATGGTCATTTCAGCTGCATTAGGCTCCTTTGCTGTAATCTCCCAATCTAAATAGGCTTGTAATTGTAGAGCAGGAATGAAGTGGTTGGGCAGACGTGTTCTCTGTTGGAAGCACGGCCACAGACAGACTTAGCATCTCACTTTCCTTGTAATCTTTAAATGTGTTCACAGTATATACCCCACTACCCCATGAAAAACCTAATGCTCTCCCTGATGCTCAAAGAACCATGGGTCTGGTTCCAAGAAGGAGGCTGCTGCTTCTTTCAGGTTGACAGGCTTTGCTCCTGAACCACTCAGTGACAGAGAACAAGGACAGACTGTCTAGTATGAGAGACTTTGGGCTCTGGTAAGAGTTCCTGCAGCCTATCCTGTCATTGGTGTTTTGAATAAAGCAGTGACTCTTCAGGGAGTCCTCTCCTTCCTCCCTCCCTCCCTCCCTCCCTCCCTCCCTCCCTCTCCCCTCCCTCCCTCCCTCCCTCCCTCCCTCCCTCCCTCCCTTCCTTCCTCCCTTCCTTCCTTCCTTCCTTCCTTCTTTCCTTCCTTTCTGCATCCTCCTTCCCTCATCTTCCTTCTTTCCTTCTGGTCACTTGTTTATTAATAGTAATAAATAATTATGCAAATAATCCCAAGAATACCTTGTACTTCTGCATCCACTTTAAAAACAAGGGAAACAAGCCTGAGAGATGGTAACTGACCCAGGAGCTTCAGATGCTGTTAGAGCAGGGATATCTGTCTGACTCTGGAGCTCAGGAAAACATATCACTACTATGTGCTACTGTGTCTCATGTGGAAGAGGCCACAGACTGACAGTGCATCACCACCTAGAGCTTCAGGGGAGGATGATGTGGCATGGCAGGTGGCTGTCCTAGCTCACTGGCAGGCTGAAAAAGCTGACTCAACCTTCATGGGGCTAATCGGAATATGGATGCTTGAGGAAAGAGTCCAGTGACTGTGGTCACTAGGGGACTAGAGTGACTGTGCCATGTGTGGGTTGACCAACTCCAAAACTATTGATGTAGGTGTTTTAAGCATTTCTTTCCTGTGTGAACTATTCAGTATTCAAGGTAAAGTTCAGGGTCAAAAAGTTCTATTTAGCAAAGCAACATAAAGTTGTAGAGAAAAAAACGATTCCCCTTTGTCATTAATTCCAGTACTTTTCTTTAGGACCTTAATTTGGACTCATGGTTTCCCCATTAACTATATAAATGGGATTAATGACTTGATTCCAGCAGAGAACATGAAGTACTTAAGGAACTGTTTCAGCCAGATGACATGTTATTATTACCAGTAAGAGGTGGGAATATTAGCATTTATATGGTCCTTTATTTGCAGAGACTATTCTGATGGGTTATTCACACACATATTATACTCTTAATGGTCATTTTGTGCTCCCCCATTTGTCATGCTTGTATATATTTGCAACATTAAAATATTATATTACTAAGGACGAATGATGTCCATAGAAGCCTGCAGCTGCCTGTCCCGTGTGGTCATAGAATACTTGCTTTCCTGCCGGGGATCCTGACCCAACTGTCCCCACTCCTAAAGGCCTCTGTAGGGGTTTTAGGTTCAGGGATCTTAAATTTAGTTGTCTCCTCTTGGTAGAGAATTAAACGATGTGTTTTATAGCTTATTAAGGGGTCTTCTATGTGGGACATTTCCACATTGAGTGGTAGGGGAGTAGGGGAGTTGGGGTGGTGGTGATCTTTGTTTTTAGTTATAAATTTTTAAATTCTTTTTTTTTTTGCTCTATTTTCATAGCCTCTTAATGCATTAAATTTGGCTTAGGCTTTTTTGAGTTACTAGATTTTCATTTTTACCAGAGTTTAAATATATACTTTATTTATTAATGCATCATAGTTGTATAGATATTGGGGGCACATTTGATATTTTCATACCTATATGCAATGTGTAATGATGAAATCAGGGTAATTGGAATAACCATCACCTCAAACATTAATCTATTCTTTGTGTTGGGAATATTATAATTCTTCTCTTCTAGCTATTTTGAAATAACAATAAATTATTGTTAACTATATTTTCCCTACTATGCTATCGACTACTAGAACGTATTCCCTCTATGTAGCTGTATTTTTGTACCCATTAACCAACTTCTTTTCATTCTCCCTCTTCCCTAATTAACCATCGAAGCAGAGTCTGTTTGACATAATACAGGGTAGATACTGATTTGTCACGGAAGTTGTCTCCCACGTTTTCCATTGCAATATCATTTCTAAGACCTCTATTTCCTGCTTAACAAGTTAAAGGATGACAACAACAACAACAATTGGGCAAGTATTGAGTTTTAAATGTTAAACACTCAGCTAAATACTGTAAATTCATTATCACCATTTACCCATCACAGTAGTGCTATAAAATAGATTCGATTATTATCTCCGTTTTACAAAGACAGAGCTGAGATGTAGAGTATTAAATGACTTCTCCAGCCAGCACTCTATCTAATATTCCAACTCAGTTATCTACCGTTACTTGTAGCTAAACTGCACCTTAAATCTATTGAATCTCATAACTTAAAAGAATTTTTTGCTAGTTTTAGAAAACAGTTACCTGTAGTTTAGTTTAATTTACGGGTTTTTTTAGGGACCTTCTCTGCCCTCAAATGACCTAGATGCACTGAGATTAAGTCAGAAAATGTCCTCAGCGCTGGACCTTTTTTTGTCTTAGCTCAGCTTTTTCTGTCGATGAAAAGAGTCACACTCTGTAAAATATTTGAAGAGATTTATTCTGAGCCAAATGGCCATGGCCCGTGACACAGCCCTCAGGAGGTCCTGAGAACATGTGCCCAAGGTGGGTGGGGTGGCAGTTTGGTTTTATACATTTTAGGGAAACATGAGACTTCAATCAAATATATTTAAGAAATACATTGGTTTGGTCCAGAAAGTTGGGACAACTTGAAGCAGCAGGTAGATTCCAGCTTATAGGTAGATGTAAAAATTTTCTGGTTGACAGTTGATTGAGTTTATCTAAATACCTGGGATCAATAGAAAGGAATGTCTGGATTAAGAAAAAGGATTGTGGACCAGGTGTGGTGGCTCACACCTGTAATCCCAGCACTTTGGGAGGCCGAGGTGGGTGGATCGTGAGGTTAGGAGTTCAAGACCAGCCTGGCCAAGATGGTGAAACCCTGTCTCTACTAAAAATACAAAAAATTAGCCGGGCATGGTGGTGGGTGCCTGTAATCCCAGCTACTTGGAAGGCTGAGGCAAAGAATTGCTTGAACCTGGGAGGTGGAGGTTGCAGTGAGCCGAGATCATGCCATTGCACTCCAGCCTGGGTGACAAAGTGAGACTTTGTTTCAAAAAAAAAAAAAAAGAAAGAAAAAGAAGGATGGTGGAGGCTAAAGTTCTTATTTGCAGAAGAAGCCTTCAGGTAGCAGGCTTCAGAGAGGATAGGTTATAAAATATTTCTCATCAGACCTAAAGTCTGTGTTGACCTTAATGGCAGAGAGGTATAGTGAGGCATGTCTGACCCCCTGACTTCCCATGATGGCCTGAACCAGTCTCTCAGGTTAAATTTTAAGAGTATCCCGGCTGAGGAGGAAGTCCATTCAGATGGTTTGGGGGGCCTTAGAATTTTATTTTTCGTTTACATGTGTCATTGTTTTTCCTTCTAGATGATGATCTCACCTCCAATTTTCATTTTCCTGTTTGGTTTAAAATTTTGAGTTTTCTTCATTTTGCAGTCAGTTCCTTGAATTACAGTGGGCTTTGGAAGTATTGCTCTTTACCACTCTTTTGTGTTAATGAAGTAACATCTGTCAGCAGCTTATTATTTTTCTTATGTGTGAACCCCCAAAATCTGAGACAGGTCTCAGTTAATTTAGAAATTTATTTTGCCAAGGTTGGCGACGTGCACCTGTGATACAGCCTCAGGAGGTCCTCACACGTGCCCAAGGTGGTAGAAGCACAGCTTGGTTTTATACATTTTAGGGAGGCATGAGACAATCAATCAATATGTGTAAAATGTACGTTGGTTCAGTCCAGAAAAGTGAACAACTTGAAGCAAAAGGTGGGACAACTCGAAGCAGAGAGGGGCTTCCAGGTCATAGGTAGATAAGAAACAAATGGTTATGTTATTCTGAGTTTCTGATTAGCCTCTCCAAAGGAGGCAATCAGATATGCATTTATCTCAGTGAGCAGAGGAGATATTGATTTACACTGAGGGATTGGTTCCTTAAATATGTCAGGAGAAAGTTAAATCTTAACTGTGTGTGAGGAAGAGACAATATTAACTTGGAAGGATGTACCTCAAGTGGTTGAATTTCAAGTAAAAGTAGTAAGAGCTAACATCTGTTACATGCACTTCTGCATAGTCACACTTAATCCTCACCTTAGGCAAGTGAAATAGATACTAATTCTCATTTTACTAATGAAGAAATGGAAAGTGATTTGCCTCATGAGATACAGCTGGTCAATGGGGCAGTGGGTTCAAATGATGCTTTCACTTTTTGAATGCCAGCCTTGCCTTGTGGTGGGCCTGGGAGGGGACAACAGTTGTGGTTGGGAGCAACTTCTCCAGCATGGTCAGCCAGAGGCACCAACTCACAGAGCTGGTCCTAAAGAGACTGAGGATTCCTCTCTCGTTTTCAGGGTGCTAATATCTCTCTCCAACTTGGGGTGGGAATTTTCCTAGTTGCTTGAGGTGGACAGAGAGTGAGGTGGATTCTTGACCCCGGACTACTGATGAGGGAGCAGATTTCTTCCAGTGATCCAGGGAATCCTAAGACCCAGCTCTCCTTTAGACAGAATTAACCCTTCTTCCATGCTCAGTAGGTCACTGGGTCCTACACCAGAAAGGAGGAAGGATCTGAATACTGAACATCTAGATGCACACTCTTTCAGGCTTAGCTCTTTCCTCTTTTTCTGGATGGGGGTTTGTGCCTAAGGATTTTTTTTTTTTTGCTTTTGTTTTTGTTTGCAGGGAACATATGACTGGAAATAATCTTTAGATAACTCACTGGGCTTTGCTTTTGTCTGGACTTCATCCACAACATAAGGTGTTAGATCAATGCCTCCAAGAGCCACAAGATTTTTGAAACTCTTGAAAATGTACACAGGTGGGAACTGCCACTTCTGGAAACAATGTTAGCTCTGCTTTCCTCCTGGATGACATTTTTTACTTCTCAGCATTCCTTCAAGGGGCTCTTTAGGTGTCACTGTCACCTGGCTCCGAAGGTGAGAGACCACATCCTTCTGAATCCTTTCATGTCTATCGCCCACTGAAAGGTTAAAAAGAAACATATTGTGGCTGAGCAGTTGCCAAAATGACCTAGAAATTTGTGTCACTCTGATGCTGTATGGAATGGACTCCTTCAAGAGGAGAGGGGACTGCCCACAATGCCTCCACCCCATCCTAATGCAGCTGTGATTATAACAGCCTTGCCTTCTTCCACAGAAAAATGCAACTTTGGAGGTCTGTGTCACTTTAGTGCTCTCAATGCAATGTGTAGCACTGAGATACATTTCTAAGGCTTCTTCCTGACAGACTGAAAGTCCATCAAGCCCTATGGAAAGGTCACTGGAGAGGCCTGAAAATGAACTCATTTCCCTGTCTCCAAAGGACGTGTGTGGAACATTTTGGCAGTGGGGCCTTCACAAGGTCAAAACCCACAGCAAACTCTACCTTCCACACATAAGATACTAGAGAACTCTCCTCCTTTAGAGTTCTTTTGCATTATGCAACTCTGCATTGTACAGTGATTGATTCTCAGCTGGTAACTAAGCATTTGGATGATGGAATGGGCTTTATTTTCAAGTCAGCCTGCTTCTGATTTAGAGTTTAAGATGTGATACAATTAGCATCAGTTTAAAAAATGATCTGTACAATGAGAGTGAGGACCACTTTCCATCATGACCAAGGAGATGTCCTTGGTGCTGTTGACAGTACCCTGGGCTTCATCCTGTTTCCTTTCCGACTGAAATCTTGATGGCACTTTTATTCGGCCCCACCTGTTCTCCTGCTTAATGACACATTTGGAAGAAAAATATGCATATATATCTCTTGTAACAATAACCACTTACTGACTGCCTACGATGCGGGGCCTCTGTGGGTTACTATTATTCAGCTTGCAAACTGGGGCAAAAAGCCAGCCACACTGTACTTGCCAGGCTGTCTGCTTGGAGCAAGTCTGTGTTGTCTAATTCACGAGGACTTACATGGGCTCACAGCAGGGCTGTTCCAATGCAAGCCCATCAAGGAAGTTTATAAACACCATTATGTTTAACCTGCACAAAAGATGAGCAACAGAGATATTACTATTCCTCACTTTACAGAGGGAGAAATTGACTCGGAGGAGTAAAATCACTGGCTCAAGTTTTCATGGTACAGAGAAGTGGAGTGGGTATGGAAGGGAGGAAGACTGGAATGTATCCAATAGTGTTGAATTGGAATTAGGTATATTAATATGAACTCATGGTTTTTAATAAGTAGATATAGAAACAAATGTAGGCTAACAGCAATGACATGCTACTAGCAATAAATATATATAGCATCCAGATGATTGTCTCTAAATATTATTTTCCACTCTAGAAACCAGGTTTCCTTTGGGTAAATGTCTATTTTGGGGCTGGGGCAAAGAAGGTACAAGACAAGCCTGAAACATATTATTTTGCCAGAAAGTAAAAAAGTGCTCAAGGAATGATGGAGAAATTCCCAAAGGACACTGAATCTAGCTAGATGGGTCCACTGGCCAAATTAACAATAAAATGGATTATTATCCGTTGAACAAAATAAAAACCCATGAGACCACAATGATAAAAATAAACAAATAAATAAGGATATAATATAAAGAGTTTCATTACTGGAACAAAACAATAATTGGTCCAATGTTACATAGTCAGGTTTTTTTTTGTGTGTGTGTGTGTGTGTTTTTTTGTTGTTGTTGTTGTTTTTTTTTGAGACGGAGTCTCGCTCTGTCACCCAGGCTGGAGTGGTGCAGTGGCGCGATCTCAGCTCACTGCAAGCTCCACCTCCCAGGTTCATGCCATTCTCCTGCCTCAGCCTCCTGAGTAGCTGGGACTACAGGTGCCCGCCACCACGCCTGGCTAATTTTTTTTTTTTGTATTTTTAGTAGAGACGGGGTTTCACCCTGTTAGCCAGGATGGTCTTGATCTCCTGACCTCGTGATCTGCCTGCCGTGGCCTCTGAAAGTACTGGGATTACAGGCATGAGCCACCACGCCCGGCCTACCTAGTGAGGTTCCAAACTACCATCTCTGTTCTTGCAGAACTTATGTTTATTCTTGAGTCATGGGACCTCTTTACTGCAACAGAATGGTGACTTCCTAGGGAAAGTGTGACGTCTTCACTTAGTGGGACTGGATTCAAGATGGGCTTTCCCATGACTATCCCCTCTAGTCATCGATACTTTGCATATAATTTTTTGAGGTTATTTCCAAAGCATCAGCCAGTGTGCACAGATCCTTTAGGAAAAGAAACTTGGTATTCAGTTGACTCTTCTGTGCCTTTGCTTTTAGAGTTGACACAGGGCTTCTGTTCTTATTAGAAATATGATTGGGAGGAAGGGTGGGGCGGGGGAGGAGGAGAAGGAGGAGGAAGAGGAGGAGGAGAAGGCGAAGGCTCCAAAGAAACAAAAAGAAACAAACCCAAGCTGAAATAAAGTCATTCGAGGTAGGTGTTGGCTAAGACTAAAGCAAAGTTTCAAGAAACAGCTGAACTTTAGGCCCTGGGAAGATTCAAGAAGCCAATCTTCTGCAAAATTGCTCTGTGATGTGATGTTTTTGCCACCTTCCTTTTTTTGGCTTCTTGGAGTCTGTCTGGCGCTCTGCTCTGATTTACTCTGAGCTGCTTCTTCTGGAACTCTGCCCTTACTAGGAATGTTGTGCATATGAGGCAGTAGGGCACTTTCAGAAGTTTAACTGTACTATCTGAAATTTCCTTTTGTGTTTCTTGGTTGAAATTCCCAATGCAAAGAATCTCATTAACTTTATTCCTTTTTTTTTTTTTTGCCAAGCAGCACCCAGTCAATGGATGGACCACTCTTATTTAGGTGTCTCCTTATCATCCAATAAGCTGACACTAGTCTGAGGGGGTGGGTGGGATAAATGAATCACATATTAAACTACACACTGGATTGCTGGTGGGGAGTTCCCTAGTGGAGATGAGTGGGTCTCAATAGACCCAAAAAGCATCTAGGGTTGGTCTAACCACGTTCCCATTATGGTATTAAGTTTGATAAGAGAGAAAAAAAAATCTTTCAGCAAGGAGGAAGAGACCAGAGTGGCTGCTATGGTTTTGCATCCTTTGGTGTCCCTTGACTGCTGCTCATTTAAGAATTTTAGGACCACTGTTGTGTGTGGTCGGGGGACCTAGACTGAAGGGGCCCCCACACTTATGGGCAGCTCTGAAACTACTTAGGCCCTATTTCCACTCTCTGATTGAGACCTCTTCCCTCATCTATTTCCTTTGGTTGAAGCCTCCTTGGACATCCCTCCTCCCTGCACTGGCCCTGTTTGGGTTGCAGTCAAGCTCAGATGCTCTTCTTGACCAGGAAGTCCCTTAAGATGTTAATTTTGTAAGCATCCTTAAGTCCTACCTGATCATACCTAGTCTTGACATTTTTATTCCTATTTTTGACTTTTAGTAATGGCTAACATTTACTGAGGACTTATTACATGTCAGACATTATGCTAAGCTCTCTTTTTGCATTAACTCATTTAATACCCATGAGGCATTCTCCCTATTTTACAGATGATGAAATAAAGTTTAAGAAAATTAAGTAACTTGCCAAAGCTAGCACAACCATTAAGTGGCCAAGATAGAATGCAAACCTTTTATGTCTGAATATATGAGCCTATAAATTTCTACCTTGCAGTGTACTTGTCAGCAGGAAAGAGCCTAGCACTCTCTGTGCATAGTGTGTTTCCATTTTTCTAGCTGTGACACACATTTAAGCTTGGTCTCCCCACCTAGGCTACCCCAGGGTATCCATCTATTGAGTTTCAGACTTGAGCCTAGTTGGAAGCACAAAGGCGGTTCTTGGATACTGTTCTCTGCCCAGACTTCCATTGTAGTTTAGTTCTCAGGCACATGAAACGCAAGCTGTAATTTTTTATTTTCTTCCACTCAGCTCCAGATTGGCTTTCAAGAAGAAGTTTAGTGTTTTTCTTCTGAACTCTAGGCCCCTAAATTTAAACTGACAATAATGGGCAACATCATATGCGTAACACAAATTCCTAAGAAATTGGCCCTGTTAGAAGAGGCAAATGCAATTATATGGCTCACTGGTCTTGTCTGGCAATCAATTTGCTTGAGGAAAATTGATAAGAATGAAACATGTAATTGATTTGGCTGATATCTCTACATATATTCCACTCCTCTGCCCCCACCACCCTAGCCAAAGCTAGGGGTGAGAAAATGTGGCATCTTTTACTTGCCAATTACCAAGCCTGCCTCTTAAAGGTTTTTTAATGGAAAAAAACCCTCAAAAACAAATTTTTATAATCTTGCCTGATTGAATCAAATGAAGTCCCTTATTCATTTGTATGTCTCTCCCTGCATGTCAGGTCACTTTGTCACATTGATGCCAAGGTAGATGACACAAAGAAAATAAAGATGGCTGAGTCACATTCTAAATGCCTGAAGCCTCTCTGTCGCTAGACCTATGTAGCATGACCTGGGTTAGAGGAGGGAGCATGAGGCTCATCTGTATCTCCCACCTGGGGAACACACACATCTGTGCGTGTATGCATGCTCACAGAACTGTGTGCATACATGCACAGATGTGTGTGTTCCTAAAAATTCCTAATATGTCCTTCTTTAATCTGAGTATAAAAAGGAGATGGCTCTGGCAGAAAGAGATCAACACTCTCAGCTTTCTCCAACATATCACCTTCAAGGTGCCTCCTACAGTGAAAAAAACATTTGGAACAAAAGGTGCTGGTGTCGAACCTGGCTTTGCTAATTAATTTTTTACTTCACCTTCTTTTCATTTTAACCTCAGTTTCTTTGTTTGTAGAATAAATGGGATAATACCAACTCTACCTGTCAACACTAACTCAAAAGAATCCATGTCAAATGTATGGGGACATTTTTGGACCAATGAGCTCATGGCACTCTCATGCATGTGTTGAAATGGTCACTCAACAGAAAGCTCAGATATTATAGCACAAGTTCCCTGCACTCCATTAAACTCGCAGTGGTAGACTGATGTAATAATGCAAACTCTCACTGAGTAACAACACGGGCATTGGATTCAGACAAACTTGATTCCTAGCACTATTGCCATATGGCTTTGAACAAATAATTTTACCACTATAAACCTCAGTTTCTTCACCTATAAAAGGTTGGTGGTAGAATAGTTATATCCACCTTACAACGCTGTGATGAGAATTAAAAAAGACATAGCACATAACACTGTACTTGGCACATGGTATACACCCCAAACCATGGTTACTATAAGACCTTTACTACTATCATTAGTAATAATTACAAACTGAAATTGTTACCAAAAAAAAACTATGTCTAGGATACCCAGGTAACACTAATCTTTCAGCTGCACCTCATGCTCCTTTCTCCTATGTTAGTTTCTTCCTTGTTTCTGGAATTAAATGCAGTCATCAAAGTCCAGACAAGATTTCCCCAGGAGAAGCTTCCCCTTCAGTGAGTTAGGGTGAGCACAGGGGATTGTGACTGTGTTAGACAGGAGCCTGGATGAGCAAGGGCAAATCGGATCGTACGGCTCAGAAAGTCTGTCTTTCCAGAGATGCAGCCTGGCTGAGCTCTTCCAACACAGGGCCTCAGGGCCTTTTTTTTTTTTTTTTCTCTTCGAACAACAGCTTATCAGAACTGATAAAATTAAAGAACACCTCTAAAATCTGCCAGTTTCACTTAAGAAAGTAACAGGTGGTACCTGAACTGACTAATGATGTCAAGGCCTTTCATCTGTGGTAAGCTAATTTCCTCTGAATATGGAAGGCTAGTCTTAAAATAAGATGAATGTCCTTCCCTACCTGGTTCATCCTAAGCATGGTGCCACAGTTAATGAAAGCAGCCAGACATTTCCAGTGCTAACCTGTCAAATAAAGATTCCCATCTTGAGAGGTATGGGCAGCTTCAGAGCTTGTGGATCTCTGTTTGCACCCATATCCTTCCAACCTCTTCAGACTAAATGTCTGGTTAAGAATGAACAGGGAAGGGCCAGGTTTGTGTACCCACAGCTGAAAAACCTGGGGAGAGGCAAAATGTTGCTTTTTTTCTAATGATTGTTTATTTGAGAAACCTGGAATAATACCTGGGATTGTAAAGCCTTATGCACCATCTCTGATGAAATAGCAAGTTTCCCTGACAAACACAATTTTGGAAATCACTTAAAGAAACGGTCTTCTAAACCACTGGAAGTTATTAGTTACCTGGTATAGTCAATATCTTGCTTAGATTTTTCTTTGAATCAAAATAAGAAAATTTCCTTCATAAACATATTATTACTTTTGGGACTAGTACGTAACTAGAATCTCAGTCCAATAAGTGATAATAATAATACTGGGGGATAATAATAATACTGGTGGATAATAATAATACTGGTAACAATAAATAATTAAGTAAGATTGTATGTATCCACATTCATTGTTTTGTTAGCTGCCCACAGAGGGACCTCTGAGTTGGTGTAGTGTTTCTAACAGTGCGGTCGACAGATGTACTGCAATAGATTCTGCTGGTTTTGGTTGTGCAAGAATGTTTAAAATGCACATTACGGACCTCTCTCAGAATCTACTGAGATACAATGTCTGTGGATTTGGATTGGGAACCCTCATTGTCTTCTGGCTTTATGGATGATTCTTACATATTACTTGTAATTATGGAGTATTTGTGATTATGTTTTTCTTGTGAAGAGAGCTCACTGAGTACAGCTCCTGGCTTTTCTCCATCCTTTGCTGACTCCAGCCCAAGAGATGTGGAATAGTACGCTGATTGGTAAATTTGCAAATAATTATCTGGGCATGCTTGCGTTAACTCCATTCCCCTTGTCCTGGAGACGTAACTGCCTTCAGAAAGAAGATCAGTATGTGGAGGCAACTACCCCCAAACCCCCATTCACTCTGGTTGGAGAAACAACTATATTTTAAAATGTGCTCTTTTATTTTCTTTTTTCTTTTTCAGTAATAAAGTAAAAACTGGCATGTTTCTCTTTTTACTGTAGGATGGTAAATTCTCTTTCTTCTGTCAACTCTCCCTTTTTCCTCCAACTCTCTACAAAATTTTGCTGTCTTTTCAAGGTTAATTACATTTGACCCTTGAACAATGTGGGTGTTAGGGATGCCAACCTCCTGCACAGTAAAATATCCACATATAACTTTGACTGTCCCAAAACTTAACCATTAAGAACCTACTGTTGACTGGAAGCCATACCAATAACATACACAGCCAATAAGGACATATTTTGTATGTTGTATGTGTTGCATACTGTATTCTCACAATAAAGTAAGTTAGAGAAAAGAAAATTTTATTAGGAAAACAATAAGGAAGAGAAAATGTATTTACTATTTATTAAGTGGAAGTGAATCATCATTAAAGTCTTTAACCTCATTGTCTTCAATTTGAGAGGGCTGAAGAGGAGAAGAAGAGGGGTTGGTCTTGTTGTCTCAGAAGCAGAGTCTATGCATGGACAAATGCCAGATTTTTCAGGCAACATAAGCTGTGAGTGTAGTTTTTAAAACCATTTGTAATGGTATGGAGTAATTTTGTCATGGCAATTCAGCATCATGAAGATTTGGGCCCTTTGTTATGAATCATTTTTGGAGTCCTAGCTCTGTCACATATTAGTAGTGTTGTATGGAACATACTGCACATTCCATAGGCCTGTGTAATGAATGGCTAGTGTGTGTGATTTCTACTATTGATAGGATGCCATTCTATGGACTCATCAATGAATATTAACGGCTAAATGGAACATGAATTCCTGTTTCTGTCCACTTACCTGCAGTGTGACCTTTAGCAAGTTGTCTACCTTCTCTAAACCTCTTTGTCTTATATGCAAAAATGACTGCCCTACATTTCTACAGAGTGTGTGGGCGCAAGAAAAAAGTCATTATTATGGATACGTTTGAAAATTTTAAAACTCTTTGGAAATATGGGGCATAATAGTAATTTAAAAAGACATTATATAAGTGCTTAGTTCTAGCAGACACAAATATATGTGTTAAGTATGGAGAATGCTTACTTTTGCTATTATACCTTAGCTTCAAACAAATATTCATTCCTTCATTTCAATTAAGGAGGTGGACATGTGCTTTGCCTTCTAGGTGACTCACTAAAACTCTAATGTCAGCCATGCAATTCTTTCCTTTGTGTCTTCCCTTTGGCCAATCATTGTTTTCTTTTTTAAAAAAGTTCAGCTGCAAACACCTGTTACTTGCAACCAGATTGAAAAAATTTCATTCTGCAATAAATAAGTAGTTGTGTTTTTAAAAAAACCTTTAGGTTCATGGGTACACATGCAGGTTTGTTCTACAGGTAAAATCATGTCAGGGATGGGCAGTGTACAGATTATTTCATCACTGAGGTACTAAGTCTACTATCCAATAGTTATTTTTTCTGATCCTCTCCCTCCTCCCAGCCTCCACCCTCAAGTAGGCCCCAGTGTCTGTTGCTCCCCTCTTTGTGTCCATGTGTTCTCATCATTTAGCTCCTACTTATAAGTGAGAACATGCAGTATTTTGTTTTCTGATTCTGCGTTAGTTTTCTAAAGATAATGGCTTCCAGCTCCATCTGTGTTCCCACAAAGCACATGATCTCGTTCTTTTTTTTTTCTTTATTATACTTTAAGTTCTAGGGTACATGTGCACAACGTGCAGGTTTGTTACATATGTATACATGTACCATGTTGGTGTGCTGCACCCGTTAACTCGTCGTTTACATTAGGTATATCTCCTGATGCTTTCCCTCCCCTCTTCCCTCACCCCACAACAGGCCCCAGTGTGTGATGTTCCCCACCTTGTGTCCAGGTGTTCTCATTGTTCAATTCCCAACTAAGAGTGAGAACATGTGGTGTTTGGTTTTCCATCCTCACAATAGTTTGCTGAGAATGATGGTTTCCAGCTTCATCCATGTCCCTACAAAGGACATGAACTCATCCTCTTTTATGGCTGCATAGAATTCCATGGTGTATATGTGCCACATTTTCTTAATCCAGTCTATCATTGATGGACATTTGGGTTGGTTCCAAGTCTTTGCTATTGTGAATAGCGCCACAATAAACATACGTGTGCATGTGTCTTTATAGCAGCATGATTTATAATCTTTTGGGTATATACCCAGTAATAGGATGGCTGGGTCAAATGGTATTTCTAGTTCTAGATCCTTGAGGAATCGCCACACTGTCTTCCACAATGGTTGAGTTAGTTTACAGTCCCACCAACAGTGTAAAAGCATTCCTATTTCTCCACATCCTCTCCAGCTCCTGTTGTTTCCTGACTTTTTAATGATTGCCATTCTAACTGGTGTGAGATGGTATCTCATTGTGGTTTTGATTTGCATTTCTCTGATGGCCAGTGATGGTGAGCATTTTTTTCATGTGCCTGTTGGCTGCATAAATGTCTTCTTTTGAGAAGTGTCTGTTCACATCCTTTGCCCACTTTTTGATGGGGCTGTTTGATTTTTTTCTTGTAAATTTGTTTAAGTTCTTTGTAGATTCTGGATATTAGCCCTTTGTCAGATGGGTAGACTGTAAAAATTTTCTCCCATTCTGTACATTGCCTGTTCACTCTGATGGTAGTTTCTTTTGCTGTGCAGAAGCTCTTTAGTTTAATTAGATCCCATTTGTCAATTTTGGCTTTTGTTGCCATTGCTTTTGGTGTTTTAGTCATGAAGTCCTTGCCCATGCCTATGTCCTGAATGGTATTGCCTAGGTTTTCTTCTAGGTTTTTATGGTTTTAGGTCTAACATTTAAGTCTTTAATCCATCTTGAATTAATTTTTGTCTAAGGTGTAAGGAAGGGATCCAGTTTCAGCTTTCTACATACAGCTAGCCAGTTTTCCCAGCACCGTTTATTAAATAGGGAATCCTTTTCCCATTTATTGTTTTTGTCAGGTTTGTCAAAGATCAGATGGTTGTAGATGTGTGGCACTATTTCTGGGGGCTCTGTTCTGTTCCATTGGTCTACATCTCTGTTTTGGTACCAGTACCATGCTGTTTTGGTTATTGTAGCCTTGTAGTATAGCTTGAAGTCAGGCAGCGTGATGCCTCCAGCTTTGTTCTTTTGGCTTAGGATTGACTTGGCAATGCGGGCTCTTTTTTCATTCCATACGAACTTTAAAGTAGTTTTTTCCAATTCTGTGAAGAAAGTCATTGGTAGCTTGATGGGGATGGCATTGAATCTGTAAATTACCTTGGGCAGCATGGCCATTTTCACGATATTGATTCTTCCTATCCATGAACATGGAATGTTCTTGCATTTGTTTGTATCCTCTTTTATTTCGTTGAGCAGTGGTTTGTAGTTCCCCTTGAAGAGGTCCTTCACATCCCTTGTGAGTTGGATTCCTACATATTTTATTCTCTTTGAAGCAATTGTGAATGGGAGTTCACTCATGATTTTGCTCTCTGTTTTGGTGTATAGGAATGCTTGTGATTTTTGCACATTGATTTTGTATCCTGAGACCTTGCTGAAGTTGCTTATCAGCTTAAGGAGATTTTGGGCTGAGATGATGGGGTTTTCTAAATATACAATCATGTCATCTGCAAACAGGGACAATTTGACTTCCTCTTTTCCTAACTGATACCCTTTATTTTTTTCTCTTGCCTGATTGCCCTGGCCAGAACTTCCAACACTATGTTGAATAGGAGTGGTCAGAGAGGACATCTCTGTCTTGTGGCGGTTTTCAAAGGGAATGCTTCCAGTTTTTGCCCATTCAGTATGATATTGGCTGTGGTTTTGTCATAAATAGCTCTTATTATTTTGAGATACATCCCATCAATACCATCAATACCTAGTTTATTGAGAGTTTTTAGCATGAAGGGCTGAAGATTTTTGCCAAAGGTCTTTTCTGCATCTATTGAGATAACTTTGTGGTTTTTGTCTTTGGTTGTGTTTGTATGATGGATAACGTTTATTGATTTGTGTATGTTGAACCAGCCTTGCAGCACAGGGATGAAGCCAACTTGATCGTGGTGGATAAGCTTTTTGATGTGCTGCTGGATTCAGTTTGCCAGCATTTTTTTTTTTATTAAGGATTTTTGCATCACTGTTCATCAGGGATATTGGTGTAAAATTCTCTTCTTTTGTTGTGTCTCTGCCAGGCTTTGGTATCAGGATGATACTGGCCTCATAAAATGAATTAGGGAGGATTCCCTCTTTTTCTATTGATTGGAATAGTTTCAGAAGGAATAGTACCAGCTCCTTTTTGTACCTCTGGTAGAATTCGTCTGTGAAACCATCTGTTTCACTTTTTTTGGTTGGTAGGCTATTAATTATTGCCTCAATTTCAGAATCTGTTATTGGTCTATTCATGGATTCACCTTCTTCCTGGTTTAGTCTTGGGAGGGTGTATGTGTCCAGGAATTTATCCATTTCTTCTAGATTTTCTAGTTTATTTGCGTAGAGGTGTTTATAGTATTCTCTGATGGTAGTTTGTATTTCTGTGGGATTGGTGGTGATATCCCCTTTATCATTTTTTATTATGTCTATTTGATTCTTCTCCCTTTTCTTCTTTGTTAGTCTTGCTAGTGGTCTATCAGTTTTGCTGATCTTTTCAAAAAAAAAAAAAAACAGCTCCTGGATTCATTGATTTTTTGAAGGGTTTTTTGTGTCTCTATCTCCTTCAGTTCTGCTCTGATCTTAGTTGTTTCTTGCCTTCTGCTAGCTTTTGAATGTGTTTGCTCTTGCTTCTCTAGTTCTTTTAATTGTGATGTTAGGGTGTCAATTTTAGCTCTTTCCTGCTTTCTCTTGTGGGCATTAGTGCTATAAATTTCCCTCCACACACTGCTTTAAATGTGTCCCAGAGATTCTGGTATTTTGTTTCTTTGTTCTCATTGGTTTCAAAGAACATATTTATTTCTGTCTTCATTTCTTTATGTACCCAGTAGTCATTCAGGAGCAGGTTGTTCAGTTTCCACATAGTTGAGTGGTTCTGAGTGAGTTTCTTAATCCTGAGTTCTAGTTTGTTTGCACTGTGGCCTGAGAGACAGTTATAATTTCTGTCCTTTTACATTTGCTGAGGAGTGCTTTACTTCCAACTATGTGGTCAATTTTGGAATAAGTGTGATGTGGTGCTGAGAAGAATGTGTATTCTGTTGATTTGGGGTGGAGAGTTCTGTAGATGTCTATTAGGTCCGCTTGGTGCAGAGCTGAGTTCAATTCCTGGATATCCTTGTTAACTTTCTGCCTCGTTGATCTGTCTAATGTTGACAGTGGGGTGTTAAAGTCTCCCATTATTATTGTGTGGGAGTCTAAGTCTCTTTGTAGGTCTCTAAGGACTTGCTTTATGAATCTGGGTACTCCTGTATTGGGTGCATATATATTTAGGATAGTTAGCTCTTCTTGTTGAGTTGATCCCTTTACCATGATGTAATGGCCTTCTTTGTCTCTTTTGATCTTTGTTGGTTTAAAGTCCGTTTTATCAGAGACTATGATTGCAACCCCTGCTTTTTTTTTTTTTGCTTTCCGTTTGCTTGGTAGATCTTCCTCCATCCCTATATTGTGAGCCTATGTGTGTCTCTGCACGTAAGATGGGTCTCCTGAATATAGCACACTGATAGGTCTTGACTCTTTATCCAATTTGCCAGTCTGTGTCTTTTAATTGGAGCATTTAGCCCATTTACATTTAAGGTTAATATTGTTATGTGTGAATTTGATCCTGTCATTATGAAGTTAGCTGGTTATTTTGCTCATTAGTTGATGCAGTTTCTTCCTAGCATTGATGGTCTTTACAATTTGGCATGTTTTTGCAGTGGCTGGTACCAGTTGTTCCTTCCATGTTAAGTGCTTCCTTCAGGAGCTCTTGTAAGGCAGGCCTGGTGATGACAAAATCTCTCAGCATTTGCTTGTCTGGAAAGTATTTTATTTCTCCTTCACTTATGAAGCTTAGTTTGGCTGGATATGAAATTCTGGGTTGAAAATTCTTTTCTTTCAGAATGTTGAATATCGGCCCCCACTCTCTTCTGGCATGTACAGTTTCTGCTGAGAGATCTGCTGTTAGTCTAATGGGCTTCCCTTTGTGTGTAACCTGACCTTTCTCTCCGGCTGCCCTTAACAATTTTTTTTCCTTCATTTCAACCTTGGTGAATCTGACAATTATGTGTCTTGGAGTTGCTCTTCTTGAGGAGTATCTTTGTGGTGTTCTCTTTATTTCCTGAATTTGAATGTTGGCCTGCCTCACTAGGTTGGGGAAGTTCTCCTGGATAATATCCTGAAGAGTGTTTTCCAACTTGGTTCCATTCTCCCCGTCACTTTCAGGTACACCAATCAGATGTAGATTTGGTCTTTTCACATAGTCCCATATTTCTTGGAGGCTTTGTTCATTTCTTCTTACTCTTTTTTCTCTAAACTTCTCTTCTTGCTTCATTTCATTCATTTGATCTTCAGTCACTGATACCCTCTCTTCCACTTGATCAAATCAGCTACTGAAGCTTGTGCATGCATCACATAGTTCTTGTGTCATGGTTTTGCTCTATCAGGTCATTTAAGGACTTCCCTACCCTGTTTTTTCTAGTTAGCCATTCATCTAATCTTTTTTCAAGGTGTTTAGCTTCTTTGTGATGGATTTGAACATCCTCCTTTAGCTTGGAGGTGTTTGTTACTACCGATCGCCTGAAACCTGCTTCTCTCAACTTGTCGAAGTCATTCTCTGTCCAGCTTTGTTCCGTTGCTGGCGAGGAGCTGCATTCCTTTGGAGGAGAAGAGCTGCTCCGATTTTTAGAATTTTCAACTTTTCTGCTCTGGTTTCTCCCCATCTTTGTGGTTTTATCTACCTTTGGTCTTTGATGATGGTGACCTACAGATGGGGTTTTGGTGTGGATGTCCTTTCTGTTTGTTAGTTTTCCTTCTAACAGTCAGGACCCTAAGCTGCAGGTCTGTTGGAGTTTGCTGGAGGTCCACTGCAGACCCTGTTTGCCTGGGTATCAACAGTGGAGGCCGCAGAACAGCAAATATTGCAGAATGGCAGATGTTGCTGCCTGATCCTTCCTCTGGAAGCTTAGTCTCAGAGGGGCACCTGGCTGTATGAGGTGTCAGTTGGCTCCTACTGGGCGGTGTCTCCCAGTTAGGCTACTCTGGGGTCAGGGACCCACTTGAGGAGGCAGTCTTTGTGTTCTCAGATCTCAAGCTCCATACTGAGAGAACCACTACTCTCTTCAAAGCTGTCAGACAGGGACGTTTAAGTCTGCAGAAGTTTCTGCTGCCTTTTGTTTAGCTATGCCCTGCCCCCAGAGGTGGAGTCTACAGAGGCAGGTAGGCCTCCTGGAACTGCATAGGGCTCCAGTCAGTTCGAGCTTCCCAGACACTTTGTTTACCTACTCAAACCTCAGCAATGGCAGGTGCCCCTCCCCCAGCCTCACTGCCACCTTGCAGTTTGGTCTCAGACTGCTGTGCTAGTAATGAGTGAGGATCCACGGGCGTGGGACCCTCTGAGCCAGGAGCAGGATATAATCTCTTGGTGTGCCATTTGCTAAGGCCATTGGAAAAGCACAGTATTTGGGTGGGAGTGTCCTGATTTTCCAGGTACCATCTGTCATGGCTTCCCTTTGCTAGGAAAGGGAATTCCCCAACCCCTTGCACTTCCCAGGTGAGACGATGCCCCGCCCTGCTCTGTGGGCTGCACCCACTGTCTGACAAGCCTCAGTGAGAAGAACCCAGTACCTCAGTTGGAAATGCAGGAATCACCCGTCTTCTGTGTCACTCACGCTAGGAGCTGCAGACTGGAGCTGTTCCTATTTGGCCATCTTGGAACCTCCCCTGATATTGTTCTTTTTTATGGCTACATAGTATTCCATGATGTATGTGTACCATATTATATTTATCCAATCTGCTATTGGTGGGCATTTAGTTTGATTCCACATCTTTGTTATATTGAATAATGCTGCAGTGAACATACACAAGTATGTGTCTTTATGATACAACAATTTATATGACTTTGGGTATATACCCAGTAATGGGATTGTTGGGTCAAATGATAGCTCTATTTTTAGCTCTTTGAGGAATTGCCACACTGCTTTCCACAATAGTTGGACTAATTTATGCTCCCACCAACAGTATATAAGTGTTCCCTCTTTTCTGCAACCTCGACAGCATCTGTTATTTTTTGACTTTTTATTAATAGCCATTCTGACTGGTGTGAATGGTATTGCAGTGTGGTTTTGATTTGCATTTCTTTAATAATCAGTGATACTGAGCTTTATTTCATATGTTTTTTGGCCACATGTATGTCTTCTCTTGAAAAGTGTCTGTTCATGTCCTTTGCCCACTTTTTAATGGGATTTTCTTTTTCTTGTAAACTTGTTAAAGTTCCTCATAGATGCTGGATATTAGACTTTGTCGGATGCATAGTTTGCAAATATTTTCTCCCATTCTTTAAGTTGTCTGTTTATTCTGTTGATAGTTTCCTTTGCTGTACAGAAGGTTAATTAGATCCCATTTGTCAATTTTTGCTTTTGTTGAGATTGCTTTTGCATCTTCGTCATGAAATCTTTGCAAGTTCGTATGTCCAGAATGGTATTGCCTAGGTTATCTTCCAGGAGTTTGATAGTTTCGGGCTTTACATTTAACTTTTTAATCCATCTTGAGTTGATTTTTGTATATGGTGTAAGAAAGGAGTCCAATTTTAATCTTCTGCATACAGCTAGCCAGTTATCCCAGCATTGTTTATTGAGTAAGGAGTCCTTTCCCCATTGCTTGTTTTTGTCAGCTTTGTCAAAGATGATTTGGTTGTAGTTGTGATGCTTTATTTCTGGGTTCTCTATTCTGTCCTATTGGTCTATGTGTCTGTTTTTGTACCAGTACCATGCTGTTTCGATCACTGTAGTCCTGTAGTACAGTGTGAAGTCAGGTAGCATGATGGCTCCAGCTTTGTTCTTTCTGCTTAGGATTGCATTGAATATTTTGGCTTTTTTTTTTGGTTCCATATGAATTGCAAAATGGTTTTTTTATAGTTCTGTGAAGGATGTCCGTGGTGGTTTGATAGGAATAACATTGAATCTGTGAATTGCCTGGCCAGCATGGCTATTTTAATGATATTGATTCTTCCTATTCATGAGCATGGAATGTTTTTCCATTTGTTTGTTTCATCTCTGATTTTGCTGAGCAGTGTTTTGTAATTCTCATTGTGGAGATCTTTCACCTCCCTGATTAGCTGTATTCCTAGATATTTTATTCTTTTTGTGGCAATTGGGAATGGGATTGTGTTCCTGATTGGCTCCTGGCTTAGCTGTTGTTGGTATATAGAAATGACAGTAATATTTATATATTGATTTTTGTATCCTAAAACTTTGCTGAAGTTCTTAATCAACTGAAGGAGCTTTTAGGCCAAGACTATGGGGTTTTCTAGATGTAGAAACAAACTAGAAAACCTAGAAGAGATGGAAAATTCCTGGACACACACACCCTCCCAAGACTGAACCAGGAAGAAATGGATTCCCTGAACAAATCAGTAATGAGCTCTGAAATTTAATCAGTAGTAAATAGGCTACCAACCAAAAAAAAAAAAAAAAAAAAAAAAAACCCAGGACCAGGTAGATTCATAGCGGAATTCTACCAGATGTACAAAGAAGAGTTGGTACCATTCTTACTGAAACAATTTCAAAAAATTGAGGAAGAGGGACTCCTCCTTAACTCATTCTAGGAGGCCAGCATCATTCTGATACCAAATCCTGGCAGAAACACAACCACAACTAGAAACATCAAGCCCATAACCTTAATGAATATTGATGAAAAAATCCTCACAAAATACTTGCAAACTGAATTCAGTAGCACATCAAAAAAGCTAATCCACCATGATCAAGTAGGCTTTACCCCTGGGATGCAAGGTTGGTTCAACATACACAATTCAATAAGTGTGATTCAACACATAGACAGAACTAAGGACAAAAACCAAATGATTATCTCAATAGATGAAGAAAAGGCTTTCAATAAATTCAACATCACTTCATGGTAAAAACTCTCTGTTGGGCATGGTGGCTCATGCCTGTAATCCCAATACTTTGGAAAGCCGAGGTCGGTAGATTGCTTGAGCCTCAGGAGTTTTAGACCAGCTGGGCAACAGGAAAAAAACCCATGTCTACAAAATACAAAAACTAGCCAGGTGTGGCAGTGCGCACCTGTATTCCCAGCTACTCAGGAGGCTGAGGCAGGAGGATTCATTGAGCCTGGGAGGTCAAGGCTGCAGTGAGCCATGATTATGCCATTGTACTCTAGCCTGGACGATATATCAAGACCTTGTCTAAAAAGAAAAACAAGGCTGGGCGCGGTGGCTCACGCCTGTAATCCCAGCACTTTGGGAGGCTGAGGGGGGTGGATCACGAGGTCAGGAGATCAAGACCATCCTGGCTAACATGGTGAAACCCCATCTCTACTAAAAAAAAAAATACAAAAAATTAGCAGGGCATGGTGGCGGGCACCTGTAGTCCCAGCCACTAGGGAGGCTGAGGCAGGAGAATGGCATGAACCTGGGAGGCAGAGCTTGCAGTGAGCTGAGATCCCGCCACTGCACTCCAGCCTGGGTGACAGAGCGAGACTCCGTCTCAAAAAAAAAAAAAAAAAAAAAAAAAAAGAAAAACAAAAACAAAAACAAAACTCTTAATAAATCATGTTTTGAAGGAACATATCTACATATCTCAAAATAATAAGAGCCATCTGTGATGAACCCACAGCCAACATCCTCCTGAATGACTGAATGGGCAAAAACTGGAAGCATTTCCCTTGAAAACTGCCACAAGACAAGGATGCCCTCTCTCACCACTCCTATTCAACATAGTATTGGGAGTCCTTGCCAGAGCAATCAGGCAAGAGAAGTAAATAAAGTGCATCCAAATAGGAAGAGAGAAAGTCAAACTATTGCTGTTTGCAGATGACATGATTCTATGTCTAGAATACAATACTGTTTACATTTTTGATACTCTCACTCCACTGAAAACTCCTTAAGGAAGGGACCAGATGTTATGTTTTTACTTTGTACAACTCTAGATTCTATGACAATGCTAAACAAAGAATGTGTGCTAGATAAAAGTATATGTTGAACTGAGCTGAGTTGAAATCATTTTTTAAATTATGTAGGTAATACATACTTCTGTTAAAAAAACTAGGAGAATCTTGAAAAGTATAATTAAATTCAAAGAACTTATAGTATATTCACCAAAAGCCATCAGTTTTAATTTTTTTATAGAAACAGCTTTATCGAGGTACAAATTACATACCATAAATATAATATGTGTGGAGTTCAATTTAAGAAATTTAGAGTTCAATTTAAGAAAATTGCATTTTCTTAGATTTATACAGTTGTGCAACAATCACCACATCCAGTTTTAGAACACACTGATCATCTGAAAAAATTTCCTTCTACCCATTTAAATCATATTATAATAGTATACATAGAATTTTGTTCTTAGAAGAAGAGAAAAATTCTAATATAAATATTTTCCCCATGGAATTAGGAACATAAAATATAAACAATGGAATCACTGCTTTATAATCTACTAATGATGTGCCCCAAGTTACCTTCTAATTTTATTCCAATATAAACTACATGGTATATTAGAGAAAAAAAGTCTTTGTGTAAACATTTCTGAAGTAAAAAAAAATCTTTAATATTGATTACTATAGCTGGAATCACTGAATTTTGCCATATTACATAGGTAATTGTTTTTCAAATATTTACAACTTTCTTTTCCCAAATAAGCATTAAAAGTGATTATTGCCACATTTGAGTATAATCAATATTCATAATTACATAAAATTATATATATAAACTTTTGCAAATTTTAAGGATGATTTCAGAGGACGTGGGCATCTGTTGAAATTGGGGCTGATGTATATAGTTTTGAGCAGTTTGTGTGCTCCTGCTTGAGAGTGCCCTTAGGGCTGAGATCAGCTTGTGTCGAATCCATCAAGCTCTACACATGGGGCTGTGTCTACCTGGGCACTCCTCTACATCACACAAAGACATGCTCTGCTCTCTAAGCCCTGTGCTCATCTGGAGAGAGCCCTTCTGTCTAATTGGTACAAAGGCTTCCTTTGGGCCAGCTCGAGCCCTGATTGGGGTTTTCAGGATAAGGCAGTTGCAGTCCAAATCCTTGCTTGCTTTGCAAGCATCACTTTATGGAAGAAGCCAAGCTCAACTGTAGAGACTAACCTATACAGGGCCAGGTAAACAGAGCTGTCCATTTGGGGAGCTTTGAAGGCTGCTGAGCTGGTAGCCAAAGTTCTCCACAATTGACCTGTCCATTGTCCAGCCTCATCTCTCACTGCATTTCCCCTGGGTTCTTCCCTCCTGCTACCCATACCTGCTGCTGCCTTCATGCTGAATTTCCTCTTTCTACTGCTATCATCCATTCCGCTGTCCATCCAACACTCTTCATCCTTCAAGATTTGCCTCACCATCTTAGGATGTGGGACCCTCTCTTGTTGCTCCAATGCTCAACTATTCTTGGTGTGTAATTATCCTACCTTTCCCTTTGAACTCATTGCATTCTGACATCATATCATGCAGTAGTAGTTAAGTGCACATGATCTGAAGCTGGCTGGGCTTGAAACCTGGCTCTGATAATTAACCAACAGAGAGGCCTTGTAAAGTTTCCAAATTTCTCTTTGCCTCAGTTTTCTTGTGAGTAGAATTGAGATAATAATACCTACCTCTTTGGGTTGTTATGACAATCAGCAAGTTAGTACCTAGCACATTTTATTTATTTTTTTCTTTTAAATGAATTACTTTGTTTTGCCAAATATATTGTAAGCTGTTTGAGAGCAGCAAAGAAAAATAAGTTGGGAGAGGTTGTGACTCACTGAGCCCAGAGCTAGACTAGCAATCTATTGATTCTCAGCTCTGTGTTCCTTTGACTTTTGCTATTTTCTCTGACATCGATAATATTATTTTTTATAATGAAGTAGTGATAATATTGATAGTCATAATAAAGATGTCTTCAAAGTGTATTATGTGCAGCTTTTAAAATTTGTGCAAGTAAGTCTTTTCTTTATGCTTACACATAAATAGATAATGGATTATATTATATCACATATTTATTATATTATTTATTACTATTTATGTATTATATTATGTTTTTATTTTATTATTTTATTATAATCTAGCTATTTTTCTTCTCTTTTTCCCCCAAGTGTCCTCTCCCATTGTATGAAATACGTTTTTAGTGCTATGTTTTCTTAACTTTAAAAAAAATTACAAGAGGGTGTGTTCAATCAAAACAAATCTAATTGGCTACAAACGTAACTACAACCTCATTTCACCCATATTGTTAGAACAGTTAATTGGACTTCCAGAGCTACCAGCTAAGTGCATTGGTTTATGCAAACAGTGAATCTAATTTTCTCTGAAACATCTTTTTGCAGGAGCAGTCAAAAGAGATAGGAAGGAGAGAAGATTCTGAGGGAAACTTGAAAAGATCAGTTTGGTTTCAATTATCTGCCCTTGCCAGATAGACATGGAAGAAATATCACCACATTATTGAAATGAAAAAATATATATACATATACACATACATACACATATACATAATTTCTTTTGAATTGAAAGAGCAAAAACAATAAAATAAATAATAAATTTTACACTGCAGCTGAATTCAGCCAGAATCAGCAGTGATGGACTTCCCCTCTTTCCCATCCTCTTTCACCCAAATCCTTCATAAATATCATCTGTAAGAGTTTAGGGAATTAACACAGAGGTGAGAATGTTTTCTCTTTTTGTTTTTTTAAATCTTTGCCTTATGGGTATATATGCCCTTCAGAAAAAAAGTAAAAAACAAAACAAAGTAAAATTATATTTATTCAGGCTTCATTGACTTGGAAGCTGTACAATTCAGATTAGTTATCTGCTCTGCCTTTGGCAAGTCAAGAAATCTTTTTAAGTCTCACTTTTTTCCCTGTGAAAAGGGTGAAAAGTCACACATAATGTCTACATGAGAATGTACTGTTAAACTGTGTTACACTGCACAAATATGAGAAAACAGCATGATAATAAAATTTTTAAAATTTAAACAAATATTACAGAGGAAATATCTCTTATTTTTAAAGTCTATTTTTAGTCACTCTGGGGCTTTTTTTTTTTTTACATCCTAACACTAAATATGCTAATGTAAAATCTTCACACTGAGTTTACTAAACAAGGTGCTCTTATTGGAGTATTTTCCTATAACATTTAGTTAATCAGATTTGAGTTATTGTGCCTTTTAAACGTGTTTCATTTATTTTTCCTTTTCACAAAATCAAAATGATGGTCATTTAGTTAATGCAAATTCGTGTCTTATGCTTTTCATTTTCCACACCTTAGTTCCCAAGTCTTAGATTTGCAAATCTGGGTTGAATCATCACAAATTTCTATAGTCTTATAGCAAGAATGTTCCCTTTTGTAAATCTTCTAAACTTCCTTTTTCTTTGGCACTTCTTTAGGCAGAAACAAAAAACAAAAAACAAAAAAAACCAAATGGGGAAATTGTGTCCTCATTCCTAGTTGATTATCAGTATAGCATTTTATGGGGCACCAAGTGGTGTCGCATATTTTACAAACATTTGAAGTCTTTCCTTCACATATTATTTGGTGTCTTGAGATTTTTTTCTTAGTGTATTATTCAGTGCATGTGTCTGGAAACAATCAGTAACCCTCCCACTTATTTGATCTGCTTGCTATGGGGCTATGGGTATGCTTTGAATAAATAATGCTAAATCCCATCTTCCCAAGGTCTGAACCCAAACACAATTACTAAGGCTACATTCAGCTTCATGCTGCAAGGTGCATGGAATAGAAGAAAGACAATCTTTAATAATTAGAGCTATGGGCCATAATTGTTATAAAATATTTAAGATGCTGAAAATCCAGAAGAGGAGACGAGCTGTATGCATACAATAATTAGCCAATAAATGCAGGAGCTGACCAAGGGATACACATATGAATCAAATTGTCAGTGAAAACAAGAAATAAGTCACTGAAGCATATAATACTTGGGGATGGCATTTTGGAAGAAAGGGACATTCAGCAAACTTATGGGATTAGTAGGGATTTAATAGGATTAAATGTGGAAGAAAAGTTGTTCAGATTGAGGTTTGAGATATGTGGCCATAGGAACATAATTGCTGTTTTGGGCCCAATGTTTATAGGATGACATTTCTTTTTTGACTTTGCTTTTTCAGGAGGCACATTTTATTATATAATCAATTGGGGACATCCCTTTGTATGTAATTTTAATGTACATTTATTTTTGTATCTGACTGTGAGAAGAAAAGGCATTCCTGTTCTTCTGGAAGACATTTTCTCCTCACACCCCCAGCTAACTGCTTCCTATAGATGGTTTCTAAATAATTATCTTTTAAAAATATAACCCTGCCCCCAACCGCAGCCACAATTGGTCAGTCCAAGAGTGGGTACCACACTGGATCAATAAGTCTCTTGCCCAGGAATTTGGACTTGGAAACAGGAAGAATGTTAGGCCAGTGTTCCTCTGTACCAAAGCTGTAAGATCTAAACCTCAGGAGCTCTTGGCAGTCATTCTCGGCCAGACGGAGCAAGCTTCTCTGCAGTAAGAGAAAAAAACGAGGCTGACACACAGAGAGAAACAGAGACACACAGAGAGAAACAGAGGAAGAGAGACAGAGGAGAGCATCCTGCTAGATCCCAGGTTTCTGAGATCCAGTCATTATCCTGCCCTTGGTTTCATGATATATTTCTGTTATTCTTCAACAAATTTCCTTTTCTGCTTAAGAAAGTTAAAGTGTTGTGTTTTTCCTCTCTCACTTAAAAAGCCTTTCTTATACTTTAACAAATTCACGATTAAGTTAGGAATTGCCTTTTTGTAAGTTAAGAAAAGGCTCTTCCTCCAGCTTGACTCAGTGTCATGGGTTCAGGGATTGTTAAAGGGAATGGGAATAGATTCCAGCCCCTATTCATCCTCAGCAATGAGCTCTTAAACAGTAAATATGCAGAGGCATATGTGGCAACCCTCCAGAGGCCATGGGTCCTCAGCCTTCACTGTGAACCCATTTTGATTTAGAATTCCCCCTCTATTTCCCCAACTCTTTGCTATGGCTTTATATCATACAAAACATCTTAGAATGTTTACCCTTTCCTATCACCCTATTTCATGAGTTGGTTATCATCCAGATAACCAACCTCAGGAAATTGTTCTGGTCACTTCTGTTCATAGTAGCTTCTGTAATAATCCACATACATGAAAACTCTTGCGAGGCACAGAGGTCAATGAATAGGAATGGAAATTGTTTATAAGAATAAAACAGTATGTGCCAAGAATTGCAAGTGGCTTGTTTACCTTCTTCCTTGTGATTTAAATTCTTTGAGCCAGAAAAGAAAAGTTGGTCACTCAATCATAAATACTTGAAGTGAGACTAAACTGGGATACAAAATAACATCCCCAGGGATATTGCAAATTGGTATCTACACCTTACATTGTGGAAGCAAATTAATTCATAATGCAAACAGAATGTAACAACAAGGAAAGTTATGCATGGGTAGATCTGGTCATGTGTCAAGCTCTGTACATAAACTTCTCTGTGAACAGGCACCAGACACAGCCAGAAAATCCTGCCAAAGCGAGATGTTTTGCTCTGAGGTCTGAGAAAAGGTCACACAGTTTTCTCAAAAGGATAGCAATGGGAAACTGTCTAGTATCTCCAATTTTCTTTATAATTTTGTTTCCATTAAGAAAAGCATAATTTAGGTTATTGGTGCAAGAAAAAAATAATACATTTTATCTATAGAGCAGATATCAGGTTAGCAAGTCACGTACAAAGCTATGAAGCAGAAAACAGGCTTCCTTGGAGCACAGAAATTCTTTAGCCTTAGAGTTTTCTAGCTCTCCTTGTTAAACGTAAAGGTACAGGAAAAACATGGAAATAGGGGAGGAGGGTGGCTTGTGATTTATAAAATCAGTAAGTCAATAAAGCAATATTTATGCTCCAGGAAGGAGCAAGTACAGTTTAATTCACTTCTCCTACCCTCAGATTGTGTATAGTCTCTCTGCACTGTCTCTTATTGTTTATTGTCTCTTATCCTGTGTATCACACAGGTTCCTGAACTCTCTATCTGGTGTTCTTCTCACTTCCTTGAGTTCTATAAGCTAGAGTTATTATTTGAAATCAGAAAATGTGATATGCATTATATAAGCATGGTGATTAAAAATTTGAGACTTCAATAGAGAGCTTAAAAGCAAACCATAAAACTGCGAAAATCATTCTTAGGTAACTTAGTTGCATGCCACCACAAAATCCAACATATATTATCTAATAGATAAAATCTAATAATATAAAGTTATATAAGTAATATATTAATTTAATATAACAATGTTAATATAAACATTAAAATATATGTATATATAATACATATATGTATGTATAGATATATGTATGTATTTAGAGACAGGGTCTCACTCTGTTGCCCAGACTGGAGTGCAGTGGTGCAGTCATGGCTCACTGCAGCCTCAACCTCCTAGGCTCAATTGATTCTCCCTTCTCAGCCTCCTGAGTAGCTGGGACCACAGGTGCATGCCATCGTGCCCGGCTTATTTTTAATTTTTGTTTTTGTAGAGATGGGACCTCCCTGTGTTGTCCAGGCTGGTCTCAAACTCCTGGGCTCAAGAAATCCTCCTGTCTCGGGCTCCCAAAGTGCTGGAACGACAGGCATGAGCCACCATGCCCAGTTTCCAATTCCAACATATTTAAAAGCAATATAGAAAAATTTGATACTCAACATTATACAATTAACAATGTCTGCCATTCAAGAAAACATTACCATGTAGGCAAAGAAATGGCAAAAGAGAACTCATTACCAGGAAAACAATAAAACAATAGAAATATATCTAGAAATGACAGAATTAGCTGACAAGAAACTTAAAGCACTTATAAATATTACAAATAGTCTCAAGAACATAAAGGAAAACATGAACATAATGAATAGAGACATAGAAAAAAAAGGCAAAATAGAGCCTCAAAGGATGAAAACACTATATGTTAAATACCACAAAAATGGAAAGGTAAAAACAATGAACAAATTCATACAGAGTCATTTTTTAAAATCAGGACAAGAGAGCTGCAGAATACTTCACCCATCAACAACAGAATATACATTCTTCTCATCTGCACACAGCACATATTCTAAGATTGACTACATGCTCTGTGATAAAACAATTCTCAACAAATTAAAAAGAAATTGAATTTATACCAACCACACTCTTGGATGGTGGTGCAATGCAAATTGAAATAAATACCAAGAACGTTGCCTAAAACCAGGCAATTATATGAAAATTACATGAAAATTAACCTGCTCCTGACTGACTACTGGGTAAAGAATGAAATTAAGCCAAAATCAAACAAAAATTTTAAACTAACAAAACCACAGGTACAACATGCCAGAATCTCTGGGACATAGATAAAGCCATGTTAAGATGGAAGTTTATAGCACTAAATGCCTAAATAAAGAAATTAGATCTCAAATTAACAGTCTACCATCACACCTAGAGGAACTACAGAAACAAAAGCAAAACAACCCCAAAGCTACCAGAAGACAGTAAATAACCAAAATCAGAGCTGAACAGAATAAAATTGAGATGCAAAAATCTATACAAAAATCAATAAAATGGAAAGTTTGTTGTTTGAAAGAATAAACAAGATTGATAGACTGCTAGCCAGACCAATAGAGAAAAAAAATGGAAAAGATTCAAATAAGCACTATATGAAATTGCAAAGGGGACAATATCACCTGCCCCACAGAAACACAAAAATCCTCAGACACGTTATGAACACTTCTATGCACAAAAACTAGAAAACCTAGAAGAAGTGAATAACTTCCTGGAAATATACAACCTTCGAAGTCTGAACCAGGAAAAAATTGTGATCCCAAAAAGACCAATCCCAAATGGCAAAATTGAATCAGTAATAAAAACCTTATTTGCCAAAAAAAGGCCTGGACCAGATGAATTTACAGCCAAATTCTACCAAACATAAAAGAATGAGCTAGTACCAATCATCCTGAAATTATATCAAACAGTAGAGGAGGAGGGTCTCCTCCCTAACATATTCTTTGAAGCCGGCATTATTCTGATACCGAAATCTGGCAGACATAAAAGGAAAAAAAGAAAACTTCAGTCTAATATCCATGAGGAATATAGACACAAAAATTCTCAACAAAATACTAGCAAACGGAATCCAGCAGCACATCAAAACGTTAATCCACCAGGAACAAAGAGGCTTTATTCCTGGGTTGCAAGTTTGATTCAGCGTACACAAACCAATAAACGTGATTGATCAAATAAACAGAACTACAACAAAACAAAACAAAAAAATACTGTATCATCATCTCAATAGATGCAGGAAAGGCTTTTGATATAATTCAACATCACTTCATTTAAAAATCCTCAACAAACTAGACATTGAAGGAACATACCACAAAATAATAAAAGCCATTTGTGACAGACTCACAGCCATCATACTGAACCAGAAAATGCTGGAAGCATTTCCCTTGAGAACTGGAACAAGAAAAGGATGTCCACTTTCACCACTCCTATTCAACATAGTACTGAAAATCCTAGCCAGAGCAATCAGGAAAGAGAAAGAAAGAAAAGGCATCCAAATAGGAAAAGAGGAAGTCATACTATGCCTTTTCATGGATGGTGTGATTCCACACCTAAAATGAAACTGATAGACTCCTTTGAAAGGCTCCAAGAACTGATAATTAACTTTAATAAAGTTTCAGTATACAAAAGCAATGTACAAAAATCAATAGCATTACTGTTATATGCACAAAAGACATCCAAACTGAGAGCCAAATCAAGAACCCAGTCCCATTCAAAATAACCACAAAAAGAATAAAATTAGGAATGCAACTAACCAAAGAGGAAAAAATTGCTGTGAGAATTATAAAACACTGATGATAGATATCATAGATGACACAAACAAACGAAAAAAACATTTCAAGCTCATGGGTTTGAAGAATTAATATTGCTAAAATGGCCATACTGGCCACAGCAATTTACAGATTCAATGTATTCCTATCTAACTACCAATCTTATTTTTCAGAGAATTAGAAAAAGCTATTCTAAAATTCATATGGAACTGAAAAGAACCTATAGAGCCAAAGCAAACTTAAGCAAAAAGAACAAAGCTGGAACCATCACATTACCCACTTCAAACTAGACTACAAGGCTACAGCAACCAAAACAACATGTTACTGGTACAAAACAAACACATAGACCAATGCAACAGAATGTAGAACCCAGAAATAAAGCCATATACCTACGTACAACCACCTAATCTTTGAGAAAGTTGACAATAACAAGCAACAAGGAAAGGACAACCTATTCAACAAATGGTGCTGGGATAACTGGCTAACTGGCTAGCCATATGCAGAAGATTGTAACTGGATACCTCCTATTCACCATATACAAAAATCAACTCAAGATGGATTAGATACTTAAATGTTAAGACCTAAAACTATAAAAGCCCTCAAAGAAAACCTAGAAAATACCCTTCTGGACATAGGCCTTGGCAAAGATTCCATGATGAAGTCCCTTTAGGGGACTTGCTTTTAAGCAATTGCAACAAAAACAAAAATAGACAAATAGAAGCTAATAAAATTGAAGAGCTTCTGCACAGCAAAAGAAACTATCAACAGAGTAAACAGATAATCTACAGAATGGGAAAAAAATATTTGCAAACTCGGCACCCAATAAAAGTCTAATATCCCAAATCTATAAAGAACTTATACATGTCAATGTGGAAAAACCAAACAACCCTATAAACAACCCCATTTGCCATTAAAAAATGGGCAAAGGACATGAACAGACACATTGAAAAGAAGACATACACTTGGCCAAAAACATATGAAAATATACTCATCATTAATCGTCAGAGAAATGTAAATCAAAATCACAATTAGATGCCATCTTGCAACAGTAAGAATGACTATTATTAAAAAGTCAACAAACATAAATGCTGGTGAGGTTGTAGAGAAAAGGGAATGCTTATAGACTGCTGGTGGGAATGTAAGTTAGTTCAGCCACTGTGGAAAGCAGTTTGGAGGTTTTTTTTTTTCTTCGTTAGTCTCGCTCTGTCACCCAGGCTGGAGTGCAGTGGTGTGATCTTGGCTCATTGCAACCTCCGCCTCCCAGTTTCAAGCTGTTCTCCTGCCTCGGCCTCCCGAGTAGCTGGGACTACAGGTGTGTGCCACCATGCCCAGCTAATTTTTTTTTGTATTTTTAGTAGAGATGTGGTTTCACTGTGTTAGCCAGGATGATTTCAATCTCCTGACCTCGCGATCTGCCTGCCTCGGCCTCCCAAAGTGCTGAGATTACAGGCATGAGCCACCACTCCTGGCTGGAGATGTCTTAAAGAAGTTAAAACAGAACTACCATTAGACCCAGCAATCCCATTACTTGGTATATACCCAAAGGAATATAAATTCTTCTACCAAAAAGACACATGCCCTGGTATGTTCATTGCAGCACTATTCACAAAAGCAATGACATGGAATCAATCTAGATGCCCATCAGTGTTGTATGGGATAAACAAAATGTGGTACATCTACACCACAGAATTATATACATGCATTAAAGAAAATCAGAAAAATGAAATCATGTCCTCTGTAACAACATGAATGCATCCAGAAGCCATTATCCCAAGTGAATTAATGCAGTATCAGAAAACCAAATATTGCATCTTCTCAATTATAAGTGCAAGCTAAACGTGGAGTACACATGGACACAAAGATGGGAACAACAGACACTGGGGCTTATTTGAGGGAGGAGGGTTGGAAGAGGGTGAGGATCAAAAAACTGCCTATCAGGTTCTTTGCACACTACCTGGGTGATAAGATCATTTGTACACCAGACCCCAGCAACATGTAATTTAATCATGTAACCTGTGCATCTACCTCCTGAACCTAAATTAAAAGTTGAGAAAAACAGAATGAAATTCTAGTATTCATGGTAAAATGGAGGAAACTGGAGGAAATTGTGTTAAATGAAATAAGTCATGTACACAAAGATAAGTACTGTGTGTTCTCATATGTGGAAGATAAAAAAGGTTGCGCTCATAGAAGTAGAGAGTAGAATTGTATGCTGGGAAGAAATAGTGTAGAAGAAGACGTTGGCTAACAAGTACGGATTTGCAACTAGATAGGAGGAATCAACTCTAGTGCTCCATAGCACTAGCATGCATATAGTTAATAATTTATTTCATATATTCAGAAAATAGAAGAGAGAATTTTGAATGTTCTCAACACAAATAAATGACAAATGTTTGAGGTGAACAATATGCTTATAACTCTGTTTGCATTATTATTCATTGTGTATTTGTATGGAAAAATCCCTCTGCAATCCCATAAATGCATAAATTATTATGTGTCAACTAAAAATAAAAGAAAAAATAATGAGTCTATTAGAAAAACAAATAAAAAGGAGAGAAGATCCAAATAAGCTCCATCAGAAGCAACAAAAGTGATTGTTTCTGATCCCACAGAAAAACATTACAACTGATCACACAGAAATACAAAATAACCTCAGAGGCTATTATGAACACCTCTACACACACAAACTAGAAATCTAGAAGAAATGGATAAGATCCTGGAAACACACAATTCCCCAAGATTGAACAGGAAGTAAATTGAAAAACTGAAAAGATCAACATCAAGTTTTAAAATTGAATCAGTAATAAAAAATCTAGCAACCAGAAAAAGCCGTGTTTCAGATGAATTCACAGTTGAATTCTGCCAGATGTGCAAAGAAGACCTGGCACCAAATCTATGGAAACTATTCTAAAAAATCAAGGAGGAGGAATTCCTCCCTAACACATTCTATGAAGCCAGCCTCCCCGTGGTACCAAAACCTGGAAAAGGCACAAGGAGAAAAGAAAACTACAGGCCAACTACAGTTCATCTTTGATGAACATAGACACAAGAATCCTCAACAAAATACTAGCAAATCAAATTTGACAACATGTCAAAAAGTTAATTCACCATGATCAAGTAGGCTTTATTTCTGGGATGATTCAACATATGCAAATCAATAAATGTGGTTCCCCACATAATCAGAATTAAAAACAAAAATCTTACAATCATCTCAATAGAGGCAGAAAGAGCTTTCAATAAAATTCAACATTGCTTCGTGATAAAAACCCTAGAGAAATGGCATTGAAGGAACATATCTCAAAATAACAAGAGCCATCCATGACAAATCCACAGCAAACAGCATACTGAATGGGCAGAAACCAGAAGCATTCCCCTTGAAAACTGGCACAAGGATGCTCTCTCTCACAACTCCTATTAAACGTAGTACTGGAAGTGCTAGCTAGAGCAATCAGGCAAAAGGAAGAAATAAAAGACATCCAGATAGAAAAAGAAGAAATTAAACTATCTCTCTTTGTGGATGATATGATTCTAAACCTAGAAAGCCCTTTTAGGCTGCCAGAAGGGATTCTGGGACTGACAAATGACTTCAGTAAAGTTTCAGGATATACAAAGTATGCACAGAACTCAGGAGCATTTCTACACACCATTAACGTTCAAGCTAAGGACCAAACAAAAACATTATCCCATTTGCAATAGCCACAAAAATACCTACAAATATAACTAACCAAGGAGGTAAAAGATCTCTATAAGGTAAACTAAAACACACTGCTAAAAGAAATCATAAATGTGGCAAACAAATGGGGAGAAACATTCCATGCTTATGGTTTGAAAGAATCAATATCATCAAAATGGCCATACTGGCTAAAGCAATCCACAGATTTAACACTATTCCTATCAAACTACCAACATCATTTTTCACAAAACTGGAAAAAGCTGTTCTAAAATTCATATTCAACCAAAAAAGAGCCTGAATAGCCAAGCAATCCTAAACAAAAGGATCAAAACCAGAGGCATTACATTACCTAACTTCAAACTATACTACAAGACTACATTAACTAAAACAGCATGGCACTCATACAAAAACAGGTGATGGAACCAAATAGTGAGCTCAGAAGTAATGCTGCACACCTATAACCATCTGATTTTTGACACAATTGACCAAAAATGAGAGAAAAAACAATGGGGAAAGGACGTTCAATAGACGGTGCTGAAATAGCTGGCTAACCATATACAGAAGAATGAAACTGGAACCTTAGCTTTCACTATATACAAAAATTTACTAAAGATTGACTAAAGATTTAAATGTGAGACCTCAAACTGTAAGAATCCTAGTAGAAAACCTAGGAAACACCATTGTGGACGTCGGCATTGGGAAATAATTTATGACTAAGTCTTCAAAAGCAATTGGAACAAAACCAAAAATTGACAAGTGGGATCCAATTTCTTATGGCATCCGTAAGAAAGATAGTTTCTTATGCTGTGCTACAGAGTAGACAACGTGCAGAATGGGTAAAAATATTTGCAAACTCTGAATCCAACAAAGGTCTAATATCCAAAATCTATAAAGAACTTATACATATCTACAAGCAAAAAACAAACAGCACATTAAAAATGAGCAAAATACGTGAACAGATACTTCTCTAAAGGAGGCATACAAACAACAACAAACATACGAAAAAATGCTCCACATCACCAATCATCAGAGAAGTGCACTTCCAAACCACAATGTGATGCCATCTTACAGCACTCAGAATGACTATTACTAAAAAAGTCAAAAAACAACAGATGCCAGTGAGGCTATGGAGAGAAAGGGACCACATATATGTTGGTGGGAGTGTAAATTAGTTCAACCACTGTGGAAAGCAGGTTAGAGATTTCTCAAAGAACTTAAAATAGAACTACCATTTGACCAAGCAATTCCATTACTGGGCATATAACCAAAAGAAAATAAATCATTTTATCAAAAAAGATACATGCACTTGCAGTTTATTGCAGCTCTATTCACAATATTAAAGACATAGAATCAACTTAGATGCCCATCAGTGGTGGAGTGGATAAAGAAAATATGGCACATATACACCATGGAATACTACACAGCCACTAAAATCATCATGTCAATTGCAGCAACATGGATGTAGCTGGAGGCCATTACTGTAAGCAAATTAATGCAGGATCAGAAAACCCAATACCACATGTCCTCACTTGCAAGTGGGAGCTAAACATCTGGTACTCATAGACATAAAAATGGTTATAATAGACACTGGGGACTACTAGAGGAGGAAGAGGCAAATGTTGAAAAACTATTGGTTACTATGCTCAGTACCTGGGCGATGAGGTTTCATACCCCAAACCTCAGCATATCACAATATACCCAGGTAACAAACCTATACCTGTACCCACTGAATCTAAAATAAAAATCGAGAAAAGAAACTTGGGAGTGTGAATACTATTAACTGAAAAGAACATTTTACAATATTTTTTAAAGGTATGATCACAACTATGAAATAAGTTGCTATTACATGAAAAAAACTACAAATAAGTAAGCCAAAATGTTAGCAAAAGCAACTGCATCTAAGTAATAAAAAAAAAAAAAAAGAAAAGGCAAGAAGAAAAGAAAATTGCAGGACCTTAACTACTTGATTTCTAGCCTCACTATAAGGCTACAGTAATCAAGAGTGTTATCGGCCTAGACATATAAATCCATGGAATTGAATAGAGTCCAGAAGTAGATCCTTACATATGTTTTTGTTTGTTTGTTTGTTTCAACAAAGTTGTACAGGTAATTCATTTTGGCAAGTTGTGCTGAAACAATTTGAGTGGATATCCATATTCAAAAATATAAAACTTAACTCTCGCTCACAATATACACAAAAATTAAAATGGAACACAGGGCTAATATAGAGGCCAAAATCCTAAAATGTTTAAAATACCTAGGACAAAATCGTAGTGACCTTCTTTGGAATAGGCTAATATTTCTTAAATAGGGTAGAAAAAAATGAATCATAAAATGATAAATTAGACTGTATCAAAAGTAAATACTTTTGCACTTTAATTCAAACTTAGAAAATGGAGTAGAAAAATAAAATCCCCTTAAAAGATATATCTGACAAAGGCCTTTTTCTGAATATAGAGAGAACATTTTCAACTCAGTAATAAGAAATGTACCCCCACAAAAAAGAAGAAACCAAATAATCCAATGAAAATGGGCAAACAATTGAAAAGACACTTCTCTAAAGAAGAGAGAAAAATGGAAAATAAACACATTAGAGACTTTCACCATCACGAGTCATTAGGGAAACGCAAATGAAAGTCACAATGTGATATTACTACACATCTACTAGAAAGGATAAAAATTAAAAGTATGACTATATCAAGTTTGTAGGAGTCCAAAATGGCACAGCCAGCAAATGGTTTGAAAGTTTTTATAAAGGTTTATATAAACTTACCATATGACTCTATTCCACAGCAATGTATTTTCCCAATAGAAATGCAATCATCTCTTTCTCTCTATATATACTTGTATGTAAATGCTCCTAACAGCTTTATTCATTATAGCTAAGTATTGGGAGAGACTCTCTATCAACTGGTACATGGATAAACAAATTTTTGTATGTCCATATGATGCAATAGTATATGAAGCAACATGGAAGAATCTCAAAAGCATGCTAAGGGTTAGAAGCCAGACAGGAAAGACTGTAGATTATTTTTATATGAAACCAAGAGTGTGGATCTGTGAATGGAATTGGTGTGGACAAAGTTACTGACTGCAGGGGAGAATTTTTGGGGGTAAAAAAAAAATCCATGTTATTATTGTGGTGGAGGGTACATGACTATGTGCATTTGCCCAAACTCATCAAACTGTACATTTAAAATGAGTGATTTTTTACTTGATATATAGTATATGTCAAAAAACTGATTAATAGAAACATTCTTTTTACTTCCAAAGACAAAGTAATATGCAGTAAAAAAGGAAAAAAAATCACCAGACAGAAATCCATTTTACGGCCAAATAAAATGTCAGTCAGTCTGCAAGTATGGAATCTTATCATTTTAGGAAAGTGAGAAGTAGTTGTGATATTAGCAACAAGAGTGATGTTCCAGATATGTGAATCTCACTCCAGACAACACACTTGTCTATTTCTTAATATTCAGACTCCAAGAAGGTAATTGTCCATGGAAGGTGTATTTTCTTTCAGCAAGTTCTGTTTCTCATCATAATATTGTTATGTTAGCAGTAAAACAAAAGTACCCCTGAAAAGCCAGAGAGAAGATTGGCCATACAAGACCTGGAAGTGAAGACAAATGGTGTGAAAGTGATGTCACATCTAGTACACTTTAGTGAGAAGTACATTGTCGTCATCAGCATCACCACTACCACTACGAAAATGTACTGAGGGAGAGCTGCAGTAGAACTTGTGCCTTGGTGCATGCCATGCAGGTTTGATGAATTGAAATGGGTAGCTCCAATGTTTCAGGCGTTTTATATTTATTCTCACAATAACTCTTTGAGATGGCTATTATTGTCTTGCCTACATAAATAGTGAGAGGCTCAAAGAAGTTTGGTAAGTTATCTTCAATTAGTATTTGCCCAAGAATGTATTCAAACTCAGTTGTTTTTCTAAAGATCTTGCCATCTCTACTATACCAAGTTAGAGAACAGAGTAAATTTGAAAAATGGGAGGAAACGTATCACTATCTGTGTGTGTCTATATCTGTGTCTTGCCTCTCAACCTGTTCCCTATTGCCCCCCCTCTGTCTTGGCATCTATTTTTATCTCTCTCCTGTATGGAAATCTATTCATCTACTTGCCTTTCTGCAAATAGACATACTGACTGCAACCAAATACAAAGAAGTATTTTGGGTCATTCAGAGCCAAGCACCGGAAGAGAAATATCACATATTCTCATTTATTTGTGGGATCTAAAAATCAGAATAATTGAACTCATGGACACGGAGGGTAGAATGTCATGGTTACCAGAGTCTGGAAAGGGTAGTGGGGCCTCGAAAGGGGTTGGAGATTGGAATCATTAATGGGTACAAAAAATAGAAAGAATAAATATGACCTACTGTTTGATAGCACAATAGGATGATTATAGTCAATAATAACTCAACTGTACATTTTAAAATAACTTAAAGAGTGTAATTGGATTGTTTGTAACTTAAAGGATAAATGCTTGATGGGATGGATACCCCATGGTCCATAAGGTGGACATTGCATGCCTGTATCAAAACATCTCATGTACCCCGTAAATATATATATACCTATTATGTACTCACAAGACTTTATAAACGTAACAAACAAAAACTTATTAGAAAAACAATGAGAATGGTTTTGGAGAAAAAATTCTATTGATGTAAAGAAAAAATTTTGCCAGGCATGGTGGCTCACGCCTGTAATCCCAGCACTTTGGGAGGCTGAGGCGGGTGGATCATGAGATCAGGAGATCGAGACCATCCTGGGTAACACAGTGAAACCCCGTCTCTACTAAAAATACAAAAAATTAGCTGGGTATGGTGGCATGCGCCTGTAGTCCCAGCTACTCAGGAGGCTGAGGCAGGAGAATCGCTTGAACCCGAGAGGCAGAGGTTGCAGCGAGCCGAGAACGCGCAACTGCACTCCAGCCTGGGTGACAGAGTGAGACTCCATCTCAAAAAAAAAAAAATTATCTTTTAAAATTGATTAAATAGTTCTCAAGACCTTGATTTCTTGAAGTTATTATCAATGTAATAATATCAAGTTATTATAAACTTATCATCAATACTGTAGTATATATGATTGGAAAAAAAGAGTCACTTGAGGCAGGCCCTGTCCATGGCTTTCTGAAACCTCTCATCTTACCACTGGGGTGGAAGCTCTCTGGGCTTCCAACCACTGACATGTGCATCTCTGCTTCTTGCTGCCTATGTAGGCTGGGCAGTAAGGAACCCCTCTATGCAACAACCAATGAAAGTGTTAGTGTCCAAGTGGCCTCTTAAGCTCCTGCATCTTTTCTAGGGGATAACTCTTGAGGAATATTTTACCAGCCTTCCCTTCCTTGTTCCATTTTTCTCTCCCTCCATCTTTGTCTGGAACTATCTCCCAAACAAGCTATATTTACTAGAATTCTCTTCTCAGGGACTGTTTCTGGGAAACACAAGCTGAGACAGCACCTGTGATGTGCCTGTGGCTTCCAACATAGAAGACAGTGTGTGGGACTAGAAGCAGGGAGGCGCTGCCTCTCACTGAGATGTTAAATTCTCCAAGAGGTGCATGATAGAAGGGTTGAAATTGCTTTGGGGGAAGCAATTTTAGGAGGATAGCACAGTGGGTACCAACATGCCTTCTCTGATCACTCCAGCTATGCTGGAGTGAATGATCATTTCTTTTGTTTGGTTGTTGGCTTGATTTTAGGGACCGTGTTGTATGAAAAACTAAAACCTTGAGTACTGAGACAACACTCAGAGTGGCATGCTTGGTGCTCCTACTGTGGGGAAGGGGACAGCACCACCACTCCTGTCTCCTGCTCCCTCCAGGGCATATGGCCACTGAGCCCACTGCCAGGGAGAAGTCCTCTCCCTGTTTGAGTGGTTATCTGGGTCTCTCCTTCACACCACACCCAATTCCTCAAGTAAGCATGGTTTGAAAATGAGGACTAGTCACACTGATTACATTTGAATTTAGTCTCTGTGACTTATTTTTCACCTCATTGAGATTCTTAGCCTCTCTAAGCCTCAATTTACTCAAAAGGGAATAATATTAGTGAACCTGCCATATGCTTGTTTTAGGGATTAAATGGAACAATATATCCAAACAATATATCCAAATGCTAGGCATTTGCTAAGCACCTGGTAAAAGACAACTGTTGGTACTTTCCTGTTGTTGATGCCTCTCCCCACTCCTAAGCCTCTCCCCTTTCTCACATCGCCCTGGATGTTTAATTCAATTATTCACCTTGGCTACCAAGGCCTGAATGTTGGCAGGATATGTGATAAATAATTTATTTCATTTAGCTTAGATTCCTGACAGTGCATTTCATTGACTTTTTCTCCAGATTGTGATTTTTGGTAAATTTTTTGTGGTCTGTGCTGAGATTTATTTTTTATTTGAAAGTATTTCTTTCTAAACTAGAAGCTAGTGTTAAAGCAGGTGGGCTAGGCACTGTGGCTCATGCCTGTAATCCCAGCACTTTGGGAGGCCGAGGCGGATGGATCACCTGAGGTCAGGAGTTCAAGAGCAGCCTGACCAACATTATGAAATGCCGTCTCTACTGAAAATACAAAAATTAGCTGGATGTGTTGATAGATGCCTGTAATCCCAGCTACTCAGGAGGCTGAGGCAGGAGAATCGCTTGAACCCGGGAGGTGGAATTTGCAGTGAGCTGAGATCATGTCATTGCACTCCAGCCTGGGTGATACAGCAAGCCTCATCGAAAGAAAAGAAAAGAAAAGAAAAGAAAAGAAAAGAAAAGAAAGGAAGAAAAGAAAAGAAAGAGAGAGAAAGCAAGCAGGTGGCAGGAGAAATGAAAGTCTTAAAGGTAACCTGGAGGACTTTTATCTTTCCAGGAGTCTCTCTCAATGCATTTAGACTCAACAAGGATTTCCTTTTCTCTTGTCTCTAAAAAGAAATGCATTTCCAGAAAGAGTGGAGGTCAGATTATGTAAGAGATGGAGAATGCACTGAGTACACTGAAGGAGATCCAGCCAGCAATGAGACAGGAGTCTTTACTTTTGCCATATACAAAGAGAGGCATCAGCTATACCTGGGTATATTGATTGCCTGAAACACTAATAATGCTACTTAATAAAAATATAGAATAGATCCAGGCATCTCTATCTGATTTACTTTACAAAAATATTTTCTAGTTGCTGGATAATTTGACTCTTTTAAAGAAAATTTGATTTAAGATCAGACTATCTTGTTCTATGCTAGCCTGGTGCTTACAAAATCTTATAAAGATGAAACTCTGGTCAACATCTATAGGAGGAAACGACATTCAGTAAATTAATAAATTGAGGGAAATAATCATTTATTAAATGAATTAATTAGATTCCATTCTGAATTATGTTGTGAAAGTTAATTAATCCATTTTTGATTTGGATTAATTATAGAAACATACCCTAAGTGGACTCCTGTTGTGAAATGATAAAATGTATGAAGCTAAAATACTGATGGAGAAAATCATCTTTTTTAAACTTAGCATCATTGCACACTTAAGATTTAATTAATGCAGACTATGTCACCAATATCAAATGAATGGCTTTGATTGATTGTACTGTGATGAGTGCATTTGCTTTTAGTTTTCTCTACTCCAGACTTGAGCAAGTCATGGGATTCTTGCTGTGACACACATTCATGAGACGTTTGGTACCAGTCTTTGTGTTTGAGGATGATGCTGTTGAGATATGGAAGTGTGTGACTTTGCAGGTGGGTGTTCACATATTCTTTCCATATTGTCGTGTGGCTACCCTTTTCTGTAGTCAGAGATGCTGTTTTAGGGCCCTGGTTTATAGCTAACATTGCATAAACGCTTGCATTCTTGATAGACACTTGTGATTATTCAGACTCAATAGCTTCAAACATCTTATTTTCATATTACTTTGGTGAGCTCATTGCTGTGTACTCCCACACCTGTCTTTCCTTATGATTCTACACTGGTATGTGTCATCAAGATATCTTGAAGGCATTCTTTTCACTTGACTGCTGACCACAACACAGCTGTTTGCATTTAAATGCAATGAGAGGAGAAACCATGGTCCACACCTGGTGGCTTATGTCACCCACTATGTGTCCCTCTTTCACTGGTTGGAAGAAGGCTAAAATCAAACTGCAGCCCAGAGTGTGTGTGATAAAGATGACAATCCTTTATAAAATAAAGTATTAAAAGAAAAATAAATACGTTTTGTGGTTCCATGAGTTATATCTTTATATTTGTTACCCCTTTCAGTCATTTCACAGCCCACTGCATAGCTCAGTGTTCATCACCTTGACAGGGTAGGCAGTCAACAGGACAAACGTAGATCTCACAAATGGGAGTTTGTTTATGTCAGAAAAATCTTCTACCTTAAGCTTGATTTTTTTAAATTTTTTACTTTTGTTATTTTTATTTTACTTTAAGTTCTGGGATACATGTGCAGAATGTGCAGGTTTTTTACATAGGTATACATATGACATGGTGGTTTTCTGTACCAATCAACCCATCATCTAGGTGTTAAGCCCTGCATGGATTAGGTATTTGTCCTAATGCTCTCTCTCCCTTTTGCCCTCTATGCCCTGACAAGCCCTAGTGTGTGTTGTTTCCTTCTCTATGTTCATGTGTTCTCATTGTTCAACTCCCACTTATGAGTGAGAACATGTGGTGTTTGGTTTTCTGTTCCTGTGTTAGTTTGCTGAGAATGATGGTTTCCAGCTTCATCCATGTCCCTGCAGAGGACATGAACTCATTCTTTTTTATGGCTGCATAGTTCATGGTGTATACGTGCCACATTTTTTAAGCTTGAAATTTTGTCACACACTATTTGGTGGTGACATACGTACCTAGGTGCTATGGATGCCCTACAGTCTTTTTGGAAAGTCTACAAGGTGTTTGATAGCTCCCAGCTGTGGCTAAGGACTGGCGATTAAACTCTTTTCTGTTCTGCCCAACATTTTGTATGATGCGGCTTTTTTCCATCATTTTCTTTGGCCTTAAGAACAGCTGATTTCTCCTGAGGGCCTGTTTTTTTCCTGAAAGTATATTTGTCCTCTGGCCTGTCATCTGGCTTTCCTACCAATACTTAACCCAGGAAAAAATTAAAGGCAGGAGGGAAGAAAGTATAGAGACATTTGATTAAGGCACCTGAATTTTTATATTGGGGTTGACATTTGATTAAGTCACCTGAATTTTGTGTTGGGGTTTTATATTGGGGTTGATCACAGACATGCTTCTGATTGAGACATAAATCCTCTGTGTGGCATTCCTGGTGTTTGTGGTGCCCACTTGTCTTAATCTGGTTAGACTGCCATAGCAGAATCCCACAAACTGGGAGGCATAAACAACAGGAATTTATTTATCACAATTCTAGAGACTGGGAAGTCCAAGATCAAGGTACCAGCAAAGAAGGTTTCATTCTAAGGCCTCTCTGCTCAGCTTGTAGGCAACTGCTATCTCTCTGTGAGATGCCATGAACTTTTCTTTGTGAGAGTGTTGGGAGAGAGAAAGAGAAAACCCTCTGGTGTCTCTTCTTATAAGGGCACTAATTCCATCCGGAGGGCCCATGTTTATAATTTCATCTAATCCTGATCATATCCCAAAAGCCCTATCTCCAAATAACCATCACAGTCAGAATTAGGGCTCCAACATATTAATGTTGCAGGGACACAGACATTCAGTCCTTAACAACATTGTTTGCCCAGGAAGCCTTTATGGACATTTGCAGGGGCCTAAAACCTAGACTCTGCTCTGGGAAACAGGTAGAGATGGAGGGGCAGGAGTGGGACTTCAGTTACTAAAGGAATGACCTACATAGCATTAAAACAGTCACCCCAGACTCATTACACTCTTTTGTAAAATCCTGTTAGTCTGAAATGAAGAATTCTAGAAAAAATCAGATTCCAGTCAGAAAAGATTAATAACTCATTCTGCCTCCAAAGAACAGAGCACTTACAAATAACTCTTTGAAAATTTCACATCTGATGGTTCAGACAGAGGCTAGTGAAAAGGTAATTGCTTCATTTGTCACCCATTACCCCCGCCCCATTCTTCTCCTCCTAATTTGTCTTTCTATGACCCTTTCTCATTTCACTTTACCTGGAAGACACCTCTTATTCCTCATTCCTGATTTGACCTGCTTTGAATATGGCATTGCTTTTCAGGGAGCAATGGCTGGTTTGGGTTCTAAGTGAAAACTACGTGGCATTTCTCACTGCCACTGCTCACCTCCAGGGAAGCTCCTGAAGGGCTCCCCTGGCTCAACATGGCCCATGGAACTCCTCTTCTCTCTGAAAATTGCTTCTTCTTCTGTATTTGTCATTTCAGAGAATGACAACACTTTCTCCTTAGCCGTCCGTGCCAGAGGCTTTCTTTCCAGTCCTACTCCTTTTCTCAACTCCTGCATCTGATTGTTCATCAAGTCATATCACTTAGATTCTTGTGATGCTCCCTCTGTGATCACACACTCTATCCTCCACCTACTGCCTACGTTCCCACCTTCTATTTCTCTAGTGAGGATTAACAGCTTGCTAGCTGGTCTCTCTGCTTCCAGACTTGCCCATTTCCAATCTATCTTCCACATCTTTGCTAAAATTCACATGTAATTATGCGTCTTCCTTGTAACAATCATCTAGGAGTGATTTTTGAGGCTCACAGGATAGAGCTTAAACTCCTAGGTGGGCATACGACACTCATCATTCTCCAGCCCTAGGTGCTTTCTGGCTTCATATTGTCTGTGTCACTCTCATGTATCATTTCTGCTGTCACCATATTGAGCCACTTATGCTTTCTCAAAGCATGTTTCACCAAACTCTGTGCCCTTGCATGTCTTGTCCCCTCTGCCTGGAAAGTCACTTCTTTATCCAGCAAATCCATACTGAGACTTCAAGACAGGTCACATGTCACCTTCTTTTGGAAATGCTTCTCCACAACTATTCTCTTTTCCTTTTCTTTCTCACTCTCCTCCTTCAAATAAGTTAACTACTCTTCCTTTGTATCTTACTTGTTGCTCTATACCAAACGATTTTGTAATCCGGAATTTTCTTGATGTTTCCACAAGACTCTGAGATTACTGATGAAAGGAGCCTTGGTGTCTGGTATAGAGGCAGTAATAAAATATGTTTATTAAGTGAATAAATAAATAATGAGTGAAAAATGAAGAAAATGTATTTGCATAAACTGTTGTTAAATGGTCAAAGATTTCTTGTTTTTATTTCTTATTTTTACATGTTTATTCAGCAACTTATCTCTCCCATTAACTTGATGAATTTTATTTCTGAAAGATTTGTAAGAGTCCAGATTATCTCTCCCCTCTGAGAAACAATGGACAAAAAACTAAGTACTTCCTTGAGGTAAAAGAATAGGCTCAGAGTACCTAATACTGGTTTCAGTGTTTTTCTATTGTAAATAATAGCCTCGCAGATTACTATCCTATCAGAAAAATGTTATCTCTTTTGGGATTTGAGAGGATGGAAGCATACCTGGGCATCTAAGAATCAAACACCTGAAGTTTATTCTCCTCCACTAGTACATTTTCTTTCTCACTATGAAAAACAGGCTGTTTGTTGTTTATGTTTATATGATTATCTTATGACGCCTAGAATAATTTGAGTAAAAATGCATAGAAATATAAGAGATATAGAAATAGAAAAGAAATGCATAGAAATATAAGAAAGAGTCTAAAAACTCACTTGAAATTCTACCACTGTTGAGGGTCCATCCCAAGATGGGCAAATAGGAACAGCTCCAGTCTGTAGCTTCCAGCGTGATTGATGCAGAAGATGAGTGATTTCTGCATTTCCAACTGAGGTGCCTGGTTCATTTCACTGGGACTGGTTGGACAGTGGGTGCAGCCCACAGAGGGCAAGCCGAAGCAGGGCAGGGCATCGCCTCACCCAGGAAGCACAAGGGGCCGGGGGATTTCCCTTTCCTAGCCAAGGGAAGCCGTGACAGACTGTACCTGGAAAAATGGGACACTCCTGCCCAAATACTGTGCTTTTCCTATGGTCTTAGCAACCGGCAGACCAGGAGATTCTCTCCTGTGCCTGGCTTGGCGGGTCCCATGCTCACGGAACCCTGCTCACTGCTAGTGCAGCAGTCTGAGATCAACCTGTGAGGCTGCAGTCTGGTAGGGGGAGGGGCATCTGCCATTTCTGAGGCTTAAGTAAGTAAATAAAATGGCCAGGAAACTTGAACTGGGCAGAACCCAGCGCAGCTCAGGGCCTACTGCCTCTATAGACTCCACCTCTGTGGGAAGGGCATAGCTGAACAAAAGGCAACAAAAACTTCTGCAGACTTAAATGTCCCTGTCTGACAGCTCTGAACTGCTGGGAGAGCAGTGGTTCTCCCAGCCTGGTGGTTGAGCTCTGAGAACAAACAGACTGCCTCCTCAAGTGGGCCCCTGACCCACATGTAGCCTGACTGGGAGTCAGCCCCCTACCTCCCAGTAGGGGCTGACAGACACCTCATACAGGTGGGTGCCCCTCTGGAACGAAGCTTCCAGAAGAAGGATCAGGCAGCAATATTTGCTGTTCTGCAATATTTGCTGTGCTGCAGCCTTCACTGGTGATACCCAGGAAAACAGGGTCTGGAGCAGACCTCCAGCAAACTCCAACAGACCTGCAGCTGAGGGACCTGACTGTTAGAAGGAAAACTAACAAACAGAAAGGAATGGCATCAACATGAACAAAAAGGACATCCACACCAAAACCCCATCTGTAGGTCACCATCATCAAAGACCAAAGGTAGATAAAATCACAAAGATGGGGAAAAACCAGAGTAGAAGAGCTGAAAATTCTAAAAACCAGAGCAGCTCTTCACCTCCACAGGATCTCAGCTCATTGCCAGCATCAGAACAAAGCTGGATGCAGAATGACTTTGACAAGTTGACAGAAGTAGGCTTCAGAAGGTCGGTGACAACAAACTTCTGCGAGCTAAAGGAACATGTTCTAACCCATCACAAGGAAGCTAAAATCCTTGAAAAAAGATTAGATGGATGGCTAATTGAATAAACAGTATAGAGAAGACCTTAAAACACCTGATGGAGCTGAAAACCGTGGCACCAGAACTTTGTGATGCATGCACAAGCTTCAATAGCTGATTCGATCAAGTGGAAGAAAGGAGATCAGTGATTGAAGATCAAGTTCATGAAATAAAGTGAGAAGTCAAGATTAGAGAAAAAAGAGTAAAAAGAAATGAACAAAGCCTCCAAGAAATATAGGACTATGTGAAAAGACCAAATCTACGTTTGATTGGTGTATCTGAAAGTGACGGGGAGAATGGAACCAAGCTGGAAAACACTCTTCAGGGTATTATCCAGGAGAACTTCACCAACCTAGCAAGGCAGGCCAACTTTCAAATTCAGGAAATAGAGAGAACACCACAAAGATATTCCTTGAGAAGAGCAACCCCAAGACACATAATTGTCAGATTTAGCAAGGTTGAAATGAAGGAAAAAATGTTAAGGGCAGCCAGAGAGAAAGGTTGGGTTACCCACAAAGGGAAGCCCATCAGACAAACAGCGAGCTGGTACCATTCCTTCTGAAACTATTCCAACCAATAAAAAAAGAGGGAATCCTCCCTAACTCATTTGATGAGGCCAGTATCATCCTGATACCAAAGCCTGGCAGAGACACAACAAAAAAAGAGAATTTTAGACCAATATCCCTGATGAATGTTGATGTGAAAATCCTCAATAAAATACTGGCAAACCGAATCCAGCAGCACATCAAAAAGCTTATCCACCACAATCCAGTCAGCTTCATCTCTGGGATGCAAGGCTGGTTCAGCATATGTAAATCAATAAACATAATCCATCACATATACAGAACCAATGCCAAAACCACATGATTACCTCAATAGATGCAGAAAAGGCCTTCAACAAAATTCAACAGCCCTTCATGCTAAAAACTCTCAATAAACTAGGTATTGATGGAATGTCTCTCAAAATAAGAAGAGCTGTTTATGACAAAACCACAGCCAATATCATACTGAATGGGCAAAAGCTGGAAGCATTCCCTTTGAAAACCGGCACAAGACAAGGATGCCCTCTCTCACCACTCCTATGTAACGTAGTGTTGGAAGTTCTGGCCAGGGCAATCAGGCAAGAGAAAGAAATAAAGGGTATTCAGTTAGGAAAAGAGGAAGTCAAATTGTCCCTGTTTGCAGATGATATGATTGTATATTTAGAAAACCCCATCGTCTCAGTCCAAAATCTCCTTAAGTTGATAAGCAACTTCAGCAAGGTCTCAAGATACAAAATCAATGTGCAAAAATCACAAGCTTTCCTCTAAACTGATAACAGACAAGCAGAGAGCCAAATCATGAGTGAACTGCCATTCACAATTGCTACAAAGATAATAAAATACCTAGGAATCCAACTTTCAAGTGATGTGAAGGACATCTTCAAGGAGAGCTACAAACCACTGCTCGACGAAATAAAAGAGGACACAAACAAATGGAAGAACATTCCATGTTCATGGATAGGAAGAATCAATATTGTGAAAATGGCCATACTGCCGAAAGTAATTTATAGATTCAATGCCATCCCCATCAAGCTTCCAATGACTTTCTTCACAGAATTGGATAAAACTACTTTAAAGTTCATATGGAACCAAAAAAGAACCCGCATTACCAAGACAATCCTAAACAAGAAGAAGAAAGCTGGAGGCATCATGGTACCTGACTTCAAACTATACTACAAGACTTCAGTAACCAAAGCAGCATGGTACTGGTACTAAAACAGACATATAGACCAATGGAACAGAACAGAGGCCTCAAAAATAACACCAGAAATCTATGACCATCTGATCTTTGACAAACCTGACAAAAACAATAAATGGGGAAAGGATTTCCTATTTAATAAATGGTGCTGGGAAAACTGGCTAGCCATATGTAGAAAGCTGAAACTGGATCCCTTCCTTACCACTTACACAAAAGTTAATTCAAGATGGATTAAAGACTTAAATGTTAGACCTAAAACCATAAAAACCCTAGAAGAAAACCTAAGCAATACCATTCAGGCCATAGGCATGGGCAAGGACTTCATGACTAAAACACCAAAAGCAATGGCAACAAAAGCCAAAATTGACAAATGGGATCTAATTAAACTAAAGAGCTTCTGCACAGCAAAAGAAACTACCATCAGAGTGAACAGGCAACCTACAGAATTGGAGAAAAGTTTTAGAATCTACCCATCTGACAAAGGGCTAATATCCAGAATCTACAAAGAACTTAAACAAATTTACAAGGAAAAAGCAACCCCATCAAAAAGTGGGCAAAGAATGTGAACAAACACTTCTCAAAAGGAGATATTTAAAGAAACTAAGAGGAAAATCTCATATTAAAATAGATACAATTTTAAGTATTCTTAATTTTTTTCCTGAAGCTCTTTGTGCCACTGTAATATCATTTTTCTTTAGCTTGAAGGATTCCTTTAACATTTCTTGAAGTGCAGATCTACTGGAAAAAAATTTTTCCTTATTTCTTTTATCTAAGAGAATATTTTGCCTCCATTCTTTGAAGGCAATTTTAACTGAATATGGAATTCTGCGTCAATCTCTCACATTTTCTTTTTCAGTGCATTGAAGATGTGCTTCTAGTATCTTCTGATTTCCATGGTTTCTGATTTGCTTTTCTCCTTATATATTATCTTTTATTTCTAACTGTCTTCAAGAATTTTTCATTTTTTGGTTATCAACATATTGGATGTACTTTTTCTAAATGTAATTTTCTTCATATTTATCCTGTTTGAAGTTTTCTGAGCTTGTTGAATCTGTAAATTTATGCCCTTCATAAAACATGGATAGTTCTAAGCTGTTACCTCTTAATGTATTCTTTCTCTCCACTTTTACTCTCCTCTCCTTCAGTGATTCTGGTAATAAGTATGTTAACAACTTTTGATATTGTCTAACACTTCTCTGAGTCTTTGTTAATTTTTAAAATATTTCTTTCTTTGCTTCAGATTGGATATTTTGTGTTAATATATTTTCAAGTTCACGGACCCTTTCCTAAGTGCTTCAAATAGATTTTTGTTTCAGATATTGTACTTATAAATTCTATATTACATTTCTTCCTTTTTAATATATTTAACTTCCATGTGGAGACTTCCTGGTTTTTCACTCATTATGAGAATATTTTACTTTTCTATGTTTACCATAGTTTTAATGGCTGTTTTAAAGTCCTTGCTGCTTATCTCAACCACTGGAATATCTCAGGATTGGACTTTTTAAAAATTATCTTTTCTCTTGAAAATAGGTGCCATTTTTCCTGCTTTTTGTATGTTGAGTAATTATATATCATATATTGCATACTGTAAATAATATGTTTTAGGGACTCTGGATTCTGTTACATGTCTTTAAATATTGTTCATATTTGTTTTCAGCAAACAATTAGCTAAATTAAATGCAAACTGAAAACTCTTTTGGTTAGAGTGGGTAGTGGATAGTAGCCTAGATTCTAGATTCTAGTTCAGATTACTTTTAGTCTACATTGTGCAAGAATAACTTAATGGACAGTCAACAATTTTAGCAGAGTTTATACAATGTATTTGGGTTTTATATTTCCTGATATTCTCTTTTCTAGGATAAACCCCTTTTTCCAGTGGCCTCAGTTTCATAAGGCAGCTTACTTTGTTTCTTCTGGTCAAAAAGAAGATCTTTAGCAGGAGGTTTAGTACGTCTATACCATCTCACAACCACAGATATCCTCATAGCAAAATCACATAAACGGGAAACTCATTCAGTCCTTGCCTTTTTTGCTTTTTCTTCCATGTGTTGACTCCTCTCCAAAATATTCCTGCTGTTTTTCATTCTTCAGAGCTCTCAGGTAATTGGCTGTTGTATTTTGCCCAGAGTTTATAGTTACATGTGGGAGAGTCAGTTTTCTAGGGTCTTACTTCTCCATACTGTTAGTGTGCTTAAATTAGGACTACATTTAGTTTAAGAAATCATGTTGATTTGCTAACCTCTAATCATAACCCAAATTTATCCAGATGTTCTGAGTGGTTGAACTTAAGGGAAGGGAGTCATAGCCTCATGTTAATTTCTTTTAAAATGTCAAAGCAATTCAAAGGGCACCTGGGATGAAGATGTGCTAGCTTAGTAGCTAACAGATCATGCTTTGGACTCAAGAACCCTAGGTTTAAATCATCCACTACCTTCTTAACTATTAATGTTGGGTATATTGTTTGATCCCTGCAAGCCTCAGTTTTTACTATCTATGAAATCATTATAAAATCAGTATCAACTCATGGAGTTGTTGAGTGAATTATAAAGCACTAGGACTGTATAAGACAGAAATGTCATATCCAATAAATAGTCTCTTTAATTCTTGTTATTATATACATGTGCTACATAAAATCACCTTCTATTTCAGAATTTGAGACAACACTCTCTTGGTTGTGGGTCAAAAGGAATAGGACATATGATTGTTAGATAGTGACTAGGGAAGAGGAAAAACAAAGTGCAGAGATGAGAAGGGAGGAGACCCAGTGGTGCTCTCCAGTGCTAGATCCCAGGCAACATGATGGGAAAAGATTCAAGAATCCTAGAAGGTGGCTCCAGGGGAACAAAGATGTTCAGGGAATGAGTGAGGGTGGGGTGTAAAAAGAAAAATAATCTCATATCATTTTTATTAAGGTCTGAAGCTGGCTGATGCATCTACATAAATACAGTGGCTTTTCTTCAGCAGAGAGACTGAACTTTCTTTGGCTATGGCATTGCTGGGATGCGGTCCTGAGGGTGAGGGAAAGAGAAGATACAGAAACTCAAGGGATTGAGTTGTGGCTCTCACTGCTCATGACCCTGCAGGTCAACAAGCCTGACACACATAGTGATGCCTCTATTTCCCTTGGGTTGTGGATCTCCTTTGGTTTATGGAAGACCAAACCCAAAATTGTTCTGGAAAGGCCAAGATTACTGGCTCCACCTATGATGAAGCACCCTTTTGAGCAAGGCTGTCTCAAGATACACCATTCAGAAAGTGGTGAAATTCCCCTCAAACTCACATTCCCTTTTACTGCACAAAGTGTCATCCAGGCCACCATTTTTTATTCTTTGACATTATTATGGACCCCATGAGACTGGAAAAGATGCTCTTCCCTGGAAATTTACTATTGTACTGTTGACGTTAAGGTCTCATAAAGAACTTACATCTCTACGCGACCTTAACATCCACAGTAAATTTTCAGGGAAGAACACCTTTTCCAGTCTCATCTCCCTGTAATCTCAGCTACTTGGGAGGCTGAGGCAGGAGAATCGCTTGAACCTGGGAGGCAGAGGTTGCAGTAAATGAGATCGCACCACTGCACTCCAGCCTGGGCAACAAGAGCAAAACTCTGTCTCCAAAACAAAAACAAACAAACAAAAAAGGTACTTGTATCTCAACCCCTCACCCCCCTTGCAGGGTTTATAATGCTTCACATACAAGAGGAACAGACCTGGCCCTTAATAATCCGTAGTATTTACTGTGTAATTTCCACGTGCCGGGTCCTTTGCATCACACTTGAAATACTTTATCACAGTAATTATCAAAATCATCCTATCAAATCATTCTGAAAATGTATTACACAAAATCTAGCTTTGTAAATAATTCCCAAACCCCCCAGTTACCAAATTCAACTATTCCCCACAACTATTTTAGTCTATTTTCTCAAAACAGACCCTCAATTCTTCCCAAATTCAAGAGGAACCATTTTTTTTTCTCTTCCCGCAGCTTTAATACACTGATGATACAGGGAAAATTGATTAACACTCCAGTACCACAGTGGACAAGGCAAAGGGGGAAGCAGGGAGCATCAAGACACTCACCACAGCTCACACCTCATAATTTTTCTCTATATTATAATGATTAATAAGTTTCTCAGAATTGGGGGATGGGTGAGAGATAAAGGAGAGAGGATGATAGGTAGCTTGCAGGCTATGCCACACAAGGGGAAAGGAAAGAGCGTGAAGTTAATAGGAGTAGGAACTTGGCTTGCTTCCCTGATAAAGGCCTCTTATGTCTACTTCTGAGGGTTACACAAAGAGAAAAATCATCCTAAGAATGTTTTTTGGCTGGGCGCGGTGGCTAACGCCTGTACTTTGGGAGGCAGAGGTGGGCGGATCATGAGGTCAGGAGATCGAGACAATCCTGGCTAACGTGGTGAAACCCCGTCGCTACTAAAAAGAAATACAAAAAATTAGCTGGGCGTGGTGGCAGGTGCCTGTAATCCCAGCTGCTCAGGAGGCTGAGGCGGGAGAATGGTGTGAACCCAGGAGGCGGAGCTTGCAGTGAGCTGAGATCGCACCACTGCACTCCAGCCAGGGCAACAGAGCGAGACTCCATCTCAAAAAAAAAAAAAGAATTTTTTTTATTGTGCTTTATTATTATTTTATTATTATTATTTTTGTAAATGCTTAACAATGCTCCATGTGTAAAAATCCATTTAGCAAAATGCCACCTTGGGTTTCAGAGTTTGTAACATTGAAAAGCAGCATTTAAGACCTCCTGTGACTCATAAAGTATGCAATAAGGGGTTTGGAGTAATATGGAAAAGTAGGGGAAAAAATTTGTGCTCTTCGCAGGTAAAATATTGCTGACATTTTTAATAATAATGAAGTATATGATCTCCTTGGGGCAAAACTAAAATCTATTGTACAGTGAAAGAAGAGATCCATTTAATTTGTTTAGGCTTCTTTCATTTTGTGTTATTAAATCTGTTCAAGGTTATGAATAGTATTACTAATGGCTGAATAGTTGCGGAAAGTGTGGTACAGAGAGCTGACTTTTCCAAACAGATTTTGGAAGATGAGATGCTTATGCATAATGCGGCTTCTCCCGCTTTGCTGTAAGAGCATAGTTTTGTTTAATGTTCAAAAAGTCAATAGGAAAACATCTTCCTTTAATGTTATATATACTCCTAATTGTGCATGAATTTGAGTATAGTTTTGTTTCTGTCCTTAATGGTTTAGTTTTATCTACTTATGGTGAAATGTTACAACACAGATCCCTGATGTTTAACACATTATTGGTAAAGTTGCCAGATAAAAAAAAAGGCTTGCAGGAAAATGTGAATTTCATATAAACTACATGCAATTTTTAGTATAACCATGTTTCATGCAATAGATAGTACATACTTACACCAAAAACATTTGCTGTTTATTTGAAATTGAAATTTAAATGGGCATCACATCTTTTCATTTGCTGAAGATGACAGTCTTAATTGTTGGTCATTCTTGTGGGGACAGATAGAGAGGATGAAATCAGGCTCTATAAGGGTAAGCTTTAACATTGAAACACACCATTACTTGAACTTCAGTTGCCCTGGAAATAACGCAATTTAAAAACTTATTTATGATTGACATAATAATTGTAAGTATTTATGAGGCACCAATGTGATGTTTGGATACTTGTATAAATTGTGTAATGCTCAAATCAGGGAAATTAGCATATCCATTACCTTAAACATTCATTTCTTTGTTCTCAAAGAAGTAGAGAGTAGAAAAGTGCTTGTTTACCAGAGGATGGAGATGAGGGTATGGTGAGAGACTGGTCAACTGGTACAAAGCTACAGTTAGAGAGGAGGAATAAGTTCTGGTGGTCTATTGCATAGTAGAATAACTGGAGTTTACAATAATGTATTGTATATATCACAATAATTAGAAAAGAGGTTTTAAAATGTTTTCATCACAATGAAAATGATGCAATTTTAATGGTGCTTTTCAAAAACTCTTGAAGTACTATTTAAAAATTGTGCTTCGTGTAGGTGCAGTTTCTCATAGACACATAGTTGAAGCTGGAAGTGAATGAGAATGACACAATATACTCAGGGTTTGCTGGGTTCCAGAAGATATTTTTTTGTAGTTACTTTTTAAAGTGGGGTAGAAAAGAATAAAAGCACATCATTTCAAATTTATTTTTCTAGATTATTAATAATAATAATATTAGAAGATAGATCATTCGCAGCCACTCAGTGTTGCACATTTCTACACAAATGCTGCTCTGATTTAAGATAATGCTTATTAGGGTATTTTAATCTTCTTGGAAGTTACTATTTGTCATTTGAGTATTTGCATGTTCATGGCAAATCCCATCTACATGTTGTTGGGTGGAAGTGGAATATATCCTATTTATGCTTATTCCCAATTTAAAATTTTTATTGGCTTTTGGGAGCAAACAGAAGTAACAATTTTCAGAAAACAGTAAGTACAGAATGCTAAAATATCTACAGAGGGGGTATAGGTAAAATATTGAAATAAAGTCTCTAAAGGAAATAGAGCAAATGAAGTATACCCAGAAGTCCCCTCATCAAACCGAAGGCTAAATTTCACAAGCTCTCTCAGAGGGGACATGGGGAATGGAGAAATAATAACAGCTTATGATTATTAACCTTCATTTAATTTTTATCCTTTTGAAAGAATGTCAGGCAGGAACCATGTTATTCCAATTTGATATCTGGGAAAACCGAGTGTACAGAGTGAACAAATGACTTGTCCCAATTAGTAACTTAGCGACGGAGCCAGGAGCTGTGGTTTTTAAGCTCTTATAGAATATAGTATTAAAATCATTTCAATGCTATAAATCTTCTTCCTGGATGGTGGTGGGGCCATTGCAGAAACTGGAAACATTTTGTGATTCATTTCAGAGGACTCTCAGCCCCCTAAAGCCCTTGGACTGTGTGAAGAACCCTTTCTCATATGAGGGTCATTTTCCAAATTTGTGACTTCTTATGAAGCTTTGGGGGGTGGTAGTTTCAGCCCCCCCTTCCCTGCAATGTGCTATTAAAATTAAAATGTAAATGGGGATTAAATTCAGGTATTTTTATAGGTGTTTAAAAGTGCGAAATGGATTATGAGTGTTATTCCAACGAAGACTAACACAGTTATGCTCTTGATCTACAATGTGGGGAGCTGTTGCCTGAGACAGGAATTGAAAACCTCCATGTTGCTAATGTCTGGGTGCTCTGACTTCTGAATGTAGGGTAGTGAGCCAGCAACAGCTTTTGACAAAGCATTTACCAGGCTACAGTGAATTGAGAAAAGTAAGAACAAGTGAATTCTTTACATCAATAACTTTAGGGTCTACCTGTACTCTGAAATTATATCCTTCGACTGTTTTTCTTTCTTTTTCTTTGAGTAATAGATATTTCTTTTTAATAACATGGTCATGTTGAAAGGCAAGGTAGGGTCAAAAATGCCAGAATCATAGTGTGGCTCTATCACTTATTAAATGGTTGTATTGAACAAGTATTATAGCTTCATCTAACTTTAGATATTTTTTCTGTAAAATGGGAATGATAACTCTACCTTCTTTAAGGCTAATGTGCTGATAAAATAAATTAATGTATCTAAAACACTTAGAAAAATATCTGGACTATATTAAGTCCTCTGTGAAGACTAGCTAATAAATTACAGTGTTTAATTATATATTTATGTGTTTTAAAAGAACATATATATATATTTTTCAATAGCAAAATTGTTTGGAAATCCTAGGTAGATATCCCTAATTATTATTAATTTTATTTTAAATTTTACTGTCTTTAAATCTATGTAAGAGTGAAGTGTGTGAAAATAATAAATGGGTGGGAGGATGAGAATGAGAGAAAACCCAAGAGGAGAACATAAAACGTTATTTGGTCATAAAAAAAAAAAAAAACTGGCCAGTCGTGGTGGCTCACGCCTGTAATCCCAGCACTTTGGGAGGCCGAGAAGGGCGGATCACGAGGTCAAGAGATGGAGACCATCCTGGCCAACGTGGTGAAACCCCATCTCTAATAAAAATACAAAAAAAAAAAATTAGCTGGGCGTAGGGGTGAGCATCTGTAGTCCCAGCTACTCGGGAGGCTGAGGCAGGAGAATCACTTGAACCCAGGAGGTGAAGGTGAAGGTTGCAGGGAGCTGAGATCGCACGCACTCCAGCCTGCCAACAGAGTGAGACCTTGTCTCAAAAAAAAAATCCAGGGAGATACCTTCTTTTCCTACAGGCAGATGGAGGGACAGGAACAGACAATTGTGGTTGCATTGGACTTTAGATTTAGTTCAGGCAGTGTCAATTTTCTGTCTCTCCCACTGGAATGGCAGCTTTATAAGAACAGTGATCTACTCTGTTTGGCTCTTAGCTTCATCCCTAGCATTTGGTGCAGTTCATGGGACAGTGTAAGCATCCAAATTTTATGTGTAAATAATGAGCAAAATTAATTACCAAACGCTTTTAGCATAAATTTGTTCTTTCAGGCTCTTCGTCCTCCATTGGCACTAAGCTTCCCCCAGGAACTAGATAAGGAAACAGCCTCTGCACAGGCCAGTGAAAAGCCACCACTGGGTGGCTACTGTTAGAATCTTCTGCTCGTCTTGAGTACAACACAGTGCAAAGAATGGTGCCAGCCAGTTTCACCCCCTCCCAACTCTTCTCTGCAGAAATTTAGCTTCCAAGATGACCTAACCTAATAATTTACTAGGCACAGGTAAATAATTTTAATTGATTTTTAACATCAGGTAGCTGCCAACTATAACGTTAAAAGATGTTTGCCTTTATTCAAGTGGAGAGAAGAGTTTTACCTTGGATGAATATATAATGGTGATATGAGAGACAGATATGGGGTATGGCTTAAAATAACTGTATTTATGAAAAAGAATAATGCCATGCTTACTTCAAGGTCTAACCTGGTTTTTAATGAGAAGCATTCTGGGTAGGTGGAGGTTGTATTTCTCTCTTGATCATGAAAGAAAATACACCTATGTCTTAACACATTCACTGAGACAACAGTCAACATTCAAACACTATGAGCCAAACAAGTGTGATGAGAGCCAGGTGTTGTGTCATCAGAATCGAGGAGCATAGTAGGCAAGCTTGTGTGCGTCTCATGGCTCTTGCATCTCTGAGTTCTTTACACTCATGAAGTTTGTGCCATTGCCTACTCACACCTGATTCAATCTGACTTTAAAGAGTGGAAGCCAATGTTCACACAAACCACTCAGCCCAAAATAATGACAAAGTCTATTTTCCAGGTTTTAACCCCAAACCAGCAAAATGCCGAGCTTCTCAATCATTGAAAGCTTTTAACCACAGCCCACAGCTAATGAGATTCTATCTCTACTATTTGTATTTAGGGAGAGGAGGAGGAGGATGTGTGTGTGTGTGTGTGTGTGTGTGTGTATGTGTGTGTATAGAAAAGGAAACAGCAAATTTCTATTTCATTTAATATACTGACAGAGGGTATACATTGGAGGAATGTATTTGGTAAACATTATTTTTTTTCCCTACACAAAATGACTTAATTTTCAAAATATTTATTGCAATTTTCAAAAACCCTTATTAGTCAGCCCCTTCCTGCTAGCTTTTAGAAACAGGATCTTAAGGTCAGTGAGATAGAAAATAGGAATTTGAAAATCAACACTCATGTTTAATTACCATAGGAGAAGCATATATAGACAGGTGTAGGGAGAGATTCTTTTTTTTTCAGTATTCACTTTAGCATCCATTTTATAGGTGATAGAGCTCACTTACAGTGGAGAGGGAGAAGGGAAGTTGATTCTCTCAGGGAATGGGATAGAAAAACCAAGTAACTTTCTCCTTTCCTTCAGCATGTGGTTTCTCCCATGTAAATCAAATTGTTTTTCAAGTACACAGATATGTTATTTGATTTGAAGCTTTAAATTTGGATTATTCGTACATATCTGATTTTCCCAATTATTTTCTAATCTATGTAAATGATTTACACATTAATGAATGTTATTAAAAATAGTTTCAGCTTTCAATAAGTTTGTTGAAGCCATATTCTCCTAAATTTAAGTAGGTATGGTTCATAGCAGAAGTTTTTGGAATTTTTATTAGCTAAACTGCACTGTGACTTTCTAAGGTGTAGGTAGTTAATACAGTCATGCTTTCCCAGAGTTACATGATCCTATCCCTCACTTCTTTTTTTGAGATTCTTTTCATGGGATGTGATTTTCAGAGAACACTCTATGGGTGTTCAAATGAATCTCCTCAGAGGAGAATGTCGTAAATATAATATCATATCTGTGCTCCTCAAGAAAAATGAATGTGGTTATTATCTTGTCTGCAAAGATTATGTGTGATGGTAAGGCTGTTAAGATACTCCATGGATAGTCAGGGAAAGATGTATGCAGCGAAGGAGGTGAGGGCACTCTATGGCATGGAGGCTGTTGAGATAGGCACAGAAAGACAGTTTAGCTAAATTTATAATAACAAAAGATTTCTGTTTGGATAGAGTTAGGAATTTCAGTAATATTGAGTATGGAGGCCTTAATGGGTGGGACTAGGGCATTAAGGTTTCAGGAATCCACTATGAGGCACTATTTATTCTTTCCTGACTTGATAATAGGCCTGATTAGGCAGTTAAGGGGAGAAGCAGTAGGGATAATAATTTCTTCTGTAAATGGGTCTTACATAATAGATTCCAGTCCTTGAGGGCTCTGCTTTAATTAGATTGGACCATACTAATTATTTTAACCAGTAGAGATGGTCCATAGAATCTCATTTCGTCAAGGCACTTTGTAAGTAGCAAAGACTTAATTTAAACTTTACTTAGTACTTGTTGAGTCAGAGCATTCATGTACACTGTGTGATATTTGAGGACAACAGGTGCTAAGACCATGGGGAGATTAGGCAAGGGTATTGTTCTGATGATTAGGGTGAGACATCTCACCTTTCTATTTTATGTTCAGGAACTCTTCTAAGATTAGAGGGGATACCTTGTTTAAAGTTAATGAGATGCCAAGCTATAACTGTAAGTTAAACCCTACTATTCATTAAGGACATTCAATCAAAAATTCTAGGAATGAACTTAATTGGTCTTGCCTGGCCCACATCTGACCCAGTCAGTGTGAATAAGAAAATGTGCTGAGAGGCCTACATCACTTGCCTACCCTTAGAACGTGAATTCGTCTCCACAAAAGAACATGGACTGGGAGTGGTAGGTGCTTCCTCAGAAGAAAATCAGGAGTCTCTGACCAGATATTGAGAAGGTGTGGTGGTTTGGGACCATCTCAAAGTAGTCAGGTTGTCACCACATTTTCCAGAATTTCCATCCTTGAGCACTTCAGGGTTAAGTTTGACCCCCAAGGCAAATTTTGTGAGATTCAGGAGGTGGAAGTGAAGCAACAGTCAAAATACTCTGAAAGTTGTCATTGGCTATAGGCAGATTCTAGCTTATACTCTTAGTATCCTTTTAGAACAGATATGGAAACAGAAGCACAGAGAACATAAGCAACCTATCCAAGGACACACAATTAGCAAATGGCAGAAACAGGATATGATGCCCAGGATTCTAGCTATGGATCTAGTGCGCCTAACCACTTTGCTATAGGGCAATCCAGTCCAGGGTAATAGTTGAAATATAAGAGCAAAAATAGGATGATGCGAGTATGAGAGCAAGAAAATGTTCAATTTGACTTTGACATAAAGTCGACTGATGTACATGAAGGAAAGGAACATTAGCAATTTGAGATTCGGGGTCCTCATAATGAGCTACAAGAGCTAAGAAGTTGGGTTGTACTTGGCAGGCAATAGGAAACCTTAGAAGTCATTGAGCCAGGATTTAGGTTGGGCTGTCACAGAAAATGCTGACATATAGATTTAAGTACAAATAGTCTGGTTTTTAGGCTACCACAGAAAGCATCATTGGGGTTGGGAGTGGGAGTGGGGAGTAAAATGGGGAAAAAGAAGAAACCAATCGTGATAATATTTAGTAGAATATAATGATGGGGATAGTGAGAATGCTATATTCCCACATAGATCCAAATAAGGCAGAGATTCTTAACTTTTTGAGTTTCAGATATAAAGCCAGTTTTACCTGACCTCCATTACTAGTGAGTGAAACCAGAGGAGAACGGGGTCCAGCAAGGTGGTCAGGCAAAACCTGGTATCCAGAGGGTTTGGATGGCATTTCAGGTGACATGAGTGAGACTGGGAGGGCGGAAGGGATGGGGACCTATAAATGGGAGGAGGGAAGGGGCACTGAGAGTCTGGGAGCTGTCAGGCCTGTCGCCGCTTGGGCTTCCAAAGACAGAATGCTGGTACCCACATAGAGTTTCAAGAATGAGGAACTTCAGTGCTGAGAGACCTGCAGAAACTGCCAGTTTACAAAGGAACACATGCGTGGAACTGAGCTGTGTGGTAAATACCCAGACAAGAAGGCAGAGTTCTCAGCACTGGATCTGAGGTTTATGTTAAATCAGGCCTGAAGGGCAGGTGCCAACATCATGCTGCCTGCCATTTGAGCTGCAGAGCTTCAGCCTTTTAAATTCCCTCTGTGGAAGTCAGAATTGGTTCAGGAGCCTGGCTGAATCTGTAGTAAAAGTCCAGTCATGTAGCTGTAGCTGAGGGCTGGAGGATTTACTGGGACTCAACAGGTTGTTACAGATAAGTGGAGGAGAGGTTCTCAATGGGTCACATTATAGGGAGCGTTCGGAGCATGTAAACATTACTTGACCTCCTGCATGCAATATGACCATTCACTGTGGGAAGAGTCTAATCAAACTAGATTTTATGGATTTTTATGTATTGTTAAGAGTGCTTTAAAAAAGAGAAAAAATGATGAGCTAAATAAGATATCTACATCTTTAATAGTATGACTTTCTCTCCTCAGAATCTTGGGAGGGAAAATAAGCTCTTTGTATGTAAGTTTTTATTTTTATTTTTCCAAACAATAAAATAAAGTAAAACACAAAAGAAATACTGTTGAACTGCCTGTGCTGTCATCTAGAAAAAAAGAATATGTAAATGATAAAGCCTTATTAATTATTGCACAACCTTTGCCTCGGTCGTCTATGTGAACAGAATGCCCAAGGACAGACCCTAGCAGTGAAGACTGTGTGTGAAATTTTGGCAAACATAGAAAGTGGAAAGAGAGGAGGGAGTATTGTTGAGGAAAAATATTGATCCCTCTATAATCCTTAGCAACATCTTTGACTTTTTCCTCCTTCTTCTTCTCCTTTTTTTTTTTTTTTGGTAACTCAATGCTTTTTATATGTCATTGAGAGCTGCTCCAAACTGAACAGCGAAGGCCATCTTCACAAGAGGTGGAAGTAAACCGTTTATTAAAACTGTTTTCCTTGCTATGGGAAATACATTAGATTAAAACTAATGGAAATCAAAAGTGTTGGCAAAAATCAAAATGGTTTATGTGCCCAAAGGCAGGGGCCTGGGGGAAAAACTAATGGCTGGACAAGCATGGCAAATGATGATGTTGATCTATATTTATTGGCATGGATAGATATGTAACCTCTATTGTTAACTGAAAAAAATACATTACAAAAGAGTATTACAGAAACTTCCATTTCGACAAAGTTGGAATAGATGTACTTTCCCTTATTCTTCCTATTAAGTACAAATAAAACCCTGAATGTTATATGTACAACAAACATAAGAAGATTCTTAAGGGTGGAAAGAAAAAAGCTGACTGGCTAGGGATCTTGGGACCCAAAGAACAGGACAGTGTAAGTTTCCTGAATTATCTTTTTGCCTCATATATCCCAGACTTAGAGCTGAAGAAGTTAGCAACCCAGAGACCCCAGTGGGTATGGACAAAAAAATTCCCTAATAAAAGTCTGTTCTGTCCAATTAAAGGACCATGAAAGGGACAGCTTAGCAAGACAGAAAACTTTTAGACAATGACTACGGTACTTCAACCAAGCACTGTAGCGAAGTGTGGCCTTGTCCACATCCATATTAGCAAAGACCAAATGAGAAGCTTACTCTCAGCAGGCTGTAAAGAGGCATTTCAATTCCACACTATGGTGGTGTCAGAGAAGGCTGAGTAGAGATCCTGGATTTTCATCCAGCTGTAAGAAAATGAACCCCTTGCCCCATGTGGAAACCACGTGAGAAGTCTGGACTTACACCCTTACCTGACAGTAAGAAGGTAACTTCCCTCTCCCCACGGGGTTGGTATCAAAGGAGACCTACTGGAGAGGCAGGACTTTCACCAGTGTCCTGCAGTAGTGAGGCTAATGACCTGTCCCGTCCCACCCCCTCCAACAGTAGTGTTGTGGGAGGCTGCCTGGGAGCAGTAACACAGCACTCCTACCCATTCCAGCCAGAGTGGTATCGGCAGAAACTTAGTGTGAGCCAAAACTCCCACCACCATCCAGGTAATGAGGAACCCCCTTGGGTATAAACAGAAGCCAAATGAGCATCTTGGATTTCTATACCCAACTGGCTGTCATGAGGCAGCACCAATCAAGTAGTGCCAGAGAAACCTAATTAAAAGTGAAGGTTGAAATTAGATCTAGGGTCTCATAATTTGGTATCCAAATTGTGCAGGTTTCAATGGAAAATCACTTGTAATATGAAGAACCAAAAAGATATCAACTTGAATGAAAAAAAATCAGTATGACTCCGAGATAACAGAAATGTTAGAATAATGTGGTAAAGATTTTAAAGCTTCCATAATAAAAATGTTTTATTGAGCAATTATGAACATGCTTGACACAAATAAAAATGTAGAAAGTCTCAGCAAAGCAATAGAAAGTCTAGGAAAAGCAATAGAAGATAATAAAAAAAAACTAAACAGCGGAATGGAGAAGATAGAGGAAAGAATCAGTGAAATGGAAGACAAAACAATAGAAATGATTAAATGCGAACGACATTGAAGAGATAAAATAGACTGGAGCATAAATGCGCAGAGTCTTGGGCCCTGTAGGATCACAACAAAAGATCTAACATGTGACTGGAGTCCTAGAAGGTGAGTAGAAAACAGCAGGTTTAAAAAAGTACTTGAAAAAATAATGGCTGGAAACTTCCTAAATTTGGCAAGAGACACAAACATTCAGATTCAAGAAGCTAAGCAAACGCCAAACACAATAAATCCAAATAAATTGCACCAAGACACATTATTGTAAATTTTCTGAAAACTAAAGATAAAAAGATTTAAAGCAATGAAAGAGAAGGAACACTTTACATATAGTGGGGAAAAACTTGAATTACAGTAGGTATTTTACCAGAAAGGGAGTAGCACAAAATTTTGTAAGTGCTGAAAGAAAACTGCCCGGTGAAAATATTTTTCAGGAGAAAGGGGAAATCAAGACACATGAGCCGAAGGACAAGGAAAATAATTTATCACTAGAAAACCTACAATGAAAGATGGCTAAGAAAGTTATCTAACCAGAAAGAAAAGAATAAAAATACAGATAATATATTTTCTTTCTCCTTTTGAGTTTTCTGAATTATGTTTGATGGTTGAAGCAAAACTTACAATACTATCTGATGTCATTAAAATGTATATAGAGGTAATATTTAAGATAATTCTATTATAAATGGAAGAAGGGAAAATGATTATACAAGGAGGTGCAGTTTAATACTTTATAAGAAGTGTTAAGGTGTCAACATCAGTAGACTGTCATTATATATATATATATATATATATATATATATCTATATATATAACATACATATTCAGATATCACATCACATATATGTGTTCGGAGCCTGTAAACATCACTTGACCTCCTGCATGCAATATTACCATTCACATATATATGATGTTATATCTGAATATATGATGTAATATCTGAAATATGATATGTGCTTTTTTAGTGAAGCACACACTAAAAAAGCTATACAAAGAGGTACACTAAAAAATATAGGTAAGTCAAAATGGAGTTCTAAAAAATGTTCAAGTACCCTACAAGACGGCAGAAAAAAAAAAACCAGAAAAGAAAAACAGAATAAACAGAACACTAACAAATATAAAATGACTAACTTAAACCTTAACATGTCAATTATTACATTAAATGTAAATTGCTTAAATGTACCAATTAAGAAACAGAAATTGGCAGAGTGGATTAAAAATGTAACCCAACTATATGTTGCCTATAAGAAATTCACTTTAAAGGTAATATTATAGCTAGGATGAATGTAAATGATAAGTAAGAGATATTATGCAAACAGTAATCAAAAGAGAGCAGGAGTGGTTACATTATCAGATAAAGATATTTCACCAAGGTGGATATAGGGATGTTAAAAGATGTTCAACATAATTAGTCACTGAGAAAACACACATTCAAACTGTAAATGAGATACTACAGCACACCTATCAGAATGGTTTAAAAAATAGTGACAGCAAGTAATGGAGAGGATACAAAGAAATTGGATCATTCACACGTTGCTGGTAGGAACTTAAAAATGGTACAACCACTCTGGAAAACAGTTTCTTACACAACTAGATTTGCACTTACCATATGACTGTGGATTTGTACTTCTGGGCATTTATATTGGAGAAATGAAAACTTATGTTCACACAAAAACCTGTACCTAAATGCTCATAATGGTTTTATTCATTATAGCCCCCAAACTGGAAATTACTGAGCTATCCTTCAATAGGTGACTGGATAAATAGACTGTGGTACATCCATACAGGGGATTATTACTCTGCAATGAAAAGAAATAAACATTAAATAAAATGTCAATACATGCAACAACTTGGATGAATTATTGCCAAATTATGCTGAGTGAAAAGTGCTAATCTCAAAGCTGCAAGGTTCCTCTTATAGAATATTATTATAGAAATGGAGAATAGATTAAGGGTTTCCAGAGGTAAAGGGGAGTGGAAAGGAAGCAGGAGGAAAGTTGATGTTGCTACGAAAGGAATCCTTGTGGTGATGGAAATGTTGTGTATCTTCATTGTATCAATGGAAATATCCTGGTCGTGGTACTGGACTATAGTTTTGCCAGATGTTGCTATTGGAGGCACATGAATAAAGGACAGATGGTACTGTGTCACTCTGTATTACTTTGTACAACTGCATGAAAATCTACAATGATGTCACAATAAAAAACTTAAAGTAAAATGGCTGTATAATACCTTAAAAACAAAACTAATAAGCAAAAAATAGTATTATATCATTTTGTTTTGAAAAGAAATCTGGAATTATGCAGAAGAGAGTATAAGCAGGGATTATTTTTGGGTGGTGAGAGTGTAGATATTTTCTTTTCTTTTTCCCTATTTTACATTCTATTTTCTACATTTTTACAGTGACTATAAATTACTTGTATAAATCTAAAAAGTTAAATTTTGTCAATAAAGATATTTAAATAAAAAATCATAGTCCCTGCATGCCCTCAAATATTTTTATACATATTTTTGCCTCATAAGCTAGGAAGTTAAAAAAACAAAAAAAAAAAAGGAAAAAAAAAAAGAAAGAAAGCTGAAGCCCCCAGAGCAAGGAAGACATACAATTAAATATTTAAAAAACATAAATGAAATTATTGTGGCTTTTCCCTGTAGTGACATATGCTGTGTCACTTTAGGATTATATTAACTTGGGTTGATGAAAAATAAATTGGTATGATTATGTTTAAATGATTAAACCAATGTCTGTGAGTTACTCAGCCTTCACTTTTATGTTGGTGAAAAATAAAATGGTATAATTACGTTTAAATGATTAAACCAATGTCTGTGTGTTACTCAGCCTTCATCTCTATGTAATATTAGCAGGGAGAACTAATCTTGTGGTACAACCTACATGAAATAATTCCTTCTCCCCAACTCACACACATCTAGGAATTTCCACTTGGGCCATAGATTAGATAACTTTTTCCTTGTTATATAATGTCTTACTTCCATCATTGCTTGTAGGACCCTAGTAAAGAGAAAATCTTATTAATATTGACATGATGGAAGAAAAATGTTAACAAGTAGAAATAGTTCATTATAGTCACTAGATTTGAATATATTGGGAAAGCCATAGTATGTTAAGTGTTGGAAATCATCATTCTCAGTAAACTATCGCAAGAACAAAAAACCAAACACCGCATATTCTCACTCATAGGTGGGAATTGAACAATGAGATCACATGGACACAGGAAGGGGAATATCACACTCTGGGGACTGTGGTGGGGTCGGGGGAGGGGGGAGGGATAGCATTGGGAGATATACCTAATGCTAGATGACACATTAGTGGGTGCAGCGCACCAGCATGGCACATGTATACATATGTAACTAACCTGCACAATGTGCACATGTACCCTAAAACTTAGAGTATAATAAAAAAAAAAAAAAAAAAAGAAAAGAAGGGACAATTAAGCCATTTATTTAAGGATGTTTAGCTAATAAGTGAATAATTGGAAATTGAACCCAGATCTGTCTGACTCCAAAATTTGTGTCAGGTTTAGCTATTTGAGTGACCTAATCATGGGATTTCCATGGTTTGAATATCACTTTCCACCTATTTGTGTCTGCTCCAGGAAATCTCTGTTTATGCTACTCCCACTGTTCATGGCCTGTTTTCACACTTCCCTACTGTCTCTCAGTGTTTGAAAAAAGCAGCCAATTACAGCAGTGTGTGGCCATTTACTACAAATGGTGCTGGTGGCTCTTTGAATAGATGAGAGTTGCTGCCATTGATTTATGTGACTCTGAAATTGTGGTTCATCTGGACCTAATGAGACAGATAAGACCAGGTCCCTGCTGCTGTGTGACCAGGCAATAGCACAACTGGGGACGTGCTGTGCCTCCACTGTGGCGAGTCCTTCCTTCAATCAGGGAGAAAGAAGTGTGGAAAATCCAGTTTGGAATTATTGCAGGGATTGTGAGACAGCTGCTGACCTTCTCTCAGCAGTGCTGGCGTAAAAACTTGGGAACATGATATTACTCTAACAGTAGGCACTAGGATTCCATTTAGGGAGAGAAATATGTATGTGGGAAATCAAGTGTTTGATGCAGGGGGTGGGACCCAAAGACTTCAGAGAAAAGGCACAAGTGCCTCTGCAGGGACATGGAGAGAAGAAATGGGGGAGATGAGCTGGAGAGTGGATTTGGGGCTGGGTCCTGAATGATGAGATTACAAAAAAGTTATTTGGAGAGGAGAAATTGGCCACGTTGTTGGCTCTTTGGTGTGTGAAGTGACACCCACTCTATGAAGTCACACATGTTTCATGTGAGTTGGGAGTGTGGGTGGGAGGTTGATGAGAAATCAATGAAGGGCCTGGATTTGAAATCTAGGTCAGTGTGGAGAATAATAGAAACTGTGAATGAGGAATCTGGAGCCCAAAAGGCAGGATAGGCCACAAGAACAACAGTTTCCTAGTTATTCTCAGAAATACTGAGGAGGGCTGTGGACTCCTACAAGCCATGGAGTTACATATGTGTGTGTGTGTGTGTGTGTGTGTGTGTGTGTGTGTGTGGTGTGTTGAGGAAAGCATGCTGTGTCACAAATCATTTTGCTAAGATCTTGAAAGCTGAGGTTCCAGCTCGCATCTTGTTTGTACTTTTTTTCTTCATACTCCCACAATTGAGTGGTTGAAGCCTAATAATTCATATGATTAAAAGTGTGGGCTTTCCAGAAAGAGGTGACACATTATCAAAAAGAGGAGAAAAGTTGGTTTGCTTACAAAGACCACCTAGGAAACTTAGTCCCACCAATACCCACCTCTGGCTCTGTGCTGTGGTTTGGATATTTGTCCCCTCAAATTTCATTTTGAAATGTAATCCCTAATGTTGGAGGCAGGGCCTAGTAGGAGGTGATTGGGGCATGTGGGCGGATCTCTCATGGCTTGGTGCTATCCTTGTGATAGTGAGTTCACGTAAGATCTGGTTGTTTAAAAGTGTATGGCACCTCCCCCCAACTCTCTCTCTCTTGCTCCTGCTCTTGCCATGTGAGACACCTGCTCTGCCTTCATCTTCTGCCATAATCAGAAGCTTCCTGAAGCCCCCCAGAAGCCAAGCAAACGCTAGCGCCATGTTTCCAGTGCAGCCTGCAGAACAGTGAGTGAATCAAACCTCTTTTCTTTATTAACCCAGCCTCGGATATTTCTTTATAGCAATGCAAGAATGGCCTGATACGTTCTGTCATGCACAGATGATGTCTGTCTCTTGCCAAGTGATGTTCAGGGAGAACTGTCACTCACTCCTAGATTCTCAAAAGCATGGCCTGCACACGCTCTGGGCTCTGAGCTCACCATGGAGATGAGTTGGTTAGTCCATCCCTGACTTGATTCTTGCTCAGAATAGGCACACTGCTCCCCCAGAACAGATGCCAAAGCAGGACTGGTGAGAGGTGGTTTTCAGGACTGTAATAGGTTGCAAGGGTTCCTTTGAAGATGCCCAGCCAGTGAAAAGGGGCTAGGAGTAGGTAATACAGGGTTGTTTCCTACCTTCCCATACTATTCCTCCTGGCGTATATCTGAAAATTTCAATTTACAGGGTCATTGTTTCTCTAGCCTCAGGGGAGACTTCCAAGAGAAAGAAAGCAACAAGGACGTGGGAGCATGATAAGATTAGGAAAGTGAAATTTTCACAGAAATCCCGAGTAGACCTCCCTTATTTCATCGGTCAACCCTGTGTCACATGCTGTCTTTGCAGCAAAAGATATTGGGAAATGTAGTTTTCATTTGGGTATCTATTACACACAGTTTCTCTGAACACAGGAATGAGGTGATTACATAAAAGGTTTTGGGAAGTGAGGATTTGGGGATTGACAGAATTTGAGAAGCAGGAGTGTTCAGAGAATGGATAACCTTTATCTTGGATGGCTGATCACTTGAGACCATGCCTGTTGTCTGACTTTCAGCAGTGTGTTGTTCACCGGAGTGAACTGTCACTAATGGATTAGCATGGGTTTGAAACCAGGTCTAGGGATTACTATGGCCGGAGAATAACCAGTGTTTTCCTGTAGGATAGGAACCTTTTATTTATTCTGCCTGTAAAGAAAGCAGAGTCCTCTTAGTAGGGAAGAAAGGAAAAATAGATATTAGGTTGACAACTGGCCATGTCTGCCACATCTGCTGTGGCTTCATGCTGATGATACCCTGCTTTAAAGAAAATCAAATCTAGGAAACAAAAAGTATGCATTCATTCATACGTGTTTACCTAATTATTTGCATTTACCTAGGTTTGCATTTACCTATTTAATTCACGTAATATGACTTGATTAAGAACTTACAATATTAGTACTGAAAATTCAAGGATAAGTCATATCTTGTCTGCAAGTCACTCATTCTCAGTGGAAAAAAACAGATAATGAACATCTGTAGCAATGAGATAGATGCTATATGAGAGAGAAACAGAGGACACAGCAGGAGAGCATGAGAGAAGGGCTGTTACCTCTCCTAGAGGGTTCAGGGATGGCTTGTTAGAGAATAGGATTTGTGATATAGCAGTTAGATGATGAATGTTGTGCAGATGACTTCATATGCTTTGTTAGCTAAAGAGTAGATGTGTCATTCATTGACTGTGCTACCTAGGAGTAAATATATGCCAAACTGATAGGAGTGATGTGAGGATTGTGTGAGCTAAAATCTGACATAGAATAGGATTGAATAAAAGTTGATTGAAAGAACACCCGCATACAGAGACTCTTTGCTTTACAGGTGGGGATGTTGAGGCTCAGGAGGTGCAAAACTTGCCAGTGGCCCCACATCCAGTAAGTAACAGGCTGCAGCTTTAATTCTAAGGCCCACATGCTTTATTCATGCTTTGCCTCAAGCTTTGGGTTAAAAAAATTTCAATTAGAATTACACAGATTCTGTGAAGAAAGACACAAATCTACCTGAAAATTCATCAGCTAGATAGAATGCAGCATGTACCTTTCTTGATCTGCCATTGAAATGACTTAGCAGTGTAAGTTCTTATTTCCAATAGACACTGATTGAGCACCTACCACAAAGAAGGTACCATTCTCAGCATGTGAAAGGCATAAAAATGAGTCACACATGGTACTCTCACTTGATATGCAAATTTTTATTCTTGCACATATTTTGTGTTCAAAATCCTAGAGGCAGAGGCCTCTGGGATTTTGGAGCAAGGCCCCATTATCTTCTGTAGATAACTACTCTCCTTTTGAGAGATAGCTCTTGGCTTATTACTGGGCTTTGGTGGAAACTGAACATTTGACTATGGGTCATCAAGTCACCATGTGACCTGAACTGCCTATCATGAACTGGTTGCTTTCTGACCCATCTAGCCTAAAGTGGGCCATGCTCAGCAGCATTCCATCATCAAGTGGAAGTGGTATATATGTGACTGGGCTTGAGCAGGTCCTGAAGGCACAAGTAAGTTACATGAGGAAGTGGCTCAAATGCCCGTGGTCTTCACTCCTTCCACCCTGCCTTCTCTTCTCCAGCCTGTACTGAGGGCCTCGTGGGAAGTCTCCTATGATCAGTTGACAGAGGAAGAAAAGACTAGGGCCTGGTTCACAGATGGTTCTGCACGATATGCAGGCACCACCCAAAAGTGGACAGCTGCAGCACTACAGCCCCTTTCCAGGACATCACTGAAGGACAACAGTGAAGGGAAATCTTCCCAGTGGGCAGAACTTCTAGCAGTGCAGCTGGTTGTGCACTTGGCACGGAGGGAGAAATGGCCAGATGTGCAATTATATACTGATTCATGGGCTTTAGCCAGTGGTTTGGCTGGATGGTCAGGGACTTAGAAGAAGCATTATTGGAAAATTGGTGACAAAGAAATCTGGGGAAGACCTTTTTGGTCAAAAACTGTGAAGATATTTGTATCCCATGTGAGTGCTCACCAACAGGTGACCAGCGGAGGAGGATTTTGATAATCAAGTGGATAGGATGACTGCTTCTGTGGACATCACTTAGCCTCTTTCTCCAGCCACCCCTGTCATTGCCCAATGGCCCCATGAAGAAAGTGGCCATGGTGGCAGGGATGGAGGTTATTCTTGGGCTCAGCAACATGGACTTCCACTCACCAAGGCTGACCTGGCTATGGCCATATGGCACCATTCCTCGGGGTGATCAGCCAGCTACCTGGTGCAGGTTGATTATATTGGACCTCTTCCATCATGGACAAAGAGGTTTGTCCTCACAGGAATAGATGCTTACTCCAGATATGGGCTTGCCTATCCTACATGCAATGCTTCTGCCAAGACTACCATCCATGGACTCACGGAATGCCCTATCCACCGTTATGGTATTCTATGCAGCATTGCCTTTGACCAAGGCACTCACTTTACGACTAAAGAAGTGCAGCAGTGGGCTCATGCTCATGGAATTCACTGATCTTACCATGTTCCCCATCATCCTGAAGCAACTGGATTGATAGAACAGTGGAATGGCTTTTTGAAGTCACAATTACAATGCCAACTAGGTGACAGTACTTTGCAGAGCTGGGGCAAAGTTCTCCAGAAGGCCGTGTATGCTCTGAATTGGTGTCCAATATATGTTTCTGTTTCTCCCATAGCCAGGATTCATGGGCCCAGGAATCAATGGATGGAAGTGGAAGTGGCACAACTCACCATCACCCCTAGTGATCCACTAGCAAAATGTTTGCTTCCTGTTCCCGTGACATTCTGTTCTGCTGGCCTAGAGGTCTTAGTTCCAGAGGGAAGAAGGCTGCCACTAGGACACACAACAATGATTCCATTAAACTGGAAGTTAAGATTGCCTCCTGGACACTTTGGTCTTCTCCTATCTTTAAGTCAACAGGCTAAGAAGGGACTTACAGTGTTGGCTGGGGTGATTGGCCTGGACTATCAAGATGAAATCAGTCTACTACCCCATAAGAGAAGTAAGGAAGACTATGCATGGAATACAGGAGATGCATTAGGGTGTCTCTTAGTATTACCAAGCCCTGTGATTAAGGTCAATGGGAAACTACAGCAGCCCAATTCAGGCTGGACTACAAATGGTCCAGACCCCTCAGGAATGAAGGTTTGTGTCCACTAGGAAAAAAACACCCACGACCTGCTGAGGTGCTTGCTGAAGGCAAAGGGAATACAGAATGGGTAGTAGAAGAAGATAGTCATCAATACCAGCTACGATCACGTGACCAGTTGTAGAAATGAGGACTGTAACTGTCACATGTATTTCCTCCTTCTTTTGTTAAAAACATGTTTGTGCGTGTATACACTTGTTCTAACAAAATATCCTCATTTTATTTCCTTTTCCTTTATCATGTGACTTAAGATTTATTGACTTCATATCAGCATTTAAGTATTGTTAACTTTATGTAATAGTGTTTGGGTTGAGGATTGGTACATTTCTGGTTATAGGAAGGATACTTGCATTATGTTAGGCATAATTATGACCTCATTATTGTCTTTATTTGAAGATTATGTATGATCTCAGGAGATGTGTATGGGTTCAAGTTGACAAGTGGTGAACTTGTGATGGTTAATACTGAGTGTCAACTTGATTGGATTGAAGGGTGCAAAGTATTGATCCTGGGTGTGTCTGTGAGGGTATTGCCAAAGGAGATTAACATTTGAGTCAGTGGGCTGGGGGAGGCAGAACCATCCTTAATCTGGTGGGCACCATCTAATCAGCTTCCAACAAATATAAAGCAGGCAGAAAAATGTGAAAAGGCAAGACTGGCCTAGCCTCCCAGCATACATATTTCTGCCGGTGCTGGATGCTTCCTGTCCTCAAACATTGGACTCCAAGTTCTTCAGTTTTGAGACTCGGACTGGCTCTCCTTGCTCCTCAAGCTTGCAGACAGCCTATTGTGGGATCTTGTGATCATGTGAGTTAATACTTTATATATATATATATAAAGTTAATACTTAATAAACTCCCCTTTATATATAAATATATATATTATATATGCACCATATTAGTTCTGTCCCTAATACAGCCTCTTTTTAGTAATTTGCATATGCACAGGGTAACTGCTATTGTAACTTGTAGCAACATAGATCAATTTGGCCTGTTCTTGAATTTCATATGATTGAAATCATACAGCATCTATTATTTTATGGCTGGTTTCTTTCACTTGACTTTGGGTTTATGAGTTTATTCCATGTAGTTACATGCAGCTGTGGTTCTTTCATTCTCATTGATGTACAACATTCTAATGCATACTTTTCAATTGCTTCTAGTTTGGGCAACTCTGAATAATCTGAATATCCTGAGTATGCTCTGAATATTTCCATTCATGTCTTTTGTGAACATATGTATACATTTCTATTGGGTACAAATGTTAACATGGAATCTCTGGATGTTGGTGTACACATATGTTCAGCTTTGTACTTGCAAGTAGTTTTTCTAATATGGTTGTAAAAATTTATGCTCTTGTTTACAGCATATAATAGTTTTCATTGTTCCAATTACTTGCCAACTCTTGTTTCCTGAGTTGTTTTTACAAATTTTAGATATTCTAATGGGTACATAGTAATATTTTACTGAGGTTGAAATTTTAATTTGCAATTCCCAGATGACTAATGATGTTTATTCACCATTTGGACATCTTATGAATTTCTATCCAAGTCTATTATTTTTTTAAAAATTGTTTGGTTATAGTCTTATCTCATTGATTTGTAGGTTTTTTATCTTTCACATATGCTACATATTATTACTTTGTTAGATATATCTATTGCAAATAATATACTCTACTACTTTGTAGTTTGCCTTTTCACTATATGGTTTATTTTGATAAATAACACTTTTTAATTTTGAGGCTTTAAAGCATACATTTTTTTCTTTTGCGTTAGTGCTTCTTTTTGTTTGTTTGTTTTTGTTTTTGTTTTGTTTTTTTTGAGATGGAGTTTCACTCTTGTTGCCCAGGCTGGAGTGCAATGGTGTGATCTCAGCTTACCGCAACCTCTGCCTCCCGGGTTCAAGTGATTCTCCTGCCTCAGCCTCCCAAGTAGCTGGGATTACAGGCGTGCGCCACCATGCCCGGCTAATTTTGTATTTTTAGTAGACACGGGTTTCACAATGTTGGTCAGGCTGGTCTCGAACTCCTGACCTCAGGTGATCTGCCCGCCTCAGCCTCCCAAAGTGCTGGGATTACAGGTGTGAGCCACTGTGCCCAGCCTTAGTGCTTCTTATATCGTATTTGAGTTATCTTTGCTTAATTAAAAGTCATCAGGTTATTATCACATGTTTTAAAAGCTTTACTGTTTTATATTTCATATTTAAAATTGCAATCTGGTTGGAATTAATTTCTGTGTAAGCTGTGAGAAGGGGTAAAATTCATTATTTTCCAAATGGATATCCAGTTGATCTAGCACCATTTATTGACAAGACTAACTTTTCCGTATGGCACTGCACTGTCACCTCCATCATAAATCAGGGGACAACATTTGTATGAGCCAGTTTCTGCACTCCATTATGTTTCTTTGACCTATTTTTGTACTTCTTTTGTGATATATTGGAAGTCCATGTTAAAGCTGATGGAGACAGCTCTTGATTTAGTGTAAAGAATTACTTTCTAATTATTACATATGGTCACAAATGGGATAGGAAGATTTGAATAGTAGTGAGCTCCTTGTCTCTAGGAATATTCAGTGAAGAATCACAAAAGTCATCAAAGAGAATAATTTCTTTGGTGGCCAGGAAAAAAGGACATACAGCTTGTAAGGTTGTCTCTGGAGCATCTAGCAGACAACATCTGCTTCCTAGAGTGGTGGATCTGGGGGTACAAGGCAAACATTCAAAATGTAATAGAAAGGGCCCTAGATAAACCTTGTTAATATTATTTAACTAAAGGAACATTCTTTACCATGTTTGTCTGAACTATTTCCACTCTTAGTCTGAACTGGCACCAGTAAGGATTCCAACAGAATTTCCTCTCTGTAATGCCTTTTCCTGGGCAACCCAAAAAATTAAGCTGTCTGGTGACAAGTATCATCAAAACTGGCTATTTTCTATCTTACAATATTTTCAAATATGTTATAGACCTTTTAAACCCTCGAGTAGAGCAATAAGCTGGAAGAGATAATTTGATCCAGTAGTAAACTAGGGCTCATTTATTTTGGGAGAGACTTCCATGATCATAAACTTTGTATTTCTCATTTTCCCATTAGAAGTTTTGAAAGTACAGAAACTTCTATTTACTACTTCTTACTTTGAAGTTCTGCTTTCCAGAGAAAATGAATTTTTTAATTTCCTAGGCTATTTTGTTATTTATGTACCTATTTCTAAATTACATGTTTATAATTCCATTGCTTGACTATCTTGGTATACCAGGTTTAGACATTATCTGTTAATTTCCTATGATAAATAAAGATTCTGTACTGTTTTCAATACTGTTATCCCAATATTGCTATATAAAAAATTTAGTTTAGTAGGCCCATTTGAATGACCATGTACACATTGCTCGCTCATAAAAAGTTTAATTTGGGTTTTTAATATTTCAAAGAATGTTCAAATTCTTTGTATTGATTCAAATATGTTTACTCAAAAGTAGTTGTATGCTTTCAAAGTTTCTTTTTTTCTCTTCTTTCTTTTGTGAAAGAAAAATATCGTGGGCCTCTTCAAGCTGGGAACTGCTCAGGGCAAGCCTGCCTCCTATTCAATTCATCCCTTTTGCTCACAGAAATAGATGCATATTCTGATTGCCTCCTTTGGAAAGACTTACCAGAAACTCAAAAGAAGGCAAGCATCTGTCTCTCACCTACCTGTAACCTGGAAGCCCTCAGTAGGGGGTGCTTGCTTTGAGCTGTCTCCACCTTTCTGGACGCAGCTGATATACTTCTTACATATTGATTGATGTCTTATGTCTCCCTAAAATGTGTGAAACCAAGCTGTGCCCCGACCACCTTGGGCACACGTCGTCAGGACTTCCTGAGGGTGCGTCCTCAACCTTGGCATAATAAATTTTCTAAATTAACTGAGACCTCTCTCAGATTTTTGGAGCTCACACTTTGTTTTGGAACACCAAGCCTCAGCTAGGGTATGTAGTTATACATTACTGACATTGTCCTTTTCATGGAAGTGAAAGAAAATTGGCATTTGGTTGTAGTGTGCTGAACCAACACACGTGATCTTATCAGTTCCACATTTACAGTTTTGTTTCACTCCCTTAGCCTTTGGCATTGCCTCTGAGAGTTGCTTTTACCATTTTCGTTAGATAAATAGAGACGATGACTATATACTGATGATTTAGATTTTGGAGCAACACTAAATCTGGCATATTCCATGCCTTGGAACAAAATCAGAGATTGGCTACCCCTGTAGAGACTGGCATCACAATCCTCTCATAGATGCTGGGCTAGGATAGTAATACTTGAGGGTATCCTTATTTTTTTTTTTTAATTTAAAAAGCTACTTTTTCCACGAAGTTGTTCTCTCAGTTACTGCTTCTATTTTTTTTCCTTCAAAATTCTCATACTTTTTTTCATTTTATGCCCTCACTGAGATCTATGAATCATAGCTGTTAGGAAAGGCCAAATATGTATTATATTGAAAAAAAGCATATCAATACTATCCAAGCCAGGAGAAAGGATGGAACAGGGGCTAAAAGAATAGGACATTGTGCAGGGGCCAGTTGGAGCCACAGCATGAAGAAGAGACTGGTTTCGTTTTTAACTAGAGTGGAGAAATTTGCTGTGACTCCTGGCGCATCACCATTTTTCCATTAAGAGTTATTACACCTCGGCAAGAGCAAGCAGTTCGGTAAGTGCTAAACACAAAGAGAGAAGAATTTAGCAGGTTAGCATGCACAGAGCTCCTACAGTATTAGGTGCTGGGCACTTTATACACATTAGAGCCAGTATGCAAACCCACACCTTTTTATTCACCAGACTGGTTTCCTCTGCACTTAACCCTGTGGGTTTTCAAAGTTCTCCTGATCTATAATAGCTAAGAAAATATTACACATGCCTAATAGTGCAATGGTGTAGATAATTGCATCCATGAGAGTTTCTCTTACACAGAGCACTGTATTGATTTAGAAGAAACATTTTGGTAAGTTCGTTGGTGTGTGGCCAAGCAACAAAAATGTTCATTAAATCGAGAAGCATGAGAAAATAAGAGACATATTTTACCCCATTTAAAAAGTTTAAACTAAAATGATTGATACATAATATTTCTACATATTTATGGGGTATATGTGATATTTTGTTAAATGCATAGACTATGTAATAATCAAGTAAGAGTATTTAAGTTATCTGTTACCTTGGGTATTTATTATTTCTATGTGTTGGTAACATTTCAAGTCCTGTCTTCTCCCTGGTTTGAAATACACAATACATTTTTTTTTAACTATAGTCACTGTACTCTGTATTAAACATTAGAACTTATTCCTTCTATCTAACTGTATGTTTGTACTGATTATGTAATGCCCAACCTTGTTTATTCCTTATTCACCTGGCCTTAGCTTCTCCCTTAGCTAAGAGAACCAGACAAACTCCATCTTGGCTCTTTCACTGGCAGCCCCTTCCTCAAGGACTTAACTTGTGCAAGCTGATTCCCAGCACATCCAAGAATGCAATTAACTGATAAGATACTGTGGCAAGCTATATCCACAGTCCCCAAGAATTCGTCTGATTGATAACGCCCAAAGCCCCGCATCTATCACCCTGTAATAGTCTTAAAGCCCCTGCACCTGGAACTGTTTACTTTCCTGTAACCATTTATCCTTTTAACTTTTTGACTACTTAACTTCTGTAAAATTGTTTTAACTAAACCCCCACTCCCCTTCCTAAACCAAGATATAAAAGTTAATCAAGCCCCTTCCTCGGGGCTGAGAGAATTTTGAGCGTTAGCCGTCTCTTGGTCACCGGCTAATAAAGGACTCTTAATTCATCTCAAAGTGTGGCGTTTTCTCTAACACTCCTGGGCACAACAATTAACCAAATTTCCTTATCCTCCTTCCCTCACCACTCTTTACAGCCTCTGGTATCTGAGGACTAAGCTCTTAATTTTTGTCTTGTTCAAATTCCTATCTAAGGGGTCTAGGGAGTCATGCACTACAAACCATAAATTCTCATCAGATGAGTCTTATTTGACCCTGCATATCATGACTTACTTTTCAGTCCGACTCTGGCATAACATTATGAGACAAGGAAAAAATATTTAAACTCAAAATGTATTTCCTTGCCGTACCTTGAAATTGCCCTGCATAGTCTCTTGTGGGAAAATTCACGTTGTATAGAAAATGCCCTTTCCCCTTTGTTTTCCTTCCTTTCTTTGCAGATTCAGTAGATAATCGACTAAGAGCCAGGTACCCTTTTCAGGTCTGATAAGAAACATTTTACAACCTGATCTCTCTCTCTGAAACCTGCTATCTGAGAGACTCCTCTGCACGGTAAAACTTGGTCTCCACAGCGCTTTACCTTGACTTAAACATTCCTTTCCATTTATCCTGGGTCTTCAGATAAACTCAACAAATTGTCAACCAGAAAATGTTTAAATTTACCTATCGCCTGGAAGCCCCCACTTTGAGTTGTTCTGCGTTTCTGAACCAACAATGTATTTCTTAAATGTATTTAAAAAAAATATATATATATATATATAACTAAGCTGTACCCCAACCACCTTGGGCACATGTTCTCAGGACCTCCTGAGGGCTGTGTCACAGGCCATGGTCACTCATATTTGGCTCAAAATAAATCTCTTCAAATATTTTACGGAGTTTGACTCTTTTCATAAACATATCTATTATTCTACCCTCTCATGAGATCAGCATTTTTTAGCTCCCAAATATAAGTGAGAACAATGCAATATTTGTCTTTCTGTGCCTGGCTTATTTCACTTAAATAATGACTTTCACTTCCAACTAGGTTGCTGCAAATGACAGATTTCAATCTTTTTTAAGGCCAAAATAGTATCCCATTGCGTGCCTATGCCATATTTTCTTTATCCATTCATCCATGATAGACAATTAGGTTGATTCCATATCTTTGTTAGTGTGAATAATGCTGCAATTAACATAGGGATGCAGGTATCCCTTTGATATTGATTTCTTTTCCTTTGGATTTAGAAAAGAAAAATAGCTCAGACCAGTCTGAACTATGTGCAGTATGTAGACATAGGTCATGTTCCCCAAACCTGCTCCCCCATATCCATGCCTGCGGATAATTGTTAAAGACATTTTGTTCCTCATTAGCTGTCTCACTCATTACCTTCATGTTCTTGGAATTTGTGATACAAAAAACAATGTATAGCCAATCAATATCTTATGTTATTTTAATGTAAATTCTTGGTAAACAACTTAGGAATTTCATCTTCTTTTCCTTTAAAAATCTACTTGTAACTGCTGCTAATTAGAGTGGCTGTACTAATTTACATTCTTAATAAAAATGTATGAGTTCCCTTTTCTCTGCATCCTTGTCTGCATCGGTTATTCTTGAATTTTTAATAATAACCATTCTAATTGGTGTAAGATGATATCTCATTGTGGTTTTGATTTGCATTTCCCTGATGATTAGTGATGTTGAGCATTTTTTTTTTCCACATACCTTTTGTTCTGGCCATTCGTATGTCTCCTTTTGAGAAATGTTTATTCATGTCCTTTGCCCACTTTTTAATGGGATTATTATTATTTTTTTATTTTTTGCTGTTGAGTTGTTTGAGTTCCTTGTATATTTTGGCTGTTAGTTCCTTGTTGGATGAATTTGTGAATATTTCCTATCTTTCAACAGGTTTTCTTTTTACTCTGTTGATTGTTTCCTTTGCTGTGCCAAAACTTATAAGTTTAACATAGTACAGTTGGTCTGTTTTTGTTTTAGTTTAATGTGCTTTTGAGGCCTCATCCAAAAAAACTTTGCCCAGTCCAATGTCCTTGTAATCATCAATGGCTTCCTCCTGCCTGCTGCATAAACAAACCCAATTCACTGAGACCATGGTATTGCAGTAAATAAAGAGTTTAACTGATGCTGTGCTAGCCATGTAGGAGACAGAATTATACTCAAATAAGTTTCCCTGAAGGGTGGAGATTAGAGCTCTTCAAGGATAGTTTGGTGGACAGGGTACTAGGGAGTGGGTGCTGCTAATTAGTTGGCGATGCAATCATAGGGGTGTGGAAAACAACCCTTGTGTGCTGAGTCTGCTTCTGGTTGTATGGAGGCCACAGAACTGGTTGAGTAACTAGTCATGAGTCCAGGTGAGGTCAGTCTGAAAAACATCTCAAAAGACCATCTTGGGTTTTACAATACTGATGTTATTTTTAGGAACAATTAGGGAAGTCACAAATCTTGTGATATCTGGTCACATGCCTCCAGAGCAGTAAGAGATTATAGAAATTATGCTTACCTTTTAGCAGAATTCAGGCCCTTCCCATAAACCTAATCTTGTGGCCTTTCATTAATCTTACAAAGGTGGTTTCAGCCTCTGAACAAGGAGAGGATCAGCTTTGCAGAAGACTTGTTATCATCCTTGCTTCAAAGTTAAACTATAAACTAAATTCCCCCCATGGTTAGCCTGGCCTATGCCCAGGAATGAGTGAAGACAGCCAGCCTGTGAGACTAGAGGCAAGATGAAGTCAGTCGTTTCAGATTTCTCTCACTGTCATAATCTTTGCAATGATGGTTTCATCCTGAAATGTTCCCCTACATTTTCTTCTATAGTTTTTGATCTTACATGTAAATCTTTAATTTATTTTGAGTTGATTTCTGATTATGGTGAGAGACAGTGGTCCAGTTTCATTCATCTGCATATGGATATCCCATTTTCCCAGCACCATTTATTGAAAAGGGTGTCCTTTCTCCAATGTACATTTTTGGCACTTTTGTTGAAAATTAGCTGTCTATAAATACATGGATTTATTTCTGTATTCTCTATTCTGTTCCATTCGTCTATGTGTCTGTTTTTATAACAATATCATGCTGTTATGGTTATTCTATGCTTGAAATACATTTGACATCTGGTAACATAATGCCTCTAGCTTTGTTTATTTTTCCCGGGATAGCTTTTGTTATTCAGGCTATTTTTTTGGTTCCATACAAACTTTAGCATGGTTTTTTCTATTTCTGTGAAAAATGGCATTAGTATTTTCATAGGGATTGCATTGAATTTATAGATTTCTTTGGGTAGTATGGTCATTTTAACAATATTCTTCTGATTCATGAGCATGGGATATCTTTCCATTTGTGTGTGTTTTCTTCAATTTCTCTCATCAGTGTTTTATAGTTTATTGAGGTCTTTCACTCCTACGTTAGACGTATTCTTTGTTATTTTATTTTGTAGCTATTGTAAATAGTATTGCCTTCCTAATTTCTTTCTCTGACAATTTATCATCAGTATATAGAAATGCTATCTATTGATATTTGTATGTTGATTTTGTATCCTGCAATTTTATTGAATTAATTTATCAGATCTAGGAATTTTTTGATGAAGTTTTTGATTTTTCTAGATATAAGGTCATGTCATCTATAAGGAGGGACAATTTGACTTTCTCTTTTTCAATTTGGTTGCTTTGTATTTCTTTCTTTTGCCTGATTGCTCTGGCTAAAACTTCTAGTACTGTGTTGAATAGAAGAGAGGAAAGTGGGCATTCTTTTTTGTTCAGGTCTTAGAGGAACAATTTCATCTTTTTCCCATCAGTATGATATTCATCGTGGGCTTGTCTTGAATGGTCATGAATGTTGAAGTATGTTCCTTCTATAAAGTGGAAATGGTTATGGAAGTAGAAGAGAGCAATATGGATAGGGAAGATAAGGGAGAAAAAATGAAGTTGGAAAGCCAATAAAATGATGAACTATACCATGTGGTATGCACACTCCCTATGACAATCTTAAGTTTCTGAATGATCAAATGCTTGGCCTGATGATTTTTTTCATAAAATACAGTTACATTTTTGAATAAGTTATTTTCATTTTTTAATAGGTAATCGAACAGGCATTAAACCAGAATATGATGCATGTCCCAGGCAATCCACTAAGATACTGCAAAGAGAGAAATATATCTCACCCCTTTAAATAGCCAGACAGATACAACCAATTAGATACATTCTGTCAAAATAAATAATAATTTGTCCTCATGAAAGAGGACTTGACAGTACCACTTGTCACTCATAGTTCATCATAAATTCACTTGGTAATTGGAGTGACTGTCTGTGTTAGTTTATTGACTATCCAAAGGAAAAATGAACTTCTCATATCTTTGTGATAAAAGATAGTTTTGGAACTAGGCTCCTGCCCTTTAGATTCCTACCTTGCCATAGAAATGGGGAGATAAGGGCACTATCTTTCTTGATGGTTACTTCTCAAAGATATGCATCCCACATCTTGGAAGAAGACATTCTTGGGTCATAAAGCTGACAAGAAACCTATCTAGTTTTCAAAAGGATTTGTATACATGTCAAAGAGGCAGAAAAAGACTTTATAAGTACAAATCTTCTAAAGTAAACACTCTAACAAAGGGAGGAAGAAGTCTCTTTCCTTAATTTCAACCGGGAGAATTAATTCTTTCTTTTCAATTGGTATTTACCCTTATAATATCAACTCTGAGTTAAAAGGGAGATAACTGTGAACATTGTGTAGGAGTACTGAGACAGGCTGAGAGGACATAAGCCCTTGACTTTTGCAAATCATGGGATGAATCTACATGGAGAATATCAATAGCTTTGTTACTGGGAGTTCCAACACTGTTTATGCAGCTCTGAGGGGCATCTGAGTTTCAGAAGAACAGCTCATAATCTTGGCGAGCCAGGCAGGAGGAAAAGATAAGCCTAAAGTTTGGGACTTATTCTTCTCCTTTCTCCTTTTCCTTTCTGCTCCATACAGGGACTCTCTTTTCCTTTCCAACCTGGAACCCTTGGTGGGCAGTGCCTAAACATGGAAGCAACTGTAGGTTTCTGGCCGTGGCCAGTGAAACTGAGGGGTTTCCATGTGGAGAAGCCTGACCGCCACCACCTTAAGGAACCTGGGTCTTTTTCATGTTGGTTTATGGGGACCTTGGGTAAGAGGCATACTCCAAACTCTTGGTATTATCCTCCCAATAGTCATAATAATAGCCTCCCTGTGTGCTGTATTCTCTCAAAGGTTTTAAATGCTTGCATGCAGCCATCTCTAGAACGTCATTTGGTCTCTCTTCAACTGGAATAACAGGAGCTGAAAGAAATGTGCAACCATGAGGACGCTGTAACCTATAAATGATGTGCTGAGATGGGAAACCCGAAATGATGGTAACTGAGAGTGGTACTAAGGCCCTAAGTTTTGGTCATACTCTCAACCAAGTGAGAACCTGATCAAAAAGGGAGAATTTTTTTAAACAAAATCTGGGAGGCGGTTGTTTTGGACTGAGCTCATACACTAGGCCCCAACAAACCGAACCAAACCAAAATGGAGTTGCTTGTGCTAAAACTTTAAGGGAACACATAGGTTCTAGAACAGACCAGGTTTTGTATTTTCTCCTACAAATCTCTATAACAAACATTTCTACCAGCATAGGTATCAACCCCCTGAATTTCCCATTAAGTCTTTTAACCAAATTCATTTCCTCTAGCCTAGAGACCATCAAGCTTCAGATGATCATGCAACAAAGGTTTTCAGTAAGTTCCAGTTGAAGACACTACCCCTGGCCATAAAAAAAGTACCCTGCCTTCACTAGACAGAACAGAGTGAGAGTTCCGTGATCTCCAACAAGTAGGGGCTATACCCCAAGTCAGCATGAAGCAGTTACAGAAGAAAGACCTTCAGTCCCTCTGCCTCCCATAAAGATTTATGGGGATCACATCTCTTAGTGGGGAGATGAGGCAAGAGAATAGGGTCTGGAGGCAGGGGACCTAAGGCTGTTTCACGCCAACTTCCTAGAACTAAATGGAAAGGAAAACCCTAACTTTCATGCCTAAGTAACTGAAGGACCAGAGGCTACTCCTTTTGACCTTTTCTTCCTGGCAGATGGGAAATTGGCTGTCTGCAACAAATCATACTGAGTGTGGGTTGAGTCTTCATTTGCAACTTTGTAACTTCACTCCAGCCTCTGAATGGTTGCTGTCTGCAACCTATCAGACTGATTCCCGGCTACCACTTCAGTTACATAAGGTAAGCATGAAGTGGCCAGTGGGAAATTTGTGGGGGGTATTTGAACCCAAGGAGATTCTGTATATGGGCCCTTGAGCTGCTGCTCGGGTCTGCTCCCACACTGTGGAGTGTACTTTCATTTTCAATAAATCCCTGCTTTTGTTCTTTTGTTGTATTATTCTTTCTTTGCTTTGCTGGGTGTTTTGTCCAATTTTTTGTTCAAAATGCCAAGAACCTGGACAACTTGCAGTCATGACCCTCTACCAAAAGCACCATGTGACACAGGCTAAAGGTCCAAGTCCCGGACCATTAGTGCTCTGGGGAGTCAGAGTTAAAGGTCATCACCAAAAGGCTGAGCTGTGGGAGGAGACTTCTTGGAGAAGGTGGCTGAGAGGAAAGAAAGGTAGAGAGGAAGCTGCCTTCCATGTGTGTGATGCAGAATGAGGATAACTCTGAAGAGGAAATTGCATATTATATGTTTAAAAGAGGATTAGTCAGAAGTTTTTGGTTCTATGTGGTAGTAAATCTAATGAGGTGGAATGAAAACAATGACAACAACAACAAAAACCAAAAAACAGACCAAAAAATATCCAAACCCAAAACTAAAATAATCTTTGCCTTACATCCCTGAAAAGTTATTTGGTTTTGGGGTTCAGACACAGCTAGAAGCCATGCCCTTAGTGATGGTTCTCCCTCTGTCTCTTAGCTCTCTGTTCCTCTGTGTTGACTTAATTTTCAAACAGGCTCATTTAATCCAGTGGCAAAATGGTCATCAGGAAGTCTAGGCTTAAATCCAAACAATTTGGAATATTAGCAACTAAAAAGATCCACATTTTTGCAATGAACGAAGCATGTGTGACAGACTGCATGAGGTTCATTGCCCAGCTTGGGTCAAATGTCTACCCTGGACATACACAACTAAATTTTGAGTGTGACTTTCAGTAAAATAAGAGATTCTTTTAGGAACTTATAGAAGATCTCTTGTTCTTTGTCTTTCATTTGTTCTAAGGGTGTAAATTCCGAAGCTTATACCTTTTTATATGCTTTGTAGTATAGTAAGGGAAAGACATTCTACTCCATTTGCATCAAGAGCAGACACTTGGTTTTACAAATGTCTTTAGACACTTTATCATAATTACCCACGGGTGACAATTTAATTAATCATGATATACAGCATGCCAAGCATTAATGAGTTTTTTATTTCCCGTTGGTGAAAAACTCAGAAGATTGTTCAAGGCCAAGCATACAAGTAGACTCATCCATGAATCTCATTTTTGAGGTTGGTTTCTTGGGACAATGTTGGGTACAAATATAGTATCAGACCCGGAGTCTGGTTAGGAACAGAGAAATCGTAGTAAATATGGCGACAGAAAGAATTTAGTATAATTAAATTGGATAAAGAGGTATTAGAGAACTGAAGGATCAAAATAGAACACTAAGGCAGAACAAAGTTAGTCCATTAAGGCTTGAGGCACAAGGGGAGGAGTAAGAGTTTTAGGGGAATTCAGAGAAGATGCTCTGTAGAATAGAGATTCCCTCTAAGAGGGTGATGCCCCTGCATCTGCAGCTCATGGCATAGGAGCTTAGAGGAGAGGCTTTGCAGATATAAGCTCCAGACTTTGAAGAGGAGGCACTGCTTGGCTACTTTTGGTATCTCAGGAGATTAGAGGTGGGACACTAGAGAATTTGGGTCCAGACCTCTGAGATGGGTCATCTCCCAATAAGTGCTAGTACTTCTGAAGGAACAGAGTGATGTTGGTTCTTGGAGGACCAAAATTATTAGAGAGTGGGACTAACCGCCACTGCTTGGTAAACGACCATTGCTAGAGTGAGATTGGAGTGATGCTGACAGGGAGAGCAGAAGTAATAAGTCTTCTCTTCTCTTTTCTTGCCTGTAGTTTCAGTCTAGCACTCCAGATTGGTGGGACTTGACAGAAAGTCACTGGAAATGATGAAAAATGTAATTTTTATTTATCATAAAGCAGAGTACAGATGGGTTGATTTAGAGATGAGTGATGATACCTTAAAAAAAGTAATGTAGATTTAAAATAATATTTGTATATAAAATTGAAGGGGAATCAATCAACTCAAGCTCAGAAAAATGTATAAGGAATGAATGAAATTGGGATGTGGAGAAAATTATCATAAAATATTAATATACTGTATGTATATATAAGATGAAGGCAAAAGTTATGTGTAAGAAATTTTTAATATTCTATGAACCTAGTTAAGAAAATTCTCTCTCTCTCTCTCTCTCTCTCTCTCTCTCTTTCTGTGTCTGTGTGTGTGTTTCTGTGTGTTTAACTTCTTACCTCTCCCAGTAATTAGGACTTGAGTTTAAATAGAGTTGAACTTATATTTACCTTAAATTACTTATATACTTAAAATTTTGAAAGTAGCTTTTATTAAGTATAATGTACTGTATTGCAGCAGACATCACAACATAGGATATCAAATCCAACATAAACATAAAACATAAAACTACGAGGTAATGAGAGCTCATTGAGAAACCTCAACAATAGCTATTCTTTTTTCTAGGTGGATTCATCATTTATAATAAAACTGTGTATGAGATCTCAAATGTAATAAAACATTTGATTTGTCTTTGAAAGAATAAAAGAGCACCATCTGAAATTTCTAACTTGGTGTGTTTTTGATTTTAGAGCATAGGATCATAAAAATATCCTGGTAATGGTAAAACCTTTTTGCATAAACAGTGGTTCCATTCTGCCTGTACAGAGAGTGAAAGGAAACAGAGGTGCCTTGTTTGTGGTAAGTATTGTAATAAGTATATCACAAATGTCTTTGGGACCGAGGAGATGTTAGAAAAGGGTCATTCTGAACATTATTTAAGGAAGATAACTGAGAGCGAAAATGAGAAAATTCTAGGCGTTCAGAACCAACTGCAAAATGACAGGATGAATTCTGAATTTTGCTCAAGCTGTTGTATTGATAAATAATCACACTGCTTATTGCCAGGTAATTCTGAACAGTCAGGAGAGAGGGCCATTGAAGTTGTCTGCACGTAAAAGTAAAATATTTTGCAAATGATTTTAGACTGAAAAATTTTGCTGAAACATTTGAAGAACATGCATATTTTTCAGAATTTAGCTCCTCAAGAGAATTCTCTGATGATGACCAAGTTCAGAAAATCCTAATAAGAAATAAGAGAGAAGAAAATAACCTTTTCTATGAGAAACTGAGCTTTAAAACTGCAGGAAAATAGCATATATTCTGAATCTTAGAGGTATGGATTTTTCTAGAAAGAGCAATGTGGCCAAAACAGTGAGAGGCCATTCCAAAATTCTAGATGGAAAGATGGGAAATGGGCCCCACTTTCGTGTCTATCATTTTTGTAAAGGTGGAGAAACTGGTAGACTCAAAAAAGAAAAGAGCGAGTCCTTTCCATTTTCACCTTGGTTTTGATAAGAGTACTTCTCAGATTTGTCCTAAGTTCTAGTTTTTCAAGGGCAAGTTGTTTTTGACAAACAAATCAGCATTTGGTATTTTTCTGTTCATGCAGGATGCCTTAAGAAAGGATGAATGTGGAACCACATGAAAGGCAAGAATCAAAGTCAGCTGCTATTGGTACAATTTGGAGCTTGGCTGCAATGCAGTTATTTGGATCCAGTCTTCAGTGGGAGCTGACTTTATGAGCTCTCATGTTGATCAGTGCTCAGTTGCCAAAGTGTAACTCCAACTACTGTTATGAAAACAAATTGAGTGAGTAACCACCATCAAGTCAAAATATGTCAATGCTCTGACAACCTCCATGTCTATGGCTACATGCCCTCATCCCTGCTTAATTAAGCTGGGCACTTATATTCTGTAATTTCCCATGAAGAGCTCACATGCATTCAGTGTCAGCAGTGAACAAGACACTGGCACTGTGGATTCAGAGAAAAATGAGGCACAGTTATTTCCCTGACGATATTCACAGTCTTCTGAGTGGAGACAGGAGATTGTGTAATGAAGTAAAATCTAAAATAAAGGTATCCCCAAGTTATATTGGGAGCGTAACAAGAGAGTAAGAATGACTGAGATACGGGAAGGCAGGTCAGAGAGGATTCTTGAAGATGTGTGGTCTTGAAATATGAGTAGAGGCTTGTGAGATAGACAAAGAAAAAATAAAACTTTTTTTTTTTTTTTGGAGACAGGACCTCACTCTGTCGACCAGGCTGGAGTGCAGTGGAATAATCATCTCTCAGGCTCAAGTGATCCTTCCACCTCAGCCTCCCTAGTAGTTAGGACTAAGGCACACACAACCGTGCTTGGTTAATTTTTGTATTTTTTGTAGAGATGGGGTGTCATCATGTTGCCCAGGCTGATCTTGAACTCCTGGACTCAAGGGATCCACCCACTTCCACCTCCCAAAGCACTAGAATTAGAGGTGTGAGCCACCACACCCAGCGAATAAAGCTATTAATACCAAAATCTGATCTGTGTGATTGCTTCTCAGTGAGGCACTAGTGCCACTGTCATGACCCAGGCACCTGCTACGTGGTCTGTGAGCAGTACCACATTTAATACACTCAATATCAATAATGAGATACACATTATTATGATGATGATGCCCAGTTTATGGATAAGGAAATGGGCTAAGTGGTGGTGGACATGATGTTCAAGCCTGAGCTATCTGGGTCCAAGGCTTCTGTTCTTAGCCTCTTTGGGCCCTGTCCTCAACATGGAAACTGAGAGAAGGGCATCCTAGGCAAAGGAAGCAACCCATGCAGCAGCAGGAAGATGTGAGGGAGCAGGGCAGATGACAGAATGGCACAGTATATTAGTCTGTTTTCATGCTGCTAATAAAGACACACCTCAGACTGAGCAATTTACAAAAGAAAGATGTTTATTGAACTTACAGTTCCACACGGCTGGGGAGGCCTCACAATCATGGTGGAAGGTGAAAGGCACATATCACATGGCAGCAGACAAGAGAAAAGAGAGCTTGTGCAGGGGAACTCCTGTTTGTAAAACCATAAGATCTCATGAGACTTATTCACTATCATGAGAATAGCATGGGGAAAGACTTGCCCCAATGATTCAATTACCTCCCACCTGGTCCCTCCCATAACATGTGGGAATTCAAGATGAGATTTTGGTGGGGACACAGCCAAACCATATCATTCCACCCCAGACCCTTCCAAATCTCATGTCCTAACATTTCAAAACCAATCATTCCTTCCCAACTGTCCCCCAAAAGTCTTAACTCATTTCAGCATTAACTCAAGAGTCCACAGTCCAAAGTCTCATCTGAGAAAAGGCAAGTCCCTTACACTTATAAGGCTGTAAAATCAAAAGCAAGTTAGTTACTTCCTAGATACAATGGGGGTACAGGCACTGGGTAAATACAGCTGTTCTAAATTGGAGCAATTAGCCAAAACAAAGGGGCTACAGGCCCCCTGCAAGTCCAAAATCCAGCAGGGCAGTCAAATCTTAAAACTCCAAAATGACCTCCTTTGACTCCAGGTCTCACATCCAGGTCACGCTGATGCAAGGGGTGGGTTTCCATGGTCTTGGGCAGCTCTGCAGGGTACAGCCTCCCTCCAGGCTGCTTTCATGGACTGGTGTTGAGTGTCTGTGGCTTTTCCAGGCACATGGTTTAAGCTGTCTGTAGATTTAATATTTTGGGGTCTGGAGGACCGTGGCTTTCTTCTCACAGCTCCACTAGGTGGTGTCCCAGTAGGGACTCTGTGGGGGCTCCAACCCGAAATTTTCCTTTTGGACTGCCCTAGCAGAGGTTCTCCATGAGAACCCTGCCCCTGCAGCAAACTTCTGCCTGGACGTCCAGGTATTTCCATACATCCTCTGAAATCTAGGTAGAGGTTCCCAAACCCCAATACTTGACTTCTGTGCACTGTGCACATGGAAGCTGCCAAGGCTTGAGGCTTGCCTCCTATGAAGCTACAGCCCAGGCTCTATGTTGGCCCCTTTTAGCCATCACTGGAATGGCTAGAGCACAGGGCACCAAGTTCCTGGGCTACACACAGCACAGGGACCCTGGGCCTGGCCCATGAAACCACTTTTTCCTTCTAGGCCTCCAGGCCTGTAATGGGAGGGTCTGCTGTGAAGACCTCTGACATGCCTGAGAGACATTTTCCCCATTGTCTTGAGGATTAATACTTGGCTCCTTATTACTTATGCAAATTTCTGCAGCTGGCTTGCATTTCTCAGAAAATGGGTTTTTCTTTTCTGTCCCATTTTCAGGCTGCAAATTTTCCAAACTTTTATGCTCTGTTTCCCTTTTAAAATTGAATGCCTTTAACAGCACCTAAGTCACCTCTTGAATGCTTTTCTGCTTAGAAATTTCTTCTGCCAGATACCCTAAATAATCTCTCTCAAGTTCAAAGTTTTGCTCATCTCTAGGGCAGGTGCAAAATGCCGCCAGCCTCTTTGCTAAAACATAGCAAGAGTCACCTTTGCTCCAGTTCCCAACAAGTTCCTCAACTCTATGTGAGACCACTTTAGCCTGGATTTCATTGTCCATATCACTATCAGCATTTTGGTCAAAGCCATTCAACAAGTCTCTAGGGAGTTCCAAATTTTCCCACATTTTCCTGTCTTCCTCTGAGCCCTCCAAACTGTTCCAACCTCTGCCTATTACCCACTTCCAAAGTTGCTTCCACATTTTCAGGTATCTTTTCAGTATCTCCCCACTCCTGGTACCAATTTATTGTATTAGTCTGTTTTCACGCTGCTGATAAAGACATACCTGAGACTGGGAAATTTACAAAGGAAAGAAGTTTAACTGGACTTACAGTTCTACATGGCTGGGGAGGCCTCACAATCATGGTGGAAGGCAAGGAGGAGCAAGTCACATGTTATGTGGATGGTAGCAGGCAAGAAAAGAAGAGCTTGTGCAGGGTAACTCCTCTTTTTAAAACTATCAGATATCGTGAGACTTATTCACTATCATGAGAATAGCATGGAAAAGACTTGCCCCCATGATTCAATTACCTCTCACCAGGTCCCTCCTACAATGTGGAAATTCAAGGTGAGATTTGGGTGGGGACACAGCCAAACCAGGAAGAAAGACCACTCACCGTGTTGTGGAGCCTAGATGTTTTCTGAAGAGCAAGGAAGGCCAATGAATTATTTTCATCTGTGGAATGGCAAGGCCAGATTTCCATTTTAGACAGCTTGCTCTGGTATCATCTGGATAAGTGGATTGGTGGCAGGTGAGGATACAGTCAGGTAGACAAGTCAAGAGGCCTTTGTGACTATCTGGGTGAGATTGGAGAGGACCTGGGCAAAGGCATGAAGTAGAATATGAGATGGAAGTGACTAGGAGGTAGATTTCACTGGACTTGGTGATCTACTGAGTATATGGGGTGAGTGAGAGAAGAGAAGAGGGTTTTAGTCATGCAAGGTTAATAAGTCCTAGAGATGTGCTGTACAACAATGTGCATATGGTTAACAAATATTGTATGGCACACTTAAATTTTTAAGAGGGTGGATTTTATGTTATATATTTTTACCACAATAAAAAATAGATAAATAGAGATAAGGAATCTGGGATGATTCTAACATTTCAATATTGTGCAATGGGATAAATGTATCACTCATTGAGTTTTGGAATATAAGAAGAAAAAGAGCAGATATGGGGGGTGGGTAATATTGGAAGAGCCTCTAGGCCAAATATTGGAAAAATTTTTCTGTAAAGGGCCAGATTACAAATATTTTTGGCTTTTGGGGTAATATGGCAATTACTCATTTCTGCCATTGTAGCTTGAAAGCAGCCACAGGACAATAAGTAAATGACTGAGTGTGGCTGCCTTCAAAAAAAGCTTTCCTTACAAAAACAGGCAGTGGACCAAATTTGGCTTGCCCACAAAGAGAGAGGCCTAGCAGTAATGTGGATCTGAGATTCAAGTGAGATGAAATGGAGTTTCTAGACGATAATGAGGTCCTTAACTTTAGCCATATGTCTTGGTTGCAGATGTTGGAGAGGGGATATATATCACCAGCTGGGTAGTCAGATAAGATGCTGTAAATAGGCCGGGCGCGATGGCTCATGCCTGTAATGCCAACACTTTGGGAGGCCAAGGTGGGTAGGTCTCCTGAGGTTAGGAGTTTGAGACCAGACTGGCCAACATGGTGAAACCCCATCTCTACTAAAAATACAAAAAAAATTAGCTGGGTCTGGTGGTGGGCGCCTGTAATCCCAGCTGCTCAGTAGGCTGAGGCAGAAGAACCGCTTGAACCTGGGAGGCTGAGGTTGCAGTGAGCTGAGATTGTGCCATTGCACTCCAGCCTGGGCAACAAGAGTGAAGCTCTGTGTCAGAAAAAAGAAAAAAAAAAGAAAGATGCCGTAAATATTTCTTGTGCATGTTCTAAGGGCTCGATACTGTGTTTGGTTAATGAATCTTCTTCTTATTCTTCATTACAATAATAATGATGCATAAGAAATGGAGCCATGCTTCTTTCTTCAATATTAAAGCTATATTGGGAGTTTAACATGTAGTTCAAAGGTGGGGGGGAAACAGCAGAAAATAAAATGGGAGATATTTTCAGGATTTTAAAATATGTGTGCATTTATAAGCACGTGTAGTTTTTGTGCATTATTACATACACAAATATTTTCGTAGTACGTATTATTGGCCTAGGTTTGGTGTGGTCCTTGTAGAGAAAGAATGCCCTTTTAAGATTCTCTGGCCGGGCGCTGTGGCTCACGCCTGTAATCCCAGCACTTTGGGAGGCCGAGGCGGGCGGATCACGAGGTCAGGAGATCGAGACCATCCCGCCTAAAACGGTGAAACCCCGTCTCTACTAAAAATACAAAAAAATTAGCCGGGCGTAGTGGCGGGCGCCTGTAGTCCCAGCTACTTGGGAGGCTGAGGCAGGAGAATGGCGTGAACCCGGGAGGCGGAGCTTGCAGTGAGCCGAGATCCCGCCACTGCACTCCAGCCTGGGCGACAGAGCGAGACTCCGTCTCAAAAAAAAAAAAAAAAAAAAAAAAAGATTCTCTAACTAGGGCTTATTAAGAAACCCTTTGCTGAAATCTAAAATTCTATTCTCACTTAGCAAGAGTAATAACATAACCGTTCAGAGCCCGGTTGCCACTGCTGGTTTCCAGTTTATTATCTTCAAACCTGGTTGACAAGAGTCACAAAGGTAAGTGAAACATACGTGGTCCCTGAAGTCCTGGAGCTTACAATTTAGTAATGGGGCTAGAATTAATCAATTACCCATGGCATTGAATGCATATTCTTAACTGTTATGTATGTAACAAAGGGGAAGTTCAGGGTATTACAAGAGCTTGTAAAGTGGGGATTTCACCCCGGAGAGGGGGTCAGAAAGGTTCACAATCACTCCAAGAAGCAGGAGCAGCTTCAACAGAGCCAGCTCATTAACCAACGTGCCTCAAAGACTTTTTCAAGCTTCTCTTGCAGCTGATGATGTAAGCCATGCAGGAGGAGAGGAAAGTTACCAGGGGCTCATTTGCAGCCAATTCTGGTGCTAACTGTCAACTGCTTAGCCTTCTCTTATTTGTGCAGCATTGGTAGGAATTTATTATATCTTTAAGGCAGAAAATATGTCAGTTCATATGTTAGTTTTTGGAAAAAGGTAGTATTTTTTGCTTTGCTCCGACTACACTGACTAATGGGAATATTAATATTTTCAGAACATTTTCTCAAAGCAAAAACCTAAGAAAAATTCATGTTGCACAAGTTGAATAAAGAAACTCTCTACTATTAAGGTTATTTGGCGTGTTTCATAATAAGCTCTTCATTTCTCTCAGAGTGAGCTGCAGAAAATGAGGCCCATTTTAGTACAAATCCTAACTGTGTAGCAGCAATGTTCTAAAATAGAAATTACAGAAAGAAAATAAGATTTTTCTCTGTTTTAAAATTTTCTCTACAGATATAGTTGGATTTTGGCATATGTACAATAAATCAGAACAGTTTCCCTGAAAGTGGTTTTTTCTTGTTACTATTCTTCCATGCTACAAACTAAATTGTATCCCTTCAAAAATTAATATGTTGAAGTCCTAATTCCAAGCACCTCAGAATGTGTATGGAGACAAGGTCTTTAAAGAGGTAATTAAGGTAAAATAAGGTAATTACCTGGACCTTAATTCAGTATGGCTGGTGTTTATAAGAAGTGGAAATTTGGAGACACACAGTTACAAAGGGAAGACCATATGAAGACACAGGGAGAAGCCATCTACAAGTCAAGAAGAGAGGCCTCAGAAGAAACCAACCCTACTGACACTTTGATCTCAAAATTCTATTCCCAGAACTGTGAGAAAAATAATTTCTGTTATTTAAATTCCTCAGTCTGTGGTACTTTGTTATGGCAGCCATAGAAAATGAATACATCCCATAAGAAACAAATAAAATTTAAGACTAACTCCAATAGAGAAGGAAAATGCATTTAAGAGCCCACTTTTCCTCGTTTGTAATTTTGCACTAACATCTCTGATGTATTTCCAGGGTGCAAACAACCTCCTTTCTGCCAAGGTGGACAGGAGCTTTCTGATGGCAGGACCCTTTTTGTTTTGCTTTTAGTGTGTGACACATCTTGTGGTAATTGTATTTATTTATCCCTCCATTTGCTCTGGCCATAATCTAGAATAGAATATTTGCCACATTGAATATTGAGCATGATATTAGAAATGCCAACCTAAAAGACTGCATTTCAGGAAAGAAACATGTTGACCACAAAACAAAACGAAGGCTCACCATATAAAATGAAGAACCACATGCATAAGAATGAGCAGAACTACTCTGAGGAAAAGCCGTAGGCATCCCCAATTCAATATAAAAATTCAAACTTATGCTTGTTACTCAGCATCTTTCAGAGAGCTATGTATCTTCCCAGAACAGGGAAGTCTGGGTTTGCAGAGAATTTACCCCAGGCTTCCCTCAAATTCTGAGTTGTATTGCATTAAAAGTGAAATTCAGCTTATAAAAACTTAGTCTTATAAAGCTTATAAAAACTTATAAAAACTAAGTCTCTTGACTTTGCAGGAATGTGACTAGTAACTCTTGTGTAAAATGAGTCCCCACACTGTGAGAGTTGGGTGGATTATAGTTCCTGTGTGGCTGAATACAGTCTCTTCCCAAAGAGAAGTCCCATAAATTGTAAGCACAATTTTATCCACAACGCTTTCTGATTTAAGGCTAAGGTGTAGCCCCAGAAAGTTTTCTTCCAGTCATTTCTGTGATGTCCACCTTTTAGGGCTGCTGTTAGACCTGTAATAGCTCTGGAAAGTGGTGGCGTTAGTAATCACAACAAAGAAAATCAAGTGTGGTTCTGGGGTCTAGGAAGGTTCCACATCAACAAGAATGTGTTGTTTGAGGCTTTTAGTACTTTGTTTTCTTTGTGTTGCTGTCATTCCCTGAAAATGATGAAGGATGTTGATCATCAAAAGTTGTGCAGCCTTCAGATGGGGCAACTGTCCCTCTGCAAAGATGGAGTCTTCTGTTGTTGGAGCCAAAGTGAAGGAGGAAGAGTTCACGGGTGCGGGAGGTGCTCTCACAGTCTGGCCTGCTGCTGCTTAAAAGGATTAAATTTGATGTTAAAACCTGCACATCTGATACCTCATCTTCCTGTTTCTATTAACGTGAAAGAAGAACCAAAAATTTTTTCTTTTGAATTTCAAAGGAAAGTCTGGCTTCAATTAATACTGGGATTTAAAAAGCAGATCTTAACATTTCCTGTTTTATTAGCAATCTCTCCAATTCAATTCAATGCCATTTTTATTTGGGGTTGCCAAGTGCTGATTTTATATGAGATGCAGAATGTAAGATCTGTTGGTGGTCCAGGAACCTGTGACCTCGTCCTAGCTGCACTGACACCTCTGAGCCCAGGGCAAGGCTTGTTTGCTGGGTGTGCACAGTTGCACTGATTTCCACACTTAGAAGGGGTCCCCATCCTTGAGGTTGAATGCTCTGTTATTACTGTCACAGAATTCTTAATAATTTAATTTTGACTATATGTTTTATAAGTAAAGTCTGCTGGGGCAACAGAGCATGTACTTGGGACTATGTAATTCTTAGTAACTCTCAATTATAACAAAAAATAGAAAAATTATATGCCAACTGGTTCTAAAAACAAGTGCTGTAAGAGCAATATATTCAGTAGAGGAAGGCAGGATAATTGCCAGTGAAGCCTTGAAATTCGAGTAGGTATCAACCAGGGATGCAATTTTTCTCTCTCTTACAGTTGAATGTCAACTGTTTTCCTACACTTGTTCACATTGAAGCCTTTCCTTTAACTTTTCCAAACCATAGAGCAGCCAGGGTAAGCAATGAGTATCCCCAAATAAGAATCAACTGTGCACTTTCTATGCTTTTTGGATCCCCAGAAAGATTCAGGCATCTGCCCCATCAAAACAGCCATAAACCTCAGTTATAGGACACTGAATATTGGGGCATTTGCAGACACTAATTGAGGAGATTTGGGAGTTAGAAGAAAGATGACAGTGCTATCAATTTTTTCTATCCAGGCCTCTTGAAAGTGAAAGCATGCTTAAAGGATTTATCAGCAAATGGATTGGGTTTTTCCAGTGGGTAGGATTTGTACAGTGTATTAATATATTTCATTAATGAAGGCAGATATCTCTTGCATTTAAGTGGCAGTTCTTTACACTCAAAGTCATGAAGTTCAACAAATGCAGAACTAGGCTGGCACCCAGGCCTCCTGGTCTACAATTCTTTAATACACCCAACAAATTTTACAGATCGTCAACTGTGTTAACTCTGAGGATACACTGGAGAGTATGGCAGGATTTGCCCCTGCCATCACGGAGCTTTCACCCTGAGAGGAGACTCATATTAATCAAATAATTGCACATATAAATTAGATGATAACATTCAGAATATAGTGCATCACGTGATCACAAAACAGAATATATTAACCTTTTCTTGAAGGTTAAGGTTATGGTATATGCCCCTGAGTGGTGGCACATGATTCATGATTTGGAGGAAGAGCACCAGCTAACTAGGAGGTGACCAGGGAGGGTGGAGGAAAGTGGGTCAAGCAGAAGGTCCAATGGCAGGTAGTAGTGGGGGCAAATGTGAGGTGTGGTTGGTGTGTCTGAAGCAAAGAGAGACAGGGGAATGTGCTGTGAGATGAGGCTGGAGAGACAGGCAGTGGCTAGATTACCTAGGCTTCTGGGAATAATGTTAATTTTTCTCTTAGGAGCAGTGAGAAACAGTTAAGTGTTGGTTTTAGGCTGCAGGAATGGGAATAACATGTCAGATTTGCTTTATTCTTGTACCTGAATTTGGTGGGTATGAGATTCCCTTGAGACGTTATGTAGAGATGCCACTGGGGACAGCTGGTTAAGGAAGGCCACAGCTCAGGGGGAAGGAGGGTGAGTCACCTGAATACAGAAGGCTGGGGAAGCCCTAGGTGTCAGGGATCCTTCAGGAAGAGTGCAAAGTGTGACAAGAAAATAGAGCCAAGGCTGACCCTCAGCAGCATTTAATGATTGAGGTTACAGGAAGATGAATCTAAAAAGAAATCTGATAAAGAATGACAAGGGAGGGGGGAAAAAAGAAAAAAAGAAAGGAAAGCTAGTGCAATGTTGGTCATAGAAACCAAGGGACCGAATGTCCTCAGTAGAACTGGTCACAGTAGAATATTCTTTTGATGGGTCAGGATAGATGATGACTAAAATACATACATGTCTTTAGTGGTAGGGAGAACCCTGACAATCTCATAGAGTGAGTGAGCAAGGGGTGGTAGTGAGTGGTCAGAGAACTGATGAAGAGTTGGAAAGGGAGAAAACTCTTTTTAAAAGTTTGTCTGTGAAGACATGGGGTGAGAGAGCGAGATAGCTGGACAAATTTCCTACTATAACAAATGTTCTTGTTTCCATTAGCTGGGCGTGGTCACGCATGCCTGTAATCCCAGCTACTCAGGAGGCTGAGGCACAAGAATCACCTGAACCCAGGAGGTGGAGGTTACAGTGAGATGAGAATGCACGACTGAACTCCAGCCTGGGAGGTAGAGTGAGACTCTGTCTCAAAAACAAGCAAACAAACAAACAAACAACCCCACCCCCCTCAATTTCCTTGTTTCCAAACCTTGAAGTTCTGGGTTTCTACTGCTATATTCCCTGCTTCACTAAAACACACAGAATTAGACTTCAGTTTGTTACAGAGACATCTTGGGGTTCAGCTCAGAGCATTGTTCTAAAATGCCAGCAAAATCTTACATGAATCATCTCATGAAATAAGCCCCCGATATCCTTATGTAATACAATCAGATTGCTGCTGGAAGAGTTTCAAAGATGAAAAGATAACATTTCACAACCCATCTAAAAGCTTTATTTTTATAAACAAAACAACAGTTTTGGGAAATGAAACTGTTCAAAAATAACAGATTCACTCCTTTATATGACAAATGATCAGAACAGTTCTATTTTCCTAATACTCTGCTTCATTAACTGAAGCTATTTATTTCTTTAGCATTTACTCACTTATCCTGACAACAGGCCAAACACAGTCTACTTGAAATATATATTTATTTATTATTTCTCCAAGGCTGCTTCTTCTCTAAGGCTTCTTTTATTTTTACTGAGTGAGGTTTATGTTGGTGAAATGTTGCAGTCACTTGTCACTTTCCCGAAGCAGTAATTTAGCATCTAAAGAATGAAGCTCGTAGGTTTCTGAGAAGTGCAGAAGATCTGTAGCTGATGCTGGGAGTGCAGATAGGCCCCTCTGATCATGCTAAGAGAACACTCTCCAGAGTGTGTTAGGTAAGGAAATAAAAATAGGGAGTTCTCCTGGGAAAGTGATAGATGTTGAATATATTAGAAAGGGACAGTTGTTATGGTAGTCGAGTTAAATTAATAAATAATTAAAACGGATTCAAATCTCTTATTTATAATCCGCTATGCAATTGCGGTGTCATATGCTGTGCTGTGGGTTTTGCAAGCTTCTCTCATTCAATCTTCTGCAACAACTCTGTGCATTGGGCAAATTTTTTAACTCCCATGAATTTCAGTTTATAAATTTGCAACATGGAAATAATGGTAATACACAAGTTTATAAAGCCAGTATCAAGTGCGAAAAACCAGTTTGAAAACTAGGTCCTGACTTCCATTTCCAGGTAAGATAGAATAACCGGGATCCGCTTGCTCTCCAACCTGAAATGACCAAAAATACCAGGCAATGTATGTGAAGCAATGGTTTTCAAGCAACTGGTAGGGTGGTCAACTAAACCAGTTTTAAAAAGAATTATCGGTGGAGTAAGGATATTTTTTTCAATAAATAATGCTGGAAAAATGGGATATCTATATGCACAAAATAAGTGTCAACCCATTCCTTTCCTTACATAGGAAAAATAACTAACAATAGGTCATAAACCTAAATCCAAAACCTAAAGCTATGAAACATATAAAGAAAACATAGGAGAAAGATTTGTGTCCTTAGTGAAATTCTTTTTAGGTACAGCAACATTAAAAAAAATTATCCAGAAAAAAATTGCGAAATTGTACTTTGTCAAAAAATTTTAAAAACGTTTACTTTTTGAAAGACACTGGTAAGAGAATAAAAAACAATCAACTGGAAAAACATATTTGCAAATCATACTTCTGATTAAAACTCAGAGCATATAAAGAAAACTTAAACTGCAATAATAAGAAAACAGTTCCATAAAAATTGGGTAAAATCATTCAATAGACATTTCCTCAAAAAAGATATATAGGCAAATAAGCACATAAAATGATTATCATTATTGCTCAGTGAGGTATCCCCCACGTAATATTGCCAAATATTTAAATTGTCAAAATTAAAAAAGACCAATCATACCAATTATTGGCAAGGATATGGCAGAACTGGGACTCTCATACACTGCGACTGGGGATATGAAATGGTTACAACTACTGTGGCGAACTGTTTGGGAGCTTCTTAAAGGTTAATCATACTCTTACATATGATCTTTCCATTCCACTCCTAGGTATAATACGAGGAACAAAGAAAGCATATGTCTATCCAAGACTTGAAGAAAGTTTATGGCAGCTCTGTAGTAACCAAAACCAGTAAACAGTTTGAATGTCCATCAATGATTGAATATATAAACGGTCTGTGGTATACCTATACAATGGAATACTGCTCAGCAATAAAAATGACTTGGCTATGGATACATGCAACAACAGGAACAAATCTCAAAATAATTATGATAAATGAAGAAGCCAGACAATAAAAGAATATATCCTGCATGATCTTATTTACAAAACCTCTAAAGAATGCAAACTAATCTATATGACAGCAGTTCAGTAAGGATCTCCCGGAAAGGTAAGGGAAAGGGTTTATGAAGAGGGGTTGTCGAGAAAAGGAGAGGACTGGGTTAATAGTCACATGAAAACTATCTTGATTGTGGTTGATTATTTCATGGGTGATGGTGTTGATTATTTCATGGGTGTTTATATATGTCAAATAATCAAATTGTACACTTTAAATATGTGCAGTTTATTACATATCAAGTAAACCTCAATAAGGCTATTAGGAAACAAGAAAAAAAACAAACAAGATGATGTGTGTAACCTGAATCACAACATTTTAAGAATGACTTCCCAAAACACTTATGATCTAATAGGAAAAGAGGAATATGAGAGAATACAGAGAGATAATGCTTACAGCTAAGCATTATCCATGTTAATACGTTCATGGCAAAGCTGGTAAAACAAAGTTCTTCAGAGTTTATGTCACGCCCTGAGAGGATTCCAATAATTCCTGATTGGGAATACTCAGAATGTTACGCTTAGGTGGCAGTGGGAGCATCATTGGACCCATTGAAGTAGTAGGAAGGAGCAGGTTAGGGGCTGACCAAAGAAACACACCAATTGTCATGTTTGCAGGAAGGATTCTCTTGGTGACACAGGATGAAGAAGAGAATCTGCATTGCTGTCATCCTCCGGAAGTTCACCTCTGTTGTTTTGGGAGAAGTAAAGCAGTACCAAAATATACTTACAAGTTGGGGCCGCGAAGAACCTCACTGTGAGCCGGGGGCAAGTTCTGTTAACCCAGACACTACTCTGGGTTCTCAATCACATACAGTTTCTACCAATTGCAAATCCAGGGAGAACTCAACTCATTCCAATATGAGTCATATAAATTTATGTGAGCACAAGTATCTCTATAAATGTACCAAAAGGGGAGAAAAAAGGAGGACAGAAACAGGAAAAACAAGTGAAAGACAAAAATTCATTCACCAGAAAAATGTTACCATGAATTTGATAAACATTTTGACCAAGCATGTTTCCATGAATTTTAAAAAAATTTTATAAAGGATGCTCAATAAAACAATGCAGCAGGGGGCTTCAAGGACTCAAGGAAGATATGAAGAGATGATAAATGATGTTGAAAATGAACTTAAAATTGACATAAAAAAGAAATAGGAAAGATGATAGGTATTATTGCCACACTGGAAGCTTCCCAAAGGAGAATAGACATGGCTAAAATACTCTATAAACATGTGGGATTGAATTAAGGAAAGCAAGCAAAATTAAATGAAACTACAAAAAAATTAAAAAGGGCATCTGGGTGTGGTAGTTCACACCTGTAATCCCAGCACTTTGGAATGCCAAGGCTGGAGGATTGCTTGAGGCCAGGAGTTTGAGACCAGCCTGGACAATAGACACAATTTTTTAAAAAAGAACATAGCAGAAAATGGATTTGTGCCCCTGTAGTCCTAGCTACTTGGGAGGCTGAGGTGAGAGGATGGCTTGAGCCCAGAAGTTAGGGACTGCAATGAGCTATGATCACACGACTGCACTCCAGCCTGGGCAATAAAGTGACACCCTGTCTCCTAGGAAACAAAAAGGGACAAATACACTTATAAAAAGCATTTCTAAGAGGATTAAATAATCAATGGTACAGAAATAATATCCAAATATATAATTCAATAATTTTTTTTCCAGAAATGAAATACTTTGATCTTAAAGTCATAGTATGTCCCAAGAAAAACTGATGGGGAATAATTAACACTGAAATCACATTCTAAAAAAAATTACTGACATTCAAAGATTGAAATTCTATTTGCAATTAGGCAAAGGATCAAATCTCTTATGAGGAAAAAGAAAATTAGTCTGCTTCAGACTCCACACTCACAGTTAATGCTACAAGAAATAGCAATGCCTGAAAGTGCTCAAGGAAAAAAAAAAAAAAGAGTGAGTCAAGTATCTTATTCCTGGACTCTGTCATCCAATTTATAAACAAAGCAGACATCTCTAAGTACACAAGAACTCCAGGAATGTAATTCCAGTGAGTCTAGAATGCAACTTTCTGTTATAGAAGATTCTAAAGGGCAAACTTCAACTGATGAAGAGATGAATAAGGAAAGTATAGCAAAACTTCCTTTTATTAGGAGAGGAGTGACTGAAATAAAGGTAGGGGTTATATTAACAGAATAGAATATAAATAATCTATAATCCCTGAAAAAAAATGGAAAGAACAGAGTAAAGTTGGGATGAGAAGAAGAAAGATAGGAGGTAGTATAGAAAGCTGTATAGCTTAAAATTAAAAGCTTCTAAAGCTGGCAAATCAAGTAATAGAGCTGTAAACATGCTTAAATATTTAAAGGTAATCAGTACAAAAATCTTATAATCCACTAACATGAGATGGTAGATGAGGCAGAGCAGTGGAGAGGAAATGGAAATCAACAACAATTTCATTATTGCCAAGAGTAGAGAGTTTTAGCCCGGTATCCACTAAAAACCAGAAGAGTAAATGGAAAGATATAATTAGTCCAGAAATATACTTGCAAATGTGAAAACTTAGAGGTATGCAATAATTTTTTGTAAAGGCAAAAGATTAGAAGTAGTTGAAATATTCAGCAATTGGAACTGCACAACTGTATAATGAAGACGTTGGAAAGACTGAGAAAGCTCTCTGTGTACTTGCATGGAATAATCTCTAATGTGGCTATTAAATAACAGGAGCAAGGCAAAGAATATTGTGTATGAGATGCTACCAATTGGATAAGGAAAACAACACATATGCATTTAATAATGGACCAAAATGTCATGCAGCATATACATATATATATGTATATATATGGACATATGTATATATATAGACATCATCGACAATATTCTGTCATACAGCATATACATGTTGTCCATGATGGACCACATATGTGACAGTGGTTCCATAATATTATAATGGAGCTGCCCAATATAGGTGTACCCTATTTTGGTCTTTTATACCATATTGTTACTGTAACTTTTCTATGTTTAGATATATTTAAATACACAAATACTATTGTGTTTCAATTGTCTATAGTATTCAGCACACTAACATGCTGTACTGGTTTGTAGCCTGGGAGCAATAGGCTATATACACCATGTAGCCTAGGTGTGTACTAGGTTATACTGTCAGGTTTGTGTAAGTACGCTCTATGATTGCACAATAACAAAATCACATAAAGATGCATTTCTCAGAATGTATTTCTGTCATTAAATGATGCATGGCTGTATATATCATATAAAATATATCTGGAAAGATCAACAAAAATGCATCTATAACTTAGATGTTTATGCAGAAGGACACTGTAAGCAAATGTCAGGAATAAGATGAAAATTCTTTACTGAATACCTTTTCATACATTTTAAATTCTGCACCATTTGCACGTGTATTATTATTATTATTATTTTGAGATGGAGTTTCACTCTTGTCTCCCAGGCTGGAGTGCAGTGGCACCATCTCAGCTCACTGCAACCTCTGCCTCCCGGGTTCAAGTGATTCTCCTGCCTCAGCCTCCTGAGTAGATGGAATTACAGGCACCCACCACCATACCCGCCTAATTTTTTTGCATTTTTAGTAGAGACAGGGTTTCACTATGTTGGCCAGGCTTGTCTCGATCTCCTGACCTCGTGGTCCGCCCACCTTGGCCTTTCAAAATGCTGAGTTTACAGATTTGAGCCACCACTTCCGGCCTAATTTTTAAAATAATAAGTTTTAAAATTTCCTTTTAGTGACATGAAATTCACATAACAAAAAATTAATTTTTTTAAAGTGCACAATTCAGTGAAACATAGTATATTGTATATTCATAGTGTCGTGCAATCATTTTCTCTCTCTCGTTCTAAAACATTTTTGCCACCCTCTAAGAATACCCTGTATCTATCAAGCAGTCACTTCCAATTAATAATTTGTTTTTAAAGAAAAATAAAACCCTCATGATGGCTTATAAAAACATCCATAGACTTCACTTTCCTTTGAATCTGTGTAGCCTTAATTCCAGCCTCATTCCTACTTCTTATTTTGAGTCACAGTGGTCTCATTTCTGTGATTCTTGAATTTGCCAAATTCTTTCTCTCTCTTCAGAATATTTGCACAAGCTACTCTCTCTGCCTGTAACACAGTGCTCCCTACTTTTCACCTATCAAATTCCTAGTCCATCTTGAAATTTCCATAGATGCCCTGGTTTGCCATCCAGACTAAGAAGTTCTCTCATAGTTACTGAGGTCATGCAGCTTATTAGTAGTATATTTTGGATTTAGATCTAGAAAAGCTAATGCTAAAGGCTGCCTTTCTAGTAAGTTAGCTCTGCTGGTCATTGCCTAGCTCATCTAATGATACTCAATTCACACATGATAATAAACAAATAATTTTTCATAAACACAAGCCTTAGTCCTCAAATACATGCATTTGAGGACTGGGACATATGATATGCTTTAGAAAGTTGCATAAAGTAAGGCACCTCCTAGAGCAAATGATTTTTAGCATAAATTTCATGTGGGTAAATAGAGTAAACAGAAACCCATCAGCCAGTCCCACAGTGACACTAGTGGCAGATCAAAAAAAAAAAAAAAAAAAAAAAAAGATAGTGCTAAATATAGTGCCTTGTCCTGAGCTCAAAATCATTATTTGCCTCTAGTGAATTATGGGAAATTGAAGACTTAGATCTTGAAACAGCCACAGAGAGTTTTTAATGCATGCTGCGTATCTTAGGGCATGAAAAAGCAAACCACCACAAATTGCACAAAAGAGATCAAACTCATATTGTCTCATGGCCAGTTCCTTTGGGATAAAGTCTTGAACACACCGTTTGGGTTTTAGACATCTGAATTGCATCCCAGGTCTCTATAAAACCTTTAATAGGGAAGAAAGGATGGTTTTGTCGACATGTGAGCCATTCTCTTCATTGGGCATATAATCTCCTTTATAAGTGATGCCATGATTTTACACCTTTTCGAAAAGTGGATATTACAGCTGTAGTTTCTATAAAGCTGGCTGCCATGGCGCAATTAGGGGTGAAATAAATCCCACCATCCTGGATGACACCTTGTGCAGCTGAAACCAGGGCATATAGATGGATCTGAGAAAATGGGATTTGACTGTGTAATTGTCATACTCAGTCAACATACACAGTTTATTTACCATGAAAAATAATTATTATACATGCAGATATTAATTTTTGCTATCAGACACCACTTGGGAAAACACTAACAATTTAGAAACTTTTATATTAAAAATGCCTGAAATGGCTATTTTAACCAATTCATGAGATACCATAACCTTTTATTCTGAGAGTTTTGTATGATTGCTTCACTGTTGATGTTTAGCATCAGAAGGAATAAAGGGATCCACCTAATAAGCCAGTGTCTGGGATTTGGAAGCCAAGGAATCAACAGCAGTGTTGGAAGTGGTGTTCCAAGGTCACTGTGACTTTTTTTTTTTTTTTTTTTTGAGACACAGTCTCGTTCTGTCACCAAGGCTGGAGTGCAATGGCGTGATCTTGGCTCACTGCAACCTCCGCCTCCCAGGTTCAAGCAATTCTCCTGCCTTAGCCTCCCAAGCAGCTGGGACTACAGGCATGTGCCACAAAGCCCGGCTAGTTTTTTGTATTTTCGTAGAGACAGGGTTTCACTCTGTTGCCCAGTCTGGTTTTGAACTCCTGAGCTCATGCAATCCTCCCACCTCGGCCTCCCAAAGTGCTAGGATTATAGGTGTGAGCCACTGCTCCAGGCTGACTCTTAATCTTAAGAATAATTTTCTCTCAGTATTAGTTTTAACTTTTACTTGATGTTTTCTTAAAATTTATATAAAAAGTATCACTGTTGAAAATGATTTAGTATTTGGCTAACATTTACTGGTAAGAGAAAAATGTATTTTTGATGCAATAGTGATAATGATGAGGATGACAGTGATCAACATTCACCAAATGCTCGCCACGCACCAGACACTGTCTTGGGTGCTTTACACGTATTACCTAGTTTAATTCCCTTTACTAACTTTGGTAATAAGTAATATAATTGTATTCCTATTTTATAGATGTGAAAACAGGTACAGATTAATTGAGTTAAATAATTTGATTAAGTTTACACCACTAAGAAGACACCATAGTAACTACTACATTTTACTACTTCCTATTTATAGCTACCAGTTACTCAGTACTTGCCTTTGGGTCTCATGCAAGTTTTTTCTTTTCTCTTTTTTTTTTTTTTCATTTTACTCTCACAACAAGTGAAGTAGATCTCAACATTTTATACATAAAGAATATGAGGCTTATAGCAATTAAACAAATTGCTCACAGTCACCTTGCTAGTGTTACCTAATTTTCAGCCTACTAATAAAATCTAAATCTCAGTATATTAAAGAGTGTTTAGTTTTGGCTATTTCTCTGGACGTCAAGATTTTCTTGTTTTCTTAAATGAAACTGCATTTACAAATTATCTCATCTTGCATGATGCCTTGTGCAGTCAGAAGGACTTGTTGGGCCCTGGTAGAGAATCTTCTTATTTTTAGGATTAGAGAAATATATATATTTGATACATAAGATAACTTTTCTCTATATTGGTTTATTTCCACAAGGAAAAAAATTTTCTGTACTGAATCTAATTGCATGGGCTTGATGTGTTGAGTGAATTTTATATATACTTCATCTTCAAGTTGTTCTTCAAAAGTTTAAATTGCTCTTCCAATAAGAAGAGAAAAATAAATTTTGATGCTAGATTGCTTATGTCAATGCCTTATTTTCATTACTGTAGAATTGGAAATTTTTCTTTCAACAGAGATGTCTGTAGGAAATATATGGTTATATTTTCAAGTGTACTTACAGTAATAATGATGTGTTTGGCTCTTATTCCTTAGTATTTTATGTAAGATTTTAATTAACCCTCACTGTAATCAGGCATAGATATTATATAAATTTTATTAAGGCACAGAAAGTGAGAAGCAATTGTGAAGTCATAGGTCAAAAATATAATTGCCAAAAATCTCACAACTAGTAAGTGACAGAATTATTTGGCACTATAAACACTGCATTCTGGACATAGCAATGACATCAGCAACATTAAAATGATGTGGGAGGGGCAACTTAAAGGACATGCTTGAAGTGGAAGCAGTGGAGGGAAGGTTTAGGGGTTTCTAGTTGTCATATAAGGACATGATAACATAAAAACAAGGTAATTGTGTGTGTGGGACTATCTCCGGCTTGGGAAAACAAATGCTGAGAGAGAGAGAGCATTACCATGGTGAAGGAAAGCTTGTGAAGATACAAAATATTGATGGAAAATCTATGTGATTTCAGTCAAAATGTTTGCCATAATGGAAAGCTATCAGAAGCTCAAGTACACCACTTACCAGCTGTGAGCTTGGATTGGACAAGTTGTCTAAGAGGGATGATAATACTTTCCTCTGACTAGTGTCACTGTGAGACGTTAATGAGAAAATGTGGATAAAATCCTCAGACAGCTTTGATAAGTCTCTTACAATGTTCTGTTGTTCCAGTTTTTTAAAAGTCAGGAAGATAGAGTAGTTGTCAAATACTTAAGTGCACTAATATGGGAAAGGAATTAAATCTATTCTTTTTGGGACCTGGTGAATTGAAACAGATTTTGACTTAATGCCAAGCCTAGTTTCAATCAGGGCTTACCAGAAGAGGTTAGTTTTCCTTGAGAATATATGCATTATCTATCAGTGAAGAAATGTAAAGAAATGGTGGTCATTTAGTGTGAAGAAGATTCAAACATTAGATCAGCATTAATGTAGGTAAATTTTTTTTTTTTTTTTTTTTTTTTTTTGAGACGGAGTTTCGCTCTGTCGCCCAGGCTGGAGTGCAGTGGCGCGATCTCGACTCACTGCAAGCTCCGCCTCCCGGGTTCACGCCATTCTCCTGCCTCAGCCTCCCGTGTAGCTGGGACTACAGGCGCCCGCCACCATGCCCGGCTAATTTTTGTATTTTTAGTAGAGACGGGGTTTCACCGTGTTAGCCAGGATGGTCTCGATCTCCTGACCTCGTGATCCGCCCGTCTCAGCCTCCCAAAGTGCTGGGATTACAGGCGTGAGCCACCGCGCCCGGCCTAATGTAGGTAAATTTTAAGGCTTCTTATGATCCTCAGGATCTGTGATGATACCAAAGTCAGGCCTAAGAGAAAAGAAACTTCTTCACTGATTTTCCTATCCCTATGCCAAAGTCCTCCCTTGTTAAGACACATTTGAAACAAATAAAATCTCATTTCATGTAACAAGTACATTGCCCAAGGAACTATGTCTTAACATAAATATTTTTGAAAGTTGTTGAGGTAACTTACTTATAAAATATCATCTTAACACAGTAGAAATGAAAAATAATATATCACTTAAATACATATCTTAATAAAAACTTAAAATATGTTACATTACAATAGTGTGTTACTTGTATACTTTTCTTTCTAGGGTAGGGATTGCAATGTCTTTTTGTAAAGAGTGAGACAGTAAATATTTTAGGCTTTGTGGGACATTTGGTGTCTGTGTTGACTCAACTCTGCTATTATAGCTCTAGGCAGCCATAAACAATATGCAAATGAAAAAGCATGGCTGTATTCCAATAATACTTTAAGGCAGTGGCCAGATTTGGCACACATGCTATCACATGTCAGCAATGAGGACAGTGTATCTACGAAGTTTCTCAGTTGCAAACAAAGTAACTGCCTTTTCATAATTTGAGCAGAAAATGAATTTATTAAAGAATATTGGCAGTTTGCAGAATCTATAGCAGGCTAGAGAACAAGCAATGAATGTAATAAAGCCAGGAAAAATGACCAAATCATGCACAAAACCAATCACATGAAGACACCTCTGCTCCAAGGCACTTAAAGGGGCTACTAGAATAGTGAACAACACTGCCTCTGGATACTGGGTGTGACGATGTCTGTCACTCTTCCCATCAGCCTTAACAGGATAGGATCTTCAATAGTCCTATTTCATTGTTTCACCAGCTTCGAAATCCAAGTTCAGTGTGGGTGCCTCTGATTAGCAGAGTCTAGGTGAAATGCCCACATCCTACCTTTAACGCAGGGTGGGAAGGTGAGTACTCAGCACTTTCACCTTACAAGAAATGTAGAATTACCCACCTTAAGAAAGAAATTCAGCACTGGGCAGCAAAAATGAGTGACAAATGTCCAGTATAAAAAGGACTGAGGGTTTTTTTTTCCCACATGTCTGCAGTAGCTAGAATGCTGCCCAGTGTTTGACAAATTTCCATGAAAAAATACACCTAATAAACAAAAAATAGGATGAGTTACTAAGAGCGGCTTAAGAATTAATGGTGACACAAGAAATGATTATTCTCTTCCCACACTATATGCCTAAGCTCTTACAGAAATAGATGTACAGTAGAAAGGCAGCGTATCCATTCTTTGAGATGGGTACACTAGGAAGACAGTGTACTCATGCCTCATGAAAAAGCAATGACCAACAATGGTCGTTTATTTATTGGCTGTATGTGATATTTGTTTACTCATTGGCTATTTGTGAATATTCCTTTGTGCCAGGCAACATGACAGGTAGAGGAAAAAGAATGATTAGCACAAGCAGAAGTAAGGCCTGCTCTGATGGAGTTTCTCATCTATAAAGGGAGAAAAACATTTAGAAAAGAGAATTTAATATAAAATTGCAAGTTACTTAAGTGCTACAAAGGAAGGTACATGGTGCTATCAGTGTAAATAAAGAGACATGAGATCTGGACAGGGTTTCAGAGAAGGTTTTCCTGAGAAAGTAATGGCTACGCTGAGATCTAAAGAATGAATGGAAATAGTCATGTAAAAGAAGTGGTGGAATTAGGAAAACAAAAAGCCTACAAGGCAAAGAAAAAGCGTATGCAAATGCCCTAGGGAAGGGGTGACAAGAAGAGTACTTCTAAAGGAACTTGTTGAAACTGGACCCCTTCTTTACACCATATACAAAAATCAATTCAAGATGAATTAAGTAATTAAATGTAAAATCCAAAACTATGAAAGCCCTAGAAGAAAACCTAGGCAATACCATTTTGCCCATAGGCCCTGGCAAAGACTTCGTGATGAAGATGCTGAAAGCAATTGAGAAAAAAAAAAAATGACAAATGGGTCATAATTAAACTAAAGAACGTCTGCACAGCAAAAGAAACTATCAACAGAGTAAACAACTTACAGAATGGGAGAAAATATTCACAAATTGTGCATCCAACAAAGATCTAATATCCAGAATCTGTAAGAAACTTAAACAAATTAACAATCAAAACCAAATAACACCATTAAAAAGGGCATGAACAGATAATTTTCAAAAGAAGATATATGTGTGGACAACAAGCACAGGAAAAAATGCTCAGCATCACTAATTATTAGAGAAATGCCAATCAAAACCATATTGAGATACCATTACACACCAGTCAGAATGGCTATTATTAAAAAGTCAACACACGGCAGATGCTGGTGAGGTTGCAGAAGAAAAAGAATGCTTATATCCTGTTGGTGGGAATGTCAATTAATTCAGCCATTGTGAAAAGCAGTGTGGTGATTTCTCAAAGAACTTAAAACAAAATTACCATTCAATCCAACAATCCCATTACTGGGTATACACCCAAGGAGTATAAATTGTTCTATCGTAATGTTCATTGCAGTACTATTCATGACAGCAAAGACATGGAATCAACCTATATGCGCATTAATGATAGACTGAATTTTTAAAAATGTAGTATATATACACCACGGAATACTAAGCAACCTTAAAAAAGAATAAAATCATGTCCTTTGCAGCAACGTGGGTGGAGCTGGAGGCCATTATCCTAATTGAACTAACGCATGAACAGAAAACCACATACTGCATATTCTCATTTATAAGTGGGAGCTAAACATTGAGAACACATGGGCACAAAGAAGGGAACAACAGACATTGGGGTCTACTTGAGGGTGGAGGGTAGGAGGAAGGAAAGGATAAAAAAATACTTATTGGGTATTATGCTTATTACCTGGGTGATAAAATAATCTGTACAACAAAGCCCTGTAACATGCAGTTTACCTATATAACCTGCACATGTACTACCCTGAACCTAAATTAAAATTTAAAAATAAATAAATAAATAAATTCTGACTCTCTCTCTCTACACACACTGTCTCTCTCTCTCTCTCTCTCATATACATAAATTGCTATTTCTCTGACATAACCACAGCGTGAAGAATAAATTGGAGGGTGCAATAATGAATTTGGGAATGAGAGTCTCAGAAGGAGAGGAGAGAGAGAAAGAAGAAAAAATGTGTGAAGTAATTATGACTGAAACTTTGCAAATGTAATTTTAAAAAGATAAACCTACACTTTTAAAAACCTCAGTGAACTCCAAGAAGAATAAACTCAAAGAGATCTACAGCAAGACATATGACATATTTTAAATGAAGGCACATCAAACCAAAGGGAAAATCTTGAAAGCAGCAAATGGAAAGTGACTATCACATAGATGTAACTCAGAAATGGAAAACCAAACATCATATCTTCTCACTGATACGTGGAAGCTAAGCTATGAGGACAAAAAGGCATAAGAATGATACAATGGACTTTGGAGACTTGGGGGAAAAAGTGGAAGGGGGCAAGGGATAAAAGACTGCAAACATGGTGCAGTGTATACGTGGGTATGGGTGTGCCAAAATCTCACAAATCACCATTAATGAACTTACTCAGGTAACCAAATCCCACCTGTGCTCGAATAACTTATGGAAAAATTTTTTAAAAAGAGAGAAAGAACTATGAAAAAAATGCAAATGGATTAGACTTTCCAATTAAAACTCAGAAATTGGCAGAATGGATAAAAAGCAAAAACAACCACAATCCAACTACATGCTCTCTATAAGAGATTCATTTTAGATCCACGGACACAAGTAAGTTGAAACTAAAAGGCTGAAAAAACTTATCCTATGCAAAGAATAACCAAAGAGAGCTAGAATGGTTATATTAACACTAGACAAAATACACGTTAAGATAAAAATTATAACAAGAGACAAGGAAAGACATTATGCACCAATAAAAGTATCAATCCACCAAGAAGATGTAATAATTATAAATGTATAAACAACAGAGGAAAAGATACAAGTCTAAAATTAATAGAATTGGAGAAGGAAATAGACATTTCTACAATAATAGTTGGAGACTTCATTACTCCACATTAAATAATAGAACAAGTTGACAAAATATAAAAAAAAAGGAGTAGCAGAGTTGAACAACACTATAAACTAATACACCTAGCAGACATATGCAGGACACTCCACACCAAAATAATAGAATTCACATTATTCTCAAGTGTACATAGAACGTTCTCCAGGATATGTTAGGTCACAAATAAATCTCAATAAATGGAAAAGATTGAAAACATCAAAATACTTTCTCCAACCACATGGAATGATTTGGGGTTGTTTGTCCACATTCTCCTCCCTAGGATTTGTGGCACCCTTCATGATTCTGGTGGATTCTCATTTTGGAAAAGTTGATCCTCAAAAGTATACAAAATTACAAGAGACTCCAAATAGGCAGAACAATATTCAAAAGAAAAACAAAATTGGAGGGTTCTTACTTCACAATTTCAAAACCTACTACAGGTTTTGAAGGAGTGTGGTACTGGCTTAAAGATATACAAATAGACCATTAGATAAGCATTCAGAATCCAAAAATCATATATCTATGCCTAATTGATTTTCACAAGGGTGCCAAGACCATTCATTGAGAAAAGAATAATTTCTTCAATACATGGTACTGTGAAAACTTGATATTCACATAATACAAAAGAATGAATTTGGGCCCCTACCTAACACTACATACAAAAATTAACTCAAAATGAATTATTGATCTATATGTAAGAGTGAAAACTGTAAAACTCCTGGAGAAAAGCATAGAGGCAAATCTGTGTGATCTTTGACTGGGCAATGGATTCTTAAATTTGATATATGAAGTGTAAGCAAAAAAAGAAAAACACAATATTAATTAGATATCATCAAAACAAACATTTAAAAAAAAACCCAGCCAAGCACACTGGCTCATGCTTGTAATCCCAGTGCTTTGGGAGGCCAAGACAGGATAATTGATTGAGGTCAGGAGTTTGAGACAAGCCTAGGCAAGGGAGTGACACTCCATCTCTACAAAAATAAAATTTTTTAAAAAAATTAGCTGAGTGTGGTGGTGTGCACCTGTGGTCCTAGCTACTGGGCTAGGAGAGAGGATTACTTGAGCTCAGAAGTTGAAGGCTTCATTGAGCTATGATTGCACCACTACAGTCCAGCCTGATTGACAGAGTGAAACCCAATCTCAAGAAACAAATAAACAAAACAAAAAACCCTAGGTGCATTTAAGAATATTATAAAGAGGCCAGGTGTGGTGGCTCATGCCTGTAATCCCAGCACTTTGGGAGGTCGAGATGGGCAGATCATGAGGTCAGGAGTTAGAGACCAGCCTGGCCAATGTAGTGAAACCCCATCTTTACTAAAAATACGAAAAACTAGCTGGGCGTGGTGGCAGGTGCCTGTAATCCTAGCTACTTGGGAGGCTGAGGCAGGAGAATCGCTTGAACCTCAGAGTTGGAGGTTGCAGCGAGTTGAGATGGTGCCACTGCTACCAGCCTGGGTGACAATGCGAGACTGTTTCAAAAAAAAAAAAAAAAGGTTATGAAGAATGTGAATAGATAACCTACGGAATGAGAGATAATATTTGCAAATCATATGTGGATAGGGATCTAGTATACAGAATATGTAAAGAACTCTTACAAGTTAATGAAAAAAAGAAATCCAATTAAAAAATGGGTAAAGACCTTGAATAAACATTTCTCCAAAGAAGATATGTAAATGTCCAATATACATATGAAAAGATGTTCAAAATCATTAGTCATTAGAAAAATACAAGTTAAAACCACAATGAAATACTACTTCCCACTCACTAGGATGGCTATTATAATATATAAAACAAGTCAAAATCCAGAAAATAACAAGTGTTAACAAGATATGGAGAAATTAGAATTCTTAACCACTCCTTCTGGGAATGTAAAACGGTGCAGTGGCTGTCGAAAGCAGTTTGGTGATTTCTCAAAAAGTTAAACATAGAATTACCACATGATTCAGTAATTTCACTCATAGGTATATAGCCAAAATAATTGAAAACAGATACTCAAATTCATGTACAAGAATGTTCACAGAAGCACTATTTACAATAGTCAAAAAGTAGATTTCTTGGAACCCAAATGTTTATCAAGAGATAAATGAATAAACAAATTGCATATACTTATGCACACCATGGAATATTCATCACCATAAAAAAGGAATGAAGTATTTATATACGTACAATGTAGATGAACCTTGAAAATGTTATGCTAAATGAAAGAAGCCAGACACAAACAGTCACATATTTTGTGATTCCATTTATATGCAATATACAGAATATGCCAATCCATAGTGAAAGAAAGAACATTGGCGGCTGCCAGAGCTGGGGGAGGAGAGAATATGGACTGACTTCTTAATAAGTATGGGGTACTCTTTGGGGGTGATAAAAATGTTTTGGAACTTGATATAGGTAGTGGTTGCACAGTACCATGAATGTACTAAAAGCCACTGAATTTTACGGTCTAAAATGGCTAATTTTATGTTATATGAATTTTACTTCAATAAAAAGCATAGCAGCAAAAGAAACAGAATGGGTGTGAGAACTGACTGGGAGGTTGTTGGATTAGTTCAGGCAAGAGAGGAGAGTGTTTTTGACTAGGGTGGAGATGGAGATAAAAAGAAGTAAACCATCTATGACAAGCTGGGCTTGATGTCAGAGGAAGAGGGGAGGAGAAGGGCAGACACTAACAGACAGGCTTTGATTTGGGTCATGGCCAACTTAATGCTGCAAAGGGGTATTAATGGGAATTCATCCAGATCAGACTTACCCTCAAACTCATTATCTGACCCTATTTAAAATGGACTTACAGACCCATAAAACCAATTCTGGTTAGGTGTGTTTGTGTGCTTAAGGGAGTGAGAAAAAGTGTCTTGGTCATGAAGTGGCCTCATTTTGAGTCTAAGTGGTGAGAAGTTGAAGTGATAAAAAATTTTTCTCTGTGACACAAATGGTACCCCACCCCAATCTCTGAAATATTCCTGTCTACATCCTCATAGCAGTGGCTGTAATTCCGGTATGTTAAAGGCAAATATGAAGAGGCAAGGTAGTATGTTTTACCAGCTATTAAAACTCAATAGGAGTATAATATCAGATCTTTTATATTCTCCAACAGCTGAGAATAAGTTATAGGGGCAATGGGACTTTTGACAGAAAGCGTATTAAAACCACCAATTAGGGGCCTAAGACACTTCTGGACACCTTGATAGACAAATTGAAACTCTGGTGTTTGGGGAAGTGGTAATTAAAGGCAAAACTTTTCTTACTTGATGGATGTAAAGAGGTCATTCTAAAGATTTTTGCTTATATGAAAAGTCTTCTCTTAGGCTTATCTTGGCTCCTTCAACTACCCCAGAAATTGGTTGTCCAATAGCTTAGAAATGTAAGTCAAACCTCAATTTTCTCTATTAGGGACATGTTCGGTGTTCTTTAGATTTTCAACAACCCTCACGTCTTGATACTTCCCGTGGGGACACTGAACTCTCAAGTAGAAACCCCACTAATGCCCTCAGACAACTTAGGTTACACCGTAGGGGCTGGATTGAACACTTTGCTCTCGGTTATTGCTCTCAATGTCATTGACATTGACATTTGTCCCCTAAATTCATTATTTATCCATCCTTTCTCAGCTACTTTGCAAGATAAACATGCTAAAATCTCATCTATTTTCCTTGTGCCTTGCCTTTCTCCTACTTAGTTCTCAGGCTCAATGTTAAAGTCATTTCTGATGGAAAGCCCCTACCATCCTCCCACTCCTCAGGCTACACTGGGCATCATCCTCTGTGCTCTCATAGCACCCAGTCCTCCCTGCATCATGGGTCTTATTCTGCACTTTCATTGTCACCTACTTGCATGACACAGATGTCACCTAGATGCCTTCTTCCTTTTTGAGATATTGGTAAAATTGAATCAAACCTTTTAATTCAGTGGCCTGAGGGCATCCAATCCCTCCACAGGGAATCAGCCAATATCAGCTATTACCCACAGGGTATTTGAGGTGAGGAGAGAGGGCATGGGAAGATGTTATTTTTCTGGAAGTCCTGACTTTAGAGCAGGAAAAGAAAATGGGGATGAACCATCCTGCTCTACATGGATCTCAACTGGAAACTCACTACAGGACTCTGTTTCAATGAGACAGCAATGGAAACAATCATCACTCTTTGCAAGCACTCAGGAGTACACTACGCCACTAGAGATTGTGAAGGAGAGTGAGTCATGGAAGGGGACCAGTCACAACACCCCCTGACTTCCCTGATGCTCCTCTGCCTCGTGTTTCTTCTCATCACCTTCTTCTCAGCCTGCCAAGGATCTCTCAATTATCTTCCCCAATGGGGCAGAGCACTGTTCTTCCTCTGGATCTTTGGCATCAACCACCATTGAGACACCTCTTTACACCTGCTCATTTCTCACTAGAATATGGACCACACCAGAGCAGGGTATGAGTCTATCTCCTTCAACTCTATTCCCAGTGAAGTGTGTGATTTATAGTTCTGGGAGGAATTTCAATGAAGTAACGAATAGAGAGTTATGATGGAATTGAGAGAACTATCCACCTGTGGACATAATTGGAGTCTGTGCCATTTTTAGACTTACAGTCAAAATTTTTAGACTTATGTCAGGTATTAAGTTTAACTCCAAGTAACTGCCTTGTGCTTGGCACAATGTAAAACACCCTGGGGAGTTCGCTAGAAGCTCATGATGTTACTTTCATTATAAAGTGGACAATGAAGAAGATAAAATGATTGTGCCTGAAATGATTAGCTGATGGCTAAGTACTAACCTAGGTGGAATTGAAAATAGCCTTCAGAGAAAGAAGAGGCTGGTGTGGGCTGGGGCCTCTCGGTGGGTTTTATGTATGAGGAAGGCATTGAAGAAGGGCAGGACTTTGGATTGATGGGGAGGAGGTGAGATAACTTGACCTGTGTAGGCGGTGGGGCAAAGGTGAGCAGGTGTACACAGAGGACAGCAAATGGTCATCATCCAGGATAGAGACACACATGTGTGGTGCTTGTGACAACTGGGAATAGGAATTTCCACCTGTATCTGTAAGTAAAAAGAAAACACTGTAGGTTCCTGAGCACCTCTTACATGCTAGACATGTCCATATAAATCATTCGTACCTACTAAACTCTTATCTGAGATTTACAGATAAGAGAACTGAGGCTTAGAGATGCTGAACAGATTCCCCAATTCATATAGTGAGCAACTGGTAGGTCTGGAATTCATCCTCCACTTCTCACTGCACACATAATACACTCCCCATTTCATGACCCTACCTATTGAAGAGAGGTTATTTTGGTAATAGGATGTGGGGAGGCTCAGTTCTAAGGCAGAGGGTCATTGGGCTCCAAGAGGTCACTGCTCTTTCTGGAAGGTGGGAGGCAATAGGGCAGAGGGCAACTCAGTCAAGGATTCTACAAAGCGGATGCTGAGAAACACCTGGGCCCTCATGCTCTTCTGAAGTCCCCAGGCAGGTAAGGAGCCTGAGGCAGGGAGCAGTCTGCAGGGCCTTCAGAATTCTCTGAGCATCTGCCACTTTTGGGTGGCAAATTGTGTCCCAGAGACATCCCAATAGGGGCAGCCAATGTGGAATGTGAGTAAATGCTATCTTGTCAGTCACTAATAACTTTCTTGGCTGAGTCTATGTCCACTTTGGGGTTTTCTGGATTCCCTATTGGACCTCTAACCAGCCTCAGAGCTACGGAGTGCTAATTGAAAGGCAGGGAGTAGGGAGGTATGTTTTATTTTCTCCATTTAGCAGATGAAGAACACAAGACTTCAAGAGCTAAGTCACATAAGCTGTACATGAGATCACACACTCCCATAGGGAAAACTGGGATTAGAACCCTGTTTATCTGATGCTAAAATTTTAAGTTCTTTCTATTGTGCCGCACTACACTGAAACCTCAATTAACTTGAATATTTAGGGAATGATGTCACGGAAATGGAGGCAGCCAATGTGGGAATATTGGAAATAAATCAACAGTTTTAGCACATATTCTGAGAGTTTCTAAACTTGAGATTACATAATTTTTATGAGCCTGGCTTTTTAATCACTATATTTTTCTTCAGATTGAAGACTCACACAACAAAAATACTATCTAGTTGGGTGCTTCCATCAGATGAGCAGATGAGCTCTGATTATAAAGAAGACTCCATGCTTTGTTTTAAAACTTCTGTGCGTTATTTGGGGGGATCATAAAACCTGTGTGTGTGAGAGGGAGAGAGAGAGAGAGAGAGAGAAAGAGAGAAAGAGAGAAGAAAAGAAAGGAAGAAAGGAAGAAAGAGGGAGATGGAGATCAGGAGAGTAAGATCTCCTTTCCATGTATGTAAGACACCAAGTTCCAACTAGGAGAACAGAGATGCCAAAGGAGAAGGGAATCCACCCTGGGTGACAACAATTAATCTGGACGGTCTTGACTTTTTGAATGAAGAGGAATGTGTTGTCAATCAATGAGTCACTGAATCTCTTGCCACTTTTCAGTGGGAGAGAAATTGAGATCAGTGCAGCATGGTATAGGTGGAATAGGGTGTGGACAAGGCATCAGGAAGCCTGAGTTCTGGCCCTTGTCCTTGCAATAGCTCCTTGTGTGGAGTTGAGTGATTCATTTGCTTGCTGGGCTGCACTGAACTCATATTTAAGAAGAAGTTTAGATAGTATATTACATCATCTAATTTAAAACAAACACACAAACAGTGGACACCCTGGGGTGGGAGACTGGGGTGACCAGAAGGGGACCCAGAACAGCCTCTGTGGTTCTGGCATTGTTCTGTTTCTTGATCTGTGTGCCAGTTACAGGGGTCGTCTAATCATCTATACATTTTTATTAGTTCACTTTTCTAAATGTATTTTATTCTTCTGGAATATTTTACAATAAAAACATGGAAATCAAACCAATTGAAGTTCTAGTTACTTCAAATCATTATTTAGAAAAAAGGCCAAGGAGAAACATAGTGAAAAACTAGATGAAAAATGATTTAAAACCTCCCTAACAGACATCATCTCATTTACAGGTTGCAGTTTTCAAAGGAGATCGGCGGTGAATAGTCATGTAAGAAGAAAAGGAAATACAAATAGTAATAGCACAACAGTTCAGGATGGACTGCCTTGGAGAGCACGTCTTTATGATAGAATTGATCATCTATCACAGGTTTCCACTGAATGTGACCTTGCAACTACACAGTCTGATTTACTGTAATAACTGTATTCTGAGGCATTACATATTTAATCAATTTCATGGAGGAGGCAGTAAGTTAAAAATGATGTTGAAACTCAGCACCCATGTTGTTGTGCTGGGATGCTATAGTCCCACAACACAATGTTACAGAATGTTAATGCACTGAGGACCCAAAAAGACCAGGAGCATACAAATAGGATCACAATCAGTCCTGCTAACACACAGATCACTTTTTGATAAATGCGTCGCTTTTTTTGACATTAAAGGCAACTTTCAATTTTGATGGAAATCTGTGTTTAAAATAAAAGAGATATAATAGTTGAGGGTTGGAAGGAAAAGCTTATACCTGGAACATTGAGGCGACACTGGGGCTTGTGCTCAGGAAGCTGCTGTGGAGGACTAGAATACCATGGTGGCTGGAGTTCCAGCCTTTGAACTGACACCAGCACATCCTAGAAGCTTTGAGAGAGTCCTTTGGCAAGCTTGGCAGCAGAGAGTATCCTCTCTTGAAGTCAGTACCCAAATGGCTAGAAATTGGTATTGTGAAACTGGAATCTTACAAAATGAGGATTTATGGGAGAATAGATTGGTATAGCCTTTTTGGAGAGTTATACAGTGATCCCTAGTATAACTGAGAGTGCTTATTCTCCATGATGGTACAACTTCACCCCAAGGGATTTACCCTGTAAAAATCCACTCACTATGTAGACATGGAAAGAATGTCCGTAATAGCATTGTGTGTAATAGTAAAAATTTGGAAAAAATACCCACTTCCATCCATGTGTAAAGAATAAATAATTATGCTATTTTCACACAATAAAATACAATTTAGCCATGAAAACAATTGAACTACAAGGATGTATATCAACCTAAACTAACTTCATAATATACTTGATTATAAATGCAATTTTCAGAATAATATAATATTTTATAAGGTTTACTGTAAGAGTTAAAGAGGAAAGAAACACAAAAGGCAGCTCAATAGTCAAAGACAGGTTTATATTGGAGAATAAACTTGAGAGGGGCTTCTGGCCGATTTCGGTCAGCAGTGCTCTCTCTTACAGACTAAGAATATTATTGATTTTTTTAGGGTGAGAGAGCTTATCACAAGCTTGGAATGTTTCTGTGTAGGGAAGTTTATGGCAGGGTTGGAATGTCTCTGGTTGGAGGGCAGGTTATCTTGGGACTGACATCTCTCCAGCCAGAAGAGGGGTTATCTTGGGGCTGGCATGTCTCTGGTTGGGGAGTGGTTTGGAATGTTTCTGGTCAGAGATGTTATTTGTGGTTTATGGCTGATGCTTTTTGGATTTAGGCAGTTTTTGATCAAGGTGAACTTTAAAATGATGGTGCTTGTCCAAGATGGCGGTGCTCCTGCTCTGTCATTTACCAGCATGCAAAAATAACATTTGAAAATACTTAGGGACCGTATATAACTAGTAAAGGTATAAAGAGATTCATATGAATGATAAACACCATGTTCAATATACTGGTCATCTCTGAGAAGGAGTGATGGGAATGTGAACTGGGAGGAGCTCACAGGTATTCAATTTGTGTCTTTGCAGCAGTTTCAGTTATTCCTTGTGTTAATCATCCTGTTTAGATGGCTGAAATAAATCATAAAACAACTTTAAAAGGTTAATCTGAAAATAAAATTGTTAATTTTACATAGATCTGTTAATCTATATATCAATCTATTTTTCACACAATAAATGTTTACTGAGCTCCTGCTTCATGTGCATGATCTTCTAGGAGCTGTGAGAGAAACAAGAGAAGTAAAAGGTATAGTCTGTGTCCTCCAAGGGCTAATGGTTGCGTTGGGAAGACAAGACATAGGGAAATTTAGGAAATATTATGATAAAAGAGAAATCTGAAAGGAAGACAGCTTGAAACAATGGTTCAGAAGAATCCTGCTTCCCAGGAATATGGTAAAAGATAAAGAATATCACAGATATGAGAAAAAAATAACAATAATGGAACATAAATCCACTCACTCACTGGAGTCCTGGATCTTCTTTCTAGGATACTGTAAAATCTACTAACTTGACAAGTGCTGCCACTCAGGCCTGGGTCCTTTCAAACACTTCTTACAATTGCTAAAGTTCTGCGCAAAGGGTGATTTTTCTTCTACATTGTGTATGCTTTGTCGGTGTAAGTGTCACAGCTCTCTGTGTGGTGGTGTCACAATGTCAGGGCAATATCCATTTGTCATTATAATGCTTTTTGTCCATAGAGCTCTTTCTGACTCTGTTTTATGCCTAAAATATATAAGAACATATTGAGTTTGACCAGAACAGCTTCAGTCCCCTCACAGGAGAACCAAGGGATGCATTGGAGGAGGGCTCAGTTGTTTTGCCGACAACCATTTGTGTGGGACTGGGTAATGGATATTATGTGAAAAGCTAGATCACTTGGAAGTGTCCTTACCAGCTGACATGGTTTGGCTGTGTTACCACACAAATCTCATCTTGAATTGTAGTTCCTATAATCCCCATGTGTCATGGAAAGATCTTGGTGTGAGGTAACTGAATCATGAGGTTGGGTCTTTCTCATGCTGTTCTCATGATAGTGAATAAGTCTCATGAGATCTGATGGTTTTATAAAGGGCACTCCCCCTACACATGCTCTCTCGCCTTTCACCATGTAAGACATGCCTTCGCTTCTCCTTTGCCTACTGCCATGATTGTGAGGCCTCCCCAGCCATGTGGAACTGTGAATCCATTAAACCTCTTTCCTTATAAATCGCCCAGTCTCAGGTATGTCTTTATTAGCAACATAGGAACAGACTAATACAGTAAATTTGTACCAGTAGAGTGGGGTGCTGCTGTAAAGATAACCAAAAATGTGGAAGCGACTTTGGATCTGGAAAACAGGCAGAAGTTGGAATAGTTTGGAGGGCTCAGAAGAGGACAGGAAGATATAGGAAAGTTTGGAACTTCCTAGAGACCTGTTGAATGACTTTGACCAAAATGCTGTTAGTGATATGGACAATGAAGTCCAGGTTGAAGTGGTCTCAGATAGAGATGAGGATCTTGTTGGGAACTGGAATAAGGGTAACTCTTGCTGTGTTTTAGAAAAGAGACTGGAGGCATTTTGCCCCTGCCCTCGAGATCAGTGGAACTTTGAACTTCAGAGAGACAATTTAGGGTATCTGGTGAAAGGAATTTCTAAGCAGCAAAGTGTTCAAGAGGTGACTTGGGTGCTGTTAAAAGCATTCCATTTTACATATGCCCAAAGATATGGTTTGGAATTGGAGCTTATGTTTAAAAGAGAAGCAGAGCATAAAAATTCAGAAAATTTGTAGCCTGGTGATGCCATAGAAAAGAAAAATTCATTTTGTCAGGAGAAATTCAAACCAGCTTCAGAAATTTGCATAAGTGACAAGGAGCCAAGTGTTAATCACCAAGACAATAGGTAAAATGTCTCCAGCGCATGTCTTCACAGCAGCCCCTCCCATCACAGGCCTGGAGTGTTAGGAGGAAAAAATGGCTTCGTGGGCTGGGCCCAGGGCCTTGCTGCTCTTTGCAGTCTTGGGACTTGGTCCCCTGTGTCCCAGTGATGGCTAAAAGGGGCCAACATAGAGCACAGGCCATTGCTTCAGAGGGCACAAGCCCCAAGCCTTGGCAGCTTCCATGTGGTATTGGGCCTGCAGGTGTGCAGAAGTCAAGAACTGAGGTTTGGAAACCTGTGCCTAGATTTCAGAGGATGTTTGGAAATGTCTGGATGCCCAGGCAGATGTTTGATGCAGGGCGAGGGCCCACATGGAGAACCTCTGTTAGGGCAGTGCAGAAGGAAATGTGGGGTCAGAGTCCCCACACAGAGTACCCACTGTGGCACTGCCTAGTGGAGCTGTGAGAAGAGGGCCACCATCCTACAGACCCCAGAATGGTGGATCCACTGACAACTTGCACCATACACCTGGAAAAGCCTCAGGCACTCAATGCCAGCCTGTGAAAGCAGCTAGGAGGGGTGCTGTACCCTGTAAAGCCACAGGGGCGGAGTTGCCCAAGGCCATGGGAGCCCACCTCCTGCATCAGTGTGACCTCGATGTGAGACATGGAGTCAAAGGAGATCAATTTGTAACTTTAAGTTTTAATGATTGTCCTATGGGATTTCAGACTTGAATGGTGCCTATAGCCCTTTTGTTTTGGCCAGTTTCTCCCATTTGGAATGGGTATATTTACCCAATGCCTGTACCTCCATTGTATCTAGGAAATAACTAACTTGCTTTTGATTTTACGGGCTCATAGGTGAACAGGACTTGCCTTGTCTCAGATGAGACTTTGGACTGTGGACGTTTGGGTTAATGCTGGAATGAGTTAAGACTTTGGGGGACTGCTGGGAAGGCATAATTGTGTTTTGAAATGAGAGGACATGATATTTGGGAGGGGCCCAGGCAGAATGATACAGTTTTGCTGTTTCCCTACCCAAATGTCACCTTGAATTGTAGCTCCCATAACCCCCACATTTCATGGGAGGGACCCAGTGGGAGGTAATTGAATCATAGGTGTGGGTTTTTCCTCATTCTCTTCTCTTGATACTGAATAATTCTCATGAGATCTGATAGTTTTATAAAGGGTAGTTCCCCTGCACGTGCTCTTTTGCCTGCCGCCATGTAAGACATGCCTTTGCTTTTCCTTTGCCTTCTACCATGATTGCGAGGCTTCCTCAGTCATGTGGAACTGTGAATCCATTAAACCTCTCTCCTTTATAAACTGCCAAGTCTCAGGTATGTCTCCATTAGCAGCATGAGAAGAGACTAATACACCAGCTCTAATATTTCTTGCTTCAGCTTTCAAAAGTAAGAGAACGCTTAGTCCATGGATGCTTCTGAACCCCCTTTTAACTTGTATTTCCTTAGTTATTGCATTGGATGGTCCATAAAGGTATTCATTGTTGGCTTATTTTCATTGGTTCTAAAATTATCTCTTGAGATTTGAAGTTGACCTCAAATTTCTGATATTTCATAAATTAGTGAGCCAAACTAAATTCACCTCATCCAGACTTTCCATACTTTTATAGCCTTTACAGTTAGTTTCTCATTGAACCTTCATTTTTTGAGATATGACATTAACATTTGGAAGCTATTAATTTTTTTCTGTATTTTCCATATGCTGTTTCATTATAAAATTTTATAACATCATCATAAAGTAAACAGGGTAGGTTCTACTGATTATTGCGTGTGTGTGTGTGTCTGTGTGTGTGTGTTTATGGGGAGAATTAGATTATTTGGTATGTCACCTCAGTTTTATCCTGTGATGAGATGATGTCAGAGTGTTTGGGGGAGAATGCCAGAATCAGAATGTATAAATTCTTAGTCACAAATTAGGAAGTCTTACATTGTAGTTATTTACTATATTTTTAATCCATGTAAAAATCTGTCTGCCAAGGTTTCATAAAATATTTAAGCTATAATGACATCTTGGAGACCACCATGTTTGAGGTTTCCCAAAGTCTTGTGATTCTTACTTCTGAGGTGCCATTATTAATTGCTTCTACTCAGAAACAAAGGATTCATGGACAATTGTTTCTGGGACAAGCTGGGTGAATTAAAGTTAGATAGGATTTTGTTGTGCAGGACATCTCAGAGTCTCCAGAATGTTAATGCGATGCCCAGGCTCTGAGAAGGGATCAGGTGCACAGCATTTTCTGAACATTGTTGTTCACAGAATCATTTAAAATGCTTTTGTTCTTCCTCTGTTTCTTATGCGATACAAGTCTAACCCAAAGTTGTTATTTCACTTGAGCAAAAACAAAGGCACGGAGATGTTAGAGAGATTTCCCAAAGTCATAAAACTGGTCAGCACTGAAATTGAGATTGAGCAGGGGAGGAGGAAGGGGAGGGCTCACTGAATAACACTTTTCCAAAAAGGCGTGGACAGCATGCAGCTGATGTTTACATTCTATCATGCTCATGACAGAAATGTACTTGCTTGGTTACTAAACAGGAAGAAATGTACCATATTTATTATGTGAGTCATTCTACCAAAGATGTCCCTCTTCATTAAATGCGTTACAGAAAACCAGAAATAATTTATAGCAACAATATTCCTCCTGCATTGAACACTTACTATGACATGCAGGAAAACAACAAGAAAAGGCTACTTAACGTTACCAACATCATTCTCCACACACGTATAAGTGTTTAGTAATATACACATATATGTTAATTTATATTTTATAGTCTACCAGCTTACTGAAGGTGTTACGTTTGACCCTTTCAATTTTTAAGATGAGGAAACTGAAGCCCAGATGGATTAAGTAATAAGTTCACACAATTTGTTCCTGAAAGAGCTGAAAAAAGAATCTGGGTCTCCACATTCTCAAAGCATGGTGCTCCCAATCCTATACAAGTGCTTGTTACAATCACAAATGATCAGAGATGGCCATGTCATGCTACATTTTATCCTCATTTCAACTTTCATTTGCTTTGGCAGATTAAAGTATGATTCTGAAATAAAATGACTTGTCATTCTCAAATGAGTAGGTTTCCTGTACACTTAAGCTAGAAAATGAGGACTGTTCCTTACTCATGTGAGTAGCAATGGGAACTAATTATTTGTTTTGTGCAGGATTCATTAGCTATAAATCCCCTTGATTGGAGATATTTCATGTTCACTCATTCTCAAGGGGAAGGATAGCCCTTCTTTCTCATACATAAATGCCATTTGTGCTGCAAGGCAAAAATAAGAGCCATAAGAGAAAGAAACGTGAAGGTTGTCTACCTCAGAACAGAAGGGCAACAGTTCCTTATAATGCAGTTTGTTATTCTTTTTGACTGAAAGCAGGAGATTGGCCTTCCCCAGGTCTAGACCATTTGCCTCTAGGCATGCTTGGTGTCATCACAACTGCTTCCACAGCACATTATCACTCTCATTGAAAGCGGGCCCTATATTCTTTCATTGCTTCCCTTTAGGGCTGAGCACTGGTGGTGATGCCTGGATTGCTCCTGGATTCCAAGAAACTCCCACCCAGCCATAAAAATGTTTGCCATCTGCACATCTGACCTAAGTTCTTCCTGTGAGGACCTCCTGAGGGCCCAGCATTACTGCCTTATCCCAGTCTGGACAGTTTTTCTTATAGGTGTCTGACTGCCTGTCTGGTTCTAAGAACAAGCCATTCTCCCAGCAGACAGTCATCAAAGGTCTGGTTCAGATGCCTCAGATTATGGGCCTAGTTTGCCCTGAGTGTCCTGTATTGACTGGGCAGTGCTTCCTTTTCTGAGGTACTGATCCCCAGGCTTTGGCATCTCCTGTCTAGATTACCAGGACAAGCCTGTGCCTTTCTCCCTAGGTTGTCTAGGTTCTCTAGAGTGAGTTCCCTTTTTATCTGCTATGTGTAATCTCTGTTTTGCCATAAACACTTGTATTATCTACCAGACACCTGCTCACTCCTTTAACTCTGTCTTCTCACACTTGGCCAGCCCTGTCCTATTATACTTAAAATCTTGAAACAGCATTTTATCTGGAAGCCTCGAGGATTGCAGTTGATTAGAGTCATATTCCAGAACATAAATACTAGCGTGTCAATTGTGATGCTGTCCCTGGAGGTGCTGGTTCTTGGTACTTCTGATATTTCCAAGTGTTGATTTCATCAATGTGCACTATGGAGAGGGGATACCTTCTTCCCGCCTGAAAAAGTGGGAGCAATATTTTATATGTTTTGTGACAAGACCAGTGTCAAAGGTAGCAAAGACATTGTAAATATCTAGGGCACCTGATAACTCAGGTCCAAACTGTTACAGCAGCTATGCTATTGTATGTTTCTCCATCTCCGTAGATGAGTCTGAGTAGGCACCTTTACTGGAATCCAAATCCATTTGAATTTCCCACTGCTTCTCTAAGAAGTTTTGTCTTTAGCTAATAAAGCACGATGTGGTTTCCTGTACCTCAAGCATCTGTATCACCTTGAGGTACTCCTCATGTCTCTTTCTAAGTAAGATGAACACCAAGGGATTCTGATAGAGAAGCTAGCTGGCGAGCTTTGGGAGGAGTGGGGCCATATTTATTCAAGCTTTAAAAGATAGAACAAGGCATTAAGCTCTCATCAGAACAGTTCTTTTCCCTAAACTTCCCTATTGATCCATAGTTTTGTCAGAGCCATATGAACCAGAGCAACTCCATCTTAAATAGGAACTGGGTAAAATGAGGCTAAAACCTACTGGGCTGCATTCCCAGACAGTTAAGGCATTCTAAATTACAGCATGAGATAGGAGGTCAGCACAAAATACAAGTCATAAAGACCTTGCTGATAAAACAGGTTGCAGTAAAGGAGCTGGCCAAAACCTGCCAAAACCAAAACGGCGATGAGAGTGACTTCTGGTTGTCCTCACTGCTACACTCCCATCAACACCATGACAGTTTATAAATGCCATGGCAACATCAGGAAGTTACCCTAGATGGTCTAAACAGGGGAGGCATGAATAATCCACCCCTTGTTTCACATATCATCAAGAATTAACCATAAAAATGGGCAACCAGCAGCCCTCAGGACTGCTCTGTCTATGGAACGGCCATTCTTTTATTTCTTTGCTTTCTTAATAAACTTGCTTTCACTTTGCCCTGTGGACTTGCCCTGAATTCTTTCTTGTGTGAGATCCAAGAACCCTCTCTTGGGGTCTTGATCTGGACCCCTGCCCTGTAACAGTCTGATGGCTTGCTGTTGATAAGCCAAGATCACCCTCAAAAACTTGGAGATGGGTTATGGCAGACACCTTTAGGTATCCCAAACAAAATTGTGGTGTTGCTGTCTTTGCCTTTCGCATTGAAGAAAGTCAGAAGGAATGGGAAACTTAGGGTAGAAAATATGTCCTGGAAGGAATATTACTTCTATTTAAAAATAATGTTTATTGCCAGCATATGATCATTCAGGTAATAGATACTACACACATAATATTTGTAAACTACCAAATAAGTGAACTCAGATAAAAATAAAAATCACCAAACTTCTGCCAGACAAGAATAAATACATTCTCTTATACCTATTTCTGGTTCTTTCCATATGCATATATAAAAATACATAATAATAGGTAATGACATTAAATAATATATGAATTTTCTAGTTAGCTGACTCGATTTTTAACAAAAAAAGGAATTTATACTGATTTCATAATTTTATGTAGATATTTTCACTACATGATATATTGGACAATTTCTTATGTGCTTTAAATATTCTTATAAATAATTTTAACAGTTGCTTAGAAGTCCATTGAAAGAATGTACCATTGTTTACATAATCAATTTTTCAACATTTAGGACTTGTGCTTAAACATATAAGTATTGTTTTAATATCCATCTTAATGGAATAAACTTCAAATGTATCTCTGACAATGTCCTCAAATTCCTAGAAGAGAGATTTCTAGGTCAAGTAATATATATGTTTCGAAGACAAGTGACACATATCAACAAATTATTTTCAAGAAAGACTGTACCCACTTATAGCGCTATCAGAAATGTATTAGAGAACTCACATGCTATATTATCATTAAAACAATTTCAAAAAATAAATTTTGATAACAAAATATACAAATAAATTTTAGTTTTTAAATGTGTACAACATTTTCTTTATGGGCTTGGCATTTGTTCAATTGCGATTTGTATGTACATTTGATACATCTGTTATAGTGCTCCATTTTTCTTATTGATATGTAGGAACTATTTATGTTTTGAGGCTCATATAACATTTTTCTTGTGTCTTTAAATTTCTTTTTCTAGTTTTTTACTTTCAATTTTACTTAAAGATGACATTTTTCTGTAGGTAATTTAAAAGTGGGAGAGAGAACTGAAACTCTAACTATTTGCACATGAAAATTCAATGCTCACATGCTGATATAAAACATAATATTACAAAGTGGGTTTTCAAAGAAGAGAACATTTGGCATTTGATTCTTTATCTTTGCCATGTTTCTGGACAAGCTGGCACACCTAATTCACAACCTGTGTTCTCTCTGACCAACATTTAAAGAGACTGATGTTCTTGCATGCAAACAATACATCTACAGAGAAACTGCCCATAAAGTCTCTTCTGAGATGTTTAGTGGTATAGACTTTGGCAGAAAGAGAAAATTCCTATTATATTGTTTCAAAATTCTTTGAGAAATCAGCAGTTGAGGTTTGATAGATGGGCATTTTCCATGTCATTATACCCAACATTTCTGCAGTTTATTTCTGAAAACTCTAATACATTTTCTCAGAAGAAATACAGAAAGTGCATTTTCAGGTGATAAGATCTTTCTGCTTCCTGTATCTACAGCAGACAGCAGACAGATTAGAAAAATGTCTAAAAGGGGTATCAGGTATAGAGACAAACACAAAAGAAAAATAAACATCCATCATATTAAACAAAAAGATGTTTTGACTCTTAGTCCACAGCTATCTTTAAATGTTTTAAAAGTTCTTTTCTGTTTTCCCAGTGTAGTAGATCACTTTTATTTTTATGTATTCAAAACACAAGAGTACTGTCAGTAGGAGTTTGCCAATCTGGAAGATAAGCAGAAATTTACGTCCTGCTGTGAGTTTAAACTAGAATCCAGTTTTGGCTGGGCACAGTGGTTCATGCCTATAATCCCAACACTTTGGGAGGCCAAGGTGGGTGGATCACCTGAGGTCAGGAGTTCAAGACTAGCCTGGCCAACATGGAAAAACCCCATCTCTATTAAAAATACAAAAATTAGCTGGGCGTGGTGGCACATGCCTGTAATCCCAGCTACTCAGGAGGCTGAGGCATGAGAATTGCTCAAACCCGGGAGGTGGAGATTGCAATGAGCCGAGATCATGCCACAGCACTCCAGCCTGGGTGATAGAGGGAGATGCCATCAAAAAAAAAAAAAAAAAAAGATGGAATCCAGTTTCATGTAAAATATTCCCCCAATATCCTACAATAATATTTAAAATAAAAGAATCTTAGAAATATAGGGGGTCTACCTGCCCAAATCTCATGTCAAATTGTAATCTCCAATCTTCCAGGTCGGGCCTGGTGGGAGGTGATTGGATCATGGGGATGGATCCTTCATGAATGGTTTAGCACCACCCTCTCAGTGCTGTTCTTGTGATACTGAGTGAGTGAGTTATCACGAGACTTGTTGTTTAAAAGTGTGTAGCACCTCCCACCTCTCTTTCTTGCTCCTGCTCCAGACATCTGTAGATGCCTGCTTCGGCTTTGCCTTCTGGCGTGAGTAAACCTTCCTGAGGCCTCCCAAGAAGCAGACGCTGCCATGCTTCCTGCACAGCCTGGGAAACTATGAGCCAATTCAACCTCTTTTCTTATGTATTACCCAGTCTCAGGTATTTCTTTATAGCAATGTGAGAAATGACTAATATAGGGAATCTTACAGGTTTTCTAATTAAGTAGTAGCTACATAAAGAAGAGTGAGACTGTGGGTGTGTGCTCTTGTCCATTGTGAATGTGAAGTGTTTCTTATCTTCTTTTCCTGATGGGGCTGAGAAAGAGTGCATTTGCCAGATAAATGGGCACATACTATGCACCTAAAAATATTGTTAATTTGCTTTAGCAAGGAAATCACATTTTACATGGCAGTTGCGATTGGGCTGCTACTGGATTGCATTTGTGTGAGTCCACTGTCCTCCTCTAGGTTCTGGCTGATTTTTCCAGTGATCAGAATGGTAAATTCAATGGTGATGTGATAGAAACCACCACCTCTTCATAATTTAGATCTGTAGGGGTGGCACTGATCTCTGGTATTTTCCCTAATAGGGCAATTTCTGAGGCTTTCACTCAGCTTTCTCCACGATGATAGCTCTTACCCCATAGGCCAAGGCATTAGTGTAGGGGTTCTGCCAACTAGCAAGTATGTAAATTCTAATTATAAATTGGGTCCGAGCACATGACCCCTGGTATATCCCTGGACTGGGTGGATTCTCTGTGAGCTGGACCTGAGCCACAACTCCATTTATTAATAGGATGCTTACTCTAATGGGTGAGGCATGATGACTCTTTGGGTCCCCAGATGTTAATGTCAGTTAGGACCATGTATCCAGTAAGTTTTTAAAACGTTTGGATATTCCCTGTTTCCTAGGATATGGTACCCAGTTGAATGGTTGTATTTGCCTTTGGGGAAGAATTAGGAGTATTATTATCATATACATTTACTGTAATATTATAGGGCCTTTTCATTGAGAAGTAGGCCTTCCTTTCAATTAATTGGTTCTAGGTCTGAGAACTCACTCAGATCCAAAAACTTAGCAAGGGATTTTGACTTTTCACTGGGATAATTTCTCTCAGCCTGCAGGTTATCTATTTTTTATTTCTTTGGGGGCAGATAGATCTACCTAAGGATGCTGTGTTATCACCATTCAAGAAGCTCCCATTTGGTCAATCCTCCTTGGCTGATATTCTGACCCTTCTGCTCAGCTCATTATAATTGTTCTTACTTTGTTTTGATAGAAAAATACCATCCTGTGGACTCCACAGTTCAGGACTATTTTATTTTTGTTGCTATAAGTGCGACTAACTCTGTAAGAACATCTCCTACCAGTGCTTCTGGCCTTCAGAGGACAGCTATTATTGACCTTAGCATCTCCCTATTTCCCCCACCACAGTTCCCAGTTTCCATATGGTATCATAGTCAAGTTTATGGCCAAGTAGATATTGGACCATTGTTGACATATGAATAGGTTTTCTAGTTGGGGCTGGTTCTTGAGTACAATGGAGGGAGGAGTAACATCAATGCATTTGCAAATGAGTGAACAAAAAGGAACAGGGGATCTACCTGGGTAAGAAGGGAAATACCTGTGACCAGTGAAAATAGGAAAAAAGTAACAAGGTCACAGAACTGAAAGTCATGATGAGGCTATGTAATTGCTAAAGCTGGAGCTCTAGAGAAAGTGAGATGGAAGGATAGGAAATATGAGACACTGCGTACCCACCTCGTTAGGCTGATTTACACTTTCCAAATCCCAAGCCTTTTCTGGTCAGTTTGTTTCCAAGATCCAGATGCTTTCTCTTTAGGTATTAATTCATCTGTGGATACAGGGCTACGGTAAGCAAAACAGCATGGTACTGGTATAAGAACAGACACATAGACCAATGGAACAGAATACAGAACCCAGAAATAAGACTGCACACCTACAACTATCTGATCTTCAACAAACATGACAAAAACAAGCAATGAATGCAGCGTTCCCTATTTAATAAATGGTGCTGGGATAACTGGCTAGCCATATGCAGAAAATGGAAACTGGACCTCTTCCATATACCATATTCAAAAGTCAACTTAGGATGGATTAAAGACTTAAATGTAGGCCGGGCGCAGTGGCTCGCGCCTGTAATCCCAGCACTTTGGGAGGCCAAGGCGGGCAGATCACGAGGTCAGGAGATCGAGATCATCCTGGCTAACGTGGTGAAACCCTGTCTCTACTAAAAAATACAAAAAATTAGCCAAGTGTGGTGGCAGGCGCCTGTAGTCCCAGCTACTCGGGAGGCTGAGGCAGGAGAATGGTGTGAACCCGGGAGGCGGAGCTTGCAGTGAGTGGAGATAGTGCCACTGCACTCCGGCCTGGGCGAAAAAGTGAGACTCCGTCTCAAAAAAAAAAAAAAAAAAAAAAAAGACTTAAATGTAAAACCCAAAACTGTAAAAACCCTAGAAAAAAAACCTAGGCAATACCATTCAGGACATAGGCACAAGCAAAGATTTTATGATGAAGATGCCAAAAACAATTGCAACAAAAGCAAAAATTGACAAATGGGATCTAATTGAACTAAAGAGCTTCTGCACAGCAAAATAAAACTATCAACAAAGTAAACAGACAACCTACAGAATGGGAGAAAATTTTTGCAAACTATTCATCTGAAAAAGGTCTAATATCCATTATCTATAAGGAACCTACAAAAATTTACAAGAAAAAAATGATTAAAAAATGGGCAAAGGACATGAAGAGACACTTCTCAAAAGAAGACATACATTAGGCCAATAATCATATGAAAAAAGCTCAACATCACTGATCATTAGAGAAATGCAAATCAAAACCACAATGATATACCATCTCACCCTAGTCAGAATGGCTGTTACTAAAATGTCAAAAAATAACAGAGGCTGACAAGGTTGTGGAGAAAAAGGAACGCTTTTACACTGTTGGTGGGAGTGTAAATTAGTTTAACCATTGTGGAAAACAGTGTGACGATTCCTCAGAGACCTAAAAACAGAAATACCATTTGACCCCAGCAATCCCACGACTGGGTATATACCACCCCCCAACCCCCGCAAAAAAAATAAATGATTCTATTATAAAGACACATGTACATGTATGTTTATTGCAGTACTATTCACAATAATAAAGACATGGAATCAACCTACATGCCCATCAGTGATGCACTGAATAAAGAAAATGTGGTACATAAACACCATGAAATACTATACAGCCATAACAAAGAAAGTGATTATGTCCTTTGCAGGGACATAAATGGAGCTGGAGGCCATTATGCTTGGCAATCTAACACAGGGACAGAAAACCAAATACAGCATGTTTTTGTTTACAAGTGGGAGGTAAATGATGAGAACACATGGACACACAGAGGAAAACAACACACAGTGGGGCCCACTGGAGTGCAGAGGGTGGAAGGAGGGAGAGGATCAGGAAAAAGAACTAATGGGTACTAGGCTTAATATCTGGCTGATGAAATAATCTGTACAACAAACCCCCAGGACACACGTTTACCTGTGTAACAAACCTGCACATCCTGCACATGTACCCCTGAACTTAAAAGTTAAAAAAAAAAAAAATATATATATATATATATATATATATATATATATATATATATATATATATATATATATAAAAATTACCTTGATGCCCTATGGCCTGCATATACATGGGCTACTAAATGGGTACTGTGATGGGTTCAGAACTATTAGTAAAAACTTTCCCAGATTCAGACCTTCCTGTGATTGCCCTTCTTGAATTTTGACCCTTCTTGACTTCTCTATACTCTGTGCTCTGAATCTTGGCTCATTATCCATGCAAGAGCCTAGCTGTCACAGTGAATTCTCTTAGGTAGTCATTAGGTTCCAGTCGGTTCCTGGAAGTGGAACCTCTGGCAGAGGTACCACGCCCTTTGGGTGTGCTTTGTGCTCCAGGGGGAAAGAACTAGAACTGCATCCACGAGTTTGTTAAAGCTGCACTAAAGGAAGCTGTCTCCATCTTCATGCTGTGAACTCCTTTCTCCTGTTTTCTCTCAACACTTGGGAAGACGTTGTATCTGTCTTGTGAGCATGCATTCATTATTTGTTAAAATATTATTCTGCTTCTCTTATTTTTATTTCTTATTATATCAATATTTTTTCATTGCTCATTTTTTCTCCTCTAAGTTAATGGTTCTAAGTTGAACTCCTGTATACAAATGTACTAGTTTCAGAATTGTTAATCTACAACCACACAGGAAAAACCAAATAGAGTGCATCTTACATGCACATATTATACACGTTAATTTTGCCTTTATTTAGTTGTATAAACTCCATTCATTTCCTGAGCTACTCAGATTAGCACCTTTTTCTTCCAGTCCTTTCAGTGAAGTTTTTTTAAACATTTGTAATCAGTCAATTTTTTTCTTATAGTCGGTATTCTACCTTAGGTTCCATTGACTTCTGAAAGGACTTTGAAAATTTGCATACATTGTTTACTCCTTGTGGTATAGAATTCTGTGAAATTTGGAAAAAATGTGTAGTGTCATATATCCACCATTACACTATCATATTTCACTGCCCTAAAGAAAATCCCCTGCACTTCAACCCTCCTCTCTCCACTCCTGAAGCTCTGGTAACCACTGATCTATTTGGAATGTATATAGTTTTGTCCTTTCCAGAATTTAATATAAATGGAATCATACAATACGCTTTCCTGGGCTGCCTTCTTTCATTTAGTGATATGTATTTAAGATTCATCTATGATTTGTATGGCTTCATAGTTCATTTCTTTTTATTGCTGAATATTACTTTATTATATAGATATATCACAAATTTGTCTGTTCTCCTATTGACAAAGTCAGATGAGAAGCTGTGACATAGCCCTTTGTTCCATGTGACTGTATGTAAAGAGAGCTAGTCTGCAGACAGAGACAGATAAAGCAAATGCATGGATGATAACAGGTAAAGATGTGAAATGCATAGGCAGAGGTGCCCTGGATACCTGACACTATATCCTTTCCTGATGCCAGCTTCTTCTTAAGATTCAGCTGCTGTCTTTTGCTTCTGCGACCCCCTTTCCCCAATAACTTCATGATAAATTTCCATGTTGATTCTTAAGCTAGCTCAGTGATTATCTGTTACCTGAATTCCAATGCTCTCAAATAATACAGAAGCACATGCTATTATTAATGTCAAAATCATAAATGAGATCTCTGTTCAGTCCAAAGCTCCATCCAGCTTCAGACAGTTTGAAACTCAGGCCATTTGGCCCTTCATGCCTTTCCTAGTTACAAAGCCCTATGTATGTAATGTCTAGGTCGTAGGGAATATATGATAACATGTTATCAAATATAGCTGATGAGAGTGGAGGTCAAAAAAGAGTGGGTAAATAACTCTGCATACTGATCCTTTACTATTCAGAAAACAACTCAAAATGTCTGTCCCTTGTATAAAGCAGGAAGAAATAGCTAACATTCATTGTGTCCTTCTTTCAGGGTCCAGAGCCAGCACATTGACTTTAGGACTTTTAAAAATTGGATGTGATAAAGAGAGACTTAGCCATTGATTAAGCAGGAGGCAACAATGTGTTTTCTTTATAGGTTTAAATGGCCTTTGTAGATAGCAGTGACTGTGGGTGTGCAAATGCTGAATTAATTCTACCAGACCAGCCTGAAAACAGGTTGACTGAACCCTTGGATGTCAATTTCCTCAAAAGAGCAATGTGAAAAGTTTCTAGTTTTTAGCATTAGGGATTGAATCACTGTTTTCAGGACTATTCAATCTACCAAGTCAACATCTCATTAAATTCTAAGCACTGTTGTGGATGACAAGGTAGGAGGTGGGAAGATGTGAGTTAGGGATGGAGGGTAAGGGACCTAAAGATAGGGCTAACGAACATGGTTTGGGTGTTGTGCCTCAGGAAGTGACTAGGAGAAGCAATGACACCAACATACACCTGTCTGGCCATGAGCATGCATTTTTTCCTACTCATGTGGGCCTTTGTGGTAGGTGGGAAAAGGTGTCTCTCAGTTTACTTCATAGACTCCCTGCCAGAAACCTCCATGTAGGCAAGGGGTTTCCCTAATAAGCATCTACTGTACTATATACAACCACTTACTGGGAAATATATAGTGCCCTCAAAATCTCCTCTTCCCTGGAGACGGTGGAGATTTTTGGAGCTCAGCTTATACAGACACTCTGTGTTAGCTTATACAGACACTCTGTGTTCTCCTTAACCATTCCACACCCAGGGTAAAGTCCATGAAGTCAGTGTTAGCTAGAAGGAATTTCCTGATGAAACTGCTGGGCATTAATGGGAGAATCTGTGCTTTCTCAGAGTAACAGGAGTTGTAGTTTAGAACTTGACTATTTCCAAATTCTTCCTCCTGCCACAGTCTCTTTATAATTCATTGAAACCTCCTTGTTCCAGAGCTGAAGATCAGGAGATCAGTATCATCTGCATTTTCCCAAACATCAAAGGAAGGCAGTTTTTCACAAGGGGGTCAGCTGTACTCATATGCCCCGTTTTACGTGTGATGATGATGACGCTGTTGCTGCTATTGACAATGAATTTATCCCACCAGAAGATACACATTTCAGTAAAAATGAGGCAGATATACCATGGAGACTAGGAAAAGGCTCCTAAAAGACCATCTTCTCCAGGAATCTTCCATACCACAAATATGAGACAACATTTCCCTTCTCTTTTCTGTCAATAAAAAATCTTTTGAAGAATTGTTTGCCTTCCTTATAGTAAATTCAAGTTGTTTTTGTTTTTGTTATTGTTGTTTATTTGTTTAGTATTGTTTTGGTAGGATAAAAATAGAGCCATGAAATCAGCAAGATTTGGACTTAATCTGGAGAAACACAATTACTAGTCATATAAATTTAAGCAACTTGCTTTACTTCTCTAGGCCTCCATTTCAACTATAAAATTGAGATAAAAATGCCTATGGTTGAGCTGTTGTGAGGATTGTAAGATGACGTACACAAAGTGCTTAGAACTACTCTATACTCACTATCTAGAGTAAGTATTTTTTTCTTTCCTGCTAGTTTCTCTTTTGCTTGCCTCATACAATAGCATCAATCATGGGGGCCACAGGCATGAGAATCTGTTTTATAGAAGGAAATGAGAATGTTTTTATATAAGGAAATGAAAGATTTCACCTAATGACTTTACAAGTTCTGATGATTTTTATATTAGCCATGTCCATATCTCCCACTGGACTAAAGCAGTTGCATTTCTAAGCCTTTAAAATTGGTGTGCTACATCTGCATAGAATGTTAGAGCCAAGAAAGTCTTTTCAGGTGGTTTATTAGTGTAATTCCTCCATTTTGCAGAAGAAGAAATTGTTACCTTAACAGTTGAGAAGATTGTTTGAGATCATTTGGCTAGGTAGTACCAAAGCAAAATTTGAATTCATTCCAGTCCATTTCCATTCTGTTATCCTACCTAATAGCTGACATTAAAGATGTAAAAATTTTCCCTGGGTTGTCTTCTTGCTAACTTTTTAATAAAAAAAATGAAGAAAGGTCCAATTTTTCTTTCCCATTTTATCTTAGTTCAAGATTATATACCCAAGTTTTCAATCACTGTAGAGCAGGGCAAATTATGGATGCATTTTGGAGAAAAGTAAGAACTAAACAATTCCATGCAGCCAAAACATCCTTAAAAAACAACCTTCTTTGAAGAATATACCCAGATTCCAATAAGGAAACACAAGAGCCCTCACAGGCCGTTCACATAGCACAGCATCTAAGAACAAGCACCAGGACACCAACAACACGACCCAGAAACGACACTAATTAAAAAATGCAGCAGAGAATGAAGCTGGGCCACCTGCATCACAAATATACAGTGTTCAAACCAGAGAAAGGAAAGAAAATTCCACCATTGTTGGTTCCACAAGAAGCATGCTGTGGCCTCTTTGATGTTTCATCAGAGGGTGTCTGCAATAAACAGACAGGCCTGAAAATGTTCAGCTATTCAGTTAGGAGGTCAGCATTAGGATCAAACAATATCAGGAGAGACTGGTGGGATGAGCCTGATGTTTTCTACCTGCATGACTTGGATGAAGAGCAAGACCATTTTCAAGTGTAAGATTTGTTCAGCAGCCACACCTGTTCCATGTGTGGAGGCGACCAAGCAAGACAGTGGCAGGAGGCACACCACAGTTTCTTGGTTCTACTTGGAGAGACAAGGCAGCTCCATGCTAAGAATACTGACCACTAGGAATATCAAAACCTCAGTTCCAGGTGGGTGACACAGGCATGAGAGCAGGAGCAGTCAGGGTTAGAAGAGACTCCTGAGGTAGCAGTGAAAGAGGGTGTTACAAAGCAGTGAGGTTCTGACTATGTCCCTTTGCCTGCCCACTTCCTCTTGGGCCTATGGGTCTGAAGCATAGCAGGTTAATTTGGACCTTTGTAGTATATCACCTGCTATTGACCTCTTTGTGTTCATTACAGGACTTACAGAAAAGTTGGGAACATGAGCTACTGCTTCTGTGCTATCTCCTTGTGTCCCCGGCACCAGCTGAGGCTGTGTGGGAAGCTCCTTTACCAACTCAACCTTAACAGGATGCAATGATGATGGTGCTGTGGTCCTGCTTAGACACTTTTCAGGTGCCTATGTCTTCCTCTCAGGGCCCTTAACGCTGTTCATTCCCACTTCTCCAAATTTTCAAGATTTTATTCCCTGAAGAGGCTTCTGGAACTATCACTTTCTCCTGAATGTGCTCGATTTTTCACGTGTTTCAGTGGTTCCTGTAGCCACTGGGCTATTTACCAGTTGCCTTCACTTGTGTCTTTGGCTGATACAGCCTCTGGATAATTGATGATTTGTGTCTGTCTAGTAACACTGTTGAATCTCTTCACTCTTCTTGCTCATGTGTAACTTAGATTTGAATATCACAATTAACTCTTTACTATATAAGGAAAAAAAAATAAGATCTTCTTGCCAGGCGTGGTGGCTCAGGCCTGTAATCCCAGCACTTTGGGAGGCCGAGGCAGGTGGATCATCTGAGGTTGGGAGTTCAAGACCAGCCTGACCAATATGGAGAAACCCCATCTCTACTAAAAATACAAAATTAGCCAGGTATGGTGGTACGTGCCTATAATCCCAGCTACTCGGGAGGCTGAAGCAGGAAAATCGATAGAACACAGGGGGCGGAGGTTGTGGTGAGCCGAGATGCACCATTGCACTCCAGCCTGGGCAACAAGAGCGAAACTCTGTCTTAAAAAAAAAAAAAAAAGAAAAACTTCTTAATATTCCCCCGGCATGTTCTATGGTTGTTACCCTTAAATATTATTGTAAGCATTATTTAACTGTGCACTGGCTGTTGTAGGAAACAAAGATGTGTTCTCTTCTCAGTGGATTAACAATTTAAATCAGAAAAGTAATATATTCTAAGAAGTTGAGGAAAGTATAATAGGAAAATGGATAAAATGCCCAGGAGACGGGTCATTATTTTGAGGAGGTATGTGTCTCTGACCACGTGTTGACTAAACCCTGCAACCCACCAGAAGGTACTTGTTGAGGCCCTTGGAGGATTGCTTTGATAACTTGAACTGGCAACAAACTAGTTTCCAGCTGGGAAAGGCTTCTTTTACTCCACTTAAAGAACAGATAACGATAGATTTTAATTGTTTTATTCAATTTGAACAACTACCACATACCTCTGCATCCTAGGGTTCGCACCTTGCTATAGACAGGCCTGCTTCTAAGTATGGGCTGTAACCTACACTGCCATTTTTCTTGCAAAAAAGGGGTAGGTTTCCAGTATACACAAGGCATTAGTAGGACCTATAGACACAGGTGAGCAAAGGACATCGGGTATCTGTCCTCTTGGAGTTTATAGTCCAGGGAAGTGCTTTCCCTTACCTGTGAACCATATGATTATGTGTTTAGTTATACCTGCTCTGCTATTCACAATAGCAAAGACATGGAATCAACCTAAATGCCCATTAATGATAGACTGGATAAATAAAATGTGGTACATAGATACCATGGAATACTATGCAACCATAAAAAAGAATGAGATCATTCCTTTGCAGGGACATAAATGGGGCTCAGGTCATTATTCTTAGCAAACTAATGCAGGAACAGAAAGCCAAATATCACATGTTCTCACTTATAAGTGGGAGCTAAATAATGAGAACACATGGACACATAGAGGGGAACAACACACACTGGGACCTTTTGGAGGGTAGAGGGTGGGAGGAGGGATAGGATCAGAAAAATAACTAATGGGTACTAGGCTTAATACCTGGGTGATGAGATAATCTGTATAACAAATCCCCATGACACAAATTTACCTATATAACAAACCTGCACTTGTATCCCTGAACATAAAAGTTAAAAAAATAATAATTATACCTGCCTTGGATGCGAAGTTCTGTGAGAGGGACCTGACCTAGCCTGGGAGTGGAAGTGGTCAGAGAAGCTTTCCCTGAAGATGGAATAATTAAGGTGGTATTAGAGGTGAGCGGGGATTACTCAGGGGAAGGGGAGGATATCAGAGGATGCAGTAAAAGGCAAGGGGACTGTGCATGTAGAAGCCCCCAAGGCACAGAGGAGGTGCGTGCCACCCTTTAGAAAGCTGATGATGGCCATTGTAGGCCTGAAGCGGGGAAGGTGGCCAGAGGGAAGGTTGGAAAGACAAATAAAGACCAGATCAGGCAGGGCCTGGTGCACAGTGTTGAGGATTTGGAATTTTGTTTTGAGAACACAGATAGTCCTTGTAGGGAGTGTGCAGTTAAACAGGAGGTAGATTCGAGATGTCATGACAATCTGGAAACCGTGGAGTTCAATGCATATTAAGTGGAGCCAAGCTTGATTCCGGTTAAAACGTACCTACTCTTGGCTAATGTGAAGAAACACTGATACAAAAATTGATCCCATTTTTGGGTGTCTTTTTTCTTTTTTTTCAACAGAACCATTAGAGTTTGTCTTTATGGCACTCATCTGGGAACTCTGCCCTTGACCTTTACAGACAGGGTGGGGAAGAATCTGGCCCTGGAAACCGCAGATCCCCCCTTGTGATCTATAGTCTTCTCTACTCATTTCTTTTTTTTTTTTTAATTTATTTTTTTATTATACTTTAAGTTTTACGGTACATGTGCACATTGTGCAGGTTAGTTACATATGTATACATGTGCCGTGCTGGTGCGCTGCACCCACTAACTCGTCATCTAGCATTAGGTATATCTCCCGATGCTATCCCTCCCCCCTCCCCCCACCCCACAACAGTCCCCAGAGTGTGATATTCCCCTTCCTGTGTCCATGTGATCTCATTGCTCAATTCCCACCTATGAGTGAGAATATGCGGTGTTTGGTTTTTTGTTCTTGCGATAGTTTACTGAGAATGATGATTTCCAATTTCATCCATGTCCCTACAAAGGACGTGAACTCATCATTTTTTATGGCTGCATAGTATTCCATGGTGTATATGTGCCACATTTTCTTAATCCAGTCTATCATTGTTGGACATTTGGGTTGGTTCCAAGTCTTTGCTATTGTGAATAATGCCACAATAAACATACGTGTGCATGTGTCTTTATAGCAGCATGATTTATAGTCATTTGGGTATATACCCAGTAATGGGATGGCTGGGTCAAATGGTATTTCTAGTTCTAGATCCCTGAGGAATCGCCACACTGACTTCCACAATGGTTGAACTAGTTTACAGTCCCACCAACAGTGTAAAAGTGTTCCTGTTTCTCCACATCCTCTCCAGCACCTGTTGTTTCCTGACTTTTTAATGATTGCCATTCTAACTGGTGTGAGATGGTATCTCATAGTGGTTTTGATTTGCATTTTTCTGATGGCCAGTGATGATGAGCATTTTTTCATGTGTTTTTTGGCTGCATAAATGTCTTCTTTTGAAGTGTCTGTTCATGTCCTTCGCCCACTTTTTGATGGGGTTGTTTGTTTTTTTCTTGTAAATTTGTTTGAGTTCATTGTAGATTCTGGATATTAGCCCTTTGTCAGATGAGTAGGTTGCGAAAATTTTCTCCCATTCTGTAGGTTGCCTGTTCACTCTGATGGTAGTTTCTTTTGCTGTGCAGAAGCTCTTTATTTTAATTAGATCCCATTTGTCAATTTTGTCTTTTGTTGCCATTGCGTTTGGTGTTTTGGACATGAAGTCCTTGCCCATGCCTATGTCTTGAATGGTAATGCCTAGGTTTTCTTCTAGGGTTTTTATGGTTTTAGGTCTAACGTTTAAATCTTTAATCCATCTTGAATTGATTTTTGTATAAGGTGTAAGGAAGGGATCCAGTTTCAGCTTTCTACATATGGCTAGCCAGTTTTCCCAGCACCATTTATTAAATAGGGAATCCTTTCCCCATTGCTTGTTTTTCTCAGGTTTGTCAAAGATCAGATAGTTGTAGGTATGCGGCATTATTTCTGAGGGCGCTGTTCTGTTCCATTGATCTATATCTCTGTTTTGGTACCAGTACCATGCTGTTTTGGTTACTGTAGCCTTGTAGTATAGTTTGAAGTCAGGTAGTGTGATGCCTCCAGCTTTGTTCTTTTGGCTTAGGATTGACTTGGCAATGCGGGCTCTTTTTTGGTTCCATATGAACTTTATAGTAGTTTTTTCCAATTCTGTGAAGAAAGTCATTGGTAGCTTGATGGGGATGGCATTGAATCTGTAAATTACCTTGGGCAATATGGCCATTTTCACGATATTGATTCTTCCTACCCATGAGCATGGAATGTTCTTCCATTTGTTTGTATCCTCTTTTATTTCTTTGAGCAGTGGTTTGTAGTTCTCCTTGAAGAGGTCCTTCACATCCCTTGTAAGTTGGATTCCTAGGTATTTTATTCTCTTTGTAGCAATTGTGAATGGGAGTTCACTCATGATTTGGCTCTCTGTTTGTCTGTTGTTGGTGTATAAGAATGCTTGTGATTTTTGCACATTGATTTTGTATAATTCTCTACTCATTTCTTAGTTCCGTCAGGTATGCATTCCTTTTGGAACACAAAGTTCAAAAGTGGATAGACACAAAGGAGTGTGAACTTGGTGTCTATGGAGGTTGGTGGTGATCCGTGGAAAAGCAACAGCTAAGTCCCCAAGTGGGGGGAAGTTAAGCTGCCTCTCTCAACCTCACTCCACATTCCTCCTCGGGACTGGTACACAAGCTTTTTTGTGCACGTTAATATGGATAGCTACGGATTAGTTTGTAAATGGATTAAATATCAATTTAAGGTTAACAACTGTAGAATTGATTAAATCCACTGAGATTATTAAGATCAATGTCTTTAGGCTCAGAGAGAGGTAGAAATTAGGAAGAGGATTTACTATTGATTTTGGACTGTTGCTGCCTCCTTAAATTCATGCTGAGGGATGTCCATACCACCCTCCAACTAGTTCTTTCTTTTAGTGTTTTGTCTCCCTCATCTCCCCAACAACCAGTCCTTTCTTTTAGTCTATACTTTACTGTCTGCCTCCTCTCCCTTCTCCTATCAGCCAACAACCCCACCTCATCCCCCATCCCATCACATCTAACCTCCATTACTTGTTTCTTTCCCTCCCTCCCTCTCCCATCCCCCCTCCTCCTTCCCTCCCTTCCCCTTCCCTTTCCCCTTCCCTCTTCCCCCTTCCTTCCTTCTTTCCTTCCTTCCTTCCCTTCCTTCCTTTTTTCCTTCCTTCCTTCCTTCTTTCCTCCCTTCCTTCCTTCTTTCCTTCCTTCCTTCCTTCCTTCCTCCCTGTCTCCCTCCTTTCTTGCTTCCTTCCTTCCATTCATATTTATTTCTTTGTGATGTAAAATTTAATAGACAATGTATGAAGAATATGAAGAAATCATACACAAGAACTAGTTGTTGGAGGTGTGGGGGAGACAATCATACACAATAATATTATGTCAAGAAAGACTTCCCAAGAGTCAGCTCCTTTCTATGATGGAATGAGCTCCCAGGAGATACAATAGGAGGCCAATCACTTGAATTATTTAAAACTCAACTGGACAAAGTCATCAAAGATGTGCTGCCAGGAAGGCCCAGCCTCAGCCATATAGGAATGAAGAAAATGGTCCTAACAGGATTTTTCTCTTCTCAGCTCAGTTTTTCTCTAGGCTAAATTCTGTAACTCCTGCTGAAATCAGCTCTATCTATAGTCAGCAAGTTTCACTACTCTACTGTGGCAAAATTCATCAGAAATTAGAACAAAATAAGGGTAGGAGCTATTAGGGATGCCCTTCTCAAGGAAAAGCCTGTTCTTGTTGATGAAATATTGAACTTGATATCTAAGGAGCTCAGTTCTTATTCTAGGCCAGCTCCTGATTATGGGATAAGAAAGGAAAGTTATTCTGCTACTTCATGACAAAATGTCCTGGTTATACATTACTTCCAGAAGTGTCTGAGTAAATGAGTAAAGCACTACAGCTTTCTCCCTGCAAAATGTTTGTTTCCCCAATATACATTTATGACATTTATACTAAGATCCACTTATTTTTATTTTTAATATATTATCCTTGCAGTGCATTGCAGGAGTCTTTCTCATTTTTTTTTTTAATTTGTGGACTGCTTCATGAATTTTCCTGTCATCTTTGCTCAGGGGCAAATGCTGATCTTCTCTGTATTGTTCCAATTTTAGTATATGTGCTGTCTAACTGAACACCAGAAATCTTTTAACAGAAAGTATGTGGAATGTAAATATTGCTACTTTGGAACAGACCAATGTCCTTGCTGCCTAGCACTGTAGGACTTATGGAAAGCTGTTGCTGTTTACAGTGATGATGTCACCAGACAAACATATCCCTTGATTCTCCTCAAACTTTGATAGAAACCCACTTGATTCTACAAACCAACAGAACTTTCTACATGGGATGCATACTTTATAATTTTTTTTCACAAGTATCCTTTTATTTGATCTTTGATTTGGGTATTATTAAGATTGTTTTACAGATGAAAATCCTAGAGCTGACAAGGGGAAAACTAATTTTCTCAGTGACCCAGAGCTAGCAAGTGATAGAGTGGGAACACAGTCTGTCTCCAAAGCCCTATAGCCTTCTCATTTTACCACCCTGCCCTTCCTAACCCTTTTCCAGGCCTCAGCCTAGCAATCTACAGATGATGAACCTCCCTACCCTCTCTATATATCTAGCCAAATTGACCACATACAATGTTGTAGTCAGTCTCAAAAGCTGCTTCTTTGAATGTAATTTTTCATTCTCCGGGAAAGAAATGCAAATTCCTTTGGATTGTATACCTCTCGGTTGAAGAAATTAGCCCTTTTCCTGATTAGCCAAGAATCGGATCCATTCTGCCTCCTCTCTTTGCAGATCCCTCTTTCCCTAGCCTCCTGATACAAGCTCATCCACCCAACCAGGCCAGGACACCTGAGTGATTCCCCGGGCTTTGAGAACACAGCTTTTTGGGGCAACAACTTACTCTGGACTAGGTTTGACAGGAAGACCAATTTATTTGTGCCCTCACTTTGACATAGTAAAGAGCCTGCTGTCTTTTGCAACTGACTGGATCCCTTGACCACTTCCGAGGGACCATCAAAACTCAAAGTTCTGACCATAAGGATGGTAAGAAGTAAAATAAGTAAATGAATGAACCTAAAATAAATTATCCAAGTACTATGAATACAACACAGGAAAAAAAATTTTCCCAGTAGAGAACTTAACATGACCTTCACTGAATGCCTTTCAAAGCTGAACTACTACATTCATTCCTCATGTCCCCTGACAAACCTGAATCTTGTCACCTGCCAAAGGTATCTTTCTGTAGCGTCTGTGTCCCTGAATTAATGTAAGGTATTTCTTTAGCCACGTATTGGTTTCTGTCTTGTTAGCCTTCTGTTTCTGAGTTGCAGGTTTCTGTTAAGAATGTTTCAGTTTAGAACAAGTAAATAAAAAGAAATTATGCTTCTTTCATTGTTTGTCTTGCAATTTCCCTACTGGCACAATTCCCTGAGGAAAGGACTAACTTTCTAGAAATCAGCTTTCTCCACAGCTAGACCAATATATCTGAAAACTCAGAGATGAGAGCAATGTTAATCAGCAGGTAAAACCCATTGGTTTCTCTGGAAGGAGTTAGGAGGTGGAGTGAATGGAGTTGGCATGGCAAGGCTGGACCTGTTTTAGCAGTAGTAATGTTAGTAATTAAGTGAAAATAATTATAATAGTGATAGCAACTTTTATTGATTAGCACTGTAATAAATACAGTAACACACTATCTCACTTGAAACTCACCCAAAGCCCATCAGGTAGGTACTAATATTCTCCACTTTTCAAATGAGAAAACTGAGGCTTTGTCAGGATCTCATGATCTGCTTTATTATTCACAACGTGCTTCGTGACTATGGTGACAGAGATATCAATTTACTGTCTACCCAGGGCCCAATGCCGGTGATGCTTGTCTTCTGTTTTTCTCCCTTCCTCCCAGAGCTCCAGGCTCTGGATGAATGTCTTGTAGGTGATTTATTATATCCCTACTATTCTTTGCAGGTGCAGATAGGGAAAGATAGAAATGCCACCCAGTGCAATTTGTCCCCTTATGATTTAAAAATGTTTTTCTTATTGCCTATAAATTCTATTTCTCCCCGGTTAGAAGAAATATGAAATAGCCGCAATAGAGTAGAACTTGGGATTTGATAACTTTGAACTCTGTTCTTCCAGCTTAACGTGTGGCCTCTTGCAAGGCAATTCACTCCATAGGTAATAACTTTCTTACCTTAAACATAAGGGATTGCATTAGAAGATCTGTAAGATCCCTGTCTGCTGCAGAATTGCATGTTTCTGTGATCACATGGTTTTCAGTCATTTATTTTGATGTCGTATAAACTCAGACTTCTCTTAAGGATAAGTTAGGTTTGGCTCAATGCCACAATGACTGCCATATGAAATCTATTTGATTAGTCTTGCTTTAACATATCATGAATTTACTTAAGAAAATAAACTCAACAGATCTTAGGCTTCATGAAATAGTAAGGTATTGTTTGTGTCAGAAAAATAGGGGATCAACTCTAGGTGTTGTCAAATGTAAACGCTGACACAGTATAATTTTCAAGAAGTTAAAAACAAGAATGTTGTAAAAATACATAGAAAGTATGTGCCAGGAATGACTTAAATCATTAACAAGGAAACCAGCAAGATGGTAAAGCTGGTTCAGAGAGAACTTGAGGAACAGAAATTCACGTAGTCTATCAGGAAGGGCATGCTGAAATAAGTTTGCAAGTCAGACACAAAGCTGGCTAGTTTCCTACAGAGCAAAAAACTATTACATTTTGCGGCATCTTTTCTACTGGCCGAAAGTCTCTTGAATTTCTACTCAACAAACACCCACAAATTAGTATGTAACTCAGTATCTGAGCCTTAATCAATAGTAAATAGCAAATCAAACAAAGGTACACTTAGTAGAGAATTAAATAATAGTCTAATGTGCTTGTTAGGTAATACTTCAGCATTGAAAAAAACATAACCATCCTTCTGCCTTATTTTCATGTTTTGGATAAATCTTATTGTCAATGAAATTCGCTGTTCAACAATATTATCTTTCTATAACTAAGATTCAGCATCCACAAAAGGGATAAGTGATACCCACCTAAAAGGACTGATGTGAGTCTTACATAAGATTTGTAATTCATGTAGTTATGGACCAAAACCTAGTCGTTTGTGATCCTTTACTTTGTGTTTTGGAAACAACTACACTCAAAAGGTGAATGATTGCCAGATTTCTAAGTAATGTCCTTATTCTCCAAGTTTATGCGAGATTGTTCTTTGGCATAATTGCCCCAGAAATCAGAGAAGCGAAAAACAGAGAGAAGCACTAATGGTGTACTTGCTTCCCACCCACACATCATTATCAGACAATAAGTGGCCCTATTTTAGGGGATGAGGAACAGAATAGAATTCAAATTTTTGACAATTTTTTTCTTCTACATGGTCTGTCATCCTGGAGGCTGGAGTACAGTGGTATAATCATAGCTCACTGAAACTTCAAACTCCTGGGTTCACAAAATTTGATAAATATTCAAGAATATTTTCAGTTATCCATTATTTTAAAAATAATTTAAATATCTATAAAATCATGGAGTATCTTGAGATAATAGAGACTTGGACCTCCTACAGTCAACCACATTGACCTGGTTCATGATGAGTGCTTTTCCTACAGTCCTCCCTGCCAGACTGTCTCTCATCTCCAGTTCTGAATATAGACAATGATCAGTGGTCACCATGGGGTCAGGGGACTAGAACTGACCATGACAATCTCTCAGGGGTCTTTCCTCATTGTTACTTTTAGTTTGAGTTTCTTTGTATCGATAATTAATAGTTCTAAATAAGCTCTTCTAACAGAATTTTGTGTGATGCTGAAAATATTGAATATCTGCACCGTCCAATATGGTAGCTACTAATCACATATGGCTATTGAGCAATTAAAATGTGGCTAGCATAACTCAGAAAATAAATTTTTATTTTTATTTTTTATCTTTTTTTGAGACAGAGTTTTGCCCTTGTTGCTCAGGCTGGAGTGCAATGGCATCATCTCTGGTTCTCCACCTACTAGATTCAAGCTATTCTCCTGCCTTAGCCTCCCGAGTAGCCGGGATTACAGGCATGTGCCACCATGCCTGGCTAATTTTGTATTTTTAGTAGAGACAGGGTTTCTCCACGTTGGTCAGGCTGATCTTGAACTCCTGACCTCAGGTGATCTGCCTGCCATGGCCTCCCAAAGTACTGGGATTACAGGCATGAGCCACAGTGCCTGGCCTATTTTTAATTTTATTTCATTTTAGTTAATTTAAATTCGAGTTTAAATAGTCGCATATGGCTAGTGGCTACTGTATTGGACAATGCAGTCCTGTAGTCTCAGGACTGGTGTTCCTAGTCTACCTTATAGATATTAAGGAGTAGAACCTAAAACGACCAATCAAGCAAATACGCTCTTTGAGGACAGGAATCACACTTAATACTTATCTCAAAAGTTATAGATTCTTTCATATGAAATATTCTTAGAAAGACTTCTGCTGAGATGGAGTAAATATTTTTTCCTATTCCTCCCACTACCTACAACTAAAAACCCTTCTTTTGTAGTCATTTTGTTCAGCAATCTGATAAGGATAACAGATTAGTAGACAAATAATTATTGTATTTTGTGATGAATGAAACCCTCTGTCTTATGCCTTTTATGTGTATCATATTAATAAATGTTCCTCATACTTATTTAGAAGACTTTACTGTCAGCTCTACCTGAGGAGCCAGTGAATATCTAGTGAGGTGGTGCTTAAGCTGAATCTTGATGGAGAGTTTACCAAGGAACCCTGAGGGTGAGGGAAGAGGGCATTCTTCTTAGAGGAAAGAGCATGTGCCAAGACCTGGCAACATTAGTGTGCAGAATAGCACCTTCACTGAACTTCATAGAGAGACTACGCTTTGTCTAAGTTCATGAAATTCTTCAACAGCAGAGCTTGGGTCGGCATCAGTTCTTTCCACACAGCCTTTCTGGTTGTAAGTGATCAGGCTCTTCCTAATTCACCACGTTGAGCTTCCTGAAGAGAATGCTGCCTGATCAATTGCCTTCCAAATGTGTACTCAGAGCATGTAATCTTTATTATTCTTGACTTCAAGCCACATTTTGAATGCACCATGTCGATACACTGCCAAACTGCAAAAATTGAGATAAAATATATCAAAGCCAATTGAAACAAAGATGCACATGTTATGTCTAGGCTTCAGGTATTGTAAGGTGTGTTTAAGTTTAGTGCCCTTTAAAATTCCCTGGAAGTTCTCTATAACCTGATTTTGTTTGGCAATTTGTCTCCTCTTTCCTTCCCTGTCATATCTTCAATTTCAAACGTGAGGGAAAACAATCTGCTTGCTGTAATCAGAGCCTATGCAAACGAAGCCAGGACCAAAGTCATGAAAGATTACCAATTCATAATTACCTTAAAACCATTTTCCATCATGGGACCAGAGTGAATTTTTGTGTATAATCATGCAGCAATTAGCCTAGCAACTTAGTCCTTTTATCATTTCCCTGAGGCTAGCTGAAAAGTACCTATTTCCAGGCCAAAGTAGCTAAGTCTCATTGTGGCTGCTCTGGTAACTTTCATATTATTGGATGGCCAATGATTCTCTATATAGAAACAGCAACAGTCTAGCTGGAAATGAAGGCTACAAGACTTGGTTTGTAGTTTCTCCTTTAATAAGTCAATACTTAACAAGAGTGAACCCAGTCATCCACACTTCCAGGTGAATCAGTTTACTCAGATTGCTTCTCTCTATAGTTGTGCTTCTCAAACTTCAGCAAGCATCAGAGTCCCTTGTGGGGCTGGGCCCCACTCGCAGAGTTTCTGACTTAATAGAGTCAGAAACTGACTGACTCTATTGGGCTGGGGCATGAAAATTTTCAGGTGTTGCTGATGCAGCTGGTCAGACACCAGATTTTGAGAACCACTGCACTATGATCCGATTACATGGAGAAGTGGATGTCTGGTAGCTATAGGGCTTCCTGGATACACTTAGGGAATGAAAGTTTTGCTGTGAGGAAGTACTCATATGATTGTGAGGAATTTTATTTCCTGACCAGAAGCTTAATTCCTTGGAATGAAATCATCTCTTCTTTATTCTGAGATACACATGCATGTCTGCACATGAACACACACACAAGTATATAGGCACACTAAATCTTACTTTGGAAAAAAGGAATGCATTGATAGGCTGACAGGCTCTGCCTTCCAAAATTCAAATGGAGAGGAGTCAGACTTTATAAAATAGTATAGTATTTATTGAATTTAAATTATATAATAACTTGAGAAAATTACTTCTCCACTTTATTTTGCAGACTTCACATCTATAAGGTGAATATAAATGTTTCTTGCCATGCGGTAGTTGTATAGATTCAATTCAATAGGACAATGCATATAAAAACTTTTAGCTCAGTCCTGTGCACATAATGACCACTCTGCAAATGTTTTGTAAAATATGTAAATTTCTAAGACTGAAGTTTACAAATAGACTTAACCAGCACACAGCCCTTCAGTCAATGGGAATTTTTTTCCAAACAGAGCAACAGCAGCATAGAAACACCTGGCATTGGCATTTCCTTTCCACTTACTTCCACAATCCAAATCATTATCCATCTAGCTTTTGGTATGTCACCAGTGAGCAAGTTTAACACTGGGGGCTTCCCATCTACATTTCTAGGTTTTCTCTTAACTCCTTGAAGTCCCATGCTGTTTCCTCTAAGAAGAATGCCCTCTTCCCTCACCGTGCAGTAGAGAAAGACCTGTCCTTTCATCCTTTCCAGAGAGGGAATGGCCTCTCATTTCAAGTTTCAATAGGGACATGTATCCCCAGGCTGCAGTTTATGAGAAGAATTCTATCAGTGGGCAGAAGTGGTAGCTTATTATAACTAATTTATTTCTAAACCCCACACCCCTGACTGTGAGGGATGAGGGACTGTTAAGGGGAATGTGACTACAATAAAAAAAAGTAGATGTGTAAATTTGGCAACTTTTCACTCAACATATCTGCTGCTTTCATAGTTCCTGGCTCCTCCATCTCAGCAAGGCAGAGGGCGCATTGTTTGCAGGATTCCAATAAATAGTTCATGGTGCAGCATCTTTTCATAATTTGGGGTGAGGATTGAGGCAGGCAAGGGTATGGTATTTTCTGTTTTTCTTGAAATTAAGTAATTCTTTCAAAAGCTGTTTCTTTCTTTCTTTTTAAAAAATGAAACTTGTATTTGTGAATGAGAAGACAGGAAACAACTTAATTAGCGGTTATGGGCTTTGGGACTGGAGAGTGGTAGGTGAATCTTGGCCCTACTATTTATCAATTAGAAAAGTATAAATGACTCTAATTTTTGAACCTCAGTTTTCACTTCTGTAGCATGGAGAAAATACCTTATTAGTTTTGGGTAATGATTAGATTGAATAAGGATATAAAGTTCCCCTGGCCTATAATCAAACTCTCATTAATGAACACAATCTGATATACAAGTAACATTACCTTCTGATATGGCTTGGCTGTGTTCCCACCCAAATCTCCTCTTGAATTGTAATCTCTATAATCCCCACGTGTAGTGGGAGGGAGCTGGTGGGAGGTAATCGAATCATGGGGGTGGTTTCCCCCATGCTGTTCTCATTATAATGAGTGAGTTCTCACGAGATCTGATGGTTTTATAAGCGTCTGGCATTTGCCTTGCCGGTACTCATTTTCTCCCGTTTCACCCTGTGAAGAGGTGCCTTTGGCTGTGATTGTAAGTTTCTCGAGGCCTCCCCAGCCATGTGGAACCGTGAGTAAATTAAACCTATTTTCTTTATAAATTACCCAGTCTCTTGGGTATTTCCTCATAGCAGCATGAGAATGAACGAATATACCTTCCATTTATTTACTCCTCTGTATTTGTAAAGCACATTCTCCTCATATCATTTCATCCTCACAATAATCGCTTCTGTTAGTCAGATATTCTTTTCTCTATTTGCCCATGTAGCTTTTAAATAGAATGAATGATTTATCTAGTTTTCAATCCAGAGCTTTTGATACACCAGCTGGAGAAGAAGATAGATGTTCTCTAAGGCCTGGTGGATGCAGTAAAGCTACTCACATCTATTCACATGGCAAAATGCCTGCAGAGCCTAATGGTCTCTATAGAATGCCTTGATCCTAAATACGTTCTTATTTAGTTTCTAATAATGATATAGCAGTCATTGAAGTTAAACATTTAGGAAAGAATACTACATAATGACAAATAATTCAATCTGTTTTTCTAATTCTTCAATAAAAATTGGAAAAACACATTATTATTCAATTAACTGTAAATGTTTAGCCGAAGAAGTATGAGTGAAATGATACGTGCTCACCAAGTGCTTATGGTTGCCCATCACTTGACAATTCACTCGGGTAGAACAAACTTCAGCTGGGCTTCTCTTCGCTCCACTTGCCCTGGACCTTTGGCTCACCCCCACGGTTAAGGTTAAGCTAGTACTGAGATGCAGAATATACCTCTGACCTTTCCTTCCCTTAACAGCTTACCACAGGGAAGAGCGTCACCTGTTGAATCACCCTGATCATGTTGTCTGCTGACCCCCCAAATCATTCTCTTCCCCAACAAAGTTTCTGCTAGTCCTGCAGACACCTCCCTATACAAGAAAAACCTTTTGCTTTTGTTTAATTTTGAGACATACATGGACTCTGAGGTTGATGTGTTCTCCCTATTGCAGTAGTCATCTTAAAAGTGTCTTTTCTTAAGTCTGGATTTGTTTTTCATTTGACAGTAACTTCTAGGCAGAAATTTTGAGTCAATGATTGATAAAGTGAGAATCCTTTTGTGATACTACATTACTTTTACTGATAAGGCCACATATCTATCTGGGGTGGGTGTCTGTGTGTGTGCACGCGCGTGCATGTGTATGTGTTGAGAGGCAGAGAGACACAAAGACTGTGACAGATCATTTAGCTGAAAAATAATAGTAACATTTATTGGGTATTTGCCACACTGAGCTGCTTAAAGGGCATAATCTCATTAAATTCTGAAAAAACTCTATAAAGCATGTCCCAGAAATAACTCCATATTACAGGTCTTAAGAAACTAAGACTTATATTATTTGAATTTATTCACCAAGTTTCCATAAATTAGTTGCAAACCTGTCTGATTCAAAAGTTTGCATTTGTAATATCCATATCATATTCTTTTTCTCTAATTTGGGATGCTTTAGGTGCTATTTTCTTACCCGTATTATGTTTGTTACTAAATTATTGATATTTTAAAAATCATATTCTTAGCAAAACTGGATTGAACTAATTTAATATGTAAGATTCTGGTCTAGACACAGGGAAAGCCAAAACACAGAGGAACACAAAAATGTTTTTAAGAGGTGTACAGTTTGGTATTGGAACTGAGATAAAAAGAAGTAACTCTAAAATGGGGCAGACTATAAATGACACAGAACACGGGGAAAGAAAGGACTATGGGAATCAGGAAAAGGGAAGGAGTCTTTCTGATGCTGATGAGGACCTTTAAATGGTGCTTCAGGGCCAGGTGCCATGGCTCACGCCTATAATCTCAGGGCTTTGGGAGGCCAAGCCAGGAGGAACACTTGAGCCCAGGAGTTTGAGACCAGCCTGGGCAACATGGTGGGACCTTCTCTCTACTAAAAATTAAAAATAAAATTTCCAGGCAAGCAAACTGGCACGTGCCTGTAGTCCCAGCTATTCAAGAGGCTGAGGCAGGAGTTCAAGACTGCAGTGAGCTATAATCACATCACTATACTCCAGCCTAGGCGACACATTGAGACTGTGTCTCATAAAATTAAAAAAAAATAAATTGTGTTCTAACAGTGTCTATGATTTGAAGTGATGAAGGAAGACAGCATAATTGTGAAACAGAGCCTCCATGAAAAATCTACAATTAGAAGTTAGGTTTGATCCATAAGATGGTCATTAAATATAAACTCAGGGTATACTACAAAATTTAACTCACAGGTGTATCATTATTAAAAGGTTTGTGAAGGTGAAATGAGCTGGTACTGGAGAGCTGAGGAGCAATTAAGTACATTACGAAGAACACCATGCTGCTCAATGTCCCATGAGATAGCTATGGCAGATTATAATCCTCGACATTTTTGATGCAGAAGCTTAGATTCTCCTCCTAGCTATTTTTATTTTCTATTTTTATTTTTTTATTATACTTTAAGTTTTAGGGTACATGTGCACATTGTGCAGGTTAGTTACATATGTATACATGTGCCATGCTGGTGTGCTGCACCCACTAACTCGTCCTCTAGCATTAGGTATATCTCCCGATGTTATCCCTCCCCCCTCCCCCCACCCCACAACAGTCCCCAGAGTGTGATATTCCCCTTCCTGTGTCCATGTGATCCCATTGTTCAGTTCCCACCTATGAGTGAGAATATGCGGTGTTTGGTTTTTTGTTCTTGTGATAGTTTACTGAGAATGATGATTTCCAATTTCATCCATGTCCCTACAAAGGACGTGAACTCATCATTTTTTATGGCTGCATAGTATTCCATGGTGTATATGTGCCACATTTTCTTAATCCAGTCTATCATTGTTGGACATTTGGGTTGGTTCCAAGTCTTTGCTATTGTGAATAATGCCGCAATAAACATACGTGTGCATGTGTCTTTATAGCAGCATGATTTATAGTCCTTTGGGTAAATACCCAGTAATGGGATGGCTGGGTCAAATGGTATTTCCAGTTCTAGATCCCTGAGGAATTGCCACACTGACTTCCACAATGGTTGAACTAGTTTACAGTCCCACCAACAGTGTAAAAGTGTTCCTATTTGTCCACATCCTCTCCAGCACCTGTTGTTTCCTGACTTTTTAATGATTGCCATTCTAACTGGTGTGAGATGGTATCTCATAGTGGTTTTGATTTGCATTTCTCTGATGGCCAGTGATGATGAGCATTTTTTCATGTGTTTTTTGGCTGCATAAATGTCTTCTTTTGAGAAGTGTCTGTTCATGTCCTTCGCCCACTTTTTGATGGGGTTGTTTGTTTTTTTCTTGTAAATTTGTTTGAGTTCATCATAGATTCTGGATATCAGCCCTTTGTCAGATGAGTAGGTTGCAAAAATTTTCTCCCATTTTGTAGGTTGCCTGTTCACTCTGATGGTAGTTTCTTTTGCTGTGCAGAAGCTCTTTATTTTAATTAGATCCCATTTGTCAATTTTGTCTTTTGTTGCCATTGCTTTTGGTGTTTTAGACATGAAGTCCTTGCCCATGCCTATGTCCTGAATGGTAATGCCTAGGTTTTCTTCTAGGGTTTTTATGGTTTTAGGTCTAACGTTTAAATCTTTAATCCATCTTGAATTGATTTTTGTATAAGGTGTAAGGAAGGGATCCAGTTTCAGCTTTCTACATATGGCTAGCCAGTTTTCCCAGCACCATTTATTAAATAGGGAATCCTTTCCCCATTGCTTGTTTTTCTCAGGTTTGTCAAAGATCAGATAGTTGTAGATATGTGGCATTATTTCTGAAGGCTCTGTTCTATTCCATTGATCTATATCTCTGTTTTGGTACCAGTACCATGCTGTTTTGGTTACTGTAGCCTTGTAGTATAGTTTGAAGTCAGGTAGTGTGATGCCTCCAGCTTTGTTCTTTTGGCTTAGGATTGACTTGGCAATGCGGGCTCTTTTTTGGTTCCATATGAACTTTATAGTAGTTTTTTCCAATTCTGTGAAGAAAGTCATTGGTAGCTTGATGGGGATGGCATTGAATCTGTAAATTACCTTGGGCAGTATGGCCATTTTCACGATATTGATTCTTCCTACCCATGAGCATGGAATGTTCTTCCATTTGTTTGTATCCTCTTTTATTTCATTGAGCAGTGGTTTGTAGTTCTCCTTGAAGAGGTCCTTCACATCCCTTGTAAGTTGGATTCCTAGGTGTTTTATTCTCTTTGAAGCAATTGTGAATGGGAGTTCACTCATGATTTGGCTCTCTGTCTGTTGTTGGTGTATAAGAATGCTTGTGATTTTTGTACATTGATTTTGTATCCTGAGACTTTGCTGAAGTTGCTTATCAGCTTAAGGAGATTTTGGGCTGAGACAATGGGGTTTTCTAGATATACAAACATGTTGTCTGCAAACAGGGACAATTTGACTTCCTCTTTTCCTAATTGAATACCCTTTATTTCCTTCTCCTGCCTAATTGCCCTGGCCAGAACTTCCAACACTATGTTGAATAGGAGTGGTGAGAGAGGGCATACCTGTCTTGTGCCAGTTTTCAAAGGGAATACTTCCAGTTTTTGCCCATTCAGTATGATATTGGCTGTGGGTTTGTCATAGATAGCTCTTATTATTTTTAAATACGTCCCATCAATTCCTAATTTATTGAGAGTTTTTAGCATGAAGGGTTGTTGAATTTTGTCAAAGGCTTTTTCTGCATCTATTGAGATAATCATGTGGTTTTTGTCTTTGGCTCTGTTTATATGCTGGATTACATTCATTGATTTGCGTATATTGAACCAGCCTTGCATCCCAGGGATGAAGCCCACTTGATCATGGTGGATAAGCTTTTTGATGTGCTGCTGGATTCGTTTTCCTAGTATTTTATTGAGGATTTTTGCATCAATGTTCATCAAGGATATTGGTCTAAAATTCTCTTTTTTTGTTGTGTCTCTGCCTGGCTTTGGTATCAGAATGATGCTGGCCTCATAAAATGAGTTAGGGAGGATTCCCTCTTTTTCTATTGATTGGAATAGTTTCAGAAGGAATGGTACCAGTTCCTCCTTGTACCTCTGGTAGAATTCGGCTGTGAATCCATCTGGTCCTGGACTCTTTTTGGTTTGTAAGCTATTGATTATTGCCACAATTTCAGATCCTGTTATTGGTCTATTCAGAGATTCAACTTCTTCCTGGTTTAGTCTTGGGAGAGTGTATGTGTTGAGGAATTTATCCATTTCTTCTAGATTTTCTAGTTTATTTGCGTAGAGGTGTTTGTAGTATTCTCTGATGGTAGTTTGTATTTCTGTGGGATTGGTGGTGACATCCCCTTTATCATTTTTTATTGTGTGTATTTGATTCTTCTTTTTTTCTTTATTAGTCTTGCTAGCGGTCTATCAATTTTGTTGGTCCTTTCAAAAAGCCAGCCCCTGGATTCATTAATTTTTTGAAGGGTTTTTTGTGTCTCTATTTCCTTCATTTCTGCTCTGATTTTAGTTATTTCTTGCCTTCTGCTAGCTTTTGAATGTGTTTGCTCTTGCTTTTCTAGTTCTTTTAATTGTGATGTTAGGGTGTCAATTTTGGATCTTTCCTGCTTTCTCTTGTGGGCATTTAGTGCTATAAATTTCCCTCTACACACTGCTTTGAATGCATCCCAGAGATTCTGGTATGTTGTGTCTTTGTTCTCGTTGGTTTCAAAGAACATCTTTATTTCTGCCTTAATTTTGTTATTTACCCAGTAGTCATTCAGGAGCAGGTTGGTCAGTTTCCATGTAGTTGAGCGGTTTTGAGTGAGATTCTTAATCCTGAGTTCTAGTTTGATTGCACTGTGGTCTGAGAGATAGTTTGTTATAATTTCTGTTCTTTTACATTTGCTGAGGAGAGCTTTACTTCCCAGTATGTGGTCAATTTTGGAATAGGTGTGGTGTGGTGCTGAATAAAATGTATATTCTGTTGATTTGGGGTGGAGAGTTCTGTAGATGTCTATTAGGTCTGCTTGGTGCAGAGCTGAGTTCAATTCCTGGGTATCCTTGTTGACTTTCTGTCTCGTTTATCTGTCTAATGTTGACAGTGGGGTGTTAATGTCTCCCATTATTAATGTGTGGGAGTCTAAGTCTCTTTGTAGGTCATTCAGGACTTGCTTTATGAATCTTGGTGCTCCTGTATTGGGTGCATATATATTTAGGATACTTAGCTCTTCTTGTTGAATTGATCCCTTTACCATTATGTAATGGCCTTCTTTGTCTCTTTTGATCTTTGTTGGTTTAAAGTCTGTTTTATCAGAGACTAGGATTGCAACCCCTGCCTTTTTTTGTTTTCCGTTTGCTTGGTAGATCTTCCTTCATCCTTTTATTTTGAGCCTATATGTGTCTCTGCATGTGAGATGGGTTTCCTGAATACAGCACACTGATGGGTCTTGACTCTTTATCCAATTTGCCAGTCTGTGTCTTTTAATTGGAACATTTAGTCCATTTACATTTAAAGTTAATATTGTTATGTGTGAATTTGATCCTGTCATGATGATGTTAGCTGGTGATTTTGCTCGTTAGTTGATGCAGTTTCTTCCTAGTCTCGATGGTCTTTACATTTTGGCATGATTTTGCAGCAGCTGGTACCGGTTGTTCCTTTCCATGTTTAGTGCTTCCTTCAGTAGCTCTTGTAAGGCAGGCCTGGTGGTGACAAAATCTCTCAGCATTTGCTTGTCTGTAAAGTATTTTATTTCTCCTTCACTTATGAAACTTAGTTTGGCTGGATATGAAATTCTGGGTTGAAAATTCTTTTCTTTAAGAATGTTGAATATTGGCCCCCACTCTCTTCTGGCTTGTAGGGTTTCTGCCGAGAGATCCGCTGTTAGTCTGATGGGCTTCCTTTTGAGGGTAACCAGACCTTTCTCTCTGGCTGCCCTTAACATTTTTTCCTTCATTTCAACTTTGGTGAATCTGACAATTATGTGTCTTGGAGTTGCTCTTCTCGAGGAGTATCTTTGTTGCGTTCTCTGTATTTCCTGAATCTGAACGTTGGCCTGCCTTGCTAGATTGGGGAAGTTCTCCTGGATAATGTCCTGCAGAGTGTTTTCCAACTTGGTTCCATTCTCCCCATCACTTTCAGGTACACCAATCAGACGTAGATTTGGTCTTTTCACATAGTCCCATATTTCTTGGAGGCTTTGCTCTTTTCTTTTTATTCTTTTTTCTCTAAACTTCCCTTCTCACTTCATTTCATTCATTTCATCTTCCATCGCTGATACCCTTTCTTCCAGTTGATCACATCAGCTCCTGAGGCTTCTGCATTCTTCATGTAGTTCTCGAGCCTTGGTTTTCAGCTCCATCAGCTCCTTTAAGCACTTCTCTGTATTGGTTATTCTAGTTATACATTCTTCTAAATTTTTTTCAAAGTTTTCAACTTCTTTGCCTTTGGTTTGAATGTCCTCCCGTAGCTCAGAGTAATTTGATCGTCTGAAGCCTTCTTCTCTCAGCTCATCAAAGTCATTCTCCATCCAGCTTTTTTCTGTTGCTGGTGAGGAACCGCGTTACTTTGGAGGAGGAGAGGCGCTCTGCTTTTTAGAGTTTCCAGTTTTTCTGTTCTGTTTTTTCCCCACCTTTGTGGTTTTATTTACTTTTGGTCTTTGATGATGGTGATGTACAGATGGGTTTTTGGTGTGGATGTCCTTTCTGTTTGTTAGTTTTCCTTCTAACAGACAGGACCCTCAGCTGCAGGTCTGTTGGAGTACCCTGCCGTGTGAGGTGTCAGTGTGCCCCTGCTGGGGGGTGCCTCCCAGTTAGGCTGCTCAGGGGTCAGGGGTCAGGGACCCACTTGAGGAGGCAGTCTGCCCATTCTCAGATCTCCAGCTGCGTGCTGGGAGAACCACTGCTCTCTTCAAAGCTGTCAGACAGGGACATTTAAGTCTGCAGAGGTTACTGCTGTCTTTTTGTTTGTCTGTGCCCTGCCCCCAGAGGTGAAGCCTACAGAGGCAGGCAGGCCTCCTAGAGCTGTGGTGGGCTCCACCCAGTTCCAGCTTCCTGGCTGCTTTGTTTACCTAAGCAAGCCTGGGCAATGGCGGGCGTCCCTCCCCCAGCCTCGCTGCCACCTTGCAGTTTGATCTCAGACTGCTGTGCTAGCAATCAGCGAGACTCCGTGGGCGTAGGACCCTCCGAGCCAGGTGCGGGATATAATCTCGTGGTGCGCCGTTTTTTAAGCCTGTCGGAAAAGGGCAGTATTCGGGTGGGAGTGACCTGATTTTCCAGGTGCCGTCAGTCACCCCTTTCTTTGACTCAGAAAGGGAACTCCCTGACCCTTTGCACTTCCCAAGTGAGGCAATGCCTTGCCCTGCTTACGCTCGTGCACAGTGCGCACACCCACTGACCCTCTGGCACTCCCTAGTGAGATGAACCCGGTACCTCAGATGGAAATGGAGAAATCTCCCGTCTTCTGCGTCGCTCACGCTGGGAGCTGTAGACAGGAGCTGTTCCTATTCGGCCATCTTGGCTCCTCCCCTATTTTTAATGCATAGCTACAAAATTGAGCATCTTGAGAAAGTGCATAGAGAGCAAAATGGCTTCTGTAGTGTGATTTACTATGTAGACTCACCACAGGTCAGTCACTGAGTGCCTCTGGCATTCCATACAGGAAAGGATCTGTAGGACATTTCTGTTACCTGGTGCCTTCTAGGAAATAACGAGCTCCTGTTAAGGATGTTCAGATTGCCAAGATGTAAAACAAAATAATCTTTTTCCCTGATGTGTTTTCAAACAAAAATACCCCTGTAAAGAAGTGATGTGATGTTAATATTTCAGTGAGGGTAGTACTTTGACCTCATTGCTTTGATTGGGCTTTGAAAATAATTTGATAGTTATTCCTTGTCTGGGACATGTCTGAAATACAGTTTGGAATGGCCAATGAAGCCGTTGGCTGGCCTTCTTTTTGCTGGAAATGTTAGCTCTTGGTGTCCCTGTTGTACTGTTTATTTTCGTCTTTAGTGATCCTTCTCTCACTATACATACCTCTTTGTGCTTTAAGTTCTGGAAAAAGGAATATTATATTTTAATGGATGTGATTTTTCTCATCAGTGCCTGACCAATAGCAGTGAGTCTCTGAGTGCAGGCTTCCTGGGTGAGAAATCTCAAGTCATATCTTACTAGAGCCAACTACAGACTTACTCTTTTTTGAGGCAGCGAAGGGCATAAATGGGCTTTGGCAGACAGACCCCACCTCTACCACTTTGTAACTGGTTATCTATGCTGAGTGGTCAACACATAGAAGAGTTTGGTTGATCTCAGAGGCTAAATATCATGTGGGAAAGTTGGTCACTTTGGTGATAAGAGCTAGATTCTTATATTCCTTCTATTTTTCACTTCTGATGTGTATCTGCCGAACCTTCCTGAGGTGCTTGGGGGCTGCAGCCATTTGGTGGTCTCCAATAAGCCACAGAGTCCATAGCCATGCAAGGTAAAGGAAGAAGGGAAAGTAATTTTGACAAATCCTTTGAACCCATAGCCATGCAAGGTGTAAAGGAAGAAGGGAAAGTAATTTTGACAAATCCTTCGAACCCAAAGTCTCTGAAGAAATACAGTGGACATGTGAATTTTCACATGTGAAGTCTGAGCTCTAAAACTCCAATCTGTTAGCCTGATAGCTCTTGGGATCGAAAAGATCATGCTATGAGGGCTGGAGACACTGACTTTCTTGATGGTAGAGGGGTTTAGTTGTAGGGCGAACCTTATGAGCATTGGGGAAGGGTTATGCTGCTTTAGTGTGGACTGAACTGTCTTTGTTCAAAGGATTAAAAATGTTTCCTTCCCACAAAGGCTTTGAAAGTGTAGGTTTTCTGTGGAAAACACACAGGGCCTTGGAATTCTCGTAAGAAAGTCCAGTGTCTGATGGTTCTGTCTTGATTTTGATGTCTTAACAGCAGTAAAGAACATCTTTGAAAAATGCAGTTGGAAGATTCAAAGGTAACATTTTCTGTGTATCAGCATATCAGCTACGAGGTATGGGGGTGTATAGTACTGAGCCCCAGAGAAATGTGACAGTGTGTCCTTGTTTCTAGATGCTGGCATAGCTAGGGGTTGAGTATTCTAGAAAGGTGAATTGTGAAAAATAGGGAGTGCGGGGAAGGGTTTTGAAAGGAGAGACCAATTATGGGACATAATTTCAGAGCTCCTTTAACTCAATGACTTTTTCTTTTCTTAAATGCTGTTTGCAGAGTTGAGAACTGGCAAGAGATCTGTGTAAAGTTACTCAGTCACTTAAATAGAAAGCATCCATTGAAATAAACACAGCTCAAATCGGCTGCATCCACTTTTCATAATCTCTCTAAATTTTACCAAACATTTTTCCCTGTTGCTATTCAAGATGCCAGCTGCTTAATTTTCAGTTTTGCCTCTGCTTTGTTAATCTCATCAGTTTCTGTCAGAGGCTCTTTAACTGACAAAATGTAAGACTGTTTACTCATTCCAGCCTAATTTGTACCTTGTTTGGTCTGATTGAGAGGGAAGAATAAACACAAACGATTTTTATATGTAATACAATTAGTGGTGAGCTAGGCTATCAGATATCCCTTTAGATACATATTAAACACCTGATCAGATGCTTGTCTGCCTCCCCAGGGAATCAAGAGAAAGGCATTGACTAAACTCTGAAAGTGTAGTGAGCAGGATATTAGTGTTACATAGACAACTTGTAATATTTGTTCTGATGTTCAAGGAATTGGGATGTGGACATCTTTAGGGGAGCATAATTTTGGATACCACAGACTTGCACATTCTAACTGCTACACATTTTAAATTCTTTTGTTTTTGATACTTGCCACTTCATGTTGTCTTTCTCCAAATCTGTAAACTCAGATTTTGCATACCTCCAGGGGAGAAAATTCCTCTTTAAATGTTTGTTTTTCTTTTTTTCTTTCTTTCTTTCTTTTTTTTTTTTGAGACGGAGTCTCACTCTGGCCCAGGCTGGAGTGCAGCGGCGTGATCTTGGCTCACTGCATGCACCTCTGCCTCCCAGGTTCAAGCGATTCTTCTGCCTCAGGCCCCTGAGTAGCTGGGACTACAGGTGCCTACCACCATGCCTGGCTAATTTTTGTATTTTTAGTGGAGAGGGGTTTCACTGTGTTAGCCAGGATGGTCTCGAACTCTTGACCTCGTGATCTGCCCACCTCGGCCTCCCAGTAAATGTTTTAAACAGCATCTGAAGACATCTTTTTACTGATAATAGAAAAACTTTGCTTTACATTAGACGTTTTTTCTCTTAACTGCTCTACTTGTTTTCTTGTTTAACCTGCTTGCCTATCTACTTACCATGCTTACCTATCTACCTGCTTTTCAAAATATAAAAATTGTTTATAAGATAGCTAAATTATTTTCTCCATACATTTTTCATACATTTCTTTAAAAAATTGTAATAGCATATGAGGTGGGCCTATGTTTTTTAAATAAATAATAACAAAAGCAAAAAACCCTGATGGTATATAATGTATACATACAGGTAAAAAATTAGGGCCATTATTCATGTATCCAAGAGTAATTACTACATTTAGCATTGATCTTTCTGGGATCATTTGAAATAAGATTTTAGCAGCAAAATTGAGGTTGCCCAGAGCCAGTGAGAAGCACGTCAATTGAACTGATTGATGTCTGCCCTTTTTTCTGGCTGCTGCTGAGCTCTGTTCCCAAACAGCTTGGCATCTCATTTGGCAAGAGGGCTCCCAGGAGTTGAATAGTGGATTCTCTAGGAGCTAATGGAATTACTATTTGGAATCAAGGGTATCACATAGTGATGGGTAATTATGGATTAAGGGGATGAGCATTCAAAATACACTGAGTGACAAGGGCATGCCACTGAAAATGTTTTCAATTTGTGGACAGTGTACAGTTACTGATGTAATTCCCTCTGCCTCCTATTAGGGTTAGCTTGAGTTCAGGTTCCAAAACCCCACCTAGTCGCAAGATAAGCTTGTCTCACACTTTGTCCTCTGAGATCATTATTTCTATTACTTGTGAGTTTGAGAAGCTGAGAACTGAAAGTGGTGACTTGGGGAAATTTTGTGTTGCCTGCCTACCTCCTTACTTTGTCTGATTACTTAACTGCTCTATTTTCTTGTCTAATCCACTTACCTATCTACTTACTATACTTACCTATCTACCCACTTTTCAAGACATGAAAATTTTTTATCAATGAGATCACAGAATTTTCTCCATACACTCTAAGTTTTTGACTAATATTAATTTAGCCTTGAGTTTAAGCATTTGCTTAATTTGCTCTGATTTAGAGATTCTTGTTGCTTTATAAGGAAAAAACCATAATTGATATGGATGGGCAGACCTTATTTTATCATATTTTTTAAGGACTAGATAATATGATCATTGTGATGATGAGGTTAATGATAATAACAATTATGATAATGGAGAAATGGATATAAGAGGAAGAAACAAAGGAAGAAATTATTTCTAGGCTTGTGGCAGATTTTCTATTAACTCCCCCTAAAATCATTGACTTATGTATTCTTGGATTTCAAGCACATTTTTTCCCTCAATTTCTCCTGTTTTCTCTTTCTGCATCACTCATTAAGTTAACTAGATGCCCTATATGTACTGAGCCTTCCTCAAGGTATTACAAAAGAAGGTTATTTGGACTTCAAAGAAATATACAACTCCTGATATCAGAAACTGGATCTTTGGCTCAACAGAAGAAAGAATGCCCCAAGTTATGCATATTTAAATAATGTATAGAAAAATACAGAACACCGGTAAATAGAAAAGAAAATGACCCAAACCCAAGTACTATTTTGATTTCCTTTCAATCTTCCCCAACGACAATAGTTTTACTGGTTGTAACCTAAGTATAATTACAAAGACTGCACGGGATCCCATCCAGTGGGAATGGCAGTGAAGTTGTCAGGGAGTTATATCTAATTTTCTGAGGAGCAGCAGAGAATCCCTATTTAAGTAAACTCCCCAGGATCTGGTAATGCTGGTCCTTAAGCAGGTCTGGGACACTATATTAGATAATGTATTATGATCCTTTCTATACAGATATCTTTTCAGATATATCCACTACAATGTGTATTCTCCTTGAAAAGTAGAGCCTTTATGCTGGGGCTTGGCTGCCCATCCTATAAGCACATTTCCAGTCAGGGGAATGTATGGTTTTGGCTGTTAGAATGTGGGTGTGGCCAAAGCTTTTAGGAAGTGGTTCTATCCTTTTCCACACTCTCCTCCCTTTGACTCACTGGCTGTGGACCCGAACTAGGCTTCAAGGCTGGTGTTTCCACAAGATGGAAGGAATTTAGGATTATTGAAAAGCATGAAAAAGTGTGGTTTGTTATATGAACAAGAGGTAAACTAATATCTTAAGTCACAGAACCATGGGGGTTTTTTGTTACAAAACTAGTGTTACCTTAACTACTCCTCTAGATAAATTCTTCTCCGAGGAAATACACATAAGAAGTCTATGAGGAAGTGTATTACGCCTTCATCAATGCACTACACCTGAGGATAAGAAGAATAAACATATTTTTTTCATTTTTTGTTAATATAAATCTGTCTAAATAATGCAAAATTTCAGTAATTACTAGTCTTTTATATTTCATATTGATTGAGAACTTAGTAGTTAGAAAATTGTGCGTTTGGAAGATATTTCTTCAGATTCTCAAATGGCCTTCGAATATAAATGAATAGTCAGCAGCTTTCAGGTCAACCTTACTCTATTCTTTATTAGCTCAGATGTGGTTTAGTGGTTTTGTTTGTCCTCAAATAGGAAGTGGGTATGTATTTATTTTCTCAATCACCTGGTTTTATAAAATGTAAAAATGTTGCTTTGAAACCATTAATTAAAGGCAGAAATCTCTCACAGAGAGGTGGCATAAACATAAACATTCACAAATAATCCATTTTTAAAGTAGACTGGCTAAATTTACATAAAGATTAAAATGGAAATGTATGAAATATTTTTTTTTATTCTGATAGCTTAACACCACTCATTTTTTTGTTTGTTTGCTTGAGATGGAGTCTCTGTCACCCAGGCTGGAGTGTAGTGGCACAAACTTGGCTCACTGCAACCTCCACCTCCCGAGTTCAAGCAATTCTCCTGCCTCAGCCTCCTGAGTAGCTGGGACTACAGGCGTGTGCTACTAGACCCAGCTATTCTTTATACTTTTTAGTAGAGACAGGGTTTCACCATGTTGGTCAGGAGGTCTTGATCTCTTGACTTCGTGATCCACCCACCTTGGCCTCCCAAAGCGCTGGGATTACACCACTCATTTTTAATGGCTGTAGTCTGTGCACAAAGTGCCACTGGCATTTCCATCCACCTGGAGATGTAACTGCCCCAGTCCTGGCCAGACTTCATAGGGTTAATTTGAAAATTGCTTCCAAGGAGAAGGCAGGGAAAGAATGTGTTGGAGAGAGACTGAAGGATCTACATCAGAATAAGGTGGAATTGACTGAATTAATTTATATGACTTGAGGAACTCATGTTGACCCTGTCTGCCACCTTACTTTTATATATATGTTATATATATAACATAAAATATAAAATATAATGTAAAAGTGAGGTGGGTGTGTATGCATATATATTTATATATATTTATATATATATGGGGTAGTGGAAGGAAGGGGGAGTTAATTATCAAGGCTTCATGTTTACCAATTTTTTGATTAGCATAATCTCATCTTGAACTTTGCTTGGAAGAGATAATTTATTTTCCTGGAGTTTTATTGTACAAGCGCACACACACACATTTGTACACACACATTCTTGGGCCAGCTTCTCTCACACAGCTGAATTATGTGAGATTGATCTCTTATAGTCTCTCCTTTTTTCTATAAAGCAGAAGCTCTGGACATCACTCCCTCACCAATAGGATGAATAGGAAATAATTAAAATGGGAGTAGGGGAGTGAGGTGGAAGTAGATGTCAGTGGGAAAAAAGGAACAAGTGATACGGATTGATCCACACATTATATGCAGGATATTAATCAGTTGGTTAATATTGTTCATCCCAGGCCCATTGACTCATTCTTGGAGGTGAGGTCTAGGAAGTAGCTTTTCAAAGAAGATTCTCAGGTGATCCTGAGAGCACTGGGTTGAGTATATGCCAAGTATTAGTGTAGTTTTGAAAGGATTGATAATAAGCAAGAGACTCAGCAATTACCTGCAATGAATTTTTAGTGTCGTAACAGCACTGATAATTCTCTTATTTCTGCTCCCTGCCCCACCTCCACCCCCAAACCCCATAGCTGCACTGGGTGGGATGAACAAACTAGCTCTTTCTCTTTTCTGCCTGGTTCAGTGGAAAAACACAGCCTTGGTACAGGAGACGGTACCTTAAAGCACTTCAGATCCTTCTTTGCAAGTAGGGAGGGAATAATTTTGAGTAAACATTTGAAAAGGGCAACAATGAAGGCACTCCAAATCCAGCCATAGGTCTCTTACCATCAAATCCAGGGCAGTTAGGAAACTGTCAAATAAGTAGCCATCGCTGCAAATAGACCCTGGAATATCACCAACTCCACAAAGCAGGTCTAAAATAAAATCTTCCCCATGGCTAATAATATAATTTTCTTGTTCTAAGCTACCAGTTATGATTGAAGTACTTGTTTATTTTTCTTTGTTTTTTATGTATTTTAGCACAATTCTCTTTCATCACTATGATCCTAATGACCAGTGCTACATTATAGACTTTTGATTTTGCAATGAGTAAGAAACATGCAAAAAATGAGCCAGTAAATGTGTTCTGTACTGTTCAAAGCCAGGAGCAGATCCTTTTATGTAACAACAAAAGCAATCCAAGAAAACTTCCCATGTACTGATAATTCTAGTTCTGTTTCCAGGCTGCAGGGAATGAGTGATGAATTTATACCGTAATGGTAATAGTCCTTCCTATAGGTCGTAAACAGCTCCAAGGCCTAAACTAGGTAAGTGGTATGGCTTAGTTGTTTTTAAGAACATGGATTTTAAAATTAATGCTGGAGATAGACCTGGAATAAAATCCTGCTTTGCCACGTGTACTTGGATGACCTTCATTAAATTACTTAACCAATCTAAGCTTTTTTTTCCTTTATCTGTTAAATGGTAAGATGGTATACTTACCTCTAGTGGACTTTGATATGTTTTATTTAAACCCTCCATAATTCAAAACAACTAATACAGAATCCCCGCTCCTTGGATCTGAGGACTGAGCATGTTGACTCAAGATTGTTCAGTGAAGAGCTTTATTCCTGTGGTTACAGCCATCGGTTAAAGGATAAACTTGTAACTCAAGACAGAATAATTAGAGATGTTCCTTAGGATTTCTTTGCTGGAGAAAGCAGGGCCAACTGCCTCTTCAAATTGCAGGTATCCATCTTTCCTGCCACAAGTAGAACACATATCCATGGAAGGTGAGATTGTGGCCAGTGAGTTAAGAAAAGTTGTGGAGTGGCAGGGGGAGACATAGCAAACAAGCCCGATATAATACTGCATCAAGAGCCACTCTTCCCATTTTCTTGAACTGTTAAATCCCCAATTTACTTTAGCATTGTCATTATTAGCACTAGTAATGAGATAGGAATCATACAGGATGGTCACAGGAGAATAGAAATGCCCAGGCAGCAGTTCCACATCACTAGCAAAGGGAAACTGTTGAAATAGTTGTATAAGCTCAGGGTGGATAAGACCATGAGAAACAGGATGTGGGCCAAGCTAGCTAAGACTGACTGGACCCAACATAGCACTGGATTTGACCTAGGTTTCCCCTAGGACCTTGTTATATGCCCATTAACATACCAGATCACACACTCAGTAGTGCCATGACAGTTCTGGGAACATCTACATTTGGTGTAAAAATGGGTGGCACCACAGTTCTGAGAAATCTTCACCTTCTTCCAGAAATCTTCATGAATATTCCACCTCTTGGTTAAAGAAACCAATAGATAGAAGCCCCAAACTCTGAGCGAGATGCGCTCTCTTGAGTATGTCTGCACTCCTTCTCTTAAGTATACACTTTCACTTTGCAATAAATCTCCCTATTTTTTTCTTTTTTCTTTTTTTTTTTTTTTTGAGATGGAGTCTTGCTCTGTTGCACAGGTTGGAATGCAGTGGCGCAATCTCAGCTCATTGCAGCCTCTGCCTCCTGGGTTCAAGAAATTCTCCTGCCTCAGCATTCCAAGTAGCTGGGATTACAGCCATGTGTCACCATGCCTGGCTAATTTTTGTATTTTTAATAGAGATGGGGTTTCACTGTATTGGCCAGGCTTATCTCAAACTCCTGACCTCCTGATCTGCCTGCCTCAGCCTCCCAAAGTGCTGGGATTACAGGTGTGAGCCACCACACCCGGCCTACTTTCTTTATTTTCTAACTAGTCCTTTAATTCCTTCTCTGGGCAGTATCAAGGGCCTGGACACCAGGGAGGTTAAGGTCCCACCAGCTTCTGGGGGCCTCTCTTAGTCCACCAGTATCAGTAGCAGTAGTAGAGTAACATTATTTGTTGCTGTGCTGTTTAAGTCAGCTTGAGTTGAGCTTCTTTAGTTTGTAACTGGAAAATTCCTAGTTAATATAGTACCATACAGGATTCCAGCAAGGGGGAAATCAGGTGCTTACTACATATAAAACGCTTAGCATCATTCCTAAAACCTTAATAAATATTAGCTGTGATAATGAGGATGGTGATAATGACAGTTATAATGACAGTGATAATAATACCTTCTATTTTTTTTCCTGCAAAATATCCAATACAGCACCATGAATGTAATAGGCACTCACTAAATGTTGCTTGATTTTTTCCCTCTTCTTGGAAGATAGTAAGAAAGTTAATAAGAATTGGAAAAAAAACTTTGCATCTTTTTCTGTTGCCAGCTCTAGCCATTGCCAATTTTCTATTTATATGTTTGATGTGGTTTGGCTCTGTGTCCCCACACAAATCTTATCTTGAATTGTAATCCCAATAATCCCCACGTGTGTAGGGAGATACCTGGTGGGAGGTGATTGGATCACGGGGGCAGTTTCCCCCATGCTGTTCTCATGATAGTGAGTTCTCATGAGATCTGATAGTTGTATAAGGGACTCTTCCCCCTTCACTCCTCACTCTTATCTCTCACCTGCTGCCATGTAAGACTTGACTCTTCTCCTTCTGCCATAATTATAAGTTTCCTGAGGCTTAGCCGTGCAGAACTGTGAGTCAATTAAACCTCTTTTCTTTATAAATTGCCCAGTCTTGGGTGTGTCTTCATAGCAGTGTGAAAATGGACTAATACAATGTTCAATATTTTTATTGGTAATTCATATTAATACCTTGCCTCAACTTCAAATTATGGAAGAACTTAGTTCTCAATATTTTCACCTTTGAAGGACTAAGTAGTTTGTTGTCTGGGAGCTGGATGGTGCTGCTCAGAGCGACAGTATATTTGCATGAATTAAAATACTGGCATATGTTCTCCTCAAGCTTCCTCTATTTTCTGTTTTGAGAAACAATGACAAAAACGTTGCCTCAAATCAGAGGACTTTTAGAAAACAAAACCAAAAGGCAGTGGCATAATTAATTCCTGTCATTCTTGTTAGGATGATGCATATAAGGAAAGTTTTGGAACAATCTGGAAGAAAGCTCTGATAAAATTACAGAAGAGATAGGTAATTTTTCTAATGATTATTAATCATTACCATCTTCATCATTCTCACTTCTGTTATTAATGTTCATATTGAGCTTACGACTGGCCCTGAATTATGGTAATTAATTTCTGGTCCACACACTGATTTGCATTCATGTTCAAGAGCTCAATTAACAGATTTTTGGGCAGAACTATAAGTCAAACAGGATCACTACCAATATAAATAAAGAAATTTCTATATTACACTTTTGGAATAGAGAAATGAAAGACACATGCTTGACAAAATCGTTTCCTCACTGTGGACACTAGCCATGGTTTGGACTAAGTAACCCCACACAAATGTGGTACGTAGGTATGGGAGTTAATTTTATCTTTTCTACATCTTTGTGAGGAAAAAGCTGAGGAAAAAGTAATAATGACTTGGAAATCATATAGGTCATACAGCTACTTTATGTTGATGTATATATACATATATACACACATATACATGTATATAAATGTATGTATAATACTTATATAGGTATACATGTATTTATACAAATACATAAATATATGTGTATATATATTATATATAACTTTATGATGGCAGAAACTTTTATGTGTTCATCACAATGAATTAAATATATTTCTTCTACCACTTAGGCGCATAGTTCATCTGCATGTTGCAGACTGACTGCTATTAGATGTGGCCATGTGGCTAAGTTCTGCCCAATGGAAAGGGGGAAGAAGTAGAATGTGTTATTTATTCCCAGGACTCGCCCATTATTTTGTCTCACATGAATATTCAAATCCTCTCAGGATGTATATGATTATGAGAGAACACTTAGAATCTGAGGGTAGACTCATAATATTGAAGTCTGAGCTTCATGGAAGTTACTGGCCAAAAAGAAACTCATTTAAGTAATTACACAGGGTAAGAAATAAACTATTGTGCTCAGCCACTGAAATCTGGGAGTTTGTAACAGCACCTGGTGATATTTTAATATTATAGTAATATATAATCTCCTAAACTCCTTTAGGACTAAGTATTTTTAAATATTTGTGTGATATGTGATCAAAAGTGACTTTAAATAAATGTTTCATTGTTAATTAGTGTATTTTTAATTCTTTTAGCTGTGTGGCCCTAGAAAACCTGAGGTCTACGTTTAATCTTTCTGAGCTGGAAAATAAGGTAAAATAGTACCTAACTCACAGGATAATTATGGAGTTTCAAAGAGCTAGAGTGTGCTGCAGCATCCCAGAGTAGGGTAAGTTCTCCATGACAAGTGTGTGTGGCCCTCAGGGCCACCTCTGGCAGAGATAGCTTCATTTTCCCAAAACATTCTATTCCTACTTTCCCTCTGCCTCATCTCTACTTGATGAGCTCAGCTAGGGCCAGAGAGGCCATGTCTCATTCATCTTCAAATCTACATACTGAGATCAGGCAGCCTGACTAGGAAATAAGTTCCAAATAAATAACTGCTGAATACATGTATTCATGAATCAAATAATTTACGACATTTTCTGTCTTCATTAGAGACTGTTAGCACATCAATATGGTGTTTGTTGAACCTGATAAGATGATCAATTACCCTTGTGTTTATTCTTTCTTGCCCATGGTTAGTGGATATACTAATGAAAATGGATACATATCTGCATTATGAAATGAAATGATGAGTTTACATAAGTACAGTCAGATGATTTGCCAACTCCTGTGTCTACTGCTAATGATGCAAAGAACACTAGCATTGGACTCAGAATGATCAAGTTTTAATTTAATTAAAATTTAGGAGTTCTCATAGGAGAAAGAGGGGGTGGCTAGTCAGAATATCTGAGGGTCTTTTCCAGAATTCAACTACAATTTTGGAATTCAGATAGGATCATTCTAAAGGCAGTGCCTAATACCTTACTCCCATGGAGACTCACTGACATTTCTGCCATGTGCTGTTGTAGTTAGTCATATTTATGCCAGAGAATCAGTGGAAAATCATAACTTTCCAAGACTTGTTTTCTCTTCTGTGGAATGAACATCTCAGCGTGATTGCAAAGATTGAATTCACAGTGCCCAGAATCTTGTACTCAATTGATTGCATTTGCTTTCTTGTGCTATTGGTCACCCCGTTAAAGCCACCTCAGCTCTCAGTGCTCATTTTCTCTTTTCTAATTTTCCTATCTAAACTTACTCTTGTAAACAACTGGTATCATTCTTTTAGAATGATAGAACAGGGATCCTTTTAGAACAGAGTCTTGTGTTCTATTCTGATTTATTTTTTTACTTCACTGCATTAGAAGGTGTATATTTTACATTTTAATATGTAGTGCTGGACTGCTCTCCCTTAAGCCATTCCTAATCTGTGCTCTCACCAGTGTTTATGAGCTAATCTGTTTCCCACTTTTTTTTCCAATAGACATTTTAAATAGTTCCTTTGCTCCCAATGTAATGTCTACTACCATTTTAAAAAACAAACACCACCTATCAGAAAGCCATGTTTTTTCAGGTTCTTAGCAGTTTGAGTGTGGTCAAGTAGATAATCATGTCTTATAGCTATGGAGGATCAGGCAGAGTGGAGTATGGGGACAAAATAATCTTCTGCTCAGTGGTCAGATTACAACTGGTCCCACTGCTAAAGGCAGAATGCAAGGATGAGGCATAATTTATTCACTTTTGGTAGCTATCATGGCTCTGTCTTGTTTTAGCTTGGGGACAGCCAATCTGTGACTTGTCAGGTCTGTGAGTTTTCCTGGGGGCCTGCAGTGAGCCCCACATGGCGGTGGAGACTAGGGAAAGTTGAAGTAGAAGATACTTTTCTGTTCTCAAGGAGTCTGACTCATTGGAGCAAAAAACTAAACAAAGTTGAATAAATTTGCCTGATAGCTTTTTTCTTCTAGCTCATGTAGTATTTGTGTCATATTAATTACTTACTTTTATTTAAATTTATTTAGTTACTTTTATTTAAAATCAGCTTCATTACAAGTACAGATTATTATCATATTTTGAAAAGTGGGAGATCTGGCACTAGTGACCTTGAATTCCTGTAATGATCACCTGTAGCTAAAAAGCCCTTATGGGTGTACATTTTTCAGTTTTCTACAGTTCCCACCAGTCCCCTTGTATAATAATCAGCCTATTTGATTCTTATTCATTATCTGTGAGGATACAAGATTTCAATATATTGGCTTAGATAGTTGAATTGGAATTCCTACAGGAAGTTGATACTAACAAAAATAACATATAAAACTGAACTGGACTTTAATGGAATTGTGGGTCTTTCAAATTAAAATAATGTTAATGAACCTTTCAAAATTCTGTTTTTTAAATGGGATCACATTATATACATATAATCTTCTAAATCTTGTTTTTTATTTTTTTATTCAACCATAGCAGTAGAAATACATAACGTTCTTTGAATCTTTTTTCTTCCATAGAGTATATTCTGATGTTCCCTTTACCATGTTTTGTTGTTGCCTTTTTATTGCTGTTATTTTGGGTACAGGATCCCACCTGTTTTAATCCTAAAAATTTCACCCAAGGCTGGGCGCGGTGGCTCACATCTGTAATCCCAGCACTTTGGGAGGCTGAGGCGGGTGGATCACGAGGTGAGGAGTTCGAGACCAGCCTGGCCAATATGGTGAAACCCTGTCTGTACTAAAAATACAAAAATTAGCTGGATGTGGTGGCATGCACCTGTAGTCCCAGCTGCTCAGGAGGCTGAGGGAGGAGAATCACTTGAACCTGGGAGGTAGAGGTTATATTGAGCCGAGATCATGTCACTGCACTCCATCCTGGGCAACAGAGCAAGACTCATCTTAAACAAAAACAAAAAACTAATGTCAAACAAAAACAAAACAAAAATTTACCCATTCAGTCTTGTCTACCCCTTGTCCATCTACTTTCTGCAGTCTTGGCTTTGGGAAAGCATCATGGATCTAAATATACACTGCCTAATGTGAATCCCAGCACTGCCACCTGGTAGTTGAGTGACCTTGGGCAAATTGCATAACTGAAGTTTCCACACTTAGAAAATGAAGATAACATTCTACCTACTTACCTCATAAGGCTGTGGTGAGAACTAAATGTGTTAATTCATGTAACATGCTTAGAACAGTGCATGGTACCTAATAGATCTTTAAGTGTTAACTGTTTCTGCTATTTTGTAATGGAATATGATATTTTGAAAACGTTAAATACAAGAACATTAATAGCCACTATTTATTGCTCATCTTACATAATCACAGATACTTTGCTTAGCTTATCTCATTTCATCCTTACAACACTAAATCACTTCATAACCTTTCAATACATATTTATAGAGAATCTACTTTGTGCCAAACATTTTGTAAGACACTGGGGATTTAGCGGTAAAGAAATCAAGCACCTGTCCTCTCACAAAGCTTACATTCCATTGGAGAAAAACATAGAATATTTATATTAATAAGTAAATAAAATGTACAGCAGATTAGGACACTATGAAAATATAATAAAGTAGATATGGTAGAAAATAGGTGTGATTGTCTCCATTTCTATGAAGAAACTGGCACAGGGAGAAAAAGTTATTAATTGTAGTCAAGGTTTTCTAAGATACCTGCCCAAGTCCTGATGACCCCAGGTCCTTGGAAAGGCCAAGGAAGGACAGGGCACCAACTATATTTGTGTTCTACGTTGTCATATATGGTAATTGTGGATTGGAATAAAGAAGATATTTTTGCCCCAGCTAGACCAATTATATTGTTTCTTTTGGGAATTTTATAACACTGTCAAAACATTCATATATTGCAGATTGGCAGTGGTTATGGACAAGCGTTTGTTTGAGTTGTCAGAGTGAATGCAAATGATCAAGCTTATCCACATTAGCTTAAGTAAATAATACATGAACAGAGGTATAGACAATGTTGATGCATCTATCACAGCTTGAGTGTCACACAAATCCATGGAACTGGCAATGTTCCAGGGAGCTGGAGTGGTCTGTTTACCACTTTTGGGTGTGTGAGCCTCTAGTGGTAAATTTAGCAAGGCTTACCTCAACCTGTTAACTCAACAAGACTATCCTCAAGGAGATGAGCATGCAGGCATGCCTCTTTTACATAAGCTCCACTGAGCCCACCAAGAAGAACTGAGACACCTTAATACTGCAGCCTCCAGTTGGTGAGATGTCCCAATATTCTTTTCTACTTACTTGCTTTTAGCTTTTACTAAAAAGAAAAGAATCTAATTTTAAAATGTATATGCAAACACACACACACACAAGTAAGTAGCTACAAGGATTTGAACCCATATCTGTGTATTTGCCATAAATACTTAGTTTGAAGAATAAAACATACAATTGTTTTGAAGAATAAAATGCAGTTTATCATTAATGTTTTAGGAGACTTAAAACTTCTCTTGACCGGGCGCGGTGGCTCACGCCTGTTATCCCAGCACTTTGGGAAGCCGAGGCGGGCGGATCACGAAGTCAGGAGATTGAGATCATCCTGGCTAACATGGTGAAATCCCGTCTCTACTAAAAATACAAAAAAAAAAAAAAAAAAAAAAAATTTAGGCGGGCGTGGTGGTAGGCTCCTGTAGTCCCAGCTACTCAAGAGGCTGAGGCAGGAGAATGGTGTGAACCCGGGAGGCGGAGCTTGCAGTGAACCAAGATCGCGGCACTGCACTCCAGCCTGGGCGAGAGCGAGACTCTGTCTCAAAAAAAACAAAAAAACAAAAACAATTTCTCTTAAAAATTTCATTGTTTTTAAATGTTGAAAAAGCCATCTCAAAAATTTAGGAACATTTTATTCTCTCCTTCTCCCTCTTGAATTACCAGTGCCCACATTTCCCAGTGCAAAAGACTACTTGAGTATCCCTGTACTACATCCCTATTTTTCAGAAGAGTTTTAGAAAGAGCAAGTTACCAACAAAAGGCCACAAAGAGGAATGAGCCAGTCCCTCCCAGCCATCTCACACAGAATGGAGATGGCTTTCACACCTGGGTGGTTTTCCAGTGTGCAAAGATTCCACAAGAGTGACTGATAACACTAGGCTTGCCTAATTTCTAAAGATCATTTTCCTCTGTGAGTTAAAGCCAATGACCCCAGCTCACAAGCAAACATCTGTTGTTCCTTGATAACGCTTCCAGGCACTTTGATTTCTCACTGTGCCCTGTAATCTGTGTAGTTGCCTCCCTGAAGTTGTTTATTCTGAAAGGACATACTGGGAGCCTAGACCAAATAGTGCAGGTTGGTCAAAAAGCTATTGGCTAATTGTTTTCTTGCACTTGAATGAATTTTAATGATGATTTCCCCTGATGATGGTCTAAGTGTATTATTCACTACATTTGGATAAAATGCATGTTAATGTGCTTAGCAAGCAGTTCAGGAAGAAATATTGTTATCTGTATTTCAAAAAAAAGCTAATAAGCATGCATTTTGAATATAAATGTTTTATTTGGAAGGATAACTATGGCAATGCTGGTTGGGTGGTATTTCTCATAGGAGCTTTAGGAATGCTTCATAGGAAAGTGATTATATCTATTTTTTTATCTTGTTCAATTAGTTATCTGTGAATTCTCCATCTTTCATTTCATTTTGAAGAGGTGCCACAAAGTTACAATGCCATTGGAGCAATTAGAGTAGAATAATCAAATGAGTACTGGACTGAGACACTAATTTGCTGTGTGATCTTGGGTAAGACATGTGGATAATTCTAGGACCGAGTTGTCTCATTTTCTCATAAAATACCTATGTTTTGTTGTGATTCTTAAGCAATGTGGTGGATATAAAAACCCATTGTGAGCTAAAATGTGTAATATGTATGTACTGTTACTGTTACTTGCAAATATTGTTGATATGAGAGTCTGATGACAGGGTAGATCTCATCTTGTGAAGTTGAATCAAGTTGCTTATTACTTGTCTTTTTAGGTGGGAAACATTTTTGTTAGGAAGTGTTCATATTCCAAGTTGCCAGCTATAAATTGTAACCTACTGAATATTCTTTCTGAGGGATATGCATCATTTTTAGAGTTTGGGCTACATAATGTCATTCTAGTTGAGTGCAGTGCTTTTTCTCCTGGGCTGAGCATTAAAATCATGTAGGGCTTTAAAAGCTGCTAATGCTCAGGCCTTAGCTGAGTCCCTGTCTCTAAGAGTAAGGTACAACAACTTGTACTTTTTAAAAAGTTTCTCAAGTGAGTCTGATGACAGCAAAATTTGTCATTGACTATTTCAGTAGAAAGAGCATCAGATTTACAGGGAGATATATCAGGGACTGCAATTCTGCCAACTTTGCGATTTTAAGTCAAGGTCTTCTATAAAAAATAATTCAGTTTGCCTTTATCTGTGGTTCTTGGGAGGTAACCTCTAAATTCTTGAAAGTTCCCAAGTCATAGCAGGGTCTTTGTTATTTATGGTGGCCCCCTGAGACCACATTACTTCATTCATGCTAACAATATGACTCAGATCATGCCATAAAGATCAACTATGTGATTAGAATGCTGGGTCTTTGAGTCATGTGATATCAGTCTGGTCGCAGGGAAGGTATGACTGGAGATTGAGTCACATGGCTAATGATTCAATCAGTCATGCACACATAACATTTTTAAATAACAACGCTTTTAAAATTTAATTTTGTCCTTCACTTTTATAGCAAAAAAATCTTATGACTAATATAACTTTCTTTTTTAAGTATGCCTTATTAATATTTGCCCATTTACATAACATTTTATTATTTTTGAAGAGTAATACCTTTGTGCCTCCTTTTTAATCTAACATTTTAATCATGAGCCTTTATTCATAGAGAACACAAAATATGCTTTTCTTGGTTATATATTTCATTATGCTTATCTAAAATAAATTAAGATATTAAATAAATTATCAAACTTTTTTATTATAATTACTTATTACTTTTATAAAATCTTTTTTTTTCTCCTAGAGATAGAGTCTCACTCTGTCTCCCAAGCTGGAGTACAATGGTGTGATCATAACTCATTGCAGCCTCAAATTCCTGGACTCAGGTAATCTTCCAGCCTCAGCCTCCCAAGCAGCTGGGTCTACAGGCATTTGCTACAATGTCTGGTTAATTTTTTTCTATTTTTTTCTTTTTTTTTTTTTAGAGGTGGGGTCTCACTACATTGCCCAGGCTTGTCTTGAACTCCTGGCCTAAAGTGATCCTCTCACCTCAGCCTCCAGAATAGCTGGGATTACAGACATGAGCCACCATGCCTGGCTATATTTGTTATTTTAAAAGACAGTTTATATCTTTGAATTCATAGCTTCATGTTTTTTAAAAGTATATTTTTAGAATAATAGGAAAAGGATTTCTGCATCAAAGACTATGGACACGGAAGAACATTTTTAAGTTACAAAGAATGTTTCCATAAGTTTTTAACACTCAAAAAAATACCCTGAAGGTGAAAAACACATTTTGTTTCACCAGTTTATAGATAGAAAAACTGATCTTAAGACTATTCAATAACTATTTAAGACCAGATGAAATGTAAGAAACAGAGTCAGGCCAGAACCATCTGCTGGGCCTGGGATTTTCTCAGTGGCCTAGGGAAAATAAAGAGATTATTTGTTTCTTCCTTATTTTGTATTGATTACTTTATAACTTTTATAATAATTGTGTATTTACTTATTTTGGAGACAAAATGTCAAGGGAGGAATAATTTGCAATTTTGTTTCAGTGGAATTAGACAGTCATCAGGATATAATGATATAATCAAACTACAAAGCAATAATTCTAATGTTAATTTATGAGGGAGACGAGGGGAGGATGAGAGGAGAAACAGAGCTCCTAGTAAGAACTACCATTGGCCCGCTGCTTTACTAATGGCCTTTTTAGGAATAATCTCATACCTAAAATATGATTATTTTTCTTTAAGAATCCTCATTTTACAGATGAGAAAACTGAGGCCTAGAGAGTTAACATGCTTTCCAGTGATTTGGAATCTACAAAATAGCATACATGAGATTCAGCACAGGGCTGCCAGACTCTAAAAACCTTGCACTAAACCACCCAATTCCATTGTGACTTGATTGAAGCTAGACAGAGTAGACAGGTAGAGCAGGTCCTGGGATTAAAGGGGACAGATTCTGGGTTGTGGGTTTTACATTTGTTTTCTTTTCTCCACTTCGGGGGGATGATGTGTCTAGTTGTCTTTTCTGGATCAGAGCCGGGGGGCTCTGTATCTAGTTGTCTTTTCTGGATCAGCTATGCCATTGGGTAGGTGAAGTTTGTGTTGGAACTGGGATGGGTTGTTTGAGCCTTGAAACCTTCTTCTTGTTGTGTTTCTTCAATATTCTGTGCTCATGTGGGATTGGTTTGTGGTAAAAAGTCACTATTTTTATTAATGAGTCCTGTATCCTAAGAGCATGAGTAATTTGCTGAGGGTGTCTGAATAGTCATAAGCTATCCATTACTGACCTGCTTCCCATAAAGAATGAGCTGAGAGTCCTGACTTAAGACTCAGGAAGGAGTGAAGATGGACGCTCAGCCTGTTTCAGCAGTGGATCGTCATGTGATTCCACCTTACTTGGTAAAGAGCAATCACAATTTCTTTAAACAAGTCTCTGTCATCCTTCCCTTAGTGATAATGGCTTTCTTAATATCTTGATTCTTGTTATATGTTATCTATGACAGTGCCAGTTATTCAGAGTAAAATTTAAAAAATAATCTTCTATGCTGTGTTCCAGATGGCTCCTATAATTGGTTTATTACTTTTACAGATGTTTTGGAGAAATTTCAGAAAATAAGCTAACAGTAGATTGCATCAGCTAGTGAAAGTGGCCTTCCCCTGTTGATTCTTCTGCTCGGACAAATATAATCTGTGCATTAGCTGAAGTGCTATGTTTCATAGGCCCAGAATTTATGGGATTTGAGGGATTACAGGTTTATTGTTTAATATGGGAAGATGGTCTTGTTGCTTCTTGGAAGACTGGACCCCTGCAAATAAGTTTAATAGCCACAAATCATATTTCCCATTGAACTGACTTTTAAGAAAATTATATAATTATAATCCCCTATTTTTAAACTCCATTTTATAGTTTTAAAGGTTTTTGACAATAATCTTGAAAACAAAACCAAGCAGATATAATTACTAGTCTTGTTATTATTTCCATGTTCCTGATGAGACAACTGAGGTCCAGAGAGGTGACATGGAATAATGCAGGTGTTCTGGCTCCTTGGTTAGTCTTCTTTGCTTTTCACTATTACCATGTCATCTCTCCTATATTCAGGAGCCATAATTGGGGATGTTCTACCTCTGATAGAGGACAGTTCCCACACACCCAAGTGTCAGGAAAGGAAGCAGGGGTCAGCTCAAATATACTAAAAAATATTCAATTTTGACATTGAATGAACCTTAAATGTCATTAAGTCCAACAACTCATCCAGCATAGAAATTTATCCTACAGTCTTTCTGACTGATGCCCTTCCAGCCTCTGACTGAATATTTCTGGTGATAAATTGATTTATTGCATTTGGGGATAATTCTGAGTTATACAAATTATCTTATTAGAATGAATTAAAATGAACCATTATTACTCTGAGTTTGGTCTTAGGTAGCCAACTGCATTTTCACAAAGGAGTTACACTTGTGGGCGGCAGAACATTTTTGGATTGATTTAAAGTTTATCTAAGTGGATTAGAAGAGCCCCTTACCTCACCAGAATGAGGGAGGCAGATGAGAAACTGCCTTATAGCAGCCTCCCTTCAAAAGAGAACGCAGTGCCTGTAGCAGCTCCTCCCAAGACTGCCGTTCTTGCCCTGAACTTGGAGGGTCACAGGATATTCCACAAGGATTTTTGGTCAGCCTGTGGTTGACCTTTATTTATACAGCTTATGTGAAGATGTGCAAAGTTATCAGAGTGCCAGCACAGAGCAGTTCTGTTAGAAATAGACACGTCTCTGCCCCGATCTAGACCTCAGTTTCCTCAGCTGCAGAATGAGGAAATTGCACTCTGTCAAGTCCCTTCATTGTATACCCAGGAAATTTCTACATATTTTATGTCTTTTCCGTTTCTTCTCCAAGCTGAACAACTCTAGCTTTCCTTATGTCCTCTTATTTTCTGGCTTTTATCATTTTTTTCCTAGTTTTTATCAGTTTTTGAGTGTTAATGGTCACAAAGGGAATCAAAGAGATTCAGGATTGAGCAGGCTGGCACGGAAGGACTTGGCATGGCTTGGTGGTCTTTAGCTAATGCTAAAGGTTCTAGCAGCTTTGCTCCCCTATCCCTTCTCTCCGCACCTATGCCAAACAGCTGACAGCCTGCCACCTTGCTTGTGGGCTCCCTGCCATTATCACAGATGGGCCCAATATGCTGGAGTAGGAAAATCACGTATGAGAATTATATGTGGTCATTGAAAATTATTGCAGTTGTTGCCATAAAATAAATTGGTCTACTAGCTGAATCCCAGAAGACTTTATGGATCTATTTGGTTGATTCTTTAAGCAATGTGATAAAATTTTGGCATTTTATACCAGAATTTTCCAGCTGTTTATAAAAAGAACATGAATTAAGCTAAGATATGATGAGAGGAGTATTTGTGAATTTTGCTGTGCAGTCTCTTTTTTTCATAAAGCGTGCACCAGTTCAAGTCTCTCTCAATTTGGCAATGCCACTCTCAATCATTAACTCATTAATTCTTACAATAACGTGTGGGTTTTTTATCATGTCAATCATCATGCTGTTTGGAAATAGACAATATAATTAAAACAGAAACCCTTGGTTTTTTCTTTTAATTTAACTTTGATTTTAAGTTCAGGGATACATGTGCAGGTTTGTAACATAGGTAAACTTGTGTCATAGGGGCTTGTTGTATAGATTGTTTCATCACCCAGGTATTAAGCCTACTACTCATTAGTTATTTCTCCTGATCCTCTCCTTCCTCCCATCCTTCACCCTCAAATAGGCCCCAGTGTCTGCTGTTCCCCTCTATGCATTCTCGTCATTTAGCTCCCATTTATAAGTGAGAACATGCGGTATTTGGTTTTCTATTCCTGTGTTAATTTGCTAAGGATAATGGCCTCTGGCTTCCTTGATTTTAAGAAAACTTTCTTTTTTTAAACTTGTTTTTAAGACCCTTATTTTTAGAAAAAATCATGTAAGGCTCCTATACATAGTTGTGGGGAGAGAGGATAATACTGTTTTAATTTTTAAAAAACCTTATTAATTTTGGAACAGATAAGTACAGAAAAGAATTTTATATATGTCTCACCTATGCAGAGTTGAAAGAATTGGAGTCAATGGCAATGAATTTTTTTTCTATTTGATTTTGCTCCAAATTTGAGCAAGCTATCATCTTCTTTTGAGCAAACCAAGTGTCAACCTGGGTTGTAAATAAACTTGCAAGGTGGCATCTAAAGTTTTTCATTTGGCTTAAAACTCTTCATCCTTCCTTGGAGGTAAAGTTACAAAAAACCAGCAAGATCAAAATTCCTAGCTTTTCCAGGAAATGCCAAGTTAATGCCTGTTTAACCCACAAGTAGTCCAATTGGCATTCTCTTTTCTTAAGAGAGTTCCAATTTGGATGAATTGTATGATCACTCTATATATAACCAAGCAACAAACCTTCTTTCCACATTTGCCAACGATGCCAAAAATCCCCAAGTAATCATGCATGGTTCTCCAACATAGTCTAGGAGGAAATTTAACATCCTAACAAACTGTCTCTTTATGTGCTTGTTGTAGTTAGATTCTTTTGCCAAGGCAGACGTTTTCATATACTCTGAAGCCTACTTAACATGAGATTTCACTTTATTACTTTAGGATTCAGGGTGTGTTGATGGGACAGGGAGAAATAAAGTTCAATTGCATATTTCAATGAATTCCCATTTCTGGCACAGAAAGAATTGAACAGATCATGGTAGCTGAACATTATGTGGCTATAAAGAGCAAAGTGTCTGAAAACAACAGATTGGACCATTCTTGTTTTCTAGATTGCTAAGTATGGCTGCCTCTTTCTGGTATGGGAACCCTCATTTCTCATTTCTCCCCACAAGAGCTGGTGGAGCTGAGGCAGTAATTCCAACCATGAAGCAGGAGCTGTAAAGGCTGTTTCTTACGAGAACAGAAGAGTGCTTAAGAAAGAGGGCTTGAAATTATGTAGATCTGGGTTTGAATCCTGTGATGAGAAATAATTTGTAGGTAGTAGTTTGTACCACAATTTTCATTTTTTAAAATCTTAACTTTTTATTTATTTTTTTTTTACTTTTTTCTTTGCAAAGCAGGATAGACATGTACTTCAATTTTTTAAGCTCTGTGAAGTTGATAATAATTCCTTTCTTGGAGAGTTGTTTTAAGATTATGAACAGAGCGTCAAAGAGTGGCTGATACCTAGTAAGAGCTTAATGAATTGTATATTTAGGACTATTCTTCAGTTTGGAACTGTAACCCTCTGTCAGCCCATCCTTCCTCTTTGTTCTTCACTTTTGTTTTTGGTTTTAGCTGTGTTTGAACTATCTGTGGAAAAATTTCTTTGCTGTGTGAAGCTTCAAAGAAATATGGGGCCCTTTGAGAACACCTGTATTTACACTGTGTACCAGAGTGGACTGTCTTTTCTTTTTTTAAAATCCAGTGTCTCCTTCTAACTGCTCGGCAGAGCTTATTGAGCATTTTCAACTTTTTTTTGACTTTGTGATGTGTGCGCATGTGTGTGTAGACTTTCCATCCAGCGATCATTATTCAAATATTTGCCTCATGCAGACAAGCAGAACTACAGTTTTAGATATCTACAGCTCTCTGGTTTGTGTGTTCTTTGGCTTCTTGTCTGAAAAATGCCTCAGGCCTCCTGCTTATCCCCTTTTGTTTGAAACTGATGTAAGACTATACCTGTGATTATCACTATAGCCACCATACTAAATTTTACAGTGTTATTTTTCCTGCTTCATGAGCACTGGGAGGCTGAATTTAGAAACAGAAGCTACTTTGCTTGGGTAGAACTAGAGACCCTACAAACCTCTCCTGAAACCATGGCTTTATTTCAGAGAATTCCTGTACCTGGAAGTTGTCACCAAACGCTATAGGGAGTGACTGAGAAAGGAGGAAGCAAAATAATGAACCAGGCCAGAGGGCAACCCTTTTGGGTAAAGATACCAAATATGTGTGGTTTTGGGAAAAGGATGGTAAACAAAAATTGGTGAGAAAAAGAGCTCTCTGAGTACCCTCCTTTCTGGAAAAGATGCTAAAGGGCAGAGAGGAATGATTTAGAAAGAACAATCAGGTGAAGTTGAACATGTTGTGTTCAACAGTTTGGGGAATAGGTGATATATTGGAGTCCTCCTATAATACAATCTATTTTGGAGCAAAATTCAAGACAAGTATGTTTTTCTGGAATCCAAGGGTGATGGAGCTAGCATAGTGGCATATGGAGCACATAAACACTTGTGTTTATATCTTCTACTTCTGGGATCAGATTAGAGTTTCTATCCCCACACTTCTGCTTTCTGCCCATGTAATGTGTAGGCAAATCACTTAATCCCAGTGTGTCTTGATTTTCCATCTGTGAAATGAGGATCATAATATCTTCTACCTCATAGGATTTTGATAAAAGGAGATAATATATGGAAGTCATTTGATACGAAAGTACTTGGGTCATAGAGAGTTCTTAATTGTAGCTATTAACATTTTAAATGTTTCTGTCCCAAACACTGTGACAACACTTTACACGTATTAGCTTATTCCCCACAACACCTCAAAACAAGTATTACTACCCATCCTCTCCATTTAATAGAAAGAAAATGAAGACTTGAAGCTGTTCAATGATTTGTTCAAGGCCAGATATCCTGAATATAGAAGAGCTGAAATTACATCTCTTGTCTGTGTACCTCCAAGTCCTTTTTTAATGATGTCATACTGTATTCAAGACAAGATAAATAAATTGGTATTAGACTGATAATAACTTTAATTATGCCTGTTCTCTGAATAGAAGATTTCATTAAAATAGGTGGAGACTAAGTCTCTTTGTAGGTCTCTAAGAACTTCCTTTATGAATCTGGGTGTTCCGGTATTGGGTGCGTATATATTTAGGATAATTAGCTATTCTTGCCGCATTGATCCTTTTACCATTATGTAATGTTCTTCTTTGTCTCTTTTGATCTTTGTTGGTTTAAAGTCTGTTTTGTCAGAGACTAGGATTGTGACCCCTGCTTTTTTATTTTTTCTTTCTATTTGCTGGGGAAATATACCTCCATCCCTTTATTTTGAGCCTATGTGTGTCTTTGCACATAAGATGGGTCTCCTGAATACAGTACACCAATGGGTCTTGACTCTTTATCCAATTTGCCAGTCTGTGTCTTGTAATTGGGGCATTTAGCTGTAGACTCCCAAACAATAATAGTGGGAGCCTTTAACACCCCACTGTAAATATTAGATCAATGAGACAGAAAATTAACAAGGATATTCAGCTCTGGAACAAGCAGACCTAATAGACATCTACAGAACTCTCTACCCCAAATCAACAGAATATACATTATTTTCAGCACCTCATCACACTTATTCTAAAATTGATCACATAATTGGAAGTAAAACACTCCTCAGCAAATGCAAAAGAACGGAAATCATAAGTCTCTCAGACAACAGTGCAATCAAATTAGAACTCAGGATTAAGAAACTCACACAAGGCCTGGCGCGGTGGCTCATGCCTGTAATCCCAGCACTTTGGGAGTCCAAGGCAGGCGGATCACTAGGTCAGGAGATCGAGACCATCCTGGCTAATACGGCGAAACCCCATCTCTACTAAAATTACAAAAAAATTAGTCAGGTGTGGTGGTGGGCACCTGTAGTCCCAGCTACTCAGGAGGCTGAGGGAGGAGAATGGCATGAACCTGGGAGGCAGAGCTTGCAGTGGGTGAAGATTGTGCCACTGTACTCCAGCTTGGGTATCAGAGTGAGACTCAGTCTCAAAAAAAAAAAAAAAAAAACCACACAAAACTGCACAACTACATGGAAACTGAATAACCTGCTCCTGAATGACTACTGGGTAAATAGTAAAATTAAGGCAGAAATAAATAAGTTCCTTGAAACCAATGAGAACAAAGATACAACATACCAGAATCTCTGGGACACAGCTAAAGCCGTGCGTGGAGGGAAATTTATAGCACTAACTGCCCCAAAAGAAAGTGGTAAAGATTTAAAATTGATACTCTAACATCACAATTAAAAGAACTAGAGAAGCAAGAGCAAACAAATTCAAAAGCTAGCAAAAGACAAGAAATAACTATGATCAGAGCAGAACTGAAGGAGATAGAGACACAAAAAACCCTTCAAAAAAATCAGTGGATCCAGGAGCTGGTTTTTTGAAAAGATTAACAAAATATATAGACTGTTAGCTAGACTAATAAAATGAGAGAAGAATCAAATTGACACAATAAAAAATGATAAAGGGGATATCACCACTGATCCCACAGAAATACAAACTACCATCAGAGAATATTACAAATACCTCTATGCAAATAAACTAGAAAATCTAGAATAAATGGATAAATTCCTGGACATATACACCCTCCCAAGACTAATCCAGGAAGAAGTCAAATCCCAGAATAGACCAATAACAAGTTCTGAAATTAAGGCAGTAATTAATAGCCTATCAACCAAAAAAAGCCCAGGACCAAATGGATTCACAGCTGAATTCTACCAGAGGTAAGAGGAGCTGGTACTATTCCTTCTGAAACTACTCCAAACAATAGAAAAAGAGGGGCTTCTCCCAAACTCATGAAGCCAGCATCATCCTGATACCAAAACCTGGCAGAGGCACAACAACAAAAAAAATTTCAGGCCAATATCCCTGATGAACATTGATGTGAGAATTCTCAATAAAATACTGGCAAACTGAATCCAGCAGCACATCAAAAAGCTTATCCACCATGATCAAGTCAGCTCCATCCTTGGGATGCAAGTCTGGTTCGACATATGCAAATCAATAAACATAATCCATCACATAAACAGAACCAACAAAAAAACCTACATGATTATCTCGATAGATGCAGAAAAGGCCTGCAATAAAATTCAACACCCCTTCATGCTATAAACTCTCAAACTAGGTAATGATGGAATGTATCTCAAAATAACAAGAGCTATTTATGACAGAACCACAGCCAATATCATACTGAATGTACAAAAGCTGGAAGCATTCCCTTTGAAAACTGGCACAAGACAGGGATGCCCTCTCTCACCACTCCTATTAAACACAGTATTGGAAGTTCTGGCCAGGGCCGTCAGGCAATAGAAATAAATAAAGGATATTCAAGTAGGAAGAGAGGAAGTCAAATTGTTGCTGTTTGCAGATGACATGATTGTATATTTAGAAAACCCCATTGTCTCAGCCCAAAATCTCCTTAAGCTGATAAGCAACTTTAGCAAAGTCTCAGGATACAAAATCAATGTGCCAAAATCACAAGCATTCCTATACACCAATAATAGCCAAATCATAAGTGAACTCCCATTCACGATTGCTACAAAGAGAATAAAATACCTAGGAATCCAACTTACAAGGGATGTGAAGGACCTCTTTAAAGAAACCACTGCTCAAGGAAATAAGAGAGGACACAAACAAATGGAAAAACATTCCGTGCTCATGGATAGGAAGAATCAATATTGTGAAAATGGCCATACTGCCCAAAGTAATTCATAGGTTCAGTGCTAGCCCCATCAAGCTATCATTGACTTTCTTCACAGAATTAGAAAAAACTACTTTAAATTTCATATGGAATGAAAAAAGATCCCATATAGCCAAATCCTCAGCAAAAAGAACAAAGCTGGAGGCATCATGCTACCTGACTGCAAACTATGCTACAAGGCTACAGTAACCAAAACTGCATGGTACTGGTACCAAAAACAAATATATAGACCAATGGAACAGAACAGAGGCCTCAGAAATAATGTCATACATCTACCACCAGCTGATCTTTGACAAACCTGACAAAAAAAAAAAAAAAAAAAAACAATGGGAAAAGGATTCCCTATTTAATAAATGTGTTGGGAAAACTGGCTAGCCATATGCAGAAAATAAACTAGATCCCTTCCTTACACCTTATACAAAAAAAAACGTCAAGATGGAGTAAAGACTTAAACATAATACCTAAAACCATAAAAACCCTAGAAGAAAAACTATGCAATACCATTCAGGACACAGGCATGGGCAAAGACTTCATGACTAAAATACCAAAAATAATGGCAACAAAAGCCACAATTGACAAATGGGATCTAATTAAACTAAAGAACTTCTGCACAGCAAAAGAAACTATCATCAGAGTGAATAGGCAACCTACAGAATGGGAGAAGATTTTTGCAATCTATCCATCTGGCAAAGGGCCAATACCCAGAATCTACAAGGAATTTAAACGAATTTAGGAGAAAAAAACAACCCCATCAAAAGGTGGGCAAAGGATATGAACAGACACTTCTCAAAAGAAGACATGTATGCGGCCAACAAACTTATGAAAAAAAAGCTCATCATCACTGGTCATTAGAGAAATGCAAATCAAAACCACAGTGAGATACCATCTCATGCCAGTTAGAATGGCGATCATTAAAAAGTCAGGAAACAACAGATGCTGGAGAGGATGTGGAGAAATAGAAAAGCTTTTACGCTGTTTCTGGGAGTGTAAATTAGTTCAACCATTATGGAAGACAATGTGGCAATTCCTCAAGGATCTAGCACCAGAAATACCATTTGACCCAGCAATCCTATTGCTGGGTATATACTTGAAGGATTATAAATCATTCTATTATAAAGACACATGCACATGTCTGTTTATTGCAGCACTATTCACAATAGCAAAGACTTGGAACCAACCCAAATGTACATCTATGATAGATTGGATAAAGAAAATGTGGCACATATATACCATGGAATACTATGCAGCCATAAAAAGGATGAGTTTATGTCCTTTGTAAGGACATGGATGAAGCTGGAAACCATCATTCTCAGCAAACCAACACAGGAACAGAAAACCAAACACCGCATGTTCTCACTCATATGTAGGAATTGAACAATGAGAACACATGGACACAGGGAGTGGAACATCACACACCTGAGTCTGTTGGGGGGTGGGGGACTAGCGGAGGGATAGCATTAGGGGAAATAACTAATGTAGATGACAGGTTGATGGGTGCAGCAAACCACCATGGCACGTGTATACCTATGTAACAAACTGCACGTTCTGCACCTGTATCACAGAACTTAAAGTATAATAAACAAAAATAAGTGGAGAATTTAAGTAATGTAATAAAACAATAGAGCATTGTATGGGCTGCATATGTTTAAATGGAACAATCTCTGATGGCATCCCCTTACATGCAAGTACCTAGTGTAGAAAGGTACTCTTCAAAAGGTGTGATCATTGAAGAGTGCAATATCCACTTCTTACCCAATTGTTCTTTATCTTAAATCAGAAGAAGAATAAAACAATTCTGTGAAATTGTCTGGTTGTTCCATGTTTTGCTGTAGATAAGTACTTATCTATGCCACTTAAAGCAGCCAGTTTTTTTTTTTAACTCTGTGGATCTCTAGAAAGAAAATTTCACTTAATTCTTATAAATAGTACTTATTTAGTATTGAAATTGATAGGAACAGGATACAGGGAAATTCTGGGTAGAAGAAGCCAGCTCCCTGGCCAAAGCCTCACCCTCAAGCCTAGAGACCCGTGGCCCTAGGTGGGAACAGGCATTTCTATTTTCGTGCCCAAAAAAGTTGTCTTTTGACCTGCCATACACCCTGATCCTGCACCCATATAAATCCTGAACCCGAGGCTCCAGAAGCAGATGCGCAGGCGAGGAGACAAGACAAGCAGATGGATGGTGGAATGACACAGCAGAGAAAGAAGAGGAATGTCTGAGCTCTGAGAAAAGTTTGGCTGGGGGTGGTTAGAGAGTAGTTTAGCCTCTGGTTGGCTAAACTCCAGGGGAAGATCATCTTTCCACTCCATCCCCTCTTCTGGTTCCCCATCCATCCCGCTGAGAGCCACATGCATCCTTCAAACCCATGTGTGATCTGATTTTTCTGGGACACTGGGCAAGAACTCAGGAAACAGAAAGGTGTCACACTGTCCCTCTGCCTTTGCAAAAAGGCAGAAGGTCCTTTGAGCTGGTTAACACGTAAGCCATCTGCGGATGGCAAGGCTAAGAGAGCATGGTAACACTGGGGCTGCAGACACCCACCCCTAGATACTACCATGTGGCCAAAGCCCAAAGCACTTGCCCCGGCCCCTGCACCTGCCTGTCTGTGTGCTCCCCCTCCCCTCAGGGGTTTGAGCAGCAGGAGTGACCCAACAGGCAAGTGACACCCCTGTCACACATCCTGCAAGGGGAATCAGGGAACTCTCCCATTTCAAAATCTATAACTGTTTTCTCAACATGAAACACACCAAAAGGAGTTTTCATACATGTCTATTCTTTCAACATTCATTCCTTGTTTCAACAGATATTTATGAAAGGCATAATCTGTTTCAACAACTGTTCTAAGTGCTGCAGGTAAAACAGTGAAGAAAAACAAAAAGTCCTTTGTTCTCTTGAGGCTCCTATTCCAGTGACAGAAGCTAGATAAATGAATGTGAGATAAGTAGATGTATGTAATGGGGTAGAAGATATCTGCAATGGGCAAAATAGAGAATAGTAAGAGGGATCGGACATGCTGGTCATTGGGATATCATGTTGATAATAGGCTGGTCAGGGAATGCCATATTGAGATGTGACATTTAAGCCAAGACCTGAGGAAGTGGAAGGAGTAAGGCCTGGGGCTAGCTGAGGGAGAAGCATTCCAGCCAGAGGAAGAGGAGGCAGCAGTGTGTAGTCCCTCCAGCATGGTAGAGACTGAGTGAGGGAATGGAAGATTAGTAATAGTTGCAGCCACAGGGATAACAGAGGATCAGACAGTAGCGGGTATTGCTATTGCCTTACAGGTCTTTTATTTCTTTATTTTTATTTTTTAAGACAGATTCTTGCTCTGTCACTCAGGCTGGAGTGCAGAGGTGCTATCTTGGCTTACTGAAACCTCTGCTTCCAGGGTTCAAGTGATCCTCCCACCTCAGCCTCCTGAGTAGCTGGGACTACATGTGTGAACCACCACACCCAGCTAATTTTTGTATGTTTAGTAGAGATGGGCTTTTACCATGTTGACCAGGCTGGTCTTCAGCTCCTGACCTCAAGTGATCCACCCACCTCAGCCTCCCAAAGTGCTGTGATTACAGGTATAAGCCACAGCCCCCAGACCTGCTCTATAGGTCTTTAAGGACATTTTGCTCTAAAAAAGTGATGACTCTATTGAAGATTTTAGAGCAAAGAAGTGCCATGATTTGATTTATCCTTCACAGGGTCTTTTGGGCAACTGTGCTCAGAATGGGTTCCATTTTGCAGTTAATTCCTTATCTCATTGTTTCTCTCATGTCTCTTCCATATTTGGCTGAACCATCTAGAATCAAACAGCTCTTCTGAATATCAAAAAGACTCAAAGTCTGGCCTATCAGATCTTCAGAGGAGAGACTGTCCTTCCTATTCTTCAATTTTCGGTATCTAGCACAGGGTCTGTCACATAAAAAGTATTAAATATTTGCTTACTGTGAGCTGAATGAATGCCTAAACAGTTCTGTTCTTCTGGGAGTCTTGATGCTCAAGATGGTTCGTTCTTCTTTTGTTTCTTTAATGTTTACTAATTAACTCAGGGAATTCATTCAATATCTTCAACCTGACAGTTCTAATATTTATTTACTCCTGATACCATAGATTTCTTCTATGTCTCTTGCTTATCTAACCTTTCTTCCTAACCTCCCTCTTGCTTTTATTCTAGCACATTTTCTTTTAATTATGTGTATTTTATGTAAATATAATTTACTATAAAACTTTTCCTCTTTCATTTTGCTGAATTCTTAAGACTACGGACTCATTGAAGACTAGGGACTTCCTTCCTTCCTTCCTTCCTTCCTTCCTTCCTTCCTTCCTTCCTTCTTTCCTTCCTTCCTTCCTTCCTTCCAGAAAACAAATAGGAATGCCAATTTGGTGACGTTGATGAGATGAGAAACTCCAAATTATGAAAACACAACCTGACTATATGGTTACCTTAAATTCCGTCAGAGCTATAGAAAACGCTTCCTGTGCAAACAATCTACTCTCCTTTTCAAAAATGAGATCTCTTGCTTCCCAACTTCAAGAAGTCTTTCCTATTGTGAAATATTAGAGAAGTAACAGAAAAGTCAAAATCACTGCAATCTTTCTTCCCTTTTTTGGGCCAGATAAGTTTCCATAGTCGTATATTAAAATGTGCTTTTCAACATAATGCTATTCTTCCACTTTTGGTCTATCTCCATCTGCACTGCAATTCTCTTACATTTATTTTCTAAACATTTGCTGACTCTGTCCTCCAAGACACGTATGAGTGGGTACAAATGAGAAGATTTACATGGATATGGAAATGATTTGAGAAGATTTTTTGGCACTGAGAGTTTTTTAATATTTCATTGCAAGTAAGCAGATTTACTAAAGGTCTTCGGAGATTCTGCTGTGGTTTCTGTTATAATGCCAATCATAATAGAATAAGCTGAATATAATGATACATTATATAATGGTCTTGAAAGGCCATGAAGGTGAATAGCTTTTAAAGAAAAGAACAAATTTGTTTTAAATTATTATTAAGCTTTTGGATCAAGGGCAAGAGTATTGATGCTGTTCACATGAAAATAATTTTTAATTGGGCTAGTGAGTACAAAATTTAGGTCATAATTATAATGAATACTTGCTGCTAGGAAGATTAGAGATAATAGGTTATATTCTTGTATCAGTTATGCTTTGGGGCATCTGTTTTAGAGGCCAATCCAATAAACGTTTCTTAATTGACATTATTTTTTGTGTGTCCTTAGCATATGCTATAGTTGAACTGAACCTTAATTATTGCTACGACCTTTCAAGGGTACTCATATCTCAGCTATTACACTCTATTTTTGAGGCTTCCTTTTCTTTGTCCTTCTGGAGACTGGTAAATTATTTTCATTTTGAAATGCCTGGGTTTACAGGCATTCAGATAATGGTAGTATTTGATTTTACCATTACCATCTACCTTCTCTGCTTGACTAAATGTCCAATTATGTGATTCTGTACAATATGTTCACGAGGAACTTGAACTTCTGTTGTATCAATAATATCACTTGCTTTCAGAAAGGTCTAATTTTTTAATAAAAAAGACATTACTTGATAACACCAGCACTGATGCCCAGAATTTTGGAGAACACAGTGGACTTTTAGAAAGTAGACTTTAAAATCCCAATTTCACATGTTGAGTTATTAAAAATTGTGTTTCTGTGCTTGTGTGTATGTAGGTAATCTTCCAGCCTTCAATGAAAGCGAGTGCTGGAAGATTACATGAATTTACTTTTAATCTATCAAATGATGGTTTTAGAACTTTTTCAGTAAATGAAAAAACCTGGTATAATGGAATCACCTAATGCTTTGAAGTCTTTTTTCCTCTTATCTTTAAACTTCCATTGAGCAATATAGAATAAAGTTTAATGGTTGATATCCTGGTGCTTGGTGACCTGGGTTCAAATCCTAGCTCTACTCTTTGGTTGCTCTGTGACGTTGAGTAAATAATTTACTTCCCTATGTTTGTATTTATTTAGCTGTGAAAATAGGCAATGTTTCCCTCATTATGTTGTTTTGAAGGCCAAATGAGTTAATATATAAAAAATGTTTAGAAAAGTACCTGGCATAGACTAAGTACACCGTGTTAGCTTTCATTATAGGGATTTCGCTATTATTATTACAAAATCATAAGCATTTTCAGTTGACATCTATTGTTTATGACAGCCAAGCATACCTTTCTCTTTGCTTTGGAAAAATCTCTTTAATTTCCCATGGGAACCACGACTTCCACATTGTGTATGTGTTATCCTGCTTGGACTCTCAAACACAGAAGCAGTACCACCTTTAAGCTCAAGCAAAAGAAATCCTGAGACTCAGGACCTGTGCCTCAGAATCCCTTGAACTTTGGAGTCTTCTATGATGCCCAGGACCAGCCAATGCAGCAGTACTGTCGAGGCAGGGTGCTTCATCCTGGACCAAAACCCATAATGGGTTCTGGCCCTTTCCCTCTGCAGGCACTCTCCAACCCTCTACCCTCATAGGGGTTTGACCACATACCCCAAGTAATTCTGGGCTGTTGACTGTGAAATTATCCCAAGGATTCATAGTGCTGGTCTGATTTCAGGAAAGTGACTTGGTAAGTAGAATGTTCCTTCTGACCATAGTGCTATTTCCCTTACAAGATTACATGAGATTGTGCTTCTAGAATAGTTATAACGCCCTGATTTGCTCTTGCTCTTGCTCACATCAAACACAGAAAGATTTTAAGGCTCTGGGCTATGAAGAATATACCATTGACCATTGGCACAAGCTCTTGTGCTTTTGCTTGCTTGTGTTCTAAATATGGTATTGCCTCTATTTAACAGTGTTAAAGGTGGTTTGTGGCAGCAGAAGTCATTTACACTATATGCTCTCCATTATTGGCCTCTAGGGGACCCCAGGGGTACAGGTTTCTGGGAGTAGCCATGCCATGTTGGTATGTTCTGAATGCTCCACGAAGCCAAAAGTCCAACTGGTGTCCTTTTTTGCTTCCAATTTTAAATTTGGTCAAAGACATAAACTTATTTCAACTTCACTCAAAATTGAGCTAGAAGTCTTAGCCTATGCAATAAGTCAGGAAATAAAAGGCAGACATATAAAAGGAAGAAAAAAAACATAGTAGATAGTATGACTCTACAAATGAAAACAATATAACCCTAGAACTAACAGGTGAGTTCAGAAAAGTCATGAGATAAAGCACAAAAACAACTGGGTATTTCTACACTAACAATGTATATTTGGAAACCAAAATTAAAATTATATCATTTCGAATAACAAAACTGATGAAATATTTAGCTATGTATGAAAACAATATAGTTTTCAGCTCTATATGCTGAAAACTACAAAACACTGACGAAAGTAATTTTAAAAATCTAAATAAGTGGAGAGGCATACCATGTTCATGAATTGGAGAATCATCATGAGTGAAGAATTGTCACAGGAAAGCAGAGACTTCTCCAAAAATTATTTATAAATTTAACTCAATATCAAAAAAATTTCAGCAGGATTTTATATTGGTAGATATTGATAAGCGGATATTTGGTAGATATTGATAATCTGAAATGTATATTCAAAGACAAGTAAAATAGCAAACAATTTTGAAAAAGTTACCCAATTTTAAGATTTATTATAAAACCATATAATCAAGACAGTGTGATATTGGCATAATAATAGACAGATAGCTCAATGAAACAGAATAAAGAGTCCAGAAATAGATTCATAGATATACAGATAATTTATCGTTGACCAAACTACAAAATCAATTCAATGAAGAGCTTTTTTGATAAATGATGCTAGAACAATTAAATATCCATAGGCAATAAAACAAAAAACAGGGTAATAAAACAGAACAAATCTTGATCTAAATCTTACAGCTTATACAAAAATAAACTCAAAAGGGATTATTGGCTTAAATGTCAGTGTAAGACTATAACTATAAACGTTTTAAGAAAAACAACAGAGAAAATGTATTTGACATTGAGTTTTGTAATGAATTCTTAGACATGACACACAGCACTATTCATGAAATAAAAATGTATACATTGGATTCCCACAAGAGTAGACCAAAACAACAAATAGAGCTAAGATGTGACTCAAGTGTCAAAGGGAGAGAGTTGCAGTGTAGTGGGGAAGTGCAGATACACCTCTGGTGATTGAAAGCCGAGGAAGCCAGCATGAAGGCACTCAGCCTATGCAGTCCTGTCTCCCCTGCCTGGATTGGATCAGCCTGGAAGTAGGAGGGATTTCCCACTGTGTGGAAATGTAAGCAGAAGACAACCACCATCCTGATTCCCACCACAAACAGCTATAATCCTTACTACAAAATAATTCTACAATTCTTATCACAGGATACTTTCACAGTCCTTGCAAAGTCTTGGGCCCAGTTTGGAGTCCTGTTAGAAATTCATAGAGCTGCATTTCCCTAAATTAGGAGCACAAGGTGTTAACTCCCCACCTCCAACTCATCCCCTGTGAGGCCAGCTTCTACAGCCTTAAGCCCAGGATTGGCTATGACTCTTGTCCTGCACATTATGGAAACCAAATCCCACTGCCACACTGTCAGCCAGTAGAACAGTCCAACAGTCTCACCCAGGGCAAATACACCCTTAAGTTGGCCAAATACTATGTGCCCTCCCTTAAGTGGGGGAGGTCTCTGAGCCTACAGCAGCTGATATGCCCCTGAGCCAATGTGGCTACGAGCCTGTGCTTGGGACCTGAGTAACAGCCCAGCAGCCTCCCTACTCCTCACAGACATGTTCCTGGTCTGCTTAATAGCCCTGCACTTCCAATAAGGGCTTATAAACAGTTCCACAGGGTACTCCTAGCAGCCATATCCCCAGCCTGGCTAAGTAGCCTTGGATCCACATCTAGAGTTTGAGAGGCAGCCCTGTGAGCTGCCACTAACCGACATGTCACCTGCCCAGCTAAGCGGCTGTTTGCTTATGTCCTGAGCCAGAGAAATGGCCCATAGACCATCTCCAGCAAACACACACCCTGGCCAACTGTGCAGCCATGTAACTCTGTCCCAGGCCTGAGAAACAGCTCTGTGGGCTGCTGCAGCAGGCATGCCCCCTACGATGGTTGAGCAGCCTTACACTTGTGTCCCACCTCTGAGGAAATGGCCTTACCAGCCACTCCTGTCAGGCAAACACCCAGGCTGACCTAGCAACCACAGGCTCATGAACAGTCCCATGGCTGTAACTCCAGTAATCCATACCTCAAGTTGGCCAACCTACCATGTGTACTCACACATTCCTGATTTTAGAAACAGCCTGAAAATCCATTCCTGGCAAAACCACACCACCATTGCCACAAGATCACTCAGTCTAAGCCACTGAGAAACTCAAAAAGACCTCTAGCGTGGATTACAACTGAAGATTCAACATGAAGACTACACTACTATGTCTACCTAGAACCAAGGCCAACATACCCCACAAAATGATATCCCAAGACTTATTCATACAATTAAATCATTTCCTACAAAACCATATATAATTAGAAAAGATGACTTGATACATAGAAATCAACATAAGGATACACCAACCATGACAACTCAAAGAAACATGCCATTTCCAAAAAAAAAAAAAAAAAACCAAAGACTGGTATCATAAATATATAAAATGCCAGGAAAAGTTCAAAATAATAATCTTTAAGAAACTCAGTGAGATACAAGAAAATACCAATAGACAATTCAATAAAATCAGAAAAAAAATTTTGAGAAATCCAATAAAATGATAAATATCATTTAATAATCAGAAATCTTGGAGCTGAAAAATTTAATGTAACAAAAAATAACTTCAACACCAAATTAGCTTTTGTTTGTTTGTTTGTTTGTTTTGAGATGGAGTCTTGCTCTGTCGCCCAGGCTGGAGTGCAGTGACACGATCTCGGCTCACTTGCAAGCTCTGCCTCCTGGGTTCATGCCATTCTCCTGCCTCAGCCTCACAAGTAGCTGGGACCACAGGTGCCCACCACCATACTTGGCTAATTTCTTGTATTTTTTAGTAGAGACCGGGTTTCACCATGTTAGCCAGGATGATCTCGATCTCCTGACCTTATGATCCGCCTGCTTGAGGATAGGTCTTTTGAAATTACACAGGAAAACAAAAACAAAAGAGTAAAGAATAAAATAGAATGAAGAAAGCCTTTGGGATTTACAGGACAAATATTCCTATTAGCATTTCAGAAGAAGAAGAGAAGAGAAAAAATGAGGAAAACATATTTAATTAAAAAAATAGCAGAAAGCTTCTCAAGTCTTGGGAGAAAGGTGAACATCCAGACCTAAGAAGCTAAAAGAACCCCAAATAGACTCAACTCAAACAAGTCCTCTCTGAGGCGCAATGTACTCAAATTGTCAAAAGTCAAAGATTATGAAAGAATTGTAAAAGCAGCAAGAGAAAAGCATCAAGTCACTTATGAAAGAATCATCATTAGACTTACACTGAATTTTGCAGCAGAAACTTTATAGGGCAGGAGAGAATAAGATGATATATTCAAAGTACTGAAAAAAACCTAGCAATGCAATTATTATACTCAGAAAGATTATACTTCAGAAATGAAAGAGAAATAAAATATTTCACAGACAAAGACTAAGGGAATTTATCACCGCTAGACCAGCCTTAGAAGAAATGTTCAAGGTAATCTTACATCTGGAAGTGAAAAGATGATCACCATTATGAAAATGTGCAAAAACTATAAAACTCACTGGTACAGTTGATACTCAAAGGAGAAAGGAATCAAACCTTATGGCTACTTAAAACCACCCAAATTGCAAAAATAAGATGGGAAGTAAGAAACAAAAATTTATATAAAACAACCAGAAAACAATGAAGTGACAGGAGTAAGTCTTACTTATCAATAGTAACCTTGAATGTAAATGGATTAAATTTCCCATTTAGAAGATAAAAACTGGGTTAATAGATTAAAAACAACAACAATGAGGCCTAACTATATGCTGTTTATGAGAAACTCACATACTGTGGTTTCTCTTCAGATTGTATGAATCGTTTGCCTTTTACTAAAGATTTCCATGGAGAGGAACAACTCTGAATACCATGCAGGACATAGGCATGGGCAAAGACTTCATGTCTAAGACACCAAAAACAATGACAACAAAAGTCACAATTGACAAATGGGATCTAATTAAACTAAAGAGCTTCTGCACAGCAAAAGAAACTGTCATCAGAGTGAACAGGCAACCTGCTGAATGGGAGAAAATTTTTGCAATCTATCTATCTGGCAAAGGACTAATATCCAGAATCAACAAAGGAATTTACAAAAAAGAAAAAACATCAAAAAGTGGGCAAAGTATATGAACCAACACTTCTCAAAAGAGGACATTTATGCAGCCAACAAACATATGAAAAAAAGATCATCATCACTGGTCATTAGAGAAATGCAAATCAGAACCAAAATGAGATACCGTCTCATGCCAGTTAGAATGGCGATCATTAAAAAGTCAGGAAACAGCAGATGCTGGAGAGGACATGGAGAAATAGGAACACTTTTACGTTGTTGGTAGGAGTGTAAATTAGTTCAACCATTGTGGAAGACAGTGTGGCAATTCCTCAAGGGTCTAGAACTAGAACTACCATTTGACCCAGCAATCCTGTTACTGGGTATATACCCAAAGGATTGTAAATCATTTTACCATAAAGACACATGCACGCCTATGTTTACTGTGGCACTGTTCACAATAGCAAAGACTTGGAACCAACCCAAATGCTGATCTATGATAGACTGGATAAAGAAAATGTGGCCCATATACACCGTGGAATACTATGCAGCCATAAAAAGGATGCATTCGTGTCCATTGCAGGGACATGGATGAAACTGGAAACCATCATTCTCAGTAAACTAAAAAAACTAACACAGGAACAGAAAACCAAACACTGCGTGTTCTCACTCATAAGTGGGAGTTGGACAATGAGAACACATGGACACAGGGAGGGGAACATCACACACCGGGGTCTGTTGTGGTGTAGGGGGCTAGGGGAGGGATAGCATTAGGAGAAATACCTAATGTAGATGACGGGTTGATGGGTGCAGTAAACCACCATGGCACGTGTATACCTATGTAACAAAACTGCACGTTCTGCACATGTACCCAAGAACTTAAAGTATAATCATAAAATAAACTCACCTTACTGAAAAGACATACATAGACTGAAAGTTAAGGGATGGAAAAAGATATTCTATGTAAACGGAAACCAAAGGTAAACAAGAGTAGCTATACTTATATTAGACAATACAGACCTAAGTTAAAGTTAGGAAGGCTATTATTACAAAGACAAAAAGTCACAAGTGCTGGCAAGGATGCAGAGAAAGGGGAACTCTTATTCATGCTGGAATGTAAACTAGTACAACCACTAAAAAGAACAATACAAGGTTCCTTAAAAAAACAACTAGAGCCACCAGATGAGTCAGAAATTGTACAACTGGGAATATATCAAAAGGACAGGAAATTGTTATGTTGAATAGACATCTGTACCCCCATTTTTATTGCAACACTGTAATAGCTAAGATATGGAGTAAAACTAGTGTCCAAAAACAAATGAGTGGGTAAAGAAAATGTGATATATATACACAATGTAATACTACTCAGCTCTGAAATGAAATGAAATCCTGTCATTCACAGTAACATGGATGGAACTGGAGGACATTATGTTAAGTGAAATGAGCCAGGAGCAGATACTTAAACATTGCATTCACTCATATGTGGAGGCTAAAGAATGGTGATTGGCTGGGTGCAGTGGCTCACACCTGTAATCCCAGCACTTTGGGAGGCCAAGGCGGGTGGATCACTTGAGGTCTAGAGTTCAAGAACAGCCTGGCCAACATGGCAAAACCCCATCTCTACTGAAAATAGAAAAATTAGTCGGGTGTGGTGGTGCGTGCTTGTAGTCCCAGCTACTCAGGAGGCTGAGACAGGAGAATTGCTTGAATCTGGGAAGCAGAGGTTGCAGTGAGCCAAGATTGTACCACTGCACTACAGCCTGGGCAACAGAGTGAGATTCTGCCTCAGAAAAAAATGGTGACCTCATAGAACTAAAAAATAGAACAGAGGATACTAGAGGCTGGGAAGAGTAATAAGAAGGAAAGGTGATATGGTTTGGCTGCATGTCCCCGTCCAAATATCATGTTGAATTGTAATTCCCAGTTTTGGAGGAGAGGCTGCATGGGAGGTGATTGAATCATTGGGGTGGTTCCCCTTGCTTTTCTTGTGATAGTGTTCTCAGGAGATCTGGTTGTTTGAAAGTGTATAGCACCTCCCCCTTTACTCTCTTTCTCTCTCTGTCCTGCTTTGGCCATGTGAAGATCATGCCTGCTTCCCCTTCACCTTCTGCCATAATTGTGAGTGTCCTGAGGCCTCCCCAGAAGCAGGAGCCTGTACAGCCCACAGAACCATGAGCTGATTAAACCTCTTTTCTTTATAAATTGCCCAGTCTCCAGTATGTCTTGAGAGCAGTGTGAGAATGGACTAATACAGAAGAATAAGGAGAGATTTGTTAAAGAATATAACATCACAGCTAGATAAGAGGAATAAATTGCAGTGTTCTTTATCAGGGTAGGATGACTACAGTGAATAACAATATATAGTTTCAAATAGCTAGAAGAAAGATATTAAATGTTCCTAACACAAATAAATGATACATGTTTGAGACAATAGGCATGCTAATTACCCTGACATGATTACTATACATTATATGTATCAAAACATCACTATGTGCCATAAATATATATAATTATTTGTCAATTTAAAAATACACTTGGAAAAATTAGACTTCATCTAAATTAAAAATGTTGATTTTGCAAAATATCCTATTAAGGAAATGAAAAGATAAACTACACATTAGGAATATTAGCAAAACTATATATATATGTAAATATTATATATTTGTATATTATATATTAGTATATTAAATATATGTATATATAAATATTATATAAATAAGTATAAATATATAATACATATATACATATATACACATATATACATATATACAGACATATATACATATATAATACATATGTGTATATATGTATATATACATATAATATATATACATATATATAAATATATATAAAAAACAATTGCTTTTAACAAGTATACATAAACTTTTTGTATTTTATTTTTGGTAAAGATGGGGTCTCACTATGTTGTCCAGAGAGGTCTTCAACTCTTGGCCTCAAATAATCCTCCTGCCTCAGCCCCCCAAAATGCTGGGATTACAGGTGTGAGTCACCACACCTATCCCCAGAATATATAACTTCCCAAACTCAATAATACGAAAATAAAACCACAATTCTAAAAAGGGTTAATGACATGAATATACCCTTCCTTGAAGAGGATATAAAGTTGGCAAATATGCATTTAAAAATATTTATAATACTATTATAGTATAAATGTTGTGTGTATCATAATGTTTTGACATCTTGAAAAACTTTTCTGGCTGTGGAGAGACTGCCCCTCCTGGAGCTAGCCAATTCTTAGAAATAGCAAGGGCTCAGCCAGGAGCATGCATTTGAGGTGCAAACTAATCAATCCAGAGCCATGCCTCCTCTCTCTGGCCTATACACTCCAGGAACCAACATTCCTCTTGCTTAATCATCTCAAAGCCTGGTATTGGACACCTGAGGACAATCCCTGTAGCTTAGAGTCTACTGACATTATTCAGACTAGCCAGGCTTAATCTGTTCTTTCTGCCCTTTCTTTTCCTGCGGAAACTCTCAAAAAGACTGTGGCCTACAGGGTCCTTCCACTCTTGTCTTCTGCCTTCTGACCACCTCCGTGTCTTTCCCATCTGGCCTTGCATGGTGTTCCTATGCCTCCTATCTCTAAAATCTGTTAGTATAATAAACTTAGTTTTTCCCTGAGCCTCTCCTTTCTCTCATGTGGTCATACCTGACTGACCATTTCAGAAAAGAATACCTAAAAAAAAGTCTTTAACATTTACAAATTGAAATCATGATAAAATGTTACTACATATTAGAAAGGCTAAAACAAAACATTCAGTAACACGTACTGACAAGGGTGTAGAGCAACTAGAACTCTTCATAGATTGCTGGTGGAATGAAAACTGGTACAGCCACACTAGAAAATGGTTTGGCAGTTTCCTCCAAAGTTAACAGCACTCTATTGTGTGACTCCACCAATCCCGCTCCTGGAAATATATCTTAGAAAAATGAAAACATATATTCACACAAACATCTCTACATGGATATTTATAGCGACTATTAAAAATTGACTCAAATCGGAAAAAACATAATGTTCTTCAATTGGTTAATGGATAAACAAACCGAGGTGTATTTACACAATGGAATAGATCAGATACAGCAACAAAGAGGAACAAACTTGTGATCCACACAACTTATGTGAGTCTCAAAGGCATTGCAGTGAGTGAAAGAACCTGGTCTCCAAAGGTTACTACTGCTTGATTAATTACTAAAAAAAAAGGAAACTGTAGGTATGGAGACTATCTCAGTGGTTTTTAGAGATTATAATTGGGAACAGAGGGAGAAAGCAAACTGAAAGCATAAGAGTATTTTGTAGTAATTTAACTTTCTGCATATTGATTATTGTGGTGTTTACATGGATTTATATATGTTAAAATTCACATAACTGAAAGAGTAGCAACAAGTCAATATTGCTGTATACATTAAAAAAATAAGGACATAGTTAAGAAAATATGAGGGCAAGAGAAAGAAAAAAATTTCAAAATACATGTCTGATAAAGTACATGTGTCTAGAATATATAAAGACCTCTTAAAATTCTATAATATAAAAACATTCAAGCCTATTAAAAAATAGAGTTGAACAATGTTTCAGCAAAGAAAAGAATTAGGGCCAAGAACAAGTACTCAGAATAAGTCATTTGGAAAATACAGATTTAACTATGAGAAGACAGTGCTGCTTACTTATTAGAGTGACTTAAAAAAACTTACAGTCAGGTACTTGTGAGGATGCAGAAGATCTAGACCTCTCATACATTGCTGGTTGGAGCGTAAAATGTATTAGCCACTCAGGAAAATAGATTTGCAGTTGTTTTTATAAAGGTGTGTGTGTGTGTCATATGAGCTACTAGTTCCACTCCTAGGATTTTTCATTTGTTTTGTTTTGAGACAGAGTCGCTATGTTGCCCAGACTGGAGTGCAGTGGCATGATCTCAGCTCACTGCAACCTCTGCCTCCCGAGTTTAAGCAAGTCTCATGTTTCAGCCTCCCAAGTAGCTGAGGTTACAGGTGTGCGCCAACATGCAAGTCTAATTTTTTTGTATTTTTAGTAAGGACGGGTTTCACCAAGTTGGCCAGGCTGGTCTTAAACTCCTGACCTCAAGTGATCTACCTGCCTCTGCCTCCCAAAGTGCTCGAAGTGCTGGAATTATAGTCATGAAACACCATGCCCGTCCCACTCCTAGGTTTTTATCTGAACAATAAAAACTTATGTTCACATAAATACATGGCCATCAATGTTTACTGCAGCTTTATTCATAACCACCCCAAATTTCAAATGTTGAATAAACAAATGCAGGAGTGCCCACACAATTGGAAACTACTCAGCAATAAAAAGGAACAAGCTACTGATATAAGTAACGATACAAATAAATCTCAAATGCAAATGTTAAATTGTAGAAGCCATACTCAAAAGGCTACATGATATATGCTTGCATTTATATGACATTCTGGAAGTAGCAAAAATATAGAGAAAAAATTATATACCAGTGCTTGCCAGGGACTGGGGTTTCAGGGAAATGCTGGACTAAAAGGAGGCACGAGGAAACTTTTTTTCGTATGAGGGAAAGCTTTGTATCATGTCTGCATAGATGATTATACAACAATATGCATTTGTCAAGGCTCATAGAACTGTATACTAAAAATAATCTATTTTTTCAGATATAAATGATACCTCAATAAACTGAGTTAAAGTAAGGCTATAGGAGTGCCACAATATTCACAATTGATAAAGCTGGGTGATGGGTGTTTGGGGGTTATACTTTTCTCTTTATTTTTATGTTTGGAAAACAAAATAATAAGTCTAACACATTTCTGGCTGGAATTTGGGCTAAAGGATGTTCAGACATTGCCGATGAACATGTAAATTGCCCTGGAATTTTTTGAAAGCAATAGTGCAACAGCTGTTGAAACTTGAAACTACATAGCCTTCCTCCCAGAAGGCCTACTCTTTGAATCTCTCCCATAAAAATAAAAGCTCTGGGTTTTTAAAGGTATACATACAGGATGTTTATTACAGCATTGCACTTAGTGGCAAACCACTGGACACAAAGTGAGTGTACATAAATTAAGCACTAAAAAACCCCCAAACCCCCTTGCCATTTCCTTTGGTAGTCACCCATATGTCCCAATGGGACTATGACTTAATTACACAGCAGCTGCACTTTGAAATATTATGCAGACACCAAAAATAACAAAGGACTAATTTACAAATATAATAAGTGGTGGGGTAGTGATTCAAACCTAGCTGTGTATCTTAGTTTGGGCTGCTATCACAAAAATATAAGCCAGGTGGCTTCTAAAGAACAGAAATTGATTCCTCCTAGTTCTGGAGGGAGCCTGGGAGGTCCGATATAAAGGTGCTGGCAGATGCAGGTCCTGGTGAAGGCCTTCTTCCTCAATGGTGGCACCTTCTAGCTGTGTCCTCATGTGGTGGAAGGGGAAAACAAGCTCCCTCAGACCTCTTTTATAATGGGACTAATCTCATAAAAGAGGGTTCTGATCTTATGGCTTAAATCACCTCTCAAAAGGCTTTACCTCTTATCATTATCACATTGGCGATTAGGCATTAACATATGAATTCAAGGAGGTGGTAAACACAATCCATAGCATTCTGCCTGACTCCAATGTCTGTGTACTTAGCGTCTGTATGCTACTTCATTTTTTTCCTTATTTCTTTCCTTTGTATGTTCTTCCTTGCCTTCATCTTACCTTGATTAGGGTGATAAGCTCTAAGAAGGTGAATTTAGGGTTTGGGCCTGGAATAAAGGGCCCTTGTGATAGTGGGACTTTTGTCTGGAAAGCAGCAGTCCCCATTGCTCATTTGAGCAACACCAGCTCATTGACACATTGCAGTGAGATTTTGAGGACAAAGTCCTAGATGTTGCTTTTGTACTCAGCTTTGTCCCCCAAATCTCCCTGAGAACCTTGGGACTGAAGACCCAGATACGTAGAAATCCTGGTGTTGAACCACATCTCCCTCTTTCCTCCCACTCTGTGACATGAGAAACAATTGCTTTTATTATAGAAGATGAAGGTAAGTGCTAAGGATACTGCAGGTTAGGCCAAATTCAGAGTGAGGAAGGGTGTGTTCTTACATCAGGAGAGGCTATCAAACTTCAGTCTCATGATTCCATTTCTACAGTGCAGAAGGAGGCAAAACTAGTGCTTGATGTTGGAAGCCAGGCTACTGGAAACTCTTGAAAGCTGTGGCTGGGGGAGGGCATGAAGGTGGCTTTTAGGAGCTTGATAGTGTTTGACTGTGTCTCTACCCAAATCTCATCTTGTACTCCCATGTGTTGTGGGAGGGACCAAGTGGGAGGTAATTGAATCATGGAGGCAGGTCTTTCCCATGCTGTTCCCGTGATAGTGAATAAGTCTGACAAGATCTGATGGTTTTATAAGGGAGGAGTTTCCCTGAACAAGCTCACTCTCTCTTTGCCTGCTGCCATCCATGTAAGATGTGACTTGCTCCTCCTTGCCTTCTGCAATGATTGTGAGGCCTCCCCAGCCATGTGGAGCTATAAGCCCATTACACCTCTTCCATTTGTAAATTGCCCAGTTTCGGGTATGTCTTTATTAGCAGCATGAAAATGAACTAATACAGAGGTGATAATTTTTTTTTTGTTTCTTGATCTTGGTGCTGGATGCCAAGTGTGTTCATTTTGTGAAAATTCATCAAGCTATATACTAATAATTGGGGCATTTTTCTGTATGTATATGTTATACTTCAATTAAAAGTTATAATAAATAGAAAAACAACTATATTAAATAGGATAATAAATAGTAGTTATTATATAGGTGATCATAGAATCTCAATGTCCTAATATAATAAAATTTTATTATTTGCTCATGTTTCTGAGATTATTGCCAGTCAGGAGTACTCCTGATGGCTCTTCTCGAGGCACTGACCCAAGAGTCCAGGTTCCTTCTATTTTTGGACTTGGCTATTACCAAAGTATGATTCTTTGTGGAAACTAAATGGTACAAGAAACTTATGAAGGGTGAGTTTTTAGGGGCTGGGTGTGGGAATGGTGAACAACATTTTCTCTCACATAGTATTAGATAAAAGTGGTCAAATGACTTCACCTAGAAGCAAGAAAATTTAGTCTTCCATTTTTTTTTCTCATCAGTCAGAGAAATGACATGGTTTGATAAACACACAATGTTATTTTGCTTTGCATAGACTTTATTTTAAAAATTATAGTACAATCCATTTTGAGGGAGCAAGATGAACATTTGAAACATAAATAAATAAAGACTGAACCATTTGAGAAGGCTTCATGAAAAAACAACTTGAGTTATTCTAGAAGAATGAGGGTGATTTGAGCAGGTGGAGGAACAAGGAGAAACATGGATGCTGAGACCCCTGATACATCACAGGAAGGTCCCAACACAAAGAGAAGCACATGAGTATCACTACCATATAGCCATCAACACATGAATCCTCATTCCTCAGAGAACTCTTTGGAATCATAATTTAAGAAATTCAGGGATGAAAGTTGGGGTTGCCCTTACTGTACCTTGGTGCCAGCTTAACTGTTTTCCCATCAGGAATGTAATCATCTTTCATATAATATCACTCTATAAAGACTGTTTGTTGATCTTCTTCAAGATATTTTGTCATGTGCCTCTATATTATTCATTTTGCATTGCTATAAAGGAATACCTGAGACTGAGTAATTTATAAAGAAAAGAAGTTTATTTGACTCACAGTTCCGGAGGCTGTACAAGAAGCATGGCACCAGCATCTGCTTCTGGTCAGGACCTCAGGAAGCTTTTACTCATGGAGGAAGGCAAAGGAGGGGCAGGCATTTCACATGGGGAGAGAGGGAGCAATACAGAGAGTAGGGAGGTCCTAGACCCTTTAACAACCAGATCTCACATGAACTCATTACCATGGTGAGGACGTCAAGACATTCATGAAGTACCCACCCCCATCACCCCCATTAGGCCCTGCCTCTAACATGGGGGATCACATCTCAACATGAGATTTGGAGGAGACAAACATCGAAGCAGTATCAACCTCCTTTCAACCAAGACATTTTCTGACAATTTCAGCACGCCCAGTGATCTTTTAATCTATTGTGAATCCTTTCCTATTTATTTTGCATACATACAGTCTTGCCTTCTCTACTAGACTGTATTTCCACATGTATTAAATAAACAGATTTTTTTTCCTATCAATGCTGAGCACCGTGTGGGAGGTATACTAGCTGTAAAAAATTAGGACATTATGGCCCCTTGCTTCATAGGGTCTTGAAAACACCTGGCATTGTATATTTATATATTTATTTAATTTTTTAATTTTCCAGACTTTTACATAAGACCAACAAAAAACAATCGTGAAATTAACTTATCATATCCTTTTCATTTTTGCTGCTAGTCACTGAGGGAGCAAGGGGCTAGGTTGCAAGGCTCACCATCACAAAGCTACATGGGTTCCTGAAACCCATCTTATGAGGCCAGGAATGTAGCTGAATTTCATGAAGTAAAAAAGATGATTTTCACTCTGCCTTTTTCATACAGCCGCTAGTACTCCACAATGTACTATTTTGTGCTCCAATATATTATTCATTTAATGCCCTACCACATTTATAGGTTGGGGCTATGTGAGCTTCTGTGGGTATTGAAAATTGGCTTCAAGTTCTAGCACTATTTCTCTTTCAAGTCCAAAAATAATTTGGTGGAAGTGTGATAGTTTCCTGGGATCTCCTTTGCCAAGTTGGAATCTTAAATGAGCAAAAAAATAGCAAAAAAAGTCATGTAAAATCCAATACATGTTTAATTGGTATGCCTCCAAGAAGCATCCCTCAATAAAGAATTTTTAATCTATGTTAAATTTGCATCTTAAATGATGATTTGTGTTAACTGATTGAGTGAAAAATAGACTAATTTTTACTTTCTAATATGAAATATGATCTAAGGATGTGAATAATTTGATTGACATTCCCCTTATCTTCAAATTACTGTATCCTTAGGCAGCTTGAAAACGATAATAACGCATAACCACAGGGCAATATTTTCCCCACTGGGTCATCAGAGTGTCTCACTGGAGTCTTTTGTCTTGAGTGCTGAGGCCAGGTTCTGAGAATCTATTGTGTCTGTCATAGATATCCATAATTAAGAGCATGGTATTTATAATGAAAGATTAGACCCTTCTATAATTGGAAGCAAGACAGAAAACCCAAAGAGAGATCTTAAGCTGGTATAAGGGGACATTCTTGACGACAGAAAGATGACCACAGCAGCAGGTAGGACTAATGACAAGCCTGACAAGTTTTTTGGGAGCCTTAAAAGTTTAAGCTGTTTCTGTTTTCTGTTTGCTCAGTATTTGAATTTCTCAGGTCAAGGTTCCCTCTGAAAACACACTTCTCTTCTCATCCCCCTTGTATGAATCAGAAATTAATTTACCACCTAAGGCAAATGAAATCATACTCAAAGGTTCTGGGATACCCGAGGCTTTCAGCAGTTCTGAGACCCGGCAGTTCTGTTTTGGAATCTCTCCATCACTGCCTTTTAATAAAGCCTGATCATCCCAGGATTGTTGCTGCCAGAGGTCTTTGTCACTTGTGCTTTCTGGCAGACCTTCCATGGAGCTGGCAATGATCTCCTTAATTTCAGTGTGCAAATAACTGACAATATCTATTAGTTTTGGATCCACACTCCTCTCTGAGTCTGCCTGGTACTGGCTGAATAATGAATTGGCTGGCTCTAAATGTAAGGTCAGGGGAAACACAGACATGAGAATCAGAGGTGGAAAGAGAAGAATGAAGTGGAAAGAGAAGAGCAAGCATCTTTCTTGAAGCTAGAGAGTTGAATATTTTGGACCAGAAAACACAAGAAAGCTTGGAATTTAGGCATTAAAGAAATGTCAAAATATTGTATTTTACCAAAATATTTTCTCATTTCAGCAATGTTGAGGATGACGAGGACAATGAGGAGGGGGAAGAGCATGGTGATGATGATAATCATAATGAACGTTTATTGAGTAGTTATTATATAGAAGGCACTGTTTTACATTGCTTTGTACATGTTTTCTAATTTGGTCTTTGTAAACATACGGGGGCAGTTACTATCACATTCATTCTGCATATGGGGAAACCGAGGATCAAGAAGCTGCAGTAATTTGGCTAATGTGGCACAGGTGTAAGTGCTCAGGTGAGCCTTAAGTTCAGTTCTGTTTGATGATATAATAAGTGCTTTCAGGTTTCCCCAGTGGTTTTAAATATTGTAGCAAATGCTGTTGTCATCCCTCAGATCTCTGTTACCAGTTCCGTGGGTAAAGCCTGCCTGTCTGTTAGTGCCTCCTAAGGGCTCACACCTGCAACCTGTTTAGAGGACCACCCTGGGGCCTCTGGAACACTTTGATCAGACATGCCAGGAGCCAGAAATGCCTGGGAGTTCAATTTCAGTTGGAGAGTTGCCAGGCACTTGCAAAGGACTATGAAAGCCCAGCTAGCTCCCTTGCCTTACAGGCCCTGTAACGTTTAAGTGTGCTCCACAGCCTCCTGCAGCCTCAGCTGAAGTCTAGTGTGATGTCTAAAACTGCACCCTGCTTGGCTTCTTCCTCTCATCTTTCCTGCTTCTTTTGCTCTCTTGCTGGTTTCTTTTGGGAATACTCCCTTAATAAATTCCACAGAAATACTGTCTCTCTGCCTGCTTCCTGGGGAATCTGAACTAAGACAACTATGCTTTGCTCTAATTCTAAACTTGGCCATAAATGAGCCAATTTTAATGAAAGTCATTATTAAGTGATAATTGAACACAGCTGATAAAGCAACAGTAACGATTATTTCCACGTGTTGATTTGGCCTCCCAGTTGCTCTCATTTCATTCATTCAATCATTCCCTCAGAAAGAAATGTATTTTTGTACTAAGTACCTAAGATCAACAATAATGTGTATACATTCCTTCATGTGGGCAGGTGGGGGGAAACCTTTTAGCACATATTCTCAGGATACCCAGAATGGATAGAGGAAGAAGACTCAATAAAATTCAAACTTTTATGATTATGTGCATAATTTCCATTTCCACAATATATTTTTTCTAGATCTAAATTTATGTTTGAGAGTATTTTTGTAGCTGAGTGGTGTAAGGGACAGAGAAACCTGAGGAGGGGTTGGCTTCCCACTAGAAACCTTCCCTCACAACAGTTTGAGTAAATCTTCCCTGCAGTAATGATAAAACCATCCAATGACTCTTGAAATCTTGGGAGAATGGTCTTCTTGGACAAATTGAGGAGAGTCTTAGGATCAAAAGGATTCATTAGATAAAATGTTGTCATTAATATAATTAGTTATTAAATGAAAGTATTTCCCAGGCTGAAAATTACTCCCTGCTCCAAATTTATCGTGTGAGAGGTGGAAGTTGGGATAAAATTCTGGTGGTGGTGGGGGAGTAGGTAGATAAACTCAGAATTTTGAACCTACATTCCTCTATATTAAAAGTTCTTCAAATCTTGTGGACAATAGACATTGCTCCCAAGTAGCTCTGCCTCTCATTTACTCTCTGTCTCCTACTTCCTCATTTTATCCACGTCTGAGAACTCACTGGGTTTAGGGAATGTCTCATCTGTATTTCCCATCTACTTTCTAAGCTCAAGACTATATCTGCCATTCTTTTGGCTGCTTTATCTTTATTTACTTTAATGCCCTGTTTTTTCTTCATGACATATTACTCTCTACTCATTTTTTGAAATTAATATTGGTACATCAGGTTGTGTTACCCTTGGCCAAAGGCTATTACAATATATATAAGGCAGCCTGGGTGCGGTGGCTCACACCTGTAATCCCAGCATTTTGGGAGGCTCAGGTAGGCGGATAGCTTGAGCCCTGGAGTTCAAGATATTGTTGGTCTTTTTTTGCAGTAAAAAATTTTTATTAACTATAAGCGTAATAAAATACCCCTTGAAAGGTTTAAACTTTTTTAAAAAATTGTACTATTTTTATTAGAATGTGCAGTTTGTCACCTATTAATAGTGCATTCTTACTCTCTAATGCAATAGGAACACATCTGTTTTTAATACTATACGGATTCATTAGCCTACCAGTCTCTTTGTTCTGTTTCTGCAGCAGCAGAATAAATATCATAATTGATATTATTTTTATGCCTATATGTGCTCTTTTTTCACAAGATAAGAGATGTTATTGGGTCTGCTAATGTGACATTGTTTTTCAACTCAGGTGATTAGTTTAAGGAATTAAATGTGTATGCTTATGATCCATTGGAGATTCTAAGATATCGCAGACAATCAAAATCATAATTCCAAATGAAAAAAAGGACATAATTCTTTAAAAAGTGTTTAGAAGACCACACAGCAGAGGATATTTTCTTTCTTATTGGCAACAGTTTGTAACTACATATATTAATGTTACCAAGAACGGTATGGATTCAAGAACTTACTGAAGAATCCAAGTGCACACTGGCTGGTTCTACTTTATTCTTTTAAAATATGAATTATATTATATCCTTTGTTCATTGTGGGCAGGTACAACTTGGCTGATCCTTCTCTTCATGCATTTTTCAATATACATGAAGGGAAGTGTTATTTGTATTGTTAAATTTACATGATCTCCTCTTTAATTTTATCAGCTGCTAACTAGATCCAGAAATGATGACATTTAAAGGAAAAATGGCTACCATTTCCAGAATACTGCAGTGTAATAGAAGAACCTAATTAATTTAACCTCACAGAACTCCATAATGGCTAGAATTCATCATTCCCACAGATAGAGCTCAGAGGAATTAACAGCACTGCACATCCCCATACACTCTACAGATTGGCTGGCCAAGGTGAGATTTTTCTTTATATTCCTTCAGTGCACATATTGACAACGTCTTCTTGAAGTATATTAACAATACAGATTGTGTGGCTTTAAAAGGTGAAAATGAAAAAATCATTATTGCAAAATACTTTGATAGAGGGAAGACAAAAATCTCTTTGTTGAGAAATGTGAGACCAATAATTTAATTTACCTATAAATATTTGTTCAAGTTTAAATTGCAACAGAAAAAGACAGAAAGGTTTAACCTCAGGAAAATAGGAGATTTGCAGGCATCTACAGCTAGTCTTAGAAAATGCCAATCTTCATTTCTTTTTTCTTCCCTGAATGATTTGTAATATTTTCCAGAATCTTTGCTAATATGAGAAAATGGAGGCTGAGCATGGTGGCTTATTCCTGTAATCCCAGCAATTTGGGAGTCTGAGGAGGGAGGATCACTTGAGGTCAGGATTTCAAGACAAACCTGAGCAACATAACAGGACCTCTGTCTCTAACAAAAATTAAGAAAAGAAAAAAAAGCTGGGTAAGTTGTTGGTAGTTCAAGCTATTAGAAAGTCTGAGGCAAGAGGATCCCTCGAGTTCAGGAGGTCAAAGCTGCAGTGAGCTATGACCACAGCACTGCACTCCAGCCTGGGTAACAGAGAGGGACCCTGTTTCACAAGAAAAATAAAAGAAAAACAAAAACAAAGAAAATGGAAATAGGTGGGGTTCCTGTAACTCACGAACAGGTACAACAACAGAATAGGGGCTATTTGAAAAACATAGTTACATCACCACATTAATTTTGCTGCTGTGCTATTTCTGCCACAGTGACTATTTCCCTAGCTGTTACTTACTGCCCCAATTCATTATCAGTGAAGAGATCGAGGATATCTCCTCCAGTCATTTTTCTTCAAAAGAAACAAATTTATTTACATTGTTAAAAAATTGTATATTTGTTGCTTTATATTCTTTCTGAGTATAAACATGTATATGTGTTTCTCTGATCACCATGAACAAAGATAATCTCAGAAAATTTAGTGTCTGAAGGAACCCCAATTCTAAGACCCTATCAGTAACTTAGCTGCATTAGATGAAAAAAAAAAAATCCTTCTTCAACAGCTTTCCAAGCTGACAGTCATGAAATTAAAATTATTTACTTGGGTCTCATAACAATCATAGAAACAGGGAAAATGATAACTGCAGAGGGATAACCAAAGAAATAACATTGCTGGTATTATCGCAAAAGGTCACACACTTATTCAATAATGCCCTTCTGTGTGCAAACCCTGTGTTAGGGGTGAGAATCAGCCTTTCCTGCAGGTAAATAAATAAATAAATAAATAGAATCCAGCATTTAAAAAACATAACTATTGAAGAAGTAGAGGCTCAAATTTGTATGCATGTCTGTGTAAGTTAATGTAAGTTGGTGTGGGAGAACTTCCAGCTTAAAAGGCCACGCGCCGAGATTCACTGAGCTAAGGTAACCAGATGGGGTTATTTGGCCTTTAGTTGGCAGAAGAGCCAGATTAGGAGAGAATTTGAGTCCAGAGTGAAGTCAGAGAGACAAGTCATTGTGTTTCAAAGTGTGCTCTATATAACAACTTTATAGTGAGTATCTGAGTGCTTCTTAAAATTTAATTTACGAGGCTTCTCCCCAGACTCACTGAATTACACTCTTTGCCAGCAGGCCCAAGAATAGCTGGTCATGAGGGCTTAAAAAATGCCGCCTTTTCCACACTGTTGCTCAGTTTAATAATATTAACATCATTTATTAATTAATTTCATTATTGGTCAGGCTTTTCCTCTGGGCCACAGTTGGCTGCCAGTCGTTCCTGGGCTACATTTTCCCCAGTTTATTTCCAGCCTGAAATGTGCACCTATTCAATGTGTGTGTGTGTGGTGGTGGGGGGTGGGGGTGGTTATTACATAATTGGCTCATGGAATGGTGAAGGGAGGCCTGGCAAGTACAAAATCTCATGGAGGAAGCTCACAGGCTAGAGACTCAGGAAAGAGGTGCAGTTCAAGTTCAAAGGCAGACTGCTGGTGGTGATGTTGCTGATGAAGTCTGAATTGATCTGATGGCTGAATTCCCTGTTTCTTGAGCAAGGCCAGCCTTTTCTTCTCTTCAGGCTTTCAATGGATGGGATGAGGCCCACACACATTATGGAGGGCAATATGCTTTACCCCAAACCTATTGATTTAAGTGTAAATCTCTTTCAAAAGCACCCTCAAAGGAACATTCAGAAAAATGTTTGTCCAAACATCTGGGTTCTGTGGCCCAGCCAACTTCACACATAAATCTAACCATCACAGGGCTCTAATCCCATTGGACTGGTGTCCTTACAAGAAGAAATTTAGACACACAGGGACATGAGGGACCTGAGTGCACAGAGGAAAATCATGTTAGGACACAGTGAGAAAATGGCCATCTGCAAGTTAAGGAGAATATATGTAGTGTCTATAGTGTGTGTATACCCTATAGTATGTGCTATAGTATGTATATACAAATACAACACACTACAGGACAGCAAAAGGTGTCGTTTCTTCAAGAGCATTGTCTATCAGCACCAAGACTGAGATTTCTAGGTTCTCAAGTAGAACTACAAAAATTGCATAGGTTCATTTGGTTTATACTTAAGTTTAGTGACTGCTATGGTTTGAATGTTTTATCCATTCTAAAACTTAGGTTGAAACTAAATCCCCAATGCAATGGTATTGGAAAATGAAGCTTAATGGGAGGTGTTTAGCTTATGAGGGTGTTTCCTTGATGAATGAATCAATGCTACTATAAAAAGGGCTTGTGGGAGTGGATTTGCTCCCTGCACTCTTCTGCCAAGAGACGAACAGTTCTTCCCCTCCAGAGGACATTGTGTTCAAGGTACGGTCTAATATTTTGGAAGCAGAGATTGAGCTCTTACTAGACATCAAAACCTGCTGGTGCCTTGATCTTGGACTTCCCATCCTCCAGAATCTTGAGAAATAAATTTCTATTTTTTTATAAATTATCCAGTTTCAATTATAGCAGCAGAAAATGGACTAAGACAGTGATCATTGTGCTCATTGCCAATTTCTCCATGCTTACATTTTAAAAAGAGATATTTCAAGTGGGGTTCCTGTGCCCATCTGATTTGGATTACTCTTGTTTGGAAGAATTGTATATATGCCACCTCAGAGATGGTTTGCCTTCTTCATATTTGGCCAAGGTATAATTGCCTTCAGCTTACAACCAGGCCTTTGTCCAACCATATGTCATCAAAGTAGTGGAGACAGTTTTGTTTACTCAGAACATTTAGCATACACAGTTAAAGCATACATCATGAAAGCATACATCATGAAATATTTGTGAGACAGAGTTGATGCTGCTTTCTTGAAGTATGAAGGGTTCCTTTACCATAAAGTCAACCCTAAGTAGCTCAGAACCCATAGTTGTTGGTAAATGATGGTAATGATGATGTTAATGTGACAGCTATCACTAAAAACTCTCTTTTAAACTGTCTCTACTTTAAGGGTTTAATTTTATTTACTTATTTAATCTTCAAAACCACTCTACCAAATAGTGTTATTAACCAGTTTCATAGACATGGAAAAGAAACAGGTTAAATAGGTTGCCCAAGTCTTCAAACTCTTAGTGAGTATTGAGGAAGGAAAAATAGTACTGCAGTCAAAAGCCTAGTTCTAAATGTGCTGTAGCAGTGTAAATAGAATCAATGATAATTTCATTGGTACTTTCCCCTAAAGTACTTCAGAACTCCCCCAGGGAGCCTTTTTAGGAGGCACACCATTTTAAATTCAAGAAGGGATTACATCCTGCAGACAGAGAGACTTGTGATGAATCCCATTGCTGAAGGCTATGATTCTAAAACTCTTTTGCTTCTGAGATTTTGCTGAGTGACTCACTTTTTTCTCCAAATAAAACATTCCAAACACAGACTATAGTGTGAGTTTTCATTTATAGTATAAGTTTGGAATTTCTTTTCTTCATGGAAGTGCTATCAATTTCTCACTTTTGCTGGAAAACTGTATAAGAACTTTCCACACTCCTTGCTTATTTGATAACACTCCTTATGTATCTCTGAGAATTTTTTTGGTTTAATTTTAAAAAATATTTCTTAGTTTTTTTAGAAAATAACTTCTAAATCTTTATTATTCTGAAAACACATGAAAGACATGTGAGAAGGAGTTCCTCTCAGATGATAGGTTCCTCCAATACGTATTTCTAAAACTTTTGAAGTCACTATCTTTATCATTTCTTATTTCATAGCTACAGTTAATAACCCAAATATAAATTTAATACCTTCACATTATTCCAGATTGCATTTCATTGTGAGACCTGGCAATGATGCTGTCATCCAATAAATCTGATGAAAATGATAGGGTTCATCTCACTATGTCAGTGTTAAAAATTTTGGTTGATTGATAAGTAGCTTGTTCTCACAGCTGTCAGAAGAGAAGTTCAAGTTATTATATGTTAATAATCAATAGTGGGTTATGTATCATTAAGTAATCATAAATATTTCTACACAACACAGGGTACCTTGTGTGCTATAGTTGAATAAATCAATAAACTTGACCATTAATGAAATATTTATTGAGTAAATAAGGAAGAAAGAAGCCTTCCACAGGGATCAGTGAGGCTCTCGGAGATCAGTGTTCTTGGTCTCTGGGCTTCATCTTTGCAGATAATCTTTTCCTTTATGGCGAAGATTCTGAGTAGCAGCTCCACCTCTTCGACTTTCATTGACACTGCTTGCTGTTTTTAACCAGGGTCTTCTCTTTCCTGAATATCCCATGAAACTCTAGAAGTTATCACAGATTCCTTCTCTGCATGTTCTTAATGTCAGCACAATAACCCTGAAGGTTTTCTAAGATTTTTGCTCTGTCAATTACCATAGGAATTAGATGGGGAGTAAAACGGTGGCTGGTCCCACCTACTCACCAAACACACCAAAACATATTGGAGCCTCAGCAGTGGAAATAGACACTTATACATGAAAAAGCTAAGGGCAACCGAGCTGTGGAACTGAAAGTAAATAATCAGTTCTCTCCATACGAAGTTCATTGCTTAAACACAAGAGGCTCTTAATAGAACTTTCTCTTGCATGGTAATATGTGCCTCTAACTGGGATGGATGGTTTAGAATGTTGGTGTAGGGGTCAGTTTTTTATATTAAATTAAAAGCTACAAAGGTGTCAAATGCAAGAATCATCAGAGTGAACATCGTACTTTTGCCAAGTGTCAGGTCTGAATTCCACTTCAGCTCTATTGTCTCTGTTCTAAGTCCAGTGCCAAAGAAAAGTTTAGTAAAAAAGCAAACAACCACACATTAGGACTATTTAAGATATGGAGCTAGGGCCTGTGGGCTCAGAGAGGAGTAGTTCATGGGAGATGAGAGAGGTAGTGCCTAGAGGTCTGCTGGTCACTTTCCAGGGTACATTTCTTAGACGCTTATCATGTAGAAAAATATCAACTTCACTCGCCTATAATTGTTCTCTCTCAAACCTTTCATAAGGTTATCCTGGTCAAAGAGTTGGAGTCAGATCATAAGTACTACAAAGGACATGGCATTGAGCTTTTATTTTTATTTTAAGAGTCAGGAAAGGCATTGAAACAGTTCAGGCCGAGGAGTGACAAAGTCTGATTTTGCTGAATGAACTCACACTGACTGACTGTGGAGGGTGGATTAAAGAGGACCAAGAGGGAAGGGAAGCAGGGAGATGAGTTGGGAGCTATAGCAGCAGTCTTTGTGAGAGTTCCCAGCCAGCACCTTGGAAGGTGAATTAGAACTTAGGCATTCATGTGACTCTGCCCGCCCCAGACACCAAGCCAGGCTCTGTCAGATTTTAGAATGCTCCCTAGGCTGCAATAGCAAAACACTCCCTCTTCTGATGAGAGTTTTGGCAATGTTTTGCTTCTGAAAAGACTTTTTTGAGAAATTTCTATTTCCATCTTTTAAACAGAGAGAATAGAAAAAAAAACTTGATATGCTTATGGGCAAAAGTAATAGACAGTAAAAATCTTTCAGCCTAAAAATAATTACCCCAAAATCAAAGGCATGAAAGTGCTGACTGGCTCTCAGTGTTTTCTGTGATGTAAATCACGTTAAAAGTAGAAATTTGAAAAACTACATTTCACAGGGAAGGCTACATGTCATTTTTGGCCACATAAATTTATTTTCTCTCAAGCTGTAGTCAGATGTCACCTCAACCTTTGGTACAATCGCAGAAGCGTTAGCCAAGTCAGCATATCCATGAAATGCGTTGTGTGAGAAGCTGGGTCTTGTGCCTGGGTTGTGTTTCCTTAGTAATACTAGGCTGACATTTTTAAATAGCAGATATTATGGAGCTAATTCTGCATCTCCTTTATGATTGTGAGAAAATTGGTGGCTGTCATTATGGGAAATGGTTTTCTGACTTTCTTTTGCTTCAAACCTGGAGAGCTTTAATGACTATTATAGAAAACATCTTTGTGGCTACACTCATTATCGGATATAAAAAGACTAAGTTTCAGATGTACATTATTTTCCTGGGATTATTCATCATTCTTTATCATTAAGTCTTTGCTTTTTTTGAAACATGTATAGTAGACTCTGAATTAACTTGAGTGACTTACCAGAATCTATATTTGGTGAAGAAAGGCCTCCATGTTTCCTTTTCTGATGTTTCTTCTGTGTCTGTCTTCAGAGTCAATCCAGCTCATTATGTATACTCATTTATTCAACAACTTTTGAACCACTATTATGTGCAGGCTCTGTGATAGGTATTGAGAATCTATTAGTGACAGAACTGATCCAATTTTTGCACACCTAGACCTTTCACTTTAGGGTACACAAAGGGTCATACAGTTGATATTCTGCATTGTGCTGACCTTAAGATAGAATTAGGGGAGAGTCCAGTCCTGAGGTTGTGTTTGGAAACACAAAGGCACACATTGGTATGTCTCATTGGATTTAGCATCAATATGGGTTTTCCCAATGGCCTGGAGTCAGAATTCTGCCTATGTGGCATTTGCATCAGTAGTGGATAATATAGTGCCCTGGCCAGATTACTGTTTCAGGACAGAGCCATTCATTCCCCAATCTACCAGAAATGTTAACTGCTGGGACTCACATCTGAGTCTGTCTCTAGCATCACTCTCTGCTGAAGGGAGCTGTCCTGCCCAGGGTTATGATTCTTCCCAAGGATAGCATTCATCCAAAGATAGGTTGGTATCAAGGAACAAATTGAGTTCCCTTTCCTCAATTTAAACAATTCTGATAGATTATCAAGACTCCAGAGATTCCCATGGTGTCAGCTGAGCCTTGTATTGAATCTTCATCACAGTTCAACTTCTTCCTCTTCCAATGCCACTTCCTTCATTACCTTGCATAGGATGATTCTGAATGTACTCACCAAAAATCTCCTTTAGGAAAAGCTCTATTCCAGAGCATGTTTTCAGAGAATCTTAACTAAGAAGATTTAATGCTTTTTACAAATTTAGTTTATAATGTTGAGTGCCCATGGTCTATGATATGGTTTGGCTCTGTGTCCCCACCCAAATCTCACCTTGAATTGTAATAATCCCCATGTGTCATGGGAGGGACCCCATGGGGGGTAATTGAATCATGGGGGCGGGTTTTTCCCATCTTGTTCTTGTGACAGTGAATAAGTCTCATGAAATCTGATGGTTTTATGAAAGGGAGTTCTCCTGCACATGCTCTCTTGCCTGCCACCATGTAAGATGTGACTATGCTCCTCCTTTGCCTTCCGCCATGACTGTGAGGCCTTGCTGGCCATGTGGAACTGTGAGTCAATTAAACTTCTTTCCTTTGTAAATTACCCAGTCTTGGGTATATCTTCATTAGCAGCATGAGAACAGACTAATACAGTCTATATACCTTTTCTTCCTTTTTTCCTTACTCTTTGCAAAATCCCATCAAGGTAGGGTATTTTATGTTTGACAAATGAGAAATTGAGATGCAAAGACTGACTTTGCCTCAGGCTACCCAGCCAGCAAATGGTGAAATCAAGTTTCACTGCCCTGCCCGGTGGAAGAGCTGCACTGTCTCTACTGCTGCACTACCCCTCTCTTTTGCCTTTCAGTCCCTTCTGATTTTCTTTGTGGAGTATGATGGCTTTCACTGCTTCTTCATTCTCAGAACAAAGATTAAATCATTGATGTCTCAACTTATTTTTTTGTTTCACTTCTCTCCTTCACAACAGAATTCTAACAGGCAATGAAGCTGGGGACCGATGCTTGACTTGAAGTGTGTTTTAAGGCTGTATGGTAATCCTGCTTTAATTCACAGCACCAAAAATGCCCTAACCTCATACATGAGGAAATAACTGAATGATGTGACTCTAAGGTGGAATGTCATGAAGGTAGTCTAGTCACTTTATGGTAACTAGCAAAATTGACACTCAGTGGAATAGGTTATGAGAGATACAAAGACAATAATTTTTAAATAGTGTCCTGGGATGTTGGAAATTCAAATGGTCTCTGTTCAAAGGCATAAAGCGTTCTCCAGGAGGATTCAAAGTTCTTTCTCTCCTCACCTCCTGCTCTCAGAGTGATTGACAAGAACTTGTCACATTCTAGATAGTCTCTGATCACCTCCTCCTGGATGCTAAAATAAAAGTAAGAGTTTAATCTTCTCAGCAGTGAGGTGAAGGAGGTTTCAAAGCACATGAACTGTTGCTTAAGTGGTTACTCTTTCACCCAGAGAAGGAATCTAATATTCACATGGACCACCTATAGGAGAACCTGTAGCACAGCCTTGTAAGATGCCCAGGATGCTTCTCTGTGAAGCCTTCTGATTGGTCTGCTCTCTACTAAGCACCATAGAAGCTAAGGTTACATATTGAAACACTTGTTGTATTGACAGTAAAAGATGAAGAAGATTGATATCTCATAGTCCATCAGAAACTGGTATTGGCACTGAATTGACTCTATTATAGGTCAGTCCTCATGTATTGGACTTCCCTAATGTGTCAATTGACAACACCCCTATTAAGGCATTGCTGATGCTTATCATTACATCCTCCAGAAAATTATTTCCATAAATTAATTTCAGGTGTAAACATAATATGTAGTAAGCCTTAAAAATTAAAAATGATGATTTTTTCACAACACCTTGAGAAAAACACTTTACCTTTCTGAATGTCAGTTGCTTCCTCTATAAAATGGGGATAATAATACCAGCTTCTCAAAATTGTTGTAAAATGAAATGAACCAATGCAGGTAAAGCACTCAGGACAGTGTTTGCCTGTATTAGTAAGGGTTCTCTAGAGGGACAGAACTAATATGATAGATGTATATATAAAGGGGAGTTTATTAAGGAGTATGGACTCGCACAATCACAAGGTGAGGTCCCACAATAGGCTGTCTGCACGCTGAGGAGCAAGGAAGCCAGTCTGAGTTCCAAAACCTCAAAATTAGGGAAATTGACAGTGCAGCCTTCAGTCTGAGGCCAAAGGTCCAAGAGTCGCAAAGTCCTTGAATAGATATTCTTTATTCTTTATGAATAGATAAAATGTGGTACATATTCACAATGGAGTAGTATTCAGTCACAAAAAAAGAATGAGATCCAGTCATTTGCAACAACATGGGTGGAACTGGAGGTCATTATGTTAAGTGAAATATCCCAGGCACAAAATTTGTGGGATCTAAAAATCAAAACAATTGAACTCATGGACATTGAGAGTAGAATAATGGTTACCATCGACTAGAAATGGTAGTGGGGGGTGAGGGGGTGTATGGGTACAAAAAGTAGTTACAAAGAATGAGTAAGACCTATTATTTGATAGCATAATAGGATGACTATCATCAATAATAACTTAATTGTACATTGTAACATAACTTAGAGTGTAATTGGATTATCTGTAACTCAGAGGATAAGAGGATAAAGGTTTGAGGGAATGGATATCTAATTCTCCATGATGTGCTTATTTCACACTGCACACCTGTGTCAAAATATCTCATGTACCTCATAAATATATACACCTACCATGTACCCACAAAAATGAAAAAATAAAAATTATAAAGTAATCCAGATTTTTAAAAAAGCATATGTATATGTGGTCAAAAAGAAATTATGTTTTTTAACCAAACTATACTAAATTATTTGTCTTCAAAAATTGAGAAAGGGGTTTGAAAAAATGTCTTTAGGTATTTCCTGTCAGGAAAGATTGAGTACATTTCAATGAGGGAAGCCGGACTGCAGCTTATGCTAGAGAAATGCTTTTCAAATATAAGTGCACACATGAATACCCTGTGGATCTTATTAAAATGCAGATTCTGACTCAGTAGGTTTTGGGTGGTTTTAGATTCTTTATTTTTAACAGGCTCCCAGGTGATTCTGGGGCTTCTGGTCCAAGTACAACACTTGAATAGCAAGGGACTAGGACATGTTCAACTCTATGGCTCACCTGTGATGTATTTCCAGCCAGGCACATGGGCTTAGTGCCCCACTTGTGCACTCATGATGCAGTTCCCACACTCAACACACTCATGGGACAGTGGGAAGTGGAGAGGGATACACAACTACCTAAAACAAATCATAATATTATATAATATGTACAATAAACATTCATAGTGATATGAGAATATAGAGGGAGTGGGGAGCAAATTCTGTCTGAGAGAATTAGGGAAGTTGTTGCAAAGGATGTTTGAGTATACTTTTTTAAGAAGGAAAATGAGTGTTCCACATATGCGCATGAAGAGGCATGTGAGTGGAATTACGTGTCACCATGTGGCTGAAGATGATACATAGAAGAGTTTTGTTTTGCCATTGACAAAACAAGAGGGAATAATTCTGTGACTATAATTATGCATTTTCCCATATTATTGAGAAAATCAGTACATTTCTCTGTCAAAGGGTTAGCACAGCTGTGTCTGTGGTCCTCCACCTTTCTCTGTCACACCTGAAACAGACTTCAGGGCTGAAGCTTCCTAATGCTTCATAGGATAACCCAAGTCAGGATGTAAATGTTCTCTCCTCCCAACTTTGGAACACTCACATTTATTCAATGTAAATCTTTTGCTCATAATTTCCTGTTATAAAACATTTTTGTAGCATCTCAAAACAGCTAACAGACTTTCTTATACTTAATAATCACATTATAGCTATCACCTAAGTGCCAGATACTGTGCAATTTTCACATTACAAATTCTCTTCTGTAATTCTCACAGTTAGGAGCTAGGCAGCAGTATCACAAATCTCATTTTACATAGCAGAAATTTAAGTCTCTGAGAGGCTACTTGCTCAGAGAAGGACTTACCCTAAACCACTCAACCAGAGAGTAGCCAAGCTAGCATTAAAACTCTGTGAATGCAGTGCATTTTAATCCTCCCCTATGTTGGAAGGATGCATTGATAGACTCGGTTGTTGATTCAAGCTTGTTGTAAATTCTTTGAATTTCACCCATTGCGAGGCTGGGTTTTATGTTTCCTTTCCTTAAATCTAGCTGGACTCTGTGAGTGTCTTGCCTGGTAGAACACAGTGAAATTAACACCATGCCATTTTCTGGGCCCAAGTCTTAAACTGAAACTTTGTCTCTTGAAACATTCTGTCAGCTGGGCATGGTGGATCATGCCTGTAATCCCAGCACTTTGAGAGACTGAGGCGGATCACCTGAGGTCAGGAGTTCGAGACCAGCCTGGCTAACATAGCGAAACCTCATCTCTACTAAAAATACAAAAATTAGCCAGGCGTGGTGGCATGTGCCTGTAATCCCAGCTACCCAGGAAGCTGAGGCAGGAGAATCGCTGGAACCCAGGAGGCGGAGGCTGCAGTGATCCAAGATCTCGCCACTGCACTCCAGCCTGGGTGACAAAGCGAGACTCCTCTCAAAAAAAAAAAAAAAAAAAAAAAAAAAAAAAAAAAAAAAAAAAAAATTCTGTCTTGGACCCCTGAGCCAACATGTAAGAAGGTCATTGCCTTTCTGGAGAGAGACTACCTGCAGAGGTTCTGAAATTACAGGGAGAGGGAGAGTTTCCAGCTGAGCCCACCTTCCAGGGAGCCAAGGCATCAGACATCTGAGTGAAACTATGTGGATCCTCTAGACTAGCCCAACAGCTTTACAAAATACCGCTGAATGAGGTTAGTCAATGCTGTGTAGAGCAGAAGCATCATCTAGCTGAAGGCTCCCCAAATTCATGAGATCTTATAAAATGCTTGTGGCCTTAAGCCATTGACTTTGAGGATGGTTTCTTATGCAGCAACTGATAGCTGATGACCTGTCTTATCTGAAAACTTTGCTTAGCAAATTGTAGATTCTTTCTTCCTACCCACTTACGGCAGTTTTTTTGTGAGATACTAAGGAAGAATGAAAAAAAGTGGTTTCTGACTTTTAGTGTCTTATTTTTTAGGCCTGTGGTTTGTATGTGTTGGTGGTGGTAGTGGTGGTGGACATAGAATAGTATGTGAACATCTCTTGGGGTATGAACAGATGGTGCTGACCAAAACACCCCAGGTAAATGTCATAGGTTTCTGCCCTTTGCCCTGGAGATACATCATTAATACTAGGTTAGAGTTTTAGAGGTAGAAAGGGTTTTAAAATAATTTAGACTATCATTTATTTTACAAATGAAGCACTGAAGCCATGGAAGTTTTGTCACTGGTTTAAGCATAGCGCTGGGAATAGAACACACAGGTGAATGAATTATAATACTATATATATACATATATATATATTAATTGCCATAAATTGATATTTCCATAGTTACTTATTAATCCTTCAGAGTGAATGAATAAATTGAGATTCTCCATAAAAAATGTAGTCAACTACCAGTGTTTTTCAAATTTGGCTGCACATTAAAATCATCTGTGGTTATTTAAATAAAATTGACAGTCTAAGATCCAGACCTATAAATTGTTTTAATAATCAGTTTGTGAGTGGCCTAAGAAAGTAGTATTTTTTTGGTAATAACCCTTATAACTAATAATGAATTGATTACTAGTAACTAGTAATTTGAGGGATTGTATTTTAATAAGCTTATGTAATATTAATGGTGTTTTTACTTTCTCCAGTGACCATGCACAAATTGTATGATATCTGATTTGAACAGTTTATATAACTTCGTTTTGCTAGTTTTTTGCCTACTGCTTGAGCTACTCATCTTTAATATATATATAACAGGAACCTAACACAAATTTTTCTGTTTTTTAACGTTGATCTTTTGAAAAAGAATTATACTTTGAGCCATCCTTTTCCCATCTTTCAGTGGAAGTTCCAAATGCAAAACACGATTGATTAGTAGCTAGCTTTTAAAGACCATTTTATAGTAGCTTGGTAAATCATTCAAGCAGGAGTTACTCATCTATACTTGAATAAATTAGCTTTTTGTGTAGAGTGTGCTGGATTTATTAGCTAGCTGTTACTAATTTATCATATCCTCATTTATTTGAATATAACTCTAAAACAACTCACAATTAGTTTAAATAAAAGTATCTGTATCTAGAATTAATGCACTGGAGGAAATGTAATTTCACTTGAGGTCAGGAGTTTAAGACCAGCCTGGCCAGCATGGTGAAACCCTGTCTCTACTAAAAATACAAAAATTAGCCAGGAGTGACAGTGCGCACCTGTAGTCCCAGCTACTTGGGAGGCTGAGGCAGGAGAATCGCTTCAACCCAGGAGATGGAGATTGCAGTGAGCCAAGATTGCGCCACTGCACTCCAGACTGGGTGACCAAGCGAGACTCCGTCTCAAGAAAAACACCAATAACAACAACAAGAACAAACAAAAACAACCAGGGGCAAAATAGGTTCTGATTTGATATAGTGGATAGTTTCACTTGTGTCACAGTAGGAGCTGGTGGGTTGGTTTTTACTCCAGTGACCCAGAAAATGGAATGGAGTAAAATATAGCCTAATGGCTAAGTGTGCAAGCTCTAGTCAGGCTGTACAAACTGGAAACTTGGCTCTGTGATCTCCCATCTATGTGACCTTGGACACATTTCTTAACTTTCCTTTGCTCCTGTTGTTTCATGTTAAAATAGCATTAATAATAGTGCTCACTGCTTAGTATTGCTGGGAGGATTGAATCACAAAATATACATCCTGATATTGACTGAACTCTCAGTAATGGGGAGCTGTGTGCGGGTACCTTAGTTGATATGATTCCACCACCTCAAAAACATTCAGTTAAAAGAAAAAGCTGGGGCTTTCTGCCTTGAGGCTCTTTCTTTCTTTCTTTCTTTTTTTTTTTAAAGTGATAAAACCAGATTTTATTCAGGAACTATTGCAATAGGAGAAAAGAGACCTAAGTACAGAACTAGACTCAATTCTGAATACAACAAGGACAAGTGAGGATTTACAGTCAAGGAGCAGGGTGTGGTCATTGAAAGGAAAATTACTAAGAGGAAATATTTGGGTAAGTGGGGATTCTGGTTAAACTGACTTGACGAGATTCTTGCTGAAGGCAGGCTGGCAGGGGGAGGGGGTCCAGCTGTCCCCTGGGGGAATGTCTGGGACAAGAAATTTGATTTTATCGAGTGATCAGAAATGGAGGGTGGAGGATTCTTTCTGAACTGACTTAACAGGATTCTTGCTGAAATTGGGTGATCCAGGCCCATCGATGATGTCCACTGAAGCCCAAAGTCAAAGCTTACTTGAAAAGAAGGTTTAGAAACCTGACTAATGTTTGGTCAACAAGAACATCTTTGAAATCAGGAAGGAACACATATATATGTATTGCTACCTCTTTTCTGTTGCCATGATAGGGCCAGACTAATTACTTGCAGACTGCAGCTTCCAGGGAAAATCATGATACAATTTTTATTCAGAGGAAATGCATTATGTGGATTTTAAGGGCAGTTTTCGGGGGAAAAGAGGGAGATAAAATGTTATAGGAAAGCCACATCCAGTTTTCTGGAATGATATATAAAAAAAAAGAAGCAATTAAACCAGTTATGTCTTCAATGTATTGATAATCCGAGATGCAGTGGATAGTTACATAAGTATTTTCAGCACCATTAAGTGCTCCATTTATTCTAGGAAAATGAACTATGGTATCTACTGCATTTACAACCTTTGCAACAACTCTACTCATGCACTTCATTGCCATACTCACAGAAAATGCAAAAAAGATGAGCCAAAAAGTCATATTTTATATCTATGACCCTGCCCCCTTGGCTACAGATACTGGATTGTAAGCACTTGATTGAATGGTAGCCAATGCATAGATTGTTTGTTACCTATGACATGCATGGCTTTGCATGAAATGATGATCTGAGCTAATCACATTCTTACTCTCATTGACATGAATTGAGGAAAGAGAGAAGCAGGCAATTAATAGTAGATTTCAAGCTGAAGGTTACATGCAGAGAATCCCTTGACATGGGTTTGGAGTCATGTATGAGGAATTAAGTTCCTGTGAAAAGTCAGCACTATCTGAGTTATAATCAGAAGCTATCAGGGAGAGAGAACATCTAGAATACAGAGAGAAAAAAATAAGGTAAATGGTGTGGTAGGTTAAAGATAGCTACAAATTATTTGACACTTTGTCTTCCCCAAAAGTGGGGTACTATTTATTTTTCCTGTTAATCTGAGTGGGTTTTTTTTTTAATATACTTTAAGTTTTAGGGTACATGTGCACAACCTGCAGGTTTGTTACATATGTATATATGTGCCATGTTGGTGTGCTGCACTCCGTAACTCATCATTTAACATTAGGTATATCTCCAAATGCTATCCCTCCCCTCTCCCTCCACCCCACAACAGGCCCCGGTATGTGATGTTCCCCTTCCTGTGTCCATGTGTTCTCATTGTTCAATTCCCACCTATGAGTGAGAACATGGGGTGTTTGGTTTTTTGTCTTTGAAATAGTTTGCTGAGAGTGATAGTTTCCAGCTTCATCCATGTCCCTAAAAAGGACATGAACTCATCATTTTTTACAGCTGCATAGTATTCCATGGTGTATATGTGCCACATTTTCTTAATCCAGTCTGTCATTCTTGGACATGTTTGTTGGTTCCAAGTCTTTGCTATTGTGAATAGTGCTGCAATAAACATACGTGTGCATGTGTCTTTATAGCAGCATGATTTATAATCCTTTGGGTATATACCCAGTAATGGAATTGCTGGGTCAAATGGTATTTCTAGTTCTAGATCCCTGAGGAATCGCCACACTGACTTCCACAATGGTTGAACTAGTTTACAGTCCTGCCAACAGTGTAAAACCATTCCTATTTCTCCACATCCTCTCCAGCACCTGTTGTTTCCTGACATTTTAATGATTGCCATTCTAACTGGTGTGAGATGGTATCTCATTGTGGTTTTGATTTGCATTTCTCTGATGGCCAGTGATGATGAGCATTTTTTCATGTGTCTTTTGGCTGTATAAATATCTTCTTTTGAGAAGTATCTGTTCATATCCTTCACTCACTTGTTGATGGGGTTGGTTGTTTTTTTCTTGTAAATTTGTTTGAGTTCTTTGTTGATTCTGGATATTAGCCCTTTGTCAGATGAGTAGATTGCAAAAATTTTCTCCCATTCTGTAGGTTGCCTGTTCACTCTGATGGTAGTTTCTTCTGCTGTGCAGAAGCTCTTTAGTTTAATTAGATCCCATTTGTCAATTTTGGCTTTTGTTGCCATTGCTTTTGGTGTTTTAGACATGAGGTCCTTGCCCATGCCTATGTCCTGAATGGTATTGCCTAGGTTTTCTTCTAGGGTTTTTATGGTTTTAGGTCTAACATGTAAGTCTTTAATCCATCTTGAGTTAATTTTTGTATAAGGTGTAAGGAAGGGATCCAGTTTCAGCTTTCTACATATGGCTAGCCAGTTTTCCCAGCACCATTTATTAAATAGGGAATCCTTTCCCCATTTCTTGTTTTTGTCAGGTTTGTCAAAGATCAGATGGTTGTAGATATGCAGCATTATTTCTGAGGGCTCTGTTCTGTTCCATTGGTCTCTATCTCTGTTTTGGTACCAGTACCATGCCGTTTTGGTTACTGTAGCCTTGTAGTATAGTTTGAAGTCTTGGTCAGTTCTAACCTGGTTCTGGAGTTCATCAGCAGTCTTAGCCCTCCAAATCATGAGTTGACCTGCCTGCCATAGATCTGGCATTAATTGTGCCTGTTTTGCAGTGTGGACTCCTGAATACTTTTTCAGCACAAGCTTTGCAAACCCTGCTTGCCTTTATGTTGATTCAGTTTTTGCTTCTTGCGTTACACCTGGAGTTTCTTTGGCCTATACCTGATTTCCTATTGAGAATAAAGTGATTCTGTAGATCCCTGACATTCTACAGTGTCCTTGCCATCATTCTCTCCTATGGAAGTGAATCCTGTCCCTTCATTAGCAGCCACAGGCTGGCATATTGATGCAATAGGCTAATTACCCAGAGCCATAGCACTTCTACCCACCTGAATTAGAGCACTGTAATCCCACTTCTGAATGAAATGTTAAATGAATATCAGAATATCTCTGAAACTCTTCTTAGATTATCATATCTTTTTATACTGTTGTGGAATCCCAGTGACCTACAGGGGCCAGTCCTTCAGCTTGGTCACTTTCTTTAGCCCAGTTAAAACTTCCTTCCTCTTACTTTGGACCAGTGTGGCTTACATTCCAGCATGAACTGCAACTGAAGCCAAATGTGGCAACTGAGCTGATAAAGGATGTTGAATTGTCTTCTACCTATCAAGTTTATTGGGTGATGACAGACTGGATAGGTTGGTATTCTTATTCTCAGCCTTTAGAGGTCAAAAATCCTTCTGCCCATCTGCTTTTTTTCCCTCCTTTTGTTCTTTAGCATTATCTCAGCAATGAGGGGCTGAAACATCATAGTTTGATTATATTGCTTTCTAAAATGTCCAGAATTCCAACAAAAATGTCTTAACTAGGTTTCCATGTTTATCTTATCTTATTTTCCTATAAGATACAAATGTACTGTATAATATTTGATGACAAGCTCAGATGCATTTTAACACATTGAGAAGGCTACAAAAGCCTCACTCTTATTATCTAAGAATTCCTTGGGAAAAGATGCTGTGCTCGAATCCGTTTTTGCTACAAAACTGGGCTTGCAATTTAGCAATGACTCTGAAGAAAAAAGACTTCAATATACATGTAACAAAACATGTGTATGATCTACATGGTGAAAATTACAAAATGTTGATAAAAGAAATCAAAGGAGACCTAAATAAATAAAGGCCGATATTGTGTCCATAGATTGGAACACTCAACATAGTAATGATGTTAATTCTTCTGAAATTAATGTGCAGGTTTAATGTAATTCCTATCAATTTTTCAGCAAGGTTTCACAGACACAGATACACAACATCTTTAATGAATCTCCAGGGATTTAAGCTGAGTGAAAAAAAGTCAGTTTCAAAAGATTACCATTTCATTGATATGGCATTTTTGAAATGGCACAATTTTTAGAACTGGAGAACAGATTATCGATTGCCAGTGGTTAAGGATGGGATCCCTATCCACCCTGGTAATGGAAAAGAGTTGTGGTGGTTCTAAAAGGGGTTTGCTAAGGATCCTTTTGGTGATGTAACTATTTAATATCTTGACTTGGTGGTCCATACACAAACCTATGCATTTGACAAAATTGTATAGAACTGAACATACACATAGATCCAAGTTAAACTTTGGCAAATATAAGAAAGATGGATTGTATTAAGGTTAATATCTTGTCTGCAATATTATACTATAGTTTTGCAAAATGTTACCATTGGGGAAAACTGGGCATATTAGTTTCCTAGAGCTGTGATAATAAAATACCACCAACTAGGTGGTTTAAAACAACATACGTTTGTTTTTTCACAATTCTGGAAGTTAGAAATCTCATATCAAGTGTTAGCAGGGCCATGTTCTCTCCAAGGATTCTTAAGGAGGGAACCTCCTTATCTCTTCCTGCTTCTGGTAGCCACAGTCATTCCTTGGTTTGTGACAGCATAAATCCAATTTCTGCCTCCATCTTCATGGGGCTGTCTTCCCTCTGTGTATTTTTATCTCTGTGTCTTTTCTCTTCTTTTAGGGGCGCCAGTCACATTAGATTAGGGCTCACGCTAATGATCTTAAATTGATTAAATCTGCAAAGACTGTTGTTTCCAAATAAGGTCCTGTTCCCAGGTACTGGTAGTTAGGACTTCAGCCTATTGTGTCCCTCCTTGGTGGGAGGGACACAATTCCACCTATAACATTGAGTAAAGACCACGTAGGCTCTCTCTGTATTGTTTTTCACAAACTGTACATGAACCTACCATTACCTCAGTAAAAAATTCAATTCAAAATAAAAAGCAAGAAGGGCACAGCAAGGGCAACCAAAGTGGTTGGTATGCAGCACAGGGGCCACTTTAAGAATCAGGTTTAATAATCTGGGATGTGTGTGTGCAGTACTGTGCAAAGCAGGTCTAGCTGTATGTATGAGGCCAGGACCCAGAGCAAATTATAATAACCTGGTCCAGTCAATTACCCTGTGGGACCCAGAAAAAATAATCACTATGACCCTTGCCCCACCTCCCTAGGACTGATGTACCCTATATTGCTGATTCAGGGCATAGTGGATAAATTGATACTTTTTGTGTGTGAATGAAGAAAGAAAGCACAAAGCCTGACATTCTTCAGATTTGCTTGGGTTTATCCCCATGAGCCACTTTTTAGTGTTTTTAGTAGAGTTAGTTTGAAGATAGGGCAAGATGTTGTTATAGATGAAATTAATGCATATTCATAGGAAAGTTGAAATGATTCAATAAATCTATGCAAAACCCAAAGTACAGAGCCAGACACATATTGTTCAATAAATGTAAGCAAGTATTATATTATATGTGTAATTCATTAACTGATTTGAATATCAAATGGATCATTCTCATTCCTCCAAAATGCCTGAGGTCTTTTGGGGTAAAAATGAAATTAAACCAGATATATCTCCAAGGTGATAAATTTGGGATAATGTAGAGATAAAATCTCCAAGCTCTTCTGGCTTCAAATTCAGGCATAGTTAAATAAGTGATCATTTGAATTTGTACATGTAATCACCCAAAAGTTAATATGATCTGGTGCAAGCTCTTTGCAACTTCTAGGACTTCGTAACTAAATCAGTCCTCCCTGCTACATAGAAATTGAAGAGCTTGTAAACATCTCCCTGTTGGAGTCAGGCAGGAGACCATCTTTCAGCTGTTTAATAAGAGTTCAGATTAGTGTCAACAAACTGACCCTACTAAGACAGACAAGAATTTGATTTGTATTTTTTAAAACCTCAATAAATTTACTTTCACCTTTTCAGCTATTTAATGCCTCTATTTGTGTTCACTCATTATCAACAAAGATAAAGTACTTATTTAGATTTTTTAAAAAAATTATCTCTTTTCAAATGAAAACCATTTGTGAAAGCACATTGATGGGAATGTACCTAAACAAGGATATACCTCCTAATTAGCTCTTTTTAGTTGCTCACATTGCTGTAATTAAAGCTCATTGAGGCCAATTCAAATGAAGAACTGTCTTCTTTATTTTTTAAAGTATCATTTCAAATGATTTTGAAACTGACATTATCCTCATTATCCCTTCTTAGAAATGAGCTTTCATGATTAAAGAGCAGAAAGTGAGATTAGCTCAATGGTTGATGAAGGTTTATTATTGTTTTCTTTCCTTTTGTTTTGCTTCCGTTTTGTTTTTGACCGTTATACTTATTATTTGGCCTTTGTTTTGCACCAAAACTCTTGTAATATGCATGTATTCAAGTCAGACTGAAACCATCTTTGCAAAAATTATAAGTGAGTAAATTATGAGAGTGAAAGAGACCTGACCTAATCAATCCATTTTGCTTCTAACCTCCAAACTGTCCTTGTTTATTCCTGGGCAAAGGCTGAACTAACCATGGGAGGAACTTAGTTTATAGTTTAACTTTGAAACTAAGATGATAACAGCCCTTTCCCAAACCAAACATCCTTCTTGCCTGGGGAAAAGATTGCCTTTGTAGAGCTAAGTATTAGCCACAAGATTATAAATTATGGATCAGATGTAATTCAGCTAGAGGCCACAAGATTCTAAACCTCCCCAATTCCCCCAAGGGATAACATCACTATTGTAAAACCCAAGATTAGTGCTTGAGATATTTTTCAAATCCTGCACTTGATGGATTGGCTGGCACCACCCAGATCAATAAACTGGCTCATTTGGTCTTCTGGCCTTCACCCAGGAAACAGCTCACTGCAAGAGGACAGCTTCAACTCCCTATGATTTCATCTCCAAGCTGATCAATCAGTGCTTTCCACTCCTTGGCCCCTTCCCCACTAAATTAGCTTTAACCTACCCCAGTCCCCTAATTTTTTGGGAGACTGATTTGAGTAATAATAAAACTGTGGTTTCCTGTTCAGTTGACCCTACAAGAATTAAACCCTTTCTCTATTGCAATTCCTGTCTTGATAAAGCAGCTCTATCTGGGCAGCAGGCAAAATGAACCCATTGGGCAGTTACAGGACTCTCTGAGATGACCAGGGTCCAGGCTGCTTTGGGATTGATGGACGCTTCCCTGAAAGAAGGCAAAATTTGGGCAGATTTTTCACCAAGTTCACAGCCAGCCAAAGAAGTGAGCTCCTCAACTTTTCCATTCCTACAGAGCTCTATGACTTCTAATCCCCAAATCCACTTATTCTGTTTATTTATGATACAAAAGAGACAAATGAATCAATCACCTGATTATTAAGTTAAATCCTGGCCATCTCTGACTGAGGCCAAAGCCTAAGATCTGAGGAACCCAGAACAACTGTCATGAGGACTAAGCTCTGATTTTTTTTTTATCTTGCCCAAGTTTCTATCTAAGGAGTCTGGAGAGTCATGCACTATAAACCATAAATTCTCATCAGATGGATTTTATTTAACCCTATATATTGTGACTTACTTTCCAATCTGACTCTGGCATAATATTACAAGACAAGAAAGAAAATCAAAATATTTTGCCCCAAGACATGTTTCTCTACCTTATCTTGAAATGGCCCTGCAAAGCTGTTCTTTGTGGGGGAAAATATTCATCTGAAAAGAATCTCTATTAAAGCAACTAGATCTTTTTCTTCTAGACCCTCCCAATCCAGAAAAGATTGGGAGCACCTTTTAAATATCTGAATAGGTGCTAAATATAGCACCTTTTAAATATCTGAATAGAAAACATTTGTCATGTATTGTCTCTAAGGGCAGCCATTGTAAGACTTCAAAAGAACCTTGGTTTCCACAATCTTTTAAGACTTCAAAAGAACCTTGGTTTCCACAGTCTTTTATCTTAACCTGAACATTTCCTTTCTATGGATCGCAGTCCTTTAGACAAACTTAACCAGTTGTCAACCAGAAAATGTTTACATTTACCTATATCCTGGAAGCCCCCACTTTGAGTTGTCCCGACTTTCTGAACCAAACCAATGTATTTCTTAAATGCATTTAATTGGTGTCTCATGCCTCCCTAAAATATGTAAAACCAAGCTGTACCCCGACCACCTTGGCACATGTTCTTAGGATTTCCTGAGGGCTGTGTTACGGGCCATGGTCAGTCACATTTGGCTTGGAATAAATCTCTTCAAATATTTTACAGTTTGACTCTTTTCATTGACAGTCAGATATGAGCTCCTTGCACAATGCTTTCTGCTGATTCTTCTGATGGAAGGTGACTGAAGAGGAACTTTTGATAACTTCAAAAATTTAGTGAGGATGATCCCCACAATGAACATTCCAGGAATCTGAGTACTCCCTTACAGATTCTCATCAGCACACTCTTTTCTTGCGTTTTGGAGTGTTGCACTCCAGACATCCGTGGGGTCCCACTGGGAACGCATTGTTCTAAAATGGGATCCAAAGAATGAGAAGTTTATTTAAAATATTATTTAATTAATGATAATTATGATTTTTAAATACATAATACACTTTCATGGTCAAGATTCAATTGACATCAAATAATGTAAAATAAAAATTCTCTGATATAGTTTGGATTTGTGTCCCCACCTAAATCTCATGTTGAATTGTAATCCCCAGTGTTGGAGGAGTGGCCTGGTGGGAGGTGATTGGATCATGGGGGGCAGATTTCCCCCTTGCTCTTCTTGTGATTTTGAGTGAGTTCTCATAAGATCTGGCTGTTCAAAAGTGTGTAGCACCTTCCCCTGCACTCTCTTCCTCCTGCTCCAGCCATGTAGGACATGCCTGCTTCTCCTTCACCTTCTGCCTTGATTGTAAGTTTCCCGAGGCTGGCTCAGCCATGCTTCCTGTACAGCCTGTGGAACTGTAAGCCAATTAAACCTCTTTTCTTTATACATTTCCCAGTCTCATAGTTTTTTATAGCAATGTGAGAACGAACTAATACAATCTCCCTTCCATTCCCCTGCTCCAGCAATTCAGTGTTCCTCTCCAGAGGTAACTATTATTATTGATTTCTTATGCAGCCTTTCAGATATATTTTATGTATGTGTGGCAGGCCAGGTCTCACTAACACAGGCCTCCATTACAACTGTCTCAGCACTGACTTAGTAGCTAGGTTAAACATTAAAAACTGATTGAGCCAGTGCCCTTATAAAAGGCTGGAATGTAAGAAAGAGCCCACCAAGAGTTTTGCCTAGGCTTTTCCTGGGCCTTGAATCATGAAAAGATAATGAAGACATTCTTAATAGGATCCTTTTAGGATTTAACAAGATTTATTGGGAGTCTGAAGAGACTCCCCAGGGCTCCACAAAATTTATTGGGATCTAAAGGAACTCCCCAAACCTTTGTGATTTAGCAGGAAAAAAGATACGGGTAATTACCCCAGCACCTAGACCCATTTAGATTAAGTAAACTTATTCAGGCTCCAGAAGAAGGTCTTTAGGACTCGGACCTTAGTTATAGATTAAAATAAGTTAATCACTTATGTCTTTAGACTAATGCACACTTACACGTAGACATATAGCTTAGAAGGTATATAAGCTCTGGAAAACGCTGTAATTTTGAGTTGGCCTGGGGATAATTTCCAGGCCTTTTCCCTGTAACTAGTTGCAGAAATAAAAACTCTCTTCCTCCCTAGTTCATCTGCATCTTGTTATTGGGCCACGAGAAATAGCAGCCTGACCCTCACTTTGTTCCAGGAACATATGCACGTAGAAGTCTGTGCATATTCTTTTTTACTTCTTTCATCAAACACATCATTTATTCTCATCAATATTTTTGTTCTTTGTTTCCTTTCTTTTTTAAAAAACTGTGGTATAGTATTGTGGTTCAGAAAGAGATACCCCAAAATATGGCTTTTTGACATGTTGAACTGAAAAAGCCCCAAGGTCCCCAGACCTTCCTCCTCACCCCAACAGTCTCTCTAAAGAATACGATTAAGATATTCCTTGAAGTTCCTTTTTCTGCCCAAAGTCCAGACCCACCAAAAAGAACAATGGTTTTTTCCCTCCCCTTCCTATTGTCTCACTATCTATTGCAGAAAATAAGACCAAGAATGTTACCACATCTGAACAAACCTTTTTAAAAAATAATAGCTGTCTCTCATACTCAAATTCCAAAGCAAACTATTTGCCAGTTAATCTCTGTTCCCCGTTAATTCATTCTCCCTAGTAATCATATATTGCCCGTCAACATAATGTATTTTCTCACCACAACATAACCTGTTTTACCAGGATCCAAGGCCTTCATTCTTTTTGTAATCTTAAAATGATATGTTAGCTTTAGTACCTAATTCAGGGGTTGGGTCTTCATTTTGAAGGCTTCTGTGTATATACGTTAAATAAATTTGTATGTCTTTTCTCCTATTAATCAATCTGCCTCATGTCAGTGATTTTTCAGCAGACTTCCAGGGATCCAAGGACCTTGGCCCCTGCGATAGCATTCCATGATAAAGATGCACCATAATTTATTTATTTTTATTTTTATTTTTTGAGACGGAGTCTTGCTCAGTCGCCCAGGTTGGAGTGCAGTGGCGCAGTCTTGGCTCACTGCAAGCTCCGTCTCCCGGGTTCATGCCATTCTCCTGCCTCAGCCTCCTGAGTAGCTGGTACTCAGGTGGCACCTGCCACCATGCCCGGCTAATTTTTTTTGTATTTTTAGTAGAGACGGGGTTTCACCATGCTAGCCAGGATGGTCTCGATCTCCTGACCTTGTAGATGCACCATAATTTATTTACCGCAGCTGCTTCTGTGAACATTTGCATTGTTTCTAACTTTTAACATGTAGTAGTATAATTGTAAGCTAAACACTTTAAAAGCAATTGCTAGATCAAAGGCTATATGGATTTGCCATTTTGACAGATATTGCCAAATTATTCAAACTAAAAATTGTACTAATTTGTATTTCTTCCATCAAAGTATAATAATGTTTCCTTAGATATTTGTCAGCATGTACTTATGTGATCATGATTTGTCTTTGCCAATAAAGTAGATGAAAAACATATTTCATTATAGTTTTATAATTTGCATGTACAATGGATTGCAGTCACTCATTCCTATTTTTAAATTGGACATGTCAATCGAAGAGTGGGAGGTTCATAAATTTGGAAAGAATAGCTTTATTTTCCATAAAGCGTTGCAGCTTGCAGGGTGGCCATTCTGACAGGCTGGGAAACGTAGGCTCTAGCTCGAAATCAGAAACATATACTCAAGGGAGATAAAAAGGGAACAGGTATTTATGCTGAGTGGGGTGGTTGAATATACATATTTAATAAGCCAAAGGATAATTCATGAATATTTATGAGAGGGGAAACCTGAATATGCCCAACTGAGCTTTATGCCTCTCCATGGAATCCATGTTGAAAAAACAATGCTGTTAGCCTGATATGAGGGTAGAATTTTCAGCCCTCTGAAATCAGAGGACACAAAAACCTCTGCACATCCTCCATATACTGGCCAGAACCACTTTGGTAGGTTGGTGGTCTCTTATTAGGAAGGAATGCTCGTCAGTTGTTTTGTGGAAACCCACAAAAAGGAGGGGTAGTGTCAGGCACTTGGTTGCTATCAGTAGTGGGGTCTTTCCAAAAGGCTTTTGTTTAACCCTTAGGGAAGAAAGCCTAATGGCTGTTGTCTGAGAGAGGGCATGTATCTAGGTGTATCTAACCTCCCATCCCGTCATGGCCAGGAACTCAGCTTCCAAGATTTCTCTGGCATCCCCTTGGCCAAGAGCGGGTATGGTCAATTGGATGGTGGGCTTAGGAGTTCATTTTTTATTTCTCTGGTACAGTTTATTCAAAAGTATATGTTGCATATTGATGATGTATAAGGCACTGAGACTGACATTGCAGGGCATAAAGAGTTATTCAAGTCATAATCCTCCTTCAGGGTTCTTGCAGTTTAATTTGGGTCCAAGGCAATAGATTAATACTTATTTTAAAAAGCTCACATGTGATACCAGTATCAAGAACATGTAAAGTACTGCGGGACCTCAAAGAAGACATAAGATGAAAAAGATATAGGATGAAAATGGAAGTTAATCATGAAAACCTTCATAGGGAAATGAATGTCTCTAAAAGTTGAGATTGAAGTGGGATGGGGATTCAGGAAAAGAAATGCTATGTGAGAATGCATAGAGGTCAGGGCACTGATGAGGAGCAGTGGCAAGGCTGGTTAGAAAGGAGTGTGGAATTTGTAAGGAAGAAGAAGGAGAGATGAACCTATTAAGGCGATTTGGGCCAGATTGTGAATACCCTTGAATTAGGAGTATGTGGGGAGTGGAGTCATATTAGCAGAATTTGGGCATATGGGAAGGTAAACTAATCAAAGCTATGTTTTTGAAAACTTAACAAAATACACAAATTAAGGATGTTTGTGGGAATTTAAGTTCATCAAGTGCGTGAAAAGTTTTTATTATTTTTTTTACTAAGAGTTAAGAAAGAAGATATCTCTACCCTCCAGGAGCTTCCCGCTCTCTTGCTCATGCTCTCTCTCTCTCTCTCCTCTCTCTCTCACGTGTGTGTATGTGTGTGTGTGTGTGTGTTTGTGTATGTGTTATTATGTGCGGGGAGTAAATGGATAATGAAATTGAATCTGGATACCTTTCATTAGGCACTGGAATCTGTTAGTGTTGCAATATTTTCTAAGTATTAATTGATCACTTGGATTATTTTAACCTCATTTTTGTACCTCAAAAACATCATGCCAAGGACCATGATGTTAACCCCTGTCTATAGCACTGTGTTGGAGGAGAGGTATTTGACATAGCCACAAACATCTGCATTGTCAGTACTAGTCTGTTTTCACACTGCTATAAAAAAAATACCCGACAGTGGGTAATTTATAAAGAAAGGATATGTAATTGGCTCACAGTTCTGCAGGCTCTAGAGGAAGCATGTTGCTGTCATCTGCTTGTCTTCTGGGGAGGCCTCAGGAGCTTTCTATCATGGAAAAGGTGAAGGGAGAGCTGGCAATTCACATGGTCAGGAGCAGGAGGAAGAAAAAGAAGAGGCAGGTGCTACACACTTTTAAATAACTATACCTTGCATGAACTCACTTCACTATATAGTACCAAGGAGGGATGGTGCTAAACCATTCATGAGAACTCCACCCCTATGACACAATCACATCACACCTGGCCCCACCTCCAGAATTGGGGATTACATTTCTACATGAGATTTGGGTGGGGACACAGATCCAAACCATATCATTCTGCTGCTGACCCCTCCCAAATCTTATGTCCTTCTCACAGTTCCCCAAAGTCTTGACTCATTCCAGCAGTAACTCAGAAGTTTGAAGTCCAAAGTGTTGTCTGAGACAAGGTTAGTCCCTTCTGCCAATGAGCCTGTTAAATCAAAAAGAAGTTAGTTACTTCCAAGATACAATAGGAGTGCAGGGGCACAATGCAGCCAGGCTCTTTTCTAAAGCATAGCAAAAGTGACCTTAACTCCAGTTCCCAATAAGTTTCTCATTTCTATCTGAGACCTCCTCAACTTAGACAGTGGGAGCATTTGCAGGGGAAATACTCCCATTCCAAAAGGGAGAAATTGGCCAACACACACACACACACACACACACACACACACACACACACACAAACAAAAAGCAAAACAAATAAACGAACAAAAAACAGGAGCTACAGGCCATATGAAAGTCCAAAACTCAGCAGGGCAGTAATTAAATCTTAAAGCTCCAAAATAATCTCCCTTGACTCTACATCTCACATCCAGGGCATACTGGAGCAAGAGGCGGACTCCCAAAGCCTTGGACAGCTCTGACCATGTGACTCTGCAGGGTTCATCCCCCAAGGCTGCTCTCACAGGTTGACGGTGAGTGCCTGTGGCTTTTCTAGGGGCACAGGCCAAGCTGTTGGTATAGCTACAATTATGGAGTATGTAGATCTAAAATTCTGGAGTGTGTGGGTCTGGAGTATGGTGAACCTCTTCTCATAGCTCTACTAGGTGCCATAGTGGGGACTCTGTGTGGGGGCCTCAAGCCCACATTTTTCCTCCACACTGCCCTAGTAGAGGTTCTCCATGAGAGCTCTGCCCCTGCAGCAGGCTTTGCCTGTATATCCAGGCTTTTCCATACATCCTCTGAAATTTAGGTGGAGGCTCCCAAGTTTCAACTCTTGCACTCTGTACACCCACAGGGATAAAACCATGTGGAAGCCGCCAAAGGTTATGGTTTGCATTCTCTGAAGCAATGGCCAGAGCTGTGTCTGAGGCCCTTTGAGCCATGGCTGGAGCAGCTGAGATGCAGGGAACAGTGTCTGGACATTGTTCAGGGCAGCTGGGCCCTGGGCCTGGCCTACAAAACCATTCTTCCTTCCTAGGTCTTCAGGCTTGTGATGGGAGGGGCTGCTGCCAAGTTCTCTGAAATGCCTTAGAATATTTTTCCCTATTGTCTTGGCTATCAGTCCTTGGCTCCTCTCTACTTATGCAAATTTCTGCTGCTGACTTGAATTGCTCCCCTGAAAATGGTCTTTTCTTTTCTACCACGACTAGGCTGCAAATTTTTCAAACTTTTTCACTGTGCTTCCCTTTTAATTATAAGTTTTAGTTTTATGTCATTTCTTTTCTCACGCATATGAGCATATGTTGTTAGAGGCAGTCAGGTTACATCTTGAATGCTTTGCTGCTTAAAAATTTCTTCTGCTGAAGTCCATAAATTATCACTCTCAAGTTCAAATTTCCACAGGATCCCTAGAGTAGGGACACAATTCAGGAAGGCTCTTTACTAAAGCATAGCAAAAGTGACCTTTACTCTGGTTTCCGATAAGTTCCACATTTCCATCTGAGACTTCCCAGCCTGGCCTTCCCTATCCATATCACTATCAGCATTTTGGTCACAACAATTTAACAGGTCTCTAGGATGTTCCAAATTTTCCTTCATCTTTATGTCTTCTTCTGAGCCCTACAAAGTTGTCCAACCTCTGCTCATTACCCAGTTCCAAAGTTGCTTCCACATTTTTATGTATCTTTATAGCAAAGCCCCACTTTTCAGTACCAATTCTCTGTATCAGTTCATTCTTACACTGCTACTAAAAAATCTAGACTGGGTAATTTATAAAGAAAATAGGTTTAATTGGCACAGGGTTCCAAGGGCTGTACAGAAGACGTGATGCTGGCATCTGCTCATGTTCTGGGGAGGCCTCAGGAAACTTTCAATCATGGCAAAAGTTGAAAACGTAGCTGACAGTTCACATGGCAAGGAGCAGGAGGAAGAGAGAGATGGGGGAGGTAATACACAGTTTTAAACAACCAGATCTTATGAGAACTCATTCACTATACAGTACCAATGGGGATGGTGCTAAACCATTCGTGAAAACTCCACCCCCATGATTCAATCTCTTCCCACCAGGCCCCACTTCCAGCATTGGGCATTACGTTTCAACGTAAGATTTGTGTGGGGACACAGATCCAAACCATATCATTGTCCCTTGAACCTGTTCTGGGACATAGATGGGAAGATATGTTAACAGATTTTCAGTGGAGACAAAAAGTGTGTACTGCATTACCTGGACCCTTGCCTAGCTTTTCTCTTCCTGAAACCTCTTGGATGATGTATAACTACTAATGCACCCGAAAAAATATTAAATTAACAAATTAATAAATTAATGTGGCAAAAAGTTATGAATGATTGGCCAAACTACATTCTAATCAGCTTTTAAAACTGGCATAGTTTAGTAATAGACAAGAGATTGAAGCACTGGGTTTGAACCTTTCCCACCTCTTGGGTTTGAACCACTACCCACCTCCCTCTCTTCATCCTGGAAGTAGTAATTTATAAATGTATCTCTTTACCCATGAAGCCTGGGGAAGCCATTAATAATGACTGTCTTTCGCTGTTCTAATCTTCAAAGGCCAGAGTTGACATTTTAATACAGCACCTGGGCACTCCAGTCATTTCTTGTTATGTTATTTCACTGGAATAGCATTCCTGCAAGAATGGGGCATGTGTTAGTAAAGCCGTTAAGTAACAGATGGTATTGTTACTTCCTGTAGAATAGTGTGGCTGCAGGGTTACCACTTCTATCCAGCTGGTGAGAAAGAGAGAAGCAACTGTACAGACAAAATAGACACCCCTCTTGATAAGGAATATGACAAAGGAAGCACTTAATTTAAAATAGATCTGGCTTTAAATCATTCATTAGAATTGAGAATTTCAAAAAATTAGGGAATAAAATTTCCAGAAACTTTTAGGTATATTGCAATTATAGCACTCTCCTGTGGGAAGGATTAAAAAATGATGCCAAGTGGCTTCAGGTAGGGAGAACGGTCTGTATGGAGAAAAAGGTGTCAGCACTAGGGATGCCAGGTACATCTTTATGAAAAAGAAATTGACGTTATCTATGCATTGGTTACATTCATAAAGGCAGAAAGTGGAGGATTTAGGTCAGAATCAAGTCACAGAAGCACAGAAACTGGTAATTGCTAAACCTGTTGAAGCAGATGTCTGAAGTCCAGTGTTAGTATAGCCTTTCAAAGCTCCTGATCATCCTTTCCAACATACTGTGATATATTCAAAAGGGAGGATAATAGTGGAATAATTTTGGGGTTGTCATTTGCAGAAGTAAAATGTAGGATTAATTGGCCTCTCAATGTTTTTTCTCATGACTTTGAGATTAAATTATTATGTACTGTATTTATTAATTTGTGGACATACTCAACATTATGAAGAACAAATGTAACCCACCCCAAAGAAAATCAGAGCTTTTCTTCAGAAAGAAAGGATTCTAAATTAGAGTGGAGTTCTACATTAGAGTTGGGGAAATGTATTTCTATGGACACAATAAACATTATGATTGTGATGATTTTCTAATTTTTAATCATTTTTCATTTCTCCATCACAACATTAAACTATTTGCATGTTTATGTTAACATTATGTGTTTTGATCCATTTTGCTTGTGATTTGGACATGTTTTTTTTTCTCCAGCACACCTCTGCTACAACTAGTATTATGCCTAAAAGGATCTGGTTCTGGTATATCAACACTGCTTTTACTCTCTGGACTGTGTAAGTTCTCCACTTCGATTCTAAAAATGATGCACTGCTTCAGAGGCAGGGTATGTGTCTCTAATCTCAGGTGGAAAATAGAGTAATATTTATGATGCAGTGGCTCCCAAGTTTCATTCTTCAGTCCAGTATTTATAGTTTTGGTGAGATAAAAGATTTTTAAAACTATATCATCTAGGATTTAGGGAGATGTATAAAGTTAATGGATAGAGGCTGTATTTGATTGGACCACAGAGTGGAAAGGAGACAGAATATGATGGTCAAGTAACAGGAAAGAAGGAGGGTGGGTTAACAAGCAATGCAACTGTTGGCTAAAGGTGTGAGAAGAGATTCCAGGAATGAAGGAAAGCTACTTATGTGTGAGGCTGATTAGAGAGAAGGACACAGATAGAAGATTATATTATATCTTAAAGGATTCCTCCTATCTTTCATTTGGACTACATTTAGAACCAAAGGCATCTCCTTTGCTTTCACATGTGTAATGGGGAGAGCAAGAACACAAATATTCATGTAGAATTTTATAAGAACATGCCACATACCAATCTGTTCTTAAGTGTTGTACAAGCTTTTGTGACATTTGTATTAGATCTGTTTTATACAGCACCTCAAGGTATATCTCAAAAATGCTTTACCACAGCTTTATGAAGCATGTACTACTAACGTTCCATTTTAGAGATGAGGACATTGAGGCGGAAATAATTCAACTAACTTGAACCAAAGTTCAAAATTGCAAATGGTGATGATGGGGTTCGAATCTAGATATATAAGACCAGAAAACTTAATTATCATTCTGAATAGCTAGGACAATAGTATTAAGCCTATTTCTTAGACAATAGGAATAAAATAAATATGATGTACATTTTAAAATGAATTTTTTAAAGAGTGATAGGCATTTAAATGTTTCATTTTGTGCAATTAATAATTTGCGTCTTCTGCTTGCCACCAAATGCCCATATAATTAACCAAGCATTATTGAAGTAAGCTTTAAAATTTAGAAATTAGTGTTGTCAAGAAATTGCATGAGAGCCTGTGATGAAAATTAGCGGTTTGTATGTAGAAAGGAAAAGATTCAGAAAGGAAACTCTATTATAAAACCATCAACTTATTGAGAAAGGTAAAAATCCTACAATGTGATGAAAAAATATATTACAAATGAGTGTAAACCACCACCTAGATCTTTGCTCCTGCTGTGTTTATGCCTGAGGCCTTTTTATTTGATCACGGTTTTATTAATGGATGTGAACCAATGTACAAGCTGGTGAAAGTGGTAGTACCTGTGGTATAAAGTATATTGTCTGAAGAATGACTTTCCCCCCATATCCAAGTGTAATAAATCATGGATGTCAATTTAGCACAGGTGGCATTAATATGTGGTTGAGGGCTGCTAAATTTTTCAGAAAAGCAAACATAGCCAAATTAATCCATATAGGAAAATTTTCACAAGATAGAACAGCCTTTCTCCAATGTGCATTTGGTTAAATTATTATGTTTGGAATTCTATTTTCAAAGCTTTTTACTACAGGCAGTCTCTGTCATTCACATAATATGTTATAGGGCATACAAGCTCAGGAAATAATTTATCTTATTAACTCTATAATGATTGGGTTTTGAACTTCTACAAAGGGAGATACTAGGACACCAGAGTGGGGTCCCTTATTGGAGGTATTAAGAAGGCAGAGATATAGAGAAATCTGATTTATTTTTTCTCCTATAGAGCTGACACACACAGAGAAAATGTTCTGTAACTTGTGAATGAATAAGAAGATAAACAGGAAGTGAAGAGGTGGGAAGTGTGCAATGCCAGGAAACAGAATTTGCCTTCAAAATCTATGGCTCTAGAGTAATTATTTTTTTACATTAAAAAATTGATATATAAAATGGCTGTATTTTAGGAAGTATACATTCTTTTACTGTATATCAAACCTGCATAATTTGTATCTGGATGAGATTTGGAGGATTACCCACATCTGACTCTCTATTTTACAGATTAAAAAAATGCCTAGAGGCTCAGGGAAGATAAGATATAGGGCCACCCTAAGATAATAGAGGAGCTGAAATTAGAATACAGATTTTCTTTTTTTATTTTTTTTTATTATTATACTTTAAGTTCTAGGGTACGTGTGCACAACATGCAGGTTTTTAACATAGGTATACATGTGCCATGTTGTTTTGCTGCACCTATCAACTTGTCATTTACATTAGGTATTACTCCTAATACTATCCCTCCCCTAAACCCCCACCCCCTGACAGGCCCTGGTGTGTGATGTTCCCCGCCCTGTGTCCGTGTGTTCTCATTGTTCAATTCCCACCCATGAGTGAGAACACGCAGTGTTTGGTTTTCTGTCCTTGTGATAGTTTGCTGAAAATGATGGTTTCCAACTTCATCCATGTCCCTGCAAAGGACATGAACTCATACATTTTTATGGCTGCATAGTATTCCATGATGTATATGTGCCACACTTTCTTAATCCAGTCTGTCATTGATGGACATTTGAGTTGGTTCCAAGTCTTTGCTATTGTGAATAGTGCCACAATAAATGTACATGTGTATGTGTCTTTATAGTAGCATGATTTATAATCCTTTGGGTATATACCCAAAGGTATATACTGTGTCAAATGGTTTTTCTAGTTCTAGATCCTTGAGGAATCGCCACACTGTCTTTCACAATGGTTGAACTAATTTGCACTCCCACCAACAGTGTAAAAGCATTCCTATTTCTCCACACCCTCTCCAGCATCTGTTGTTTCCTGACATTTTAATGATCGGCATTCTAACTGGTGTGAGATGGTATCTCATCATGGTTTTGATTTGCATTTCTCTGATGGCCAGTGATGATGAGCATTGTTTCATGTGTCTGTTTGCTGCATAAATGTCTTCTTTTGAGAAGTGTCTGTTCATATCCTTTGCCCACTTTTTGATGGGGTTGTTTTTTTCTTGTAAATTCGTTTAAGTTCTTTGTAGGTTCTGGATATTAGTCCTTTATCAGATGGGTACGTTGCAAAAATTTTCTCCCATTCTGTAGGTTACCGGTTCACTCTGATGGTAGTTTCTTTTGCCATGTAGAAGCTCTTTAGTTTAATTAAATCCCATTTGTCTATTTTGGCTTTTGTTGCCATTGCTTTTGGTGTTTTAGTCATGAAGTCCTTGCCCATGCCTATGTCCTCAATAGTATTGCCTAGGTTTTCTTCTAGGGCTTTTGTGGTTTTAGGTACAACATTTAAGTCTTTGATCCATCTTAAATTATGTTTTGTATAAGGTGTAAGGAAGGGATCCAGTTTCAGCTTTCTACATATGGCTAGCTAGTTTTCCCAGCACCACTTATTAAATAGGGAATCGTTTCCCCATTTCTTGTTTTTGTAAGGTTTGTCAAAGATCAGATGGTTGTAGATGTGTGGTGTTATTTCTGAGGGCTCTGTTCTGTTCCATTGGTCTATATCTCTATTTTGGTACCAGTACCATGCTCTTTTGGTTACTGTAGTCTTGTAGTATAGTTTGAAGTCAGGTAGCATGATGCCTCCAGCTTTGTTCTTTTGGCTTAGGATTGACTTGGCGATGCAGGCTCTTTTTTGGTTGCATATGAACTTTAAAGTAGTTTTTTCCAATTCTGTGAAGAAAGTCATTGGTAGCTTATGGGGATGGCATTGAATCTATAAATTACTTTGGGCAGTATGGCCATTTTCACGATATGATTCTTCCTATCCATAAGCATTCAATATTCTTCCATTTGTTTGTGTCCTCTTTTATTTCATTGAGCAGTAGTTTGTAGTTCTCTTTGAAGAGGTCCTTCACATCCCTTGTAAGTTGGATTCCTAGGTATTTTATTCTCTTTGTAGCAATTGTGAATGGGAGTTCACTCATGATTTGGCTCTCTGTTTATCTGTTAATGGTGTATAGGAATGCTTGTGATTTTTGCACATTGATTTTGTATCCTGAGACTGCTGAAGTTGCTTATCAGCTTATGGAGATTGTGGGCTGAGATGTTGGGGTTTTCTAAATATACAATTATCTCATCTGCAAACAGGGACAATTTGACTTCCTCATTTCTTAATTGAATACCTCTTATTTCTTTCTCCTGCCTGAATGCCTTGGCCAGAACTTCCAACACTATGTGGAATAGGAGTGGTGAGAGAGGGCATCCTTCTTTTGTGGCCGTTTTCATAGGGAATGCTTCCCGTTTTTGCCCATTCAATATGATATTGGCTGTGGGTTTGTCATAAATAGCTCTTATTATTTTGAGATATGTTCCATCAATACCTAGTTCATTGAGAGTTTTTAGCATGAAGGGGTGTTGAATTTTATTGAAGGCCTTTTCTGCATCTATTGAGATAATCATGTGGTTTTTGTTGTTGGTTCTGTTTTTATGATGGATTACATTTATTGATTTGCATATGTTGAACTAGCCTTGCATCCCAGGGATGAAGCTGACTTGATCGTGGAGGATAAGCTTTCTGATATGCTGCTGGATTCGGTTTGCCAGTATTTTATTGAGAATTTTCACATTGATGTTCATCAGGGATATTGGTCGAAAAATATCTTTTTTGTGTGTGTGTTTCTGCCAGGCTTAGGTATCAGGATGATGTTTGCCTCATAAAATGAGTTAGAGAGAATTCCTTCTTTTGCTACTGATTGGAATAGTTTCAGAAGGAATGATAGCTCTTCTTTGTACTACTGGTAGAATTCAGCTGTGAATCCTTCTGGTCCTGGACTTTTTCTGGTTGGTAGGGTATTAATTATTGCCTCAACTTTAGAGCCTGTTATTGGTCTATTCAGAGATTCAACTTCTTCTTGTTTTAGTCTTGGGAGCATGTATGTGTCCAGGAATTTATCCATTTCTTCCAGATTTTCTAGTTTATTTGCGTGGAGGTGTTTATAGTATTCTCTGATGGTAGTTTGTATTTCTGTGGGATTGGTGGTGATATCCCCTTTATCATTTTTTATTGCATCTATTTGATTCTTCTCTATTTTCTTCTTTATTTTTCTTTCTAGCGGTCTATCAATTTTGTTGATCTTTTCAAAAAACCAGCTCCTGGCTTCACTGATTTTTTTGAAGGGTTTTTTGTGTCTCTATCTCCTTCAGTTCTGTTCTGATCTTACTTATTTCTTGCTTTCTACTAGCTTTTGAATTTGTTTGCTCTTGCTTCTCTAGTTCTTTTAATTGTGATGTTAGGGTGTTGATTTTAGATCTTTCCTGCTTTCTCTGTGGGCATTTAGTGCTATAAATTTCCCTCTACCCACTGCTTTTAATGTGTCCCAGAGATTCTGGTATGTTGTGTCTTTGTTCTCATTGGTTTCACAGAACTTCTTTATTTCTGCCTTCATTTTGTTATTTTCCCAGTAGTCATTCAGGAGCAAGTTGTTCAGTTTCCATGTAGTTGTGCTGTTTTGAGTGAGTTTCTTAATCTTGAGTTCTAATTTGATTGCACTCTGGTCTGAGAGATGGTTTTTTTGTGATTTTTGTTCTTTTACATTTGCTGAGGAGTGCTTTACTTCCAATTATGTAGTCAGTTTTAGAATAAGTGTGATGTGGTGCTGAGAAGAATGTATATTCTGTTGATTTGGGATGGAGAGTTCTGTAGATCTCTTTTAGGTCTGCTTGTTGCAGGGTTGAGTTCAAGTCCTGGATATCCTTGTTAACCTGTCTGATTGATCTGTCTAATCTGTCTAATGTTGATAGTGGGGTGTTAAAGTCTCACATTATTATTGTGTGGGAGTCTAAGTCTCTTTGTAGGTCTCTAAGGACTTGCTTTATGAATCTGGGTGCACCTGTATTGCGTGCATATATATATTTAGGGTAGTTAACTCTTCTTGTTGAATTGATCCCTTTACCATTCTGTAATGGCCTTCTTTGTCTCTTTTGATCTTTGTTGGTTGAAAGTCTGTTTTACTGCAACCCCTGCTTTTTTTTGCTTTCCATTTGCTTGGTATATCTTCCTCAGTCCCTTTGTTTTGAGGCTATTTGTATCTGTTTATGTGAGATGGGTCTCATGAATACAGCACACTGATGGGTCTTGACCCTTTATCAAATTTGCCAGTCTGTGTTTTTTAATTTGGGCATTTAGCCCATTTGCTTTTAACTTTAATATTGTTTTGTGTGAATTTGATCCTGTCATCATGGTGTTAGCTGGTTATTTTGCCCATTAATTGATGCAGTTTATTCATAGCATCTATGGTCTTTACAATTTGGCATGTTTTTGCAGTGGCTGGTACTGGTTGTTCCTTTCCATGTTTAGTGCTTCCTTCAGGAGCTCTCGTAAGGCAGGCCTGGTGATGACAAAATCTCTCAGCATTTGCTTGTCTGTAAAGCATTTTATTTCTCCTTCACTTATGAAGCTTAGTTTGGCTGGATATGAAATTCTGGGTTGAATATTCTTTTCTTTAGGAATGTTGAATATTGGCCCCCCACTCTCTTCTGGCTTGTAGGGTTTCTGCTGAGAGATCCACTGTTAGTCTGATGGGCTTCCCATTGTGGGTAACCTGACATTTCTCTCTGGCTGCCCTTAACATTTTTTCCTTCTTTTCAACCTTGGTGTATCTGACAACTATGTGTCTTGGGGTTGCTCTTCTCAAGGAGTATCTTTGTGGTGTTCTCTGTATTTCTTGAATTTGGATGTTGGCCTGCTTGCTAGGTTGGGGAAGTACTCCTGGATAATATCCTGAAGAGTATCTTCCAACTTGGTTCCATTCTCACCATCACTTTCAGGTACACCAATGAGATGTAGATTTGGTTTTTTCACATAGTGCCATATTTCTTGGAGGCTTTGTTCATTTCTTTTTACTCTTTTTTCTCTAAACTTGTCTTCTTGCTTTATTTCATTCATTTGATCTTTAATCACTGATCCCTTTTCTTCCACTTGAACGAATTGGCTATTGAAGCTTGTGCATGCATCATGAAGTTCTCGTGCCATGGTTTTCAGCTCCATCAGTTCATTTGAGGTCTTCTCTACACTGTTTATTCTAGTTAGCCATTCATCTAATCTTTTTTCAAGGTTTTTAGCTTCCTTGTGATGGTTTAGAACATTCTCCTTTAGCTCAGAGAAATTTGTTATTACCAACCTTCTGAAGCCTACTTCTGTCAACTCGTCAAAGTCATTCTGCATCCAGCTTTGTTCCATTGCAGGCAAGGAGCTGTGATCCTTTGGAGAAGAGGCGCTCTGGTTTTTAGGATTTTCAGCTTTTCTCCTCTGGTTTCTCCCCATTTTTGTGGTTTTATCTACCTTTGGTCTTTGATGTCCGTCACCTACAGATGGGGTTTTCGTGTAGATGTCCTTTCTGTTGATGTTGATGCTATTTGTTTCTGTTTGTTAGTTTTCCTTCTAACAGTCAAGTCCCTCAGCTGCAGGTCTGTTGAAGTTGGCTGGAGGTCCACTCCAGATGCTGTTTCCCTGGGTATCACCAGCTGAGGCTGCAGAACAGCAGATATTGCAGAACAGCAAATATTGCTGCCTGATCCTTTCTCTGGAAGCTTCATACCAGAGGGTCACCTGCTTGTATGAGATGTCTGTCAGCCCCTACTGGGAGGTTTCTCCCAGTTAGGCTACATGGGTTCAGGGACCCACTTGAGGAAGACGTCTCTCCATTCTCAGAGCTCAAACGCCATGCTGGGAAAACCACTGCTCTCTTCAGAGCTGTCAGTTAGGGACATTTAAGTCTGCAGAAGTTGTCTGCTGCCTTTTGTTCAGCTATGCCCTGCCCTCAGAGGTGGAGTCTGTAGAGGCAGTAGCCTTTGTGGAGCTGCAGTGAGGTCCACCCAGTTTGAGCTTCCCAGTGCTTTGTTTACTTACTCAAGCCTCAGTAATGGTGGATCCTGTCCCCCAGCCCGGCTGCAGCCTCGCAGGTTGATCTCAGACTGCTGTGCTAGTGGTAAGCAAGGCTCCATGGGTGTGGAACCTGCTGATCCAGGCACAGGAGAGAATCTCTTTGTCTGCCAGTTGCTAAGACCATGGGGAAAGCACAGTATTTGGTTGGGAGTGTACTGTTTTTCCAGGTACAGTCTGTCATGGCTTCCCTTGGCTAGCAAAGGGAAATTCCCCCGACCCCTTGCACTACCCAGGTGAGGCAATGCCCCATTCTGCTTCGGCTCACCCTCCATGGGCTGCACCCACTGTCCAACCAGTCACAATGAGACGAACCAGGTATCTCAGTTGGAAATGTAGAAATCACCCGTCTTCTACATCAATCACACTGGGAGCTGCAGACCAGACCTGTTCCTGTTTGGCCATTTTGGAATCAAACTCAGTACAGATTTTCTTATATTGCCTTCAGTACACAGATTTTTTTTTCCCCCAATAATTTGATCCCATGGGTAGAAACAAATAGAACACAAAAAAAGAATTTACCTCCAATTATTTTTCTTCCATCTTTATTGATGATGTAAAAAGACAGTCCACTGAATGTGAGAAAATATTTGCAAATCATATACCTTATAAAGGACTTGTATCTAGAATAGATAAATAACATTTATCACTCAATAATGAAAAGATATTTAATATTTAATTCAATTTAAAAATGGACATTGGTTTTGAAAATACATACTTCTATAGAAGATTTACAAATGACTATGAAGCACATGAAATGATGCTAAATATTATTAGTTATTAGGGAAATACAAATAAAAGCCATAGTGATATATCACTTCACACCTACAATGATGACTAACATTTTAAAAAGGCAGATAATGACAACTTTTGGCAAAAGTGTAGAGGTATTGGAAATGTCATATATTGCTGGTGTCAAATGTAATGTTTGTTATATGACCCAGAAATTATGCTCTTTGGTATATATTCAAGAGGAATGAAAACATATGTCCACGCAAAAATATTGCACACAAATGTTCATAGAAGTGTTATACATAATAGCCCCAAAACGGAAATAACCCACATATCCATGAACTGATGAGTGGGTAAATGAAATGTGGTATATCACTACAATGGGATTTGTTCTGCCATGACAAGGAATGAATCACTGATACATGCTATAACATGAGTGATCCTTGAAAACTTGATATGTGAAAGAATAGAGACACAAAAGGGACATGTTGTAGAGCATGTTGTAGCAAGGAAAGCAGCCACCATCACTTGCATTTAGCAGAGACTAAGGCAGAAGAGTGGAAAGCTTTATAATGGAAAAAAAAGGGGAAGGCAGGTATGTACTGATGAGAGGTTGTTGACATGGGAACCTGTAGGTAGGCTAAGTAGAAGTAGCTCATCCTAAGCAATTGATTAGGGTGCATGTTTTGCTTTCTCTGATTGGTCCTAACGTGGAAACAGGGGCAAGAACTAGGAAAGCTGTCAGTTACTAATCAAGTCCTAGCAATTTTAGGCCTATTCTTAAGGGTTTGTTGTCTGCTTTTCTTTTCTTTTTATTATACTTTAAGTTCTAGGTTACATGTCCACAACGTGCAGGTTTGTTACACAGGTATACATGTGCCATGTTGGTTTGCTGCACCCATCAACTTGTCATTTACATTAGGTATGTCTCCTAATGCTATTCCTCCCCCAGCCCCCCACCCCCTGACAGGCCCTGGTGTGTGATGTTCCCTGCCCTGTGTCCATGTGTTCTCATTGTTCAATTCCCACCCATGAGTGAGAACATGCAGTGTTTTGTTTTCTGTCCTTGTGATAGTTTGCTGAGAATGATGGTTTCCAATTTCATCCATGTCCCTGCAAAGGACATGAACTCCTCCTTTTTTATGGCTACATAGTATTTCATGGTGTATATGTGCCACATTTTCTTAATCCAGTCTATCATTGATAGACATTTGGGTTGGTTCCACTATTGTGAATAGTGCTGCAATAAACATATGTGTGTATGTGTCTTTATAGTAGCATGATTTATAATCCTTTGGGTATATACCCAGTAATGGGATCACTGGGTCGTCTGATTTTCTAGATGGATTATTGAAGGTAATAGGTTGACATCCTGGGCCAGTAACTGCAGGCTGTAGGCCAGGGTTCTATTTTTAGATATATAGACTATCTATTGTTCTTCTGTGTCTTCAGTCTCTAAATTCATTATATGAAATGTCCAGAGTAGGCAAAGTCTTACAGTCAGGAAGTGGATTAGGAGTTGCTTAGTTCTGGATGGGTGGGGTGAGGACTGATTGTTAATTTAATGGATACATGGTTTCTTTTCAGGTTGAAGAAAATATTCTAAAATTAGATTATGATGATACTTGCACAACTTTGCAAACTTAGTAAAAAAATTGAATTTTAAACTTTATATGGGCGAACTTTGTGTTATTTAAATTATATATCAATAAAGTCTTTAAAATAACTTACTAATTGTTTTATTGATTTGAAACAGTGTTTTGAATGTATTTGGCCAAATACATTCATAATTACAATTAATTTTACTGTGTTTTATTGTATTAATTTGACTGTGAACTCCCATTCACAGTTGCTTCAAAGAGAATAAAATACCTAGGAATCCAACTTACAAGGGATGTGAAGGACCTCTTCAAGGAGAACTACAAACCACTGCTGAATGAAATAAAAGAGGATACAAACAAATGGAAGAACACTCCATGCTCATGGGTAGGAATAATCAATATCAGGAAAATGGCCATACTGCTCAAGGTAATTTATAGATTCAAGGCCATCCCCATTGAAGAAAGTCAAGCTAAAAGCCAAAATTGACAAATGGGATCTAATTAAACTAAAGAGCTTCTGCACAGCAAAATAAACTACCATCAGAGTGAACAGGCAACCTACAAAATAGGAGAAAATTTTTGCAACCTACTCATCTGACAAAGGGCTAATATCCAGAATCTACAATGAACTCAAACAAATTTATAAGAAAAAACAACCCCATCAAAAAGTGGGCGAAGGACATGAACAGACACTTCTCAAAAGAAGACATTTATGCAGCCAAAAAACACATGAAAAAATGCTCACCATCACTGGCCATCAGAGAAATGCAAATCAAAACCACAATGAGATACCATCTCACACCAGTTAGAATGGCAATAATTAAAAAGTCAGGAAACAACAGATGCTGGAGAGGATGTGGAGAAATAGGAACACTTTTACACTGTTGGTGGGAATGTAAACTAGTTCAACCCTTGTGGAAGTCAGAAATTCTAAACTTTCTTATGTGTCCAACATTTTTGTTTCACATATTTGGTCTAATTGGAAGACAACTTTGAAAAAGTGATTACACATGTAAAGAATGTTATGAAAGTAGAAGTTTAGTAGAATCGTTGGTGTTATTATTTTGCCTTTTGTAAACATAGATGAGCAAAGTGAAATTCTTAAGAGTTTGTTAGGAAGATACAGGAGCAAGAACCTCTGCCTTTTTGCTCTTCGTTTAGAGTCTCTTCCATCTCACAACTACCTCCATGGTGTACAAAGAACTACAGACTTCTATGAGCTGTTAACAACTTCAGAGGTTTTTGACCACATTGAGAATATGATAAAAGTTATTGATATTCTTAAGGAAAAAAAACACACTTATGAACTATGATGAAATCTGTTGTTTTGTCTGTGTAAGTTTCATCCACGCTTCCAGTAACACCAAGTAAACTTTTTTTGAGGAAACATCCTTCTCCCACTCAAAGTCCTTGTGATTTGGAAGGGCAGAAAACTCACCGGTTCTAGTTTCAGTGATTGGTTTAGGAATGAAGGCTTTATTTCAATTGGCCCAATTTGGAGATTTTAGGAAGAAAGAGCCCCTCTTTGCTGAACTCAAAGCACAAAGAGTCTAAGATTTCAGGGGCTACCACTTGGAAACAGCTTGCCTGAGACATGGAGAATAATAAACCCTAGATATCACTTCAGCCTCTGGACCGAGCCTGTCAGAAGCAAATTTATCAGTTACAGAAGTCAATAAATAAATAAATAAAATATTTCTGATTAAGCTGATCCTAGATAGATTTTCTGACATTTACAACAGAAAAACAAACAACAAACAAACAAAAAACAAAAACCCTTGGTTGTTTTCCAACCTAAACAAAGGTGTTTTTATAGATATTATTTGGCACAGCCACAGATTTCATCTTAAGTATCCCTGGGATATATCATTGGTAAGTTGGGAGAGTTGTTTTCTGGAGTTTGAACAGTGCATAATTAATGTGCTTACACTGCATATTTTCTTTGTGAATCATCCTACCTGTTTGCTTGGGGAGGGTGGGATTTATACATCACAAGCCTGTATCCTCTTTTTCTTGGCAGGGGAGATGATCACCAATCATATCCAATAGAGAGTGGTATTTAATTTAGACTTTACCCAAATCACCCATTTATTTACAACGTGATGGTCCTTGGACCACATAGGAATACATAGGTCAATTTTCCTCAGTGCTCTCCCTTGCCTCCTCCCCCAGTCCCAGCATAAACTCAGAGTCACTGTTAGAATTTAGTTTGGATATTAAAGGAAATTATAGTTGCAATAAAGTATCTTCTGAATTTGATTTGCGTACAGTCCTCTGCGAATAATATTGGGGAATTTTGAGGAATATTTGGGTTTGTGGCTAAGTCGATAATCTGAGTTTTGAAGCTATGAAAATATGTGTGGATTTCTTTTCTCCTACTTCATGAGTGTTGGAGAAGACGTTTCATGGCATGAGTGCTCACCTATGAAATGGACTCATGGGCATCTGTCTACTTTGGGGAACAGAAGGCTTCTGATGGATGGGAGGAGAGCACCTGTGAATTCAAAGACCATTTGCACACAACATTCATTACAAGTGGGTTTGCACAGGACAATGCTTTACTTAGTTTCTGGAACCAAGTATATGGAACAGTCTGGCTTCAGAGATGTCTAATAGCTTTTGAAAAGTGTTATGTTAGGAGAGAAACATTCAGGACTTCACAGAACGGTTGCTGGAATTAACCACTGAAGGAAGCTGCCTGCTCCAGCTGCTGGTGTAAGGAATAGAAAGCCACAGCTATAATCTTGTGGGAGCAGCTGCTGAGAGTTATCACAGCACCATCTGTACTAATTGGGTACTATCCATCTGCAAGGGTTTTACTAACTCCCAGAGGGTGGTCGAAGAAGGTAAGGCACAGCTCCCGCTCTAGGTGATCTTGCAATCTGGAAAAAGACTGAGCCATCTTAAGTGCTTCACCTATGCAATGGAAATAGCAGTAACTGTCTCACAAGGATTCCAGTGTAAATTAAATTCTGAAGTTTTTTTTACAATATGAAACACTTCATCCTGGACCATGGTGAGAGTCTCAATAAGTGTGTGGTTGATGATGATGACTCTTATCTCTTCATTGTAAATCAGAAGATATAGAATAATCTTTTTGCTTTTGATAGATCAAGAATTGGACAACCCTGATCAGGATGTTTGGTTCAGTTGCAGTGAAGGGGACAGGGACACCATCATGAGTTCATTGGGAGCATCTTTATTTTTTGCATTATCCCAACTGGAAGCTAGGGGTCATGGTTTCTTCAACCATTTCCAGATGTTGTCGCCATTCAAGCATGGGCATGTGTGTGTGTGTTTCACATTCATCCAAAATATTAGAATTGCTTACTTGGCAAGTTTCAAAATGTGTCTGGGAAACAAATATGTGACTCATGTGATCCATTTTCCTGGGTGACAGGCATTTATTGAGCCCTCAATCTGTGCCAGGCACTGCATTAAGAATATTTCATCTCATGTAGTGTTTACATAAACTATGCAACCTGGGTGCTAATATTAACCCTATTTTATAGATAAGATGAGTGCGGCTAACTTTCTCAGTAATGCAGCTGATTGTTACTAGAATTGGGATTTAGTGCCAGCTGTTCTTATTCCAGAGGTCACGTTTTTAGCCATTATGATTTTGAGATAGCTTGATGGATGGTCTGAGGTTTTCAGAGCATTAGGATTATTGATTCTAGTCCATGTGTTCAATCTTAACTTCTTGGAATACTTTTGGTTCAGTAGACATGGAGTAATGGAAATGCTTTTCCCAGGCACGATTCTGTGGCACCTTGATTAACTGTGACTCCCATGTATTGAAACACACGGAATGTCCATCCACCCCTACCACAGTTCCTGATACCCACCCGTTATAATCTGCCGGGTTAAGCCCAGGCAAGGTTAGATATTTCATTGTTAATCTACTCCATCAAAAGCATTTAGCTGACTCTCTGCATCCAGAGTCCTGAAGACCACCTAGATGTGAATCAGTTGGGGGATGAAATAATTAGTTAAAATGTAGATCTAGGTCCCAGCGTGATGGCTCATGCCTGTAATCCCAGCATTTTGGGAGGCCGAGGTGGGTGGATCACATAAGGTCAGGAGTTCAAGATCAGCCTGGACAACATGGTGAAACCCGTCTCTACTGAAAATATAAAAATTAGCCAGGTGTGGTGGCAGGTGCCTGTGATCCCAGCTACTTGGGAGGCTGAGGCAGAATCACTTGAACCTGGGAGGCAGAGGTTGCAGTGAGCAGAGATGGCACTGTTGCACTCCAGCCTAGGCAACAAGAGTGAAAACCCATCTCAAAAAAAACAAAAAACAAAAAACAACAAAAAAAAAAACACCAAAACGTAAATCTATAGGTCTCACTCCTAGAAATTCGGAGTCAGTTGGCCTTCTTCATGGCACAGGTATCTGCTTCTATAAGAAAGTGCCCCCAGTGTTTCTGACTTATGTTTCTGTATCATAATGAAGAATACTAGTGTATATATAAATCAGTTTGCCAGAAAATGTGGCCTTTATCCTTAAAATTAGAGTTGTGTTAAAAAATATAGACAGAATGTTAATATGATCAAATATAAATGATAAAATTTAATATATATAAATTTAAATATGTTCATTCCTTTTCTGATATTGGACACATGCTCTTTTCTAGTTACAAACATCTAACTTGCCTGCTGTGACCATTTTATCTATTTCAAAGTGTTTTCATGTCTCAATTTTATCATTTAAAGTTCAAGAGATCCAAATGAGGAGAACAGGTGTCATTCCCATTTTACAGCCAAGAAGACTGGAGCTAAACAAGGTTAAATGACCTTTTAAGTTTCTAATTAAGTCTCAGTTTGTAACTACTGATCTTGGGTCTGTTTATGTGACAGGGCACTGCCTTAAATTGCAATCAGAATGGTCTCTAGTATATAGAGACCACTGCAAGGGCCAGGCATTAACTCCCAGGTTAGAGGACAACTAAAATGACCCGGGTAAAGGAGGGTGTCATCTGCAGGCACCTTGGGTATGAGGCTCACTCTGAGAAGGATGTCCTTTTGCAAGTAGCACATCCTTCTGTAGTTGTTCCCAGCTCTGCCTTTGATATTCATGCTTAAGTCCAAGCCAGAAGGTAAGAAAGATAACATGAAAATAACTCAGAAATCGTCTAGTCCAAACCACTCATTTATTTCCAAGGACCAAGTGGGAATGAATGATTCATCCATAGTGGCTAAAACAAGTTAGTGACAGAGCCTGTGCCAGGATGTCTGTCTGCTGAGGCTCTTTGATAAGGTGGAATAAACTAGATGCAGAGACTTTGAAATTTTCATCTGCCCCTCATTGGCTTTGTGGCTTTGGGTAAATCACTTACCATTTCTGAGCCTCAGGCTCTTCATTTGTGACAGGAGGAAAATAACCAAGCGCCTTGTGCCAGTTTATTAAATTACCTATAGCATTTCACAGCACCTGGCCTCTGACTCAGGGTAGGTCTTTGGTGAATAATGGTTTTCTTCTCACCCAGTCTCCCTTTATTTCAAAGCTCTTCTCTCAGGCCTAGTCTAACACCAAATAACTACCACAATATATATTGACTCTTAGATGCTGTCATATTTGTAAAGCAATATCTTACTACTACATATTCATGAATGCAATTCAGGCTCCAGGGCTGCAGCCTTTGACTCTGTAAATTTAGATCTGGATATTAACAAAAATTTCTGCAAGTGTCTCTGTATTATATTAGCTAGAAGCAGGAAGGTAAACAGGCAGTGAACATGTAGAGGAAACTTTCTTTGTGCTTATTTTAGGGAGCAGTAGGAGAAGCGGGAATGCCCATATGATGAACTCCTATTGAGTCAACAGCACCCCTGTATTGTAAATGCTTTGGGGCTGGGACTGTCACTATTCTATTCACTATTATTTCTGCAGCAGATAGCACAATAGCTGACATATAGTGATACACAGTGACTACTACAATGCATAGTTAATGCATTTTTTTTTTTTTTTTGAGACAGAGTTTCGGTCTGTCACCCAGGCTGGAGTGCAGTGGCACGATCTCGGCTCACTGCAAGCTCCACCTCCCGGGTTCAGGCCATTCTCCTGCCTCAGCCTTCCGAGTAGCTGGGACTATAGGTGCCTGCAACCACGCCCAGCTAAATTTTTGTATATATATATTTTTTTCAGTAGAGATGGGATTTCACTGTGTTAGCCAGGATGGTCTCGATCTCCTGACCTCGTGATCCGCCCGCCTCGGCCTCCCAAAGTGCTGGGATTGTAGGCGTGAGCCACCGCACCCGGCCAGTTAATGCATATTAATGAAGGAAATCCCTGACTTTAGCTCTTAATAGTTTCCCATGTTTTGTTGTTGCTCATTTATTTCATTTTGATTACTCTTGTTCCTTTAGCTATGCTTTAACCTCCTAAAAGATGGTTTCTGATAAAATTAGTCACAAAAGTAGCTTCAATTTCTAAAGTATCTATTTTTTATAACAGGTCCTGTGGGGCACAATCCTCTCACATTCTCTATGAAGTGAATTATTATTCCCATTTGACAGATGAAGAAACAGAAGTTAAGTAACTTGCCCATGATCACACATCCTGTTGATGATAGAGCCAATGGTTGAATTCAAGGCTTGTATTCTTTGCCACCATGCTTCTGCTCTATCTGATACAGTGTTTTGCAGAGTCTGCATTTGCTAGTGTTAAATATAAACCATGATTAGCAGAGCTGGGTAAGGTAAAAAGCTGACATGAAGAGTGGGGCTTTCTCTGCCTGCTTTCATTCTGCACTGCCATTATGCTATTCTAGGGCTGCCATGGCCTTGGGTCTCCATTACCATATGCTATTTAGGCCTGTCTATCCCAGAGAGTGCTTTCCTGCACTTTTTCTGACAAACTCTCTTCCTGAAAATTTTGTTTTGTTTGGTTTTGTTAGCTGTCATTTATAAAATGCTCATGATGACCTAGAATCTTTATTATAATTGTTTTATAGAATGCATTATTTAGTTCTCATGCTAACCTATGAGTCGAGTGTTATTATTTTTCCCATTCTAAGGATGTGGAAATTGAGACTCAGGAAGTTTAAGCAACTGAGTCAAGGTCATAGACATATAACTCATTCCACTGTAACTTTCTGTTTGTTCTTTGCTCCTGGGTAAAGGTTCTAAATGCAGAATGGCTGCATGGGCTACTGATATAACCATACCTTAGAGTTATCGTTTTGGAAGATTTTAGATAATCTCTCCCATTTGATCTTCACACAATCCCTAAGTGAAGGCAGAGCAACCTGGATTAAAAAGTCATAAATAACAAATAGTAGCCAGTCTGGATGAAAGGCCTTGGTCTCCTGTCTTTATCAATCACTTCTCACTGCACCATCAACGTTTCAAGTGTTATTTCTGCATTTAATCAGCGGCATTTCCCCAAACCAGTGTCTGAAGGTAGAAATTACTGATCCCATACTTGGACCATAGGGATGTATTTGTCAGAAGTGGTATCTTTTGTGTTCCTTCAGCCTCACGACCACATTAACTGTCCTATTTCACTTGAAGGCCAACCTTCTGTTTAACCAAAGGTAAACTGACATTGAACTTAGGTTATGAGGAAAAGGATTAGGGTATATAATCTTTTAGAGGCAGGAGAGTTTGGGAATGGAAACTCAACTTCTGACTGGATGTGGTAGCTCATGCCTATAATCTTAGAAGTTTGGGAGGCTGAGGTGGGAGGACCACTTGAGCCCTGGAGTTTGAAACCAGCCCGGGCAATATAGTGAGATCCCATCTCAGAAAGAAAGAAAGAAAAAGAGAGAGAGAAAGAGAGAAGGAAGGATGGAGGAAGGGAGGGAGGAAGGAAGGAAGGCTCAACTTCCTTTTAATAAAGAATGGTTTATTTGAAATTCAACAGTTTTTTTAAAATATTCATTTATTTTGTTATGCAAAAGCGAATTTAAATTCTTTAAAAAATATTGTACATATTATGATTTCATTGAATTAGGTTTATATTCTATTTATATATATTTGTTTCTATTTATGTATTTATCCTTAATAAGTAGAAAGACAGTAGAAATGATGTTCAGCAAACACTAGTGCCTTTTTATCCCCTCCTCGGGATATGAACTTTACAGTGATTTCTTTTAACTCATTTTTTTGGTACGCTTTTGCATTGCTTATTTGTTAAAAGTTTAAAAAAATATTTTATTTTCAGAAATCATTACTAAAGAAAAAAGAATTAAACTAGTGTAGTAGTTTCCTGTACCTGCTGTAACAAAGTACCAGACGTTTGGTGGCTTACAATAATTAAAATTTATTTTTTTACAGTTCTGGAGATCAGAATTGTCAAATCACTATCACTGGACCAAAATCGGCAGGATTGCACTCCTTCTGGAGAATCTGTTCCTTGCCTCCTTTAGCACTGATGGCTACCAGAATTCCTTGGTTTATGACTACATAACTCCAATATTCATGGCCAGTATCTTCAAATTATCTCTACTCCATCTGCACATTGTCTTCTCTGTATGTAGTCAAGTTTCACTTGTATAAGGATACATGTTATTGAATTTAGGACCCACCTAAATAATCCAGAATAATCCATCCATCTCAAAATCCTTAATTTAATCATATCTACAAAATCACCTTTGTCATGTAAGGTAATATTTACATGTTCCAAGGATTAGGACCTGATATTTTTGGGAGCCATTATTCAGCCTACTACAAATAGTTTCAAAGGGAGAATAACAAAGAAGGATTTCATACTTATTTTTTAAATGAATTTCTGCCGCATGAAACCTTAATTTCATACCCTGCATCCACTAGCCAGATAAACTGTCTCTGGCTAGTCCTAGTTTGCATCCATTGCTTATGGAATTAATATACTCTCTGTACTCTTAACCATGCCTAGGTTTCTATGATAAAGTATATGGTCACTCTCCATATGCTGCAGCATATATCCACAAGGCCAGGTGCATTAGTCCATTCTCATGCTGCTAATAAAGATATACCCAAGACTGAGTAATTTATAAAGAAAAAGAGGTGTAATGGACTCACAGTTCCACATGGCTGGGGAGGCCTCACAATAGTGGCAAAAAGCAAAGGAGGAACAAAGTCATGTCTTACATGGCAGCAGGCAAGAGAGCACGTGCAGGGGAACTACGCTTTATGAAA